>NT_187663.1:0-1423190 GCF_000001405.40 Homo sapiens
TTTCTAGCACCTAGCAGACATGGCCCATTTGACACACTTGGCAAATGTTCCTGAGTGAAAGGACAGACACACTTCTGAGGAATAAATGAGTGCCACAGGCTCTGAGAGCCTGGCTGGACAGGGACACGTGTCCACACTGTCCAATCACCTGGCAGGCTGGAAGGGAGGGAGTCACAACTTGGTGGCTGTATTCTAACTGCACCCCAGCAAGCAGGTGTCCTGAAAGATGGCTGTGGAGCCTCTCCTGCCATCCCCTTTCCTAAATGCTGACCTAGAGACCCAATTACTTCTAATTGCTTGAGAAGATAACCCTTCTGAACTGGACAACACCCATCTGGGCTCGGATTTGCATATATTTGCAAGTATCTAATACATGCTAGAGGGAGGTGGTGCAGGACTCTGTCCTTCACATTGATCTATACAAAGCTATTCCTGCCTCTCCAGGCACAGCATCTGCCAGTGGAGACTGTTGGGCAGGACTCAAGGAGTCTGGTGGGTCCAATCAACTCCCTTGGCCAAAGGAGTCCATCTTTTTTTTTTTTTTTTTTTTTTTTGAGACGGAGTTTCGCTCTTGTCGCCCAGGCTGGAGTGCAATGGTGGATCTTGGCTCACTGCAACCTCCACCTCCCAGGTTCAAGTGATTCTCCTACCCCAGCCTCCCGAGTAGCTGGGATTACAGGCATGTGCCACCATGCCCAGCTAACTTTTTTGTATTTTTAGTAGAGATGGGGTTTCACCATGTTGGCCAGGATGGTCTCAATCTCTTGACCTTGTGATCCGCCCGCCTCAGCCTCCCAAAGCACTGGGATTACAGGCACGAGCCACCGTGCCCAGCCTCCATTTATAATCTTAACTGGCAACCACATCCTCATTGGAGGCTGGCTAAGCCTCCTTTTCCTCCCAACCCTCCTGGCTATCCCTAGTATGGACCAGAAACACCTACCTTTTAATTCTGGCCCAGTAAAAGGAAACTTTAATGTCAGTAGAAGGTGGGTGGTAGATTTTGGCTACAATAATTCTTTGCACTTACAGGGGCCACCATCCAGATATGACATCATGACATCATGCTTCACCCACAAGGAAGAGCCTCTCACTGAGAGGAGCCAGGCAGATCAGCTAGGATAACACCCAGAGTATGCATGCACCTCCTGCACAGAAGAAAGATGCAGAAGAGCTTCGTGCACTGTGGGTTTGGACCCCTGTAATCAATCATTGAAAGTTACTAAATACCCACTCTAGGTGAGATACTGCTTGGCTAGGTAGGAAAGTGCCCTAAAGGTGTGGGCAACCTTTGAGACTTCCTGGTAATTGTATTTTCTTATCAACCTTGACCTCCTTTTGATTACATGAACCTCATGGTATAAGACAGCGTCCAACAAATAGCTTTCTGTTTACTTTTTCTTAGACCCAGGGCAGCAGCTGCTGTGGCTCCACCCTTCCCAGGCCTGGCAGAGCTTGCAGAAAGGCTGAGAGTGATAGGGTTGTGGTAGGGGAATAAAAGGAGAAGCTAGTTTAAAAAAAAAAATCCTGCTTCAGGATTAGTTCCTTCGTTCCCTGGCAGCAGAGTACAGTGAAGAGTCTGGGTTTTATAGTTCAGGCTCTGCCATTAACTAGCTGTGTGGCCTTGGGCAACCCACTTGGCTTTCTTGGGCCACCATTTTCTCTTCTGCATTTTCTCACTGCAAAAAATGTGAATGATCATGTCCAGGCTATAATCCTAACAGCTCTTTCTGGACAGTGAGGTTAAGGTTATTTAGCCATGCCAGCAGGAGGTGACTACTGGTTGGTCCAGACTGATGGGGTATGGGTACAGGGGCTGGGTTGGTAGTCTGCCAGAGACAGGGAACGAGATTATTTGCAAGAGCTGCAGCTTCATTAAAGTCAAGCCCTCCTTGTAGTTGGTCCTGGACATTGCTTATAGATGTCCCTGACCATAATCGGTCAAGTTCAACACCAACTGCACTAGTCCAGAACAGTGTCTGAAGAAAATCTCTGCGTTAATGGACACCTGATAGTGGCTTTAGCAGAAAGAGCGTCAGGAGAAGCTGTAGTAACCAGAACCTGGGAGGGAGGGATGGCTCAGGAGTACCCCCTGCTGCTTCTTTCTTGGTACAAATCCTGGTCCTAGAAGTGTAGACAACTGAGATGGTGGCAGGCTTGGGATTCCTAAAGCTTTCTGAAATCCAGGGTTTAATCTAGCCTTTACAATCGCTGGAGCTCTGCAGAGACTCCAACTCAGGTGGCTGAAAAGGAGGCAGGTGGAAAAGCGTTCCTAAAAGGTTTTTCACACCAAAATAGGGCTTGTCTCTCTGCTCTCTGCCAAGGGATTTCCCAGCTCCCCAGGGCCAAAGCTCCCCTCCTGCTTCTTTGCTGACTGTCACTGGAAGCAGGCCATTTTCCACCCTCAGGGTGGCTGGACTTAGGAGTCAGTGACACTGCTGATCTGGGCTCTGTGCCCCGTCCACGATCCCCCCTCCGCTGTCAGCCCACTGGCCCCAGAAGCCTCCTGTTTACCTCCTGCCCCCTGCCTCCATAGCCCTGGGGCTGGGATGAGGCTGATTTGTGGCAGAGGGCTCCTCACGAAGGTCTGCTCAGGACTTTCTCTGCAACTGTGCTGGGGAATAAATCGCCTGTCACCTACACCCCTGCATGGGTGACTCACCTTCCAGAGAAAGTGCTCTGCTCACCTAAGCAAAGCTGCTTGGAAAATGACTAAGGCACCTATCAAATGCACTCTGTGGGGCCAACCAGTTATGGAGCAAGGTCCAGGCACACTCTGCCTCTCACCTCCAGCCTGAAGTCAAGTGCAGAGCTGCCACGCCAGGCCTGCTGGTTTCATTTTCATCTGAACCGAGCTCCACATGAGGCTTGACATCCGGTGATCTATTTTTTCTAAAAACTAGCTTCACTTTAGAAATGACTCTTCGGCCATCAAGTCAGCTTCCCCAAGAGAAAACAAAATGTTATTTAAAGGGAACAGTAGCCTGGTGAGAGCCTATATTTTTGTTTTGTATTAAGGTGAAAAAAGACTTTAAAATATAACATGAAACTTTTTTTTTCCCTTGTGAGATTAAAACAAACGTTTTTCTTTCAAGAGATGGGGTCTCGCTATGTTGCCCATAGCTACTTGACCTCCTGGGCTCAAGTGATCCTCCCGCCTCAGCCTCTCAAGTAGCTGGGACTAAAGAAACACACGTCACCATTCCAGGCTTCTTGTGAGATTTAAAGGGGAATCTGCAAGTCCTTGACTGCAGATCGTGGGCCCCCAGACAGAGTCTCAGAGAGAAGCTGACAAAGACATCTTTACGAGGGGGAAAGGGTGGTGAGCTGGGGATGCCATGTGGTAGTGGGAACCTCATCCCACAGAACCAAATGTTCCCTCCTGTTCCCCCAAAGAACAAGTCCTTGCTGATCTACATGCCATACAGTATTTTCCCTTTCCTCACCTCCAGGATTAATGCAGGAACCTACTTGATCACGTGTGGGACACAGGAAGCCCCTAGACAGGCCTAGCTGTGTCTCCAGCTCAGAGTTAGGATTGTCAACTGGGCAGAGCCTGGACCTTTGTAGCCTCATTTGGAGTATGGTGAGGGCAGTATATAGTGTAAGACAGGGAGAACCCGAGAGCTGAAGCTTTTAGACTGAAGGACTGTCCCCCTAAAGGTCCTACTGAGAAAATGACTCTGGCCTGTCAGGCAGTCTGACCCTTCTTGACATCATCTTACAGAAAACAGGTTTAGTCACAATGCAGTAATTGGCAACTACTACTGCTACTATTACTACTACTACTACTACTACTATTACTACCACCACCAAACACCACCAACAAGAACAACAACAACAACAACAACAGTTACAGCCTCTATGTTCTGTGCTGGGCACTGGGCTCAGCACTTTACATATCTCCTCTCATTTTCTACTCAAAACAGCCCCATGAAGTATTTCTGATCCCATTCACAGATGAGGCACCTGATGATTAGAGAAGTGAAGTGATTTGCTTGCGGGCACACAGGCAGGCCGTGGCAGACCTCGACCTGACCCAGGTCTCTCTGACCTGACAGCCTCAGCCACCACATGTGACACGGAGACACCAAGGACTTGTTCTGTTGCTCTGGACAAATCACGGGCTCTCTGCCTTTGTTTCTACATCTGGAAAATGGGCACAAGCACACCTGTCCAGGCAGCAGGCTATTCATCTTTTGGCCTTTTATTAATTAAAAATCAATATCAATTAATAATTGATTGGTACAATAAATAAATAAAGCTGCTACCCTGGTTTCGTTATGTTCAAAATTGACATGTTTGGGGGAAGAAAATCCTTATCGTTTCATGAGCAAGGTAGTAGAAAAAGCAGTGACCTAGATATCAAGAAAAGGGGGTTTAGATTCTGAGCAATCCTGTCTGTTTCTCCTTATGAGGCTTCACTTTTCTGATCTTTGTCCCTGCCCTTCTTCACATGAGTATGGTGTGAAAATACAAAGACTGGCCATAAAATTATTCTTGATGCCACATAATTTCAAGGGATTTCTATCAGGGAGCTGAGGGATTAAGACATGTAGAAAAGCAAGAAGGGAAGAGGCTCCTTTAAACTAGAATACAAAGAGCACACCGGCCACTGAAGAAAAATGACTTTTTCTGCATTGTCATTCAGGCAGTCATAAGCCCAGAACAAAAAAATCTCATACTTCAATGTCCTGCTCAGCTCAACAGAAATGCTCCCCTACAATTTGCCCTACGTCTGGCCTTCCCTTTTTGGGCTACTACTTTCAGCATTTTAGCCAGCATCACCGAGTAAATGCAAAACCTTCACACATGCATCACTTTGAATGCCCACCCAGCTCTTGCAGATGCTCAGCCCCATTCTGTTCCCTTACTAGGGAATCCTGGTGTGTGGAGACCAGAGGGGCTGACATCCTTAGAGCTCCCTAAATCCACTGACATGGAATTGTCCCCGGCCCACCAATTTCACACTGGTGCCATCAATAGTGCCCATAATGCTCAGATGTTTCCAGTTTAACTGAAATACTAAAATGGGGCAAACAGGAAGCATCAGACACAACTGTGGTAGTGACTTATTAATCACGAAAGCAGAATTTTAGTTGCATTTTAACCTTTTGCCAGGAAAAAAAAAAAAACAACCTTGAGATGATGGAAGCCATTAGTAGAAGTACGCTGCCTTTATGCGTATTGGGCTGACTTAGACTTTTTACTTAGGACTGACTTTGCTTTTAAGATTTCTGAACTTTCCCCCCAGAAAGAACATCTGTCAAACCAACCAATATGAATCTGTCAGCTCTTCATCGAGGCAGGCAGGCTTGTTAGGAAAGCCCATGTGCTGTCCATTGAGACAGGAAAAAAAATAGGAAGTTAAAAGTGCCTTCACAGGCCAAAGTGATACAACACTGTTCAGAGGGTGCCAACAACGAAGAAAACAACCCTGGATAAAGCTTTCATCTCTTTCACATCTCCGCAGATCTCTCACCAGACCCTAGCCAGGGATGAACTGTTATCAATCACCAAAAAAAAAAAAAAAATCACAACAGTTGCCGAGGGCTGGACAACCAATCAGCGCAAGCCATCTTCTCAGCAGTAAATGATATACACATATTCCAGGCAGATCACAAAGGAGTCAGTGTTCAACAGGAGAACCAAAATGAGGAACCAAACCTTCATCTGTTGAGGCGAAACAGCCCAACCAGACATTTTTGTTTAATAGAGGGAGACTGATTTGGCAGGGTCTCTGTGGTGCCGCTCCCACAAACTCTTAACAGACAATACCAATGACAAAAAACCCCCTTCAGAACTGCTTCTTATAATCAGAAAACACTCAGAAGATGGCCTGAAGCTTGGCAGCGTCTTGCTGTCTGATTTCACAAAGAGCTGGTACACATACCTGGGTACTTATCTCTAAAATTAGAGTCAGAGACGATTACTTTTATTTTGAGATCTTCTGAGAAGTTCTCCACACCCTTCAAAATAAATAAGGATGTCCGAAAGGTGTCTGAAAAATTCAGAGGTCTGGCATCGCTCCAAAGAAACTGATTGATATCACTTAAAAAACACCAAGAGTAAATCCAAACACAACCAAAGTAAGGCAAGCACTTTTTAAGTGTCCTCTCACATTAAGAGCATAAAAACCACACCAAAAACTTCTCCCTCCTTTCTGCATCTCAGTTCTATAATGTGGTCCTGATCTAGGATTCTGGGAAAGACCCATCCTTAGTCCCAGCTATGAGGCATCAGGCAAGATATATACCACCCCCACTCCCTCATACACACCTGCCTCAGGTGCCTCGCCCATAAAACAAGACACTACAATCTGTCTTACCACACAGCCATCTGAAGGAAAACGGAGCTCACAGGTATGAAGACACTAAGCAAAAAACACATCACTAATGTTAAGATACTGTCTCCTTCTAATCTTTCAGAAAGACCATGTTTCTAGTCAAGGGGTTTCCAACATTTTTCTTGGAATAAACTCCAGACTCCTATTTTATATCATGACCTCACTCTAATCATTTAATTTCATGTGCTTTTAAAGTCCTTAATTAAGTCATTGGTGTTCATTGTCTCCAGCGATCAAAAGTAGTTTTACCATTTACTTTGCTGATGTATGTACCTTTTCACCACTTATCCTCTCCCTCATTCATACCTCCAGTCCACCCTTTAGGGCCGAGAGCAACTTTTTAACCTCGACTAGGAAGGAAACACTTTTTCTGAAGCTACCCAGCACTAAGGAGGCTCCCGGGCAGGTGGGAAACGTACGTACAAGTGGCCCCTCTCTGCCTGGTGCCCAGTGGCTGCAAGATGCCAGGGCCACGATGGGTTTCCAAGATGGGAATGTTATATTTGAACCGACAGATAAAGTCCCGAGTTGGAGAGCCCAGAAGAATTACAGAGGAGGACTGGGGTCCGAGGGCGGAGGGAGGATGCTGCGGGCGGCCAGCACTGCCCCGCTGCATGCTGAGGACAGGCTTAGCTCCTGCTCCCCGCCTTGAGGTGTGACCTGAGAACTTCCCATGAAAGGCCGGGAGGGTTTCACGCCAGGGCAGATGCCAGGGCGCACTCCTGCAGGAGACACGTCCGCCCCGCGGCAGGCGAGCTCCATCCTGGGGGCACTGGGGCGCAGAGCAGGCGGGCGGGCCTGGCGGCGGCGCGGGGCACTAGTGAAGGGGAAGCAGGCGGCCCCTGCGCGCGCTCGGAGCCAGCGTGTGGCCAGCAGGAGTGCGCGGCCTGGAGGCCCGGGGCGAGCGCGGCACCGGCAGCGCGTGCGAGGGCGCGCCCGCGGACCGCTGCGAGTGGGTTGGACGGGGTACGTCGGACTGCGCTGGCCTGGCCGCCGACCCCACTGCTCCGGGGCGAGGGGCCAGGCCGCAGCCCAGCCCGGGGCTGAGAGGCGATCCATCCCAGCCGCTCCCTGGTCGCCTCGCACCGGGCCCCAGGGTCCCGCCCCGTCACCTACCGGCCAAGCGCCGATCTCCCCAACCAAGCGAGTGTTGCGCTCCGCTCGCCCGCGATCTCCCGCCGCCGGCCGCCGACCGCTGAGCTCCCGGCCCGTGGTCGCCCCGCCCCGGTCCCGGGCTCCGCCCCCTCGCCTTCTCGGCCGCCCCCGGGGCCACGCCTCCCCCGGAGGCTGTAACTTTGCCTCGCTTCGCGCCTCCTTTCTTTGGCCGCACCGCGACCCGTGGCCCCGCCCACTCCCCTACGCCAACCAATGAGACGGTCGTCCCGGCAAGCCCGTCTTCCCGCTCCCTAGCAACGATTGGTTAACGAGGCCTGGTTTCCAGAAATGGGCACTATTTCCGGACGATGTTTGTAGAAGGGAGATCGCTGGGCGGGCGGACTGACAGAAGGCGGAGGCGACTAGGGTGTTGGTGGAACCACACATGCGCCCTCGGCTTCTGGCAGTCTTACCAGCTGCGTTCTCGAGGTTACGGGAAGGAAGGGCGAGTGTGCGCATGCGTGGGCACTCCCTGCCACTGACTTCGGTTACCTTGGAGACAGCGAGGCGCTCTCCCTCGTGGGTCGCGCGCGTTCCGCTTCCTCTCTGCTGCCAAGCGGTGGCGGCTGAGGCGGGAGGTGGTGGGGGTAGAGACGTTTTTATTGAGCTCTTACCGTGTGCCTGGTCCTGTAGAATCCCTGGAATGAGTAAAGAAGGTTACAGTGCCTGCCCTCGAGAAGCTTGGGGAGCCAAGGGCTTACAGGGGCCCGACCTGTGGGTTGAAACCCAGGTACAAAGAGAGCATGTGGGTGCGTGGCGTGGTACGAGCGCTGAGCAAAGCATCTGCTCTCTGGGTTTGCAGACCACAGAGCCAGCAAGAGGATGAGAGCTTGATGTATGCAAAGAAAGGACCTGGAGTTCAGAATATGCATTGAAGTGTCAACAGTGCTTCTTTCTGAATGGGGGTCGGGGGTGGGGAGTAGGGAAGGTATAGAAACTTTTTCTAACTTTTGCCCCTCTGTATTATCTAGTGTTTCCACACTGAGCTTGTATTTTATTTGTAATAAATTCCAGGCCAGGCACGGTGGCTCACTCCTGTAATCCCAGCGCTTTTGGGAGGCAAAGGCAGGAGGATCGCTTGAGGCCAGGAGTTGGAGAACATCCTGGGCAATATAGCAAGGACCTCGTCCTTGCAAAAAAATAAAAGAATAGCCAGGCGTGGTAGTTTGCACTTGCAGTCCCAGCTAGAGGGGAGGCTGAGAGTCTGAGGTTACAGTGAGCCATGATCGTGCCACTGCACTCCAGCCTGGGTAACAGAGTGAGGCAGTCCTTTAAAAAAAAAATCCAAACTTTTTTTTTTATTGCAAAATAAAAGATGTACTCCTACCCTGGGCATCCCACTTCCATGAAGGGTCCATGGTAGGTGTGGTGAGTGGCTCTAGTCCGGGGATAGGCAGGCCCCACCCAAGGCTGTCTTGAAAAGTAAGGAACACCCCATCTCTGGAAGTGTTTGAGCAAAGACCACCATCTGCTTGAGACTACTTTGCAGACAGTCCGAAGCTGAACTCTTCTTTCTGGATATCTGTGCCAAACAGTCATCTCTGCTGGGGAATAGGGAAGACCATTTATTTAGGCAGTGGTCAAAAACTCACAACCTGAGGGCCTCATTCACTCACCCAGGCCAGAAATATGCTTTGTTTGGCTGGCCCAATATTTTTTTAAATTTGAATTTGAATGCCTTAGAGCAGAGCCTGCGGTTCCTTACAGTTCCCGCCACCCAACCATCTAACCTTATGTCACCTGTCTGGCCCCTGGAGCATTTGAGGTTGTGGCTCCCGTAGAGTCCGTGCTTTAGAGCCAAACAGTCTCTGGCGCCCACCCTGGCTCTGCCACTGACTAGCTGGGAGATGGCAGACAAGAAAGAAGCTGGACTGGTGGCCCCCAAATCTCTTTCCACCCCTAGGGTTTTGCATTTCAGTGACTCAGGGAAAGGCAGAGCTTGGCCAGATGTACAGGTTGGTATCGGCAATCTTGGATGCCCTTATTGCCTCTCCCACCACCTGTTTGCCTCTGGGCACACCACTTCTCAGGAAAGATGTGGGCACACCTCCAGAGTCTGCAGACACTCCCTGGCTTGCCTTTGCCTTCTCTCTCTTTCACTATTCCTTCTTTAAAACACCCAGTGTCTCTGTACTTTGCCCAGGTTCCCTTGACACCTCTGGTCCTGGGTCCCCTGTACACTCCCACCTACCCCATCAAGATGATCTGTCTTTAAGTCCGTCCCTGAACATTAATGTGTATTAATCAGAGACAGTGAACTGTGTTGACTCAAAACTGTAACTCTGGAGAAGGAATGTCACATCAGGTTGCAGGGGAGGAGCAAACCACTAAACACTGGTAAGGAAGATATTCGGGATAAGCAAGGCCTCTCCGTTTCAGCTACTTTTCTGAGGTCTTTCCAAGCCCCACTGTGTGTGGGTGAGGTGAGAAACAATACACCTACCCAGAGTGAGCAGTGTGGTGTCTCTGAGTCTTGAAATGCTTGCACCCTCTGGAAGGAGAGCTTCGGGACGAGATTACTTCCTCCAAGCTTAAGTCAAGACAACCTGGGAAAGCTTCTGGCCTTGAGTCACTTGTGCAGCCTCAGCTCTGCTTTAAATACAAGAAATTGACATTTACAGGATGACTCACACCTGGAGCAGTGAACTAGGTTCTCAGTACTCAAGGGTTCTCACACCCCATCCATTTCAGGTCTGGAAATAGCGTTAAGACTGTGCTATTCCGAAAGAATCGCAGCTTGTTTTCTGATACTTTACAAAAAGTAAGCCAGATAGACTTAGAGTACTTCATGTGCATAACCTCACTGAATGTTCCCTCTAGGCCAGGGTTTCTCAGCCTGGCACTATAGACATTTGGGGTTGGATAATTCATTGTTGGGGGACGGGGCTTGTATTCGCCTGTTTTCACGCTGCTGATAAAGACATAGCTGAGATGGGGTAATTTATAAAGGAAAGAGGTGTAATGGAGTCACAGTTCCATGTGGCTGGGGAGGCCTCACAATCATGGCAGAAGGCAAAAGGCATGTCTTACATGACAGCAGACAAGAGAGAATGATGAGAGCCAAGTGAAGGGGAAACCCTTACAAAAACATCAGATTTCATGAGACTTACGCACTACCATGAGAACAGTATGGGAGAAACTGCTCCAGTGATTCAATTATCTCCCACTGGGTCCCTTGCACAACACGGAATTGTGGGAGCTACAAGATGAGATTTTTTTTTTTTTTTTTTTTTTTTGAGATGGAGTCTCCCTGTGTCACCCAGGCTGGAGTGCAGTGGCGCGACCTCAGCTCACTGCATCCTCCTCCTCTTGGGTTCAAGTGATTCTCGTGCCTCAGCCTCCTGAGTAGCTGGGACTATAGGTGTGCACCACCATGCCCGGCTAATTTTTATATTTTTAGTAGAGATGGGGTTTTGCTACGTCAGCCAGGCAGGTCTTGAACTCAAGTGATCCACCCACCTCAACCTCCCAAAGTGCTGGAATTATAGGCATGAGCCACTGCGCCTGGCCTCAATGTGAGATTTGGGTGGGGCCACAGCCAAACCACATCAGGGCTGTCTTGTGCATTGCAGGATGTTTAAAAGCTTTCCTGGCCTCTGTCTACTACATACCTATAGCACTCCCTCATCCACCCAATGTGACAATAAATGTCTCTGGACATTGCTAGATGTCACCAAGGAAGCAAAATTGCCCCCGGTTGAAAACCCCTACAGTCTGACCCCATTGAATAGGTAGTATTACTGTCCCCATTTCACTGATGAGCAAACTGAAGCTCAGACAGAAGTAACTTTCCCAGTGTCACTTTGCTGTAACAGGAGACCCAGGATTCAAACCATGTCTGACTTCAGAGCCCCTGCCCTCCTGCATGCCGGACTCTGCAGAGAGACTTCAGGGTTCAGGGAGCCAATTGCCCATCAGTTCTCTAGGACAGTGCTGAAGAGTGAGTAAATCAGTGAAGGAATGCTATCCTTGGATCATTTTTCCTTTTCTGTTTGCCTTGGAAGAAAGGAAATTATATTCTGGTTTTTATTGCCTTAGTCAGCATGGTTTATGGTGCTGAGCCATGTCCAGTGAGAAAGTGGCTGATGAGTCATCTGAATGTGGATTTCAGGCCCCAAATTACTGTGAGATTCTGAAGTTACACTTGAGAATTCAGATGTGAGGCTGAGATAAGAGATGACTGGGGACTGTAGGGTGGATGTTCCTGGAGGAGAGCAGTTTTCCTTTCCCTGTCGGGACTGCCTGAAGTTGCAGCCACAGTGCTGTTGCTGCCCTCCCCAGCTTGGACCTGCCCTACTGCTGCTGTTAGCTGAGGTCTATGGAGAGGCCAGGGAGGCAGGAGGGGAAATGGATAAATGGATGCAGGCAAAGTGTGATCCATTCTCTCTAGCTATTTTGTGATCAGTGATCTCATATTGGTAGCTTGAAATTGGACATGTTGGGAGTATTTATACCATGGAAGTTGGCAAACAGTATAAATCAGGGCTACCCATCCTGAGTTGGTTGTTAAACACCTGCTGGCACACCACTGTGTGCTGGTTCTGGCCTGTGCCTGCTGCCCACCAAACCAACCCCACATAGGGAGATGGCAGGGGGCACCACAAACCACAGAGCTGCTGTAGAAGAGGAGGGGCCATGGCGATGTGGGTGAGGGGGAGAGGAGTGCCAATTTCAGCAAAGAATGGAGGTGAGGGCTGGTAGGGGACTCTGGAGGGTACTGGGCAAAGATGACCTTACAAGAACAGGTCCTGGGCACACCTTCCAGAGATCTAGCCTCCTCTCCCAACTTTGGAGCCTTCTTAGGGTGCCCTGGCTTGACACAAATTCTTCTCATTTCCTGATTTGGAGATTTTCCCCTCCAGACTCACCTGCTTACCTCTAGTCTCCTCTCCACACTATCCTCAAGCCTTCTGGTGAATTGAATCTTCCTAAGAGATCGCATAGGTCCTGTCATTCCACTCCCAATGTCCCAGCATCTCCTGCCCTTCGATATCTCCCTCCTTTCGCTTCTTCCTTTCAACCTACAAATGAGGTCAAGCCGAGGACACCCTAAAAACAACAAACAAACAAAACCTTGCTAGTTCTGGCTTTCCCCTGCACTGTTAGCCCAGCCTTCTTTCCCCCTTCACTCCCAAACTTCTTGAAAGTCTGCTTCATCTCCCACCCAAGTGGGCTCCTTACAGCCTGGTTTCTGCTCACCAGCCCTTCTCTCCATGAACTGCCTCCTAGTAGATGACCTTGTCTCAGTTTCTTATCTGCAGCCAGCCACAAATGTGATGCACTGAGCTCCTCTGTGTCAGGCTCTGGGTAGGAAGCATGGAACCTCCAGACCAGTCCCTGCCCTTAGGGAGCTTCCTTGAACAGGTAGCAACAGATGAGGACTTAAGCCACTGCAAGTGTGGCAAGAAGATGGGGAGACTGTATCATGTCAGGTAGGATCCAGCCAGGAAAACAGGACCCATTTTGAGGGTTTTTTTTTTTTTAATTTTGATAGAGGTAGGGGTCTCCCTGTGTTGCCCAGGCTGATCTTGATCTCCTGGCCTCAAACGATTCTCCCGCCTTGGCCTCCCAAAGCACTGGGATTACAGGCATGAGCCTCTAAGCCCAGCCTCATTCTGAATTTTTATTTTTATTTTATTTATTTATTTATTTTTGAGATGAAGTCTCACTCTGTCACCCACGCTGGAGTGCAGTGGCATGATCTTGACTCACTGCAACCTCCACCTCCCGGGTTCAAGCAATTCTCCTGTCTCAGCCTCCTGAGTAGCTGGGATTACAGGCGCCTGCCACCACACTCGGCTAATTCTTTTGTATTTTTAGTAGAGACGGGGTTTCACCATGTTGGCCAGGCTGGTCTTGAACTCTTGACCTCAGGTGATCCACCCGCCTCGGCCTCCCGAAGTGCTGGGATTATAGGTGTGAGCCACCTCGCCTGGCCTCTGAGTTTTTAAACAGAATAAACATAGAATTGAATGCAGGAAATTGGTTACATAGGGGATGAAAGGATGGAGAAGTTCTTCAGACAATGGGGGAAGTAACCAGGAATCCAGCTGCGACCCCTGGGTTGGAGGGACTGGACTGGGGCAGTGTAATCAAAGGCTGGGACTGGGGTCACTTGGAAGAAGTTGAAACCATAGAGAAGACACAACCACTTCCACAGATACCACTAAGACTGAGAGGGATGGGGAGAAATCCCTGCATTCTCCTTCCCTTCTACCTTTGGGTTTCCTGCCAGAGCCTCTTACTGGCCTGGGAGCCTAGAGGGGTCAGTCACTTGCAATGCAGAGCAGAGCAGGTGAGGGCTGGATGGGGGAGCACACAGCCCGGGACCAGCGCAGGGATTCCTTCTACCCTCCACATCTATCGTTACCATGTCCATCTCCCCTGTTGAGGCCAGGCCTCATGACTCATTCATCTCTCTCCGGCACCAGGGCCTAGTCAAGTGCCTGGCACCAAATAGGTGCTCAACTACTGTTTGTTGAATGATTCAATACAGCCAGTAGTGGATGAGGACTCCAAGGGAGAGAGTGTAGAGAAATGAGGGGCTTAGGCCTGAAACTTGGAGGGTCTCAATTGTTAAGAATTGGAGAGGGAGGCCAGGTGCAGTGGCTCATGCCTGTAATCCCAACACTTTGGGAGGCCAAGGCGGGCAGATCACTTGAGGTCAGGAGTTTGGGATCAGCCTGGCCAACATGGAGAAACCCCGTCTCTACTAAAAATACAAAAATTAGCCAGGCGTGGTGGCTGACGTGTGTAATCCCAGCTACTCAGGAGGCTGAGGCAGGAGAATCGCTTGACCTGGGAGGTGGAGGTTGAGGCTGCAGAGGTTGGGAGCCGCAGGAGAAGAGAGGATTCTGGAAGAAGAAGAGGAGCGCCAGCTTTGGACATAGTGTATCTGGGCTGCCCTGGCTCTCTCAATTGTCCTCTCTTTGCTGTTGACTGCCAGATTAACACCTTCAGTTCTGACCGTGATCCTGGGCTCCAAACCAGAGTTTCCAGGGGCCCATAGAGTATTTCCACCTTCTAGCCATCTGGCATCTCCAGCTTTGCACTGTTCCCCAAACCTGTTCCTTGGCCACCCCTCTCTGTTAATGACCTCACCGCCAACCCCGGGAGTCTCCATCACCCGCCTCTTCTTGCTGTCTCATGCCAAGCCATGTTGATGCTCTCTCCATTATACCTCTGTCTGTGGCTTCCCTTTGTCTCCCCTTTCTGATGATGCCCTTGTAGTATGTCAGCCTTTCCTCTTGCTTCCTGTCATTTATATTCCAATCCCTCCTACACTGTCTGTCACTCCCTTGCCCAAAACTTTCAATGGCTCCCCATTGCCTACTGATGAAGTACAAGCTTGTTATCTGGCTCACAAGGGCCTCACAGTCTAGCCCCAACTCACCTCTTTTGGTCTTACTTTTCACAGCTTCCCTGTGGGCACCCTCTGTACTACTTACCATTGACCCAAACCACCTGTCTGTACATCCTGACCCAAGGCTGCCCTGTGGACTGAAATGCACCCCTCTGCCTCTGCCTGTCAAATCATACCCATCCATCAAGTTCCTGATGAAACGCCTCCTCTCCAAGCACCACTTAGCCCAGCTATGTATCTGCCTACTTTATCTCTCTTAACAGACAGTATGCACCTTGATGGCAGCTTGTAATCACCAAATGGTGAGTTGGTATTTGGTAAATGTATGTTGACCTGAAGTGGCTCCAAAACCATTCTTCAGATCAAGAACCTCCTGTGGGCTGGGCACAGTGGTTCACCCCTGTAATCCCAGCACTTTGGGAGGCTGAGGCGGGCAGATCACTTGAGGTCAGGAGTTCGAGACCAGTCTGGCCAACATGGTGAAACCCCATCTCTGCTAAAAATACAAAAATTAGCCAGGCGTGGTGGTGGGCGCCTGTAATCCTAGCTACCTGGGAGGCTGAGGCGGGAGAATTGCTTGAACCTGGGAGGCAGAGGTTGCAGTGAGCCAAGATCGTGCCACTGCACTCCAGCCTGGGTGACAGAGCAAGACTCTGTCTCAAAAAATAAAAAATACAAATAGAACCTTCTGTGGCTCCTTGTTGACCACTTCAGAAGCCTGTTCCATCTTAGTATCTAACCTTACTCCCCCACTGTTGCCTCCAAATATGTCTCATGTTCAGTTTCAACCCTTCAGTAGAAGCGTGAAAGATATAAACATGAAAAAAGGCATTACTGCCCTCCAGAAGTATGCATTCTCCTAGGGTGGATTAGCCATGCATACTAACAGCTAATAGAATTGGTTTAAAATAATATCTTAGCTGGGTGCAGTGGCTTATGCCTGTAATCCCAGCACTTTGGGCGGCCGAGGCAGGTGGATCACTTGAGGTCCAGAGTTGGAGACCAGCCTGGCCAACATGGTGAAACCCCGTCTCTACTAAAAATACAAAATTAGCTGGGCGTGGTGGCATGCACCTGTAATCCCAGCTGCTTGGGAGGCTGAGGCAGGAGAATCGCTTGAACCCGGGAGGCGGAGGTTGCAGTGAGCCAAGATCGTGCCATTGCACTCCAGCCCGGGCGACAGAGAAAGACTCCATCTCAAAAAAAATAAAATAAAACAATAAAATAACATAATATCTTTTGCTCAGAGGGGGATATCCAATCTCTCCTTTTTTGATTGGAACCCGGATTTTATTCATAGTGGTGACCTGCCCAGTGTGAAATGCTTCCCCGACTCTCTTACAGCTAGGGTGGTTATTTGATGTAATTCTGGCCAGTGAGATGTACATGGAAGTCTCTGGATGGAGCTTCTGGGAAAGCTGGGGGACAGACCTAGCTGGCACAAGCCCTTTTGTCTGTTGCCCTTGGCCTTATCCCCTTTCTTTAGTTTGGAATGCACACCCAGTGCTTGGAGGTGTAGCAGCCAGTGTTTGAGCATAAGAATTCTACGATGGCAGAGCAGAAAGCTAGGCTCTGAGTCCCCAATAGACTCATGGAACCGTCATGCAGCCAGGGACTGCCCACCTCCTGGGGACTGCTGACCTTCAGCTTCTGGCATGTGATGAAGCCACTGCAGCTGGGTTTCTGTGACATGCAATACTGACTGGTACAGTTAAGAGTTGTAAAATTTAGCCAGCTTGAGAATTCCCAACAGCGAAAAGTAGCCCCAGGATGAAATTACACTGCGGCAAAAGCCTTAAATGTAATAAGCTGGCCAGGTGCAGTGGCTCACACCTGTAATCCCAGCACTTTGGGAGGCCGAGGCGGGCGGATCACGAGGTCAAGAGATCGAGACCATCCTGGCCAACATGTTGAAACACCGTCTCTACTAAAAATACAAAAATTAGCTGGGTATGGTGGCGCATGCCTGTAATCCTAGCTACTCGGGAGGCTGAGGCAGGAGAATCGCTTGAACCCGGGAGATGGAGGTTGCAGTGAGCCGAGATCACAAGCTACTACACTCCAGCCTGGGCGACAGAGTGAGACTCCATCTCAAAAAAAAAAATGTAATAAGCTTATGCTCATTAGGGATTGTGTAACACATGGAAACAGTAAAGAAGGTCTGTAGCCTACATGAGTAGAGAGAGCTACTCCTGTTTTCTGAGAAAGGGAATCTCACCTGGGAAAGCTGTGGAAGGAGATGAGTGACTTCATGGGCTAGAGAGGATGCCGGAAATGTCAGTCAAGGATTACGTGACTCCTTGTGCTAATCACAAGAAGTCTTGATCAGGACCAAGATATATTTCACCCGATTCAGATAAAGGATGCTCAAATTAGGTAGAGGGAAAACCCAGGTGTTAAGATGCAGAGATTAGAGCAGATGTCTGTCTGTAGAGACAAGAATGCTTTCACGCAATCCGTGCCATCTGGACAGAGCTTTACTATAAATCACAGTTCCCCAAAGGGAGGCATGTGGTTCCCGAGGGGTGCACTAGATGATGTGTGGTGGCCCACAGCTCTAAGAAACATTGGATCTCATGCTGAGCTAGTTATTCTCTAATTCTTTTTTAGATTTGTCTATTTCTTGAATAATTGATGCATGCGGTTTGTACAAATTCCAAAAGAGCATGCTTCTCCCACCTCTGGCCCCAGGCTCTTTTTTTCTTTTTCTTTTCTTTTCTTTTCTTTTTTTTTTTTTTTTGAGATGGAGTCTTGCTCTGTTGCCCAGGCTGGAGTGCAGTGGCTCAGTCTTGGCTCACTGCAACCTCTGCCTCCCGGGTTCAAGTGCTTCTCCTGCCTCAGCCTCCCAAGTAGCTGAGATTACAGGCATCCACCACCAGGCCCAGCTAATTTTTGTATTTTTAGTAGAGATGGGGTTTCACCGTGTTGGCCATGCTGGTCTTGAACTCCTGACTTCTGGTGATCCGCCCATCTCGGCCTCCCAGAGTGCTGGGATTACAGGCATGAGCCACTGTGCTTGGCCCCCAGGCTCTTTTGAAGCAACCATTCTCCCATCCAGGTACCAACCAGGCCTGACCCTGCTTAGCTTCCAAGATCAGATGAGATCGGGCGTGTTCAGGGTGGTATGGCAGTAGACGAAGCAATCATTCTTACCAGTTCCTTGTGTATTTTTCCAGATGTACTTCAGCATGTGCAAACGATACATTCCTATAGCCTCTTTCTAAAAAGTTAATGGAAGCATACTATCCACAACTGCCCTGTACCTTGCCTATCTCACTTATCAGTGGGTTCCACATCATACATATAGAACTGCCTCCTTCTTTTATAAAGACTCATGCTATTCAACTGTATGACTGGTATATAATTTACCCAGTTCACTGTTGATAGACTTGTTTCCAACCATTTCCAACCATTATAAGAATTGTTGCAATAAATATCCTTATATGTATTTCATTTTGCATATTAGTTAATCCATGCGTTCCACAAATATTTTCCGAACACCTACTATGCACCAGGTCAGGTCTAGGCACCAGAGGCAGAGCAGTGAACACAATAGATGGAGTCCCTGCATCATGGAGCTGCCATTCTGTAGTGGAGAATAGCCATAGGATTAACTACTAGAAGTGGGTCACACTTTCAATTCTTCTAATTAAGTCAAGTAGAAAGTCTCACTTTGGTGCCAATGTGTCTTTTTTTTTTTTTTTTTTTTTTTTTTTTGAGACTGAGTCTCGCTCTGTTGTCCAGGCTGGAGTGCAGTGGTGCAATCTCGGCTCACTACAACCTCCACCTTCCCGGGTTCAAGTGATTTTCCTGCCTCTGCCTCCCGAGTAGCTGGGATTACAGGTGTGTGTGCCACCAAGCCCAGCTAATTTTTGTATTTTTGGTAGAGATGGGGTTTCACCATTTTGGACAGGCTGGTCTCGAACTCCTGACCTCAAGTGATCCACCGGCCTCGGCCTCCCAAAGTACTGGGATTACAGGCATGAGCCACCGCACCTCGCTGAGTGCCGATATGTCTTTAATGTATCTCTCTCTGACACTTGTAAATTTCTTTAAGACAGAAAGTGCTGGCCTTAGGTTTAGAGTGTATGACAGACCACAGAGCCTAGCTAGAGTTGAATAACAATGTTTGGTTGTTACTGGATTTATTTCTATATAGCAAATGTTATTGATTTTCCATCTATAGTCAAAATATGAAGGTTCCCTTTAAAATACGCAGGTTCCTTTCAAAATAATTTTTTAAACTTATTTTTTATTTTATTTTATTTTTTTGAGGCAAGGTCTCTCTCTGTCACCCAAGCTGGAGTGCAGTGGCACCATCATGCCTCACTGCAGCCTCAACTTCCTGGGCTCAAACAATCCTCCCATCTCAGCCTCCCAAGTAGCTGGGACTACAGGCATGCACCACCATGCCTGGCTAATTTTGTTTATTTTTTGTAGAGACAGGGTCTCACTATGTTGCCCAGGCTGGTCTCCAACAACTGGATTCAAGCAATCCTCCCACCTCAGCCTCCCAAAGTGCTGGGATTACAGGCATGAACCACCGTGCCCAGCCTCAAAATAATTTAAGTAAAAAAAAAATGAGTCAATATAGAGAAGAATGTTAAGTAAATTAATAACATAGGTGGAATTCAGATGTGGAAAAAACCCACAAAGGTGATAGTCAAATGAGTGAGGTTAGGAAATCATCAAATTAAACAAAGCAAGGAGAAAAGGCTAGGCTTATTATATTGTATTTTATGTTTATTTTTGTATCTTCACTCATCTTTCATGTTGAAACATTCTCACCTCCATAATTCTTCCTAGGCAGCTGATTTGCTTATCATTTATTATTGTTTACTACTTATTTGGTGATTCTTATACTTAGATTTCCTGGAGTTCCTGGTCATGAAAATTTTGCTTTGTGGGTTTTTTTTTTTTTTTTTTGAGATGGAGTCTCGCTCTGCCACCAGGCTGGAGTGCAGTGGCGTGATCTCGGCTCACCACAACCTCTGTCTCCCAGGTTCAAGTGATTCTCCTGCCTGAGACTCCCGAGTAGCTGGGATTACAGGTGCATGCCACCAAGCCTTGCTAATTTTTGTATTTTTAGTAGAGATGGGGTTTCGCCATGTTGACCAGGCTAGTCTCGAACTCCTAACCTTGTGATCCGTCCGCCTTGGGCTCCCAAAGTGTTGGGATTACAGGCGTGAGCCACCGCGCCGGGCGCTTTGTTTTGCTTTCATGAACTGTCACCAATTTGCATTCTCTTAGAAGATCTCTTTCACTTTGAATCCCCCAAAGGCCCCGCTCTCTTTGTCATTGCTGGCTCTGGAGGGGGTTGGAGATGCTCCTGCTGGGGACCTTGATGCAACACCCTTAGTCAGATTTTCGTAATCTGGCTGAGGCTTGCCCTGTAATTCTCTAAAAATATAATATGATGAAACAACCAAGACCAAGTAAGCCTTCGAGGAGATCTCAAAGCCAGAAGCTTCTGAACAGTGCCCATAACCACAAGTGGGGCTGTAATCACCCACAACTTGTTAGCTAAAGACACAAACAATTAGCTTGGTGGTTGGAAAGGTAAACAAGGGGCATTTCACAAATGTGTTCTTTAGGTCAAGTAGGTGGTAGTAAGTCTCTAGCTGTGGTTGTTGGCTTTCTCTGCGGCACAGGTCGGAGAGTGGGTGATACCTCTGGGCCCTGGGCAGAGTACATTTGAGGTGGGCAGTAAGAGGGACCGCAGCTGAATGGAGAGGGAGTAGGTGGGAGCACGCAGGGCTCCAAGGCAACTGAAGGAGCACCTGGGAGCCTGAGAAATAAGAGACAACAAAAAGTAAGGCCATCCATTAGAGGGCAAGTCCTTGAGTTTTGAAATCTAGTGGAGCTCTCAATTAATGACTGAGGACCTACCATGTACCAGGCCCTGACTTAAACTTTTTTTTTTTTTTTTGAGATGGAATCTCGCTCCGTTGCCCAGCCTGGAGTGCTGTGGCACAGTCTTGGCTCACTGCAACCTCCGCCTCTTGGGTTCAAGCGATTCTCCTGCCTCAGGCTTCCGAGTAGCTGGGATTACAGGCACCTGCCACAATGCCCAGCTAATTTTTTGTATTTTTAGTAGAGGTGGGGTTTCACCATGTTGGCCAGGCTGGTCTTGAACTCCTGACCTCATGATCTGCCCGCCTCAGCCTCCCAAAGGGCTGGGATTACAGGCATGAGCCACCTTGCCCGGCCTGACTTAAACATTTTTATAAGTACCAGCTCAGCGGTTCTCAAGCTTTTTGGCTTGTTCATAAATTTTTTTGAGGACTCCAAAGAGCTTTTGTTTTTATAGATGATATCCGATGGTGTGATGGTACATGTTTAACAATTGGTTCTCTGCTGAAAAGTCCTAATTTGTAGCACTTACCAATTTCCATAGTGTAAATACTTCCACCATGGCCAATTTCTTTTTCTTTCTTTCTTTTTTGTTTTTGTTTTTTTTTTTTTTTGAGACGGAATCTTGTTCTGTTGCCCAGGCTGGAGTGCAGTGGTGCAATCTTGGC
Source organism: Homo sapiens (assembly GCF_000001405.40). Lineage (NCBI taxonomy): Eukaryota > Metazoa > Chordata > Mammalia > Primates > Hominidae > Homo > Homo sapiens. Next base: position 21,386 of record NT_187663.1, read on the forward strand.
TCACTGCAACCTCTGCCTCCCGGGTTCAAGAGATTCTCCTGCCTCAGGCTTCTGAGTAGCTGGAACTACAGGCATCTTGAACCCCAGACCTCAGGTGATCCACCCGCCTCGGCCTCCCAAAGTGCTGGGATTACAGGCGTGAGCCACCGTGCCTGGCCCACCGTGGCCGATTTCAAGATACCAACCTAACATCACTGAATGTGAAATGGGAAGAGATATGTACAGTCAACTTTCCCAAGCCAGTGCAAGCAGACTGTGCACCGCTGGAATTTTTATTGATATTTACAGTACTGGAAATTAAAACTCATAAATTTAAAAAAATGCCTTCACTAAAAATACTAATAACCCATTACATATGAATATAAACATTCTTTTTGAAAATAACTATTTAGAAAAATAAAAAATAATTACTGAAGACAGTGGCATTGTTTTATATTTTGCAAATCCCTTTAATCTAGCTTAATGGAAGACAGCGGCATTCATAGATCTCCATTCAATCAGTTGTGATGTCCTATATCACGTGGTCTTTGGAAAACTCCACAAAAGAGCACTAAAGGTAAATAATGTCTTAGCATTACTATGGAAATAGTTTTGACCTCATGGACCCCCTGAAAGAGTCCTGGGGACTTCCAGGGGGTCCCAGGACCATACTTTGAGAATAGCTGTACTAATGCATTTACTTTTTCCAAGGAGCCCAGTGAGGCAGGTTTTCTTATATCCCCATTTTGCAAATGAGGAAATTGAGGTACAGAGTACTTACCCAAGGGCACTAAGCTAGAAATTGGCAAAGTCAGCCAGACATGGTGCCTCGCACCTGTTATCCCAACACTTTGGGAGGCCAAGGCGAGAGGATTGCTTGAGCCCAGGAGTTCAAGACCAGCCTGGGCAATAGAGTGAGACCTCGTCTCTGCAAAAAATTTAAAATAAAATAAATCAAAAAAGAAAATGGTGGCTGGGCATGGTGGTTCACGCCTGTAATCCCAGCACTTTGGAAGGCTGAGATGGGTGGATCACTTGAGGCCAGGAGTTCAATACCAGCCTGGGCAACATGGTGAAACCCTGTCTCTACTAATAATACAAAAATTAGCCAGGCTCGGTGGTGCGTGCCTGTAATCACAGCTACTTGGGAGGCTGAGGTGGGAGAATCTCTTGAACCTGGGAGGGGAAGGTTGCAGTGAACCAAGATGACACCATTGCACTCCAGCCTGGGTGACTCTGTCTCAAAAAAAAATAAAAAGAAAAGAAAATGGCAAAGTCAAGATTCCAACCCAGTCAGTCTATACAGATGGGCAGTTGAGTTGGTGACTATCACTTATTAGATATGTGATCTTGGTGATAATTAACCTCTCTGAGCCTGAGGTACTGTCATTTGACCAACCCATTGTCATCCCCTAGGTTAGGCAGGACTCGACTTTCTCCCTTGTACCCAGCTCTCACTGATGGGGCATCATCTGTGCTCCCTTAGAACCTTCTTTTTTTCTCTGCTCACCTGACACTTTATCCCACACTACATGGCATTAATTGTCTCCATCAGACTGTGTGCACCCCATGAGGACAGACACCACATCTATCTTGATTACATTTGTGCCATCAGTGTCTGCAGCAGGTCTTCAAACGTCTTTGCTGAAGAAATAAGTGAAGAAATAAATGGATAGACATTTTGCAAGAAGGCAGGACACAGTCCATCCTACCTAGGGCTCTTCTCTGTGGCTCGAGGGAGAGGAGTGGCAGTGGGGGAGTGGAAAGGGGATAAAGTGATCCTGCTCCCAAATGGCACTTACATACACTTGCCCAAGCCTGCTGCGTCATCCTAATTACGGGACAAATTCTTGCCTGGAGTCTCCTCCACTCAATGTTCCCATTACTTGGCACTCAGACGCTTGAGTTAGCAGCCCCTCCAGGTATACCTTCATTCTTCTAGAAACTTCTGTATCCTCTGTGCACTAGAGGTCCACGTAGTACATATAGAGCTGCCTTATTCCTTGCAAAGACTGCATACTACCCCATTGTATAATTGGCATATAATTTGCAGATGGCGGGCTCTGCTTTTTCCCTTCATATCCTGGGCTATGTGATGAGTTACTGGCATCCACCCCCACTACCCTTTTGTAAGGCAGTTAAATCTTTTTATGTCATCACCTACAGAAAGGGTCCAGGGACAAAAGAGTGGCCCACACCACTTGGGGCCCAATTAATGACTACACTTGTGGAGGCTGGGGACTCTGGCAGGTGGGAGCGGTTAGATAGAGGCTCTCCTTAGGGCCTCGCAGCTTCCTCTTTTGCTATCTATACGGTCCTTTCCAGCGGTGACCTTCTAGGAGTCTCAGAAGCCCCAAGAAGGGAGAAGTGTAATTGTGGGGGAGGGAGGGAGCAGTGCAGAGACAACCAGCCAGGGTTCTGCCTGGAAGGTCAGGGGGCTGAGCTCTGGCACCAGAGACCTTTAAGAAGCAAAAAGGAACTGAGAAAGCAGCCAGGAGTCTGCTCAGCCTGGAGTTCCTGGAATTCTGCTTTGTGGGTGAGCTTCCTGTGGCAGCCAAGGCCCCTTCTGACTAACAGGAGATGAGAATGGGAGGTGAGGAGGGTGGGTAGAGAGGTGGCTGGGCCTGCCAGCTCTCCTGGGCACTGCCAGCTCCCCAAACTGGCTCCAGATTTCCTCCAGGAACTGAGCTGAGATTCCTGGGAATCTCACCCACTTGGGTGACTTGCTGCCTGCCTGCTGAGCAGAGGTTGGGCAAGTCTACAAGTCAGGTTCTCTTCCCACCCAGCATCAAGCTGTCTGCCCACTTGGTCTGGAGTAGGCAACAAAACCAAGGCCATGATCTCTGGAAAGCCATCTCTAAAACATGAACTTTACATAGGAGGGAACAACTGGCCCCACAGCCATTTTTATTAATATGATTAGGTGGTTGCCACCTTGGAAAGCACTGTGAGCCTGGCCTGGGCTGCAGGACTGATGAATTTCAGTAGAAGGGAGGAGAAGAAGGAATCAGGAGCAGGAGGCGGGAGCCAGGGAACACCAGCAGGGGTGGGATTCTTACCGACTTGGGGTTGGAACCACTCCTGAGGTTGCAGACAAATCCAGGGATCCCATTTCCTCCCTCCACCCACTGTCAGTGCAGGTGAAATCTTGCTAAAATAAAAATCAAGGGTAGCCTTGGCATACTGTTGACTTCTCATACTATGTCATAATTGTTGTTCGCACACGTGCCTCCCCTTCTAAACTGTGAGGTTCTGGAGGATGGAGGCCTGGGTTGGATTCACCTCTGGACACCAGCCTCCTGCACTGGGCTTGGCACATGGAAAGGGCTCAATAGATATTACATGAATGAGTGAAGGAGCCTGACTGAGCCCTCCCCATATGCCAGGCCCACCAAGGGGGAGCTACAAGCAAGGGCAGTTGATTGGGATGGAGGTGTGGACGCACCTGTCTGGCAGCTGCTTGCTTTGTTTTCACTGCTTATAGCTTCCTCCTCCTCCTCCTCTCCCTGGAGCTGCCCTGGTCTCTAAATGCTTAGATAAGGTGGTTTATTCATCCATTCAACAAATGTTTATTGAGCACCTGCTGTGACAGGCCCTGGGTTCTGCATGATTGGGAATGAAACCTACACATTTCCTGCCTCCTCCAGCTCCTAGTCTAGTGTCATTAAATAAGTAATTACAGTGAGTAGTAACAAACACTGTGACTTGGTAGGTCTCATAGAGCTAGGGTGATGGTATAACTTGTTATCCTAACTGGGACACCTTTTGGGAGTAAAAGTGATGGTTGCCGGTTGAGTTCCCCAGGAAGCAGATTCTGAAATGGAGATTAGTGTGCAGAAAGTTGATTAGGAGGCCGTGAGGATCAACACCTGTGAAAAGGAAGGGACCAAAGCAAGATTGAGCAGAGGGAGATGTTGGGATGTGATGGAGTCTCAACGAAGGCCTCAGCCAATCCCACAGGGCACCTTCGGCTGAGATGGCCCTTCAGCTTCATCTCCAGTTGGAGTGAGGAGGCCTGGCCTTCATACCATTATGTTGATAAGTCACTGGATACTGGCTACCTCTGGAAGGAGGTATGACCTTGGGCGAGGCTGTTCTCAGTTGAGACAGTCTTCAAAGAAGGCTGACAGCTGAAGGCATCTTCCCATTGCCAATAGCCAAGGATTTGGGTGGCACTTCCCAGCATCTGCCACAGAAGCACTGTTGATAATTATGTCCAGATAATAGGCGTTTGCAGGGCTGGCCCAAGTACCCACAGCAAGAGCACCTGGCTGGGAGTTTCAGCTGGGATCCTGCACAAATGTGGTGTGGCAGAAAGCTCCCAGCAATAGGAACAAGCCCGGGGCTTGCTCAACCTGCATTCTCTTCATGGCTATCTCTCCTTTCTCTCACCTGTTTCCTTTCCTTTTTTTTTTTTTTTTTAGACAGGTTCTCGCTCTGTTGCCCAGGCTGGAGTGCAGTGGTGCCATCATGGCTCGCTGCAGCCTCAAACTCCTGAGTTCAAGGGATCCTCCCACCTCAGCCTCCCGAGTAGCTGGGACTACAGGTGTGTATCACCATGCCCAGCTAGTTTTTTGATTTTTTTGTAGAGGCGGGGTCTCACTATGTTGCCCAGGCTGGTCTCAAACTCCTGGGCTCAAGTGATCTTCCTGCCTCAGCTTCCCAAAGTGCTGGGATTATAGGTGTGCACCACCATGCCTGGCTTCTTTGCTTTATAGAACCAGTCATGGCTGTCACATGCTACATCACCTACTTCGTATCATTCTATCACTCATTTTCCATGCATTCTATTCTTTAATTTGTGGTGAGGTGGGTGTCATTATTATTCTCACCCCATGGATCCAAACTATCAGGCAGTCCTTTCCCTATTACTTCCAAAACAGAGCCCAACCATTCCCTTTCTCTGTCTTCAACACCTCCGTCTTGGTGCAAACCACCACCATCTCTCCCCTAACTGCTGACATTGTTTTGATTTTGAGCCCAGGTAGCCAACAGCATGGATCTGCTGAGAAGGCAGATGACAGCAGTAAAACAACAGCAGAAACAGACCACGGACAGAGGCCCAGGTAGAGCACGTACACTGAGAAAACTCCAGGAAAGCCAAAAGCATGGTATCTGAACCGAGAGATAAGCACATGAGCTGAAAGCTCAGGATATTCCCTCTTCAGAACAAAATTGAGAGCAGGGGAGCACAGGGGTTAACAGCATGGCTTCTGGGCCAGAACGCCTGGGTTTCTGTAACCTTGGACCAGCTTCTTGATGTCTCTATGCCTCAGTTTCCTTGTCTGTAAAACAGGGGTGATGATAATAGAACCATCATAAGGGGTTTTAGGTGAAGTAATCAGTCACCATGGGTAAGGTATTTAGAGCAGTGCTCTGCCAGGGTTAGCTGCAGGTATTACCCTGGGAGCTACCATCTTGGTCCACATTCAGTGTGGCCAATGTGGCTGTTAGCACTCCTTGTCTGCTCCCATCTCCAACACCTTACCCCCATGTGGAGTCATTTATTCATTCAACAAGTATTTCTTGAGCGCCTACTCACGTATCAGGCATTGAACTCTTGTGTTATTTTCCTATATCCCAAAAGTCACTGAGCTGAAGGGCAGGCTGACCTAGGCTTGCTTTCTGCTGCACAGGGGAGGCTCCATTCCCCATCATTTCTTGTTCATGCTCAAGGTCATCCAGATGAAAAGCCAGCTTCTGTGTGGCTCAGCTGCCTATTGTTCTCCCTTTTGGATCTCTGTCTGCTGGGTCTGAGTCCTTGGGCTTAGAGTGAGCATGAGAATGACCCTTAGGCCCTGCTTTCAGACCCCAGAGGGCTCAGCGGGAAAGGAGGCTGAGCGGTTTACTTGGGCCCTTTGCAGGGTGGGGCCCTGCCCTGTCTCGTGGGTGCCTCCTCCACATGGATCCTCCCTTGGCCATGGCCTCGTGTACTCCTGGCCTGAGTCTCCTTTTTCTGGGTGGCCGCTCTCCATCTCAGGAAAGGGCCTGGAAGGGATGAGGGAGGAGTTCACAGGAGAGAGAAGAGGGCAGAGGCAAGTGGAAGAAAAGAGAGAGGCCAAGTCAGGCAAGAGGGGTTGAGAGGGAGGAGGAGGAGAGGATGCTGATGATGACATCTGACATGATTGATTAATGCATGCCTTAATTCCTAGGAGGTCAGAGCTGTTATTATCCCCACTCTACGGTGGAGGCTGAGGCAAAGTGGGCTATGAAACTTGCCCAAAGCCTTGGAGCTGGTAACTGGCAGAGCTAGAATTTGAACTTGAATAGTTTGACTCCGCCACCCCAGAAGGGTGCAGAATTCTCAAAAGACATCCCAAGGTGTGCAATGAATCGTGTTGAATGGACGGTGGGTTGTGTGTGTGTGTGTGTGTGTGTATGTGTGTGTGTGTGTGTGTGTTGGGGGGGCGGGGGGAGGCTGAAGGCTGTGAGTTGGCTCTTTTTTTTTCTTAAGAGTCAGTGTCATGGCTGGGCATGGTGGCTCACGCCTGTAATCCCAGCACTTTGAGAAGCCAAGGCAGGCAGATCACTTGAGGTCAGGAGTTTGAAACCAGCCTGGCCAACATGGTGAAACCCCGTCTCTACTAAAATAAAAAAATTAGCCGGGTGTGGTAGCGCAGGCCTGTAGTCCCAGCTACTCGGGAGGCTGAGGCAGGAGAATCACTTGAACCTGGGAGGCAGAGGTTGCAGTGAGCCGAGATTGTACCACTGCACTCCAGCAGCCTGGGCGACAGAGTGAGACTCCGTTTAAAAAAATAAAATAAAATAAAATAAAAAAGAGTCACGGTCTTGCTCTGTCACCCAGGCGGGAGTGTAGTGGTGTGATCATAGCTCACTGCAGCCTTGAACTCCTGGCCTCAAGTGATCCTCCCACCTCAGCCTCCCCAGTTGCTGGGATTACAGATGTAATCCCTGGTGTCTTTTGGCCCTGTCTGGTGAAGCGTCTTATCTTCCCCATGTAGTAACATCTCATGTACTCGGGTCAGGATCCTATGATCCTCCCACCAGAGGGAAACCTATATTCACCAGGTTCTGAGACAGCACTGTCCACAGCAGCAGTGTGAGGAGGGAGGTGGCTGTGGTGTGGGCACAGGCCTGATATCGGTCATTTCCTATCCCTGTGATCATAGGTGAGGCATTTAGCCTCATTTTCCTAAGTCACAAAATAGAAATAAGAAGTCGATCCTCATAAGGCCATGTGAAGCTGAAACTGCACAGGGGGAGGGCCTGGCACAGGGCGGGGGTGCGGTAAACGGGCGCAGTTGTGATTCCTGCAGCTCCCGTCACCAGCCTCACTGCTCGGTGGCTGGCAGAGCCCTTCCCACCCCACTCTCAGTCTGGCCTAGGTCCCCGGAGCAGGTAGGCAGGCACTTGCAGAAGCCCCCTCACTGTGTCACAGATGAGCAAATTGAAGCTCAGGAGGTCAGAGAGAACAAGGAGACCTTGCAGAGGTGTGTGGGGATCTGCCGGAGTCTGCGGGGGTATCAGGAAGAGAGGGCCCTCTGGGTGGATAGTAGGGGGCCCAGGGGCCCAGTGCAGCTCCCCCACTCCTCCCCCAGCCACTGAGTCCATCCACACGGCTGGGATCTATTGGCCCACAAATGGCCCCCATGTCCCTTTCCAGCAGCCTGACCTCATCCACTTGGAGAAAAACAGGAAGCTGGGCATTGCCAGGAATCGGAACACTCCCTTCCTCAGCTCTGGGCTGCAAGGATGCTGGGATGGCAGGGGGCTCTGGGAGAAGAACCTGGGACAGGGTGTGGGGTGGGGGCTCCACAGGCTAAGCCGGGGTGACCTGGGCTGCCCTTGGGGCTTTGGCTTTGGCTCAGTCGGCCGGACTTGGTCTGGCCTGGCATTGCTGAGCCAGACCAGGGGCTGGGAGGAAGCAGTGAGGTGGGGAGAGGGAGAAGGAGCTCCTGACTTTTCTCTCCCATGTCGAGACAGAGCCCTGGGGCACCAGGGCCACATCTGCCTTTTGCGTTCATGGGTCCCTTCCTCCACAGAAAAATATTACAAAGTATATTATACAACTGTGTTGGTATAAAGATGAATATAACCCAAGCTGGATTCATGATTATCTATTGATTATTATTTTGTTCAACATTTCTTCTGATTATAAAATAAAATTAAAACATTTTCAGCCAGGCCTGTAATTCCAGCACTTTGGGAGGCCGAGGCGGGTGGATTGCTTGAGCCCAGGAATTCAAGACCAGCCTGGGCAACATGGCAAAACCCCATCTCTATAAGAAAATGCAAAACTTAGCCAGGTGTGGTGGCACACTCCTGTAGTCCCAGACTCAGGAGCCTGAGGTGGGAGGATCACCGGAGCCCAGGGTGTTGGAGGGTGCACCGAGCTGCAATTGCACTGCTCCACTCCAGCCTGGGTGACAAAATGAGATCCTGTCTCAAAAAAAAACCACCACCACCAACATTTTCACGGGGCCCCAAAAGCGTCAGTGTGCCTCCTGTGTCTAATGGAGAATTTGGCCCCGTGGGGGAAGCTTCTAACGCTTTCCTGTCCTGCAGAATCCATGTACCCCCTACACAGCCATACAGCATAGCCATTAGCACCCAGGGGAATGCCAGCCCAGCCTAAAAACTGAACCTCCCCAAGCCCCAGTTTCCTCTTCTGTAGAATGGGAAAACCAAAATGCTTGCCTCCTGGTGCTTTTTTTTGTTTTGTTTTGTTTTGTTTTGAGACGTAGTCTCCCTCTGTTGCTCCAGGCTGGAGTGCATGGGATGATCTTGGCTCACTGCAACCTCCACCTCCCAAGTTTAAGCGATTCTCCTGCCTCAGGCTCCTGAGTAGCTGAGACTACAGGGACATGCCACCATGCCCGGCTAAATTTTGTATTTTTAGTAGAGATGGGGTTTCACCATGTTGGCCAGGCTGGTCTTGAACTCCTGACCCCAAGTGAGGCTCCTGCTGCTTGGCCTCCCGAAGTGCTGGGATTACAGACATGAGTCACCATGTCCAGCCCTCGTGCTCTTTTGAGATGATCCCATGAAAAGTGTCAGGTCCAGGACCTGACCCAGATAACCCCCGACTGTTTTCACCATGTATGTTCACCTCAGACCCTGGCAGAGACCCCAACAGCAGCAAGGTGCCTAGCTTTGGGGCTTAGGGACATTTCCAGGGCTGCCACACCTTTCACTTCTTTCTCCTCTCCTGCCTGTCCCTCTTGGACTCCTGCTCAGGGTCAGACCTAAGGCAACCATGAATCTAATACGTCGTGTTAGTCCAGTTCACAAGCCACTTTGGCTCCATGACTCCATCGGTCCTCAGAACTACCCCATGAGGGTTGTCTTGTGTGAGTCTTCACCCCATTCTCCCAGAGAGGATACCAACCATCAGAGAGGTTAGGTACCTGTCCAAGGTCACACAGCTAGAAAGGGCAAAGTTGGGACAAGCATTTAGATCTGTCAAGCCTACCCTCAGTTGGCACTGTTACATCTGACACCCCAAAATGTTCATGCCAGTCAGTATGTATGTGTGTGTGTGTGTGATGGTTCTTGTGACAAGGTAGGTGAGAAGGACTGGAGTGACTCTGGAGTCCTCAGGACCTTTCTGGGATGTGCTGACGGGTGGTTCACAGGGGTCCCTGGGCATCTGGGCTCCTGTCTTTGCCCTGCTTAAGGCTGGGGTGGGACCTGGTCCCTGTCTCCTTGGCTGTGCTGCAGTTGCACCCTCCTTCCTGTGCCCCTGCTCCTCCTCACTGGCTGTCTCAGTGCCAACAGAACCAAAGGAGCAAAGTGGCTTAAGATAACCCTGCCATTTTACATCAAAGCTCTAGGGTCATCTTTAATTTTTACTTTTTTTTTTTTTTTTTTGAGACAAGAGTCTCACTCTGTCACCCCGGCTGGAGTGGAGTAGTGTGATCTCAGCTCACTGTAACCTCGGCCTCCTGGGTTCAAGCGATTCTCCTGCCTCAGTCTACCCATTAGCTGTGATTACAGGCGCACACCACCATGCCCAGGTAATTTTTTTTGTATTTTTAGTAGAGACAGGGTTTTACCATGTTGGCCAGGCTGGTCTGGAACTCCTGACCTCAAATGATCCACCTGCCTTGGCCCCCCAAAGTGCTGGATTGTAGGTGTGAGCCACAAAATTTTTAAGTTGTTTGTTTGTTTGTTTGTTTGTTTGAGACAGGGTCTCATTCTGTTTCCCAGGCTGGAGTGTAATGGCCCGATCATAGCTCACTGCAGCCTTGACCTCTTGGGCTCAAGCGATCCTCCCACCTCAGTCTCTTGAGTAGATGGGACTACAGGTGTGTGCCACCATGCCCGGATTTTTTAATTTTTAAAACTTTTAGTAGAGAAGGGGTTTTGCCATGTTGCCCAGGCTGGTCTCAAACTCCTGGCCTCAAGCCATCCTCCTGCCTCAGCCTCCCAAAGTGCTGGGATTACAGATGTGAGTCACTGCGACTGGTGTAATTTTTAAGTTTGTATTGGAAAACAATTTACCATCTTCAAATATATATTATCTCACAAATAGAAATATAGTGAGAAGCTGGTATTCATGTTAGATTCCAGTAAAGAAGATTTAGGCTTAGGGTGAAGAAGGATTCACAGCCCATGAGTATTATTTAAGCACAGAAACTGATGACTGTGTACTGTGCAGTGCATGGAGAACCCTTTATAAAGAACTTCCAGGAGAGACTGAATTTATCTGGCAGGGATGGTTTGGGTTAAGGTTTTAACTTCTGTGCTGTTTTTGATTAAAATCTGCCAGCGCCTCTGACTGAGTTAGACCTCTCTGATCTCTTGTTACTTTGTTATTTCCTAAGAATCTGAGCTGGAGCTGGATGACAAATACGGTCCTCTGCCCCGTCAGCCATGGACCTGGGGGATGACCTCTCCTTTGCCAGAGGAGGATGGGAGCTGGTGGGTGCTGAGACTGACAGTGGATCCACCCAGGCGGAGAGTCTCTTAATGACTCGACTTGGATCCTGTCAGGGCTCTGCCTGCTCTCTTGCTCTTGGGGCATCCTGTGGCTCTCCCAGTAGGGGAGGAGGGGGCGTGGCTGGACGCTTGCTCGAGGCCCTCCCCATACCAGCAAAGTCCTGCCCCCTTGACTCCTGAAGGTAGGCTGGCTCCTTCTCCAGGCCTCCCTTCCTCACTTCCTGCCACTCTGCTGAAACAGGCTCCACGGTTCCTGCTGGCTCCAGCCTCCCGCTGGCCTCTTCCACGGCCCTCTGCATCTGAAGCTGCACCGCATCCGGGTGTGAGTCTTCAAATCGAGTCCATTGGCCCAGTTGGTTCTAAGTTCCCTGAAGGCTGAGACTCACCCTGCTCTGCTCACCATGCTATGCCCAGCTCAGCCAGCCCACGAGAGGAACCCAGGAAATATTTGTTGAACCCATTATTGTATGGATTAATATTGTAATGTAATAAAATGATGGATTCCACAAATATTTCCTGGAAGACGGGTGTGGAAGTCACACGGACCTGGGTTCATGTTCCATCTCAGCAAGCTGCTCAGCCTGAGTCCCTCAGGCTTGTTACCTTCAAAGTGGGGGTAATCATTCCACCGGGCTCATGGGGCAGCTGTGGGGAAACTGAGGCGTGCACATGCAACAATTAGCAGAATGCCGGGTGGGGCAGAGTACACACTGAAGGGATAGGAGCCACTATGATGAGACTCCCTCTTGTGCTGGGATGGTGAGGGCGAGGGCCCAGGATCCATCGTACAGGCGGATGCATGGTGAGCAGAACACGTGTGAGGCGGGGGGCCCGATGTGCCTTGGGATGGTAGGAAAGAATTCATCCCTGCCGTTGACACTGGCTAATATCATGTCAGATGGGCCAGAGAATATACCCTAGTGGTTGCCTATGGAGGTCGGCGAGAGAGGAGACGCGGCTAGCACAGGAAGAGGGGAGAGAAGGAAAGGGGGCACCAGCCAGGCAGACCAGGCAGGGTAGGTAAATCAAGCAATCCTCCCATCTTGGTCTCTCAAAGTGCTGGGATTATAGTTGTAAGCCACTGTGCCCAGCCTTCTCAGATTCTTTCCTGCCTTGCTAGGAGGGTGGGGAGCAGAGCAGAGGGGCTAGGCCCTGGGGGTGGGTAGGGAAAGAGAGACAGGCTCTGGCATCTACACCCAGATCCTAACCCCAGCTTTGCCACTGTGTGAATATGGACAAATCACCCTCTTTCTCACCCTAGGTCTCAGCTCCCCCTCTGTGCAGACACACTGACAGCCACATGTGGACTTCTCCCCCAGCTGCAGCTGGGAATCGGCCTCCAGTCAGAAGCAGGACAGGGAACAAGCATGGTGGTTTTGGTGTCATGGATTCAAATCCCAGCTGGATGACTCTGCTCACCTCACCTGCCTTTCAGTTTCCATGAGCTGCTATATAGCAGAGTGGTCAGGAGCACAGACTCTAGAGCCCGACCCAAGGTTAATCCCTGTTCTGCCACTGACTATGGGAACACAGACAAGGCACTTCACTCTGGGCCTCAGTTTACCAGTCTCTTAAATGGGGATGGATATAATCATCCTCTTCTCTAGGGATATTGTGAGAGTTAAAGGAGGTAATTAACATAAAACCCTTAGAACAGTGCTTAGCGCAGGTGAGGGTCATGTCGCTGAATATAAGACACTGTCTATGCATTACACTTTTAAAGATGTTAAAATGCAAAAATGTGCACCCCTATAATTGAGGAGGTAAGGTATAATTTCGAGATACTGCATAGAAAACATCACTGTAAACTCTAAAATAATAGGCAAAACCTAAAGTTCCTGGGTGTTTTCTGTGTGCCAGGCACTGTGCCAAGGACTTACAAGCATTGTCCCATTCAACCCTATAATAACCCTATGAGGAAGGTTATAGAATCATCTTCACTTTACAGATGAGGAAACAGAGACCCCAAGACATTAAGTGATTTGTCCAAGATCACACAGCTTTGTCCACATAAATGTTGGGCATTCATCACCACAACCGCAACTGTCCCACCCCTTTTTGGCTTCATCTGGTTTAGAAATTTTTTGTTTGTTTGTTTTTTTGTTTGTTTGAGACGGAGTCTCACTCTGTTGCCCAGGCTGGAGTGCAGTGGAGTGATCTTGGCTCACTGCAACCTCTGCCTCCCGGGTTCAAGCGATTCTCCTGCCTCAGCCTCCCAAGTAGCTAGGACTACAAGCACACGCCACCACACCCGGCTAATTTTTGTGTTTTTAGTAGAGAAGGGGGTTTCAGCATGTTGGCTAGGCTGGTCTTGATCTCCTGACCTCCTGATCTGCCCACCTTGGCCTCCCAGAGTGCTGGAATTACAGGCAAGAGCCACTGTGCCTGATCTAGAATGGTTTTACTCCATGGTTCTGGAACTTGGCTGCTTGTTGGAATCACTAGGGAGCTTTAAGAAATCCTGAGACTGGGCAAGATAGTGAGACCCCATCTCAAAAAAAAAAAAAAAAGCAACAACAAATTAGCCAGGTGTGGTGGCTTGTGCCTGTAGTCCTAGCTACTCAGGAGGCTAAGATGGGAGGATCTCTTAAGCCCAGGAAGTCAAGGCTGCAGTGAACTATGATAGTGCCACTGCCCTCCAGCCTGAAGTCTGGGGCTCCCCCTCAGAGATTTATATGTAATTGGTCTGGGATGTGGTCTGCACATTTGGGATTTTAAAAATGACCCCCCTTTCGGCCGGGCGTGGTGGCTCATGCCTGTAATCTCAGCACTTTGGGAGGCTGAAGTGGGTGGATCACGAGGTCAGGAGATTGAGACCATCCTGGCGAACACGGTGAAATCCCATCTCTACTAAAAATACAAAAAAATTAGCCAGGTGTGGTGGCGGGCGCCTGTAGTCCCAGCTACTCGGGAGGCTGAGGCGGGAGAATGGCGTGAACCCAGGAGGCGGAGCTTGCAGTCAGCCGAGATCATGCCACTGCACTCCAGCCTGGGCGACAGAGCGAGACTCCGTCTCAAAAAAAAAAAAAAAAAAAAAGACCCCCCTTTCAACAGCAGACAGGTGCTTCACACACACACACACACACACACACACGGAAAAAAATGACCCCCAGTGATTCTACTGTGCAGTCTGGGGTGAGAACTTCTGTTTTACTCCAGGTATGACTTCAGCAGCCTCCTAACTTCTCACCAGTTGCTCCCTCCCTGCCTGAAATCCATTTGACACAACCCAAAGACTTTCATAGCACAATAAAGATAAATGACTTAAAATGCAGAGACTGATTGAGGAGAGAAAATGGCTGACTCTCATTCCTACACATGTTCCATTGGGCAGCTGTAAGAGTCTTTCCTTTTTTTTTCTATTTTTTTTTAATAGAGATGGGGTCTCGCTATGTTGACAAGGCTGGTCTTGAACTCCTGGCCTCAAGTGATCCTCCCATCTTGGCCCCTCAAAGTGCTGGGATTATAGGTGTGAGCCACTGCGCCCAGTCTTGTCAGATTCTTTCCTGCCCTCCTAGGAGGGTGGGGAGCAGAGTGGAGGTGCTGGATCCTGGGGGTCGGTAGGGAAAGAGAGAGGATCTGGCAACAACACCCAGATCCTAACCCCAGCTTTGCCACTGTGTGAATATGGACCAATCACCCCCTCTCTCACCCTAGGTCTCAGGTCCTGCTCTGTGAAATGACATTTGTTTGAGGGCCAGCATCCTAGAGCTAGGGACACAGTCTCTAAGAACCTGCCTTCCAGCAACCCTCAAGGCCACACATCCGGGTAGCTTCCCTGGGGTCTAGCTTGCCCTGCCTTCTGAAGTTTATTTGTTTAACACAATCAAGTTATTACAAAGCTTAATTCCCAGAAGATATCACTGTACTTTTGAGCTTATGAAGCAACTCAAAGTAAATTTATGAGGTGTTGACAAGTAGAGGCCGTGGGGAACCAGCTTTTTGTTGCATAGAGAGTAATCTTCTATAGTCAGCTGGAGGCTTATCTTCAGTTAGATGTCGTCTAAGAGAAAACATTTCCTCTTTTGAGCAGATCAGCGTGGAGCCTCTGTAATAACTCTTTTGCACACTTAGTTAAAGGGAACCCTGTTCTGATTCCTGTGGTTAGCAATTAATTGATGAGGCTTTTATAGTTCTTGGAATAAAGAAGAAATGGAAATTCCAAAGAAGAGACAGACCTATAAAGCCCTTTTAATGAGATACATGAGTGGGTAGTGGTGGAGTAAGGGAGTGTCCTGGAACCAGCCTGAAGGGTGGGCCCAGGAAGCTGTTCCTACTCTTGGCTTTCAGAGTTTTGTGTTTTTTTCTTTTCTTTTTTTTTCCCCAAAGTCATGGCTGAAGGCCTTCCAGCTGTGGAGCTTAATCAGACCCCAGTGATTGCATAAATCACAAACATCTAGCACTAGCCCAATCAGGCCCAAACCCAACTCTTTTGAATGTTAGAACTTGCACATTTGAGGTCAAGTTCTGTTGGACACAGAGAGGAAGGGTATTCGGAAAAGGACAGACTTTTTCCAGAAACTCTTTGGCACCCAGCCTCCCTCCCCCCGAGTCAGATTTGGGAGCACATCCAAAGCAAGGCACCCACACAAAGACCAGGGACGCTTTCCAGATGAGATCCAGCCCCTTGTCTGCCCACAGGCATTGACTGAGTCTCCTTGTGCTCAGTGGGTTAGATACTTGAGCAGGAGCTGGGAGGTAAGTCAACTTGGCATCATCTCTGTCTCTAAGGGAGTTGAATAATCCTGTGTTCCATGTATTGTGCCTGGGATGGGAGTCAAGAGGTGAGAGAGGGCTGCCCCTCCTTTGGAGCAGTTTCTACAGGAGAGACAGGCCAGATGCCTGGCCTGACTGCCCTGCTGCCCCACCGAGATAGACCCCGGCTCTCGGTTCCACTCACGGTGAGTATTAAGCACCCCCTACGCTACACCATTGTATCCCTTCCTTACTCCACTGGCTGCCAATGCGCTGTCTTGTTGACCCAGCCTCCAAATAATAATTTTTCTTGATTATGGAGTTTTGGCACCTCCTGAAATTTTGCTCTCGAGGCAAGCGCCTAAATCAGCTAATCCTAATGGAGGCCCCGGCAAACATCTGACTGATGGTGACACATACAAAAGCAGCTTCAAGCCACAGTGCGTTAGTGCTTAGAAAAAAAGCCCCATGAGATTCCAAAGAGACATTTGCATAATTCTGGGTCAGTGCTTCCCAAAGTATATGCTGTGAAACATCAATCCTATGAGGTGCTTATCCAAAAGATAAGAGATTTTTGTGGACAAATAATTTTGGGAAATAATGCATACTCTAACTTCTGCCTTAGATATTCATTATGGACACGAACACGCTAAAAGCTCAGACTCCTGGGTGAAGAAACATCACTTTTCTAGCCCATCCTCTTTGGCTGCTTAGCTGGGTCAGCTTGGGCAACTCTATCAATGTTTCTTAAAGGGAAATGAGAGGGTGCTCATCTGAGAATCTCTTAAGGGTGCTTGTTAGAGAGTACTGGCCGGTCATGGTGGCTCACGCCTATAATCCCAGCACTTTGGGAGGCTGAGGTGGGTGGATCATCTGAGGTCAGGAGTTTGAGACCAGCCCAGCCAACACAGCAAAACCCCATCTCTATTAAAAATACAAAAATTAGCTGGGCATGGTGATACTCAGGAGGCTGAGGCAGGAGAATCGCTTGAACCTGGGAGGCGGAGATTGCGGTGAGCCAAGATTGTGCCATTGCACTCTAGCCTGGACGACAGAGTGAGGCTCCGTCTCAAAAAAAAAAAAAAAAAAAAAAAGGAAATAGAGAGTACCCAGCCCTGCTGCAGACTTTGCAAATCAGAGTCTCCGGAGCTCAGGAACCAGGAATTTGCTTTGAACAGTGCCCAGTTGATGGTGATGTATGTTCCACTTGAGAATACCAGATAAACTTTGCAGGGCCTTGGCTTTTCCTGAGTGTTGTAAATATCAAGATATAAGTTTGACCAACAGTTTAGTCAAAAAGAAACTTAGGCACTTCCCAACTCATTCTTTGAGGCCTGATACCAAAACCAGGCAAAGATAACACAAAAAAGAGAAAATTACAGACCAATACATATTATGAATATAGATGCATTCTCTGGTACAGAATGAGGCTTTGTCAAATTAAAAATAAGAAAAATTTATACTGGAAGTCCTAGGCAGAGAGATCAGGCAAGAGAAACAAAGGGCGTCCAAATTGGAAAAGAGAAAGTCAAACTATCCCTGTTTTCTGGTGATATGATCGTATACCTAGAAAACCCTAAAGACTCATCGAAAAGGCTCTTAGATCTGATAAATGAATTCAGTAAAGTCTCAGGTTACAGAATCAATGTGCACAAATTAGTAGCACTGCTATACACTAACAACGACCAAGCTGAGAATCAAATCAAGAAATCAATCCCTTTTTCAACAGCTGCAATAAATAAATAAATAAATAAAATACAATACCTAGGAACAGACTTAACCAAGGAGGTGAAAGATCTCTACAAGGAAAACTACAGAACATTGCTGAAAGAAATCACAGATGACACAAACAAATGGAAACACATCTTATGCTCATGGATGGGAAGAATCAGTATTGTGAAAATGTCCATACTACCCAAAGCAATCTACAGATTCAATGTAATTCCCATCAAAACATCATCATCATTTTTCACAGAACTAGAAAAAACAATCCTAAAATTCATATGGAACCAAAAAAGAGCCCAAATAGCTAAAGCAATGCTAAGCAAAAACAATCTGGAAGCATCACATTACTGGACTTCAAATTATACTACAAGGTTATAGTTACCAAAACAGCATAGTACTGGTATAAAAATAGGCACTTAGACCAATGGAACAGATAGAGAACCCAGGCATAAAACTAAATACAGCCAACTGATCTTCAACAAAGCATACAAAAACATAAACTGGGGAAAGGACACCCTATTCAATAAATAGTGCTGGGAAAACTGGCAAGCCACATGTAGAATAATGAAACTGGATCCTCATCTCTCACCTTATAGAAAAATCAACTCAAGATGGATCAAAGACTTAAATCTGAGACCTAAAACTATAAAAATTTTAGAAGATAACATTGGAAAAACTCTGCTAGACGTTGGCCTAGGCAAAGAATTCGTGACTAAGACTCCAAAAGCAAATGCAACAAAAACAAAAATAAATAAATGGAACCTAATTAAACTAAAAAGCTTCTACACAGCAAAGGAAATAATCAGCAGAGTGAACAGACAACCCACAGAATGGGGGAAATATTTGCAAACTGTGCATCCAACAAAGGACTAATATCCAGAATCAACAAGGAACTCAAATCAGCAAGAAAAAAAATAAAATAATTCCATCAAAAATTGGGCAATGGACATGAATCGACATTTCTCAAAAGAAGATATACAAACGGCCAACGAACATGTGAAAAAATGCTCAACATCAGTGGGAAATGCAAATTAAAACCACAATAAGGTACCACTTTACTCCAGCAAGAATGGTCATAATTAAAAAGTCAAAAAACAAAAGATATTGGTGTGGATGTGATGAAAAGGAAACACTTTGACATTGCTGGTGGGAATGTAATTAGTACAACTTCTATAGAGAACAGTATGGAGATTCCTTAAAGAACTAAAAGTAGATCTACCTTTTGATCCAGCAATCCCACTACTGGTTATCTACCCAAAGGAAAAGAAATCATTGTATGAAAAAGACACATACATATGCCTGTTTATAGCAGCACGATTCACAGTTGCAAACATATGGAACCAGCCTAAGTGCTTATCGACCAATGAGTGGATAAAGAAAATGTGGTATATATACACAATGGAATACTACTACAAAAAAGTACTAATATTTTTTGCTCCATAAAAAGGAACAAAATAATATGTTTTGCAGTAATTTGGATGGAGCTGGAGGCCATTATTCTAAGTGAAGTAATTCAGGAAGTAATTCAGTAATTCAGGTTCTCATTTATAAGTGGGAGCTAAGCTATGAGGATGCAAAGACATACAAAATGATATAATGGACCTTGGGAACTCAGGAGGCAGAGATTGGGAGAAGGGTGAGGGATAAAAGACTACATATTGGGTACAGTGTACACTACCTGGCTGTACACTAGCGTACACTACCTGGCTGTACACTAGCGTACACTACCTGGCTGTACACTAGCGTACACTACCTGGCTGTACACTAGCGTACACTACCTGGCTGTACACTAGCGTACACTACCTGGCTGTACACTAGCGTACACTACCTGGCTGTACACTAGCGTACACTACCTGGCTGTACACTAGCGTACACTACCTGGCTGTACACTAGTGTACACTTAGTGATGGGTACACTAAAATCTCAGAATTCACTACTATAGAAGTCATCCATGTAACCACTTGTACCATAAAAGCTATTGAAACACTTGTACCGTAAAAGCTATTGAAATTTTTTTAAAAATAAGAAAAATTTAAAATATAAAAATAAAAACAAAATGCCAACCACCAATTCCAACAGCATATCAAAGGATTATACGCCATGACAGAGTGGGATTTATTTTAGGAATGCAAAGTTGGTTGAATAAAAAAAATGAATGTAATACATTGTGTCAATAGAATAAAAGACAAACATCATATATCAATCCACACAGAAAAAGCATTTAACAAAATCCAACACCCCTTTATGATAAAAATAATCAACAAACTAAGACTAGTAAAGAACTCAGTTTGATAAAGGGCATAGACAAAAAACTCACAGTTAGCATCATATTTAATAGTGAAAGACTGGATGCTTTTCCCCTAAGATCAGGAACAAAACAAGGATATTCACTCTTGCTGCTTCTATTCACCATTGTGCTGAAGGTTCTAGCCAGGGCAATTAGGGAAGAAAATGCAATAAAAGGCATCCAGATTGGAAAGGAATAAGTAAAACTGTCAATATTCTCAAATGACATGGTCTTTTATATAGAAAATCCATTTTAAAAAAACTATTAGAACTAATAAGCAAGTTCAGCAAAGTTGTAGGATAAAAAAAATCAGTTGTATATCTATACACTTGCATTGAATAATCTGAAAATGAAATTTAAAAATGATCCTATTTGTAGGAATATCAAAAATAATAAAGTACTTAGGAATAAATTTAATAAAAAGGTACAAACCTTATACTTTTGAAAAATACAAAATGTTGTTGATAGAAATTAAGATCTAAATAAATGCAAAGACATCCCATATTTGTGGATTGGAAGACTTAATGTTGTTAAGATGACAATACTTCCAAAATGTATCTATACATTCAATGTAGTCCATATCAAAATCTCAGCTCGCCTCTTTCCGGGAATCAATAAACTGATTATGAAATTCATATGAAGATTCAAGGGATCCAGAATAGGCAAAACAATTTTGAAAAAGAAGAACAAAATTGAAGAACTCACACTTGCCAATTTCAAAACTTACTACAAAGCTACAGTAATCTAGACAGTATGGTACTGGCATAAGGATAGACATATTGATCAGTGAAATAGAATCAAGAATTCGGAAATACTCTCACCTTTATGATCAGCTAATTTTTGGCATGGATGCCAAAACAATTCAATGGGGAAAGAATTTCAAGAAATGGTGTTGGGATAACTGAGTAGCCACAAACACAAAAAAATTAAGTTGCCTCTCTACCTCACATTATATTAAAAAAAGTTACAAGTGGATGAAAGACCTAAAACTATAAAACTCTTTAGAAGAAAACATGGGGTTAAACTTTATGACCTTGGATTAGGCAATGGTTTGTTAGATATGATAATAAAAGCACAAGCAACAGTGACAACAAATAGATAAGATAGACTTCATCAAAATTGAAAACTTAAGTGCTTCAAAGGACACCATCAAGAAAGTGAAAGGCAATCCACAGAATAGGAGAAAATGTTTACAAATCATGTATCTGATAAGGGTCTGATATATAAAGAACTCTTACAACTAAATAAAAAATAACCTGATTTAAAAATGAGTAAAGGATCTAAATAGACATTTCCCCAAAGAAGACATGCAAAGGGCCAATAAACATGTGAAAAGATGCTCACTATTATTAGCCATCAAGGAAATGTAAATTAAAACCATAATGAAATATCATTTCACACCTACTAGGATGGCTGAGATTAAAAAGACCAAAACAGGCAATAACAATTGTTGGCAAGGATGTGGGGGAGAAAACATGATGATAGGAATATAGAACAGTGCAACTGCTTTGGGAAACAGACTGGCAGCTCCTCAAAAGGTTAAGCACAGAGTTGTATGATCCAGCAATTCCGCTCCAAGTTAGGTACCTACCCAAGATAACTACAAATATACAGACACAAGAACGCTTGCATGTGAATGTTCATAGCAGTATTATTCATAATAGCCAAAGAAGGTGGAAACAACCCAAATGCCCATCAACTGATGAATGGATGAATAACATGTGATATATCTATACAAGGCTATTATTTTAGTCTTGCAAAGGAATGAAGTTTTGATGCATGCTATGACCTGGGTTAACCTTGAAAACAGCATGCTGAGTGAAAGAAGTCAGGCACAAAAGGCCATGTACTGTATAATCCCATTTATTTGAAATGTTCAGAAGGAGTAAAAATCCATAGAGATGTAAAGTAGATTAATGATTGCTTAGGATTAAAATGAGGGTTGGGGAAGTGGGGGATGACTGCTAACCGGTATGGGGTTTCATTTTCAGGTGATAAAAATGTTCTAAAACTGATTGTAGCAATGGTTGCCCAACTCTGTGAATATACTAAAAATCATTAAATTGTACACCTTATTATTTTATTTTTGATTTAATTTTAATTTTTTGTGGGGGAGATCTTGTTTTATTGCCCAAGTTGGAGTGCAGTGGGGTGATCATGACTCACTGCAGCTTCAACCTCCTAGGCTCAAGCAATTCTCCCACCTCAGTCTCCCAAGTAGCTGGGACTACAGGCATGTGCCACCACACCAGGCTAATGTTTTAAATGGTTTTTTTTTTTGAGATAGAGTCTCGCTCTGTCGCCCAGCCTGGAGTGCAGTGGCACAATCTCGGCTCACTGCAACCTCCGCCTCCTGGGTTCAAGCGATTCTCCTGCCTCACCTTCCCGAGTAGCTGGGACTACAGGTGCCCCCCACCACGCCCAGCTCATTTTTGTATTTTTAGTAGAGATGGGGTTTCACCATATTGGCCAGGCTGGTCTTGAACTCCTGAGCTCAAGTGATCCACCCACCTCGGCCTCCCAAAGTGCTGGGATTACAGGCATGAGCCACCATGCCCAGCCGAATTGTACACTGTAGATGGGTGAATTGTATGGTATGTGAATTATAATCTCAATAAAACTGTAAGAAAAGAAACCTAGGGATGGAACTCCAGTTGCACCCCCTGACCAATAAGGCTCATCAGCCTCCTCACACCCAGGAGGAGACCAAGCATGACTCATTACCTCCACCTCTCGCTTCCTCTTCCCTCCTCAGTGTGTTTCCCCTTGGCTTCCCCATCCCACACGTGACCACACTTATCCACAGAACAAAGGAATCCTGGCCACTAACCTTAGGCTGGTGCTCAGCGTGGGTCCTCCATCTTCTAGGGTGATGCGTCTGGCTAATTTTCAAGATCTCATTCACCCCAACAAGCATTTACTTAGAACCTATGTTCTTAAAAGCACTTGAAGCAAATAAGTACAGCCATTGCCCTCAATTGCTTTCAGCCTAGTAGGAGCGATAAGATCTATCACTGAAGATTCAGTTGACCAGTTGACGTAAGAGCAAACCCCAAATAGCAATGGCTTAAATGAGATAGAACTTATTTCACTTACACAAAATAGAAGCCTGGAAGTAGGTAGTCCTGGGCTGGTTCTGTATTTCCTTGGCATCACTGGGTATTCAGGCTCTTTATGTCTCTCTGTGTCGTCCTAGCATGTGATTTTCCTGGGCCGAGATGGCTGTTGAAGTGGGTTGAAGAATGAATGGGGGCTGGGCATGGTGGCTCACGCCTGTAATCCCAGCACTTTGGGAGACCAAGGTGGGCAGATCACGAGGTCAGGAGTTTGACACCAGCCTGGCCAACATGGTGAAACCCCATCTCTACTAAAAACAAACAAACAAACAAACAAACAAAAATTTAGCCAGGGGTGGTGGCGCGCACCTGTAGTCCCA
This sequence comes from Homo sapiens, assembly GCF_000001405.40. Taxonomy (NCBI): domain Eukaryota; kingdom Metazoa; phylum Chordata; class Mammalia; order Primates; family Hominidae; genus Homo; species Homo sapiens. Next base: position 44,410 of record NT_187663.1, read on the forward strand.
GCTACTCAGGAGGCTGAGGCAGGAGAACTGCTTGAACCTGGGAGGCAGAGGTTGCAGTGAACTGAGATCATGCCACTGCACTGCAGCCTGGGAGACAGAGTAATAAATAAATAAATAAATAATGATAATAATGAATGGAAATTGAGGCAGAGGGAGCAAAGCAATGGCACAGTAGTTGCATGTGCACATGCGTCAGGAGAGGAATTTTAAAAGATGGAAGATAGTAGAGGCAAATGAAATCTTTTTTTTTTTTTTTTTTGACGGGGTTTCACTCTATCACCCAGGCTGGAGTGCAGTGGTGCAATCTCAGCTCACTGAAACCTCCGCCTCCCAGGCTCAAGCAATTCTCCTGCCTCAGCTTCCCAGGTAACTGGGATTACAGGCGTGCTTCACCACGCCCGGCTCATTTTTATTTATTTTTTATTTTTTTGTATTTTTTAGTAGAGACAAGGTTTCACCATGTTGGCCAAGCTGGTCTGGAACTCCTGAGCTGAAATAATCCACCCGCCTCGGCCTCCCAAAGTGCTGGGATTACAGGCATGATCCACCACGCCCAGCTGAAAGGATCTAATTCAGAGACAGAGGCTGGTGATGGCAGAGGAGGGAGAATGTCTTACGAGTCCAATCAGTTATTAAGGAGGTGAGAGGAGACAGCGTCTACTGCACTTGTGGAGCAAATGGCCTTGGAGAGGAGCAGGGATACGCTTCCAATTGTCACAAGGAGGAGAGCATGGCACTGATGGAGAGGTGGGAAGGAAAGGACATTCCTGAGGAGGGACAGGTTCTGTTTTTTAAATAAAGGTGGCCTTCCTGCTTTCCCTCCTGCCTGCCTGCCTTCCTGCCTTCCTGCCTTCTTGCCTTCCTGCTTTCCTGCCTGCCTGCCTTCCTGCCTTCCCTCTCTCACTCTTTCCTTCAACAAGCATTTATTAAGCACCTACTGCATGCCACGGCACTGCTCTAGACACTGAGACTATAGCAGCAAATAAACAGACAAAATCCGCTATCTTCCTGGAGCACACATTCTATTGGGTGGAGAGTGTCAACTAATAAAATGAATAAGTCAGTTTTATCGATGTTAGAAGATGGCCAACGCTACAGAGAAAAGTAAAGCAAGCAAGAAGGTAGGGCATTTTGATGGGAAGAAGAGAACAAGAGAAGGATTGTGGAGGAAAAGTGGTGGGGTGGCGGGATTGCAGCTCTCCTCACTCAGAACACTGGTGCAGTGGGGAATGAGAGCCAGAGGGCCAGAGGGGTGGGTGATGGTGTCTAAGTGTGGGATCCTGAAATCAGGATGTTGGAGGTGGGACAAGGTCTAGAGTGTGCTATGCAAACGGGTGGCAGAGTTGGAGTGGAGCAAAAGGTCTTTGGAGGTGAGGAGTTCAAGTGACTGAGAAGCCAGGGTATTGAAGTTCACACATGTGGATGGTGAGGTCACAAGAATGTTGACAGGGCTGGAGTGGAGACAGTGCCTGGAGCTAAAGTCCACAATGAACAAGGAGGTTGGGCAGGAGACAGATGGATGCACTGGAGAGAGGTACAGAGTGGTTTAGCCAGTTAGTGTGCACTTCAAAGGAACTAGGGTTTTTTTGTTTTTGTTTTTGTTTTTTTGAGACAGAGTCCCGCTCTGTCACCCAGCCTGCCTGGTGAGCTGTGGCATGATCTCGGCTCTCTGAAACCTCCGACTCCCGGGTTCAAGCAATTCTCGTGCCTCAACCTCCCGAGTAGCTAAGATTACAGGTGTGCGCCACCCTGCCCGGCTAATTTTTGTATTTTTAGCAGAGATGGGGGTTTCACCATGTTGGCCAGCAGTCTCAAACTCCTGACCTCAAGTGATCCACCCGCCTGTGCCTCCCAAAGTGTTGGGATTACAGGTGTGAGCCACTGTGCCTGGCCAGAACTAGGGTTTTTGAAGGAGGAAGGAAGAGAAAGGACTTGGAAAGAGTAGTAGGGAGTAAGAAAAACACGTGTCCCTCTCACCTCCTGGCTCTGAGGATCCTGGAATAGGAGAGAAACAATAGCTTCCTCTGAGCCAGGAGGAAGTATATCTCAGGGACTTGCTTGGTTTCCATTAGGGCCAGGAAGTAGGGGGAAACTTCCAGAAGAGGTTGAGAGTAGGGTAGAGTGGGAGTTCCAGAAGAGGTTGAGAGTAGGGTAGAGTGGGAGTTCCAGAGAGCTCAGCGGGAGGGCTTGGGAAGATGAGAAGAAGGCTTGGCCAGCCTGGGATGAGTGTCTGGTAATGGTGGATCAATGGTGGCTTCTTCTGGTGAACAAGGATGCAGGCCTGATGGGGTAGTTTTCAGTGTTTTGTTTTTGTTGTTGTTGTTCGTTTGTTGTTTTTTTGTTTCGTTTTGCTTTTTTTTTTTTTTTTTGAGACAGAGTCTCGCTGTGTTGCCCAGGCTGGAGTGCAGTGGCACGATCTTGGCTCACTGCAACCTCTGCCTCCCAGGTTCAAGTGATTCTCCTGCCTCAGCCTCCCGAGTAGCTGGGATTACAGGTGCGCGCCACCTTGCCCAGCTAATTTTTTTTTTTTTTTTGTATTTTTAGTAGAGACGGGGTTTCACCATATTGGTCAGGCTGGTCTCGAACTCCTGACCTCGTGATCTGCCCGCCTTGGTCTCCCAAAGTGCTGGGATTACAGGCGTGAGCCACTGCGCCCAACCCAGTGGTCTCTTAAGAGGAGAAAAAATGGTCCAGACTGTGCTGCCCAAGATTTGATTTGCCTTTTTTCCAAAACATTTTATTATGAAAAATTTCAAACAGACAGAAAACTGGAAAGAATTATACAGTGGGCATTCATATAACTACCACATAGATTCTACAATTAACGTTTTACTCTATTTGCTTAATCACATATCTGTACATCTCTCTCTCCATCTATCCATCCGTCCATCTGTCCATCTGTCCATCCATCATTCCATCCACCCATCCGTCTACCCACCCATCCACCCATCCGTCTACCCACCCATCCACCCATCCTTCTGCCTTTTTATTTATTTTTTGAATCATTTCAAAGAAAGTTGCAGACATCAGTATATTTTACCCCTAAACACTTCAGGATGAATATAATTAACTAGAGTTCAATATTTGTTTGCCTTTTTTAAGTAAAATTTACACACAGGAAATGCACAGATCTTAAATATGAGTGAGTTTAAGGTGAGTTTTGACAAATGCCTGTACCTGTGTCACTCAAACCCCTATCAAGATATCAACAGCAGGGATTACAGGCATGAGCCACCCGAGGTGGGTGGATCACTTGAGGTCAGAAGTTCGAGACCAGCCTGACCAACATGGATAAACCCCTTCTCTACTAAAAATACAAAATTAGCTGGGTGTGGTGGCACATGCCTGTAATCCCAGCTACTCAGGAGGCTGAGGTAGGATAACTGCTTGAACCTGGGAGGCAGAGGTTGCAGTGAGCCGACATCGCACCATTGCACTCCAGCCTGGGCAACAAGAACGAAACTCTGTCTCAAAAAAAAAAAAAAAAAAGATATCAAGAACATTATCATCACCTGAGGAAGTCCCCTCATGCAACTTCTCAGTCATTCTTATTTTTGTCACCATAGATTAGTTTTCGCCTATTTTAGGACTTGCATTATGAGTCCCAGTTGTAAATACTCTTTTGGATCTAGCTAGTTTCACAGCTAGCAGTGGGAGATTCATCCATGTTGTTGTTGCACATATTGGTAGTTAATATCCTTTGTTGCTCAGCGATATTGTATTAGGCGATTATAACAGAAGAATTATTTGTTCGTCTGTTGATAGTCACTGGAGCTGTTTCTAGTTTTTAGCAATTATGAATAAAGCAGCTGTGAAAATTCTTTTATGAGTCTTTCTGTGACATATGCTTTCAGTTCTCTTAGGTAAATACCTAAACATGAAATTGCTGGGTCATAGATAGGTTTCATTTTATAAGAAACTACCAGCTTTTTACCCAAGGTGGTTGCATCATTTTACATTCTCACTAATAATGTATGAGAGTTCCAGTTGTTCTACATCCTTGCCAACATTTGATGTTGTCAATCTTTAATTTTAGCTTTCCTGGTGGGTGTATGTTGGTGTCTCATTATGGTTTTATTTTATATTGTCTTGATGACTAATGATGTTGAGCACTTTTTCATGTGTTTCTTGGCCATCTGTGTCTTCTTTTGTGAAGTGTCTATTCAAATATTTTGCCTATTTTAAAAATTGAGGTATTTATCTTTTTATTATTGAGTTGTAGGTATCCTTTATATATTCTGCATATAAATCCATTGTCAGATATGTTTTGCAAATATTTTCTCCCTGAGGCTTGCATATAATTTTGTTAATACTGTCTTTTGATGAACAGAAATTTTTAATTTTGATTAAGTCAATTTATCAATCTTAAAAAAAATTGCTTTCTGTGATCTATTTTAAGATACCTTACCTATTCCCCAGTCCCAAAGATATTCTCCTGTTTGCTTCTAGAAATTTTAACATTTTAACCCAAAAAATAACTTTAGCTTTTGATTGATTTCTATGATCTATTTAAAATCAATTTTTATGAATAGTGTGAGGGAGGAGGGGTTGAAGTTTATTTTTTTCCAGGCCGGGCACAGTGGCTCACACCTGTAATCCTAGCACTTTGGGAGGCTGCAGCAGCTTGATCCCAGGAGTTCGAGACAAGCCTGAGCAACATGGCAAAACCCTGTCTCTTCAAAAAATACAAAAATTAGCCAGGTGTGCTGGTGAGCGCCTGTGGTCCCATCTACTCAAAAGGCTTAGGTGGGAGAATTGCTTGAGTCTGGGAGGTAGAGGCTGCAGTGAGCTGAGATCACGCCACTGCACTCCAACCTGGGTGACAGAGTGAGACCCTGTCTCAAAAAAAAAAAGTTTTTTTTTTTCCATATGGATATTCAATTGTTCTGGCACCATTTGTGAAATAGACTTTACATTGGACTGCTTTGATGACTTTATACAATAATCAAATGACTGTTTAATTGTGGGTCTATTTCTGAGGTCTTCATTCCATTTATCTATTTGTTTAACCGTATGTTACTACCACGATGTTCTGATTACTATAGCTTTATAATTAATAAGTCATGAAGGCTGGGCACAGTGGCTCACACCTGTAATCCTAGTGTTTTGGGAGACTGAGGTGGGAGGATGGCTTGAGGCTAGGAGTTCAAGACCAGCCTATGCAACATAGGGAGATCCCATCTCTACAAAAATTTTAACTATTAGCTAGGTGTCATGTGAACCTGTAATCCTAGCTACTCAGGAGGCTCAGGCAGGAGGATTCCTTGAGTCTGGGAGGTCCAGGCTGCCGTGAGCTATCGTTGCACCACTGCACTCCTGTTTGGGTGACAGAGCAAGACCCTATCTCAAAAAAAAAAAAAAAAAAGTCATAAAAGTCATGAAGTCAGACGGGATAAATCCTCTAATTTTGTTTGTTTTCAAGGCGGTTTGGATATTCTAGGTCCTTTGCATTTCCATAAAAATTTTAGAATCAACACATTCAATTTTTTTTTAATTTTATTATTATTAAAGTTTTAGGATACATGTGCACAATGTGCAGGTTAGTTACATATGTATACATGTGCCATGTTGGTGTGCTGCACCCATTAACTCGTCATTTAGCATTAGGTATATCTCCTAATGCTATCCCTGCCCCCTCCCCCCACCCCACAACAGTCCCCAAAATGTGATGTTCCCCTTCATGTGTCCACAGAATCAACACATTCAATTTTGACAAGAGTCTACTAGAATTATGACTGAAATTGAGTTGAATCTAGAGATCATTTTGGAAAGAATAGTCATCCCAGCAATCTTGAGTCTTCCAATCCATGAACATTTATTTAGGTCTTGAATTTCTCTCAATAATATTTTGTAATCTTCAACGTAGAGGTCTTACATATCTTTTGTGAAATGTATTCCTAAGTATTTCATGGTTTTAAAAAGAGCTATTAAAGATGGAATTTTAAAAACATTATTTTTGGCCGGGCGCGGTGGCTCATGCCTGTAATCCCAGCACTTTGGGAGGCCAAGGTGGGCGGATCATGAGGTCAGAAGATCGAGACCATCCTGGCTAACACGGTGAAACCCCGTCTCTTCTAAAAATACAAAAAATTAGCCGGGCGTGGTGGCGGGTGCCTGTAGTCCCAGCTACTCTGGAGGCTGAGGCAGGCGAATGGCGTGAACCCAGGAGGCAGAGCTTGCAGTGAGCCGAGATAGCGCCACTGCACTCCAGCCTGGGCGAAAGAGCGAGACTCCGTCTCAAAAAAAAAAAAAAAAAAAAAATTTAAATTTTTTGTAAAGATGAAGCCTTGCTATGTTGCCTAGGCTGGTCTCAAACTCCTGGGTCCAAGCGATCCTCCTGCCTCCACCTCCCAAAGTGCTGGGATTATAGGCATGAGCCACTGTGCCCAGCAGGAATTTTTTTTTTTTTTTTTTTTTTTGAGATGGAGTTTTGCTGGTCGCCCGGGTTGGAGTGCGGTGGCACGATCTCGGCTCACGGCTCACTGCAATCTCCACCTCCCAGGTTCAAGCGATTCTCCTGCCTCAGCCTCCCGAGTAGCTAGGATTACAGGTGCCCACCACCACACCCGGCTAATTTTTTTTATTTTTATTAGAGACAGGGTTTCGCCATGTTGGGCAGGTTGGACCTCAGGTGATCCCCCTGCCTCTGCCTTCCAAAGTGCTGTGATTGCAGGCATGAGCCACCGCGCCCGGCCAGGAAATTTTTAAAATTTCATTTTCTATTGACAGCAGCAGAGGTGAGCACCAGAAAAGACAGTCCATCAGGTTATCCTAGGTGTGGGGAAGTGGGGTGGAGGAACACCACTTATTTGCAGATGGCTGTGCAAGATCTGGGAGGGTGGAAAAGAAAGGTGGCCATGTGATGGGGGGAAGTCGGATGCATAGCACTTCGGGGAAGACCGTCTTCCTTTCTCTGCCCTGTTACTAAGAAGGAATGTTCTTCCTCAACACTGTCCTGGGAGGTGAAGGCAGGACAATGCCAAGGAGCCTTGGGAAGGTGTTCCTGTTCCCCCAAGCCTTCTGAGCTGCATCATGCAGCCACCCCTCTGTGGGGGCTGTTGCCACCATGGCCTGAGATGAGCATGGTCCTCTGGGGACAGATGAGCTGGCCTCAGTGGTACAGGTGGTATACTCTCCCCTCTCCAGGAGAAGCCACAATGGGCCCTGATCCTTGCTTAGCTGGCTCAGCCTGCAGGGAGGAGATGGGGTCTGAAACACCTGGACTTCCCTTTACTCAAAATATCATAGCCAGGACAGATGCAGTAGCTCACACCTGTAATCCCAGCAATTTGGAAGGCCAAGATGGGTGGATCACTTGAGGTCGGTAGTTCGAGACCAGCCTGGCCAACCCTGGCGAAACCCTGTCTCTACTAAAAATACAAAAATTAGCTGGTCGTGGTGGCAGGTGCCTGCAATCCCAGCTACTTGGGAGGCTGAGGCAGGAGAATCGCTTAAACTGGGGAGGCGGATATTGCAGTGAGTGCAGATTGTACCACTGGATTCCCGCCTGGGCAACAGTGCGAGACTCCGTCTCAAAAAAAAAAAAAAATCACATCCAAGCTCCTGGCCTGGCTTTCCTTTCCGCTCCCTTCCATTGACTGCCTCCCTTGGTGGTCTCTCCATCTCGTTTTCCCATGTTGCCCCACCCAGTTATAGAGTCAGCTGGTCACATCTCTCAAAAGTGCCAAAACTTCCAACTCATGCTCTGAGGAAGGATTCTTAAGAAATAAGAATGTCCAAACTGGATGTCCAAAACTCCACCCATGCTGGGTCCTGTCCCTGTCTTGTTGGGAAGAATGTGGGTGGAGAAGGAAGGAAGGAGAGCAAGAGAGCTTCCCCCTTGTGAAGCAAGAGGACCATTGGGGGAGGAGCAGTGGCAGTGCCAAAGGGGGCTTTCATCCCTCCGTACCCCTCACAGTGCCCCAGAAGCCCCTTCAAAGAAAGATGTACTCACCATGCTTCAAGACAATGCTAGTTGCTACAACAAATAAACCCCCAAATATATTTTGTTTATTTCCCACTTATTTACCAGTTCATTGCAGATGTTCTTGGTTTGCAGGTGACCTTCCCCCATGCAGTGATTTAGAGACCAGGCTTTTTCCATTTTGAGGCCCTACCACCGCCTGGTCTAACTATCATCTTCTACACTCATTTAATAGGAGGGGAAAGAGACCCCATGAAAGGCATAACCACTCCTCAAAAGCCTTGGCCTGGAAGTGACACACGTTACTTCTGCTCCCATTCCATTGGCAAGAACGTGGCATGGGGCCAAGGGGGCCTGGGAAATGTGGTCCCTGGCTCGGCAACTGCTTCCCAGTGACAGCAACACTGGAAAGGAGAGTTCAGATGTTGCTCTCCCTGCCACTGAGCTCTGTTGAGTTTTCACCAGTCAGGTGGCCTTACTTTTAAACTGTGCAGAGCTCTCTGGATGTGAAGAGTTATCTCCCACTCCATCACCAGCATGGTTTCTTACTGTCTCCTCCATTGCTGAGGTTGTTACAGGCTCTTTTCCAGCCCCTCCCTCCTCCCTCAGCCACCCGGGGTCCCCCTCCTTCTAGTCGCTTGCCTAAACCTGACCTCCTCCAAGACACTTTTCAAGGATCTCAGCATCTTCCATTCTCTGGGCACCCTGTTTGCCATAAACACAAGTAGGAGCACTGTTTGGAGAACATATGTGCCCCTCTCTCATCTGCTTGCTAATGTTTGGTATTCTTCAACAGAGCACCAAGGTTTTCTCCCCACGATCAACACCAAGACTTCAGATGCGTGTACCCAACACTAAGACTTCAGATACATGCACCCTGGGGGAGAGGGCAGATCTTCTCGCACACAGGGGAGTGGTTGACTGGGGGATCCTTATAAGTCCTTGCAGAGGGGAGGGAAGGAGAGCAAGGGGACCCTGGGCAGGGGCAGACAAGGGAGCCAGCTATTGAAAGGGAGGCTTTGGCTATATTTTTCAATTAGCTCTATTTTTCAGTCATATGTTGAGCATCTTCAACTTTTTCTAAACAGACTAATCAAATAGTGTCCACTTATTAAATGCTGATATGGTTTGGCTGTGTCCCCAACCAAATCTCATTTTGATTTGTAGCTTCCATAATTCCCACGTGTTTTGGGAGGGACCCGGTGGGAGATCATTGAATCACGGGGGCGGTTTCTCCCATACTGTTCAAATGACAGTGAATAAGTCTCATGAGAGCTGATGGTTGTACAAGGGGAAACCCCTTTCACTTGCTTCCCTCATTCTCTTTTTGCCTGCCACCATGTAAGACATGCCTTTTGCCTTCCATCATGATTGTGAGGCCTCCCCAGCCACGTAGAATTGTGAGTCCATTAAACCTCTTTTTCTTTATAAATTACCCAGTCTTGGATATGTCTTTATTAGCAGCGTGAAAGCAGACTAATACAAATGCCAACCTTGTGCTGGGCACCACTAGCTCTTTTTATAAGCATGGTCTGATTTATCTTCCCAACAACCTCGTGAGGTAGGAACTCTTATTTTATCCCCGTTTGGCACAGGAGAAAAGCAAGACTCAGAGACATTTAGTAATTTTCCCAAGGTCACATAGCTTCTAGTCATTCTAGAAGAGCTTGGGTTTGAACCTAGATATCCAGCCTCAAAGTCCTCCAGTCCTCTGTGCCTGTGTCTCCTCTTCCCCTGGGATACCCAGCATGGCAGAGGCACTCAATGCTCATTGACTACTCATGTCCTCCTCCACACTTCCCAGCCTTCCGTGCAGTCAGGGTGGGGTCATGAGGCAAACTCTGACCAACAGGCTGTGAATGGAAGTGACAGGTGTCATTTCTGGACCGAAACACTGAAGTGCTGCTGTCCAACCCTCCTGTTCTCTCTTGGCCTTTAGTGGCAACCACAGATGCCATGGTTTGAAATGGTAGAGCCACTAGAAGGAAGTAGCCTGTACAAGGGACAGCTAACCTGGACAGTTACCCAACCTGCAGCAGTTTTGTGTGAACGAGAAAAATACACCTTTGTTGCATCAAGAAGCCGCTAAGATTTGGAGGTCAATGTTTACCTCAGCACACTATAGCCTCTCCTGACCAATACACCAGAACAGGACACTAGATAGAGTAGGGTTCCACTCAGTTGGTTACTAACAAGGTGGTGCTCTCAGACATTTTGTTTTATAAACTTTACAGTGCTCCAGAGTAAGGATGGAACTGAAGGACTTTCTAAAACACAAGTTCCCAGCTGGGCGCAGTGGCTCACGTCTGTAATCCCAGCACTTTGGGAGGCCAAGGTGGGCGGATCACTTGAGGTCAGGAGTTCGAGACCAGCCTGGCCAATATGGTGAAACCCCATCTCTACTAAAAATATAAAAATTAGCTGGGCGTGGTGGCGGGCGCTATAATCCCAGCTACTCAGGAGGCTGAGGCAGGAGAATCACTTGAACCTGGGAGGTGGAGGTTTTAGTGAGCCAAGATTGCACCACTGCATTCCAGCCTGGGCGACAAAGTGAGACTCAGTCCAGTCTCAAAACAAAACAAAACACCAAAACACAACAACAAAAACACCACAAGCTCCCAGAGGCAGGTGGGAGAACACCAAGGGTCTTCATCAGCCCCCTGGGGAGCAGGAGCCCCTTGCCCAGCCTCCCATCCCAGGTTCCCCTCTGCCCTGCATCAAACTTCTCCCTGTTGCTGGTTTCTAGAGCTGTTCCCTCTCTGGCACAGCCCCTCTGTCTCCACCCCGCAGCAGCCGGCTTCCAGAAGCTAAAGCTCAGACACCACTGGCCCCTCCCCAGATGCAACCAAGTACCTGGAAGTCTCCCCACGCCTCACATTGTCTTTGCTTCACATTGTCTTTCAGATGAGTCCCTGGGGATGCGGAGCTCTTGCGATTCTGCCATCTGATCCTGCAATACAGGAAATCACCACTTTCTGGCCTCTGCTGACTGGAGAGCCAGTGTGGCAGGCAGGAAGCTCCAGTCTGGGCTGTCCACTGCCAGGTCAGGTCTGGGGAGAAGGTGGAGAGTCCCAGGCCCGAGATGGGCTCCTGGTTGGGGTGGGGAGGGCCAGGACAGCCAGCGTGTTCACTCCTCCCACAGACGGTTCTACAAACCCTCGTGGAAACTTTCTGTGCGGCTGGCCCTGTGCTTGGTGCTGTGGGAGCACAAAGGCAAGAGATCATGGCACCTGACTTCCAGGAGCCTCCATCCTGCAGGTCCAAGTAGGACATTAGCTGCAGAGAAACAGAGCAAAGGAATAAATAGCAGTCAGGGATTTTTCACTTGCAAGTGACGTGAACCCAGGGCCAGAGTAAGATCTATAGAGAGGCTGGGCGCGGTGGCTCACGTCTGTAATCCCAGCACTTTGAGAGGCTGAGGTGGGCGGATCACTTGAGGTCAGGAGTTTGAGACCAGCCTGGCCAACATGGTGAAACCCTGTCTCTATTAAAAATACAAAAATTAGCTGGGTGTGGTGGCATGCGCCTGTAATCCCAGCTACCCAGGACGCTGAGGCAGGAAAATCACCTGAACCTGGGAGGCGGAGGTTGCAGTGAGATCACACCACTGTACTCCAGCCTGGGCGACAGAGGGTGACTCTGTCTCAAAAAACAACAACAAAACAAAAAAAAAAAAAAAAAGGGAAAGAAAGAAAGAAAGAAAGAATGAACCAGCATGGCACATGTATACATATGTAACTAACCTGCACATTGTGCACATGTACCCTAAAACTTAAAGTATAATAATAATAAATAAATTAAAAAAAGAAAGAAAGAAAGAAGAAAGAAAGAGAGAGAAAGAAAGGAAGAAAGAAAGAAGGAAAGAAAGAAAGAAAGGAAGAAAGAAAGAAAGAAAGGAAGGAAGGAAGGAAGGAAGGAAGAAAGAAAGAAAGAAAGAAAGAAAGAAAGAAAGAAAGAAAGAAAGAAAGAAAGAAAGAGGAAAAAAGCCCTGATATAGCTCTGGCTGTGACTGAGTCACAGCCCCATACCTGAACTGATCCCATAGCAAGCACAGGGTTCAGAAGTGGAGGGGGTAGGAGAAAAGATGGGCTACTCCGACTTCGAGGCCTGGGCCTTATGAGCCTCTCTGGATCCTGGGAGTGGAATCAGCTTCTTCTGGACCACATGTCTGAAGGTGGGCGACAGATATTTCTCATGGAATATTGGAGTGTTTTGATCAGAAGGAGGAAGGATGCTGGGTAGGGTCACAACCAAGGTCTGCTGCTGGTGGGAGAATGGAATACGCCCTCAGAGAAGTATGAACCAAGGGCTGTGGGAATTCAGAAGAGGGAGATGTCATGTCCAGCTGAGGGGGTCAAGGAAGGCTTCATGGAGGAGGAGGCATCTGGGCTGGGCCTTGAAGGATGACCAGAGTTTGGGCATTGGATCTCTTAGGATGGGAGGAAAGGGCATTGTGGGCATAGGGAACAATGTGAGCAGAAACCTGGATGTAAGCCAGAGAGAAGCAGGGGCTGAAGCCAGATGAAGGAAAGGCCTCGAATGCCAAGCTAAGGGGCATGGATTGAATTTGTGGAGCCAAGGATGGGATCATCAGATCTGAGCCCCTGGAAACGCATACTACCCACTCAGGGGCCCGGCTCCCCACCCCCACCCCTGGCCTGCTCTGGGTGCCCACAGATCCCTTTTCCTTTCGTTGAGCTCAGACAAGTCTGGAGTTTTCCAATAGAAATGCTTACTCAGAAATGGAAGAAAAGTGAAAACAGAAAGTGTGATTACAGACCTTAGCTTTCTCCTGCCAAAGTAGACAAGCTTGGTACCTGTGACAGTCCCTCTTCTCTGGGCTGAACCTGCCCTCTCCCCTCTGCCTGCTGAGCCCCAGGAGAGGCGGGGGCTGTGCTGGGGGTAGACAGCGTGCTCTCCCTGTGGGACCCTCAGGCTCTCCAGGGTCCATTCCTGCCCTGCCCTGAATAGTACTTTCTCTGCAGCTGCCCTGGCTCAGGGCAAGGGGGGGCACCCCCAATTCTCACCCCCTAAATTCCTCCCCGACCCTGGAGCCACACTGCTCTTATTATGTCACCAGGAGGTTTTTCCAAGACGTCTGCTAAGAATCAGGTGAAAATCAGCTGAAGGCTGAGTCTGCGCCAGTTCTCAGCCCCTGAAGGGTGGGTAGGGCCATGTCCCAGTCAAAGGTGTGGACTGTGGATTCCACCTCTGTTGCTAAGATGGGACAGAGAAGTCCCATAGCCTCCCGGAGCCTCAGTTTTCTCTTCTGCAATAGAGAACTAATAAGCTCCAGCTCGTAGGATTTGTTGGAGGATTAAACAGTATCCCAGAAGTCACTTACAGGCATGGGACATGTCTGCAGTACGTGGTGACAATGAGGATGATGAAGAAGAAGATAATGGAGATGAAGGAACCACCAGGAGGGGAGACATGGACCAGCAGGGTCTTTTACTTTGGATTGCTCTGAGGTGACACCAGGTGTGTGTGAGTCCACATTGACAGGCTGGGCAGATGGATGGGCGGGGGGTCAGGACGCAGCATGGGGGCTGAGGGCAGCACCATCCCGAACCACACTCCTGGGCTCTGAGCTCGCCTCACGCTGCTGGACTCAGGAGAACCTCAGCATGAACACTCATCATGTCCTCTAGCCTGGAGCTTCCCAAATTAAGGAAGGGGTGGCCTCTGGGTCATTCCAGAAAGCCCTGTGATTCAGACCGTGCCGATGTTACCCTGGGTGGACTCCCTCAGCCTCAGCCTCCCTCATCAGTTAGGGGATCCCAATCAGACTTTTTGGAGGTCAGAGGCTGCCAGGAAAGAGGGCTTTTAACAAGGTTTCTACAAACCTTGAGATTGCTAGAAAGGGCCTGATGGACGGGGTGGGGCAGGCGGGGAGAGGGGGGAGGGGGAGGAAGGCTCAGGTCAGGGGTCACCAGGCCTTAATGATCCCTCTCAGCAAACTAACTTGAGGATGTATTCCAATTGTATTTGCTTATTTATGTCAGGAACATAAACTATTGCATTAATATATTATGCCTATTATAAAAATACGTATAAAACGAAAATTTTAAGAGATATCAATAGGAAACAAGTTAAACAAATGACGTCCCATGCATACAATCAACTATGACTGACCTATTTTTTAAAATGATGTCTTATAACTCGATAATAAGAAGACAAACAACTAAATGTAAAGATGGACAAAACAACCCAGGCGTGGTGGCTCATGTCTGTAATCCCAGCACTTTGGGAGGCCGAGACAAGTGGATTGCTTGAGGCTAGGAGTTTGAGACCAGCCTGGGCAACATGGTGAAACCCCATCTCTACTAAAATTACAAAAACTAGCCAGGTGTGCTGGCAGGCGCCTGTAATCCCAGCTACTTAGGAGGCTGATGCAGGAGAATCGCTTGAACCCAGGTGGCAGAGGTTGTGGTGAGTCAAGGTTGTGCCACTACCCTCCAGCCTGGGCAACAGAGCAAGACTCCCCCACCGCCACCACAAAACTCCCGCTGCAAAAAAAAAAAAAAGATGAAAGACTCTAATAGACATTTTTTTCAAAGAAAATATATGGGCTGGCATGGCTCAGGATATTGTGACACATGCCTGTAATCCCAGCACTTCAGGAGCCGAGGCAGGAGGATTGCTTGAGGCCAGGAGTTTGAGACCAGCCTGGTCAACATAGCAAAACCCCATCTCTACAAAAAAAAAAAAAAATTAGCCGATATAGTGGTGTGTATCTATAGTCCCAGCTACTCAGGAGGCTGAGGCAGGAGGATCTTTTGGGCTCAGAAGCTCAAGGCTGCAGTGAGCTATGATTGTGCCACTGCACTCCAGCCTGGGTGACAGAGGAAAACCCTCTCTCTCCTAACAATAATAAAAAAGAATGGTTAATAAGCACACAAAAATGTTCAATTTCAATTTGTTATTTGAAAAATGCAAATTAAAACCACAATGAGATACCATTTCAAACCCACCAGGATGGCTATAATCAAAAAGACAGATAATAATAACAAGTGTGGTGGAGAATGTAGAGAAAGTGGAAGCCTCATACATTGCTGTTGGGAATGTAACATGATGCAGCCACTTTGGAAAACAGCTTGGCAGTTGCTTAAAAAGTTAAACAGAAACTACCCAAGAGAAGTAAAAATGTGGCCACACAAAGACCTGAATGCTCATAGCAGCATTGTACATTTTAAAAACCCTGTAAATCATCCAAATATGCAAAAGCTGGTAACTGGATAAACAAAATGTGAAATATCCATTCAGTGTAATACTACTCAGCAATAAAAAGGAACAAACTGGCCGAGCGCAGTGGCTCACATTCGTAATCTCAGCACTTCGGGAGGTCGAGGCAGGTGAATCACCTGAGGCCAGGAGTTTGAGACTAGCCTGGCCAACATGGTGAAACACCATCTCTACTAAAAATACAAAAATTAGCCGGGAGTGGTGGCGCACGCCTGTCGTCCCAACTACTCAGGAGGCTGAGGCACAAGAATCGATTGAACCTGGGAGGTGGAGGTTACAGTGAGCCGAGATCGCACCACTGCACTCCAGCCTTGGCGACAGAGTGAGACTCGGTATCAAAAAAACAAAAAACAAAAAGCAAAAAAGGAACAAACTTCTTAAATGAGCTACGACATAGATGAACTTCAAAAATATTATGCTCAGTAAAAGAAGCTAGACACAAAAGACCACATATTGTGTGCTTCCATTTATATGAAATTTCCAGAAAACACAAATCTGTAGAGAAAGCAAATCTGTCATTGCTGGAGCTGGGATGGCTGTGAGGATTCACTGCAGATGGATCCAACAGGACTTTGGGGGATGATGGCAATGTTATAAAACTGGCTTGTGGTGATAGCTGCCCAACTCTATACATTTAAAAAAAAACTGTTGAATAGTACATTTACAATGGATGTGTTTTATGTAAATTATATCATATCTCAATGAAGTTGTTAAAAAAAAAATGAGGAAGCTTGTTAGGTACTGGTTTAGAAAGGTCTCCAAGATTTTTTTTTTCTTTTTGAGACAGAGTGTTGCTCTGTCACCCAGGCTGGAGTGCAGTGGCATGAACTCTGCTTACTGCAACCTCTGCCTCCCAGGTTCAAGAAGCGATTATCCTGCCTTAGCCTCCCCAGTAGCTGGGATTACAGGCATCTGCCACCATGCCCAGCTAACTTTTGTATTTTTAGTAGAGACGGGGTTTCAACATGTTTGTCAGGCTGGTCTCGAACTCCTGACCTCAGGTGATCCACCTGTTTCGGCCTTCCAAAGTGTTAGGATTACAGGTGTGAGCCACCACGCTTGGCCTCCAAGGTGTATTTTTAAATGGAAAAACAAAGCACAGAATACGCTACCATTGGTTTTTTTTTTTTTTTTGGTGTTTTTTTTGTTTGTTTGTTTTTGTTTTTTTTGTGATGGAGTTTCGCTCTTTTGCCCAGGCTGGAGTGAAGTGGCACAATCTCGGCTCACTGCAACCTCCACCTCCCAGTTCAAGCGATTCTCCTGCCTCAGCCTCCGGAGTAGCTGGTATTATCGGTGCCTGCCACCACGCCCGGCTAATTTTTCTTTTTCTTTTTCTTTTTTTTTTTTGTGAGACAGAGTCTTACTCTGTCACCCATGCTGGAGTGCAGTGGCGCTATCTGCTCACTGCAAGCTCCGCCTCCCGGGTTCATGCCATTCTCCTGCCTCAGCCTCCTGAATAGCTGGGACTACAGGCACCTGCCACCACGCCCAGCTAATTTTTTTGTATTTTTTAGTAGAGACAGGGTTTCGCCATGTTGGCCAGGCTGGT
This sequence comes from Homo sapiens, assembly GCF_000001405.40. Lineage (NCBI taxonomy): Eukaryota > Metazoa > Chordata > Mammalia > Primates > Hominidae > Homo > Homo sapiens. The sequence goes on from NT_187663.1 coordinate 61,128, forward strand.
CTCGAACTCCTGACCTCAAGTGATCTGCCTGCCTCGGCCTCCCAAAGTGCTGGGATTACAGGTGTGAGCCACCGTGCCCAGCCCCACTGTTTTTTTTTAAAGAGGAACAGGTGTGTATATATAGACTATTATGCAGATTTATATTTATATGTTTATACTTACACATGCCTATATGGATTTGCACAGACGCTCTGGAAGGATACACGAAAACTGGTGAGACTAGGTGTTTTGGGTGAAGGAAGTGGATGGCTTGCAGGCCAGGACTGGGAGAGTGACTTTTGTACCTTTAAATTTTTTCTTTTTAATTTTGGTAAAACACACATAACAAAGTTTACCATCTTAGCTATTTTTTAAGTGTACAGTTGAGTGGTGCTAAGTACATTCGCCTTTTGGTACAACCATCACCACCATCCATTTCCAGAGCTCTTTTCATCTTGCGAAACTGAAACTCTGTACCCGTAAAAGAACTCCACTTCCCCTCTCCCTAGGTTCCTGGCACCCCCGTTTCTCTGTGAAGAAGCCTGCTCCAGACACCTCATATAGTGGAATCACACAGTATTCGTATTTCTGTGACAAGCTGATTTCACGGAGCACAATGTCCTCAAGGTTCACCCATGTTGTAGCATGTGACAGAAGCGCCTTCCCTTTTAAGGCTGAATAATATATGCGTGGGCCACATTTTGTTTATCCATTCATCTCTCCATAGATATTTGGGTTGCTTCCACCTTTTGGCCAATGTGAATAATGCTGCTATGAACATGGGTGTACAAATATCTCTTCCAGATCTTTATATCTTTATTTTATTTTATTTGTCGAGACGGGGGGTCTCCCTCTGTCGCCCAGACTGCCCTCCAACTCCTGGTCTCAGGCAATCCTCCTGCCTCAGCCTCCCAGCGTGCCGGGGTTACAGGCGTGTGAGGCACCGCTCCCGGCCGCTTTACATTTTTAAAGCATATGAAGGTACTACCTATTTGAAAATAAATTTAAACGTAAAAGGAAGAAATACAAATAAATACAAATGGAAGGTGTACAGTTTCTTCCCATATCCCCTACCAAGGTCCCAGCGGGTGGGTCCCCCGCAGGGCAGCAGCCGGCTCGCCCGCGCAGGGGGTCCCTGCTGAGTCACGCGCAGCGGCTCAGCCCGGAGGTGCCCTCGCCTGCCCGCCGCCCACCCGCTCCCCGCCGATTGGCGAGGCCGCATTCCTGCGCGCTGCCCGCGGCCGTCCGGGTGACTCACGGTGCAGGCAGCTCAGGAACGCCCGCTCGCGGGATGAGGCTGCGGCTCGCCCGGCCACGTCCTGAGGCCTGCAGCCGCTGGTTTTCCTATTTGGAAACTCCTTAGACGTCTCCGCTTCCAACAAGCTGGTCTCCTCCCTGGCCCCCAGCAGGCAGGGAAGCCTGCGGAGGAAGCGCCCTCTCTCTCTGTGCGGGGATTCTCAGGCCTGATCTCCTAAGGAACCACGTTCTCCTCTCCTCAATTCCAGATTCCCCAAATGCCTGAAAACCGAGCTTACAGGATGGCGAAATCTGACCTGAACCAACCTGAGATTAAGTTGCAGTTTCACTTATCTGGCTGCACGTGAATACTTACATGTTTGCTGATGGAAAAAAAAAGAAAAAGAAAAAAAAAGTACATGTTTGATTACAAGAATGCGGTCCCAGGTACCCTGAGGGTGCCATTCTATACACGCACCAAATTGTTTCTAAAATCTAAAGAATTCTGAATTCCAAAGCACATCTGGCCCCAAGGTTTTAAGTAAGAAACTGTGGGTCTGTGTTATACCCATTTTACAGAGCAGCCCGGGCTCAGAGAGGTCAAGTCACAGCCGGAAACAAGCCAGTGGGTCTAAGCCCGAGTTCCTGTCTTCCTCACGGGGCTGCACACAAGGCTCTGCCTACCCTGTCTGTCCCACTCCCTCTCCTGTCCTTCCTCTGGGAAGCTCTCCTTGTCCACTACAGCCAAAGACATCATCCTTCTTGGCAAACGACCTTTCCCCTCCTGGGTCACAGAGCCAATGCCTACCACTTACAGGCAGTTGTTGGGAGACAAGAAATCTCAAGTGACTAAGCCCAGACTCAGGGCTCCAGCTCCCCAGGCCCTAGCCTTGGTTTGGCCACTTTTCAGCTGTGTGACCTTGGGTAGGTTACCTAGCCCTTCTGTGCCTCAGTTCCCGCATCCATAAAGGGGCATAATAATGATACCCCCAGCCAGGCGTGGTGGCTCACGCTTGTAATCCCAACATTTTGGGAGGCCAAGGCGGGAGGATCACTTGAGGTCAGGAGTTTGAGACCAGCCTGGCCAACATGGTGAAACTCCGTCTCTACTAAAAATACAAAAATTAGCCGGGTATGGTGGTGCGTGCCTGTAATCCCAGCTACTCTGGAGGCTGAGACAGGAGAATCACTTGAACCTGGGAGGCAGAGGTTCCAGTGAGCCAAGACTGTGACATTGCACTCCAGCCTGGGCGACAGAGTGAGACTCCGTCTCAAAAAAAAAAAAAAAAAAAAAATGAAGGAGGCCTCAGCCCACCCCAAGCCACCCACATTCTCTCCCCATTTCGCTAGTGAATGGAGCAAGTTGGGAGGTGGTAGGTCTAGCTGCGGTGAGGCCCAGACAGGTCATGGTGGATCCGGGCTGACCCTACCCTCATCTTTAAGAACACCTCCTGGGCATTCGTCCGGCCAGCCGACTGCTTTTGGGAGCTAAGAGAAAGAGCTTGAGGTGAATAATCTTTCTGGTGATGCTGGGAGAGCAGAGGACCTTCAAGATCACCTGACCTGACATTTGGTGGATGAGAAAACTGAGTACTCAGGAGGGAAGTGACCTATGAAAGTCACAAAAATCTTTCCTGGTGCAGCGGCTACCAAAAGCCAGTCCAGAGTCCCTGCCCCACCCCCACCCCTACCCCCTGGGTATGGTGTTAGAGGAGAAGGACCCAGTGAATTCAGGACCTGGGAGTTCACAGCCCTCCCCTTACCCAGCTGGGAATCCCCACTGGGAGCGGGGGTCATCTGGGAGGCCTCCTTTCTCCCACATCCCCCACGCAAGTTTCAGTGTGTTTCAGGCCCTGGGCTGGGGCCACCAGGCCTCTGTCTGCCTCCCTGAACAGGAGAGCCACTGAACGTCAACCTCAAACGAATGAGAAAGCTGGCCTTGAACAAGTTTCACTTCCCAAGGGCTGTGGTGGCTACAATCTGGGCAGCGGCATCCCCAGTGCTCTCTTGCCAGCTCCTTGCAAAACCCCGCCCGGCTCACTGAATGCAGGACCCTCCTTCTCCCTTCTCCCTGGCCCCAGGGACTGATCCAGGCCCCCAGCAGGGGAGAAGGGGCCTCCTGAGCATGTACCTCTCCAGCCCATAGAGCCCCCCTTCCAACCCAGCAGTTCCCCAGCCTCTGCCTGCGCAAGCTGGGGTGTCCATGCCAGATAGGACAACACTTTGACCTTCCCAGCATGTCTCCTCTCTGTTCCATCCCCATCCACACATCCACCGCCTTAGCAGAGACCCTCTCCTCTCTTTCCCTGCAGCCTGGCAGCGTGTGGAGTCCTAGTGTGTAGACTTTGTCATCAGACACCCCACGTTCACCTTCTGATGCCACCACTCCTAGCTGTTTGGCAGTTCTAAATGTCTGCAAATTATCTGGCACTCCTCCCGTCAAGAACTGAAGTCTGGCCAGGCACAGTGCTCACTCCTGTAATCCCAGCACTTTGGGAGGCCGAGGCGGGCAGATCACTTGAGGTCAGGAGTTTGAGACCAGCCTGGCCAACATGTCGAAACCCCATCTCAACTAAAAATACAAAAACCAGCTGGGTGTGGTAGCGTGTGCCTGTAATCCCAGCTACTTGGGAGGCTGAGGTAGGAGAATCACTTGAACCTGGGAGGCGGAGATTGCAGTGAGCCAAGATCACGCCATTCTACTCCAGCCTGGGTAACAGTGAGACTTCGTCTCAAAAAAAAAAAAAAAAAAGAAAAGAAACTGAAGTCTGTGTCTTTTCTCCTCAAAGCCGGCACAAGACCTTTTCTCCTGGGTCTCTCTGGCTCTTCAATCCCAAACCCTTTGCTTTTTATAAGCCCTCAGACTCCCTCAGGGCGGTCAGCATTTGTGGAGTCATCTTATTTATTTATTTTGTGGATTTGGCAGTTACATGGGAGTTGTATTTCTATTTTAGTCAGTATCTTTAGATATTTCATTTTAGGAAGACATTTATTTATTTATTCATTTATATTATTTATTGATTGATTTTTCTTTTTGTTGTTGTTTTCGTTTTTGTTTTTTGAGACAGTCTCGCTCTGTTGCCCAGGCTGGAGTGCAGTGGTACGATCTCGGCTCACTGCAACCCCTGCCTCCTGGGTTCAAGCAATTCTCCTGCCTCAGCCTCCTGAGTAGCTGGGATTACAGGTGTGCACCACCACGACTGGCTAATTTTTGTACTTTTGAGAGATGGGGTTTTGCTACTTTGGCCAGGCTGGCCTTGAACTCCTGACTTCAAGTGATCTGCCCACCTTGGCCTCCCAAAGTGCTGGGGTTATAGGGGTGAGCCACTGTGCCTGGCCTATTTATATTTATTTTGAGACAGGGTCTTGTTCTGTTACCCAGGCTAGAGTGCAGTAGCAGGATCACAGCTCACTGCAGCCTGGAACTCCTGGGCTCAAGCGATCCTCCCATCTCAGCCTCTGGAGTTGCTGGGACTACAGGTGTATGTAACCATATCCAGCTAATTTTTTAAATTTTTTTTGTAGAGATTGGGGGGTGTCTCACTATGTTACCCAGGCTGGTCTTGAACTTCTGAACTCAAGTGATCCTCTTGCCTCAGCCTCCCAAAGTGCTGGGATTACAGGCGAGAGCCACTGCGCCTGGTGGTCTGTGATGTTAAACCACGTCAGCTCTTTTTACTATTTAGCTCTCTCCCCTATCCCCCCCCATTAGAGTGTGAGCTCCATGAAGGCAGGGAGGTTTCTTTGCATTGTAATCTGCTGCATCCTCAATGCCTACAACAGTGCCTAGCACATAATAGGTGCTTAATAAACATTCCTTGAATGCATAAGTGAATGGATGCATAACGTGCCCACTACTGTGGGGCCAAAACCAGCTGTAGACTGGGCACTGCTCTCTCCTCTGTGAAATGGAAGCTGTGGCACTGCCTACCCATCAGGGGTGTGGTGAGGTCACTGGAAAGGGTGACCTAATACGTTGCTAATGCTCAGATGGGGATTGCTGGGAGTGTTGCCTTTCTCAGTTGTCACAGGGCCACTAGGCGAGTCCCTCCATCTGGAAAGACAAATCCAGGCTTCCTGTTGCCCCTGGCCCAGACTCCATGAAGACACAAAACCTGTGAGCTTCCTTAGAGATCCCATACTCCCTCCCTGTTTGTACTCCAATTCCAGCTCTGGCCCACTGATCACTTGTTGAAATCCTGGAGTTTCAGGACCAGGCTTCATCCCCTTTATCCCAGGGTCTATCCCCCCTCCTGCCCAGCGCTGGAGAATGGACAATGAGTTGTTCAGAGCGTCCATTGAGATCACCTGATGAAAGAAAGAAAGAAAGGAAGGAAAGAAAGGACAGGAAAGGAAAAGAAAAAGAAAAAGCCAAGACGATGGATCACACAGCCAATGTCTTCCCATTTCCTGCCCAGAAGGTAGGAATCTCATGCTGAGCCTATCAGGACAAAGGAAATGCTGACGTTAAACAGGCCCCACCTGCACACACAGACAAGGTAGCGGTGGCCCTCTGGGAGGCACCTGCTTTCTCTTCAAACAGAGCAGAGAATGAGGGGGTCCTGGTGGCTAATACAGAGCCCCAGGCTCCCCCAACCCTCCTGACGGTTGAAGAGCAGTTTCTGTGCCGTTAGGTGGCACCTCTCTGGTGCCTGCAGAGATTATCTACAAAGGAGCAGGGCTGAAGGGATGGGGCCTGCCCCCTGTGCCTTTCAGCTGTTTACACCTGGCTCTGCCCCAGAGTGTAGAGGAAGGGAGTGAACTGGGGGAGACTAGTGTTGTTGGCCTGGAAAGACCTAGGCAAAACTCAATTTGAGCAGTTTAGGGGTTAAAGGCCGTCCTAGAAAAGCTAGCCTCTGCTAACAGCTAGTTAACTTTGCACCCTCCTTGGGACCCTCCCTCCCTCCAGTGTTATCCTCCCACCATCCCCACATCCTTATCTTACCCCCACCTCTCACTCCTGGCCCTGGGGGGAAGCGTCCCAGCAGCCCTGTTCAGAGGAAGCACCTCGTTGCCAGGACGTGGAGGTAGGCCAATTCCAAACCCTTCTTCCTTCAACCCTTGGCTGCTGCTGCTTTTTTTTTTTTTTTTTTTTTAGAGGCAGGGTCTTGTTCTGTCACCCAGGCTGGAGTGCAGTGGGGTGATCAAAGCTCACTGCAGCCTTGAACTCCTGGGCTCAAGCAATCCTCCTACCTCAGCCTCCTGCATAGCTAGGACTACAGGCACATGCCACCAGACTCACCTAATTTTTTTCTTGAGGTGGAGTCTCGCCGTGTCGCCCAGGCTGGCGTGCAATGGTACAATCTTGGCTCACTGCAACCTCCACCTCCCGGATTCAAGCGATTCTCCTGCCTCAGCCTCCCGAGTAGCTGGGACTACAGGCGTGTGTCACCATGCCTGGCTAATTTTTGTATTCTTAGTAGAGACAGGGTTTCACCGTGTTAGCCAGGATGGTCCTGATCTCCTAATCTCGTGATCCGCCCGCCTCAGCCTCCCAAAGTGCTGGGATTACAGGCGGGAGCCACCACGCCCGGCTACAGCTAATTTTTAAACCATGTGTAGAGACGGGGTTCTTACTATGTTGCTAAGGCTGGTCTTCAACTTCTGCCTCAAGGGATCTTTCCACCTCCGCCTCTCAAAGTGCCTGGATTACAGGTGTAAGCCACCTCGCCCAGCCCCTCGGTTCCTCTGAACACACCAACCACCCATGCCCCTGCCAGTGCTGGTGCCCCCCACCTCCCAGCCACTCCCCCTCACTGGGGCACCTTTAGCTCCTGGCTCACTGCCTGTGGTCCACCCAGCCTCATTCAAAATGACTCTAACATCCACACGGTGCCTCGTCTGCATCCTGACCTCCTCGCCTCCAGACATTACTTTCTCCACTGCACCCAGCTGTCCACTCCCACCGTCACATCCTACACCTTGTCCTCTTTTCTCACAGCACCATCCCTGAATTTTTACCCTGACCACACCTCTTATCCTTCCAGTTCTCTTTCTCTGGGGCAGGTTCCTTCTAAAGTTCTACTTTCTCTCCGGCCATCCAACCCCCCCTTCTTTCCCTCCTTTTCCACCTTGGGGTCCCTGGTCTACCATGTTGATTATTGTCTTGCAACAGCCCCAGCTCTTGTTTCTTGCTCCCCTTGTCGTCTTCAGCTGGCAGAACCTCACTGTGGCAAAGCCAACTGTGCACTTTTCCCCCGGCTGCACCAGGGAAGCCGAAGTTGCTGAGCCTATCTCATAGCCAGGCTGCCTGATGGTGCACATTAACCTGAAATGCACGCATGGCACTGCCTGGAAGCTGTTCCACTTTCTTGCCGGACACTGTCAGAGCTGATCGAATGTAAGAGGTGAAAGAGAGAAGGGATGCAGAAATTAGAAATTTCTGGCTGGGGCAATAGAGTTCTAGTAGTACCATTTTCTGAAATGATGGGGAGAAAGCGGTTTGGAAGAGAAATAATGGCTTCCGCAGTTGGTTCCACAGTTTTACCTCCTACATAGACCCTAAGCTAATGCCAGTCTTTCTGCATCCTCTAACTCTAGCTTGGCCCCATGATCTTGTTAAAATGTCAACCAGAATGCATCCCTCACCTTTGTAGAGGCTTTCTGTGGATTTGCATCTCACTGCAGAATTAATCCAGATGTCTACAAGCCTTTCCCAGTCTGGCTGCTGGCTCCTACCTCAAACCTTCCACTTCCCACTTCACCCCCATCAAACATTCCCATTCTCCGTAGACACCGACCACCTTCCTCTCCTCCTCCAGTGCCTGAGCACTGTCCCACCCAGGACCTTTGTACCTGCCGTGTTCCCTGCCTGTCAATGATTGCACAAATAAAGGGATGTGTGGATGGATGGATCCCTTTCTCTAGGGATGCTGGTACTGGATGGAAAATCACTCTGGAAACTGCCTCATGCTGCACATGGTAGGTGTTTTGCCCTGGCACCACACCTGACACACAGTAAGTGCTAAATAAGTGCTGATAAATGAACTTGTGTCACACGAGGCGGGATTTAGGGTGTGTAGGAAGTGTACACAAAGAGCCAGGGGCAGTGGGGTCTCAGAATAGGAAGGGGGTGAGGGAGGGTGAGGGCTCCCACTGCCCGGCCCTGCCCTGCCTGCTGGGCACTCCATCCTCCGACTGTCTACTCCAACTGCATCCCATCCCCCTCACACATCCTGCTGGTTCCCTGTGCCAGGCCTCTGCTCACCAAGGACCTCCATCCTAGAATGCCTTCAGAAGGGCCAGCTTTCACGGAGCCCTCCCAAGCTAGCTCAGCAATTGCCTGATTCCTTTGCAGTTGTTGATTAAACAGCTACTGTATGTTCACCATGGTCCTGAGCATTCATAATTGGGGAAACAGCTGAGGACAAGATGGAGGGCCCTGCCCTCATGCAGCTCACATTCTAGTGGGACAGAGCAAACTCACCAGAAATCAAAACGTCAACCTCCTCCAGGAAGCCTTCCCTACCCTTGTCCCCAAATCTCTGGTCTCCCTCAGGCCCTATGCCCCTCCCCCACGACACGCACCATCCTGTACTGTGAATTTCTCTCTGTATCTGACTCCGCGTGGGAGATAAGAAGACAGGGTTCTTGCCGTTTCCATCTTATTCTGACCAGCACAAGGCCAGCACTTGGTGGTAACTGTACCTGTGGGTTGACTTCCACCGGTGGAAAAGGTGGGGCTGAGGGACGGGCATGGCCACAGCCAGGGGCTGTGTAAGTGCCTGCATATTTGGGGAGAGCAAGGAGTGCAGGGGAGCGGGGTGAAGTGAGATGCTCATTGTCTCGCCAGATCTTGGAGGGCAGCACAGGTTTCAAAGGGGTTCTATGGCAATTTTCTTGTTAAAGGAATATGGCCCAATTTATCAAACCACAAAGGGAACTGTGAACTCAGTCACACGCAAAGTCATATCAAAACAAGGTGCCCCTTTCTTCCCCCTGCACCTGCTGATTACTTATAAAAGTTTAAAATAAAGCGCCGAGTGTGGTGGCTCAAGCCTGTAATCCCAGCACTTTGGGAGGCCAAGGCGGGCGAATCACTTGAGGTCAGGAGTTCAAGACCAGCCTGGCCAATATGATGAAACCCCATCTCTACTAAAAATACAAAAATTGCTGGGTGTGGTGGTGCACACCTGTGGTCCCAACTGTTCGGGAGGCTGAGGCAGGAGAATGGCTTGAACCTGGAAACTGGAGGTTTCAGTGAGCCGAGATGGCACAACTACACTCCAGCCATGGTGACAGAACAAGACTCCATCTCAAAAAAAATAAAAGCATCCCTTTCTTATGCAGCAAGTGCCTGGCTTAGGGAACCTGTTACCCTTCTGCAATGAAGTAGAAGTTGGAGGTGCTCTTATGGGTGACCTATCCATATAGGGTGCTAAAGGGAACTGGAATGACTTGGGGACATCCCTAACCTTTGAGGCTGACGTCATGGTGATAACCACTCACCCACAACACATCTTGTGGTGCCAGTTCTCCATAAGATGGATAAGGTCCCTAAACACACGGCTGCACGTCTGATGTTCTTATGAGCACGCAAAAGGAACCAGGCCCTCCCTGCCAGGAAGCTGCAGGGAAATTAGAATCATTTGACGAGTTGTCCATTCTTTCATTTGTCTAGTAAGGAGGTACTGAAAGCCTCCTCCTAGGAGCCGAGTATGGTGCCAACAGCTACAGGAATGGCAAACCATATAAATAGCCCAAACAGGATATAATTAGCGTCGGACGTGCACATGTCATGGGTGGAATGATGCAGAAAGAGTGATGCAGCCCCCATCTGGGGCTGGCATCACATGGGACGAGGCGCTTGAGCTAGACATGGAAGGATGAGCAGTGTGATCGCCAGGTGGAAAGGCATTACAGAGGAACGGCATGTGCAAACACCTGGGGGTGCAAGGAGGTGTGTGTGAAACAGCAGGGCTGGTTCAGGGAGCAGCAGGCAGCTATCCCACTCACGCAGTGTGTTTAGTGCTGGGCCTCTTCATCCCCCGACTTAGCAAGTCCATCATTCTCTAAGGTGATTTATAGGTAAGGAAGCTGATGCTCAGAGAGTCTGGGTAACTTGCTTAGAGTGCCACAGCCAGTGGCACAGCTCAGATTCAAAGTCAAGTTTGTCAACTTCACAAATCTGTGTTCTTTTTTTTTAAGCTCCCCTTTCCCAAATCTGTGCTCTCAACTACCATGCGGAACTGTCTTTATAATATGATGCAGGACCTCTAAGCCAGGCATGGCAATTTGGACTTGATCCAAGGCAAAGTTCCTCCAAATACCTGCTATTTGCACTGTACCTTCAAGTTAAAGCTGTCAGAGCCTAGAACTTTCATTTTCTTTCTTTCTTTTTTTTTGTTTTGAGACGGAGTTTCATTCTTGTTGCTCCGGGCTGGAGTGCAGTGACGCAATCTCGGCTCACTGCAACCTCCGCCTTGCTGTTTCAAGCGATTCTCCTGCCTCAACCTCTCAAGTAGCTGGGATTATAGGCACCTGCCACCACGCCTGGCTATTTTTTTTGTATTTTTAATAGAGACAGGGTTTCTCCATGTTGGGCAGCCTGGTCTTGAACTCCTGACCTCGGATGATCCGCCTGCCTTGGCCTTCCAGAGTGCTGAGATTACAGGCGTGAGCCACCACGCCCGGCATCATTTTCTTAATGTTTGTCTTTAAATGTTTCACGTTAAAAAACAAAAAGCAAACAAACAAAAACCCAAAATTTAAGTAATTTTGGTTGATCACGGTGGCTTACCACCGTGGCAAACCCAGAAATTTGGGAGGCCGAGGCGGGAGGATCACTTGAGGCCAGGAGTTCAAGACCAGCCTGGGCAACAAAGTGAGACTCCTGTCTCTACACAGAATCAAATAATTTGCCGGGTGTGGTGATGTGCACCTCTGGTCCCAGCTACATAGGAGGCTGAGCCAGGAGGATCACCTGAGCTCAGGAGGTCGAGGATCGCCTGAACTCAGGAGGTCAAGGCTGCAGTGAGCTGTGATAGCACCACTGCACTCCAGCCTGGGCCACAGAGAAAGACTCTGTCTCAAAAAAAAATTTAAATAATTTTTTATTGATGCATAATGTACATATGAAAGAGTACACAAATCAATCACTTTTCATTTGTGTAAGAACACAATAATTTTTCACCCAGGTCCAAAACAGAATATTATGAGTCTTCAGCAGCCCCCTCCAATGAACAACTCCACAGGGTAACCACTCTCCAAGCTTTAACAGCATAGATTAATTTTGCCTGCTTTTGAGTTTTATATAAATGGAACCATAACAACTGCTCTTTTTTGTGCCTGGCTTCTTTTGCTCAGCATTTGTGTGGCTTAATTCATTTTCACTTGATACAGAATTCTATTATGTGAATATACCACGTTACCCATTCTACTGATGAACATACAGGTTATTTTTCATTTTTGGCTGTGATGAATAAAGCTGCTATGAACATGCTTGTGCATGACTTTGGTAAATGCCATGTACTCATTTCTGCTGGAATTATACCTAGGCATTGAATTCCTGGGTCATAGGGTAGTGTAGATATGTTTAGCTTCAGCAGATATGGCCAGTTTCCAACGTAGTTGTTACAGTTTATATCTTCACTGGAAGTAAATCAGACTTCCAATTGTTCCACACCCCTGCCAACATTCGATACTGTCTTTTTCGCTTTAGCCCTGTGGGTGTATAGTGATATCATGCTGTGGTTTTGCATATCTCTGAGACTAATGAAATTGATCACTTTTCATGTTTATTGGCCACTCACATATCCTCTTTTGTTAAGTTTTAAGGCCTTTGCCCATTTTTATTTCTATTGATTTTTTAAATTGATAAGTAAGAGTTTTTTTTTGTTTTTTTTTTTTGAGACAGGGTTTCACTCTGTCACCCAGGCTGGAGTACAGTGGTGCAATCTTGGCTCACTGCAACCTTCGCCTCCTGGGCTCAAGTGATTCTCATGCCTCAGCTTCCTGAGTAGCTGGAATTACAGGCGTACACCACCATGCCCAGCTAATTTTTGCATTTTTAGTAGAGACAGGTTTTGCCATGTTGGCCAGCCTAGTCTCGAACTCCTGGCCTCAAGTGATCCATCAGCCTCAGCCTCCCAAAGTGCTGAGCCACCGCACCCCGCCAAGAGTTCTTGATATATTTGGGATGTTATTTCTTTGATAGATATGCAATTTGCAATATTGTCTCCCAAATAAATTTATTTTATGGAACATTACTACCATAACTAAAGACCCAATATCACATGTCACATATAGTAGGTAACTGTAAAATAAATAAAATTAAGACCATGTTATCTTTCCATTCTAGCTTGATATCTTGCTGCTGGTGGCTGTGGCTGGGATCCTGATCCCTGCAAAAACGAGAGATTAGCAAGAGAAAAACAGATGTGAAGGATAACAGGGAGACTCTCCTTGGTGTACTCAAAAGGCTGGACAGAGTTAGAGAAGAAACAAGTTCCTCATTTTGCAACTACTAAAGATCACTGCAGTGCACCTTTGGTACATGGTATGGGGGTCCTTGAACCTCCTAGAATCATGCCATATGCCACTCACTTTGTGAGTCCTCCACTTAGGGAAACACAACTGTATGGGATGTGGATGCAATGAGGTTGGTAAGCAGGGGTTGACATAATAAGAGTGGTGTTTTAGAGAAATCAAGTGGCAATGAGCACAGAAGCAAAGGCGGAGGAGGGGAGCCTGAGGGAGGAGCAGTTGAGGAGATCCAGGTGGCAAACGGGGAGGGTCTAAGCCAGGAGTGAGCCAGGGGCTGGGGTGGCGTGGGGTGGGAAAGATTGGAGGTAGAATCTGGGAAAGCAGTGACTGGTTGATGGGTTGATGTGTTAAGTGACACTGGGATTTCTTTTTTTTTTTTTTTTTTTGAGTTGGAGTCTCACTCTGTCACCCAGGCTGGAGTGCAGTGGCACGATCTCCGCTCACTGCAAGCTCCACCTCCCAGGTTCACACCATTCTCCTGCCTCAACCTCCTGAGTAGCTGGGACTACAGGTGCCCGCCACCACTCCCGGCTAATTTTTTGTATTTTTAGTAGAGACGGGGTTTCATCGTGTTAGCCAGGATGGTCTCGATCTCCTGACCTCATGATCCACCTGCCTCGGCCTCCCAAAGTGCTGGGATTACAGGCGTGAGCCACCGTGCCCAGCCAACACTGGGATTTCTAAACTGGGGGACTGGGAGGAGAGAGGTAGCAAAGACAGGAGAAGGAAATTATGGGGAGAGAGGAGATGACAAAATCAATCTGGGATACATTGAATTGGAAGTGTTTACATGACCTCAGAGGGAGATTCATTCATTCATTCATTCATTCGTTCATTCATTCATTCATATTTACCGAACATGTGCTGGCACCAGGCATGCAGCTGTCCATCAGACAGACAAAATTCCTGCTGTAATGGAGCTTAACGTTTGTGGGAAAGACAGATGGGGGAAGGACAGATAAAGACAAGCAAATAAAGAGGAAGTGGTGGGAGGTATGCCTGGGGCTCAGGGCTCCAGGCTGTGGAATGGATTTGGGGCCTGGCAGCAGAAGGGCAGCAGTTACAGCTGGCTGGATGGGTGAGCTTGCCTAGGGAGGGGGCAGAGTGAGCTGAGCAGAGGAGAGGGCGGCCTGCCAGCATTTACAGGCCACAGGGGAACGAGTGCCCACAAGGAAAACCACCAAGGAGCAATCAGAGGGGCAACCAGTCACAGGAGGAGGCTTCAAAGATATGACAACTGGCACATTCATGCATTTATTCAATCTAACTTCACTTGACCCCTTCTGTGTGCCAAGCTCTGGGTGATCAGAAATGAATGAGAAGCCTCTGGAGGTGACAGGTGTGTTGTGTGCCAGTGACGAGACCAGGCCACATGAAGGAGATTCTATTACGAAGTCCACATGCCCATGCATTGTGGGGGCACAGATGATGGGGGCTCACATTTTTTAAGCCTGATATATGCAAGGCCCTGGGGAAGGCTTCGTGGTGGTGGGGCAGGAGGCAGAGAATGGGGGCGAGGGCGTGGCGGCGAGACCCACATGGCTTGCACGGACAGCAGAGGCATCCCGGGAGGCTGGGCATTGGCGTGAGAGCGGAGAGAGTCAGCCAGAGGACAAGGAGCCGAGGACGGGGCAAAGATCGCACAGGGAGAGTGAGCTGAGCTCTGAAGGGCATGGAGGACCCGTGCGGGTTTTGAGGAGAGTACCTGCTGCTCAGGAATGTTCCACCAAGCAGACAGGAGTCAGAGGCGGCTGAATGCCAAGGCCCCTGGGATACTGGGGACAGAGCACCTCTTCCTGGCTCCTCAGCACTTAGCAGGTGCCAGAGCTCAGTAAGCGCCCACTCTGCGCCCTGCACAAGTGCGGGATCCACGCAGCCCACAGCATGCTGGGTAAGGCACTGAGTGGGGGGCGGTGGGGCATCTGGAAAGGCATCTTGCAGGGAGGCAAGAGCCAGGTATAGAGCGTGGGAGCAAAGAGGGGCTAGCACACGCTCCAGGGTCTGGGGAGACTTCTCTTGGGAGAATCCTTGGTTGCTGAGGATGGGAAGGATGGGTGAGGCAGAGGTGCCAATGCCCGGCCCGGTGGCCTGAGCCCAGATCCGCCCTCTGATGGGGAACCCCAGGCCCACAGGGACCTCCCTCTGCCTGACCCCAGACCTCCTCTTCCTGGTCCAAGCCTCACCTCACCTTCTCCTCGACTACATGTCATCAGCCTCATCCCCCAGCCTCGAAGCTCAGGATTGGCCGGAAACATGGGGGCTGGGGTCAAGAGAGGGCGAAGACTTCAGGATTCTCTTGGCCCCATGCATAGCAGCCCAAAACTCCCTCTAACACTCCCTGCTGTTCCCGCCTCGGAATCGCCCCTTGGGCAAAAGGCCTCTGGCGCCCCCTACTGGCAGTTCAGCTTCAAGACTCCCAAGCCCTCACGCTTCAACCCTGTCTGAAGTGAGGTCCAGCCTGAACACTTCTAGGGCCAATTCCAGGCTGCAGAGAGGTGGTGTGGGGCCTGGGCCAGGACGGAAGTCTTGTGATATTTCCTTGAACACCAGCAGCTTCCTAATTGGTCCCCTCCCTCCCTCCTTCAGCCACAGCTGGGAAAATCTCTTTAAAAGCATATTTGTAGGATACCACTCAGGAGTAACAAGTAATGAACTATTGATACCCAACAATGACTTGAATGGATCCTAAGGGCATTATGCAGAGTGCAAAAAGCCAGCCTTGCAAGGTTGCATACTGTATATTTCCATCCATTAACATTCTCAAAAGAAGCAAATTATAGAGATGGATAAAGACAAGGTTGCCAGGGATTAGGGAAGGAGCGGGAGGATGTCAGTGGAAAGGGAAGCATAAGAAGTTTCTTTTGAGATGATGGAACATTCTGTATCTTGGTTGCTGCAGTGCTGGCTATACATGAATCTATGCATGTGATAAAATGTCATGGAATTATACACAAAGACAAACAAAAATGAGTGCATGCAAAGAATGGTGAAATCAAGCAAGGTCTATAGTTAGTTACATCGCTTTCCTGGTTTTGATAAGGCACAATGGTTACGTAAGACGGCACCACCAGGGGAAGCCAGGTGCTGGCTGCACCAGGCCTGTCTGTACTATTTATGTAACTTCTTGTAAGTCAATAATTCTTTCAAAATAAAAAGTTTATAAAAACGGAAAAGCATCTCTGGCCATATTGTCCACCTGGTCATCACCTAGTGGCACCCACTGGGCCATAAAGGATGAAGTCCATTCTCCCAGCAGGGCACAGAGCCCTTCATGGGCTGGCCCTTTCTTCTGGAATGACATTTGCCATCTCTCTTAATATACCAAGCCCTGCTCTGAGACTGGCAACGAAACAAGAATATCCACTCTTGGAGGACACAGGGGGCTGTACCTCACTCACAGCTCCAGTTCTACCCGGCAGGGCCTCTCTTGTTGATACCAGTGGGTCCCCTCCTGTACTGGCCTGAGGAGACAGTCATCTGCTTCTGATGCTCTTGCCCAAGCCAGACAAAAGTACCTTTCCCTACAACACTGCTGGACTGAAGACTTGAAAAAGGACGGCTCCAGTGCTCTGAAAACCAAAGAGTCACTGGCTCAATGTGCTCTACTGTCCACCAGGCGATCTGGCTGCACCCCAGGGGCTCCTCTACAGCCCTTCCACGTCTTGTCCCACCGCAGAGGCTGTCTCACCCCAGGACCCAGGACTATCCTTGGGCCTGAGGAACAAAGACTATCAAGACTTTGCAAATGTTCCAGGTGCAAATGTTCCACCACCAGGTGCTGGGCCGTGCGTGTTGCACATGTCATTTTATAATGGTGAGAAGTTTCTGAGGTAGGCGTGAATTCCTAACTTTACAGATGAGCACACTGAAGTGAACCACTTGCCCAAGATCACTTTATAGGAAATGGCAGAGCTAGGGATTGAACTCCAGCTGTCTTCCTTTTCGTGTATCAGCTCATTAATGGGTATCTTTTAAACACCTTTTTTTTTTTTTTTTTGACGGAGTCTTGCTCTGCCGCCCAGGCTGGAGTGCAGTGGTGCGATTTTGGCTCTCTGCAAGCTCCGCCTCCTGGGTTCACGCCATTCTCCTGCCTCAGCCTCCCGAGTAGCTAGAACTACAGGCGCCTGCCACCATGCCCAGCTAATTTTTTGTATTTTTATAGAGACAGGGTTTCACCGTGTTAGCCAGGATGGTCTCGATGTCCTGACCTCGTGATCCGCCTGCCTCGGCCTCCCAAAGTGCTGGGATTACAGGCATGAGCCACCGCACGTGGCCTCTTAAACACCTTTTATGTGCCAGGCACTGTGCATACGATGGTGAGCAACGACAGAGTCCCCACCATTCTGGGCTTATAGTATCATGGCAGGGAAGTCCAGACAGCAATAAATAATCATGATATATGAGGGTAAAATGACAAATTTAGATAAGAGAAGCATATGGGTCTTTGATGATGTGTAGCAAACAACGCTGACCTAGCTGGGCATTGGAAGGAGCTGCCCAAGGAAGTTACCTGAGCACAGTGCTAAAAGATGACTAAGTAAAGGGAGAAGAGAACTACAAAGAGAACACAGCACATGCAAAGGTCCTGGGGCAGAGGGAGTGTGAAACATTTGTGAAATCGATGGGAGGCCAGTGTAGCTGCAGTCCAGAAACCAAAGAGCATGTAAGGCACAGGACCGAGCAAGTGTTCACTGCAGCCAGACTGTGTTCTCAGAGCCTTGTGAGTATTGTCTCATGGCATCTTCACAACCACCTGCTGCTATTGCATCCCCATTCTCCAGGTGAAAAAACTGGGGCACAAAGGAATGAGTCAGTTATCCAGAAGCATCTGGCAAGGGCAATGTGGAGCTCACATTTGAATCCAGGGAGCCTGACTCCAGAGCCCATGCTCTGAGCCACTGCCTCACACTGGTTCACGAGAGAAGGCAGGCCATGCTGAAGCTTGGTCTTTTCCTTAGATGAGAGGAAAGGTTTTTAGGCAGGGTGATAACTTAATCAGACATGTGTTTTGAAATGAGGCTGGATGCAGTGGGGGCAATGAGGACGCGGGATGGGGAAGGGGGCTGGGAGCTGCTGCAGGGTCCAGGCCGGAGATATTAACCCCTTAGACCAGGAAGGGGCCCTAGTGATGGAGAGGGGTGGATCAGACAGGAAGGACTAACAGATACAGATCGGGCATGGAGGCAGGAGAGACAGATGAGATGGAGGGAGCAGGCCACATTCCCAGGTTTCTGGCTCACCTGACTCGGGGGATGATGGACCCTTTGCCTGGGACAGGTAAAACCCTGGAGGAGTACAAGGTTTGGGGAAAATCACAAATCCAGTCTTGGGCTGAGGACCGTCCCAGAGCAGATGTCAGGTTGTCAGAGGACACCAGGATTGGGAGCTTAGAGAGCAGTCAGGCCAGGCACTATGGATCAGTGAGTCACTGATGCTGTGGGTGTAGCCAGTCTCATCCAGGGAGGGAGGACAGCAGAGGAGGGGTGGACCCCAAGGACTCTGCTTGTACTGGCTGTGCAGCAGAGAATGAGACACATGGCCCGAGGTGGGAGGAAAATGAGGGGAATCTGCAAGCCAAGAGAAAGGGAACATTTCCAAGAATGGGGTGGTCAGCAGAGGATAGGGTGCCACTAAAAAGGCAATTAATACACAGACCCCCAAATATCCAGCAGCTATCAATGGGAAATCATCAGTGAGTTTAGGGGAAGAAACTCAGTGGTGTGATGTGGGCGGGGGGTGGGGTTGAGAAGCGAACAAGAGAAGCGGATGGATACCGTGAGTTTAGATGACTTCTGAGAAGTTTGGCTGCAAAGGGGAGGAGGAGGAGGATGGTGGCAGCTGCAGAGAGACGTGGGGTTGTAGGGGGTTTCAGAGAGAGGCACTTCAGCGTGTTCCCGTGGCAAGGGGAAGTGGCCAGTATGATGCAGTGGATACCATGGGTGCTGCTCAGATGCCCTCTTCCAGCACTGAGCGATGATTTCCCAAAGGACAGGGAGGGTCAGCAGCCAATAGCACTCATCTGAGCCTCTCTCCAGGATGTGTCCTGGGCTGAAGAGAGCTGCTCTGCCCAAATCCATGCCCTCCCTTCTCCCACCTTACAAGGCAGCCCATATCCAGTGGCCTGGCCCCCTGGCCATAATGGGACACAAGACTGAGGCTGTCCCAGCTCCAGGGCTTCCCATGGGGTGGCTGAGGCCTTAGAAGGGGCTGTGCCCCAGCTCAGCTTCTCCCTCAGCCACTCCTGCTGGCTCCACCCCTCAGGCATTGGTCCCGAGATCACGCCCAGCAAGCCCCCTGCCAACGTCTCTGTTTCCTGGGACATTCAACCTGAGACAGCAGCTAAATAGCAAGAAGAGGGGCCAGTGATCATGGATATTTCCTGAAAAAACAGATGAGCTGTACCCTGGAGAAATGTCTGCTCTGAGGTACCGAGGAAAGGAGGCCAGTGAGGCCGTGGTGAGGGAGGGCTGAGCTTTGTGATGGGATGTTAAGTGTGTCCACCATTCCGGGAGGTGGAGGTGGGTCACCTGTTGAGAGAGGGAAGGCTGGGAGGGCCAGGGGTTGGAGGGAATGAAGACCCAAAACAATTGTTGCAGAAGGCGAGAGGGAACAGAAACCCTCAAACATAGCTGGTGGGAGATTGTGCAGCTATAGAAAACAATTTGATGGTTCCTCAAAAGGTTAAAGGTAGAGTTACCTTTTATTCCAGCAATTTAATCCAGCAAACTCCTGGAAAATAATTAATAAAACATGAGTCATAGACTGAGTGTTTGTGCCTCCCACCCCATTAATATGTTGAAGCCCTAACCCTCAATGTGATGGCATCGAGGTGGGGCCTTTGGCAGGTGATTAGGTTCATGTGAGACCATAAAGGTGAGATTAGTGTCCTTGTAATAAATGGAAGTGACTGGAGCTCGCTCTCTTTGTGCCACTTAAGGACATAGTGAGAAGGTGGCTGTCCGCAAGCTGGGAAGAGAGCCCTTATCAGAACCTGACTGTACCGGCCCCTTACTCGAACTTCCAGCCTCCAAAACTGTGAGAAATAAATCTTCTGTTGTTTTAGCCACCCAGTCTATGGTATTTTGTTATGGTAGCCCTAGCTGACCGAAATGATATGTCCACAGAAAAACTTGTACGTGAGTGTTCATGGCAGCATTATTCATATTAGCCAAAAAGTGGAAAAAACCCGGCTGGGTGCAGTGGCTCACATCTGTAATCCCAGCACTTTGGAAGGCCAAGGCAGGTGGATCACGGAGTCAGGAGTTCAAGACCAGCCTGGCCAAGATGGTGAAACCCCATCGATACTAAAAATACAAAAAAAAAAAAAAAATTAGTCGGGTGTGGTGGCGGGCGCCTGTAATCCCAGCTACTCGGGAGGCTGAGGCAGATAATTGCTTGAACCTGGTAGGTGGAGGTTGCAGTGAGCCAAGATCATGCCTCTGCACTTCAGCCTGGGAGACAGAGTGAGACTCTGTCTCAGGAAAAAAAAAAAAAAAAAAAGTGGAAACAACCCAAATGTCCATCAATTGACACATGGATAAACAAAATGTGATGTATCCATACAATGGAACGTTATTTGACAATAAAAAAGAATGAGGGCCAGGTGTGGTGGCTCACGCCTCTAATCTCAGCACTTTGAGAGGCAGAGGCCGGAGGATTGTTTGCGCTCAGCAGTCCGGGACCAGCCTGGGCAACATGGTAAGACCTTGTCTCTACAAACAATACAAAAGTTAAGTGTGGTGGTACACGCCTATAGTCCCAGCTACTTGGGAGGCTGAGATGGAAAGATTGCTTGAGCTTGGGAGGTGGAGGTTGCAGTGAACTAAGATTGCACCACTGCACTCCAGCCTGGGTGACAGAGTGAGACTCTGTCTCAAAAATAAATAAATAAATACAATAAATACAATAAAAAGGAATGAGGTAATGATGCAGGCTATGACCTGGATAAAACTTGCAAACTTCTGTGAGCCCACAGCCCAGTGGGAAGGCCTGGCCACGGAAGCACAATCATATCCAGTGAGCTAAGTGTGATGAGAGAGACACACGCATGAGATCTGAGGAGGGTGTAGGGGGCAGGTGTGAGCTGAGGCTTGGGGGAGGAGGAGGAGGAACTGGCCAGGGGAAAGGGAAGGAGGCAGGAAGACTGTTGGCCCAAAAGTATCGAGGCAAGAAGCAACCTGGAGTGTCCCGGGGCAGCGTGGGCACAGCTGGTATGCATAGGTGGGAGGGGTGGCTGCTGGGTGGAGGATTAAATGGGGAGGAGAGCACCCATTCAGAGGCTGCTGTGATCACCCAGATGAGGGAGACTGATGGAGGATGGGACATATTTAGGAGTAGAAGATTGGGACTCTGGGGACTGGGGCTGCCATGCTCAGAGACAGGGAGCAGGGGTGGTTTGAGCTTTGTTGCAGATGGGTTGCACTTTGGGTGTCTGGCAGCCATCCACATGGAAGTGTCTCCTGAGCAGGTAGATTTTGCACATGACTCGCGAGAGAGCACTCCAAGCTGGTGCTAGAGATTTGGGTGACACCAGTGCAGGCTTGGTGGCTGAGTCTGCAGGGTGGAATGGATGACGGATGGTGGAAGGGAGAGAGAAGCGGGCCAAGGGCACAATCTGGGAGTGGGGGCATCACCATGTATAGGGCAAGCAGAGCACACAGGGAGCTGAGAAGGGAGGGGTGGAGTGGTAGAGAAGACTCATGTAAGCCAGGCACAGTGACTCATACTGTAATCTCAGTGCCTTGGGAGGCTGAGGCAGGAGGATCACTGGAGGCCAGGAGTTTGAGACCAGCCTGAGTAACACAGTGAGATCCCATCTCTACAAAAAGTCAGGCATGGTGGTGTGTGCCTGTGGTTCCAGCTGCTTGAGAGGCTGAGGCAAGAGGATGGTTTGAGCCTGGGAGGTTGGGGCTGCAGTGAGCTATGATCGCACCACTGCACTCCAGCCTGGGCAACAGAGTGAGACCTTGTCTCAAACAAAAAAAAAAAAAAAAGAAAGAAAAAGAAAAAGGAAACCCCATGTTGCTGCAGGCAAAGGAACAGACAGTCCATGTCTCAAGAAGGACAACAGACAGTCCATGTGTTTACTTGCACAGGATTGGGCACGTCCCCAGACTTAGCAACCAAGTGGGCACCATGGCCTTTCTGAGAGTAGCTTCAGGGGCAGACTATAGGCTGCAGGAGGACTTAAGGGCATCTGCTGAGAGGCAGTGGGCTTGGGGAGAGATCCCCGTGGCAGCCCTTATCAGCTGTGCCACTGTCGCTCCTTTTTATAGCTCTCCCCATCCAGACGGAGCTTCAAGAGGGAAGACACCACTTCTACATTCTTTGTGTTTCAGAACAATCCAATTCATTCCAAACCTATTCGATGCACACCTACAGTGCTCACCATGCATGTGCTCAGGGCTGGGGACGTATGACTGAGCCTCGGACTTCTGGTGAGGGGCACGGTAGGTCCCTAGACTGTGCAAATGAAGCTCTGGGCCAGGTTCTGCCACCAACCTGCCATGTGGCTGCAGGTGATTTATGATGTTCTCTCTAGAGGTTTCCTCATTGGTGGTAGGTGATTTCTGAAGCTCCCCTTCATGACAAAAATGTGATAATTCTAGGACCTCTCTGCCTGCTGCTGTATTATTTGCCCACTGAGGCCTTGGCAGGGTCAGAAGCCTGGGGTGGTGAAGGAGATGGTGAGCGGACACCTTTCCAAGATCTCCCTGCCTTTCAGCTCCTTGTCTTGGGGACCCAATGTCCTTGGCCTTAAGGCCCCACATGCTCTGTCCCTTACAGCTCTCCAGCCTCACCTCATACCCATGCTCCCTGGTTTTCTGGGCTCCAGTTACAATGGTCTTCTCTCAGATTTTGTTCTCCCCACAAGCTTTCCTGCCCCAGAGCCTTTACACATGCCACTCCCACTGACTAGCACCCTTCCCTTAACCCCTCTGCTCGACTCCTCTTCATTCTTTACTGCTTCTCTCAAATGTGGCTTCTGCAGAAGCATCTCAGGTCCCTGGGCAACATTCACACCCCATGACACACCTTCCGAGCACTCTACACTTCTGCTAGCTCTTGTACAAATGTGATAACCAAGTAATTATCTGCTTACTGTCTATCTAGTTTCACCCTTGGACTCAAATGAGAGGGGTCCCTGCCATGGGTCCTCTTGCAGGAGAAGGCTCCTGTGTCTGTGGCTCTCCCCACAGGGTGAGGAATCTGGGGAGCCCTCTTGAAGCCTGGACCTGCCCTTTAGAACATGCTTCTGATACATGGGGCCCCAGCATGCCCCGCCCAAATAGCTCCAAGCCCATTCCCTCAAGGGTGGACTACGTCACCAGTGGGGTAGCCAAGCGGCAGCTGGCTGCAGGGGGTATGGGCAGTTGGCACACATGGACTACGATGTCCACATATGTGCCCGTGAGCCTCTGCTTGGGGGAGGAGGGCTCTGTGGGAGGGAAGATGAGAGGGAAGGCTGAGCCCAGGGCCTGCCCTTCTCCGGCCACCACATTTGGGCATGGAACTTGGAAAAGTCAAAGAAGTTTAAATTAGAACCTGGCCTTCCAGGTCATTATCAAGACACATTTGTCAAAGTAGGAGAATAGAACATATTTTATTTAACAGTTGTTAGCTTGATTGATAACTTTTAAATATTTAGACATATGGTATGAGGCCCCTGTGTGTACTCTTGCCCTGGCCCTGTTGGCAATGGGGTGGGCTTGGGTCAGCCTCACCCATCAGACCACAAGCTCCACCAGGGCAGGCAGCCCATGCAGTGCCCCTGCCCAGAGCACAGCACCTGGCACAGAGGAGCAGACAATAAATACCGGCTGTGAGAAACAAATGGGATAATCCAAGCCGAATGCTTGGCATGGTGCAAATGTCCAATAAATATCAGCTGTCATTGTCTGTTGAATAAATGAACAGGTGGGTTGGTGGGGCTGGGGGCCAAGAGCCACAAGCTGAGGTGGCTTGTGTCTGAGGAGGGAAGGGACCCGCTGTTCCCTGGGGTTCACGCTTCCTTTCTTGAGGTTGTGTCCTCCTTCCCCACACCCTGCAGGCCTGCCCAGCTCTTCGTGGCAAAGCGGGCCCCAGATGGGTGTACTTGTGTGTCAGAGTGCCAAGAGGGGCTGGGAGCTCCTGCTAGGGCTATGTCCCCCTCCCCTAGGACAGAACAGCTGGGACAGTTTCCCTCTTTGCCTTCAGGGGCCTCCCCAGGTCCAGACAGAACACACCCAGCTTAGTTCCTTTCTTTTCACATAGGCCCAAAGGTTGGATGGGTGGTAGCTGAAAGAACTGATTTTCCCCCTACCCAGGCTGTACTCTGGTGTGGGAGGAGCCTTTTCTGGGGAATGAGGTCACTCACTGGACCTTGAGCAAGTCACACTGCTGCTGCAGGCCTCAGCGTCCTTGTCTGTAAAATGGGATGGTGTGTGGAACTGGTGCATGCCGAGCGGCAGATGCAAGGTGTGCACTTGGTGAATGGGAAGAAGCCTTGCACAGAACACCAGTGGGTCAAGGACAGCAGAGGCCCGGGACCCCCAACAGGAAAGCAGATGAAACTGGCCCACAGCCAGCCTGTGAGAGGCTCAGGCAGGAGGTCATCCCTGAGGCCTGAGGAGGATAGCTTCAGCAGCCCACACTGAAGGCTGGGTCAGTCCTGTTTCCACAGTGGGGAAGTGATCAGAGCTGCCTCATGACTGGCACAGTGCCAGCACAGGGCCAGGGCCCACAGGGTCTCTGTGAAGGCCTCCACGAGGTGAGGGCCAGAAGCAGCCAGGAAGCCCTCCATCAAACTCCTCCTCCCAGCACCTACCATTCCAGAAAACAAACTCTCACCCCCACACACGCTATCGCACACGCACAGTAGGCGCGATGCAACAGAGAAAAAACCGAATTAACCCCCAAACAGGACGTGACGGGAAGGGAAGGGGGGATGGGGAGTTGGGAAGAAGGAATCACATTTTGCAAACTGCCCACTAGGGGTCACCGTACCCTCAGAACCGAGGGTGCAGAAGTCACACCGGCCTGCGGCTATGCGCTGGCGGAGGGTCCCAGAGAGAAGAAGGCCCGGCTGCGTGGCCTCCGCCGCCCAGCTTGTGTGGCAGGACCGCGGCCGCCGCCCCAGTCACAGGCCAGCAGTCAGTGCGGCGGGAAGATGTCCGCGCACTGCTGCAGGATGAGCTCCACCACCTGGTTCTGGAACACCATGGTCATGGGCATGCTGGTCTCTTCCACCTCGGGCCGCAGCAGCGTGGGCCCGAACACAATGGCCACGCTCTGCACCGACATGCGGTTCTGCTCGCCGTGCTCGATCACCCTGTGGCAGGGGTGGGTGGGTTCAGGGCTCCGAACTGCGAACTGCGGGGAGGCGCTGGGGGCTTCAGCCGGGACCTGCCTCCCCCTTCCCGCGCGGGCCGCCCGGCTCACCGGCAGAGGTGCTGGAAGAGCATCCGCAGAGTGTCGTGGTTGGGAGCGGGCAGCGAGCGCACCAAGTCACGCACACAGCGGCTGCGCCGGGCCTGGTCCTGCAACTCTGGGTGAGGGAAGGTTTAGAGGGAGGGAGTCGGAACGGGAGGTAGGGGGTATCGGCTGGGCGAGGGGAGCCTGCTAAAGGGGTGCCCCGCCACGCCCCTACCCCATCCGCCCCACCTGCCCCAGGTGCTCACTGATGGCCGCAATGAACTGGCGGAAGTGCGAGAAGGGGAAGAGGGGCTCGGGCAGCTCCCGAAAGAAGAGCTTCAGGGCTCCGGTGATAACGTGGACGTCCTCCCAGCGCCCGTCATCCAGGTCAAGGCGCTCATCTGTGGCGGAGGAAGGGAGGAGGACGGAAGGGAAATCAGTACCCCTTGCGCCTTCAGGCCCTGGGGCAGGGGTTGGGGACGGGCCTCACCGTGGTCCACCTTATAGCGTAGCTTCTGGATGGTGGCCAGGTTTCCACTGATGCGGTACAGCCCGTCGATGTCCAGCCCTGGGCCAGAGGGAGGCGCTGATCCCGGGTTCAGGGATGGGGATAGGGTGGGGCTACGGGTCCCTGCTATGACTCCCACTCGGGGCCTCCCGTACTTTCCCCCTGGACCCTGCGTCCATCCAGGGGTCTCCAGCCTGCGGTCCTGGCAGGAGGCCTGCGGGCACCCCAATGCCTGCCGCCCTCACCCCCGCAGCGCACGTACCGCGGGCCTCGACGGCGCGGATGCACTGCTGCACGAAGCGTGGCACCCGGCTCCTCTCGCGCTCACACAGCGCGGCCAGCGCGCAGCCGAACACCTGGTCTAGGGCAGAGGCTCATCAGCTCCTGCCCAGCCTGCGCCCCGTCCCGGTCCCGGGTCCCCGCCCCCCGCAGGCCTCGGGTACCTTTGATGTAGCCCTTCTCCCGCAGCGACTGCAGTGTGGGCCGCCTCTGGAGGAACTTGCGGAGCTTGTGCCGGACCTTGCTCAAGTCGCTCTCCAGGCCCACGGGGCCCAGGGCGGGCGCGGCTGCCGCGGGGAAAGGCAGGACTGAGTCAGGAGGCAGCGCCAGGGCAGGCCAGGCAGGCCCCAGCAACCGTCACTCCCCAGGAGAGGCCTCCTGGAGCCCCCACCCCATCCTGCCTTGCGCACACCTGCATTCGGTCGCGCGTCCTCCTCTTTCTCCTGCCAGCTTCCCAAGCGCTCGCTCGACCCGAAGTCCACTCTGCTGCTCTCGCTCTCCTCTGGGGGCAGCTCTGCGGACTGGATTCCCATAGCCTCAGAGAGGCGGGGCCTTGAGCCAGCTGCGGGTCCTTCCAGGATGGGGCAAGGGACCCGAAATGCACTCCCAACAGGCATGGCCTGGAGACCCTCAGCGAAGAGTCCTCTCTTCCCTTAACCAGGTTAACTCTCCTTACCTCCACCAGTGAGCCTGAGAACATTCACCTCCCTTAGCTGCATGGAGCCCTTAAGGTGCAGAGACAGTCATCCTGTTCTCCCACACCCCTTCCTATCCTGGGGACTCCTACCCACCTGGTGCCTTCTTTCTCTATTTTCCTCAGCTCCTCTAACTGGGTCAGCATTCCTCAATACGTGGCTCCCAGTTCTGAGCCTGCACCTCCAGCTGTGGCCGGAGCACTGCCAACAACTGCACCAATATCACCTCTCTGGCTCTGGATTCCTACCTCTATTAATACAGCCAAAAGCTTCACTCAATGTTGGCTCATAGGGAATTAAGGGTCAAAAAGCCCCAGGTCATTTCCAGGTCAGTAGTTGTCAGAGGGCCCCTGTCCTAGCTCTACTTATGCAATTGGTGTTTTCAGCCTTAAAAAAATGGTCGACTATTGAAATCAATCCTTTAAAATTTTATCTGCTAGTTTCAGCCTGCCATTGGTTGGCTTGCAGAGTATTTATTTGGCCTTCTGCCTCCCGTGAAATGGGAACTTCCTTTAGAATGTGCCCTACCCTCACCTGGAGAGTCTTCCTGCAGGGCCAACCCCAGGGCTGGATTCACAGACTTACAGAAGGCAGTTTCTTCAGCCGCCTACCCTGCCATCCTAGCCATTAGTGGGGACTGCATTTGCATTACCCACTGGTACCTTAGAGCTCCCTGAGCCTGAGCAGAGGGCCCCACTCATAATGGCCACCCCCTCCCCACTGCCCCTAGAGGCCCTGGGCTCTGCTTACCAGCTCCTGGATGCCCTGAGCAATGGCCTTATGCCAGGTGCTGATGATGGCCTCCGAGTCGTGCTGGATCAGGTACTCAGAGCCATCTCGGCTCCGTAGCTGGAGGGACACAAGTCAGTGGGTCATCTCTGGTACCCTGGGTCTGCCCTGGGGGTTGGCCCTAGTTGGGGGTAGGTACAGAGATAGAGGTGACCTGTCCCTGCCCCCAGGCACTCAGAGCTTAATGGAGCAAGGGCCTCACCCCAGGCTAAGTCTTGGATCTCTGCCTCACGTAAAGCAGTGGCTGACAGCATCTCTGTGTTACAGATGAGCAAACTGAGGCTCAGCAAGTTTTAGCTGCTTCCTCATGGGCACACAGCTAGTGAGTGATGAGCACAGAGCTGCATGGCTCAATTGTCTGGTACACTTTCCCTCCCCCATCCTGCCTCCCTGCAAGCCACAGAACATGGCAGGCCTCATGCAGAGCACTGGCCTGCAAACTAAGTGAAAGAAACTTCCTATGTGAGGCCAGGCACGATGGCTCATACCTGTAATCCCAGCACTTTGGGAGGCCGAGGCGGGCAGATCATGAGGTCAGGAGTTTGAGACCAGCCTGGCCAACATGGTGAAACCCCGTCTCTACTAAAAATACAAAAATTAGCCAGGCATGGTGGCGGGCTCCTGTAATCCCAGCTACTTGGGAAGCTGAGGCAGAAGAACTGCTTGAACCCGGGAAGCGGAGGTTACCGTGAGCCGAGATCATGCCACTGCACTTCACCCTGGGCGACAGAGCAAGACTCCGTCTCAAAAAAAAAAAAACAAAACAAAACCCAGAAACTTCCTATGTTGAGACCCCTGTCTACTAGAAGCAACAGTGAATATAGGGAGAGAGGATTTGAAAGCTGATCATGGCTGATCCCAGGGAAAGAAAGGTCTCCCCTTGCCCCTCCCCATACACACACTGAGGACTCAGAAACGTTGTCCCACCTTCTGCAGCCAGGAGTCCCCACCACCTCCCACACTCCAGCCTGGGCAACACATCTTCTGTTAGCCCGCTTCATCATGAAGCATAAATTAAACAGAACACCAGAGGGAAACTTGCCACCATAGGACTGACGCTCAAAGCCCTTTCTGAGTTGGATGGCAGCTTAGTTGGATTCCTTATCAGCCTCTGGCTCTGAGGACCCAGTGTTCCAGGTTAATGTGAATGTTTGGCGGCAACAGCTCACACCAACCCTGCCCTTTTGGTTCAGCGAGAGTCAGAGACAACAGAAACTGTCTCAGACCCCAGGACACAACTTCTAGAATTGGATTGGACTATCTTTGCTGTCCTTTTAAACTTATACTTGAAGACTATTTAAACTGCTTTTTAAAATGAAATGAGGCTGGGCGCAGTGGCTCATGCCTGTAATCCCAGCACTTTGGGAGGCTGAGGCGGGTGGATCATGAGGTCAGGAGATGGAGACCATTCTGGCTAACACAGTGAAACCCTGCCACTACTAAAAATGCAAAAAATTAGCTGGGCCTGGTGGCACGCACCTGTAGTCCCAGCTACTCGGGAGGCTGAGGCAGGAGAATCGCTTGAACCCGGGAGGCAGAGATTGCAGTGAGCCGAGATCGCACCACTGCACTCCAGCCAGGGCAACAGAGCAACACTCTGTCTCAAAGAAAAGAAAAGAAAAGAAAAGAAAAGAAAATGGCATATCTCATCCCCTAGCCCTCCCCTGCAAAGGACAGAGAACCTTCAAGAGGCAGATAACACAGCCTCACTCTAATCAAAGCAGACAAGAGCCCTGCTCAAGATTATCCCAGAGAATGGCTTGACAACACTTCTAAAACAACAGCCATGATTTTTGGCAGCTCTCTCAAAACATAATCAGTTCATATTTGCAAGTTTCATATAGAGGGCAAAGCTGTATCATTACATAGCAATGTATTTCACAAAATATTCACCCCCAGCCAGGCACAACGGCTCATGCCCATAATCCTAGTGCTTTGGAAGGGCAAGGTGGGAGGAGTCCTTGAGACCAGGAGTTCAATCCTGGGCAATATAGTGAGACCCTATATCTAGAAAAATTTTTACAAATTAGCCAGACATGCTAGTGTGCACCTGTACTTCCAGCTACTGGGGAGGCTGAAGTGACAGCATCACTTCAGTCCAGGAGTTGGAAGCTGCAGTGAGCTACGATCAAGCCACTGCACTCCAGCCTGGGCAACACAGTAAGACCCTATCTCTAAGAACAAACAAATAAACAAAACATTTATCCTGCTGACCGCACAGGCAAATGCTAGCAGCTTTTGGCGGACTGTTGCTGAAGTTTTCTGTAACTCGGGGTGACTAGAAAGACCTGCTGTGAAAATTTCCTGGGCCCAACAAAGCCATCCATCCTCAATGATATAAAATTTGGGGCTGTCTCTTGAGGAAAACCCTGGAGCTGCCTACAGGCCGCCCTGCATGGAGGGAGGATGGCCAGCAGTCAACCAGGAGGCAGGGGCTTGTGATTTCCATTCAGGCCTGCCCACCTTCCCACTGGCCTGAGCAGCACCTGCCTTCCAGTCCTTGCCAGCAAAGACAACTCAAAAAGCCCTATTCTGAAACTTTCATCAAAAGTCCATCAGTGATGATCTTCATTGAGAACTGTTTGAAGGATATACCTATCCCTCAAAGTCAGGGGAGAAACATGACTAGCACAGGTGATGTCTCAGACCGGGCATGGTGGCTCACACCTGTAATCCCAGCACTTTGGGAGGCCAAGGCAGGTAAATCACCTGAGGCCAGTAGATTGAGACCATCCTGGCCAACATGGTAAAACCCTGTCTTTACTAAATACAAAAAAATTAGCCGGGTATGGTGGCAGGCGCCTGTAGTCCCAGCTACTCGGGACGCTGAGGCAGGAGACTCACTTGAATCCGAGAGGCAGAGGTTGCAGTGAGCCAAGATTGCACCACTGCACTTCAGCCTGGGCAACAGAGTGAGACTCTGGATAATAATCATAATCATAATCATAATCATAATCATAATAGTGATGTCTCTCCTCAATTTAACACCATAGCAGATATTGTTAGTTGATCACAGAACTCTATCCTGCCAAGCCCAGAGAAGCCTTCAGAATTCTTCTCAAGAAGGCTCCAGGCTAGGCACAGTGGCTCACACCTGTAATCTCAACCCTTTGGGAGGCCAAGGCTGGAGGATCACTTGAGGCCATGAGTTTGAGACCTGCCTGGGCAACATAGTGAGCCCCCATCTCTATAAAAACTAAAATTAGCCAGATGTGATGGAACGCGCCTGTAGTCCTAGCTACTCGGAAGCCTTAGGTGGGAAGATCGCTTGAGCCCAGGGGCTTGTGGTTTCAGTGAGCTCTGACCGTGCCACTGCACTTCAGCCTGGGCAACAGAGCAAGACCTTGTCTCTAAAAACAGAAACAAAAAATAAAAACAAAAACAAAACCCCACAAGACTCCAGACCTACTCATCAGAGTAGCTCATGAGATGAAACCAGTTTTCCAACTTTGCTTTATAGATATCCTGGCTCTAGAACTGAATGGAGCTTGGTGAATAATCAGGAAACTACACTCTCAGGTTCCTTGCAGAACTGTTTTTTCT
Source organism: Homo sapiens (assembly GCF_000001405.40). NCBI lineage: Eukaryota > Metazoa > Chordata > Mammalia > Primates > Hominidae > Homo > Homo sapiens. The sequence continues at coordinate 92,034 of NT_187663.1, forward strand.
GAGCTTAGACATGAGGTCATGCTCTTGGCCTTCATCATAATGATGCTACCTGAAGCAGTCCCGGATCCTGAATTAAACCTTCCTGGAGCTGTTTTGCAGGGTACCTGGCATGTGCTTCTAGATCCCATGTTCATGGAGCTACATACAAGAAATTTAAGAGTGAAGGGTTAGGAAAAAGCTTTGATTCCCTCAACATCTGGGTGGGTTTTATTATTTGTTCAACAACAAAGAGACATGCACCTGATAGCCCTTCTCTTTTCACCTCACCTAGCAGGAAAGTCGGAGCTAAATTTTCTTCAGTAACCACCACCTTAGCACCCATACATCATCTGCCCCCTAATTCCTCTCCATCTTGAGTCCCATCTCTTACTTGTTTTTCATGGTCCTGGCTTTTCAGTTAATTTGACAGTTCACCACGTGTGTTTCTGTTGTGATCTGCCTCAAACCTTCTAGGTACTGAGGTCAGGGTAAGAGTAGTTTAAAAACAAGACAACACATGGACAGTGAAGGGTGTGGCATTGGGAGTACCCTTTCTGGGTCTTCTCTCCCTTCCTGCGGGGGTAGCATGGTAGTCTTCTCCACTGCCCCAGTTTATTCACTGGGGATGCGGTCCAGTCGGAAATGGGGCTCTGGCTCAGGGGCAGGGAAAGGGACCTGGGGAGAAAGAGGTTTCCCAACCAGGCCTGTCACAGTAAGCAGCCAGGGACAGGGAGCCTCCTGTCTCTCTCAGGCTGGGACGAGGGCTGCCATTCTAGTCATGAGAATTTCCTCTCCCAGAGGCCCTACTCCTCACCACCCTCCAGGGCAAGGATTATTATTAACTCAGCTCCTGGAGAGGGAACTGCAGAATATGTGATGTTAGAAACAAAGGACAGGTCCCCTGGGGCGGGGGTGCAGCGTTGGCCTTGAGCCCTGAGAATGGTAGCCCCAATTCTTCCCAGGTCCTCCTTCTTGGGGCTTGCCTACAGTAAGGGTCCCACAGCACTGCCAACAACTGCACCAATATCACCTCTCTGGCTCTGGGTTCCTACCTCTATTAATACAGCCAAAAGCTGCACTCAGTGTTGGCTCATAGGGAATTAAGGGTCAAAAACCCCCAGGTCATTTCCAGGTCAATAGTTGTCAGAGAGCTGGCAGGCATCACTAAGCCCCTTCCCTCCTTCTCCCCAACCCCGCCACTCACCTCCAGCACATTCTTCCTACTGGATTTGTCTTTGGGGGCCCAGGAGAGAGTGGCCCCCCTCAGCTCCACTGTGTACTCAGGGGTGGAAAACTTGGAAGGCTGCCTCTGTGGGAGAGGGAGGAAGGTCACAGGGAGCCCTCAGTTCAGATGTGTCTGCTGTGGCACTCTGACCCTAGGAATAGGATGGGGTCACTGGCATGGCCAGGAAACAACTCTGGGGAAAAGTGCCCCAAGTGTTCCTGAACCCAGAGACCCTGATGCTTCTTAACCATGGAGCCTGCTGGCTGGCATGTCCACTGCTGCCCACCCACCCAGGGGAGGACAGGAAAGGAGTGCAGTCTGCATCCCTGCAAGCAGGTGTGCCCACCCCCAGCCTCCCTGCCCTCCAGGCTGGAGCTGGCCACCCTCAAGACTGTTCCCCATCTCCAGTGGGCTAAAACTACTTGTCTTGGAGTGAATCTGCCAGTATCACCCCCTTCCTGCCAAGGCCCAGCTCCTCTGACACTCATGGACCACTCTCTCAGACCTGGTCATCTCCAAGCCAGATTAGATAGAGCAGATGGGGGCTGGGCACAGTGGCTCACGCCTGTAATCTCAGCACTTGAGGAGGTCGAGGTGGGCGGATCACCTGAGGTCAAGAGTCCAAGACCAGTCTGGCCAACATAGTAAAACCCTATCTCTACTAAAAACACAAAAATTAGCCGCACATGGTGGCACATGCCTGTAGTCCTAGCTACTCGAGAGGCTGAGGCAGGAGCACTCAGGAGGGAGAGGTTGCAGTGAGCCGAGATTACACCACTACACTCCAGCCTGGGTGACAGAGCGAGACTCCGTCTCAAAAAAAATAAAAATAAAAATAAAAAAAAGCAGATGGGATGGTCCCTGCCCTGAGGGCCTGGCCTTACCAGGCCGCCTGCAGCCGAGGTCTTTGAGTCCTTGAAGAATGTCAGGACGCCACCCTCCAGCACAGTCCAGGAGGCACTCCAGTGCTTCTTCCTAGGTGGGGGTGGGGAAGTGGGGGTGGCAGGACTTAGATTTGGTCCTGGGCTGAGGGCCCCTCCTACCCCAGGAACAAGTCAGAGCTTAGGAACACAGGCTAGGGCACCCCATTATGAGGGCTGGAATCCCGACTCTAACACCTAGCAGCCGAGGGACCTTGAGCAAGTCACTTTATCTCACAGTGTCTCAGGGTCCACAGAGGACCACTCACGAAGTTGTTGTGAGGATTAATAAGAGCCTGGCATACAGGAAGTGCTCAGTGAACATCGTCACCAAGGCCCACCCTGCCCCGGCCTGAGTGTAGATGGGCTCTCACCGGAGCCGCTTTCCCTTGTCTGCCGTCTTGGTGCGATGGAGCACCCCTGCCTTGTCCAAGGTCTTGGTCTAAGAGAGAGAAGAGAGAGCAGGCGCAAGAGTGTGTAGTTAAGGGGTGAGCTATGGGGAGTAGAGGCTGGTCACCTGCTCAGCTGCCACTCTCTATGGTCTGGGCCCGTGTCTCCACTGAACCCTCCTCGCCAGCACCACCACCTGGCTGGGGGTAGGGGGTGATGCCTACCCTCACAGCAGCTGTGGCAGGAGAGACTTCCTCCCAGCTCCCAACCTCATCCAGCTCTGCTGGGACCTATGGGGGAAGACAGATAGATCCCACCAAGTCCCTCCTCCCAGGAACTCCAGAAGCCCCCCACTGCTTCTGTGGTGGTCCTGCCAGGACCTCAATGGCTCCTCCCCTACCTTCTCCTCTGGAGGGCTGGCCTGGGCTGGGGTGTCACCATCCTGGCTGGATTTATGGATGCTTCGAGGGGCAGGGACAGGGACCTGGGGAGAAAGACACAGTCGTATATGATCTCTTCCTCTCTCCCCAACACCCCCCTTTCCCCAGGTTGTTACCTGGGGCAGCTCCCATCGAACAGAGGAGTCCTCTGGATTGTAGAAGTATGGCTTCCCGTGGGGGTCCTCCAGCCTCACCCACTGTGGGGAGAGGAATGGTCAGGGCCTCCAGCCCAGCTTATGAGAGGGGAGGAAAAGTTTCCCTCTAACCAGGTTCCAAGACAGCACCAGGGAGTCTGGAGGGGCAGGTGCAGGTGACTGTGTTTGGCTGGTTTAGGCTCTGTGTGGGAGCTGCGGTTTAGAGCACTGAGGCGACCTATTAGTGAGGAAGGTTGTGGGGAGGACTCTGAGGCTGTCCGGGTCCATCTGCCCCCTGCCCCTACCTGCTCCTGAGTGAAGTGGTTGGTGTAGAGCATCTGCTTGTCCTGGCTGACATGACAAGACCAGCCGGGGGGTGTGGTCAAGGGAGAGGTAGGGCCGGGCTCACCGAAAGAGCCCACGGGAGAATAGTCCTCCTCGGGGTAACTGGTCAGCGACTCGGGGTAGTCCGTCTCGGGAGTGGGGGGCTGCGGGGAACAGAAGGTGGAGTCAGAGGCTCTGAGTGCCAGTACTGCCTGCTGGCCCTGCCGTTTTGGACCAGGCCCACCCCCTTGCCTTCTGGTCCCTGAGGCTGTGGGAGCAGGAGGCGGGGTCAGAAGCGCTCAGAGGTAGCTCCGCACCTCACCCTCTGGTCCCTGGGGCTGTGGGAGCAGAAGGCGTCAGAGGTAGCCCCGCCCACTCCAGCCCTGCCCCTCACCTTCTGGTCCCTGGGTCTGCAGAAACAGGAGGCGGGGTCAGAAGCGCTTAGAGGTAGCCCCACCCATCCTGCCCCACCCCTCACCCTCTGGTCCTTAGGTCTGTGGGAGCAGGAGGTGGGGTCAAAGGCGCTCAGAGGTAGCCCCGCCCACTCCAGCCCCGCCCTTCACCCTGGGGTCCCTGGGTCTGTGGGAGCAGGAGAAGGGGTCAAAGGCTCTCAGAGGTAGCCCCGCCCACCCATCACCACCCCCTCACCCGTGTGTCCCTGGGCCTCTGGGAGCAGGAGGCGGGATCAGAGGCGCTCAGAGGTAGAACCGCCCACTCTGGCCCTGCCCCTCACCCGCGGGTCCCCTGGGCTGCCAGGGCTCAGGCCCGGCTGCATCTCCAACTCCTCCTCGGGCTCGTTCTCGGCCTCGTCCTCCCAGGCCGTCTCGCCCGTCAGCGGGTTGTAGAAGAACACCCTGCGGCTCTCCTCATCCCAGTACTGGCCCCACTCGGTCTCAAGGCTCACGTGGCTGTCCACCGAGGCAGGGGAGGTGGCTGGGCTGGCGGCACCCTCGGCAGCCTCAAAGGGCGACTCCCAGGTGGTAACTCCCGTGTCTGGGTTGTAGTAGTAGGGGCGCCCGGTGCCCGCGTCCGTGTGCGTCTCCCACACCGGGCTGGGAAGGGGGGCTGCAGCGGCGCCCGGTGAAGTGGCCCGGGGCTGCCTCTCTATGTTCGCGTACACGGGCTCCGGTGGGTCGTCCACCTGCGGGAGGAGAAAGGAGGAATTTTGTGTTTTCAGAAACCTTCCAAAATGGTAACAGAGGTCCCCTCTGGGCAGTGCGATTATAGGGGTTTATTTGTTTTCGCTTTATTTTCTTTAAACTTTTCTGCAGCCTCAAAATTTTGTACAACAAAGCATTTTAAAAATCACGTAAGTTCTTCTGCTCACTGTGACACCATCACTAAGCCGTAAACTCCTTGAAAGGGGAAGTGCCTGTTAGAAGTGGCCTCTTCTTGAGCTTTAGCCCCTTGGGCGACCTTCAGGAAGTCACACTACCTCTCTGCCTCAGTTTCCTGGGTGTAAAATGTCTGCTCTGTCCATTCCGGAAACTGTAGTGAAGAGTGAATGAGGAAATGCTCTTGAAAGTACTTTGTAAAGTATTTAGTGCCCCAGACGGGTGGGTCAATTACATTAATTATATTTATCAATAATAATAAAACATCGATAACCCAGTTCTCACAACTGTGCACTCACAGAGGCAAGTCAGAGGTTGGGCAGGAACTGAGAAGTGGTCTGGGGCGTGCCCCTGTTTATGGTGCCCATTCAGGGCCCTGCTGCATTCTTTTTTTTGAGATGGGGTCTAGCTCTGTCACCCAGGCTGGAGTGCAGTGGCGCAATCTTGGCTCACTGCAACCACCACCTCCTGGATTCAAGCTGCATTCTTACAGCTCCACTGAGAGCTCCCACCCCACCCCACTCTCAGCCCAGAAAGCTCTGGGATTGGAATCAGCACCCTGTCTGGATTTGGGGACTGAACTTTCCAAGGTGAAGTTTGCAGGTGTCAGAACCAATTCCAGACAAGAGAGGGAGACAGGACAGCCAGATGGGCTGGAGAATGGAGGGGCAAAGAGAGGTGAATTGTTTTACTCCACCCCAAAGGAGAGTGAGGGCAGCTGGGGGTTCAATCACATAGAACATAAACCTAGCCATGCGTAAGCCTCCCGGAACAGAGGCTCTCCTGATTCACACCTCAGAGCTCCCTGCTGGCTGCAGGGCAAAGTCTAAGCCCTTAACCAGGCACAAGAGACCGTCCCTCACCGGCCTGTGCTTCCACTATTATTTCCTGCCACTCCTTGCCCCTTGCCTTGAACTTTAAGCTCCAGTAGCACCAGTTGCTAGAGGTCCCCACCGTCCCTGCTGTGTTTCCTCCAGGCCTAGGCTCATCTGCAGCCTGCCCAGGCCCATCTCCACCCCTTTTTTTGCCTGGCTGACTCCAATTCCTTCTTCAGGATTCAGCTGAGGTGCCAGGTTCCAGCCTTTTCCTGAGATTCCCCCCATCCCCGTGCCCCCACATTCAGCCCAGCACCCTTGGCCCCACAGAGGGACAGATGACTACATTCTCAAACCCCAGGCAGCAGCATGGCATACGGAGATTACTACTATTTTCTTTTCTTTTCTTTTTCTTTTTCTTTTTTTTCTTTTTTTTTTTTTGAGATGGAGTCTCGCTCTGTCGTCCAGACTGGAGTGGAATGGTGTGATCTCGGCTCACTGCAACCTCCGCCTCCTGGGTTCAAGCGATTCTCATGCCTCAGCCTCCCAAGTAGCTGGCATTGCAGGCACGCACCACCACGCCTGGCTAATTTTTGTATTTTAGTAGAGATGGGGTTTTGCCCTGTTGGCCAGGCTGGTCTTGAACTCCTGACCTCAGGTGATCCGCCCACCAGGGCCTCCCAAAGTGCTGGGATTACAGGTGTGAGCCACCGCACCTGGCCAATTACTACTATTTTCTAAGCATACACAATACTTCAGGGGAAAGCAGATTTCCACATTTCAATTTTGTGTTTTCGGAAACTTTCCAAAATGCTAACAGAGGTCCCTTCTGAGCACTGTGATTATAGGGGTTTGTTTTTGTTTTGTTTTCTTTGAACTTTCCTGCAGCCTCAAAATTTTGTACTACAAAACTTTTAAAAATTCACAGAAGTTCCTCTGCTGACTGTGACACCATCACTAAGCTGTAAACTCCTCGAAAGAGGAAGCACCTGTTCAGGGTGGTCTCTCCCTGAGCCTTAGGCAGATGCCAAAAAAAAAAAAAAATTCATTTTTCACCAAACTGATGCCAAAAAAGCAAACCAAACCAAAACAATGAAAAGAAGAAGGAAAAGAAGAACATTTGTTTACCCAACAAAGATTCACCTGCTCTGTGCCAGGCACTGTTTGAGGCACGGGGAATACAGCAGGGAAGAAAGGGACACAAATCCTTCCCTGGCAGAGCTGGCACTCAAGTGCACCTGTGTGTAAATGGTGGGGGTGATGAGTAAATGGACAGCATGTCAGTGCTGATCACTGCTAAGCAAGAAATGAAAACACTGTCAATGAAGAGGATGTTACAGTTTTAGACAGGGTGCCAGTCCCCAGGCGCCTGGGGGACAGGGAGAGCTGGGGATCCCAGCCCATCAGTTCTTCTCTCCTCTCCCCTTCCTCCAGGCTGCTGTGTGGCTGAGAGGGGACCCTCCACCCCACTTGTCCTTTCTCTACCCCCACCATAGCTCTGATGTGGCATCCTGTAGTCCAACCACAACAGGCCTCTCACCGGCCCCCAACAGAAAAGGCATCCTCCCACCTCGAAGCGTTTGCTCCAGCCATTCCCTCAGCCTGGAATTCCCTTCTCTGGTTCTCTGCCTACCCAAATCCTGCTCTCTCACGGTGCTCAGCTGACAAGCCTCTCCAGGGAGAGGTCAAACCTGCTGGCACTCTGCTCACTGCTCTGTTGAGGCCCAATGGCGTTCTGCCTTGGTGGGCAGCCAGTTGTCCAACCATCTGCCCACCTCCTCTGCCCCAAAAGGCAGGATTTTCTTGAGAGCAAGACTAAGGATAATGTAGCTGATTCCATTTGCCCCCCAGCAGCTGGGCCAATGCCCTGAAGCACATAGCAGGTCTGCCACAAACTGCTTGTGTACACAAGTCTAACCCATGCCCAGTTTCAGCAACAAACATGCCTGACATGACAGAAGAGCCTGGAATGAGCTTGAGCTTTCTGAGGAGGAGGGTCGGAGCCACAGAAACCAGGAGATTCCTGGGGAGGGCAGGATGGAAGCAGCGGGGAGAGGAAGGCAGAGGAACCAGACACACCTCCCATCCTCCCAGCTGAACGCACTGGGGCAGGAGTTGAAAGGCTCCACCAGGGGTGGATGAGCTGATAAGGAACAGGCTCTTTGGAGCAGGAATTTCTACTTGGCAGGCTGTGGGCCATGGCTCTGGGTCCACGAGGAGTCCCAGGCCAGTGAGGCTGATGGGGTCCTCACACGAAGGAATGTCCCCAGCAGGTACAGAGGAGATTTCGGAGGTAGAAGTTTAGGTCCCCAGCATGACAGGGCTGTCACAAGGAAGAGAAGATGGGGTATCATGCTGCAGGGGCACAGCAGCATTCCTCTGAAGGAAGCATTCTGAGGACTAGGGCTGCCAGAGACACAGGCTGCTTCTGGAGGTAGTGAGGGGCCCTCACTGGAGGTGACTGAGCAGAGTCTACTCCCTGTTAGGGAAGCCATAGCCCTGTGGTGGGTGTTGAACTGCAGTGTCCTTCAGGCCCCTTCAAACTCTGGAACTCTCGGCAGACCCTGCACAGTGCTGAGATAGAGATGCTCTCCTCTCCTGGCAGAGCCTCAGCTGGGTTCTAACCAGCTCCTGGGGCCAGGTGCAGTCACGCCCTCCACATCCTCTGGCCTTCAAGGAGTTACAGGCGCCTGCCACCCCTACCCTCCTCCTTGCTCCTGTTCATGGAGGCCCAGACAAGACCCAGATGCAGCTCATAAGCAGGGGCCTGACTACGGGATCAATGGCTCTTGGGTCGCATCCTAGAGACAAGAAGTGGCCTTCCGACCTCAGGCCAGAGGAGGAGCCAAGAGGGACCTGGCTCTCAGGCTCCAGGCTGCCCAGCCCCCTGGTACTGCCTTACAGTGGTTCACCCCTTATCTCCAGTTCCCTCCCCTGTCCACAAGCAGGTGGCAGCCCTGCCACTCTTGCCCCAAGCTGACCACCTCTTGGATGGGCAGGGCCTCCGAGAAGGAAAGAGAAAAGGAAGTATGAGCCCCAACTTCCAAGAGGCTCCCTGCTCTAAGCCCCAGCTCACCCAGCTCCTAACAGGGCTTGTGGTAGAGGCCCACCGGGCACCCCTTGACCCCAGCATCCCCTACCTGTGCCGGCAAGGCTCGACTCTGCCTCCTGGTCACTTTGGCGATTATGTCCACCATCCTGGCCCCTCTGAACTGCCGGGACAGAGCCCTGGGAAGGTTTTGGGGGTAGAGCCCAGGGGCACTACCCCAGTGCTGGCACAGGGCAACAGGGAAACAAGAAGTTGCCGAGATGGCGGGAGGCTGAGACTCCAGCCCATTTCCTGTCAGGGCTGCGGAAGTGCTGCCTGAGTTGGGGCGGGTGGGGTGGAGGGGCCTCAGGTTGAGGGTATTTTTATGCTTCTAGAAACACTGCTGGCTGCCCCACTCAGTGCTCTAATGACCAGTGAGCCGCATCCGAGGCCCAGACATAGCCATGGTGTGGGCTGCACAGAGGAAGATCACGGCCAGACCCAGCCACAGCATGAACTGCACAGAGAGAATCACGGCTGAGCCTGTGGGGGAGGGGCGCGCTTGCACAGACAGGGTGGGCAGAGGGGGCGCTGAGTGCTGGGGGCCTGGGCTGGCCTGGAGTGGCTCCTGGGGCGGAAACAGGACAATGAGTGGTTGTCCACTCCCTCTAGGCCCAGGGAGGGTGTAATGGGAAAGAGGAAGCTTGTGGGGGGGAGGGGAAGAGTTCCCAAAGAGGAAGGGGTCTGGGCAGATGTGATATCACAGGGAGCTGGCATCTGGACTGTGCCAGCCCCGAGGAGGACAGGAAGGATTCTGACCACATCACTATCTGCCCGCCTGACCACCTGGGTCTGTCTCCTCCAGACTCGGTCACCAAGATGCATATGCCCTCCCACGCCTGCATGCCCACATGTGCCCACTCTCACTTGCGTGTCCACATACGTGTACAAGTATGCCCGTGCCTGTCCCCTCCTCTCTAAGGACCCAGAGAAGAGGGCCAGGCACCAGCTTCTTCCAGGAGGAAGGTTAAATCTTCTTCCTGGCCTCTCTTCCCTTCACCCCCTCGTGTGGGGATGACAGACCCCAGCCACGCACAGTGGACACATGCCCTGAGTAAGAAGTTACAGCCCCTCCTCTGAGCCCATGGGTCCATCTTGTCTTCCCTCCTCCCTTAGAAGTGCTTCCTCCCCAGGCTTAAGGGCCAGGCAGCACTAAGCCCACCAGCCCACCCCTGCTGAAGTCCACCTCCTTTCCTGGTCAGGCTCTGACCCCCACCCTTCCACTCTAGGCCCATTCTTCCTCCTCTGGCCCCCACCCTGGATCTCTTTTTCTCCCCTGCCATGTCTCTCAGCCCCTCTTCTCCTGTACCCACTGTGGGCTGGGGACAAGGACCCCAAGCAGAGCCAGGCACAGTGTGAATGTGGGGCACGAGACACTTGTAGAGATCACACTAGGAGCAAGACTGGGCCCCATGCCCTGCTCTGCCCACAAAAGCTCTCATACCAGTGTCCCATCCCCTGTACCCGACTCAGAAGCCCAGACCCCAGGGGTAGACTAATCCCCTCCTCGCTATCAGGGTGGAGGACAGCAGGAATCACAGAAGGCTGGAGGCCTCATGCTTATCACACACCTGACCCATCTCTCTGTCCCCACCCTGAGGCCAGGGATGAGGACTCACACACACACACACACACACACACTACACACGTGTGCGTGCATATGACAGGTCACCAAGGGTTATGCAACCAGGCCTCAGAGACAGGAATAGCCTCTGTAAATTCCAGAGAGGCCAGAAACTCTGAGCCACCAGGGAGGAGCTGGGTGGAGAGGGGAGAGAAGAGGACAGGTGTGGAACTCAGGCCCTCAGCATTGCCCTGCAGGTAGCATGGGGGGCAGGGACTCCCTATGGCAGAGCCAGGAGTGTCAGTGTCAGGGCTGGGACTGCAGAATGGGCAGCCAGCAACTCACCTGGCATCTCACCTGCTTCTCTTCCCCAGTAGGAAGCTGGGCCCCCATGATGGGGGTCTCCCAGGGGGCTCCAGCCCCAAACTATAGGGAGTGAACAAACTCACACAGTTCCTGCCTGCTCTTGGCCACAGAAGTTGGCTCTCAGGCCCTGTCTCGGATTCCCTCCCCCCAGTGAGAGGAGGTGATGACCACAGTGGCTCCCCAGAGGGGTCCACCTCCCTCCACCACACCCTCATGCCTCTGAGAGGCACAAGGGGGAGGGTCAGGAGAGGTTCTAGAACAAACCAGCTGCACAACACCCCTCCTTTCCCCACTCTGACCTCACTCTTCCCTCCCAAACCCTCATAGGAAGTGCTGGGGCAGGAGCAGGTGCACTAGGAAGACCCAGTCCTCTGGGGCTAGAGGCAAAATGAACGCCTCCAAACCAGGACTTGGCCCAGGAACTGGCTCAGGGGCTGGCGAGGGGACATGGTGTCCTTTGTTGACTCAGTGAGTCTGCTCTGTGCCACCCAAGCCAGGTGGAGGGAGAGCCAGAAGGAATGGTGATCTTTGCCTCAAGGAGCTCAGTCATGTCCACACGACAGGTCCCTCCCCCAAACACATGTTCTCCAGGACAGAAACTGGGTCTCCCTTTAACCATCCCGGCCTGGCCCAGAGCTACATGTCCAGGGGCAGGATCGGAGGAGCTGGGGGTGACCCCACAGGATCCTGGGCCTCAGGCCTCAGTAGGCTTTGGGGAACTGTGCCTAGCTCAGCCCTCTGAGATTCTGATGGAAGTGGTTTGGGCCGGGACCTGGGGAAAGTGTTTAATTTTAAGCCTCCTTGGGTGATTTGACTGTGCCTCCCAGGTGTGGCACCACGGCTCAGTATAATCTTTTTTTTTTTTTTTTTTTTTTTTTTTTTTTTTTTTTAATGGAGTCTCACTCTGTCACCCAGGCTGGGGTGCAGTGGCTCGATCTCAGCTCACTGCAACCTCTGCCTCCCAGGCTCAAGTGATTCTCCTGCCTCAGCTTCCTGAGTAGCTAGGATTACAGGTGCCTGCCACCATGCCCAGCTAATTTTTGTACTTTTAGTAGAGATGGGGTTTCATCGTGTTGGCCAGGCTGGTCTCAAACTCCTCACCTCAAGTGATCCGCCGCCTTGGTCTCCCAAAATGCTGGGATTACAGGCATGAGCAGCCCGGCTGACTCAGTGTAATCTTATTGCATGGATGTGGGGTGAGATTCCAAATGTAACGGTTTCAGGTGAGACCCTTTTCTTGGGCTTGGGGCAGAAGCTTCCATTGATTCAGAGGGAAAAAGAGTGGAGCCGGAGACCAGAGACTTGGACTCTTGTCTAGACTCTACTTCAGCTTCTCGCTGAGCAGCTGCTTGAATTTCTGGGCCTCAGTTTCTTCATGTGTAGAACAGAGCTGTCAACCCTACTCCGTCACAGGGCTGGTTCTATGAAAGAACTGAGCGGGCCTTGGGTTCCCACACCCATGGGGATTGGGGGAAAGCAGGCCTGCACTTCTGCTTTTCTGACTTCGGGTTTCGATTGGGTGCCCTCGGCTCTGGACTCTGTCCCCAGCCTCTGGGTGACCTCATGGGGCTGCTTGCCTGGCCTGCTCCTCCAGGGCGGGGTGGGAGCTGGGGTGGGGCATCCTCAGGGCTCACAACGCTTGTGCTCTAAGTAAGGCTGGCAGACACCCAGCAGGGCTGCTGGGGCCAGGAGGGATCAGAAATGGTCCATGAGGGGCTGGGTGCGGTGGCTCAGGCCTGTAATCCCAGCACTTTGGAAGGCCGAGGCAGGAGGATCACTTGAGGTCAGGAGTTTCAGACCAGCCTGGCCAACATAGCGAAACCTTGTCTCTACTAAAAATACAAAAATTAGCTGGGCGTGGTGGCGTGCGCCTGTAATTCCAGCTACTCGGGAGGCTGAGGCAAGAGAATTGCCTGAACCTGGGAGGCAGAGGTTACAGTGAACCAAGATCGCACCATTGCACTCCAGCCTGGGTGACAGAGCGAGACTCCATCTCAAAAAAAAAAAAAGAAATGGTCCATGAGGGAACCTCCCAGCCAGCGAAGGCTGTAGGGATGAGCCAGACTAGGGAGGTGGGAAAATGAGACCAAGGAATGATCACCTTCTGCCCTCCCCCTCAAACGTATCTGTGTTTGCACCCACCATTCCTTCCCCCTCCCCCAGTGGAAGGCACAGGGGCCTGCCGTCCAAGCCAACCTCCTCAGCCCGGTCCTGAAGGACCCCATAGCCTCCCGCTTGCTCGGAAGTGGCCTCACCTCAAATTTCCAACCCTTCCTTTCTGACTACCTTTGTCCCTTTCTCATTTCAACAAACTCAAGGCCTCTCCATGTTGGTTTTTTTTTTTTTTAGACAGCGTCTTGCTCTGTCACCCAGGCTGGAGGGCAGTGGCACGATCATGGTTCACTGCAGCTTTGACTTCTTGGACTCAAGCAATCCTTCTGCCTCAGCCTCCCAGGTAGCTGGCTAGCTGGCAGTACAGGCCCACACCACCACGCCCGGCTAATTTTTTTTTTTTTTTTTTTAGAGACAGGGTCTGACTATGTTGTCCAGGCTGGTCTTGATCTCCTGAGCTCAAGAAATCCTCCCACCTCAGCCTCCCAAAGTGCTGGGATTACAGGCCTGAGCCACTGCACCCAATTGGTCTCTCCATCTTAAAAAGAAAATGTTGACTGGGCACAGTGGCTCACGCCTGAAATCCCAGCACTTTGGGAGGCTGAGGCAGGTGGATCGCTTGAGGTCAGGAGTTCAAGACCAGCCTGGCCAACATGGTGAAACCCCATCTCTACTAAAAATACCAAAAAAAAAAAAAAAAAAAAAATAGGCGTGGTGGCAGTTGCCTGTAGTCCCAGCTGCTTGGGAGGCTGAAGCAGGAGAACCACTTGAACCCCAGAGGTTGCAGTGAGTAGAGATCACACCATTGCTCTCTAGCCTGGGTGACAGAGAGAGAGTCCATCTCAAAAAAAAAAAAAAAAAAAAAGTTTTGTTCCCTGGACCCAGCTCTGCATCTCCTTTTAACAACTAATTCCTTTTTCCCTTCCTCCTTTTTGAGCCAACTTCTCTGTTCCCTCACTTAGACAATCAGCCCACTGCTTAGAGGCCTTCTACCACTTCCTTGATGATAGATCTGGTCCTCCTCTGGCCTGACTTCTCTCCAGTGTTTGCTCTTTAAAATCCTCTCCTTCTTGGGCTTCCTCAGGCCAGGCCTCCTAGTTTTCCTTCTTTTTCTTTGCTACTGCTCAGCAATTGGGCCCCAGGCTCCACCTCCTCTGCCACGGCCTCATGCTTGGTGTCTCACCTGGCTTCTCACTCCACCGCCTTGGGAGAGCCCAGCCCCACCGGCTGTAGATCAACAACTCGCAGCACAGTCTCCAGGCTCACATAGCCCATTGCCATCTGGATGTCCTTTGTACATGTCGAAAACCGTGTGCCCCAAATCAAATTTGTCCTCTCCCTCCTCCTTCCCCGATCTTAGCATCTGAGTGACATCTACCTCTGTCACTCAAGGTAGAATCATCCTTGCCTCCTGCTGGCTTTGCCTCATCTGACACTGAGCCCCATTGATCCGACCAGCCTAAGCCTTGCAGACCTGCCTACCAGTTCTCAGGTAACACCAAGGTTAGAGGAAGACGGAAACACTGCTGCAAGGAAGCAAATAGACACCTTGCAGGCAGGGCAATGAGTCAATGTCCAGGCAGAAAGAAAGGGTAGGGCTCTTCAAGGGAGATTGAAGAGACAGCCAGATACAAGGCATGGACTTGGACGGGATCCTGAACCAAACAAACCAGCTGTGAGAGAGATGTTTTAGGATAAGGCAGAAATCTGACGATGGCTTAGGTCATAGATGACACTAAGGAATTATTGTTAATTTTCTCAGATATAATAATGGTAGGGTGTTTACTTTTCAGAGATGCATGCTGAAGTTTTTGTTTTTTTTTTTTGTTTGTTTTTTGTTTTTTTGAGACGGAGTCTGGCTCTGTCGCCCAGGCTGGAGTGCAGTGGCATGATCTCGGCTCACTGCAGGCTCCGCCTCCCGGGTTCACGCCATTCTCCTGCCTCAGCTTCCCGAGTAGCTGGGACTACAGGCGCACGCCACCAGGCCCAGCTAATTTTTTTGTATTTTTTTTTTTTTTAGTAGAGACGGGGTTTCACCGTGTTAGCCAGGATGGTCTCAATCTCCTGACCTCGTGATCCGCCCACCTCAGCCTCCCAAAGTGCTGGGATTACAGGCGTGAGCCACCGCGCCCAGCCTCATGCTGAAGTTTTTAGGGGTGAAATATGATGTCTAGAATTTATAATTCATCAGCAATAAATAAATAAAAATAAACACGGCAAATATTGTTTTTTCTCTTTTCTCTCTCTCTCTTTTTTTTTTTTCTAGTAGAGCAGCCAGCAAGGAGTTGGCTCCTTGCTATTGTTAAATCTAGGCAATAAGTAACTGTATTCTTTTTTTAATTTTTTTTTGAGATGGAGTCTAGCTCTGTCGCCCAGGCTGGAGTACAGTGGCGCAATCTTGACTCACTGCAACCTCTGCCTCCCAGGTTCAAGCAATTCTCTGCCTCTGCCTCCAGAGTAGCTGGGATCACAGGCGCCCACCACCACACTCAGCTAATTTTTTGTATTTTTAGTAGAGACAGGGTTTCACAATCTTGGCCAGGCTGGTCTCAAACTCCTGACCTTGTGATTCACCCGCCTCAGCCTCTCAAAGTCCTGGGATTACAGGCGTGAGCCACCGCGCCCGGCCTGTATTCATTTCTTAAAAATATTATTGGCCGGGCGCGGTGGCTCATGCCTGTAATCCCAGTATTTTGGGAGGCTGGGGCAGGCGGATCACCTGAGGTCGAGAGTTTGAGACCAGCCTGACCAACATGGAGAAACCCCGTCTCTACTAAAAATACAAGAAAATTAGCTGGGCATGGTGGCCCATGCTTGTAATCCCAGCTACTTGGGAGGCTGAGGCAGAGAATCACTTGAACCCAGGAGGCGGAGGTTGTGGTGAGCCGAGATCGAGCCATTGCACTCCAGCCTAGGCAACAAAAGCTAAACTCTGTCTCAAAAAAAAAAACAAAAATTATTTTTGGCTGGGCGTGGTGGCTTATGCCTGTAATCCCAGCACTTTGGGAGGCCGAGGCAGGCAGATCACCTGAGGTCAGACTTTCAAGACCAGCCTGACCAACATGGCGAAACCCCTCCTCTATTAAAAATACAAAAATTAGTGGGGCATGGTGGCATATGCCTGTAATCCCAGCTACTTGGGAGGGTAAGGCAGGAGTATCACTTGAACCCGGGAGGCAGAGGTTGCAATAAGACAAGATTGTGCCATTGCACTCCAGGCTGGGCGACAGAGCAAGACTCAGTATCAAAAAAAAAAAAATTCTTTTTGTCTGGGCATGGTGGCTCACACCTGTAATCCCAGCACCTTGGGAGGCAGAGGTAGGTGGATCATTTGAGATCAGGAGTTCGAGACCAGCCTGGCCAACATGGTGAAACTCCGTCTCTACTAAAAATACAAAAATTAGCCAGGTGTGGTGGCACTTGCTACTCGGGAGGCTGAGACATGAGAATCGCTTGAACCTGGAAGGTAGAGATTGCAGTGAGCTGAGATTGTGCCACAGCCCTCCAGCCTGGGTGACAGAGCAAGATTCTGTCTCAAAAAAAAAAAAAATTTTGGCCGGGTATGGTGGCTCACGCCTGTAATCCCAGCACTTTGGGAGGCGGAGGCGGGTGGATCACAAGGTCAGGAGATCGAGACCATCATGGCTAACACGGTGAAACCCCGTCTCTACTAAAAATATAAAAAAATTAGCCGGGCACAGTGGCAGGCGCCTATAGTCCCAGCTACTTGGGAAGCTGAGGCAGGAGAATGGCGTGAACTCGGGAGCGGAGATCGTGCCACTGCACTCCAGCCTGGGCGACAAAGCGAGACTCTGTCTCAAAAAAAAAAAAAAAAAATTTTTTTACTTTTCTTCATGTTGGACATTTTCTTTTTTTTTCAGTTTTAAATTTGTTTACTTATTTTTAATATAGAGGCGAGGTCTCACTGCGTTTTTCAGGCTGGTCTTGAACTCCTGAGTTCAAGCAGTCCTCCCGCTTCGGCCTCCCAAAGTGCTAAGATTATAGGTGTGAGCCACCAGGCCCAGCCTATTTGGACATTTTCATAATAAAAAGTAAAAAAAAAAAAAAAAAAAAATCCCTTAAACTTTTTTACTATTCTCCATCCTCACTGTCACTACCATATAAGCGTGTGGTCTCAGCTATTTGGGAGGACCAAGCGGGAGGACTGCTTGAGCCCAGGAGGTTGAGGCTGCAGTGAGCCGTGATCGCACCACTGCACTCCAGCCTGGGTGACAGAGCGAGACCCTGTCTCAAAAAAGAAAAGAAAAAAAAGTTGTTCATTATTTCTCACCTGGAAACAGACTTGCCCTTCCAGCTCCCCCCACCCCCGAAGTGTTACAAAGTAGTTCCTCTCCCTTTCAGACACAGCTCTGGAGCCAGGATTCTGGGAATAAGGCCACTTAAACACGCCCTGTTTCCCCTCTGCTGCCAACTGCGACCTGCTACTGCCTGAGTCAAGCAGAGGCTGGGACAGTGGGTGGGTGGGACCTGGCTGGCACAGGTGAGAGGCTGTGTCTGAGGTGGAGGCTCCCAGGGGAACCTTGGGGCAGGCTGGCCCATCATGGGACCCTGGGGAGAAGGCAGGGTGGCTTTTGTACCCTTGAGCCCAGGAGCTGAGGAGGGCCAAACAGGTGGGCCAGGTAGTCTCTACCCGTAAGGCCAGGGCACCAAGGAGACAGGGAGAATTCCTGCTGGTGTTTTGACATCACAGATGCCCCATGCCCACAGGCCCACTGGCAGAGACCACCATCTCTTCTCCACTCTAGGGCCCCCCCACCAAGTGGGTACTCCTGCAGCTCGACCCCAGCTCTGGGGAGCAAAGTCATATAAACTCACTCTGTGACAGCTCAGCAGGGGGAACAGAGAGAACCACCAAACCAGTTGCCGCCACCAGACCCCAGCACAGCCGGGACCCAGGACGCACTAAAGATGCCATCACAGGTCATGGGGAAAGACAAACTTGTCAGTGAAAGGTCACAGGACAACTGGCTGCCCATCCAGAGATAAACATAAATAAACAAGTATATAAGTAAGGGAGGGTCCACATCTCACTCTGTCCATGCACAATAACCCTCAAAGGATTAAAGATTTAAGTTTTTAAAAACGAAGCCATAAATACAAAGAAGAAAACAAAATCTAATATGCTGTATGTATATACCTATATATAAGCCTATATATTTTATATATGTGTCTCTTTATATAGATAAAAGACTTCAATATGCTGTATGTACATATAAATATATACAATATATACTATGCTGTGTGTGTATATATATAAAAGACTTATGCTGTATGTATATATATATATATATATATATATATATATATATATATATATGACTTTGTAACAAAGATGCAAAATATAAAAGCCATAAAATAAATGAGTGATACATTGGACTACATAAGTATATTTTAAGAAAACTTGTGTGGCAAAATAATGCTATTAGCAGAGTCAAAAGACAACTCAGGGTGGGGGAGGGAATTACAACTCATGTAATAATAGACAAAGGATTATTTTCCCTAGTATAGAAAAAGCTACTAGAACTCAATAAGAAAAAAGCCCAACAACCCAATACAGAAACAGGCAAAGGATATAAATAGACCATTCACAGAAAAAAAAGGGGGGGAACAAACAGCCCTTAAATATATGAAAAGATAATCTTACTGGAAAGAGAAATGCAAATTTAAAGTACCTTAAGATAATACATTTTATGGTCAGGTTGGCAGAAAACAAAAGTTTGACAACAGTCAGTTGGCAAGGCTTTGGGGACCAGACACTAATTTGTGTTGGTGAGGGCACATTGGTATATGCCTCATGGGACATACTCATCAAATATCTAATATTTATCTTTTGACCCCAAAATCCCACTTCTGCAATTTTTCCTACTTCTACCTGTACATATATAACAGTATTCATTATGACATTGTTGTAACAGCAAAAAATGGGAAATATTCCAAATGCCTGTCAACAGGAGACTGGTAAAATGGATTATTTGTAGTTGTAGGGAAGGAGACAGAACCTCTCTAGGTACAATCTCCAAGATACATTGTCAAAGAAATAAAAAGTAAACAAGGTTTTTGTTTTGTTTTGTTTTGTTTTTTACCTTGTTTTACACATAGGACGGTGTTGCTTGAGAGAGAAAATTAAGTAATCAGATACATAATTATACTAGTTTGTACTCAGAAACTTTGGAAGAATGAAGAAAGAATGAATGAAAGTGGTGACTTTTGAGTTGATGGAGAACAGAGCAGGGAAACAGTGTACATGTGACATTTTTACTATAGACTTTAAAATATTGCTTTGATTTAAAAAAAAACCTGTAAAAATACTATCTAGTAAAATAAATTCAAGGCTATTGGCAAAATAGAGGGGCTGGAGAATGCAATTACAATTTGAATACAAACTCTTAAGGAGACTCAAATCAAGCAGAGTTTTAAAAAAGGACTGATTTTGGCCGGGCGCAGTGGCTCACGCCTGTAATCCCAGCACTTTGGGAGGACGAGGCAGGCGGATCATGAGGTCAGGAGATTGAGACCATCCTGGCTAACACGGTGAAACCCCGTCTCTACTAAAAATACAAAAAATTAGCCGGGCATGTTGGGGGGCGCCTGTAGTCCCAGCTACTCAGGAGGCTGAGGCAGAATGGCGTGAACCCGGGAAGCGGAGCTTGCAGTGAGCCGAGATCATGCCACTGCACTCCAGCCTGGGCGACAGAGCAAGACTCCATCTCAAAAAAAAAAAAAAAAAAGACTGATTTTTAGAACTTAAAATATGTCATTGTACTAGTTGAAGGAGAAGAAATTCACTCTTGAGATTCAAATTTGCAGCCTGGAAGGTCAAGAAGAAACATCAAACCTCAGAGCAAAAGTACAACAAGAATGAAATAAAGAGACCAAAGATAAACTGGGGGGGACCCAGTTGGGAGCGCTCACATGCAAAGGAAAGAAAAGGTAAAAGAAACAATAATCGAGCAACAGTCCGGGCGCAGTGGCTCATGCCTGTAATCCCAGAACTTTGGGAGGCCAAGGCAGGCAGATTGCTTGAGCCCAGAAATTTAAGACCAGCCTGGGCAACAAGGTGAAACCTTGTCTCTCCATAAAATACAAACAAAATTAGCTGGGCACGGTGGCGTGCGCCTGTATTCCCAGCTTCTCAGGAGACTGAGGTGGGAGGATCACTTGAACCCAGGAGGTCGAGGCTGCAGTGAGCCGTGATCGTGCCATAGCACTCCAGCCTGGGTGGCACAGTAGACCCTGTCTCAAAAAAATAAAAAATAAAGAAACAATAATCAAATCAAGCAACAAATAGATGTTCCTAAGCTGAGAAAAGACCGGAGTCTACAGAGTGACAGGTTCTGTAAGCTCCAAATGAGGGTGCTGAGAAAAGAATCCCCATCGAGGCATGTGCTAAAGAATATGTGTTTGATTAGGAACCCCAGAGAAGGGACAGCTGCCAATAATGAAATGGAAAGTGTAACAGGAAGAAAAAGGAAATCGATAACCAGATCAGAGGGAAAAAAACTGCAAGATAAACCAATAAATGTAAAATAAGCCAAAGGTAATCAAATCAAGTACAGTAGATCAATTGTTAAATGAAATGTGAACAGATTGAATTCTCCCACTAAAAGACAAAGAGTCAGCTTGGGTTTAAAAATACAGTGATAGGCTGGGTGCAGTGCCTCATACCTGTAATCCCAGCACTTTGGGAGGGTGAGGCAGGTGGATCACTTGAGGTCAGGAGTTTGAGACCAGCCTGACCAATGTGGTGAAACCCTATCTCTACTAAAAATACAAAAATTAGTTGGATGTGGTGGCGTGTGCCTGTAATCCCAGTTAATCAGGAGGTTGGGGCAGGAGAATCAGTTGAATCTGGCAGGCGGAGGTTGCAGTGAGCCAAGATCGCACCACTGCACACCAGCCTGAGTGACACAGCGAGACTCCATCTCAAAAAACAAACAAAAATCCATGAAAATAATAAAAATACAGTGGTGGCGGGCAACACGAAGAAACCCCATCACTACAAAAAATACCAAAAAAAAAAAAAATTAGCTGGGCATGGTGGCACGTGGGCCATGTGGTCCCACGTTCTCAAGGTGCTGAGGCAGGAGAATTGCCTCAGCCAGGGAGGCTGAGGCTGCAGAGAGCCATGATCACACCACTGCACTCCAACCTGGGCAACAGAGGGAGACCCTATCTCAAACAAAACAAAACAGTGATGTGACATATACAAGAAATTAGTAGTTTCAAAAAATGATAATAGTAGGAAATAAAAGAATGCTAAGCAAGTACAAAAAAAAGATAAAGTAAAATAAGGAGTGGTCATATAAACAATAGAAGGGTGAAATTTAAGGTTAAGCACTAGAATAGGATAAAGAGGGACACCACGTAATGATAGAAAAGCACAATTTGTAACGAAAGAACGCTCGAAATCTGCATCCTCCTGACAGCATCGTAGTTAAATATAAAAAGCAAAAACTAGGAAAAGCCCCAGAAGAGCTTTATAGAGAAAATGTGAGAGGAAGGTTTAACATAACACATCTCTATCAGAATTAGAGTAAAAGACCCCTGCCCCCAAGCAAAGGATACAAAGGAAATGAAAGTTTGAATAATACAATCAATAAACATGATTTGATGCAGATAGTACCTTATATCCCTTAAATAGAAAATATGCATTTTTCCGGCCAGGCGTGGTGGCTCACACCTGTAATCCCAGCACTTTGGGAGGCTGAGGTGGGTGGATCACTTGAGGTCAGGAGTTGCAGACCAGCCTGGCCAACATGGCAAAATCACCTCTGTACTAAAAATACAAAAATTAGCCCGGTGTGGTGGCGCACACCTGTAATCCCAGCTACTCAGGAGGCTGAGGCAGGAGAATCACTTGAACCCAGGAGGTGGAGGTTGCGGTGAGCCGAGACCACGCCACTGCACTCCAGCCTGGGCGACATCTCAAAAAAATAAAATTAAAATAAAAATAAAAAAAGAAAATACGCATTTTTCTTATGTGTCTGTGAAAAACTTAGCAAAATCATTTACTTGGTCACAAAGAAATTCATAATAAATTTTAAAAGTGGAGAGTTTACACATCTGGAGAAAATGAATGCTTTCCTAGTAAAATATAAAATGGCCAAAATTAACTAGAAGGTGAGTAGAAACTTAAATAAACTAATTACCATTGATGAGAAAAAAAATCTGCCACTGAAAAAGGCACCCGGTCCAGAGGGTTTCATGAGCGGGAACTGTAGAAACCTTTCGAATTCAACTCTGCCAACACCTTCCTCCTCCAGGAAGCACTCCTGGATTTCCCTCTTGCCAACAAGATTCTGGGAGGGCAGCTCCTCCAACATGCCCCCAACAGCTCTCTGCAGACATATCATATCATATCATATCTTCCATACCATAACTGCCATGCCATACAATATCATAACTGGATCTGCTGTTCAATTTCTCCTGGACAGTAAGCTACCTGAGGGCAGGAACCATCCTTTATTTTTCATTGCTCCCTAGCCCCCAGTACAGCGGCTGACATTCACTGACTAGGTGAATATGGTAAATGAAAAAGCAGAAGGCACAATCGTCATTACACTGTGATGTCTCTACGGGAACTGCCCAAGAGATACGCATAAGAAGGCAGAATAAATGGGAAGAAACCAACATGCTCACAGTCATTCGATTGAGATTTCCTCCTATTATTCAAATATTTGTAATGGAGTTAAGCTATTTTTATAGGGAGGGAATAGTAATTTACACATTTAACTGGGCCAAGGAGGAGAAAGGAAGGGGGAGGCTGGGATGATTCTGCAGGCAGGCCCTTCTGCTACCTCTGCTTCCTCTCTCTGGCCCAGTCCCTAGACAGACATGGAGGCCTGGGCAGGGGCCCCTGCCCCCCTCCTTTCATGCCTCACAGGGGACCCCCAGCCAGGAGAGGGCAAGGAGGCAGGGTGGGCACCCACAGCAGCCTCAGCTGGACAGAAGGGTCCTGCAGGCCTCACCCGGCTCAGGCAACAGTTCTGGAAGTTCCCTCAACACCAGAATCCTTCTGCAATCTGGAAACAGAGCTTCCCAAATTTTAGCAAGAGCACCTCTGTGCCTGTGCCCCAGAGCCCTAGTCCTGGCAGCCCTGTTTCCCCTTCAATATGAACCAACAGCCACTGACCTCTCACTCCCCGGCACAGATCCAGCTCCCAATCTCCCTAACATTCAGGCATGGAGACTCGACCACATCCCTGATCATCAGCTACGCCCTGGTCACGATCATGGACTTTCCCATTCCCCAGGGCCTGGCACTGACCACCCATCCAGGCTGGCATTCAGTACTGATGCCCACCCCTCCCTGTACTGGACGCAGTCAGCTCTAGGAAGGGCAGAGAAAACAGGTCTATGGGAGCTAAGCTATGAGGATGCAAAGGCCTAAGAATGATATAATGGATTTTGGGGACTTGGGAGTGGGGGAAGGGTGGGAGGGGGGTGAGGGATAAAAGACTACACATTGGGTACAGTGCACACCAGTCGGGTGACGGGTGCACCAAAATCTCAGAAATAGCCACTAAAGAACTTATTCACGTAACCAAACACCACCTGCTCCGCAAAACCATTGAAATAAACATTACAAAAAACAGGTCTAGAGTGAGGTCAACTGCTGAGGCCTGGGAAGAAAGTGAGGGGGCAGGTGGGCTTGTCCTGGGGCCCATCGCAGGCCCCTGGGCGCTGAAGGGAGCCAAGGACTAAGAGGTGAGAGCCAGGCACAGGCTCCAGCGAGACCTGAAGAGATCATGGGGCCTGCAGGAGAGCCAGGGGGTGCGGGGGGTGGGCAGGGAGATCTCTGGGTGGACAGCAATGTGGGGTGAGGGTGGGAGGGAGATCCAAGAAGCTGCTGTCTCCTAAGTCAGGTCCTAGGCAGGCAGAGGGGCTCCTGGGACAGCCTGGGGCTGCAGGTGAGTCACCGGGAGGGAACTGGGTCAGGTGTAAAGAAACCAGCAGGGCCACCCCAGGGTGGCTGCCCCACCTGGGGGTTGGGGGTGGGGGGTGCCGGAGGAGGGAGTACGAGCAAGGGGCTAGCTAGAGTCCCTTCAACTTGGCCTCAGCTTCCTGCTGTTACCAACACCCCTTGCCAAAGTCCCCCTAGCTGGCCCCGAAGGGGGACAGGAGGGTCTGTCCCAAGGCCAGTTCCTTTCTCTCAGTCACAGTGGCCTCGGGCTGCCCTTGGAGTTTGTCCTAGGAAGTGGGTGCTGGGCCTGGATCCAGAGGGGAGGGGCCCCCAGATGGGTTTTAGGATTCGGGAAAGGGAGGGGAGAGATTGGGGAAACTGCTGTGGCCACCCCCTAGTCCCCCAGGGGCGAGGACTCACTCAGTTCCCAGTGGAGGAGAAGGAATGAGGGCCCCGGGCTCCTTCCAGTCGGGGCTGCCTGCTCATGTGCGGCGCCTCCGGGGCTGCTTGTATAAGAAGGTGCAGCAGCCCGGCTGGAACTTCCCTCCCAGCGGCCAATGCCCCAGCAGCAGGGGCGGGCTCCAGGCCAGCTCCACCTGCCTGGGCCTTCCCACCTCTGGGCGGGGATGGTGACCGCACCCTGAAATCCCAGAGTCAGGACCAAGGGAAGAGTCTCAGAGGCCCCTTTATTGCACTGGCTTTGGCCTGGCTTCCCAGAGCTCCCTGAGTGGCCTCTTTGTGGGAGAGGAGGAGTCATCCCTGCTTACCTCCCCCGTCTCCCTCTATCCCCTCTCAGAAGGGTTTGCTTCTGCCCTCTCCTGGGCAGCAAAAGAACAGGAGATGTCCCTCCTGGGACATCAACTCTTCCACAACAGGGCTGGGCACGCAGGACGCTCAGAAGAAGGAGCATGTGCCTGCCTTCAGCTTGTACTGTTCTTGTTGAGGGGAACAGGGTGGCCAACCCTAAAGGCCACCAGGCTGAAACTGAACCTGCTGGCCAGGGTGGGGCTTGGGGTCAGGGGGCCTGGAACTGTCCTGAACACAGCCACTTCCTGGCCGTGTGAGCTTCGTCGTGTCACTAAACCTCTCTGAACCTCTGTTTGTACTCAGGGCAAATGGAGGTGCCTACGCCTGCCTTCCAAGCTGCTGGGAGCTTAACCCTGGGTTACAAGCCTTTCAGCAAGAGCCCACAGGACTGTTAGCCCCTTTGGGACTGCATCTTACCACACTTTGTCCCCAGTGTCCAGCACAGTGACCAGCCCACCCCAAGTGCTCAATATGCGCGATTAGAGTGCATGGGGAGTGACAAGGCTGTAAAACACCATCCATGGCAGGAGCTCCTCTGTTCTGGGGGTCCCTGGCCCTGTCTGGTAGCCTGCCCTAAGCCCTGAGCTGCTGCCTGACAGAAGGGCATCCCCACACACTCCCCAGTGCCCCCGTGCCATGCCATCCCCACATCCTGCCCCCTCTGTTCTGCACCCACTTTCTTCTGAGATCCCTTCTCAGCAACAACCTTCTCCCCATCTTTAGCCTCCCCATCTCCTGCCCACCCACCTGAGCCTGGGGACGGTTCCATCCATGACCCTACACCCCCTCTGGCCACACTGTGTCTCTCTCCTTCTGCCCGTTGTCCACACACTCAATTCGCACCCTCACTTCACTACTGACCACTGCCCTCTGCCTTCAGCAGCCCCCTGACCAGCTGAGTGTCTAGTGGTCACTTAGGGTAAGTGTTATACGGCCTTTCTCTCACATGACCTTCCTGTGCGTCCTTCTTCTGGACACTTCTTGGCCTCTGAGCCAGCACTCTCATGCTTCTCTTCCCTTTGGCACCTAAATCCAGGTGGGCCCCATCTTTTTTCCACTCTGCTCCTCCCCAAGTCATCCCCCCGTCAGGAAGCAGCACCACTGTCTGCCCACGAGTGCCAGCTGGGAATCTAGAACTCAACCTGATTTTCCTCCCACCTCCCTCGGCCCCCAGACCCTGCCCATCCATCTCCCAAACCTCTGTTTCCACACATGCCCACGAGACCACCAAGAGCTTCAGCCATTCTTGAAGCCCTGGCCACAGGGATTTTTTTCTCAATCCCATTCCTGTCTCTGCTAAAAGCCTCACAGCGGCTGCAGGATAATGTGCACATTCCTGGCAAGGGCCCACGAGGCCCTGCCCGGGTGGGCACCCACTCTCAACCCTATGCTCCACTCTGAGCCCCGGCCCCATGTCTTCTCTTGCTGGCCTCCTATCCAAGAGGGTGAGTCCCCCAGGATCGTGGCTGTGCCTCAGTCCTCTCCAGATCCGAAGGCTCACCAGGGCTTGGCAGGTATTCAGCTAGTTGATGCCTAATGAAGGAGTGAATGGGCCTGGAGGATCATGGTGGGGAAACTCTGCCTGGGACAACTAAGAGCAGGGATGGGGTTCCCTTGCGGGGGCAGGGCCAACTCCCTACCCTGGACTTTGTTGGGGGTGGAGCACCAGGGAGACCCACAGCTGCCTCTTGAATAAAGCTCTGTGGCAGGGAACGTGGTATTATTGCACACATCGCACAGGGGAGGAAACAGGACCAGAGATGCAAAGCGACTTGTGGAGGTCACAAGTGGGGCCAGAGAGCTGCCTGTCTCTGGCCAATGTCCTAGATTCCCCCCCTGGGTAAGTCCCCTACCCCTATCATCGGTGCCCCTCCCTCCATATGCCACTGCAACTGGGAACCTGCTGGGAGCTGGAGGAAGGATGGGCAGAGGGGCCACCTGGCAGGCGCCCTGGCAGCCGGGGTGATCTGTCTTCTCAGGAGATGTCAGGACCTGGGCAGTCTCCTTCCTCTTTGGTCCTGGGGCCTGGGGTGTTGGCCCTTGCAGACCTACAGAGCCCTGGCTCATAGGTAAAGGGCTGCCGCACCTCTGCGCTTCTCAACACACACTCTCTGTGCACTCTGTTTGAGCCAGACCCTGGGCCAGATGCGAGGTTCAAAGAGCAAGGCCATTCCCCCACCTCCAGGGGCTCTGCTCAGATGGGCAGGCACCCTCCCACCGTCACTAGGACAGAGTGGCAGTGCCCAGCCCCGCCCGCCGGGTGCCGTTCCCCACCCTGGCCACAAGGCGGCGGGCTACCGCTGCAGAAGCCTGAGTGAAGGCGGCGGAGACCCAGGGAAGCCAAACCAGGACTACCCAGACAGCCTGGGTGGACCCCCTGCTGCTGTCAAGCGCTTCGAAGCCTTACCTCGTTTAAGGCTCACAACCCTAATCCTTAAGTATTGTGCTTACACCAGAGGACGCTGGGCCTGGGGGAACGTCCTCGCGTGTAAGTTAAGTGGCTGTCAGCAGCTGGCAGGTGACCCAGCAGAATCCAGTTCCCCTTTCCCTAGTCTCAAAACCTGAGCTCTGCATTGTAACGAGTCGGGCGGAGGGAACACCCAGCAGCGGGCCTACGGAGGCGTGTCTCCTTCGTCTGGGCATCCCGGACTCAGTCCTGGCACATAGTGGGCATCAGTGTTCATGGTAATGACATCAGGTACAGCGAAAGAAATCAGAGGCTCCCGAGGATCAGAGGTCATCTGTCCAACCCCTCCCTTTGGGCTAAAGAACAAACCGAGACCCTAAGAGAGGAAAAGAACTGCCCCTAGATCATCACACGGCCGGTGGCAGATGGCAGAACGGTTCTGAGCATCTTTTTTTCCCCTCGGGCTGCCCCTCTCTGAAAAGTTCCTAAAGTTCAAAATGTCAGGGTCGCCTAGAGTGTTCTGAGGATGTAAGACCTGTTTTTAAAACGTGCTCTATTTTCGATTTCCCAGATGAACACAACTGGACTCTGAAGAGGGGGAAAAAAACAACCTCACTTAACCGGACGTCTTTCTGAAACAAACCCATCAAGAGTTCTTTAAAAAAAGGAACTGAAATGCTGGAAGCACCCTCAAAGGGAAGCAGACGCCTGACTTTCACATCCACCCTCTCATCTGACCCCAGACTCCTGGGAGACGGGCAAGTCGGTTGGGCCGGGGCAGGCCCGCAATCCCCCGTTCCGTGCCCAGATGCGCTTCGGAATACAGAACAGCTGGGACTTGGAAAGATAATATGGGGCACACACCTGCAGTAGGTTATATAACCTCCCAGCAGGGCTTGGGGCAGCAGCCGACCATCGAGCTCATTTGCATTTCTGCAGCGAAACATGAATATTCACACAAGTGCGATAAATAAAGACCATCAGCAGCCTCACATCAGTTCAAGCGCAATTTTGCCACCAATTGGATTACGAAAAGCCTCTGGGCTTCCAGGGAGCTTTGGAGCTTGGGAATTGCTGATGAGGGACTGCGGGCGTGCACCCCTCACGTTTCGCGGTTGGGGAGAGGGAGCTCATCCGAAGTCTTCGGACAGAGGTGGGCGTCGTGCCCGACGCTGAGCGGAGCGGGTCTCCTTGCGCCCCGGCTCCGTGCGGGCGCGGTCCCTAGCGCGCCACCCGCCTCCGCGCCCCAGCGCCCGGGGAGGTACCTGCTCTGCGCTCTCCTCCGGCGGCGGGACGTGCAAGTCCTGGATGACCTCGTAGACGTTCTCTGAGTCGCTGCGCGCCAGAGGCCGCGGGCACACCCAGGAGCCCGCCACGCTGCAGGCCTTGAAGCTGCCGCTGCTTCCTAGGAGGCCGGCGGGAGGCGAGACGGCGGCGCAGGCCAGGTCGTTCAGGGACTGCGCGGGCCGCACGGGCGCCGCGGGCCGCAGGTACAGGCAGGCTGGCAGGCCGGGCGCCAGGCTGCTGCGCTGGGTCGCGGCGCCGCGTTGCGCAGGGCCGCACAGGGAGCTGGCTCGGCCTCCGGACTCCTCGGGGGCGCCGTCGGGGCCCGCGGTCGCCGCCGCGCTCACAAACCGGTAGTCGTAGGCGAGCGGCTCAGGGGCCGCGGGGCTCGGGTGGGGACCTGGCGGCGCGGCGGCGGCAGGGTTGCCCAGCGCGGGCAGCTCGCGCACGTACTGCGCAGGCAGGTAGAAGGGGCGGCCGCCGGGCTCACGCCGCACGTGCCACCAGTGCTCGGTGCTGCGCCGCAGCAGCCGGTAGCGCTCATTCGGCCGGATGGCCACGCGGCGCCCGTCCTTGCCGGTGTACTCGAAGGGGTGCTCCACCAGCACGTACACGTCCCCCACCACGTCCGCCGCCATCGCAGCCGCGGCGTTTTCCTGCGGGCAACAAGAAGGAGGGCCGCGGAGGTCAAGACCACCGAGCCTGGAATAGCCCCGCACTCGGGGACAGACTTGGGTTCGAGTCCCGATCCTGCACTCGCCGTTCGCCTTCGGGCCTCAGTTTTCCCATCTCTAAAATGGGAACTTGCATAAAATCACATGTAAGGCTTCCATTCTTACACTCAGTGCTGGAATTAGGACAGCCCTTCGTTCTGTGGGGTTGATTCTAAGATTTGACCCTTGCTTCAGTCCTGCGGTGGGGAGATTGTGGGTAGTCTTGGTCCAAATCGACTGCGAGGGAAGCCTTGGCTTTAAAACGAGGGGTGATTGCCCGCTCTAAGGTCGACACCACGCTTGCTTAATAGTTGACTGCGCCTTAGTTTTCCGTCAGTCAAGTAGGAAGAACACCCCATTTACTGCCGCTCCCCGGCTCTGTCCCGCCTGGAAGCCTCCCGCCCGCAGAGAATCAGCAGAGGGTCTCGTAGCACTGCCTCCCTCCAGCAGCTTGCGCCCCGACCCCCTGGTCAGAGTTGGAATGTGGGCTCTGTAGGGGGCCGAGCGAACAGCTCTACCTGGGGGCTGTCGCTGCCCCCCTTAGTCCGAGGGCCTTGCTGTAGAGGCCTCCGCTGCCAATGCAGGGGAACCGGTTCTCTCGGTTTCTCTTTCCTTCCCCAGCTGCATCACCGCAGACGTGAGCCCGAGCCCGGCCCGCCCAGCCCGGCCCGCACCGCCCCCTGCTCTCCAGCTCTCACGCCGCCCCCCGAGAAAGGCCCTGCCCCTGTGGCCTGTCCACCTGCCCTGTGACCCCTACAGTGTCCCCACGAGTGGCTCCTGGAGAATGCACTCTGAGACAGTGACTATAAGTGCGGAGTCCCAGAGCAGGGCCACCCAAAGCTCTCCGGAGTGGTGGTCATAAGCCCCGCTCCCGCCCGGGCTTCGGGGTGTCAGGGATGGGGGAGAGCCTAACTAAATCTGTCTGCGCCCCTCCACCAAAGCCATGAGTCGGTTTTCTCCGGAAGTGCATGGCCCCTCCAAACTCCCACACTGACCACACCTCTTCCTGCCCCCTAAGGTGGCCCGGACCCGGGGCCAGGAGACCGCCGCTTGCCGAGGCAGAGGAGCAGGTTCCAACGGGGGCCCCAGCAGGGCTCCTCCGCCACTTTGTCAAGCGTTCCTCGACGAGGAAAGGGTGTAAACTGAGTCACTAAGCACGCTGGGCCCCGGAGGCGGGGTCATCGAGCTGCCCGGTGCTGAACCAACAAACCCCAAGCAGGACACTCCCCCGGCGCCCCCTCCCCTTGGACCCCGCAGCGCACTCACGTCGGCTGGGCGGGCCTCAGGGAGCCCATGGGCTGGGTGGGCGGAGCCGGCGGTGGCTGCAGGTTAGGCCCCTACCATCGCCCTGGGCGGGGTTTCCAGGGGCGAGGCCGGAGAGGCTGCGCGGAACAGGAGCTGGCAAGCAGAGCGAAGAGGGACAGGGACGCTCAGGAGTGCTGTCACCGATACCCAAAGCAGCCGTGTCTGGGTGGGGCGAGGAGGAGCCTGAATGCCTCTGCTGGGGACCTTGGGGGGCATTGGGACGAGGCCCAGAGCAGAAGGCCGGCACCTGGAGCCGGGACTGCTGCGTCTGAAGGGGCACTGGCAGGTCGCGAGCGGAGCCCAAGGAGGATGGGACCGCCCCCGCTCCGCCTTCCCCCTCTATTCCCCGCCCCCCCACCCCCCACCCCCCGGGATTTGCTGTCCGGGAGTGCCTGCGTCCCTCCTGTGCGCGGCTCTGGGAATGCCGGGCTGGGGCTGGTTGTCTCGTGCGGGCGTTCCTGTTCCCGGGGAGGTCATTTGCACCCTGAATCACCCACTGCGAGCCCTTCCAACCGGATTGCAAATCCGCCCGCTCCGGGCCCACCTCTTCCCTCACCAGGGCCTTTCCCGGAGCAGCCCGGCCGGGCCTGGAAAAACTCCGAGCGGGATTCCCAGCGCAGGGACGCCCACCGGAGCTCGATGTCTCGGGCTGGATAAGAAGGGGACCGGACCTCGGTTCCTTCCCCGACCCTGGGGAAACGCAGAGAAGGGGAGGGATTGGGGAAGCCGGGAGGATCCCTGGAGCGCGACAGCGCACCAGTCGCCAGGAGGTCCCCTGCGTCCACTGCCCAGGCGACTCAAGCTACAGGGGCGTCAACGCCTGGGTCGGCGCTGGGGGCCTGGGCCTGCTTCCCTCCAGCCCCCAGATGGAGGGCAGCCCTTCGCCTACCTTCTCCTCCCCGTGGGATGCGGCCCGCGCAGCTCCCGCCCCAGCGCGGAGACAAGGGGAGCAGGCGCGCGGAGCTCCCGGGTGCGGACCCGCCACCTGCCGCACCCTTCCCTTCCCAACCCTGCCCTTTCCCCACCCCCACCCCACTTCCCACCCCCAACCCCCGCTCGGCGCCCCACTCCCGACCCTGCCTGCCCGGGCACCTCGGGGCGTCCGCTCGCCGGCTTCGCCTCCACTTGCCCCGGCAGGCGCGCGTGGGCTCGGCGTCCCGCGCTCCCTCCTCGACTGTGCGGCTCCCGCGCTGCCGGGTTTCCTGTTCAACAATATAACCAGGGAGGCACCGGCGGAGAGCGCCGGGCAGAACTTCCTCCCGGACTGGGGCTGGGCTGCGGTTGCGAGAGACAATCCCCGGTGTCCTGGCTTCCTGTCCCCTCTGGGCCGGGCCAGCGCCTGAGGAGCGAAGACGCCACCCCCTCCCCTGCCTTTCCCGGGATCCTGGGCCGCACCTGGCTGTCTCCAGGGAGAAAGAGGCTGCGGGGCTGAGATGGTGGGACTGGGGAGGGCGGGAGCCTCCCCCGCAGGTTCGCCTGGCCAGATTGCCCTCCCACCATCCCCCACCCCCTCTTGATCCTTGTGGGGAAGGAGGGCCACCCTCCAATCCGTCCACAGGGTAAGCTCAGAACAACCTCCAGGAGTCCAGCCCCAGGGCCCTCCGCCTTGGGGGTCTTCTGTTGGAGAATTTTCTGCCTCTCTGGACAAGCAGCCTCGCCCTGATCTGAGCCTGCACTCACTCCAGACATTACAAGCCACAGCCCCAGCACACCCCCTGCCCTCAGGGGCCCCAAGGAACAGTTGTGCCTGTGGACCTGGCTGTGTGTGCCAAGAGCTGGCTGATTCAGGCCAGTGTTCTGGGAGGAAGAAGGGCCCGCATCCCAGGCCATGGCCTCTCTTGACACCACCTCCTGGGGACCCAGGGTTGGGTGGGAAGCTGAATCTGGCCACCCAGATTCAGAGGAACTCCCTTACCTCTATATCTTTGTAAGATATAGTAAGTAAGGAACTCCCTTACCTCTATATCTTTGTAAGATATAGTAAGTAAGGAACTCCCTTACCTCTATATCTTTGCCTCTGCTAGGCATTGCCCACCTGTGAGTCCACACTTCCTCTGAGAATCTGTGTGTCTGAGCCTTGGTGGCACCTTGGGACCCTCCAGGGTGGGCACACAGCAGAACTCAGCACTGGTCTTTGGTGCCCGACATGCTTAGAAAATAGTGGCTGGTGCCGGGCACGGTGGCTCACGCCTATAATCCCAGCACTTTGGGAGGCCGAGGCGGGCGGATCATGAGGTCAGGAGATTGAGAAACCCTGGCTAACACGGTGAAACCCCGGCTAACACGGTGAAACCCCGTCTCTACTAAAAATATAAAACATTAGCCGGGCGTGGTGGCGGGAGCCTGTAGTCCCAGCTACTCCGGAGGCTGAGGCAGGAGAATGGTGTGAACCTGGGAGGCGGAGACTGCCGTGAGCCATGATCGTGCCACTGCACTTCAGCCTGGGCGACAGAGCAAGACTCCGTCTCAAAAAACAACAACCAAAAAAGAAAAAAAGAAAATCGTGGCTGGAGGAATCTTCTCTCCCTCCCTACCTTTTAGGTCCCTCTCCACCTGCAGCACAGCCAGGCAGTGGCTGGCAGTGGTGATGGTCTTTGCGTGGGGTCAGGCAGGTATGATGCCCCACTCTGCTGCTTGGCGGCTGGTAGGCCTTGGGAGTTCTGCCTTATCTCTGCAGCTCAGATTTCTTTCCTGTCAATGGGATAGTAACACCCACTTCACTGGATTATTGGGAAGATTAAATGAGGTCCACTAAGCAGTGCTTACCACATGCCCAGCGCACACAATATATCAGCTATTTTTTTTAAGACAGAGTCTCACTCTGTCTCCCAGGCCGAAGTGCAGCGGCACGATCTTGGCTCACTGCAACCTCCGCCTCCGGGTTCAAGTGGTTCTCCTGCCTCAGCTTCCTGAGTAGCTGGGATTACAGGCACCCGCCATCATGCCCAGTTAATTTTTGTATTTTTGTAGAGACGGGGTTTCACCATGTTGGCCAGGCTGGTCTTGAACTTCTGACCTCAGATGATCCAACCTCCTCGGCCTCCCAAAATGCTGGGATTACAGGTGTGAGCCACCATGCCGGGGTACATCAGCTATTATGACTACTTACATTATATGATAAGCTCTTGGGGGTTGGACTGGAATCTCCAAACCACCTGTCCTCCTTCAGAGAGAAGAGGAAAAGGGGAAGTCTCAGCTACTCAGGAGGCTGAGGCAGGAGAATTGCTTGAACCCGGGAAGTGGAGGTTGCAGTGAGCCAAGATCACGCCACTGCACTCCAGCCTGGGCATTGGAGTGAGACTGTATCCAAAAAAAAAAAAAAAAAAAAGGGAGGGGAGAAGGGGAAACAAGTGGCCTCAGGGGCGCTTTGCTGAGGCTGGAGAGGGCCTGAACCCACCGGCAGGGCAGCACCAGGTCACGTGCTGTGGCCCTCCTCTGGGCCTCCCTCTCCCAGTTTCTCTTCTCTTCTCCGGGCCTACCATCTACTGTCCTGGAGGGAGGTGAAGCCCTTGGGGGAAGCTGGGGCACCTAGATTGGCAGAGGGTGCCACCTTGTAATCTGAAAGGGGCCTTTAAGGACAGGAAATCTCAGACCTGAATGTTGTCTGTTTCCATCCCATTTTACTGCAACCTGATTTCCCTGAGAATTAAGTCTGTTTCCTGCTCCTGTTCTTAAAATGGACAGTGGTGTGGGCCTCCCCTTGGAGGGGTCCCCTGGGCTTCTCCTGGAACTTCTGAGGAAGGTCAGCAGCCAAGTAAAAGTCATTTTGAGCCCTAAAACCATGAGCCCTGAATCGGGGGATCCACTTAAATAACCCTTCTTTCCTGAGCCCCATCTCTCCTTTATTTCTCCTCTGAGAAATGTCCCCTGTATCCTGAGGTTTCACATGATCCAGTGTCAAGGGTCTGTGTTTTGACATTTAAGTCACAGGAAAAGAAGCCACCGGCGTGGGATCAGCTTGAGTTGTTATACAAGTGTGGGTACACCTCCCCAGAGACCCTGAGATCCTACCCCAGGAAGAGCCTGACTGCTGGGCTTGGCAAGGTGGTTTTCTTACTCTCTTCTCCCTGCCCACTCCTGGCATGCAAGCCCTCTGCCTACAAGTGTTTGCCACGGACCTCCCAAGCCTTCCCCCGTGCCAGGGACTAACATGAGGGTAGGGGACCCTGACAGATGGTAACAGATGGCTGGTGGTCTCCCCCCTGGCCGTGGCAGTGTTAGAATTCAGAAGCCAGACCAGTGATGAGAAAGATCAGGTCTTTACTGCAAAATCATTCAAAACTCACACGGCAGCAATTCCTTCAATACATTGCAAAGACTCCTCAGGGCCAGAGCCCTGCTCACTAGGAACAGTGTATTGCATAAAATAACATTTTAAAAATAGTGTGGGCACTACCTTTCTGAGGGAGGGGAGGCGGGAAGAGTCAATGCATCTGAAAGCACTGGCAGCTTCTGGGGAACGGGCCCCCCAGGGCCTCAAACCTGCTGCCTCCGAGGGCACCTTCGGGGAGAATCCTCACAGGCCCAAGCCCTCCCCAGGCCAGGCTCCTGCCCACTCAGGGATGGGGCAATGAGGGCTCTGACTAGGCTGGGCTTGTGGTGGAGCGTTAATGTGGGCCATGGCGGTGCATAACCCAGCTCCTGGCTTAGGAGGCATTGGCGTCTGGGCACAGGTGTGTGCCATGACCGGGAGAAGCTGTGCGCAGCCTCCACCTGCCTGCCACCGTTGCCTCTGTTCTGCTGCACAGGCATCCAGCTCCAAGGCTGGGTGGGTGACTCAGCAGCTAATCGCCCCCAGGGAAGGGTGGGGGTGGGCTCATCTCTGACAGTGACATGCGGCTCTCCACCTGAGGCCTGACTCCAAGCTGAGCGCAGGTAAGACAGCTAGGACTGAGGGCCTGCTAGGTCCAGGAGAGGTGGGGGAAGGCGACAGAGAGACCAGCAAACCCACATTTCCCCGAAGCCTGGAGGGTCTGACCATCACTTTGAAAACAATTCCAGACTCCCACCCCAGCCCCAAGGCCCCTTCAAAGGCAGTCCTGCTCCGGGGAACTTCTTCAGTCTCCAGTGTCCCGGCTGGGCAAGTTCAGTGATGCTTTGGGAATTCATGGCTTTGTGAGGTGGTGGCTGCATCCACAGGGCAGTTCCCCCGCACGCCCTGCACAGCTTAGGACCAGGTCACTTCTCCACAGTGCAGGGCGTGGCTGCCTGCCCTCTCTGGGGTCCTGCCTATCTGTGCCCTGGCAGGGGTCAGTCAGGCAGAGAGTGTGACCCCGGGCACCCACCAAGGTGGGCCTGGAGCATCTGCAGCAGCGCCCCTGTCTGTAGAGGGGTGAGGAGCGCACGGGGATCGGGGGTGGGCAAGACGGCGACCCTCCATAAACCGAGGAGGGCTCAAAGTGCTGACAGTGCTGGTTTCCAGTCATTTCTCCTTCTCCTAATGGGGCCAAGGCCCCAGGCTAGAGAAGAGCTAGGGGCTCTGACGCTGAGAAAGCGGTGGGCTCAGCAGGCGAGACGCACTGGGGTGGGGAGTAAAGAGGACACAGAGGAACCGGGGTCGCCAGGACTGGCCCTGCCCTGCTGAGGGGCGGTTTGGCACTGGCAGTGAGGGCCAAGGAAAGGCACTGGGTGGGCCCATAGACCCTGTCCCAGCAGTGGCCTGCCCACCAGCCACCCGCTACCTCTAAGCCAGGCCTGAGTGGCTCCTGTGCATCCGCTGGGGGTGAGAATGTCTGGATTTCATGGGTGACTCACGTAGGGTCAAGAATAAAAAAATACTTTC
Organism: Homo sapiens; assembly: GCF_000001405.40. NCBI lineage: Eukaryota > Metazoa > Chordata > Mammalia > Primates > Hominidae > Homo > Homo sapiens. Next base: position 127,947 of record NT_187663.1, read on the forward strand.
TGTTGAAATATGAATGGGAAAAACCCACCTTAAAAAACTAGACCTTTTAATCAGGAATGTGGAATTGAAAATGCTCCCCAAGTCCCCTTTCCACAGTGTTTGGGCAGCCCTAACGGAGGCGCCGGGACGCTGGTGAGCCAGGGCCTGGTGAGTAAACGGCCCTGCCTGCCCCAGACAGGGAGCATCTGGTGGTGGCCACGCCTCCTGCAGCAGAGGGGTGGGGGGAGGGCCAGGGGACACCACGGGGACTTCCTGGGCTTTCTCTGGGAGGCCGGTGCTCTGGCCACATCTGAGGGTCTTCCTGACAAGGGGACACAGCTGTGACACGGTGAGTATCCTGGGCTGATGGCAAACCCAGCCGGGATGGCTGAGCCACACTCACCCCCGGCTTTCAGAGCGGGGTCAGCAGATGGGCATCAGGCGAAAATGTTCTGTTCCTGGTACTTGCGCCGGCGGGCACAGCGGGGGCAGCCCTTCTTCACCACAGCCTGGCAGCTCTGGTGGAAGACGGTCTTGCACTCGGCACACCTGGGGAGAGAGCAGTAGGCCTGCTGGTGCCGGCTGGGCTGGAGGTTGCCCTGTGGCCACGCTGGCCAGCCCTTTTGACCAGAACCCACGATACGGCTGTGATGTACTGTGTAACCCATGCACGCACACCGTGCCTCTCCGTTCTGGAACAGGAGAGTCTTGAAACAGTGCTTACCCATACGTCACACAATGCACACTGATATTCTCTGTCCTATTGCATTTTTTATAAATGCTGCTTGAGATTCATTAAAGATCTCTTGCCTATATTTAAAAAATATTTACGGCCAGGCGCAGTGGCTCACGCCTTTAATCCCAGCACTTTGGGAGGCCGAGGTGGGCGGGTCACAAGGTCAGGAGATCGAGACCATCCTGGCTAACACAGTGAAACCCTGTCTCTACTAAAAATACAAAAATTAGCCGGGCGTGGCGGTGTGTGCCTGTAGCCCCAGCTGCTGGGGAGGCTGAGGCAGGAGAATGGCATGAACCCGGGAGGCAGAGCTTGCAGTGAGCCGAGACTGCACCATTGCACTCCAGCCTGGGCGACAGAGCAAGACTCCATCTCAAAAAGAAAAAAAAAATTTTTTTTACTTACTTTATTTATTTATTTTTCAGAGTCTTGCTCTGTTGCCCAGGCTGGAGTGCAGTGGCACGATCTCGGCTCACTGCAACCTCTGCCTCCCGAATTCAAGTGATTCCCCTGCCTCAGCCTCCCAAGTAGCTGGGATTACAGGTGCCCACCACCACACCTGGCTTACTTTTGTGTTTTTAGTGGAGACGGGGTTTCACCATGTTGGCCAGGCTGGTCTTGAACTCCTGACCTCAAGTGATCCACCTGCCTTGGCCTCCCAAAGTTGTGGGATTACAGGCGTGAGCCACCACGCCCGGCCAAGATGGTATAATTTTAAAAACTCAGCCCCAGGCCCATTCAGGGCTGCATCCCGGCCAGTGGACACCGACAGAAAAAGAACTAATGTTCCCAGTTCAGTTTTCTGCTCCCACATGGGTTGCAGGAAGGTCTGGACAAATTTTTCCATTGAGAGGTTGCGGATAATGAGCAATAACTGGGAACAAGAGTGATCATTTCAGCAACAGACACAGTGGCAGTGGCAGGTACCACCCACCAGGTGCCACTTTGTGCCTGGTCTCATGCCAACAGTGCAGGGTGGTAACTCATACAACCCTCCTCAACCCATGCATACACTGAGGCGCCAGGAGGCTCCACTCAGAGAGCCGGCAGCCACCTCTTCTTTAGGAAGAGAGATGGTTCCATAGAGGCAGAGGAGTCCTGGGAAAGCTTGTCTTGTCCCCTGAGCTGGACTGGAGCTGGCCATGACTGCCCAGAGCATGGGCTGCCCCAACAACTGCACCACCCCTTGGCACAGCACAAAGTGGATGTTCAATAAGTTCCTGCCCACAGAGCGAAGCCTGCTGCCCTGCGTGCTTGGGCCAGGCTGTGGGTGTGGGGAAGGGTGGGGCTGGAAGGCGGCTGGCTGGGTGTCCCGCATACCTGACTGTGGTGTCAAACTCAAAGGGGAAGATGATGTCGTGGTGCTGGCAGATCTGGCAGATGAAGCCGCGCTGGGTGCACAGGTCGCAGTGGTAGACATGCTGGGAGGCAAATTCAATCAGGGCCTTGAGGAATCCTTCATACACCCCGTCTGCGATCTGCGGAGGGCAAGTAGGAATCCTTCATACACCCCGTCTGCGATCTGCGGAGGGCTGGTAAACTGAGGCCCCAGGCCTTTCAAGCAGCTGCACTGAGGTGCCATGGCACCCTGCCTGGAGAACTTCTACCCCCCGTTTCCACACGGGCAAGAAAAGAAAACCTCCCTGAATCAGGCTGAGCAATGCCAGCGTCCAGCCCGTGGGCACTGAGGTCACTGGGGGCTAATGGGATTTATAGCTGAGACCCAAATTCACTGTACCCTCCCCTTGGGGAAAGGAGTATTCCAAACTCTCTTCCCTGTGATCCTGGGGTTGCTGGAGTGCTTGTTTATTCCAGGGGTGCTGGGGGTATCCGTCCCTGCCCAGGAAGCTGGGGCAGCAGGGCAACCCACCCTGAGCTGCAGAAAAGCTACAGACTGCTGTCTTCTTCAGTAAACTACAGACACCCCCTCTTCCATCTTCCTTGCTGACTTCTCTGGGAATGAAGTCTCTCTAGAGGTCTGGGCGGGGGAAGCATGACACTCTTACCTGTTGGAGGTCAGCAACACTGAACCTATGCGGAGATTCCAAGAGATAATTCCTGTGGTTGAGCCTTCAAACAAAACACAAGCGATTCTTTAGAAAGGTTTCCAGAACCCAGGCTAGCCTGTGTTGTTTGTTTACACTCCCCTGGCGCTGCTCACCAGGCAGACACCCCCCGCCTGGGCGGGGCAGGGGCTAGGAGTGTAATTCGGCCTGCCTGGGCTTGGGGCCTGGTCTTCAACGTAACTAACTAGCTGGTGGGACCTTGGGCACGTTACTTAACCTCTCTGAACCTTGGGTTTCCCTCTCTGGGAAATGGAGTTGTCTGGATTAAGTAACTTATTTAAAGCATTTGGCTTGGTGCCAAGCTCACAGTAAACACGTAATTAATCATGAGAAGGAGGATGGGTGCAGACACCTGGGACCAGGAACTGGGCTAAGAGCTTCATACGCATTCATTCATTTGATCCTCACAATAATTCTGTGAGGCTGGTACTATCACAATCCCAACTCTGAGAAGAGGAAACAGAGAGGTTAAATCACTTGCCTGAGGTCACACAGCTAGTAGGTGGGAGAGCTGGAGTTTGAACACAGGGGCCTGGCTCCAGAGCCTGCACCCCTGTCCACCTAGCAAATGCCTAGAGATGCAGGCTGTTGTCATTATTGCCACCATTACATACCAGGGACAGTGCTGGGGACAGCAATGCACAGGATATGGCCTCTGCCCTCCTGTGGCCCCTGGTTTGGCCGAGGGACAGACATTCAAGTGTCTGGTTTCAGTGCTACACTGGTTTCAGTGCTGAGACGTGTCCTAAGCACAGCAGATCCCATTTCAGAGGTGGCCGGGGGAGCAGAGAACAAGGGCTCAGCCGCCAACGCAGCTCTAGTTTCTACCACACCAATGGGAGGGATCCAGGGGGCCCCATCCTGATGGGGAGGAAACACCTGCAGAAAGTCCCTTAGTGCAAAACCTGCCTGGCCTGGCTGTGTGTGTTTACATGGGTACTGGGGGTGGGAGGTTACTCCAAGTCAGAGGATGCTTGGGAACCTGCCCCAGGATGCCCCAGACATCTGGGGACAGGATGGTGCCAGCCCTGGGTCTGGGCCTCCGGGGTGCAAACTGTGGAGCATCTGGAATGGGGGCTTGGCCTTGTCCCAGCTGGTGGCTCAGCTGTGGTCCAGGGGAGCCCAATCCGGGGTGGAGAGGGTGAGTCTCACCAAGCAGCCACACAGGCCAAGATGCCAACTGGCCCCTCAGTTTACCATGCTGGTGTCCCCAGTAAACTTCCTGCACTCTAGGAAGGGAAGCTGCCATTTGTCACCAAGAAAACATGGGACACAGCAGGCTGGGGGGACACAGGTTGGCCTTCAGCTGGCAGGAGGGTGGGCGGATCTGGATGGAGAATTAGCTTTGCCATCTGTCCTCTGACCACAGTCGTGGAAGCCCTGGGAGCCCCTGTGCCCTGGGCCTGTCACCCTCTCAGCAAGGACTTGGAAGTGGCTTCTCCGCAGTGCTCAGTCAAGGCCAGAGGGGAGAGGGCGCTGACCCAGGGGTGAGAGGCCACTTCTCCTGGCCTCCAGGAGAGAAACTCTCATGCACTGGGGCACAGTCAGGCCTACTTGGGGCCTCAGTTTCTCCACCCACACAATGAGGAGAACCCTCTTTGTCCTCTGGCGTGAGGCTGGCTACCTGGGAAAGAGACCAGAGGAATCTGGACGGCTCTCCGGGAGAGAAGAAGATGAGGGGAAAGGTCGAATCTTAGTTCCTGGAACCGATGAAGTGATGGGGAAGGAAAGGGCCAGGCAAGGGCTGGAAGATCCGGGGGACATGGGTGGGGGGCCTGGGTGCCACCTGTCTCCTGAGCCCTGGCTCCTCCTCTGCCCACCCCTTCCCGGCTGTCGGGAGGGACAATGAGGTCTGGTGGGTGGACAGGGTGTGGGGCATTTCTGTGATGGCTTCCTCCCAAGGGCTGGAGAGGACACTGTCAGGGGCTTCTCTGGCCCTTGGAGACATGTCCCAGGTCTGCCGGAGAGAACCCTGCCAGGCAGCTGCCACTAGTGCAGGACAGCTCCTCCCTGACTCCCTGACATCCAAGACCTTCCCATGTCTCAGCCCTCTCCTCTCAACCTTCCCTCTGGCTGACTCGGTCCAGGCCCAGCTCCCTGGGCTAATTACTAACACCAGCTGCCACCCAGGGCTCTCCCCTTCACCAACTGCACTCCACTGGGGCCAGAATGGTCTTTTTGTGTGTTTGTTTTGTGTTTTTGAGACAGAGTCTCACTCTGTCTCCCAGCCTGGAGTGCAGTGGCGTGATCTTGGCTCACTCCAACCTCTGCCTCCTGGGTTCAAGTGATTCTCCTGCCTCAGCCTCCCTAGTAGCTGGGATTACAGGTGCCTGCCACCACGCCCGGCTAATTTTGTACTTTTAGTAGAGACGGGGTTTCACTATGTTGGCCAGGCTGGTCTCAAAATCCTGACCGTAGGTGATCCAACCACCTTGGCCTCCCAAAGTGCTGGGATTACAGGCATGAGCCACCGCACCTGGTCTTTTCAGAGTGGTCTTTTCTAAGCCGCTGACCGGAAGTGACAGCCCTATGCTCAAAACCCTTCAATGGTTCCCCACAGGTGGCAGATCAAATCCAAAGGCCTCGAGGGCCCTTTGAGTTCTGGGCCCTGCACCTGAAGCCCAGCTGCCCAGAGCCCCTCAAGGGTGTCAGTGAGCTGTGCTCCTGCCAGCCTCTTGCTACCGGTCTCTTAGCCAGGAAAGCCAGGTTCTCCTCTGCCCTTTCTACTCTTTTCTCATTTTTCTAAGCCCCAGTTCAACAGACACACAATGCCACTGGTGTGGCAACATGTGTGTGTGGATGGAGTGAGGTGCAGAAACAGGTGGTGGTGGGCTCTGAGAAGGGCTGATTGAATGGTCTGCTTTATTCCCTTTCATAAATTTTCCTCGCTTGGAAGATTGACCTTTGTAAAGAAGAAAAACATTTTAGAAGGAAAAAGGAAAATATCTCTGCATGCCCTCAGCTCAGATGCCATCTCCTCTGGGAGCTCCTCTGGCCCCTGCCAAGGCTGGATCAGGTGCCCTCAGGGCACACACGATGCTGACCCAGGGCCATCTGTGGCCCAGACTCTGGGTCCCTCATGCAGCTCTCACCACTGCTCAGGAGGCCACAGGAACAGAGGAATCACTGGCCCATTTTATAGACGGGAAAGCTGGACCCGGAGAAGTGAAGCAACTTTCCTGACTCACAGTGGGTGAGGGCCTCCCACACTCTTTCCCCTGCCCCATGCTGTTTCCATGGGACTTCCACAGGCATGGGAAGCAGGCTGAGCGCCTAGCAGGAGTACAGCGCTGCTGCCCAGGGATGGAGCAGGAGGGTCAGGGAGAGAGACAGGGCTGCCCCTGGTGCCCACAGAGACAGGTCTGTAAAGCCGATGAACAGACTCTCTCAGCAGGGTGGGGATGGGTGAATGGGGCTGGGGTCCACAACCCACCCCACAGGCATCTGGTCTACACAGGTCTGCATGCCTGTGCAGGTACCTGGCTCCTTGACCAAGGAGGGTGATAAGGCCCCACCTGACCCCAGAGATTTCACCACCTGGTTAGGTGGGCAGGAGGATAGTCTCTCTGGAGCCCTGGGTCATGGACTCTCAGAGGTAGGGAGTAAGTCAGCGCTTGCCAAGAGGTGGAGACCCAGTCACCCACGATGCTTGGGATGGGCAGAGCCTCCTGGGGTGAAGTCTTCTAGGGTCTAGGGTCCCACATGGTGGTCCCTGGAAGGCTTTCTGTTCTTCCAGGCCCTACAGAGGAGACCAAGGCTCAGCTGGCAGCTGTGGGGCCAAATTCTCCTCTCTGCCTAGGGGAGAGCCCCCTGCAGTACCCCTTGAGAGCCCCTGGGGACCTGCTCGAGGCACACCCTGGCCCTGAGGAGGCCCGGCTCTGGGAGCACTGCAGCCAGGATGGAGGAGGCAGTCTTCAGAGAGGCGCTCTCTGGGCCAGCCCTGTGGGGAGGGAAGGCCAGACGGGGGAACCTGGAGGGGCTTGTGAACTGGTCCCTGCCCCCAGAAACCCAGCAGAGGTTGATTTGAAGCCCATTCTGGGCAGTAGGCACCGGCAGGCTTCTCCGCCTGAGGTCTGCCCTCCTGAGGGTGCTGGGAGAGTACAGCCCTGGGAAGACTGCAGCCTGGGCGTGACCTGAGGACTAGGAAGCGTTTATGACAGGCATGGAGAGGCCTAAGTCCCTGTTGAAGCCCAGCATCACATCCCATTCCTGAGCACCAAAGGCCCCAGGCCCTGGGTAAGAGAAGCTTCCTGAAGGGCATCCTGAGGGCCCCGCCCGGATCACGTCTTCTTTGGAGAATTTCAGGAGGGAGGCTGGCATGGGCCAGACGACTGGCTGGTACAGGGAAGAGATGGGAACATCTGGCCCTCACCTGCCTCTCGCCACACTCCCCACTTCCCTCCTCACTGTAGCCAAAGTTCTCCCTGGGCTTTCCACCAACGGTGCCTTCGTTCATGGCCTGTGCGTGCCATTCCTTCTGTCTAGAATGCTCTTTCCCCCTTTGCTTCTCCTTTCTGATTCTTCCTAATTTTTCAAGTCTCACCTTATAAGTCACTTCCTCCAGGAAGTCCTTCCTGCTTTGTCCTCCTCTGATCTGGGCTGGATGTCAAGCCTCTGTGGTTCCAGGACGTCCTGCCTCTCACCCTCACCCCCAGATGGAGTTGCTGGCTTTCCCACCTGTCTCCCTCTCACCCTCACCCCCGGATGGAGTTGCTGGCTTTCCCACCTGTCTCCCTCTCACCCTCACCCCCGGATGGAGTTGCTGGCTTTCCTACTTGTCTTCCCTGCCAGGCCAGAGACTTCCGGCGGGTCGGCCCTGGCTCTGTCCTGCTCATTGTTGGAGCCTACATGCCTCGCCAGGTGTGCAGTGCTTAGTATGTTCTCAGTCCATGTTTTTGAGTGAACAAATAGATACATGAACAAAACCCCAAAATCACCCCCAAAAGATGTGATCATTTCGCAGGCCCAGTGGGAAGATCTCTGCCCAGGTTTCCTCCAGGTGGACGCCTTGCCCTGGGCACTGCCCCTGTGTGTGTGTGCATGTGCACGAGTGCCTGCATGTGTGTACATTTGTGCACATGTGCATGGGTGTGGATGTCTATGCATTTGTGTATAAATTTATGTGTGTGGGTATGTGTGCACATGTGTATGTGTGTCTGTGTGTACATGTGCATATAAGTATGTGTTTGTGTGCATGCATGTGCGTGTGTACGTGCACTCACACGCATACACGTAGAGGTTGCTCACCTCTTGCTGAGCTCCTTCAGGGCGCCACTCCGGCACAGGCCCAGGTAATCCCCCAGGAGCTTCAGCTGCTCCCGTCTCCTCCCAATGAGGTGCATCCGCTCCACATGCTCGTACAGAGACGCGTTCACCATCTGCAGGTTGATGAGGGGCTGGGCCCGGATCTGTGTCAGAAACTTCAGGGCCTGCCTGCAGATCTGGGGGTACCACCAGGCATTGGGGATGGGAAGGAATGGCTGTTCAGTGAGCACTGCCTGGCCAGGTGCCACATGACCTGCTCACTTACCTGAGGGGCTATCTTCATTTTACAGATGGGGAAACTGAGGCTCAAGGAGATGAAGAGATTTGGCTAGGGTCACCCAGCTTGTAAATGGTACAGTCAAGCTCTGAACCCAGTTTATCTGACTCCCAAACCCGCTCTCCCTCTAATGACAAGGGTCACTGCCCCCTCCCCAATCATGCTGAGATGAGGGAGGGACTGCTCTGATAACGCCCCCTCCCTCTGGGCCTCACAGATCCTTCCCACTCTTTCCTGTCCTCCCAGCCCCTATTTCCCCCCACTGAAGGAAACAGGCACTCCCTTCTGTGCCCTGACTCAGGAACCAGGTGACGGGCTGAGTCAGGCTCCAGCCACAGGAAGCTACAGATCAGACACAGCTCACCAACAGGCTTCCCTGAGCTCCCTCGGCTCACACCAGTAGCAACACCGGGACTCCGTGTGCAGCTGAGTGATCCATCTCAGTCTCTCCTGGCTGACAGGGTGTTGAAGGTTCTACCCTTGGCCCTGATCCTAATACCAATGCCAATAATCGAGCGCCTACTATTTGCAAAACACTGGGTCAGGAACTTGACCACATCCTCCCGTCATTCTCAGAACAACACGTTAGGGAGGGTGTCCCTGTCCCCGTTTTCTAGATAAGGAAACGGAGGCTTAGAGGGGCTAACGTAGCTTATACAACCTGCCTGCAGAACCTGCCAGGTTTGAGCTGAGGTGTCATCTCTGAACACCAGGCTGCTGCACTAATCAGAAGCCCCCTCCCCTGCAGTGATCTCGCTGTATCATAAGGACGGAGGAGCTGTTGTCTCCACAGCCGACAAGTGCACAGTGACTAGAAGTCTGGCTTTGGCCTGGCTCAGATCTTTAACATCTTAACTAGTCCTCTCGTTACATATTTTATTTCTGGTGGCTTTGTTTTTGATACTATTATAAGTGATTATCTTTTAAAATAGTAATTTGTTTGCTGATATATAGAAATGAAATTGATTTATTTGACTGTCGTATCCAGCAACCTTTTCAAATTCTGATAAATTGTGTAGGGGAAAAAAAGTCTGGCTTCGGAGTCAGAATGGAATTGAATCCTGCCTCCACCACTTTATACCTGTATGAATTGGTGAAACTTATCCCTCTCTGTGACTCAGTTTCCTCATCTGTAAAATGGGGAAAATGAGAGCAATTAAGGCTCACGGGTTTGGGGCCTTTTCGTTCGCTGCTGCTGCTTTAGTGCTTTGGCCCGGCACTCGGCAGGATGTCAGCCCAGGACTGGAGCTTCTTTTTCATGGGATTATTTTGAATTCAGATTAAAAGAGGTATTCCAGGAGAGCTCCTGGCATAGGGCCTGGCAGGTGGCACATCCCCAGTAAATGTGAGCTGCTATCAGCTGCTGTGTGAGTGCCTGGTGTGGCCCTGTTGTCCCCTTGAGGGTTGGGGGACTAAACTGGCCCTCAGGAGACCTGCCCCTGTATTTGGGGGCTGAGGGGGCCTCTGACCTCTTGTCTCCCAGCTCCACCAGCATCTCTCACCTCCCCCAGCAATGGACAACCTCTTCTTTTCCCAAAGCCTGGGGCCCTGAGGTACCAGCCCCCCAGCCCAGGGACAGCCCAATGGCAAACTCCTGGTGACTTGGGTCAAGCTGCTGTTCTCCAGTCCTAACTCAGCTCTTCCCATGACTTGGCCCCAGGCCTTGGGTGAGGCTCCAGTGAAATAACACACAGGAATGTGCGCTGAACACTGCCAAACACTGCAGATGGGCAGGGGCTTTGTGCTCCCCAGCGACTGTTCCTATCCTGCGGGAATGGAGGAGACAGAAAGAAGCCCCACTCCTGGGCTGACATCCTGCCAGTGCCAGCCAGGCCTCAGCACCAGTGGGTCAGCCAGGCCTCAGCACCAGTGGGTCAGCCAGAACAGCAACGGCGAACAATAAGGCCCCAAACCCGTGGGCCCCCTACTTTCTATCTTGAGTTTCCCTGTCTTTCCTAGGCCAGCAATCTTTGAGAGGGAGAGCGAGCTGAGGATTTCCTGATCTCAGATATGCCTAGAAAACGATTGTACTTTTCTTTTTTTTTTTTTTGAGGTGGGGTTTCGCTCTTGTTGCCCAGGCTGGAGTGCAATGGCGCAATCTCAGCTCACCACAATATCCGCCTCCCAGGTTCAAGAGATCCTCCTACCTCAGCCTCCGGATTAGCTGGATTACAAACATGCGCCACCACGCCCAGCTAATTTTTGTATTTTTTAGTAGAGACAGGGTTTCTCCACGTTGGTCAGGCTGGTCTCAACTCCCGACCTCAGGTGATCCGCCCACCTCAGCCTCCCAAAGTGCTGGGATTACAGGCATGAGCCGCTGTGCCCAGCTAGGATTGTACTTTTCTAGTTAGAAAAGGAAGTGGCACAAGGATGAGGGCAGTGAATAAGGAGATGGCTCAACGGAAGTATCAGGGTCCTGTAAATAGTTAACGTGTTTTATGATCAAAGGGTTCTTTGCATTTTTGGTGATTTTGAGGCTTAATTTCCTCTATGTAGTTAGTTAAATATTTAACACTGAGAGCGAGGGCGGGGACAAGGCAAACAACAAAAAAATCAAAATGAAGCCAACTTCTGCGGGGTTTCCCCGCCCCAGGGAGGTGGAGGTTGAGGTAGAACTGACTGAGAGAATCACCCTGCACTATGATGAAGACACATCCACACATCAGGACTACATAGCTGGCAGGCCCTGGCTCTCCAGAGGAGCAAACAGCTTCTTCCTTGTGTTTCTGTGTCTGTCTTAGTAGAAATCTGTGCCCTTGGAAGAAAACCAAATTTGCACCCCTTGAGGCAGACACTAACCAAGTGAATTAGGTAGATGGGTGGATGGGTGGGTGAATATAGGCAGGAGGTGTGACAGGCCCCAGGGAGAGAAAGGACACTGTTCTTACTGACAGGCACACACTGCCACACCTGCCCTCCCAACAACCCCGACACAGACACTGTTGTTAACCCTCCTTTTACAGATGAGGAAACTGAAGCTAATTTGCTCATGGTAACACAGGTAGGAAAGTGGCTAAGTTCAGCTGGAGAAAAGGAAAATTCTGAAAGACTTTAAGATACATCTTATTCAAAAGCATTTGGTGAACATAAAAAAGTACCCAAGGCATAATATTAAGTGAACCAAGCTTCTTATAAAGCAGTATGAGTCCTGTGTGATCCCAACTTTATAAAAAATAGATGCATATGTCAATAAATGCACAGAAAAGGGTATACCCCGAAATGTTAATAATGGTGATCTCTTGGTTATGACACAGAATTTTGATTGGTCTTTGGGTTTTTCTGTAACTTTAAAATGTTAAACAATAACTGTGTATTATCTTAATAATGGGGGAAGTCACAGAAAAAGTGCTTTTCAAAAACATGAAATAAATAAGCCCATGTAGGGCCTACAGGGGAGTGCACTCACCTGGGCCTCATAGGGTTGGCAAAGGCAAGGATGACTGCTCCAAGGTATAGCCCTGGCCAGCCCATCTACCCATCCACCTACCTATTCACCCATCCACCCAGCCATCTACCCACCGTCCACCCATCTACCCATCTACCTACCCATCTACCCATTCACCTAACCATCTACCCATCTAGCCATCTGCCCATTCACCCACCCATCTACCCATCTACCTACCCATCTACCCATTCACCTAACCATCTACCCATCTAGCCATCTGCCCATTCACCCACCTATCTACCTATCTACCTACCCATCCACCTACCCACCAAGCCATCCACTCATCCACCTAACCATTTACCCATCTGCCTATCTAGGCACCCATCTACCTACCTATCCACCCATTCACCAATCTACCCAACCACCTACCCATCCATCCATCCACCAACCCATCCACCTAGCCACCTGCTCATTCACCTACCTACCTACCCATCCACCTAACCATCCACCTAGCCACCTGCTCATCCACCTACCTACCTGCCCATCCACCTAGCCACCTGCTCATTCACCTACTTACCTACCCATCCACCTACCTACCTGCCCATCCACCTAGCCACCTGCTCATTCACCTACCTACCTACCCATCCACCTAGCCACCTGCTCAGCCACCTACCTACCTGCCCATCCACCTAGCCACCTGCTCATTCACCTACCTACCTGCCCAGCCCCCTAACCATCCACCTAGCCACCTGTTCATCCACCTACCTACCTGCCCATCCACCATCCATCTATCTAATCTATCAAATCTATTTTATCTATCTATCTATCATTTATCTGCTGGTGCCTTAAGCAGTTATGTTTGTAGCTGCAGGAAACCATCCTCAAACTCTTTCCTCCTGGGGACCAAGACAGCCACCGATAGAGCCCTGCCCAAGGCTGTGGACAGGCACCAAGCTTTTCTCTTGGTTAGCTCCCCAACATCACAGTGCCTGAACCAGTGACCCTGGCTTCCCTTGTTTAGAGGAGCCAAACTCCTCTAAACAGATGAACAGCAGCAGCAAAGAGGAGTGAACACCCCTCTGTCCCTCAGCAGCTGGGCTGCTGGGCTTGAGACTTACCGGGCGCTTGGTGAGGTCCCAGTTGTGGATGATCCTGGCCGGAATCACTGAGGCATCGTCTTGGTGGCAGATGTCACAGTAATAGAGGCCAGAGAAGGCACAGAGCTTGGGTCGTACAAAGGAGAAGCCGATCTGCCGGGAGCAGCCTGGGGAGATGGGTGGAGAGTGAGTGGTGTGGCCAGAGTCAGCTCCTAGTAACTTGGGAGCTGCTGTGGTGGAAAGGATCTGCTGGTTGATTTTTTTTTAAGGTAGGCACAAACACAAGAATAACCACCACTCGTATTTCCACCACTCAGAACTCCCCTACTAATTAATCTTTACAACAACACACTGTAAGAACTATCATTATTTTACAGCTGAAGAAATGGATGCTCAGAGAGGTTAGGAAATCTGTCTGGTCACATAGTGATGAAGTGGCATGGCTGGCATTCAGATCTGGGTTTGGCTGGTTCCAGAGCCTGAGTTCTGCTCCACTACCCCTTGCTGCCTGTGTCCGGTGTCCCCACTGCTGGCTTGGCAATGCCAGCCTCCTCTAGGTCCACCCCTCCACTCGGGCCCCAGAATGGAAGCAGCAGAGTAGGGGCTGTGGCAAGCAGCGAAGTAGCTGGGGGACAGGGACCAGGGTCGGGGCTGGCAACAGGGAGCGGATGGGCAGCCAGCAGGGGGCAGGGGAGTGTGCACAGTGTCTGATGCCTCGGGACTGTGGGGTAGGGCTGGCTTCAGCCCCCTTGGTTGGAGGTGTCTCCACAGCCGGAGCCAGTGGGAATGGGAGTGGGATGTGCCCTGGGCAAAAAGCAGAGGCCCTGACTCAAACCCTGAACATGTGCCCTAACTCCTCCAAGGGCAGGCAGAAGGGTCCCCGGGCCTTGGGACCAGAGGGCGGGTTCTGCTCCTCACCAGCTGCCTCACCCTGACCTTCACCTGATTTCTTCAAGGTTCCATTTCAGTGACTGTAAAATTCAGCTACTACCAGCTATTTTGTGGGGTTATTACAAAGCTTAAATGAGACAAGGTTCTGCAAGTACCCTGCAAATTATGAAATACAACCCAGATGCCAGTGGTTGGTGTCTGCCACTGAGCCATGCCTGCTGGGTAGAAAGGAAACCCAAACTCCCCGGTGGCACAGTCCCACCCGCTGGTGGGTGGCAGCCATGGTGAGAGTTGCCCCCGCAGCATTCACACCCACAGGCGAGGAACCCTTTCTTGCAAGCCCTGGAGTCCTGGCCCCCTCAGAGCCTGGCCTTCACAGGCTGAAGAGCAAAGTGTGAGCGCTGGGGCAGGCGGGGGAGAGGTCAAGCGAGGCTTGCAGGTGTTTTCTGCAGGAAGCTCTGTTCTGCCTAGCTTCTCCCATCCTCGCGGGGCCAACCGCAGACCAATTCCTTTCAGATGCTTGAAACAGGCTTCCCTCCAGTCTGTGCCAACAGGACAGCTCCCAAACCAAGGCTCAGCTTCTTGCTCTGGCCTTCTGCAGCAGGACAACCCCCTCACAGGTCACCTAAGGGTCCCATGGTGATGGGATGCCATCTGCCCCTGGATGGTGGGGGGAGTGGGAGGGGCTAACAATGGAACATGGGCAGGGGGATGTCACTCAACCTTGAATAAGACCCTAGAGGGATGCCCTCTAGGGTCCTGCCTATGAGCAAAGGCTCTGGGGCCTGACTGTCAGGGTCCCATTTCTGCCTCTGGCCAGGCATGGTTGCTGATATCTGTAATCCCAGCACTTTGGGAGGCTGAAGCAGGAGGAACACTTGAGCCTAGGAGTTCAAGACTAGCTTGAGCAACAGGGGGAGACCCCATCTCTACTAAAACAAACAAACAAACAAACAAAAAAGGAAAATTCTGCCTCTGCCACTTACTAGCTGTGTGAGCTCAGTAGCAGACACCAACCAGGTACTTACCAGCTCTGTGCTTCAGTTTCCTCCCCTATCAACAGAGATGATAATAGTAGCGCCTATCTCTACAGGGTTGTTATGAGACTTAAATGAGATAATCCAAATAAAGCAGCTGGCCCAGTGCCCAGCACAGAAGTATTAGATTTGATGATGAGGAAGACATAGCAGATGTACTGACTTGGAATAACATCCACAGTGTAGGAAAAAACCAAGTTGTGGAACAATATATCCAGCATTCAACACAGCAGCCAAGAGCCCCGTGTGTCCCCTTTAAATGCAAATGAATTTAAATAGAAAATTCAGTTGCTTAACCACACTAGCCACACTTTAAGCACCTGGTAGCACTACATGGCTCGCAGCTATGGCACTGGACACACAGATCTAGGACATTTTCATCATCACAGAAAGTTCTATTGGACAGCACTGAATAGCACGAGCCCATTTTTATAATTAAAAAAAAGGGTGTACACTTATAAAAGCAGCAGAAATATTTGGAAGGAAACCATGCCCCTGCTCTGAAAGAACAGGACGGTAGAGCAAGAAGAAAATGAAGCAGGCTGGGACTCCCTGAGCAGCGCAGTGAGTAGCCAGCCTGCCGCCCATCAGTGGGAGGTGGCAGGAGAGGGACGGGTGAGCAGGGCCCACTGCCTATGAGCAGGGCACTGGCCCCAGCCGGGGCTGGGGAGGAGCAGAAGCTGTAGGGCAAGCCTGATCTGTGGCCTCATCCCTAGGGGAAGGATGGGGGCATTTGCGGGGAGGCAGAAGGGTGGGGAGCCTAAATCAGGAACCAGCAGGAGGTGGAGTGAGGCTGGCAGGCTGGGGGTGGCAGCAGAGCAAATCGGCACCTGCGCAGAAGCAGCCTTGGGAGTCAAGGCCTTTCTCCATGGGGATAGCCACCAGGTACTGCAGCAGGAAGCCATTCTCCCGGGTGGCAAATTTCAGCACCTCCTGACAGTTTTCATCCAGGCTCCCGCCCAGGGTCACCGCCTCCTCGGCTGTCTCCAAGTAGGATGCCAGGACTTTGCGGACCAGATCCCTCCACAGGGCGGCTTCCTCGGCGTTTCCGGCCTGCAGCTTCAGGACAGCCTTGGCCGTGATGATTTTGAAGAAGGATGGGCCCCCAAGGCTGGTGTCTGGCAGGATGTCCCGGATGGTCTCCACGCCGTGGCTGTCACTCAGCATCTTCTCATTGTTCCTGATGCGGAAACATTTCAGAGCCTCCAAGGACAGAGAAAATATATAGGGCATCCAGGTCCTGTCCATGTACAAGTACAGCAGGGACTCCTTGATGGCATCTGGCTCTGGAACCTGGGCGGACGACCAGTCAAACTGTGTGCCCTGGAGGGCCGCGGGCTCCGAGAGCAGGTCTGAGGGAGAGAGGCAGCCCTGGGGCGCCTCGGGGGGTTCCTCAGGCTGGTCTGGGTACTGCACGTTCACCCACTCATCCTCCTGCTGAGGCCGGACCTTCTGCAGGGCCTCCCGCACCCGGTCCAGCCAGTCCTCAGCTTCGTCCTGGGAGGAGGCGCGCAGGGCCAGCTTCTTGCCAGAGAAGACCAGCTCAAAGCGCCCATCACTATGGGCTGGCCCCACAGACTCACAGCGAAGCAGCGAGCAGTTCTCCACACAGGTGTGCTCCTCGTTGCTCAGGTAGAGGCGGAACTCCAGCGGGGAGAGCTCGCAGAAGAGCTCCTTCCAGATGCCCATTGCCCCCCGCCGCTCCACGGTGCCCAGCTTCATGAGACCCCGGAATGGGTTGGACAGTCCTGGAGGCAGAGGCAAAAAGGGGCACATTAGTTGGCGGGCCTGTCTCTGTCCTGCCCAAGGCAGCCTCTGCTGCCTGATGCCCTGCAGTGCATGTGGCCAGTGACTGTCCCCAGAACACAGGCCAGCCACGGGGCACTATCACATGGGACCCTGAAAGCTGGATGGGAACATCCCCATTCTCACCGTCCACTGCTGCTCTTGCGTCCTGTATTTCACTGAGAAAATAAGAGCACCCAAAAGATCCCCTCCACACGCCCTGTTCCCTACACCCACGCCTTCCCTCCTGCTGCCAGGGATGAACCAAGTGTGCTTCTTTCTGCGTGAGGCCAAACCCTCCATTTGTGCAGGAGGTCTCTCCCTTGGCCAACTACTCAAGGACAAGGAGCAGTCCTCTCCTCTGTCACTGCTTTCTTCCTTCTCTATGGGGTGACTCCCATCGGCACACATGCACGCTGTCATTTCTCCCATCTTTAGAAACACCTCTCGTCTCCATGCACTTCCCTAATGACCACCATATTTCTCAGGCCCCTTTACAGAAAACCTGTTTGAAGAGGCATCAAAACTGTTCATCTTGGCCGGAAGCGGTGGCTCATGCCTGTAATCCCAGCACTTCGGGAGGCTGAGGTGGGTGGATCACTTGAGGTCAGGAGTTTGAGACCAGCTTGGTGAACACGGTGAAACCCCGTCTCTACTAAAAATACAAAAATTAGCCAGGTGTGGTGAGCACCTGTAATCCCAGCTACTAGGGAGGCTGAGGCAGGAGAATGGCTTGAACCGGGAAGGCAGGGGATTGCAGTGAGCTGAGGTCACTCCACTGCACTTCAGCCTGGGTGACAGAGGAGTGAGACTCCGTCTCAACAAAACAAAAAACCTCTTGGTCTCTAGTTTCCCTGCTCCCATTCCTTCTCGAACCTGCTCCAAGTAGGCTTCTCTCCCCCCATTCTACTGACACTGTTTCTGAGATGGTCAATGCCCTCCTCGTTGCCAAACCCCAAGGCCACTCCTCAGCCCTCGCCCCCACCCTTCTATCTCTCTGGCTCGGTCCTCCCTGTGGCCTCTCACGTTAGAGTGCCCAGATGTCAGTCCTGGGTCCTTGTCTCCTCTCTGTAGATGCCACTTTCTCACCACTCTACCTGCTCTCAGGCTTTAGCTCCCAATTTTTATCGCCAGCCTGGACCTTGTTCTTGAAATCCACATTCATATATCCACCTGTGCCATACATGTCCACTAGGATCTCAGCTGACATGTCCAGGATGAATTCCTGCTGCCAGCCTGCTTCCTCCTGAATGGTCCTCATCTCACCAAATAGCAAAATTCATCCTTCCAGATGCCTGGGCTAAAAATCTTGGTGTTACCCCAGGTTTTCTTTCTTTCGCAGCCTACATCAGCAAATCCCATTGGCTCTGCCTTCCACACATCCGGAATCCCCGCCTCTCCCCAGCTGCACCCCACCCACTGTCATCTCTGGCCTGGCTTGTGATGACAACCTCCTAACTGGTCTTTCTCCCCTTCTCCCCTGTAGTCCCTCAGCGTAGGAGCCATGATGACCCATTTAAAGGGAAGTCAGAGCATGTCCCTCTGCCCCAAAACTCCACAGTGGCGGCCATCTCCCTTAGCTGAAGCCAAAGTGCTTCCAGTGGCCCACAGGCCTCGTCAGATTGACCTCATCGCTCACTGCCACGCCCCCATCTCCTCTCTCCTGCCACTCTGGTCTCCACTGTCCCTGGATGTGTCAAGCGCAGCCCCAGCGCAGGGTCTTTGCATTTGTTCTCCTTGCTTGAAACACGTACATTGCCTCATGACTCCTTCCCTCTCTCCCCTTGCATCTCCTCAAACATCCCCTTATTGGTGAGGGCTTTTCTGGCCATCCTATATGCAGTGGTCCACTCTCTACCTCTGTAGACAGGTAGAGATTTACTGTCCTCCATAGCACTTATGACCACCTGACCACACACTATGCTTACTTGTTAATTTTATTTCCCGTCTCCTCTACTAGAATCTAAATCCCATGAAGACAGGGACACTGCTTTGCTGCCTGCTATGTCTCCAGCACTTAGAACAGTGCCTGGCACATCACAGAGCCTCAATAATATTTGCTGAATGAATGAGCAGGTGAGTGCCTATGTATCACATGTTGCCCACAGCTCCCTGCTGCCTGGGGTGTGACAACAACCAGGGTGTCCAAAGGACACACAATTCTCTCTCCGCCAGCCTGGAATAGCCTTGGAGATTTCACACTATTCTATGGGGGTTCCCTGCCCCTCAAGAAACCTGATGGCCTAGACCTGAAGCACAGCTTCGCTGGCAGGTTAGAGACCACAGCCATCACACGGGCCAACAGACAAACCTAACAGAAGCCAGCCCGGAGACCGGGCTCTACCCACACAACCCATGCCAGGGCTACCCACAGCAAGGCCCCCTGAGCTGGGCAGGATTCTCTGCTGGGTCACTGCAGACAGAAAATGAGGAGAGAAAGAGACCAATTCTAGAGCGTACTTTTTTTGTTTGTTTTGAAGAGGAAACCCATCATGAAGGTTACTGAAAAATTTGGTTATGGTTATTTAAGGCTTTCTGGAATTTCAGTGTGTGGAGATCAAGCTGACCTTGCTGTAAAAAGCACTGGGGAGGTCGGGCATAGTGGCTCACACCTGTAATCCCAGCACTTTTGGAGGCCAAGGTGGGTGGATCACATGAGGCCAAGAGTTCAGACCAGTGTGGCCAACATGGCAAAATCCTATGTCCACTGGAAATACAAGAATCACCTGGGTGTGGCAGTGCATGTCTGTAATCCCAGCTCCTGGAGAGACTGAGGCACTTGAGCTGGGAGGCAAAGGCTGCAGTGAGCTGAGATTATACCACTGTACTCCAGCCTGGGTGACAGAGCAAGACTCTGCCTCAGAAAAAAAAAAAAAAAAAAAAAGAAGCACTGGAGGACATTAAACAAATAGCAGATCCTCCAGCCTGGCCAACATAGCAAAACACCATCTTTATTAAAAATGCAAAAATTGGCCAGGCGCAGTGGCTCATGCCTGTAATCCCAGCACTTTAGGAGGCCGAGGCGGGGTGGATCACCGGAGGTCGGGAGTTGGAGACCAGCCTAACCAATTTCGAGAAACCCCGTCTCTACTAATACAAAATGAGCCAGGCATGGTGGCTCATGCCTGTAATCCCAACTACTCGGGTGGCTAAAGCAGAAGAATTGCTTGAACACGGGAGGCGGAGGTTGTGGTGAGCTGAGATCACATGATTGCACTCCAGCCTGGGCAACAAAAGGGAAACTCCACCTCAAAAAAAAAAAAAAATTAGCCAGGTGTGGTGGCAGGTACCTGTAATCCCAGCTATTTGGGAGGCTGAGACAGGAGAATTGCTTGAACCCAGGAGGCTGAGGTTGCAGTGAGCAGAGATCATGCCACTGCACTCCAGCCTGGGCAACAAAGGGAGACTCCATCTCAAAACAAACAAACAAACAAAACAAATAGCAGATTTGATCAAGCCACCCAGAGCTGTTACATAAACCAACTACTGAGGGTAAACACGTTTGGAAGGACCATTTAAAACACCTGGGGCTTCATGGGGCCGGATGTGCTCTGAGCTACAGGTGGAATCAAGAGTTTTCTATAATCATAAATTGCATAGTTTTCAGGGAAAATATTTTCCTATTTGACTGGTGAAACAGTATTTTTGTCCTCTGTAGGCAGTTTTGAGACAATATACTACTTTTCCTGAAATGCTTCCCTGAATGAACATGATTATGATGGCATTCTGGAATGAGGTTTTATAACACTTGTGGGAACACACTACCCCTTTAGCAATGGAAAACAGAACTTCACAGCTGCCTTCTGAAAGGCCTGGTCCCTGCAGATGGGACCCACCCGGGACCCTCCTGGTAACCTACCCATCTGTCTCCGGTGTACCACCCGGAAGCTCTTATGCCCCTGGGATGGGGCTGCCTGGGCTTGCCTTCTTCCTGGGGAAGGTACACACGCTTGGTCTAACGCCCCCAGGGAGCAGTTTTTTCTTGGTTCTTGAGAAAAATGCCTGTGGAGACCAGGCCTTGACCCTGGAGTCCCCCTGTAAGAAGCTATTGGGTGGTCTGAAGCACTCTCCAGGGGTTGCTCCCGGGAAGGCCGGTAGAAGTCATCCTCTGAGATCCAGCTCTTGTTTTTCTGTTGGGAAAGAAGACAACAGTTGTTTGTTTTAAAGTTTTTTTGTTTTGAGACGGAGTCTCGCTCTGTTGCCCAGGCTGGAGTGCAATCGCGCAACCTCGGCTCACTGCAACCTCTGACTCCTGGGTTCAAGCGATTCTCCTGCCCCAGTCTCCTGAGTAGCTGGGATTACAGGCGCCCACCACCATGCCCAGCTAATTTTTGTATTTTTAGTAGAGGCGGGGTTTCACCATGTTGGCCAGGCTGGTCTAGAACTCCTGACTTCAGGTGAGCCACCCACCTCGGCCTCCCAAAGTGTTGGGATTACAGGTGTGAGTCACTGTGCCCAGCCTGAAGTTTTTTTTTTTTTTAAGTCTTTATCTAGATATGGCTCTTATATCATAAAATTAACCCACTTAAAGTATGTAATTCGGCCAGCCATGGTGGCTCACACCTGTAATCCCAGCACTTTGGGAGGCTGAGGTGAGAGGATCACCTGAGCCCAGGAGTTTGAGACCAACCTGGGCAACACAGTGAGAACCCATCTCTACAAAAAATAACTAGCTGGGTGTGATGGCACACACCTGTAGTCTCAGCTACTGAGGAGGCTGAAGCGGGAGAATCGCTTGAGCCAGGGAGGTCAAGGCTGCAGTGAGCCGTGATCACGCCACTGCCCTCCAGCCTGGTTGCAGCCTAGGCAACAGAATGAGACCCCATCTCTAAAAAAATAAATAAATAAAGTGTCCAATTCAAACATTTTGGCTTAGTCAGAGTTGGGCAATCGTCACCACCATCTAAGTTTAGCAAATTTTCCTCACCCAAAAAGGAAACCCCGTACCCATTAGCCGTCATCCCCATTTCCCCTGGCCACTCTCAGCTCTAGGCACCTACTTACCTACTTTCAGTCCCTACACACCTGCCTGTTCTGGACATCTCATATAGATGGAACCATACGACACGTGACCTTTTGTGCCTGCTTCTTTCTCTTAGTGGGAGGTTTTCCAGGTGCATCCATGTTATATAAGCATGTTTAAGTGTTCATTCCTTTTTATTGCCAAATAATATTCCATTGTCTCGATCCACCACATTTGGCTTATCCACTCCTCGGCTGATGGACATTTGGGTTGTTTCTACTTTTTGTCAATTATGAATAGTGCTGCTATGATCACTTATACACAAGTTTTTGTGTAGACATGTTTCATTGTCTTGGGTATATACTTAGGAGTAGACTTGCTGGGTCATGTGTAACTCTATGTTTCCCTTCTTGAGGAACTACCAAGCTGTTTTCCAAAGTGGCCGCACCATTTTATATTCCCACCAGCAATGTACGAGGGTTCCAATTTCTCTCCTTGGGAAATCTATCCAAATCCATTGGAATCTACTGAAATCCATTGTCTGTCTTAAAATGGGGCTGTCTTTTTGTTGCTGAGTTGTGTTGTGGGTTGAATTGTGACCCCCCCACAAAAGGACATGTTGAAACCCTACCCCCCAGTACCTCAGAATGTGACCTTTTTTGGAAATAGAGTCTTTGCAGAAGTAATTAGTTAAGATGAGGTCATGTTGGAGTAGAATGGGCTGTTCATCCAGTATGACTGATGTCCTTATAAGAGGAGGAGAAAAGATACACAAAGAGAGGAGAACACCAAGTGAAGACAGAGATACAGAGGAAGAACTTGTATGACAGTAGAACATGTGTGACAGCAGAGGGGAGACAGGAGTGACATGTCTACAAGCCAAGGAATGCAAACGAGCACCTGCAACGCCACCCAGGAGAAAGGCGGGAACAGATTCTTCCTTAGATTCTCCAGAAGGAGCCTCCAGAACGATCAGAGAATAAATACCAGTTTTGTTTTGTTTTTGAGACAGAACCTCACTCTGTCACCCAGGCTGGAGTGCAATGGTGCAATCTCAGCTCACTGCAACCCCCGCCTCCCAGGTTCAAGCAATTCTGCTGCCTCGGCCTCCCGAGTAGCTGGGGTTACAGATGCTTGCCACCATGCCCGGCTAATTTTTGTATTTCTAGTAGAGACAAAACCTTGTCGGCCAGGCTGGTCTTGAACTCCTGACCTCAGGTGACCCACTTGCCTCAGCCTTCCAAAGTGCTGGGATTACAGGCGTGAGCCACTGTGCCTGGCCTATTTTGTTTTGTTTTGTTTTGAGGCAGGGTCTCGCTCTTTGCCCAGACTGGAGTACAGTGGCGCAATCAGGGCTCATTGCAGCCTTGACTGCCCAGGCTCAAGCAATCCTCCTGCTTTAGCCCCACTGAATAGCTGAGACTACAGGCATGCACCAGCATGCCCAGCAAATTTTTTATATTTTTAGTAGAGATGGGGTTTCACCATGTTGGCCAGGCTGGTCTTGCACTCCTGGACTCAAGTGATCCGCCCACCCTTGCCTCCCAAAGTGCTGAGGTCACAGGCATGAGCCACCTGCCCAGCAATGTCTGTTTTTGTTTTTTGTTTTGTTGTTGTTGTTATTGTTGTTGAGACAGAGTCTTGCTCTGTCGCCCAGGCTGGAGTGCAGTGGCACAATCCTGGCTCACTGCAAGCTCCGCTTCCCGGGTTCACGCCATTCTCCTGCCTCAGCCTCCTGAGTAGCTGGGACTACAGGTGCCTGCCACCACGCCTGGCTAATTTTGTTTTGTATTTTTAGTAGAGACGGTGTTTCACCATGTTAGCCAGGATGGTCTCGATCTCCTGACCTCATGATCCACCCGCCTCGGCCTCCCAAAGTGCTGGGATTGCAGGCATGAGCGACCGCGCCCAGCCAATGTCTGTTGTTTTAAACCACCCTGTGTATGGTACTTTGTTATGGTGGCCCTAGGGACTAATTCAAGTTGTAAGGTGCTTTATATATTCTGAATACGAGACCCTTATCAGATTTACGATTTGCAAATAATTTCTCCCATTCTGTGAGGTGTCTTTTCATTTTCCGGATGGTGTGCCCTCTGGAGCACATAAGTTGTTAGTTTTGATAAAGTCTAGTTTATCTATTTTTGTTGTTGTTTTTGTGCTTCTGGTGTTGCATCTTAAAAAACCATTGCCTAAGTCAGTATCACAGATTTACTTCTGTGTTTTCTGCCAAGAGCTGTATAGTTTTAGCTCTTACATTTAGGTTTCTGGTCCATTTTGAGTTAGTTTTTGTGTAAGGTGTAAGGAAGGGGTGTTATTATTTTGCATGTGGGTATTCAGCTGTCCCAGCATGTAGGGTTTCTCAGTCCTGCTTTTGGGTTTGAGATGAGGGAGTCCTGGCGAGCAGGCCTCAGGGTCCTCATTGGCCGCCTCTGTCTCTGCCGCCCACTTCTGTGCAGGCCCCTGCAACCCCAGGCAGCCAGGCCCTGCCCCTTCCCTTCGTTGTTCTCTTTTGAATCTGAAGCTGCTCACTGGCTGGGGAAGATGGGGTTGCGGGGAGCATCTGGGGTGAGTGGGCTTGTGGGAGTGGATTCTGGTTCCTTTTCTCCAGTATTTCAAGTCCTCCCTGGCATTCTGTGCCTCAACATGGAAGGGCAGAGGCAAGGAAGCTGGCTGGGCCACTCTAAGTGGCTGTGTACACAGAGGAAATGAGTCACACAAGCAGTGGGACCAGCCCCACTGTTTTGTTAAGTGCCACTAACCTCACCCTGACATCGCTATTTCCAGTCCCTGAATCAAGACTGCACTCCCTGCTTTGTAAACAGGGAAGGGTTGGTTTGGACAGTTGGATCCATTCAGATGCTACACGACTCCTCAAGCCAAGGGTGGCAAGTTCTGACTCAGGCAACTTGAGGGGTAGCTCACAGAACTAGGTCCCCAGAGACTCCTCCACGGGGCCTTCAGAATTGGCAGGTGCTTCCCCCCTGCCAGTGACAGATGATGTGTCAGTCAGGGCAGCCACTGGGGACCATCCACAACACTAGATTCTGAGCAAAGCCTGCCTAGGTCATCAAGAACTGGGGGACCCCCCTGAGGAAAATGGGTGGGAGAAACAGCTCCCTGGCAACCATGTGGCTGTCCTGGCAGCCTCACATATACCTGGGAAGTTGTGTGATCTCCAGCGCCTGGTGGGAGAGGGCACTGTCCCTGAAGACTCAGCTCAGGAGACATCCATCGCCTCTGCCTGGAAGCTTCTCTCACCCTTCCCCAGCCTCCACCCCTTCCCACCCCCTAGCTGGGTTAGGGCCCCTACTGGGATCCCACAATATTCTGTGCTTACCCTCATTCTAGCATTTATAAGGCTGTTTGGAATGGTTTTCTTGATATCTCCAGCAAGTGCCTGCCCGAGTCATACAAGATGAGGGAATAAATCATGACCATCACAATGTCTTTAACATAAAATAACAAAGGTGGGTCAAGTGGACTGGAAGGAAGGAGACAAATGTAAATTTTAAGATTATGGACATTCAGAATGGGCATGATGGATCATGCCTGTAATCCCAGCACTTTGGGAGGCCGAGGCAGGAAAATTGCTTGAGGCCAGAAGTTTGAGACCAGCCTGGCCAACATGGAGAAACCCCATCTCTACTAAAAGTACAAAAATTAGCTGGGCATGGTGGTGCATGCCTGTAATCTCAGCTACTCGGGAGGCTGAGGCACAAGAATTGCTTGAGCCTTGGAGGCAGAGGTTGCAGTGAGCCGAGATGGATGGAGCTATTGCACTCCCACCTGGGCAACAGCACAAGAGTCTGTGTCAAAAAAAAAAAAAAAAAAGTATATGGACATTCACTGGGGAGGACTTCTCTCTCCTTTGAGGAAAAAGACTACTAGGAAATGTTCAGACACAGTCCATTGAGCACAGCTGCCAGGAAATGAAACTAGGGAACATCTTTTACTCTCTTAAGCAACAGGGAAAAAACAGTGGAAATGCAGGTTCCTCGGAGCTTCTGCACATGGGCCTGGACAGAGCTCTGAGGCTGTGTGCCCCTGGCCCCAGGCAGGTGGGGAGCAGAGAGAGGGTGTGAGAGAGAGTGCATGCATGAACACCACTGTTTCTCTCTTCTCTCCTTTTTTTCTTTTAGAGATGGAGTCTTACTCTGTTGCCCAGGCTGGATCACAGTGGTGTGATCTCGGCTCACTGCAACATTTGCCTCCCAGTTTCAAGTGATTCTCCTACCTCAGCCTCCTGAGTAGCTGGGATAACAGGCTCACGCCATCATGCCCGGCTAATTTTTGTATTTTTAGTACAGACGGGGTTTCACCATATTGGTCAGGCTGGTCTCAAACTCCCGACTTCAGGTGATCCACCTGCCTCAGCCTCCCAAAGTGCTGGGATTACAGGCGTGAGCCACTGCACCCGGCCCCCTTCTCTCCTTTTTTCCCACCACCTTCCGACAACCTGCTCACTCAGGGTCCATGTCTGGCCAGCACCCCGCCCTTTAACAGTGGAGAGAAACCATCATCGACGAAGGATCTATACCAGAGCTGCAACTGCCACCAGCGACCCAAGACAGAGAAATGCCACCTTGCGTTACTAAAGGGCTCATGACACCATATACAACAGCTGAATCCCCAAGAGGAGTGTGGCTGAGGAGTGAGACGAAGGTCTCTGGGACACTTTCAGAAGGATGAGACTTTGTCCAGCCAGTCCTCATTATGCCAGGCAAAGGAACTGCCTGTACTCATAACTGTGGAAGGGGAACCACATACCATGGGCAGGTGGTCCATGGGGGCAGTGATTAAGAGCAAGTCCTAGAACTCACACTGCCTTTTGGGAGTTAAACTGAAACGAACTCACAACCCCCAGATCCCAGACATGCATCACCCTTGAGAGGCCCCTACTCCCTGCACCTCTCCTTCCCAGTGCTTAGCACAAGTGTAATTATGATGTGGATAATCATTTGTCTAATTTAATGTCTGTCCCCAAAGGGCCTTTGTCTGTCCTGTTGTATCACTCTACCCCTAGGACCTAACATGGTGCTTGGCTTATAGTAGGTGCTTTGGGTTCAATGAATTAAAAATAAATGTTTTTAAAAGAAAGACTGAATGGGTCTCTACACTATAAAACTTGACAGCGACCCCAACATCTCCCCCAAAATAACATCAAATAAAAAGCACGTGGCTAACTGATAGAAGTACAGAAAGATGAGGACCACAGGGGCAGACATGCAGGGCACAGCCTGGCACTGTCCACAGGCCAGGAGCCCAGCAGGCCCACATGAGCTGGCAGGCTATTCAGTGGCACCTGGTGACTACCTACTGAATAAGCAGTGAATGAATCCACAACTTCCCTGTGAGACAGACACAGGACGGGGGCAGGATCCGAGATTCTCACATCGGATTCAGCACCAAGCGCTTAGATGTCACATTCCCTAAGCAACCTTCCAGCAATCAGAGTCCCCTGTAGCTGGCACAGAGGCAGAGCCTGCCATGATCACACCAACCTGACCACCCTGTCCACTCGATGGTACACTTCGATGACCCACTTTGGCCTCCCAAATTGCTAGGATTAGAGGCGTGAGCTATCACGCCTCGCCTGAACGTCCATAATCTTAAGTTTCACATTTGTCTCCTTCCTTCCAGTCCCCTTGACTTATCTTTGTTACTTTATATTAAAGACATTGGGATGGTCATGATTTATTCACACATCTTGTATGATTCTGGGCCAGGTACTTGCTGGAGATACCAAGAAAAAGAACCATTCCAAACAGCCTTATAGCTAGGATGGGGGAACAAAATAAACTTAGGAATTGGCATCTCAAGAGTCTCTTGGGAGTTCAAGAACTATTCATCCATGCCTACTTTCTCCCAGGTACAGTGCTTGGTGCTGACAATACAGAAGTGAACAGGCCTGGTGCTCTGTATCATAGAGCTAATATTCTAGTAAGGAAGACAGAAAATAAACAAGGAGACAAAGAGATAATATACTGTAATTGCACATAGTGATGAGTGTTATAAGCAAAGTCAAGCAGATGAATGGGACAGAGAGTCACTGGGGATGGTGCTTTTGAGCTACGGGGGTCCGGTCAGGGAAGGCTGAGACAACAATGAAGTGAGTCGGGAAAGAAGGAACAGCAAATGTAAAACCCTGAGGCTGGGCCGGGCACGGTGGCTCATGCCTGTAATCCCAGCACTTTGGGAGGCCAAAGTGGGCAGATCACTTGAGGCCAGGAGTTTGAGACCAGCCTGGTCAACATGGTGAAACCCCATAATTTTGTAAAAATACAAAAATTAGCTGGGCATGGTGGTAGGCATCTGTAATCCCAGCTACTTGGGAGGCTGAGGCATGAGAATCAGTTGAACTTAGGAGGCGGAGGTTTCAGTGAGCTGAGATTGCACCACTGTACTTCAGCCTGGGTGACAGAGTGAGACTCTGCCTCAAAAAAATTTTTTTTTTTAAAAGAAGCCTGATGTTGGAAGGAGTTCGCTTGGACTATAGAGCTGCAAGGAGGCCGGTGGGTCAGAGCTTAGTGAGCAAAGATGCTATTCTGTCCCACCAGCTTTGAGGCCCTGGCAAGATAAGATGCCTGAGCCTGCAAAGCAGAAGCTAGACCATGGGCAGGAGTGAACTCAACATGCTTAGTGCCACTCTGGAGTCCTGTGGGGCGCACAGCCTGCATCCCCAGCAGACGTCACTCTGCCTCCAGCTTGAGGAAGGGGCTGCAGAGCTTTCCTCTTCAGCCTTCAGCTTGAGTTGGCAGGTGCACAGTCACAACCTTCAGGGTCCTAGAGCATTCATTTTCAGGAAGCAAATCTTCAGGATGTACTGAAGCATCTTCAGGATAGCAAATTCGAAGACTCTGACCCACACTGACAGTTTTGTGATTTACATGGTCATATTCAAGAAACAGTGAGGCCAATCAGATATCCATATGGAAAAATATGAGGTTTGACTTCTAACACCACACACAAAAATTAATCCCAGAAAGATCATAAACCTAATTTTGAAAGATAAATCACTAAAGCTTCTAGAAGATAATATAGGCAAATACCTTCAGATCCTTGGGGGAGATGAATATCTCTTAAATGGGACAAAAACCAAGCAAACCATAAACAAAAAGACTGATAAACTGCACATCATTAAAAGAACCTCTGTTCAATAAAAATACTATTAGGAGGTTTAAAAGTCAAGCCTTATAGACTAGAAAAAGATACTTGATAAATATACTATTTTTGTCCAATAAAAGACTTATATCTGTAATATATAAAGAGTTCCTACAAATCAACACATACACATACAACTCAATTTAAGACCGGAATGACAACTTGGACAGACATTCTATAAAAGAGGATTGACTGGCCAATAAGCAAATGAAAAGGTATCATCATTTAGTCATCAAGGATATGAAAATTAAAACCACTACACATCTACCAGAGTGGCTAAAATTAAAAAGATTGGTAACACCATTGGCCAGGATAAAGAGCAACTAGAATGCTCATTTGTTGCCAATATGAGTATAAATTAGCACAAACACTTTAGAAAACTGTTTGGTGGTGGTATCTATTAAAGGTAAACATAAGCCACCCAAGGACCTAGCAATTCCATTCCCAGGTATATATACCCACAGAAATAAGCACCGAGGTTCTCCAAAAGCATGTATGAGAATGTTCACTACAGCTTTCTTCATAATAGTCAAAACCTGGAAACAACCCAAATGTCCATTAACAGGAGAATGGGTAATAGGTTGCAATATATTTTTACAATGGAATACTGCAGAACAATGGAAAAGAATTAACTACAGCCTCATGCTATATGTACAGCCACACACCACCATGCCCAGCTAATTTTTGTATTTTTTGTACAGATGGGGTCTCACTTTGTTACCCAGGTTGGTCTCCAACTCCTGGGCTCAAGCAGTCCTCCCTCTTGGTCTCCCAAAGCGCTGGGGTTACAGGTGTGAGCCACCACACCCAGCCCCCAAATATTTTCATTTTAACTTGTAATCCATAAAAATGAGATTTTCTATTCTTTTATCATACTAAGTTATTGAAATCCAGCGCTTATTTCACATGGCACATCTCCATTTGGACTTGCCACATTTTAAGTGTTCAACAGCCACACGTGGCTTGTAGCTGCCATATTGGACAGCACGGCTCTAAAACCTGGGTCATGTTGCAAAGTGAGTATGCTCAAGGCCTAGTATTTTCTAAAAACATTAATTTAATAGGCTGAGTGCACCAGCTCATGCCTGTAATCCCAGCACTTCAGGAGGCCCAGGCAAGAAGATCGAGACCAGCCTGGCCAACATGATGAAACCCCATCTCTACTAAAAACACAAAACTTAGCCAGACATGGAGGTGGGCACCTGTAATCCCAGCTACTCAGGAGGCTGAGGCAGGAGAATTGCTTGAACCCAGGAGGCGAAGGTGGCAGTGAGCAGAGATTGTGCCACTGCACTCCAGCCTGGGCAACAGAGCAAGACTCCATCTGAAAAAAATACCAAAAACCAAAAATCAAAAAATATTAATTTAATAATAACAAGTACTAAGGAGGAAATGAAGGTTCAGAGAGCTGAAGTGACTTGCCCAAGGCCTTATGCTGGTGAGTGGTAGTGGTTAAAGAGCTGAGACTGCGGTCAGACAAGAACAACCTTCACAAAGTGACGTGAAAATGACAGGAGATACACACGGGAAGTGATCAGCACAGTGCCGGGCTTATATCTACAGCTCACATGCCAAGAAACAGCCGGGCTTATATCTACAGCTCACATGCCAAGAAACATGAGCCCCATCATCATGATGCTATTAACACTATCACTATGCAGGGAGAGGAAGGCTAACAGGGAAAAGGCAGAGACCACTCAGGGTCACTAGCTGGGGAAACCCTGTGTCAGCTGACATTTCCCAAGACTGCCCCCTGAACGGCTTGCACCACTCACCGGACTGGTGGGTGAGGAAACTACCAGCTTCAGACCAGCTCCGTCATGAGCCTGGGCCTTCTGCAGGCCATTCCCTTGGCCCACTTCTCTGGCTGTCTCGCTGACAGTACTAGAAGGCTGCTGGCCTGAGGTGCTCTCTACAGGCTGCTGTAAGTCCAGGGGGCTGGGCGCCTGGGGACGCGGCTCCTGCACGTGGACACCATCTTGAGTTCCAGAGGCTGCCTGGGCAGGAAGGGGCTCTGCAGGTGCCTCACAGTGCAGGTATGTGCTGGTGTTGAGGCCATGGAGGGAGAGCGAGGCCTGTGGTGTGGGGATCTCTGTTTCTTGGCTCAGTCCGTTGGTTGGCACAGAGTTTACCTGGGCTTTGCTGAATTCCAACAATACCCTAGAAGTTTTAAACAAAGAAACCTGTGTGACAGGTTGTCTGCGATAATGCCCAAGGCAACTGGGGCAGAGGGAAGAATGCAAAACTGCTGTTTTATGATTTAAAACAACCCACACCCTCTAAATGATCCACTGCACTCCCCCTCACGCAGTCCTCCTCTGACACTCCCACCACGTTTTTCCTGGCCAGGATTTAGGCAGACTGCGTGGACAGGTGATTTGTGGAGCCTGGGATCTCAGGCGAAAAAGCTCCCCAGCAGAGGAAGAGGACTTGGTATGAATGAGGACTTACTGGCATTCTGAGCAGGCTAGCTGTGGGCCTGGAGAGCTTGCTCAGCCAAACACATGGTTGTGTGGGCAATCGTTTCCCCAAACATGGTATGCAGCAGAGCCTCCTCCTCCACAGCACAGGGAGTAGAGATGCCAGGACTCTGCCCTGGGGCAGGGACTAGGAGAAGCGAGGGCTAGGCAGGTTTCCTAAGCAAGGTCATACTTTGTTCCTGTGCAGGCACTGGGACAGCAAGGGGAGGTGCAAGGGCTGGTCCCCTCAGAGCTGGACTGGATGTGGAGACAGAGAAGCTTCACATCCCCAGAAACTGCTGCTGGAGCTCAATGTATACCAGGTGTGTGAGGGTGGATATGAGTACACACGAGATGTGCCCCTGCTCACTCTCTATGGTGGGACTGCCACTCCCTGTCTCCTCCGTGCTGCTTCCTGGGGCCACAGGGAGCAAATGTTACTGCCTTGGTACACGTGCATGCACACCACACTCACACATACACACTGCACAGAAACATGCCCTGGGCCCTCTGGAATGTGCACTGACTAGCAACTGCTCCTCCCTCTCCTGAGGCTTCTTCTGAGGATCCAAGCTCCATTTTGAAAATAAACCCGTTTGCTATCTCTTCTGCTTATAAAACCAGTGGAGCATGTCATGGGCAAAGCCTGGTTCAGGTGGCCACAGGCTGTCTAAGGCCCCAAAGCCTCCCTGCATCTGCCCTGATGGCTTGGACTGGGTCCAGAAGATACATGAAGCTCTGCTTAATTTGGGCTTAGGGAAATGAGGATTTTAGAATTCAAGTTGCTTACCTGATTGTCTTTCCAGTGAGCTCTGCACCATCTTAACCCCAAACAACATTTCAAGACATTATGGTCAAGAATAGGTGGCCAATCCATACATGTATAAGTAACTGATTTTGGCCGGGTGTGGTGGCTCACATCTGCAATCCCAGCACTTTGGGAGGCTGAGGTGGGTAGAACCACAAGATCAGGAGTTCAAGACTAGCATGGCCAAGATGGTAAAACCCCGTCTCTACTAAAAATACAAAAATTAGCCAGGCTTGGTGGCAGGCGCCTGTAATCCCAGCTACTCGGGAGGCTGAGGCAGAGAATTGCTTGAACCCGGAAGGTGGAGGTTGCAGTGAGCCGAGATTGTGCCACTGCAATCCAGCCTGGGTGAAAGAGCGAGACTCCATCTCAAAAAAAAAAAGAGTAACTGATTTTCAACATAGACACCAACACATTTTAATGGGGAGGGAATAGTCTTTTCAACAATTGTGCTGAGATAAGTGGATAATCACATGCAAAAGAAAAAAGCTGGACTGCTATCTCACATTGTATACAAAAATTAACTCAAAGTGGATTAAAGACCTAAAGGTAAGAGCTAAAACTGTAAAACTCTTAGAAGGAAAGAGAGGTATAAACTTCATGTCTTTGGATTAGGCAATGGTTTCTTAGATGTGAGATCTACAGCATAAGAAAGCAATAAAAAATAAATTGTAATCCCAGCACTTTGGAGGCCAAGGCGGGTGGATCACCTGAGGCCAGGAGTTCGAGATCAGCCTGGCCAACATAGTGAAACCCTGTTTCTAATAAAAATACAAAAATTAGTTGGGCGTGGTGGTGCGCACCTGTAATCCCAGCTACTTGGGGGGCTAAGGCAGGAGAATCACTTGAACCCGGGACGGGGAGGCTGCAGTGAGCCGAGATCACACCACTGCACTCCAGCCTGGGCAACAAAGTGAAACTCTGTTTCAAAAAACAAAAATAAAAAACGTTTGTGTGGTTTTTTTTTTTTTTATTTGAGACTGAGTCTCACTCTGTCGCCCAGGCTGGAGTGCAGTGGCGCCATCTCGGCTCACTGCAAGCTCCGCCTCCCGGGTTCATGCCATTCTCCTGCCTCAGACTCCCGATTAGCTAGGACTACAGACGCCCGCCACAACGCCCAGCTAATTTTTTGTATTGTTTTTTTTTTAGTAGAGATGGAGTTTCACCGTTTTAACCAGGATGGTCTCGATCTCCTGACCTCGTGATCCGCCTGCTTTGGCCTCACAAAGTGATGGGATTACAGGAGTGAGCCACTGTGCCTGGCCAAAACGTTTGTGTTTTAAAGGATACTATCAAGACAGTAAAAAGACAATTCAAAGAATGGGGGGAAATATTTTTAAATTATACAGAAGGGCCTATTATCCAGAATATATACAGAACACTTACAAATCAACAATAAAAAGACAAATAACTAAATGTTTAAATGGGCAAACGATCTGAACAGACATTTCTCCAAAGAAGATATCCAAATGTTTGATAAGCACATGAAAAGACACTCAACAGCATCAGTCATCAGAGAAATGCAAATCAAAACTACAATGAAATACCACTTTATACCCACTGGGTTGATTGTAATAAAAAAGACAGAAAATAATAAGGGTGGGAAAAGATGTAGAGAAATTAAAGCTTGTATATATTAGTGGTGGGGATGTAAAATGATGCAACTACTGCAGAAAACAATTTGGTAGTTCCTCAAGAAGTTAAACATAGAGTTACATATGACCCAGCAATTCCACCCCTAGGTATGTAACTAAGAGAATTAAAAACATGTCTACCCAGGCTGGGCATGGTGGCTCATGCCTGTAATCCCAGCACTTTGAGAGGCTGAGCCAGGCGGATCACCTGAGGTCAGGAGTTCACCTGGCCAACATAGTGAAACCCTTTCTCTACAACAAGTACAAAAATTAGCTGGGTGTGGTGGCAGGCCCCTATAATCCCAGCTACTCGGGAGGCTGAGGCAGGAGAATCGCATGAACCCAGGAGGCGGAGGTTGCAGTGAGCCGAGATCATGCCACTGCACTCCAGCCTGGGGGACAGAGCGAGACTCCGTTTCAAAAAATAAATAAAATATTGAATAAAATAAAATACAACAATACCATCAATTGAGCACTATTGATGCCTCTGTGCCAGGGACCATTCTAAGTACTTAAATCTAAGTACTTAAACCCTCCAGACTATACCTATGCCACTCAGTGATGATTATAATACAGATCCAATCTACACGGAAGAAGCTATTTAGGACAGTCAATTCACTAGGCCAACTGCAATTTGGTTTCTGCCAAACAGAACCGCTTTATATTAATAAATTTCATTTTGAATGTTGTGTCTTTTATGCTTTTCTTTATGTTTGATTTGTGGATGTTTTGATTTTATATGTGTAATGATAAGCACAAGGAATTTATGTCTAATTTAAAGTTACAAATATTTAAATAATGTAACAACTTTGATGAACTCTAAATGTCGGTGAGAACATTTTACCCTTGAAATATACACTTCAAGAAATGCTGGTCTCTGTGGATGCTCAAGGACTAACTTCAAGGCCCAGCTCTATGAATGCTGGTGCTGGCTGTGTGTTTGTGCATCTGTATGTCTTACATTTGCCAGTTACTCACACCACTGTCCGGCATTTGTCTATACATCCTGACCCTTGACCCTCCAGTTTCCCCATAATAGCCGGGACAACACTTCCTGCACAGAGAGGATGGTCACTGATTCAGTGACCTTAAGCTGGAATTTTCCATCACAAGACACATGAGATAAAGGCGAGACATATGACAAGGGATGGCTGGCTGGTCTGCAGAGGAGGCAGACACACAGGAAGGGCTAAGACAGGTGAGTGAACCTAGGTCATGCCCTGTGCCTGGGTCACACTGCAGGCCTGTCATGCCATGGTCCCAGTGGTCACAGGAGGCAGACACTGTTCCTCCCCAATGTATTCTATCTAAATTCCTCCATTTAACATTTGAAAACTCCACCTAATATGCTCAGAAGCCATTTCTGGGACTACGAGACAATCTCCTATATTGTTTGACTAACAAACAATGTGCCTGACCTTCCTGGGCTTGTAAGTGGTGGAACAGGACTCGAAACTAGGTCGGCTCCAAGCCCAGTCCGTAACACCACCCAACGCTGGTGCTCTTTCCATGGTGGGTGAGAACCCTGGAGGGACCTGAACCAAGGCGAGGGCACAGGGCGAGTGGAAAGAAGGTCCCAAACACGTGGGACCTTCTTTTCCGCTGATGCAGCATGGATCCAGCTGAAGGAGGCTTTTAATAAGAAGTTCCCATTTTCCACCTATCAGATGAGCAAATATCCAAAAGTTCACTAATACCATCAGTTGGCAAGGCTAAGAAACAAGGACATTCCTGGTGGAGTGTAAATGGGCAATAATCTGTGAACATTCCATATTAGTCTATCCTTTTGCTCGGCAATTTTGCTTCTGGGAGTTTATGGAACAGAGATAGCTACGCAGAACTAAAAGACCACATACACAAGGTTATTTATGAAAACACAGGCCCCAGCACCCATTAAATACTGGGCTGATTAAGTAAACTAAGGTACATTCATACACTAGAACAATATGCAATAGAAAAAAAAAGAATGAGGCTGGGCGCAGTGGCTCACGCCTGTAATCCCCAGCAATTTGGGAGCCTGAGGCAGGAAGATCTCTTGAGCCCAGGAGTTCAAGACCAGCCTGGGCAACACAGTGAGACCCCCGTCTCTATAAAAAATAAAAATAAAAGAATGAAGAAGCTCTGAAATGAAAAGATCTTCTCCAAAACAAGATATAGAACAGTGTGTATATACTGCCTTTGTAGGAGAGAAAGTAATAAATAAGGAAGAAATTTTAAAAATCTTTTATTTTTTTTTTTTTGGGACAGAGTCTCACTCTGTCACCCAGGCTGGAGTGCAGTGGCACGATCTCGGCTCACTGCAAGCTCCGCCTCCTGGGTCCACACCATTCTCCTGCCTCAGCCTCCTGAGTAGCTGGGACTTCAGGCGCCCGCCACCACGCCCGGCTAATTTTTTGTATTTTTAGTAGAGATGGGGTTTCACCGTGTTAGCCAGAAAGGTCTCGATCTCTTGCCTTTGTGATCCGCCCGCCTCGGCCTCCCAAAGTGCTGGGATTACAGGCGTGAGCCACTGCGCCCAGCTGAAAATCTTTATACTGGTATTTGTTGTAGATGCATTTAGAAATTTGGAAGAATATACAGGAAATTATTATGGTTTTAGGGGTGGGAGGAAAGAACAGGGTAGAGGGAGAACAGGAATGGGAAAGGCTTTCACTGTATATGTTTTAGATTTTTTTTAACCATAAAAAGATTATCTATGCAAATTTTTTATTTTATTTATTTATTTTTTTTTTTTTTTTGAGACAGAGTCTTACTCTGTCACCCAGGCTGGAGTGCAGTGGTGCGGTCTCAGCTCACTGCAAGCTCCACCTCCCGGGTTCATGCCATTCTCCTGCCTCAGCCGCCCATGTAGCTGGGACTACAAGGCGCCCGCCACCATGCCCAGCTAATTTTTTGTATTTTTAGTAGAGACGGGGTTTCACCATGTTAGTCAGGATGGTCTCAATCTCCTGACCTTGTGATCCACCTGCCTTGGCCTCCCAAGGTGCTGGGATTACAGGCGTGAGCCACCGTGCCCAGCTGCAAAAAAATGTTTAAAAGGCTGTGTGAAGAAGGCTCTGCCCAGTTCTCTCTTCAGCCTAGTTCATCTGCCCCACATACTCTTCCACACATCTGTCTGTCCCCACCTGTCCACCACCTCCTGCATGCAGCACTCAGGTCCTGTGTCCCCCAGGAGGTATTCTGTGAAGTCACACTCTTATGCGTTATGTTTCATCTATTTGTTGGACGTTTTAAATGTACTCTGACCTATTAGTTTCCTTCCTTCTAGATGAAGACAACAATATTTTACACTGTGCCTTGTAGAGACTAAGTATCTTGTTTTTTTGTTGTTATTGTTTGTTTTCAGTTTTTGTTTTATTTATTTATTTATTTTTAATTTAGAGGCAGGATCTTGCTACATTGCCCAGGCTGGCCTCGAACTGCTGGGCTCAAGCAATCCTCCTGTATCAGCCTCCCAAGTGCTGGGATTTCAGGCATGAGCCACCGCACCCGGCCAAGTAACTTGCTAAAAGTCACCGGGGCAGAGCTGGAGCCCAAACCAGCTCTAAGCTGTTCTAAGTCCACTTTCTCCACTATGCCTGTATTGCCTGCTACAGTTCCCAGCTACTCCAGTCCCTGGAGAAGTCGATGACTCCCTTGGCTTTCTTTAATTACTAATAGAGTTCAGTAACAGACAATCACATGCTATGGGAAGAAAGGGAGGAGGAGAGGAAAGAAAGGAGGGAAGAGAGAAGATGGGAAGGAGTGGGGGCAGCGTACTCACTCTTGCAGAGACCGGTCTGAGTCCTCAGCATTTGCTGTGCCCAGGTCTGAGTCACAGGACATGGGCTCCTCGCAATGGTCTGGACTCTTGGAGCCATTCTCTTGGAGTAAGCAGCTATCAGAGTTTAGGCTGCAGGACAGCTGGGATGAACTGGCCGTGTCCAGGCTGAGGGAGGAGGCAGTCAGCTTCTGGTTCCTCCGTATCTTATGGCCCGAGTGATGGACTTCGATGTCTTCAGAGCCTGAAGAATGGGAAATGGAATCCAGAGATTCCTTCCGCTGTAGTTCTGCACCAGAGGTAGAGAGAGGGTCCAGCTCAGAAAGCGGGCAAAGCCCAGACAGGGCCAATGGGGTGAGCGTCCACTCATTTAAGATGGCAGACTTGTAGGAGAGTTCGAAGGACAAGGACGTGAGGCCCTGCAGGAAGCTAAGGAGGAACTCGCCCTCCTCAGCATCCCGGAGCAGGGCGGTGGGCTGGTAGTACTCATGCAAGCGGGCCTGCTCCTGCAGCAGCAGCTTCAGGTAGCACTCCATCAGGCCATCGTTCAGGGCCAGCCGCAGCCATGCCCGGCAGCGGCCCACATCCGTGTTGACAAACGTCAGGTGCTCCAACTCTGAGATGATGTGTCTGGGAAGGGAGAACAGACGTGTTTCAAGAAACTACCCCAAATCACAGAGATGTGCTTTTATCCACTGGTTAGCAGGAACCAGGAATAACTACTGCAAATAGATACAGGCATGAAAAAATATTGGGTAATAGTGTTTTAGGCCAGATGTGGTGGCTCACACCTGTAATCCCAGCACTTTGGGAGGCCAAGGCAGGTGGATCACTTGAGCTCAGGAATTCGTGACCAGCCTGGGCAACAGGACGAAACTCTGTCTCTACAACAACAACATAGCCAGATGTGGTGGCTTGCACGTGTAGTCCCAGCTACCCAGCTACTCGGGAGGTTGAGGTGGAAGGATAGCTTGAGCCTGGGAAGCAAAGGTCACAGTGAGCGGAGATTGGACCACTGCACTCCAGCCTAGGCAATATATATATATATATTTATATTTATATATAATAAATATATAAATATAAATTATATATATTTATACATTATATATATATATATATTTTGAGATTGGAATTGTGAAAGATAATTTCCATG
Organism: Homo sapiens; assembly: GCF_000001405.40. Taxonomy (NCBI): domain Eukaryota; kingdom Metazoa; phylum Chordata; class Mammalia; order Primates; family Hominidae; genus Homo; species Homo sapiens. The sequence continues at coordinate 166,406 of NT_187663.1, forward strand.
TTCATTCCAACTACCACGGGGCCCCTGACACATCTGCTCATCTAAGGCATGCTGTCAGAGCTCCTTAAGTGCAAAGTCCTTGGAGCAATGAAGATGCAGGGTAAAGACATGGTCCCTGCCCTCAGGCACAAGGGACTGATGGAAAAAGGCATAAAGTGTAGGAAATCAACAACCCTGTAAGAGGATTGGGGAGCGCTCCAATTACAGCATGTGGCGGAAAAGTGGGTGGTTTGGTTGCAAGGCCAGGAAAGAGAGGGTCTTAAATATCAAATCAATAAGGCAACACGGGGTAATGGCCCCACACCCAGCTGTGCACCAGAACCCCCTGGGGAACTTGAGCAGGATACAAGTTCTGGGACCCCAACCTAGTGAATCAGTCTCCAGGCTAGCATCTGGGAGCCTGTAGGCTACAGATTTTTGTTTAGAAAAGTGACTTGACCACAGTCATGCAGACTGCAGGGTAGATGTTCTGCATAAGGAGATCAGACCCCAGGTGTACCAAACTCAGTCCCAGAATGCCTCCGTCTGATGTACATGCCCCTCTGAGCTACCACAGTCCCTAGCGCAGGTTTATCTCCTCCATGGGAATGTAGACCGCACTCTACTAGGCTCAGTGAGTAAGCTCCAGGGAGCTTCAGCTCAGTAAATGTTGACCAGATGATGGACTCAAGGAAAGACAGAGTGAGATAAGGGGGACAAATAGAAAGCCAGTGTCACCCAGGAAAGAAGAACGTGAGACAAGGCAGTGGCAATCTGCATGGAAAGGAAGATTAGAGACTGACAAGGCTTCTTTTGGGCTGAAGGTGGCATTTAGTAGTCCTCAGAGGCACAGTGCCAGCTACTTGCTCAAAAGCCCAGACAGTTAGGGGCCAAAGAGATAAGTGTCTCAGGGTGAATATTCATATGCTTTTCCTGATTCCACTCTTTATATAATCCCAGCACTTTGGGAGGCGGAGGTAGGCAGATCACAAGGTCAGGAGTTTGAGAGCAGCCTGACCAACATAGCAAAACCCCTCTCTACTAAAAATACAAAAATTAGCTGGGCGTGATGGTGCGCGCCTGTTGTCCCAGTTACTCAGGAGGCTGAGGCAGGAGAATTGCTTGAACCTGGGAAGCAGAGGTGCCAGTGAACCGAGATCGCGCCATTGCACTCCAGCCTGAGTGACAGAGCGAAACTCCATCCCAAAAAAAAAAAAAAAGATTTACAATTCGGATGTTTGAATAATCTAAGGCAGGGTCAGCAAATCCAAGGCAGGGTCAGCCCTTCTGTAAAGGGCCAGATAGTATATTCTTCAGGCTTTGCAGGCCACACAACCTCTGTTGTAACTATGTAACTCTGCCCCAGTGTGGCAAAAAAGGCTGTTCCTGCTAAAGGTGGCCAGTCTCACCTGCTTTTTGTGACCAGTCTCAAAGCAGCCACAGGCTCTTGCCTGAGTGCTGAGGGTCTCAAGATCTGCTGGCACACTGGCTGGGAAGCTTGGTCTAGAGATAAGCCTTTCTAGAAGACACTTTCAACCCCTACCTCACCCTCTCTCTATGCTAGAACACAGGGCACCTCTGTTGGCTTCCTGAACAGCTGGGGAGGAAAAGCCAAGTGTCCCATAGTCTGCTGCTCCTCCGCAAAGCAAAACCTCTCCAGCTAAATCTCACTTGTGGGTGACAGCTTTCAGGAGGGGCCAGAAGACAGGCTGGGGCAGAGGCTTCTGGTGGGCACTTTTCTTCCTTTTTCCTCCGGCCTCAGCTCGGATGTGCTTGGCGTGCAGGCCATGGATAAATACGGCCTCCAGGGCGCTGCACATGGTGTTGGCATCTCCGTCTTCACTAGTGACCACCGTGTCCAGGGACACGTACTGCTTCTGCAAGGCCTTCACGGATCCCACCAGCTTCTTCTTGATGACCTAGGCAGCACCACACAGAACACAGGCCTTTAGCGGAAAATCCTATGGAGAGTCCCTAGAGTGTAATCCTTTAGCTGGTGCCAAATACGTGTGCAACCACATGCACACACATCTATGTGTGTGTCTGTAGATTCCTTCTGCAAAATTAGCACATTGTTAACTACAGCAAAGAAAGATAAAGCATAGAGAAGAAAAGGAAAATCACACACACTACCCAGAGATAATTACTGTTATTGTTTGTTTCATATGTCCTTTAGTATAGATACTTTTTGTTTTTTAGACCAAACTTAAGTGAACTTAGAGCCATATAATCTTGTGTTTAAATATTGGCCCCATCATAGCTGCAGTGATGGGAGCTTGGGTAAATCCATCTAGGACAAGGGTGGGGCTTCCCACCTTTTTTACATGGACAAGCTTCTGTAGAGAATCAATAAGCCAAGAGGCAAAAACAAACAAACAATAAACACCCACACTGCTTTAGAACAATAAAAACATGAGGAGAACAGGAGCATGGTTTACTTTAAGAAAGATCCTAGGCTGGGCGTGGTGGCTCAAACCTGTAATCCCAGAACTTTGGGAGGTCAGAGGCAGGAGGACTGCTTGAGTCCAGGAGTTCAAGGCTGCAGTGAGCTGTGATCACACCACTGTACTCCAGCCTGGGCAACATAGCAAGACCTTGTCTCAAAAAAAGAAAGATCCTAGGCCTGGAAGCCAGAGGACTAGGCTCAGTCCTAGCTGCCAGTAACCAGATGGGCCTCCTCAGACATTCCACTTAACCGCTTTGAGCCTCAATTTCCTTATCTGTTAAAGTGGAAATAATACTTTCTGATTTATAGTACTATGAGGATTCTCCTGAGGACAGGACTACCTTTTTTTTTCTTTTTTTTTTGGGAAGTGGTTTCTGGTGAAAACCAGAAAACCTACTAGATAAATTCTAAAAAGAGGCTGGGTGTGGTGGCTCACACCTGTAATCCCAACACTTTGGGAGGCCAAGGCAGGCGGATCACTTGAGGTTAGGAGTTTGAGATCAGCCTGGCAAACATGATGAAACCCTGTCTCTACTAAAAATGCAAAAATTAGCCAGGTGTGGGCCGGGCACGGTGGCTCACGCCTGTAACCCCAGCACTTTGGGAGGCCGAGGTGGGCGGATCACGAGGTCAGAAGATCGAGACCATCCTGGATAACAGGCTGAAACCCCATCTCTACTAAAAATGCAAAAAAATAGCTGGGCGTGGTGGCAGCGCCTGTAGTCCCAGCTACGCGGGAGGCTGAGGCAGGAGAATGGCGTGAACTCAGGAGGCGGAGTTTCCAGTGAGCCAAGATCGCACCACTGCACTCCAGCCTGGGCGACAGAGCGAGACTCCGCCTCAAAAAAAAAAAAAAAAAAAATAGCCAGGTGTGGTGGTGAGTGCCTGTAATCCCAGCTACTTAGGAGGCTGAGGCAGGAGAATCACTTAAACCCAGGAGGCAGAGGTTGTACTGAGCCAAAATCGTGCCACTGCATTCCAGCCTGGGTGGCAGAGTGAGACTCCATCTCAGAAAAACAAAACAAAACAAAACAAAACAAAACAAAAAACATATATATAAAAGAGCTGAGTGTGGCACTAAGACTAGTGTTTTATTCATCCTTGTGTCAACACTTGGCACTGTGCCTGGCACATAGAAATACTCAATAAATGTTTGTTAAATGATACACCACAAAATGTACATAGAGTCTTTTGGAAATATAGAGTAAAAATTGAGCATAATTATAAGCATGTGAAAATCACATAAGTGATTGGAAAAGGACTGGAAGGGATTACAGAAAAACTGGTTTGAATTGTTGGGTGATAGGATTATGGCTACATATTTTAATCTTTTATTTTGATTTCAGCCAAAACACTAAATGTTAACATTCTTTGAAAAGTTAAATTTGAAAAAATATAACGGTTTTAATGAGATATAATTCATATACCATAAAATACACCCATTTAAAGTATACAGTTCAATTGTTTCTAGTATATTCACACAATTGTGCAACCATCACCACTACCTAATTTTAGAAGATTTTCTGGCCGGGCACAGTGGCTCACGCCTATAATCCCAGCACTTCGGGAGGCCAAGACGAGTGGATCACCTGAGGTCAGGAGTTCGAGACCAGCCTGGCCAACATGGTGAAACCCCCATCTCTACCAAAAATACAAAAATTAGCCGGGCATGGTGGTGCACACCCATAATCCCAGCTACTTGGGAGGCAGAGGCATGAGAATCACTTGAACCTGGGAGGTGGAGTTTGTAGTGAGTCAAGATCGTGCCACTGCACTCCAGCCTGGGCAGCAGAGGGAGACTCCGTCTCAAAAAAACAAAAAAACAAAAAAACAAAAAAACAAACAAAAAAAACGATTTTCATCACCCCAAAAAGAAATACTGTATATTAGTGATTGCCAGGGGCTGGGAGAAAGGGGAATACGAAGTGAATGCAGTCACTAATCTATTTTCTGTTTCTGTGGCTTTGCATATTTTGTACATCTCACATGAATAGATATCAATACAGCATATGACCCTTTGAATCTGACTTATTTCACTTAGCATATTTTCCATCATGTTGTAGCATGTATCAGGACTTCATCCCTTTTTATTGCCAGAAAATATTCCGCTGCCTAGATATACCACATTTTATTCATCCATTCATCAGTTAATAGACATTTGGGTTGTTTCTACTCTTTTGCTATTATCAATAATGCTGCTATGAACATCCATGTACAAGTTTTTGAGTGGACTTATATTTCTAGTTCTCTTGGGTATATATCTAGGAGTGGAACTGTACACATAACCCTATGTTTAACTTATCAAGGAACTGCCAAACTGTGTGCCAAAGTGGCTGCACTATTTTACATTCCCACCAGCAATATATGAGTTCCAATCTCTCCACATTTTTGCCAGCACTAGTTATTGCCTTTTTTATTACAGCCATCCTAGGGGGTGTGAAGTAGTATCTCACTGTGGTTTCGATGTGCATTTTCCTGATGTCTAATGATAATGAGCATCTTTATTGGCCATGTGTGTATCTTCTTTGGAGAAGGGTCTATTTAAATCCTTTACCCATTTTATAACTGGATTATTTGTCTTTTTATTGTTGAGTTATAAGTGTTCTTTATACATTCTGGATACTAGACCCTTATCAGATATTTGATTTGCAAATATTTTCTCCCATTCTGTGGGTTGTCTTTTCATTTTCTTGGTAGTATCCTTTGAAGCTCAAAAGTTTTTAATCTTGAAATAGTCTAATTTTAAATGTTCTTTTAAAAGCAAGATGTTATTTGTATATTATATTTAAAAAGTACATACATACTTCGTTCAATTGAGCACCTACTAGGTGTTGGGTTAGGGTATACAGGGAGAAATAAGGCATACCCTCAAGAAAGGCATACCCTCATGGAGTCAGTTTGTGCAGCTGTTGTTAGAAGGCTGGGTTGGCCAGGCTTCTGCCCTAGCTCTGGAGGGTCCTGGGGTGGGATTCGGCAGGCACTGGGGGTGGGAGAGTGGGGGTGCAGAGGGGAGGGAAGAGCCTCTGCATGAAAGCCAGCTGGGAAACAGGTGGAGCTGGACTCTCCTGTGGCCAGGACGGGGAAAGGCACGTCTCTGAGAGCTACAGTTTCTTTCAAGCAGAGTTCTCTGAGCTGGGAAGCAGCAGTGGGGAGGAAAGGAAATCCTGGCTTCTCCCCGAAAGCCATCTCAGGATGCTGCTAAGGGACCAGCCCCAAAGCTACCTGACTTCCTGCCTCTCCAAGAGAACAGAGAGCTCTATCTGGAGTACCCAAGATAGCCCAGGAGGGTGCAAAGGGCTGTCCAAGAAAAGGTCCTAGGGGGCTCCAGTGAACTGCTCACAAATAATTACATTTAGAATATCCTAGAAAATGGTAAGTGTTCAGATACATGTAAGTTACCAATTTACCCCCATTACTGAAACAACAAACCAGTGCCTGGGAATATCTGTTTCCCACCCATTCAGTGCTTTGGCCAGACTGTGACCAAATCATGGCCTAAGGGCAGAGGGCTGAAGGGCTGAATGGAAATCCTTGGTCTTCAGGTTACTGATCTTAAATTCCCACTGCTTTTCATAAATCTCCATCTTATCACCAATAAGGTGATCTAGAAAAGACAGGGTCTCCTCAGAGCCTGCTTGTGCTGTAACTTTTTCTCAACCTGGTCTCTCTTGCAGGACAGTGCCCAAGGAAGTGAGCCAAGCCGATGATACAACTGTCCCCTGCAGCCCTTCCCCGCCCTTGATCCTCCCTCACCCACCTACCGGGATGGCAGCCTGGGGGTCCAGTCCATTCTCCACCACTGAAAGCATCTCCACTCACGCAGCTGCTCCCTCAGAGAATCACATGACACCTGAAGAGACAGATGGCAGCCAGATGAATGGGCAGGGAACTTTCCCCCAGCCAGAGTCCATTCCCAGCAAGCAGCAGGAGGTCAGCCTCTCTTACTCAAACTGCAACCAAAAAGGCCTTTGCAGAACACAAAAGTAAAAACTGATAATAGATTTGAAGGAAAGAAACAAGGAAGGAAAGCCCAGGGGGCTTAGTCGTTGGGAGGCAAGGAGTCCTGGGTGCCAGGGGTGGGTCCACCCCAAGGAGTAGGTGGTAAGGGCGCTTCACATCAAATGCTGCCCAGAAAGCCAAGGCCCTGTAGGATTGAAACCTGTAGGCAGGGAACGACAGGCTGATTCAGATACGGAGCTGCAGGTTCGAGGGGGAGGCTGCAGCTGAAGGTGGCAGGAACCCAATGGGACCAGGAAGCAGGGGCTCACAGGCTCACACATCACATTCAGGGGCTGGGTCCTGCAACACCCTGCCCCCACCCCTCACTCCTGTCCCAGTCCAACATCTGCCAGCTCAGCAGTAAAAAGTACCACTGGAACGGCTTCAAAAGGGGAGGGCTCCCTTGCTACACTTCTGCTCCTCATTTGGGCTTCGAGGGTCTGGCTTGAGCAGCACAGACAGGGACGTGTCTAACCGGGATGACCATGAGGTCTCATCGCAGTTTGCCACTAACCAGGTAGGCATGCTCAGACCTCTCAGATGGAGAATGTGTAAAATGCCTGTCACGGGGCCTGATATGTACCTGTACCTGATATGTTGTACCTGGCATCTGTCATCCCAGTGGATGTGGCCACCTAAACCTACAGACCAAGAATGTCATCACCTAAATGAGTATGCAGGAAGAGCTGAAGTCAGTGAGTGGTTAAATCCCTCAGGGCTGCCAGCTTCCTCCTGGAAGTGGGTGGGGTGGGGTGGGGTGGGGTGGGGTGGGGCAGGTGGGGTGGGGACTTTAGCCTGAGCCTGAGGGGGCTGCTGACTGGCTTGGCCCCACCACAGCAACTTGGACAGACCTGGGCCAGGCAGGCACATTCACACGTAAACAAATCTCTAGCCAACTCCTGGCTGAGCATCAGGGGAAAGGGAAAGGTGATGTCTGTCTCAGCTCTCAATCACCGCACAAAGAAGTTAACAAAACCAAGAAAAGTTAAATGGGCTCAGTTCTCTTTACATATATTGCCTAATTTATGTTCCTCCTAAGGACCCTAGGAGTGCTGTTTTATTGTCTCCACCTGACAGATAAGGAAATGGCAGCTGACCCAGGTCAAGGAAGTTCCTGAGGTCCCAGGGCTGATAAGCGGCCTGACTCCACCACCAGCCCCCAGGAGGAAGCCAACCCCAGCCCTAGGAAAACCCGATTCCTGAGTGAGTGCTGTAAACCAAAAATAAAATTCTAAGCTCCCCAACTGCCTGAATGGGCCCCCCTTGGCCAAAGGGATTTCAAAAAAACTGAAAACTGAGTTCAGGCCATGACACGAAGTGGGGCGTGGGCCATGCCTCATCCTAGCCTCTCCCTTTTGGAGCTTAGACACAACTGACCAGCATTAACATTAAAACAGACTCCTAAGACTGACAGAACAGACTCTCAGCAATTAAGATACCAACTCCAACCTGACTGGTCTAACATCACATGGGAGATAACAGGCCCTAAGGAAATCAAAGTATCTTACCCCCAAGTATATTTTTGACATAGTTTGGAATGGCCCTGCAAAGCCATCTCTTGTTGGGAAAATTTATGTCCTGCAGAGATTCCCTTCCCTTTCTAGGCCTTTTCCTGATTTAGAGGAGATTTAACTAAGAGTCTGACACCTTAGAGACATTTACCATCTATTCTCTTGAAGGCTTCATCTACGTTACATGAACCTTGGCTTTCACAACCCACCTTATCTTAACCCCAAGCTTTTCTTCTGCTGACTTTTAACTCTTTAGGCAAAGTTTAACTTTTTCAGCCAATTGCCAATCAGGAAAATCTTTTAATCCACCTTACCCTGTCCCCACCAATGTATACCTTACATATATCAATTTATGTCTTTGCCTGTAACTTCTGCCTGTAACTTGGATAAAAATCAAGCTGTACCCCAATCACCTTGGGCACATGTTCTCAGGACCTCCCAGGACTATGTCACAGGTCATGGCCCTCACATTTGGCTCAGAATAAACCTCTTCGAATATTTAACAGAGTTTGGCTTTTTCATCAACAGTGCCATCACCTCAGAGCTAGGATTCCAGGGGTGGTCTGGGAAGACCCTTTCGCTGGGGGCCGGGAACAGGGGGTGCAGGGGAACATTAAGGCCAGTGTGGCAGGAAAGGTTTCCTGGACAGCCCTGGAGCAGCATGAGGTTTGGAAAGCAGACAGGCAGGCTGGCCCTAAATGGTGGAAGGTGCTCTGATTGGATCTCTGGCTTCTGGGGATAGCAGAGGGCAAACAGGACACAGGGAGTCAGGACCCAGAGCCAACCTCCCTAAGTCAGGTCCCTCAGGAGGAAGCAGGCATGTATGGAGGATGGTTCCTGCAGACCCAGTAACAGGCCGGGTGCTGCAGATGGCCAGAAGAGCCCTCAGTCCTGACTACAGCCCCATCTGACTGCCTCACCCTTCACCATAGTCTGCTCCCAGCTACCCAGGGATTCTCAGAGCCCTCCTCTGGAGACCAGTTCCACATTCTGGCCACGGGGTGACAGGAAAAGGGGGTTGTATGCTGCAGTGACTCTGCATCTAGGGTCACTTCCAGAAACAGGCCTGGTCTTGAGGTCAGGCTCCATCAAGGCTACCCTTTTGCAGCTCAGCAGGCCACGTCCAGCTTCTCTGGCTCCGAAACCCTGGGCTCCAATCCCAGTCCACAATTTCCAGTGGCCTGAGGCCCTCAGGCCCACCCTTCTAGAGAGAGCCCGAAGCCCCAAAGTTGCCCTTCCCTTAACCAGCTACAGGGCCGGGACCCTAAGGACTTAGACCCAATAATTTGAATTATAGCCCAGGCCCATTAAGACCTCATTAACTAATTAGCTGAGAGTGATAGAGTATTCACAGAGTATTCACTGGGAGGAGCAGGCCATTGGTAAGTGAGTGCTCTGGCCAAGTAACAGTATGCTAAGAAGACAAAATAGGCCAGGTGCCGTGGCCCACACCTGTAATCCCAGCACTTTGGGAGGCCGAGGCAGGAGGATCACTTGAGGTCAGGAGTTTGAGACCAGCCTGGCCAACATGGTGAAACCCTATCTCTAATTAAAAAAAAAAACAAAAATTAGCCAGGCATGGTGGCCCATGCCTGTAATACCAGCTACTGGTATTACCAGCTACCATACCGGCTGAGGCAGGAGAACCACTTGAACCCAGGAGGCGGAGGTTGCAGTGAGTCGAGATCATGCCACTGCACTCCAGCCGGGGCAGCAAAGCAAGAATAAATAAATAAATAAATAATTTATGGCATGGCGCCGTGGCTCACGCCTGTAATCCCAGCACTTTGGGAGGCCGAGGCCGGCGGATCACGAGGTCAGGAGATCGAGACCATCCTGGCTAACACGGTGAAACCCCGTCTCTACTAAAAATACAAAAAAATTAGCCGGGTGCAGTGGTGAGCGCCTGTAGTCCCAGCTACTCGGGAGGCTGAGGCAGGAGAATGGCGTGAACCTGGGAGGCGGAGCTTGCAGTGAGCCGAGATCCCGCCACTGCACTCCAGCCTAGGCGACAGAGAGAGACTCCGTCTCAAAAAAAAAAAGATAAAATAAAAAAATAATAATAATAATAATAATTTATGTCTCAAATAAATAAATAAATAATAAACTGAAGCTGGCTGGGCGCGGTGGCTCACGCCTGTAATCCCAGCACTTTGGGAGGCCGAGGCGGGTGGATCACGAGGTCAGGAGATCGAGACCATCCTGGCTAACACGGTGAAACCCCATCTCTACTAAAAATACAAAAAATTAGCCGGGCGGGCACCTGTAGTCCCAGCTACTTGGGAGGCTGAGGCAGGAGAATGGCGTGGACCCAGGAGGTGGAGCTTGCAGTGAGCCAAGATTGTGCCACTGCACCCCAGCTTGGGCAACAGAGCGAGACTCCATCTCAAAAAAAAAAATTAATAATAATAAACTGAAGCTAAGAGAGACAGGGCCAGACAAGAGAAGGGTCACTTGGCCTAAAACAGAGTCAGAAATGCCACAAAATGACTGACAAGAGCTCAGAGAAATCCAGCAGAAGAGCCACTTGAAAATTCACAAGACAGGACTGAGCCTCTGGGGTTCCAGCCACAATGCAGGACACCTCTGTTTGTAGGCAGCCATAGCACCCCACCTATCTGTATCTGTTCCATCATGCTCAGGGAGGCAGGGCTCAGATGGTCAGTGACATAAGAACTCACGGCGGGAATCAGAAGGAGGCTTTGTGTCTCTTGACTGTGGGGACAGTACTGCGTCACCCACCCTGGTGGCCCAGATTCTGAATCTACCATCCTATGGAACTGGTTCCACTTTCTGTCCTCAAAACGCTCTTCATTGACACAAAGAACCAAAGTGAAGAGAGGTGTGGCTTCAAGGAGACCTACCTGAAGGGAGTGAGGCAAAGCTGGGCAACAGTACCAAAGGGCTCTTGAACATGACGGGTGAAATCTTAGCAGGGGAAAGGTGACTGGTGCCATTTAGGAAGCCCCAAACCACACCAAGTCTACTGCCACCCTGTGTATTCATTCGCCTTCACATAGCTCTCCAGAGTGCAGAAAGCAAGCTTCTCTGATGTCCCTCTCTAACCTCATTTAATTCTCACAGCAATCCCGTGAGAGAGTGATTATCCCTGTTTTACAGAGGACAAAACTGAGGCTCAGTAGCAATGGGTCTCGGGTAAGGGACAGAACTCTCTGGTTTCTTCATCCCAACTCCTGCATCTTTCCCTGGACCAAAAGGCCTCAGGTCTTTGGCTCAAATTCAGACAAACTATTACTTCTTCTTTAGAGGTACTCGGAAGCTCCATTTCATCACAGAAGGTCTGAAACCAACAAGAAACAGTTCTGCCAATCAGGTTTATAGCCCCAACCAGCTGAGACCAGGTCCTACCAATGCTCCTAAAGTCTCAGAGCTATACTTTCTTAAATGTTCCAACATAGTTAGGAAGGAACAGTTCCGGTTGGTTTCCTGCATTATACTGCCTGGCCTTCTCTATATGTCCAATTTCACTTCCTCCAGAGATCAAGGAAGCAAAAAAAGAGAATGACTTGGATGAGACTTACGTTAAAAGAAGAAAGGGATAACCTGGTTCCACCACTCTCAAAACACTCCACCATCAGTGAACAGCAACCTCTTCTCTTGAGGGACTCCTCAGCCACTCCCCACGGCCTTCTCTCCACTGCCTGAATTGTGTAACTGGCTGTTCAGAGCCACAGCCTGGCTTTAAGCCATCCAACTGCTGTACCAATTGATGAGTCATGTTTTTTCAATTGGAAAAGAATGACAAAGTTATCCTCTGATTCAGAAAGGCAGCTGATCTTTCAGGCATGTGAGTGCTGACTGAGGAAACTGCACCTCTGTCCACCTGAGGAAAGCTGGATTTCTGTGATGGGTGGAGTGGTGGGGGTTGGAGCTTTGAAGCAATTAAATACCAGATGAAGGGTGAGAAACTTTTAGCTTGTGATTCCCAGACTCAGGGCTAGTGGATGAGGGCAGAATTGTGGAGTCAGTGAACACTAGCTATCTTTCTTTCCTCCCTCCTTCCTTCCATCCAGTATCACCCAGCTTTCCTGTATTCTTGTCCCATATCCCAGAGGATTCTAACAAGGACCAAACTCTGAATGAATGAAAACAGGACCGTTGCCTGACCCATTCACCATTGTATTTCTAGTACCTGGAACAGTGTTTGTCACACACTGGTGCTCAAAAAATAAGCTGTTGAATGAATTGATTAATAAAATAAAAACAAGGCACGGGGTAAGTACCTCCACTTCACACACTGTGGGAAGTTGGGGTATACAACTCTTAAGTGCTGGGGCAACTGTGGAGCTCCTGTCATTAAGCCAAGCTGCCAATAAGGCTGAAAACAACTTAAATATACTGCATATTAATGGGAGGACATTGAAGGTAAACAGCATTCACTTTTCAAAGGAATACGACTATAAGTGGCAAGCAGAGACAGTGTTCTTTGGGGCCCTTTAAAACTGCAATCAGCCAGGTGCGGCGGCTCACGCCCGTAATCCCAGCACTTTGGGAGGCCGAGGTGGGTGGATCACCTGAGGTCGGGAGTTGGAGACCAGCCTGATCAACACAGAGAAACCCCCATCTCTACTAAAAATACAAAACTAGCCGGGCATGGTGGTGTATGCCTGTAATCCCAGCTACTCGGGAGGCTGAGGCAGGAGAATCGCTTGAACCTGGGAGGCAGAGGTTGCGGTGAGCCGAGATCATGCCACTGCACTCCAGGCTGGGGAACAAGAGTAAACTCCGTCGAAAAAAAGAAAGAAAGAAAGAAAAAAGCTGCAATCAAATGGCCCACCCATCTGATGCCGGGTCCTCAGGATTCAGAGAAAATGTGTACCAAAAAGCCCCCAGGAAACTATAAATGCTGAGCATGGGACTTGGGTGCCTCTGGAATGTCCTTCTGCCTCAGCTACTCTGAGATAACATGGTTCCCTGTGTTCATGGAACCCAGATGGCCAAAAGTCAATGATCCAGCACTTAAAAGAAAAGAAAGCGATTCAAGAGCCTCTGTACCCACCTAGGCCTCAGCCTCCCCAGGACCTACTCACCTATACTCTTCACAACAGGTAACGTTGCCTCTGGCACCCATCATATCCCCTGAATTCAGCATCAGGACTGATCTGCCATCAGCTCTGGCAGGGAGAGGCCCTTACAAGTGCCAAGAAAAGGAACACGAACAATATTCTGTGACCACAGCCAACACCACACAGAACTTCCCAGAAGCTCTCCAGGGCGAGAACACCAACCAGAAGGAAGTGACAGCTTCCATCATTCTGTGCTAAGTGAGCTGAGTGAGTGGCCGTCTCTCACCTTCCAGATATTTGAATGATACCTACCATTCCAGCAGCCAGCACAAGTCATTTAATATGAATGCCAAAAACACAATCCCTGAGGACAGGTGCAGGAGACCAGATGCCAGGAAAAACCCCGGCCCCACCCAAGAGTTGGGGAGAGCCCACTGCTCCTCCACCCTTATTTACCACCTGAGCCCCTGCACCCGCCAATCATGCTGCTCAGTCTGTAACTGCGGGTCTGAGTGAGCACCTACATTTGGCTGTTGAGGGGCAGCTGGTGGAGTTGGCAGGCGACTCTGCACTAAGTTCTCAGGTTGAATGGGAGTTGGGTCGAGGGAAGCAATGGACGCAGAGTTGGGGTGAAGAGTTGCGGTGGGTCAGCGGGGGTGAAAGGACATGGAGATGTCATTTTTAACAAGATTGGGTGAGGGTGGTAGGAAAGGAGGCAGCAAGAGTTCGGGACAGTTTGGCAAAGACTTAGGGATGGGCTGTCCTCAGTACGGCAGGAGACGCAAAGGAAGGTATACAGTGGCTAGGAGACTAAGGACGAGAAGACACAGTTAAGACTTGGAATAAGGCTGAGATCGGAGTTATCCAGAAGAAAGCGGTGAGCTCAACAGGGCACCTACTTTGGGGGTGGGTCTTAGATGAGAGGGCGGAGGTAGAATGTTTGGGATGAGCAGATCTTGGGGAGCTGGACGGGGGATGGGGGTGACTGGGATAAGAAAGCTGAGCCAGAAAAGGGGAAACCTGAATGGTGGGTCTCGGGGAGGTAAGCGCGGAGCATCGGGATTACCAGAGGGGTGGGGAGAGAGGATGAGGTGTGTCAGGGCGGGGCGAAGGGACGTGGCCGAGATCGGTGTTGGAACTGGGGTAAAGTGGGGTCACGAGTGAAGCTGCATTTAAGCAAGACCGCTGGTGAGGGGATGCGGGCGCGGGCTGGGGGCTGGACAGACGGAGGGGACGGGGCCACAGCGGCGGTGCAGGGGGAAGGCTGGGTCGGAGAGGAGCGGGCGCGGGCTGGACAGGGCTGAGGGCCCTGAAGCCGGGCAGTCTCAGGGTAACCAGGGGCTGGGAATCGCGGAGGGAGCGGGAGGCCCACCGCCCGTTCGCGCCTCGGCCCTCCCACCACTCCGCCGCCCTCCTCGCATCTTGACCCCCTAACTCACCAAGCGGAGCGAGGAGCGAGGCGAGGGGCGCTCCCGGCCGCGGCAGCCCCTCAGCCTCCGAGCCGACGATGCGGTCTCTCGGCCACTGACAACAGGAAGCGGCGCCCCGGCCCCTGACGCCATCACGTTGGCTCGGCGCTCCGGCCCTGCCCCGGCCCGCGGTGCCAATCGCGCAGCCCGAAGGAGCCTTGGGGCGGGGCCAGCTGCTCCCGGAAGTCCCTGGGAGCTGAGCCCCGGGGCAGATGCGAGGTCTGGGAGGCTGGGGAACTGGGGGCGCCTGCAGGGCGCAGAGAGGCGAAGGCACCGGTGTCAGGGAGAACGCATCCGTTACCGCCCGCCTCCCGCAGGTCTGCGTCAAACTAGATCCTGGCTTCTGGGTTCCTGACCTCGTTTGGCCTCAGAACCATCTGTGCAACATTGGGGCTGTCACTTCGCCTCCCTCAGCTGAAGAGTTCCCACTTGTGAGTGGGACTAATAACGCCTGCCCTATCTTTGCCTCTCCGAGGGCAGCAGTGCAGCCCGTGGGGCGGAGCCCGGGCCCAAATTGGAGCCTCCGCCTTGCGCTTTCAGGATAAACATAGCTGTTTTGACCACACTTTATCCCAAGGGAACGCCTTGAGGTCCCCTTGGGCACTCTCCCGTGTGTAACTCGCCCATTAGCACCGCCTGGCTTGAAGCTTAGGGGTCTGGTTATTCTCTTCTAGCCCGTGTAGAGGATTTCTTTCTTCCTTTCTGCTTTTTTTTTGAGACAGGGTCTCACTCTGTCGCCCAGACTGGAGTGCTGTGGCACGATCACGGCTCACCACAGCTTTGACCTCACGGACTAAGTGGTTCTCCCACCTCAGCCTCCAAGCAGCTGGGACTACAGGCGTGCACCACCACGCCCAGCTAATTTTTTCTTTTTTCTTTTTTTTTTTTTTTTTGCGACGGAGTCTGGCTCTGTCGCCCAGGCTGGAGTGCAATGGCGCGATCTCGGCTCACTGCAAGCTCCGCCTCCTGGATTGACGCCATTCTCCTGCCTCAGCCTCCCGAGTAGCTGGGACTACAGGAGCCCGCCACCACGCCCGGCTAATTTTTTTATGTTTTTAGTAGAGATGGGGTTTCACCGTGTTAGCCAGGATGGTCTCGATCTCCTGACCTGGTGATCCACCCGCCTCGGCCTCCCAAAGTGCTGGGATCACAGGCGTGAGCCACCGCGCCCGGCCAATCTTTTCATTTTTAAAAAAATTTGTTTATTTTGTAGAGACAGGGGTCTCACTGTGTTACCTAACCTGGTCTCCAACTCCTGGCCTCAGGCGATCCTCCTGACTCGGCCTCCCAAAGTGCTGGGATTACAGGCATGAACCACCACACCTGGCCTGTATATCTTCTTTCTAACGCAAAAGTGACATTTCTCTTTCAGATGAACTCGGAACAAAATGTCATAAGTGGTGGCCACAGGTAGTGAAGAGCAGGGCAGGGAGTGTTGGCAGGGACCCATGCTCTGGACACTTTATACTTGCAGGCTTTGGTCAATTGGGAGCCTAGGGCCTGAGTGTGGATGAGGAGAGGTACTGCTACATGCCAGTCCTAAGTGGGCACAGGGGTTGGCTGGGGAACGGGCCAGTTCTTGGAAGCAAGCTTCACTGCCCTCGGCCTGGGCGTCCTGTGCTCTTTTGGCTTCTCTGGGTAGGAAGGTGTCCCTCTTATCTCTGCAAAGTTCAGAGTCCCACTGTCTGCTTTCAAGTATAAAACCAGCACTTGGGGGTATGACCCTGGACTGTATGAGGGCCGCCCTTTCAGTAATTCTCTCTCCAGGAGTGAGAACCTCCCCTTCTCAATTTTAGACTAGATGGGTCTGAGTGTGTTTACTGCAGTTAATGGTTGAGCAGGAAGATTAGAAATAAGGACATAGAGACAAACTATTCTCTCGGTGTTAAACTCATTTTAAACAAAGTGGAAAGTAAGGGATTTAGTAGGGAAATCCTTTCACCTTGGCAAAACGATAGTATACAACTGGCACAGCATAATCCTTGGTGGCTTGGCACAAGCATTCCCTGTCCCCCATCAAGCACATAATGTCCCTCAGTAATTCCACTGCATTTTTGTGCAGCGGCTGTGTGCTGGAGCTGTGGGGAACCCCTCGGTAATCTCTTGTCTGCTTTTTAGGAGCCCCTATCTCCTGGTCTTCTCTTACTTCCCAAGCTACCCTGCTTCTTTGAAAAGTCTTCAGGCTTGCCTACCTCTTCTCAGCTTGCTCTGCATGCCTTGGGGAAGCTGCATAAAGCATGGATCATGAAGGAGGGGGCGCAGAGGAGAGGGAAATGCATGTTTGCACAAATGGACCCTGAGCCCACCAGGCAGGCTCCAGATGGGGGGAAAAAAAAAAAAAAAAACCCTTACATTATCACGTGACTTGCGCAAGAAAAAAGGTACCTGCAAAGGGCCAAGGGACCAGAGAGGAGAACTTGAGAGGTATTCTGGAGGAGGCGACTTTTGATATGAGCTTTCTAGGTGAGTAAAGGGTATTGCAGCTGAAGGGACTGGCTGGTAAGTGGCCAGCACATAGGAATACAGGCTGAGCTCAGGGAAGGGTGCACCCAGAGGTGGGGAGGAAGGTGGGAAGTGAAAAAGGAGGCTGGGCACGGTGGGTCATGCCTGTAATCCCAGCACTTTGGGTGGCCGAAGCTGGTGGATCACTTGAGGTCAGGAGTTCGAGACCTGCCTGGCCAACATGGTGAAAGCCCATCTCTACTAAAAATACAAAAATTAGCCAGGTGTGGTGGTGTGTGTCTGTAGTCCCAGCTACTAAGGAGGCTGAGGTATGAGAATTGCTTGAACCCGGGAGGCGGAGATTGCAGTGAGCCAAGATAATGCCACTGCACTACAGCCTGGGCGACAGAGTGAGATCCTGTCTCAAAAAAAATTTTTTTTAAATAATAATAAAAATAAATAAAAATAAAAGGAAGTGAAAAAGGAAAGGGTAAGGGGAGAGGGCCAGAATGGAAGGGGAGCTGAAGACTGAGCAAGGCAAAGTTGGAGGCCAGTGCAGAAAGGGCTCAAACCATTTGCAAGGATGGTTCACATCCCACTGGTCTGTCAGCTTGGATTTAAAGCACTACCCAGCGTTATTCAAAGCCACACAGGAGAACTGTAGGCATCAGAATGCCCTGGGGACAGGTCCAAAATGCAGATTCCTAAGCCCCACACTAACCCTAAAGAGTCACTCTAGGATGAGGTCCAAGAATTTGGGCTTCACCCCACCTCTCCTGTCCCCTGCCCTCACCACTGAGGACCTAAAGGATAATGAAAGGGGGAAATCTGTGCCCTAAATAATCCCTTTTGGCAGTTACTTTCTGTTTTCAAAGTTCAAGTCTGTCCTCCGGGACTAACCTAGGAGATGAGGGATAAGGGAATTAACATTTATGGAAAATGGAAGAACATACATAGGCACCTGTGTTCACCTAATATTCCTTACCAGCCACCTGAAAGGTGGGTGCTGCCATTATCTCTATTGTATGGATGAGAAAATAGGCTTAAAAGAGGTTAAGTGGCCAGGTGCGGTGGCTCATGCCTGTAATCCCAGCACTTTGGGAGGCCGAGGTGGGTGGATCATGAGATCAAGAGATCCAGACCATCCTGGCCAACATGGTGAAACCCTGTCTCTACTAAAATACAAAGAATTAGCTGGGCGTGGTAGCACGCATCTGTAGTCCCAGCTACTTGGGAGGCTGAAGCAGGAGAATCGCTTGAACCCAGGAGGCAGAGGTTGCAGTGAACCGAGATCACGCCACTGCACTCCAGCCTGGTGACAGAGCGAGACTTCATCTCTTAAAAAAAAAAAAAAAAGAGGTTAAGTAACTTGCGGGGGGGCCACAGCCACAGAAGTAGTAAGTGCTAGAAGTAGGATTCTTACCTAGTTCTTTCTGATTCTAGTTTCAGCTTTGTTCAGTGGATTTTAGAGCCAGGGCTGTTTAGGTTTGAATCTCATCTCTATCCCATATTGTTTGCTGGGACTTCCTTAAAACAGTGTGGGGCCCAGGGCAACCCAATGAGTATGGGGCTAAGATAGCTGACAGCTGCCACCGAGTCAGCATTTTTCACAGGCCCGTTGAGATCGCACTGAAGACAGAAATTTCTAAATTGAATTTTATTGATGTTCAGGAAAGAGAAGTAAGTCACAACGCCCCTTCGCCCTCAGCCCCAAGCAGAGAGCCCAGAGTGTGTGACCTCAGGCAAGTGCCAAAACCTCTCTGAGCCTCAGTTCCTCATTGTAAATAGGGGCTAATGTCAGTTGATGTGAGGAGTAAATATCATGATATCCTGGCTGGGCACAGTGGCTCACGCCTGTAATCCCATAACTTTGGGAGGCTGAGGTGGGTGGATTACTTGAGGCCAGGAGTTCGAAACCAGCCTGGCCAACATGGTGAAACCCCATCTCTACCAAAGATACAAAAATTAGCCAGGCATGGTGGTTCATGCCTGTAGTCCCAGGTACTTGTGAGGCTGAGGCACAAGAATCGCTTGAACCTGGGAGGCTGAGGTTGCAGTGAGCTGAGATTGCGCCACTGCACTGCAGCCTACATGACAGAGTGAGACTCTGTTCCAAAACAACAACAACAAAAAAAAAAAAAAAAAAAGGAAAAGAAAAAAAGAAAAGAAAAAGATGATATCCTTAATGCAAGTTCTGGCCTGTAGTAAGTGCTCAAAGATGAACAGTTGTTACTATTCTAGTTGTGGCTAATTTTCACCCTGCCAATTGGGCAGGTCCTTGCCTTCCATTGCTCTTGTAAGCACTTGAATGAGAGCCTTTCTTGTCTGAACCCCAGATATATTCTTGCTTGGCATCTGATTGAAATAATAAAACTAGTGTTAATGCACCCTCCTCTCTGGACACTGTAATCACTGGTGTGCTCTTCAGTTCTGTTGTAGGAAGCGGTTTCTTTCCACTCTCTCTTTTTTAAAAAATTGATTAAAAAGTGTTGTTATACACACGGTTTACAATTCAATAAAATGAAACGGAATGGGGATGAAACATAACGAACAACAGCAGTTCATTGTCCCTATTGTTCCCACCCTTCTGGGGAGCAGGCTTTCAGCAGAATCTTCTGGTGCTTCTCCCCACATCTCCTGCACGTCTCATTGTTTGTATTTTATTATTTTTTTGAGACACAGTCTCACTCTGTCACCCAGGCTGGAGTGCAGTGGTGCCATCTTGGCTCACTGCAACCTCCCCCTCCTGGGTTCAAGCAATGCTCCTGCCTCAGCCTCCCTACTAGCTGGGATTACAGGCACCTGCCACCATGCCCAGCTAATTTGATATTTTTAGTAGACGCGGGGTTTCACCATGTTGTCAAGGCTGATCTCAAACTCCTGACCTCACGTGATCCACCTGCCTTGGCCTCCCAAAGTGCTGGGATTACAGGCGTGAGCCACCGCGCCCAGCTGTCTCATAGTTTTAGACACTGTCTGTTGCCTTCCTGGTAAACCTGGCAAGGACTTAGCTCTTTTACACCCCAGCCCTGTCCATTCTTGAGGTTTGGGTTTGCCACAATTTGTAGAAAATGAACAGTGTTTACAGAATTGTGACTATATAAATATTATTCACCACAGAGCTTAATAATGTGCTGTGAGGTCAGGCATGGTGGCTCACGCCTGTAATCCCAGCACTTCGGGAGGCCAAGGTGGGCGGATCACCTGAGGTCGGGAGTTCAAGACCAACCTGGCCAACATGGAGAAACCCCATCTCTACTAAAAATACAAAAATTAGCCGGTGTGGTGGTGCCCCCTGTAGTCTCAGCTACTTGGGAGGCTGAGGCAGAGAATCACTGGAACCTGGGAGGTGGAGGTTGCAGTGAGCCGAGATCATGCCACTGCACTCCAGCCTGGGCAACAGAGTGAGACTCTATCTCAAAATATAATAAAATAAAAATAAAATACACTCTGATGATGGCTGCTTCCCCCAAGGGTGCCTCAAGCTCTCTCCTTTTCTTTCAGTGCCATCTGCCATTATCGTGCCATCGTTCTCTTCCAGTGCTCTGGTGGAGCAGGTGGCGCCCAGGCCCACAGTGCCCTCTCCAAGTTCTGTCCTCCATGTGCTCAAGTTATCCCCTAAACTTGTCACATGTGGTCATCCTGGAACTTTGCTTAACTGCTTCCTGGGTTGGGGCCTTTATTTCCTGGCTCCCTTCTCTTCTTGCTTAATTTCCCCTCCCTTTGCTGCAGCACATACTCAGTTAAGAATCCCTTTCTAACATTAAAAAAAGAAAAAGAGAATAGTTCTTGGATCTCCTCATGATAGAAATTATATCTTTAGGCCGGGTGTGGTGGCTCACGTGTGTAATCCCAGCAGTTTGGGAGGCCGAGGCAGGTGGATCACTTGAGCTCAGGAGTTCAAAACCAGCGTGAGCAACATGGTAAAACCCTATCTCTACAAAAAGTACAAAAATTAGCCAGGTGTGGTTGCATGTACCTGCAATCCCAGCTACTCAGGAAGCTGAGGGAGGAGAATCTCTTGAACCCAGGAGGTGGAGGTTGCAATGAGCTCTGATCATGCCACTGCACTCCAGCCTGGGCGACAGAGTGAGACCCTGTCTCAAAAAAAACAAAATAAAGTTGTATCTTTAATATCCATTAACTGAAAAATAAAAATAAAAATAAGGACCAAAAATTACTATGAGGACACACATGCTTTTAAATGAATTTGTGTGTTATTAACCACAGTAACATCTATGAACTTGTGAAAAACTGTTACTGGTTTAGGCTTAAGGGTTTGCCCAGTCTAGCTTCAATGTTCAATGGGTGGGCACGGTGGCTCACACTTTGGGAGGTGGCCAAGGCAGGCAGATCGCTTAGTCCAGGAGTTGGAGACCAGCCTGAGCCACATAGTGAAACCCTATCTCTACAAAAAATTTAAAAATTAGCTGTGCGCGGTCACGCGCACCTGTAGTCCCAGATATTGGAGGGCAGTGGGGGTTGGCGCTGAGGTGGGAGGATCACTTGAGGCCAGAAGGTCAAGGCTGCAGTGAGCCGAGGCTGAGTCACTGCACTCCAGCCTGGGTGGCACAGCAAAACTCTGTCAAAAAAACAAAACAAAACAAAACAGACAAACAAGAACCAAAGTTGGATGCAGTGGCTCATATCTGTAATCCCAACAACTCGGAAGGCTCAGGCAGGAGGATTGCTTGAGGCCAGGAGTTCAAGGCCAGCCTGGGCAACATGCTGAGACCCTTGCCTCTGAAAAAATTAAATATTAATAAAAACAAACCCTAGTAGCTTCAGTCTTTGATTCTCCATCCCTCATTTCATCCCTTTGTCTTCTGGTAATAGAATTTCCTTCTTGTTTTTCTTTTGGGATGAGCCACCTTCGCTCCCTGGGATTCTGCTGGGATTGAGTTACCGCCTTCCGGGCTCAAGCGATCCTCCCACCTCAGCCTCCCAAGTCGCTAAGACCATAGGTGCATGCCACCATGCCTGGCTAATGTTTTGTATTTTCTGTAGAGCCGGCGTTTTGCCCTGTTGCCCAGGAGTTTTTCCTTTAATGTTCTCCTGCTACTTACTAATTCACTTTGTCACCCTGTGAGCTCATAAGAGCAGAGAGATAGCAACAGGAGCTAAAAAAACTCTAAGCTGTGAAAAAATATTAAATATGAAATCATGATAGCTATTAGCTTAATTTGTTTTAGGCAAATTGCAAAGTAATTTTTTGGGAATCAGTGTCCCACTGCAGTGATTCCATATGGGGATTCCTAATTCCCAGTATGTTTTTAAAATAATTTGTAAACACCTAGTACAAACGCATGATATGAAATTCAAGAGGTACAAAAGGGCATACAGCCCTGCACTCTCCCAGTTTCCCTCCCCGAAGGCAACCGCCATTACCAGTTTCTCGTGTGTGCTTCCAGAGGTATTCTTGTCCAACAGAACTTCAGTGATGAAAACAGTTGCCTGTGCTGCCAGTTTGGAAGCCATTAGCCACACGGGGCAGTTGAGCACTTGATATGTGGCTAGTGTGTCTTAGCAGCTGACTTTAAAAAAAATTTTTTTTTTTTTAAAGACTCAGCGTCTTGCTCTGTTTACCAGACTGGACTGCAGTGAGTGTGAACATGGCCTCAAACTCCTATTTATTTATTTTTTGAGACAGGGCCTCACTCTGTTGTCCAGGCTGGAGTGCAGTGGTGCAGTCATAGGTCACTGCAACCTTGACCTCCTGGGCTCAAGAAATCCTCCCACCTCAGCCTCCTAAGTTGCTGGGACTACAGATGAATGCCACCATGTTTGGCTGATTTTTACTATTTTAAATTTTTTGCCTGGGCGCAGTGGCTCATGCCTGTAATCTCAGCACTTTGGGAGGCTGAGGCGGGCAGATCACCTGAGGTCAGGAGTTCGAGACCAGCCTGGCCAACATGGCGAAACCTTGTCTCTACCAAAAATACAAAAATTTGCTGGGTATGGTGGTGCGTGCCTGTAGTCCCAGCTACTTGGAGGCTGAGGCACGATAATCGCTTGAACCCAGGAGACAGATGTTGTAATAAGCTGAGACTGCGCCACTGCACTGCAGCCTGGGTGACAGAGTGAGACCCGTCTCAAAAAAAATAAAAATAAATAAATTTTTTGTAGAAAAGGGGCTTCACTATGTTGCCCAGGGTGTTCTTGAACTATTGGCCTCAAGCTATCCTCCCACTTGGCCTCCCAAAGTGCTAGGATTACAGGCATGAGCCACTGTGGCCAACCTAAGTTTATATGTAAATAGCCATATGTGGCTAGTGGCTACTGTATCAGACCTCACAGTTCTGTACAGATAACGCACAGTGCACAGTAGCATACTATACACGCCCTACTAAATCTTGCTTTGTTCCCTTAACAGCACCTATGCATCTTGGAGATAGATTGTCCCAGTCTGCCTCATTTTTAAAAACTGCTGCATAATATCCTCTTGTAATCCACAAAGGCAATCCCAGACCCAGCCTGGGGGGCCATGGGTCATCACTTTTTACAACAAGCTCTAAAATCTTCCACATATACCATAATCAAGGCACTTCAGAACAACCCTAGGTTCCTCATGCCTCTACTTTTATTAGCCTGGGCCTGACATAGTTGGACATTGAATAGTCACTTCTGGGGGCTGGTGGAAATAATTTACCATGAGTGACTGCCCTAAAATATACTCTCCACCCACGTGGCCCGTGCCTGGCATTCACTAGTGCTGGTGGCATTCTTTAAGGTTGCTCATATCTCTAAGTGGTTCTCCTTTAAAGAGCAAAGTCTCCTGGGAAAGGTGGTCATTAAGCAGAACATCTGGGGCTCATCTTGCTTTTGCCCTGTTGAGAGGGGCCAAGGGACTTGGTAGAGCAGCAGGGGCTCTGACGGTGAACCTCATTGTTTTTAAAATTATTCTTAAGAGGCCAGGTGCGTTGGCTCACACCTGTAGTCCCAGGACTTTGAGAAGCAGAGGCAGGAGGATCGTTTGAGTCCAGGAGTTCAAGATTAGACTGAGCAACACGGGGAGACCTCATCTCTACAAAAAATTTAAAAGAAAATTAATTGGGCATCATGGCACGAGCCTGTGGTTCCCGCTACTTGGGAGGCTGAGGTGGGAGGATCACCTGAGCCCAGGAGGTTGAGTCTTGCAGTGAGCTGAGTTCACACCACTGTACTCGAGCCTTGATGACAGAATGAGACTGTCTCAAAAAAAAAAAAATGTCCTTAAGTCCATGTGGACCCCTGACTAGGTTTGTGCCCTAGACAGCCGTCCTCTGAGGGCAATTCAGGTGGTGAGACTCCAGGTTTAAATGGCCTCCACAGAAATTTCACTAACCTGCCTTGGTGTTTGACCCTGTATAACCCCTTTCTTCTGGAGGTCCCTTTGGGTGGCAGTAGATACAGGATTTGGTGTCTGACAGCTCTGGGGACAGATCCCAGCTCCAAATGGCAGAGTCTCTACAGATTACAAGCCAAATACTTAGCACTATGTGCTGATCTTCAGGAAGTCAGTCTATATTTCATAACAAGTCACATGGGGATAATGAAGGAATGGCCTAAAATGCTCTCAGTAATATTCCTGAGTCATCCCTCAGGGCTGGGCTTGGTGTTATGCATGGCGGGGAAGGGAGCAGAGCTGTGTGCAGAGGAAGATGCAGTTCTTGCCTTGTCAGGATCCCTGACCTGATGGCGACCCATGGTGGAGTCTTCATAGTGACAGACACCACTGTAAAAGCAGATCCAGGTTGTGCAACCCTCAAAGCAGGTCTCCTCACTCACCGGGATAGATAGACTATTGGCCGTACCTGCATCCACCGCTTGCCATGGTTTCGTTGTGGGTGGAGGATACTTTCCTGTCCCCTGGCTTTGGGTTTGCCCACGTGGCTTGCTCTGGCCTTGGAATGAAGCAGAAACGAAAGGCTGCCAGTTCCGAGCCCACGTCTGAAGTCGCCTTAGGTGGTTCCGCGGGCCCCGTGCGCTCCCACCTTCACCCAGAGGGCCTTCTCTGGTGCAGCCGCTGCTTCTTCAGCCTCCGCCCAAAAGGAACGGAGCCCCCTGGCCGATCCGCAGGCCTACAGGGAGCCACAGAGCGCAGCGGCTGGACCAGCATTCAAGCCCAAGCACAGGCCTGCGAGAACCTTGTTCGAGCCGCCGTTTAGGATGGTTGATTAGGACGCGTTGCAGTGGCGGTAGCTCACCAATCCAGTGCGTGCACCCGCTCCTTTATTAGGCTAAAGAACCAGTGGCTCCCACAGGGACCTGATACAACAGTGCGTTAAATAAGGAGCTTATTGAGCTCTCATGTCCTAAGTCAGTGGAGAAGTCCAGGGCTAGTGTGGGGGCTCCGGCGGGGGCTGTGGCCCCCATCCGCATGGAGCCTCCCCATGGTTCACAGGTCTCAGTCTTCGGAGCCTTCGGCCCTGCGAGCCCGAACGGTCCACAGGGCGGCGCCAGACCCTCTTTCGAACGCCATCCTCTTAAAGCCTCGGCTCCAACCGGTTCCACTTCTTCAGGCTCAGGATTTTCACTCTTCTCGAATGGGGGTGGCCCTCCCCCAATCTTCTGAGTCGCAACAGCATCTCCCTCCCTCCAGGACCTCAGAGCCAGAGCTGGGCGAGAGGCCCTAACCTCCGGGGTAGGGTGGAAGCGTCCCTGTGAAGGTGCAGTCCTGCCTCCCATCCCCAGGCGCCGGGCCTCTCCCACCCTCAGCGCCCTGCTCACCTCCAGCTGAAGATGCCAGGGCACCTCTGCTTCCTCCCTGCCCTCTCTGCAGTACCGCCGAGTGTGCATAAAAGGGTTTAATATAGGCTTTGCCGGGCGCGGGGACTCCCACCTGTAATCCCAGTACGTTGAGAGACCAAGGCGGGAGGATCACTTGAGGCCAGGAGTTCAAAAGCAGCCTGGGCAACAAAGTGAGGCCTGTGGAAAAAAAAAAAAAAAAAAAAAAAAAAGAATAAAAGAGGTCCCTTTTTCTGGGAGATTGATATAGGGGAGTGTGAGTTAGAAGGGAGGCATTGAGGATCAGTCATTTAAAGCAGCATCCAAGGATGTTCAAGGCTAGAGATCCACAGGTGTATTTTCAGAAACTGAATTTCCTGGCGGGGCACAGTGACTCATGCCTGTAATCCTAGCACTTTGGGAGGCCAAGGTGAGCAGATCACTTGAGGTCAGGAGTTCAAGACTAGCCTGGCCAACATGGTGAAACTGTTTTTAGAGAAAAAAAAAATTGGCCAGGCATGGTGGTGGGTGCCTGTAATCCCAGCTATTCGGGAGGCTGAGGCAGGAGAATCACTGGAACCCGGAAGGCAGAGGTTGCAGTCAACCGAGATCACGCTACTGCACTCCAGCCTGGGTGACAGAGACTGTCTCCAAAAACAAACAAACAAACACAAAAAAACCCCAAAACCCAAAACAAGCCAGGCGTGGTAGCTCGCACCTGTAATCTCAGCCCTTTGGGAGGCCAGGGCGGGTGGATTACCTGAGGTCAGGAGTTCGAGACCAGCCTGACCAACATGGTGAAACCCCGTCTCTACTAAAAATACAAAAATTAGCCGGGCATGGTGGCGCATGCCTGTAACCCCAGCTACTAGGGAGGCTGAGGCAGGAGACTTGCTTGAACCCAGGAGGCAGAGGATGCAGTGAGCTGAGATCGTGCCATTGCATTCCAGACTGAGCAACAAGAGCAAAACTCCACCTTAAAAGAAAAAAAAAAGAAAAAACAAACAAAACTCCTGAATTTCCCTGTGGATATCTTTTCTCTGGTAGCCTTTTTCAATGAGGGCTAAGTTTTCTCCAATACTATATGGCCTGCAGACCGCTCAGCTTTCATTCCAGTGAAAACATTCCAGAAAAAACTCTGAATCAATCCCAGGTGTTTCTCCAATCAGCTCAGGATGATTGTGTGTTACCTGCTGCCCAGCTAGTGACACCTCTCCAGGCCTCTGACTTAGCTAGGTCTCCATGTCACTCCACCGTAGACTCCCCGCCTTCTTCTTTTGCAAAGCCTCGGACACCCAAACACCTACCAAAAGTGGGTAGGGTGCCAGGACACCTCCAAGTGTAAGTGGGGCTCTCCAGCACACCTGGATGTGGAGGTGTGATGCAGAGTGGTGGCTGCTCGTGACACTCATTTCACCCCTTTCTGTGCAGGTGCCAGAAGCCCAGGAAGCACACATCAAGGCTCGCTTGCCAGCGGGGTGCTGCCAATAAAATGTAGTCACGTGGAATTTGGAATGTGGAAAGGAGGTAGAAGTCATCCTTTCCTCCCCCATAGCAGCAGGTGTGCAGGCTCTGGTGGTCAGCTGGACTCCATACTCCCCCACCAGTCACCAGCCTGGGGACCGTGGGGCTGCAAGGACCTCAGCAGCGGTTTCCCAAGTTTCCTGACTTCTTCCATCCTCTGGAAATCAGCTGTGGTAAAGTAGCCTGAAAGCCAGTGGTGCAACCCCTTCCCCACAACCTTCACCACCTCTAGCCCCTCCAGTGATAAGCACTAATTGCCTATATACAACCCTTTTTTGTTTGAAATATCTAATTTCTGTTTTCCTATCTGGGGTAGTGTAACATAAGAAGAAATATATATTTGGTCTCTGCCCCCAGTTCCTACCACAAAGCTCCTAAAACCCTTGGAAATTCCTGAATGATGGCGGTGCTAAGAGCATTGTCCTTTGTTAGTTTATCATTTTTCTTTTCTCCTAGGTGTTTTTTCCTTTTTAAACTTTTCTTTTAGGTTAGGGGGTACATATGCACGTTCGTTATATAGCTAAACTTGTGTCATGGGGGTTTGTTGTACAGATTATTTCATCACCCAGGTACCAAGCCTAGTACCCAATAGTTTTTTCTGCTCCTCTCCCTCCTCCCACCCTACACCCTCAGGTAGGGCCCAGTGTCTGTTGTTTATGAGTTCTCATCATTTTGCTCCCACTTACAAGAACATGCAGTATTTGGTTTTCTGTTCCTGTCTTAGTTTGCTGAGGATAATGGCCTCTAGCTCCATCTGTGTTCCTGCAAAAGACATGATCTCGCTGTTTTTTATGGTTGCACATCTTTTGTTCTAACATTTGGTCCTTAAACCTGGTTCCTGATACAGAGCTCCTAAATCCCTTGGAATTTTCTGGGTGATAGAAGCGTCCTTTGTTCTCATGAGGTGACTCTTGGTGGGCTCCTTATTTGGGGACTGGTCACCAAAAAGACCTATGGTTGGAAGCGTTGTGCTGTCAGCCCCATTCCCCATCCTCTGGCGTGGGGAATGGAGCTGGAGCTCAATCATGCCTATGTGATAAAGCCTCCAGAAAACTCCTTAAAAGACAGGACTTGGAGAGCTTCCGGGTTGGCGAACACATCCATGTTCCAGGAGAGTGGTGCACCCCAACTCCACAAGGACCCTTCCAGACCTCACCCTGTGTATCTCTTCATCTGGCTTCATCATTTGTGTCCTTTAAAATATCCTTTGTAATAAATCAGCACTAGTAAGAAAACTGTTTTCCTGGGTTCCATGAGCTGTTCTAGCAAATGTTCAAACCTGAGGAGGGAGTTGTGGGGACCTCCAATTTACAGCCAGTTGGTCAGATGCATAGGAGATGCTTGGCCTTGCACCTGGGGTCTGACATGGGGATGGTCCTGTGTGACTGAGCCCTTAACCTGTGGAGTCTGGTGCTCACTCTGCTTAGGGCTTCTCTGCCTTTTTAGTGTCCTTCTAGAAGGCCTTTCCTTCCTCTTGTCAGCTCAGAAAACTTTTCTTCCACTTCCCTTCTTCTAAACCATCCCTTACATCTACTCCTTTCCAGTCGACCAAGAGCAGAACCACGGCTGGCTCCACTGCCACCATGCTGTCCCACACTGTCTCCTCAGGATGTATTCAGATGTCCAGCCCTCCCCCCAGTCTAGGAGCCCCCCCTTTGAGGAAAGGGATGCTGGCCTAGTCAACTCTTTCCCAGCACCAGGCACAGCATCTGGCACGTTCCATCTTTTTCGTGGACTCCCCCCAGGCGGCCTGACCTTCCCTCCTCTGAACCGGTGCATTTCTTGTCTGCATCATGTTTGCCCTAATCAGATATCGCCTTATTTCCATCTTTTAAAAAATGCTTTATTTCTCTGGCAGGCTTCATCGGAATCACAATTTTCATTCATTTAGTAACTGTTGGCCTTGTATCCACCCCTCTCTGGCACTCAGGTCTCACTTAAGAGCTGGCTGTCTGAGCTGTGATTTGCGATCAGTGAGATGGAGACAGAGGCAGCCCTAGGCAGTCATGTTTTGTTCCACCTGACCCTGGGCGCCACTCCCCCTCCCAGGCTACAGGCAGGCATGGGCACCAGCCAGGGAGAGACAGCTCATCCATACTCTGGCCCAGCAGAAACTCTGGGCTTAGACAAAACTGCTCAATTGAGGACAAACTGGGCAAAGTAGAATCTTTCTTTGGGAGTTTTTAGAAATATGGTGGGGTGGCATTTGGGAATAATAAGAATAGTAGCTGGGCATGGTGGTACGCGCCTGTAGACCCCCAGCTCTGGAGGCTGAGGTAGGAGGATCTTTGGAGCCCAAGAGCTTGAGGCAGCAGTGAGCTATGAAGGCACCACTGCACTCCAGCCTGGGTGACAGATCAAGACCCTGTCTGAAAAAAAAAATGTACACATTTGAGATGCATAAAATTTTCTTGTTATATAAAAAAATTATAAGCATCGAAATGCGAAATTATGTAAATATGCCAAAATAGAAACCTGGAGGTGCTTGGAATCCAGACTTTGAGAGCCCAGCAGTGGAAGGATCTCTAGTGTTGGCTTTTTTTTTTTTTTGAGATGGAATCTCGCTCTGTTGCCCAGGCTAGTGTGCAGTGGCCCATTATAAGCTCACTGCAAGCTCCGCCTCCCAGGTTCAAGCAATTCTCCCTCCCTCAGCTTCCTGAGTAACTGGGATTACAGGCGTGCATCACCACCCCCAGCTAATTTTTGTAATTTTTAGTAGAGACAGGGTTTTGCCATATTGGCCGGGGTGGTCTTGAACTCCTGCCTCAGGTGGTCCACCTACCTCAGCCTCCCAAAGTGCTGGGATTACAAGCATGAGTCACTGCAACCGGCCTTGTCTTGGCTTCTTCTCAGCTCCCTGCTTATGTCCAACACTCACCCCTATTAGAGCTGGTGTGGGGAGCTTCTGTTCTGATGACTTAACAGTGTAATTATAGTGCTTAGCGCTGTACCTGGACCACAGCTGGTGCCAATAAACAGGAGCTGCCATCCATCTGCATGTTATTGTTATATTAACTCTTTGATGGCAACCATGGCTTATCCCCCCATCTCCCCATGCCCTACAGCAGGGCAGTAGAATGGTTAAGAGGCTTTGAAGTCTAACAGTGCTAGCTTAAAACCCTAATTTGTTGCTTTGTATGTGTGGCTTTGGACACTTTGGGCAGGTCACCTTCGTTCTTCGAGCCCTGTATCCTTATCTGTCAGATGATGATTTTTTTTTTTTTTTTTTTTTGAGATGGAGTCTCACTTGCCCAGGCTGGAGTGCAGTGGCGTGATCTCAGCTCACTGTAAGCTCCACCTTCCAGGTTCACACCATTCTCCTGCCTCAGCTTCCTGAGTAGCTGGGACTACAGGCTCCTGCCACCACGCCCGGCTAATTTTTTTGTATTTTTAGTGGAGACAGGGTTTCACCATGTTAGCCAGGATGGTCTCAATCTCCTGACCTCGTGATCCGCCCGCCTCAGCCTCCCAAAGTGTCAGATGATTTTAACAACTATGCTTCCATGACTTGCTGGGCTAGATGATATGACTGTAAAATGCCAAACCCACGGTTTAGCATCAAGTAAGCAAATTGTAAATGGTAGCGCTGCTCTGCCTATGACTAGTCTTGTGCTTTAAACTCAAATATTTGTTGGCCTACTGAAGTCACCACACAGAGAAAGATGCTTTTCATTCTCAGTAAAGAACTTTGGGAGATAACTGGGGCAGGCAGCAAGAGAACAGATGTCATATGTCTAGCATCAGCAAACTCATCGGAACTGATGGGCAGCTCACTTTGCTTAGAACCTGCACCAGCATACACACGGGGCTGCTTCCCAGTCACACTGCTCCTGGGAAGGTAGGGGGGCTGCTGTTCTGCAATTAGCGTGGTTCTTTACCTCCTATTACTGAACTGCCAGAGTTCATTTGTGTTCAGTTAGGTAGATGACCAATTCTTGTTCATTCCTATTTTCTTTTGCTCACTAATGTGTTTAACATTCACTAACCTACCAAATGTGATTTATTAGCGACTTTTTCTTTGAAGATGGAGTGGAGGAATCCTAGCACTTTCTGCAACATTCTACTGCTGTTATGGAACAGTGCAGTTATGGATGAGCGTCAGCCGGGGATGGGGAGAGGCTAGGGCAGTACATGTGAATTGAGAGGTAGCCCCACCAGTGTGTTTTCTGAAATACAGTCCCACAGAGGGCAGTCTTGGGAAATTACTGTTCTCACACTCTTCTTGACTCTACCCCTCCAGCACCTCCCTGCTATCCAAGGGTTGGGATTTTTAAAAAGAAAAACAAATTTTTAAAAAAGCAATGTGAATCTTTTGCCATCTTGTAAGGGTGAAAAGCCCCCTACCAAGTCGGGATGAACACTCATGCGTGTGCTTGAGGGCTTGGGAAAAAGACAGGGCTTGGCCCCACAGTGCAGGTAGGCCCAGTGATCCTATGATAGGGGCCAGGAGATGGGAGGTCCCCTGTGGGCAGGAGTTCAAATCTGTGGTATTATATGACTGATGCTTGATGAAGCAAGGGAGAGGGCACCAAAAACAATGGTAATTGTAAAATCTCCACCCCCTGAGGATATGTTTTCAGGTCTGGGTGACTAATTAGACTGGGAAACAAGGGCAGGAACGATGGCCCTGTGCTTGCTCTGCCCGCTGCCTCTGTGGATGTGTGGGCCGCTGGCTTCAGTCCTGCTTTTCTTTCTGATGGTATTGTTTATGCTATGTGTTTTTGCAGGAGGCCTGAGGTGGGCTGGGTTCTCCTCCTATGGCAGGGCTTCACTCTCCTCCCCCTTCTCTGTTGGGGCTTCGCTGTCCCTGGGATAAGAATAACAATGCCAAGGTTTTGATTCTTGAAAGGAGCAATTAAGCTTCTCACCCCCTCCTCATTTTAGATGGGACCTGTGAGGGCTCCGTCATTTACCCAGGGTCCCTGTTGAGGATCTCGTCCTCATTAGATGACTTCTTGTGCAGCTTCCATGCGTGATTATTTACTCTTGTGGCACTGAGAGGTTTGTACATATCTTTAAGCCAGAGCGGCCGTCTGAATGAAAAAAGTCCATCCTAGAAGATAGAAAGGGAAATACTAATTTTGCATGTCCTCTGCCTTCCCTGGCCACAGCAATGAATCCTCCAATGTACCTGACTCTCCCTTCGTGAAGAGCATCTCCTCCGTGGCAGAAACCTGAAAATGCCCCTGGGGAGACACATGCACAAGACAGTGAGTGATGCAGCCATTTCCCACGTATCTCACAATGTACTTCTCTGGTCTTACTAGGACTAAATGAGTATCTCAGTCCATAATCACAGGGAGAAGAACCACCACAGACCACATACCTGGGGTCTTGAAAATAATTCCATGCATGTGGGACTTTCAGAAGCTCTCCCATGTCTGTCCAGAAGGGCCCCACAATATAATGGGGGGACTTTGTATGTGGCTCAGCATGGAGCAGGGGCAGGATGTTCAGTCCCACTCACTCCCTTGGCCAAGTGCCCTTGTGCAGTGAACAAACTGCACAACCATGCTGGGCGGAAGCATTTTATATCAGTCCCCTTTGGACTTAGTCTCACAGGCATCATTTGATGGGGGGGTGGGAGATGAAGTGGTTCTTCCTTTTCTAGATACTTTATTCTATAAGTTGGATCACCTCAAGCAAATGTCTGAGTGCAGCTAGCCAAGTTCTCTATCTCAGTCTTCATACGGCTGGCTGTCGCTGATGAGTGAGTGAGCTACGAAATCAGCTTAAAGCACAACATGTTATTTTTGAATTTGAATAAAATAGGAAAAGGCAGAGTGCATTGTGTGACCATGGGGTAAGACACTCTCCCTTTCTCCTTCTCAGTTTTCCTGTCATAAAAGGACAAACTACTATCTAAGGTCTCCGTAGTTAAAATTCTTTTTTGTTGTTTTTTTTATTTGAGACAGTTTGGCTCATTCCCCAGGCTGGAGTGCAATGGTGCTATCTTGGCTCCCTGCAACCTGTGCCTCCTGGGTTCAAGCAGTTCTCCTGCCTCAGCCTCCCAAGTAGCTGGGATTACAGGCCTGCGCCACCACACCCAGCTAATTTAGTATTTTTAGTAGAGATGGGGTTTCACCATGTTGGTCAGGCTGGTCACGAGCTCCTAACCTCAAGTGATCCCAAAGTGCTGTGATTACAGGCGTGAGCCATCCTGCCTGGCCTTTCTGGTTAAAATTCTGTGAGGTTTGCCTAAAAGGAATAGAGTAGGGACACAAAAACCAGTAAGATGAGAAAATAGTGTTTCCTCAGTTCTAGGATCCAGGGGAAAAAATAAATAAATAAAAGAGAAAATACTGTTTCCTGCCACTTAAGAGGAAGGACTCACATATCCTACCTTCCATCAGCCTTGAAGGAGACAAGTGCCCTCTCTCTCACACCCGGTGGCCTTCCCTTCCCCTTTCCCAGAGCCTCCAAGAAGGCCCCTGGCCTGGCCTGATGCCCACCATCAGCAGCAATAGGCACCAAAACCTTTCTCCTTCCTATCCCTCCCCACCTCCCGAAAGGGCTGGGGACAGCAGGTGTGTCCTTGTTAGTTCCATCCAGCTCAGCTTTGGCTGGGGAGCTAATTTCACTGGAGCCAGGCTAAGCATTAGGGTAAGTAAGTATTTGTCCTGTCTTGGGCAGTTTCCTCACTGAAAAATGAGGGCAGAGTTCTAAGCCCTCCTCTAATTCTAAAATTCTAATTAAAACGTCGCGAGACTAGTGGTGGTGCATGCCTGTAATCCCAGCTACTCGGGAGGCTGAGGCAGGAGAATCGCTTGAACCTGGTAAGTGGAGGTTGCCGTGAGCCGAGATCGCGTCATTGCACTCCAGCCTGGCAACAAGAGGGAAACTCCGTCTGAAAAGAAAAGAAAAAAAAAAATCACCAGACTAATATTTACCTTGAGAATCCTTCTTCATCTTCTTGTAATGACCTTCGGTGACAACACATCTGTTTTAGAAGAAAACGCAATTAAGATTATCTATGACAACAACCACCATCTCCAAATCTGTATTGATTCATTTTATTCATTATAAGTCTCATCTACCTGATGAGGTAACTTTTTTGAAGACAGGAATTGCATACTGTGTAACACTGCTTTGATTCTTCCATAGTTCAGTCATCCTTGCTATCTTGCGGGGGATTGGTTCTAGGATACCGCCCCCACACCATACCAGAATCTGTGGATGCTCAATCCCTTACACATAATGGTGTAGTATTTGCTTATAACCAACACGCATCCCCCCTATACTTTATTTACTTAGCGACAGGATTGCCCTCTGTTGCTTACGCTGGAGTGCAGTGTCATCCTCTGTTACTCAGGATGGAGTGCGGTGTCATGATCACAGCTCACTGTAGCCTCAACCTCCTGGGCTCCAGTGATCCGCCCACCTCAGCCTCTTGAGTAGCTGAGACTACAGGTGCATACTACCACACCTGGCTATTTTTTTTTTTAATTTTTAATAAAGACAAGGTCTCACTATGCTGCCCAGGTTGGCCTCCCAATGTGTTGGGATTACAAGTGTGAGCCACCATGCCTGGCCCCATGTAATTTAAGTCATCACTAATAAAATGTATACATATTGTACAGTGGTGACAGTTGTTATATTGTACTTTCTGTTTGTATTTTTATTGTTTTTTTTTCTTCAAATATTCAGCCTGATCTAGTTGAATCTGAAGATGTGGACCTGCTGATGAAGAGGGCTGACTGTATCTAACTTAGGGTCTTGCATGCAGCTGGCACTTAATACATTTTATTGACTGTTTTAGATAACATTCAACAGATAATTCCTAATAAAAACTCTTAAAAGTAGGAGAAAAAGGAAACCTGAGTCCTTCCTCTGAAGTGGCAGGAAAACTAGCCTGGGCAACATAGCAAGACCTTGTCTCTACAAACACATTTTTTAAATTAGCTGCCTGCCTGTAGTCCCAGCCACTCAGGAAGCTGAGGCAGGAGGATCCCTTAAGCCCAGGAGTTTGATGTTACAGTGAGCTAGGTCACACCATTGCTCTCCAGCCTGGGTGACAACAAGGCCCTGAGAAGGGAAAAAAAAGGAAAGGAAAGGAAAGGAAAAAGGAAAAGGGAAAGGAAGGAAAGAGTAGAAGTATTGGAAAGGAAGAGACAAAACTATCATTATTTGCATATTAAATGAAAAATGTTAGCCAAAGAAGCCTAAGAGAATCAACTAAGATTTTACTGGAAGTAATGAGAATTCAATACAGTGGCTATCTACAAAATCAAGAAATCAGCACACAAACCTCAAATACTTTTCCCATGTACCACCAATAACTAATTAGAAAATGGAAGAAAGATCCCATTTACAATGGCAATACAAATGTATGAAGAATTTAGGAACAAAAATACAAAGATCTTTTATCTAATAAAAGATGTGTAAGATCTATATATGGAAACACTAAAGCTCTTCTGAAAGACATTAACAAGAAATGAATACATGACATGAGATAGCACGTTCCTAGAATGTTCTACAGATGTAAATTCTCAAATTAATCTACAAATTTAACATAATCCTATTCAAATCCCAAGATAGTTTTTGGTGGTGGTTGTTTTTAAGACAGGGCCTCGCTGTGTTGCCCAGGCTAGAGTGCAGTGGTACGACCACAGCTTACTGCATTCTCGACCTCCCAGGCTCAAGCGATCCTCCCACTTCAGCCTCTGAAGTCTCTCATATGGTGTCCAAGAAATGGTGACAAATCTCACAAAGGGACTAGGCTCAGCAGGGCTGGAATATTCAGGGAAGGTGTCAAGAAGAAAGATGAACTTGAGTTGGCTTTTGAGAGATGCATAGGACTCCCACAGGCAGAGTGAAATAAGGGCATTTTAGATGGACAAACACACAGACAAAAGCAGAAATGTGGGTGGTGTGACTGGGGTATGGTGAGGGGCTGCTGTGGCTGGAATGGAGGGCTGCCACAATAATGGAAATGGTAAATGAGGCAAATAAGGTTGGACTGGTGGCATAGCGTCAAGGTTGCCAGCTTTATTAAATCACTCTTCCAATATGCTAGCACTGGCCTGTTGGGAAAAGTAATATATCATGTAATCGAACAAAAGACAAACAGAGGCAAGCTCCAGGAATGGGCACTGTAAACAGGACTTGCCCCAGAGTAGCCAGATGTAGGCTTTAGATAAGTTGATGCAGGCTGAGCATCTCTAATCTGAGGGGGAATGTCTCACGTGGTGTCCAAGAAATGGTGACACATCTCACAGAGGGTCTAGGCTCAAGAGGGCTAGAGTATGAGACGTTCCCCCTCGCCTGCGAACTTAAAAATGTGGCCAACAATTTTTGTAAAAGATGGCTACTCTGTAGTGCTTTAACTGGACCTATTTAGACAATGCCTTACACACTGGAGGACGATACTGTGTAAATCTAATAAGTCTACAAGACAATACTTCTGTCTTTTGGCTCTCTCCTTCCTCTCCAGGGTGATGACAAATCCGTGAGGGTGGAGATTATACCTCTCTCATCATTTCAGCACCAAGGAAATAAATTAGTGGCAGAGTAAGGGTGACTTGATGAGTACATCCAATTGTTGACATAGTTTTGGGTGGAGAAATTTTGCTATTATATCGACTTCTTAAAATAGTCTAGTGGGATTAACTTGGTTTCAATTCACAGAGATCTGGAAGCGAGGATCTTTTAAAAATCCTGAAATATACACTGCAATAAAAGAACAAAGCATACACCTCAGCCTTAAATGACTGAAGAAGTATGTCAAGTAGCAGCAGGTGGGAAAGTGGCTTTGGTTTTCAGTTTGTGAGCTCTGAATCCACACAAAAACAGGACTGCATTCTGAAAACCTGAATTAATTATTGTCCTTACCACAATGAGGCAGAAAAGTATAATCAAAATCATTAGTATTTCAGTCACAATTAATGCCAAGATGAGTTTGTCAGTATAGCCGTATCCTGGAACTTCTTTTGTGAGCTAAAAAAAACAAAAAAACAAAAAAAAAACACACCAGAATGAGAGCTAACTATTCAAAACCCCAGTATTCCAGGTGAGTAGCTTACAGGTTCTATTTTATTTTTTTGAAAGAGGGTCTCACTCTGTTACCCAGGCTGGGGTACAGTGGTGCAATCACCGTTCACTAGACTCGACCTCCCTGGGCTCAGGTGATCCTCCCACCTCAGCCTCCCAAGTAGCTGGGACTACAGGCACGTGTCATCAACCCAGCTAATTTTTTTATTTTTTGTGGAGACAGGCTTTCACTATGTTGGCCAAGCTGGTCTCAAACTCCTGACTTCAAGTAATCCACCCACCTTGGCCTCCCAAAGTGCTGAGATTACAGGCATGAGCTACCACCCCCGGCCTACAGTTCATCTTGTGCCCTAATCTATATTTCACTCTCTACATGAGCAAAGTGGGAGATCACTGTCATGACCAAAGTTACATGGCCAAGATAAGCTATGGCCTGGGAGTCCCAGATTCTTCTGTGTGGGCACTTTCCTGGGATATGCTAAATGATGGGAAATCTGGGTCTCATGTTTCTGTGTGGTCCTCACCTCAAGCGACTTCTCTTTCTGTTCACTCTGGGCTTCCGTGCTCTCATTAATGTAGTTCTCAGTCTTCCATTGGTCCGTATCCCATTCTATCTCAGATGCCTTTACTTCCTGCTGCCCACTGAGAAGCTTCATCAGGTGGCCTGTCCTGGAGATGAGCTTGGCACAGGTCACTTGCACATGGGCCCCAGAGCAGTCCATCTTCAAGGTCCGGATAACATGAGAAATGAGCCTTCTCACATTGTTGTTGGGGATAAGGGACTGTAGCTGCTGGGTTAGCTGAATTTCAAACTGAGCAATGGGTAATTGAAGCTTTTGGGCTCGGGGGACAGGTCAGTGCCCACGTTGTTGTATTCCCATTTTGTCTCAGTTTGTTTAACAGTTGGCCCTAAGTTGAATGCAGTCCCAGCGGAATCTGCCTCAGGAGGATGATTGTAGTTTGTGTTTTCAGAGATGGTGACTTCTGGCATGTTAGTGTTTTCCATAAAAACATTTTCTTCCAAGGCATTTCTTGCAGTTGTGTCTTTTATATTAGTGGTTTCTATAAAATGTTCTGAAGGAGCAGATACTTCCAGAAAAGGGTTTTCTTGAGGACTCAGGTCTCCTAAGGATGAAAAAGCCCCTTGTGAAAGGGAATTTATGAGGCTCTTCGCTGCAGAGAACGGAGGCCTGTTTGCGAGCATCAGTCTACTCAGATAACTTTTCTTTCTGAACTTTGGACTCTTTTTGACCTTGGGTGTTCTGTGGGTCATGCGGAGCGAGTTTTGTGAAAGCGGTATTTTTTTCTGGAATGTGAAATTGGTTTAGAAGCCTTCATATTTGTAACTCTAGCCTTTGCACTTTCTAAAATGGAAATAGTGTGTGTTGTCTTTCAATCTGTCTCTCACCTGTGGTAGGGCTTTTGCAGGGCTGGAGGTAGAAGGCGCGCCCTTGGAGAAGGGTGTCAGCACAGAGACTGCTGCCTTATGCTCTTGGCTGAACGAAGGCTTGGTGTAGATGGCGTTTCCCGCTAACTTCTCAGGCCCCTGCTGTGTGTGAGGCTGTTCCAGCTCCCTTGGGGCTGGACTCCCGAGCCTTTTTTCTTCGGCAGCGTTCTCCACAGATGCCTGGGCACCCTGTTCCCTCCTGATGCTCTGCCTTCCCACCTCTTTGAAGTGCCTTTTCTGGATGCTCATTGGGCCCATGAGGACTCTATTCACTTTTTGCCAGTTTTGGCCTACAGTTTGAATCTTTGCCAGGCTGTTTCCTGTGGTTGGCAGTTTAATGAACGGTAGTAACATTGATTCCACATCTAGGTTTACTGCTGAGAAATATGGCAAATGTAACTTAGTGCACTGATAACATCACTCTCGTCATTGGTGTCTAGCTGCTCACTCCCAAAGCCTGACAAGTTGATGCCACTGCTGTCTGAGGGCTCCTCCGGCTCAACAGTCAGCTCAGTGCTTGTGTAATTCTTCCGGGCTTGTAACATCTTCATGAATGCTCCTTCTGGATTCCCTACAGATTCTTCTTCAGCTGTCAAAAAAGAGACTGCTTTGCTCGTGAAAGATGATGGGATGGGATGCATCAGTCCATAGCTGTACACCCCAGTCACGCAGAGTAGGAGTCAGCAAACATTTGAGTGCCATTCAGAGAGGAGACACACACACCCAATCCTAAACCTATGAAATGGCAACAACAAAAGGAGAAAATATATCTTTTGAAAACACGGCCATCTACTTGGAACATTCCATAGTGTGACATAGAGTAACTCTGCTTAGGATTATTTCATTGATCCCCAGGGTCCAATTGCCCAGTGCTCAGTCAAAGCCCAAGGTGGAAGACAAGTGCTTCCCTGATGAGCTGATGAGCTGGCCTCTCTGCAGACTGCTCCATACCCTGTGCTGTCCTGCCTCAGATGCAGAGAGAGCACAAGGCTCCCGCTCTCCTCGTCCTCGGTGCGCCTGTGTTCTTGCTACCATCACAGCTGAATGCAATGAAAGGCGGTCCTCTGAGAGGAGCAGGGTGGAGATGCTAAAGTGGAGGCCCCCTCCCATTGCTGATAGATCCTCATCTGGCATGCGCTCCACCCTCCCCATTCTCTGCTCCCACATATCGTAGCCCCATCACAGAAGATGCGACATGGAAAAAAGCACTGTGTCCACCCTAGTTCTTAAATTTGGGCAGGGATTTGGGGTGTATGTTAAGAGTTTTTCAAATTTGCCAGATTGTATGCCTATGTTGTTAAATACACAGTGAATCTCTGGTATGATAGCAGTTTCTGGTGGGAGATGCATAGGACTCCCACAGGCAGAGTGAAATAAGGGCATTTTAGATGGACAAACACACAGACAAAAGCAGAAATGTGGGTGGTGTGACTGGGGTATGGTGAGGGGCTGCTGTGGCTGGAATGGAGGGCTGCCACAATAATGGAAATGGTAAATGAGGCAAATAAGGTTGGACTGGTGGCATAGCGTCAAGGTTGCCAGCTTTATTAAATCACTCTTCCAATATGCTAGCACTGGCCTGTTGGGAAAAGTAATATATCATGTAATCGAACAAAAGACAAACAGAGGCAAGCTCCAGGAATGGGCACTGTAAACAGGACTTGCCCCAGAGTAGCCAGATGTAGGCTTTAGATAAGTTGATGCAGGCTGAGCATCTCTAATCTGAGGGGGAATGTCTCACGTGGTGTCCAAGAAATGGTGACACATCTCACAGAGGGTCTAGGCTCAGGAGGGCTAGAGTATGAGACGTTCCCCCTCGCCTGCGAACTTAAAAATGTGGCCAACAATTTTTGTAAAAGATGGCTACTCTGTAGTGCTTTAACTGGACCTATTTAGACAATGCCTTACACACTGGAGGACGATACTGTGTAAATCTAATAAGTCTACAAGACAATACTTCTGTCTTTTGGCTCTCTCCTTCCTCTCCAGGGTGATGACAAATCCGTGAGGGTGGAGATTATACCTCTCTCATCATTTCAGCACCAAGGAAATAAATTAGTGGCAGAGTAAGGGTGACTTGATGAGTACATCCAATTGTTGACATAGTTTTGGGTGGAGAAATTTTGCTATTATATCGACTTCTTAAAATAGTCTAGTGGGATTAACTTGGTTTCAATTCACAGAGATCTGGAAGCGAGGATCTTTTAAAAATCCTGAAATATACACTGCAATAAAAGAACAAAGCATACACCTCAGCCTTAAATGACTGAAGAAGTATGTCAAGTAGCAGCAGGTGGGAAAGTGGCTTTGGTTTTCAGTTTGTGAGCTCTGAATCCACACAAAAACAGGACTGCATTCTGAAAACCTGAATTAATTATTGTCCTTACCACAATGAGGCAGAAAAGTATAATCAAAATCATTAGTATTTCAGTCACAATTAATGCCAAGATGAGTTTGTCAGTATAGCCGTATCCTGGAACTTCTTTTGTGAGCTAAAAAAAACAAAAAAACAAAAAAAAAAACACACCAGAATGAGAGCTAACTATTCAAAACCCCAGTATTCCAGGTGAGTAGCTTACAGGTTCTTTTTTATTTTTTTGAAAGAGGGTCTCACTCTGTTACCCAGGCTGGGGTACAGTGGTGCAATCACCGTTCACTAGACTCGACCTCCCTGGGCTCAGGTGATCCTCCCACCTCAGCCTCCCAAGTAGCTGGGACTACAGGCACGTGTCATCAACCCAGCTAATTTTTTTATTTTTTGTGGAGACAGGCTTTCACTATGTTGGCCAAGCTGGTCTCAAACTCCTGACTTCAAGTAATCCACCCACCTTGGCCTCCCAAAGTGCTGAGATTACAGGCATGAGCTACCACCCCCGGCCTACAGTTCATCTTGTGCCCTAATCTATATTTCACTCTCTACATGAGCAAAGTGGGAGATCACTGTCATGACCAAAGTTACATGGCCAAGATAAGCTATGGCCTGGGAGTCCCAGATTCTTCTGTGTGGGCACTTTCCTGGGATATGCTAAATGATGGGAAATCTGGGTCTCATGTTTCTGTGTGGTCCTCACCTCAAGCGACTTCTCTTTCTGTTCACTCTGGGCTTCCGTGCTCTCATTAATGTAGTTCTCAGTCTTCCATTGGTCCGTATCCCATTCTATCTCAGATGCCTTTACTTCCTGCTGCCCACTGAGAAGCTTCATCAGGTGGCCTGTCCTGGAGATGAGCTTGGCACAGGTCACTTGCACATGGGCCCCAGAGCAGTCCATCTTCAAGGTCCGGATAACATGAGAAATGAGCCTTCTCACATTGTTGTTGGGGATAAGGGACTGTAGCTGCTGGGTTAGCTGAATTTCAAACTGAGCAATGGGTAATTGAAGCTTTTGGGCTCGGGGGACAGGTCAGTGCCCACGTTGTTGTATTCCCATTTTGTCTCAGTTTGTTTAACAGTTGGCCCTAAGTTGAATGCAGTCCCAGCGGAATCTGCCTCAGGAGGATGATTGTAGTTTGTGTTTTCAGAGATGGTGACTTCTGGCATGTTAGTGTTTTCCATAAAAACATTTTCTTCCAAGGCATTTCTTGCAGTTGTGTCTTTTATATTAGTGGTTTCTATAAAATGTTCTGAAGGAGCAGATACTTCCAGAAAAGGGTTTTCTTGAGGACTCAGGTCTCCTAAGGATGAAAAAGCCCCTTGTGAAGGGGAATTTATGAGGCTCTTCGCTGCAGAGAACGGAGGCCTGTTTGCGAGCATCAGTCTACTCAGATAACTTTTCTTTCTGAACTTTGGACTCTTTTTGACCTTGGGTGTTCTGTGGGTCATGCGGAGCGAGTTTTGTGAAAGCGGTATTTTTTTCTGGAATGTGAAATTGGTTTAGAAGCCTTCATATTTGTAACTCTAGCCTTTGCACTTTCTAAAATGGAAATAGTGTGTGTTGTCTTTCAATCTGTCTCTCACCTGTGGTAGGGCTTTTGCAGGGCTGGAGGTAGAAGGCGCGCCCTTGGAGAAGGGTGTCAGCACAGAGACTGCTGCCTTATGCTCTTGGCTGAACGAAGGCTTGGTGTAGATGGCGTTTCCCGCTAACTTCTCAGGCCCCTGCTGTGTGTGAGGCTGTTCCAGCTCCCTTGGGGCTGGACTCCCGAGCCTTTTTTCTTCGGCAGCGTTCTCCACAGATGCCTGGGCACCCTGTTCCCTCCTGATGCTCTGCCTTCCCACCTCTTTGAAGTGCCTTTTCTGGATGCTCATTGGGCCCATGAGGACTCTATTCACTTTTTGCCGGTTTTGGCCTACAGTTTGAATCTTTGCCAGGCTGTTTCCTGTGGTTGGCAGTTTAATGAACGGTAGTAACATTGATTCCACATCTAGGTTTACTGCTGAGAAATATGGCAAATGTAACTTAGTGCACTGATAACATCACTCTCGTCATTGGTGTCTAGCTGCTCACTCCCAAAGCCTGACAAGTTGATGCCACTGCTGTCTGAGGGCTCCTCCGGCTCAACAGTCAGCTCAGTGCTTGTGTAATTCTTCCGGGCTTGTAACATCTTCATGAATGCTCCTTCTGGATTCCCTACAGATTCTTCTTCAGCTGTCAAAAAAGAGACTGCTTTGCTCGTGAAAGATGATGGGATGGGATGCATCAGTCCATAGCTGTACACCCCAGTCACGCAGAGTAGGAGTCAGCAAACATTTGAGTGCCATTCAGAGAGGAGACACACACACCCAATCCTAAACCTATGAAATGGCAACAACAAAAGGAGAAAATATATCTTTTGAAAACACGGCCATCTACTTGGAACATTCCATAGTGTGACATAGAGTAACTCTGC
This sequence comes from Homo sapiens, assembly GCF_000001405.40. Lineage (NCBI taxonomy): Eukaryota > Metazoa > Chordata > Mammalia > Primates > Hominidae > Homo > Homo sapiens. Next base: position 209,770 of record NT_187663.1, read on the forward strand.
TTAGGATTATTTCATTGATCCCCAGGGTCCAATTGCCCAGTGCTCAGTCAAAGCCCAAGGTGGAAGACAAGTGCTTCCCTGATGAGCTGATGAGCTGGCCTCTCTGCAGACTGCTCCATACCCTGTGCTGTCCTGCCTCAGATGCAGAGAGAGCACAAGGCTCCCGCTCTCCTCGTCCTCGGTGCGCCTGTGTTCTTGCTACCATCACAGCTGAATGCAATGAAAGGCGGTCCTCTGAGAGGAGCAGGGTGGAGATGCTAAAGTGGAGGCCCCCTCCCATTGCTGATAGATCCTCATCTGGCATGCGCTCCACCCTCCCCATTCTCTGCTCCCACATATCGTAGCCCCATCACAGAAGATGCGACATGGAAAAAAGCACTGTGTCCACCCTAGTTCTTAAATTTGGGCAGGGATTTGGGGTGTATGTTAAGAGTTTTTCAAATTTGCCAGATTGTATGCCTATGTTGTTAAATACACAGTGAATCTCTGGTATGATAGCAGTTTCTGGTGGGAGATGCATAGGACTCCCACAGGCAGAGTGAAATAAGGGCATTTTAGATGGACAAACACACAGACAAAAGCAGAAATGTGGGTGGTGTGACTGGGGTATGGTGAGGGGCTGCTGTGGCTGGAATGGAGGGCTGCCACAATAATGGAAATGGTAAATGAGGCAAATAAGGTTGGACTGGTGGCATAGCGTCAAGGTTGCCAGCTTTATTAAATCACTCTTCCAATATGCTAGCACTGGCCTGTTGGGAAAAGTAATATATCATGTAATCGAACAAAAGACAAACAGAGGCAAGCTCCAGGAATGGGCACTGTAAACAGGACTTGCCCCAGAGTAGCCAGATGTAGGCTTTAGATAAGTTGATGCAGGCTGAGCATCTCTAATCTGAGGGGGAATGTCTCACGTGGTGTCCAAGAAATGGTGACACATCTCACAGAGGGTCTAGGCTCAGGAGGGCTAGAGTATGAGACGTTCCCCCTCGCCTGCGAACTTAAAAATGTGGCCAACAATTTTTGTAAAAGATGGCTACTCTGTAGTGCTTTAACTGGACCTATTTAGACAATGCCTTACACACTGGAGGACGATACTGTGTAAATCTAATAAGTCTACAAGACAATACTTCTGTCTTTTGGCTCTCTCCTTCCTCTCCAGGGTGATGACAAATCCGTGAGGGTGGAGATTATACCTCTCTCATCATTTCAGCACCAAGGAAATAAATTAGTGGCAGAGTAAGGGTGACTTGATGAGTACATCCAATTGTTGACATAGTTTTGGGTGGAGAAATTTTGCTATTATATCGACTTCTTAAAATAGTCTAGTGGGATTAACTTGGTTTCAATTCACAGAGATCTGGAAGCGAGGATCTTTTAAAAATCCTGAAATATACACTGCAATAAAAGAACAAAGCATACACCTCAGCCTTAAATGACTGAAGAAGTATGTCAAGTAGCAGCAGGTGGGAAAGTGGCTTTGGTTTTCAGTTTGTGAGCTCTGAATCCACACAAAAACAGGACTGCATTCTGAAAACCTGAATTAATTATTGTCCTTACCACAATGAGGCAGAAAAGTATAATCAAAATCATTAGTATTTCAGTCACAATTAATGCCAAGATGAGTTTGTCAGTATAGCCGTATCCTGGAACTTCTTTTGTGAGCTAAAAAAAACAAAAAAACAAAAAAAAAACACACCAGAATGAGAGCTAACTATTCAAAACCCCAGTATTCCAGGTGAGTAGCTTACAGGTTCTTTTTTATTTTTTTGAAAGAGGGTCTCACTCTGTTACCCAGGCTGGGGTACAGTGGTGCAATCACCGTTCACTAGACTCGACCTCCCTGGGCTCAGGTGATCCTCCCACCTCAGCCTCCCAAGTAGCTGGGACTACAGGCACGTGTCATCAACCCAGCTAATTTTTTTATTTTTTGTGGAGACAGGCTTTCACTATGTTGGCCAAGCTGGTCTCAAACTCCTGACTTCAAGTAATCCACCCACCTTGGCCTCCCAAAGTGCTGAGATTACAGGCATGAGCTACCACCCCCGGCCTACAGTTCATCTTGTGCCCTAATCTATATTTCACTCTCTACATGAGCAAAGTGGGAGATCACTGTCATGACCAAAGTTACATGGCCAAGATAAGCTATGGCCTGGGAGTCCCAGATTCTTCTGTGTGGGCACTTTCCTGGGATATGCTAAATGATGGGAAATCTGGGTCTCATGTTTCTGTGTGGTCCTCACCTCAAGCGACTTCTCTTTCTGTTCACTCTGGGCTTCCGTGCTCTCATTAATGTAGTTCTCAGTCTTCCATTGGTCCGTATCCCATTCTATCTCAGATGCCTTTACTTCCTGCTGCCCACTGAGAAGCTTCATCAGGTGGCCTGTCCTGGAGATGAGCTTGGCACAGGTCACTTGCACATGGGCCCCAGAGCAGTCCATCTTCAAGGTCCGGATAACATGAGAAATGAGCCTTCTCACATTGTTGTTGGGGATAAGGGACTGTAGCTGCTGGGTTAGCTGAATTTCAAACTGAGCAATGGGTAATTGAAGCTTTTGGGCTCGGGGGACAGGTCAGTGCCCACGTTGTTGTATTCCCATTTTGTCTCAGTTTGTTTAACAGTTGGCCCTAAGTTGAATGCAGTCCCAGCGGAATCTGCCTCAGGAGGATGATTGTAGTTTGTGTTTTCAGAGATGGTGACTTCTGGCATGTTAGTGTTTTCCATAAAAACATTTTCTTCCAAGGCATTTCTTGCAGTTGTGTCTTTTATATTAGTGGTTTCTATAAAATGTTCTGAAGGAGCAGATACTTCCAGAAAAGGGTTTTCTTGAGGACTCAGGTCTCCTAAGGATGAAAAAGCCCCTTGTGAAAGGGAATTTATGAGGCTCTTCGCTGCAGAGAACGGAGGCCTGTTTGCGAGCATCAGTCTACTCAGATAACTTTTCTTTCTGAACTTTGGACTCTTTTTGACCTTGGGTGTTCTGTGGGTCATGCGGAGCGAGTTTTGTGAAAGCGGTATTTTTTTCTGGAATGTGAAATTGGTTTAGAAGCCTTCATATTTGTAACTCTAGCCTTTGCACTTTCTAAAATGGAAATAGTGTGTGTTGTCTTTCAATCTGTCTCTCACCTGTGGTAGGGCTTTTGCAGGGCTGGAGGTAGAAGGCGCGCCCTTGGAGAAGGGTGTCAGCACAGAGACTGCTGCCTTATGCTCTTGGCTGAACGAAGGCTTGGTGTAGATGGCGTTTCCCGCTAACTTCTCAGGCCCCTGCTGTGTGTGAGGCTGTTCCAGCTCCCTTGGGGCTGGACTCCCGAGCCTTTTTTCTTCGGCAGCGTTCTCCACAGATGCCTGGGCACCCTGTTCCCTCCTGATGCTCTGCCTTCCCACCTCTTTGAAGTGCCTTTTCTGGATGCTCATTGGGCCCATGAGGACTCTATTCACTTTTTGCCGGTTTTGGCCTACAGTTTGAATCTTTGCCAGGCTGTTTCCTGTGGTTGGCAGTTTAATGAACGGTAGTAACATTGATTCCACATCTAGGTTTACTGCTGAGAAATATGGCAAATGTAACTTAGTGCACTGATAACATCACTCTCGTCATTGGTGTCTAGCTGCTCACTCCCAAAGCCTGACAAGTTGATGCCACTGCTGTCTGAGGGCTCCTCCGGCTCAACAGTCAGCTCAGTGCTTGTGTAATTCTTCCGGGCTTGTAACATCTTCATGAATGCTCCTTCTGGATTCCCTACAGATTCTTCTTCAGCTGTCAAAAAAGAGACTGCTTTGCTCGTGAAAGATGATGGGATGGGATGCATCAGTCCATAGCTGTACACCCCAGTCACGCAGAGTAGGAGTCAGCAAACATTTGAGTGCCATTCAGAGAGGAGACACACACACCCAATCCTAAACCTATGAAATGGCAACAACAAAAGGAGAAAATATATCTTTTGAAAACACGGCCATCTACTTGGAACATTCCATAGTGTGACATAGAGTAACTCTGCTTAGGATTATTTCATTGATCCCCAGGGTCCAATTGCCCAGTGCTCAGTCAAAGCCCAAGGTGGAAGACAAGTGCTTCCCTGATGAGCTGATGAGCTGGCCTCTCTGCAGACTGCTCCATACCCTGTGCTGTCCTGCCTCAGATGCAGAGAGAGCACAAGGCTCCCGCTCTCCTCGTCCTCGGTGCGCCTGTGTTCTTGCTACCATCACAGCTGAATGCAATGAAAGGCGGTCCTCTGAGAGGAGCAGGGTGGAGATGCTAAAGTGGAGGCCCCCTCCCATTGCTGATAGATCCTCATCTGGCATGCGCTCCACCCTCCCCATTCTCTGCTCCCACATATCGTAGCCCCATCACAGAAGATGCGACATGGAAAAAAGCACTGTGTCCACCCTAGTTCTTAAATTTGGGCAGGGATTTGGGGTGTATGTTAAGAGTTTTTCAAATTTGCCAGATTGTATGCCTATGTTGTTAAATACACAGTGAATCTCTGGTATGATAGCAGTTTCTGGTGGGAGATGCATAGGACTCCCACAGGCAGAGTGAAATAAGGGCATTTTAGATGGACAAACACACAGACAAAAGCAGAAATGTGGGTGGTGTGACTGGGGTATGGTGAGGGGCTGCTGTGGCTGGAATGGAGGGCTGCCACAATAATGGAAATGGTAAATGAGGCAAATAAGGTTGGACTGGTGGCATAGCGTCAAGGTTGCCAGCTTTATTAAATCACTCTTCCAATATGCTAGCACTGGCCTGTTGGGAAAAGTAATATATCATGTAATCGAACAAAAGACAAACAGAGGCAAGCTCCAGGAATGGGCACTGTAAACAGGACTTGCCCCAGAGTAGCCAGATGTAGGCTTTAGATAAGTTGATGCAGGCTGAGCATCTCTAATCTGAGGGGGAATGTCTCACGTGGTGTCCAAGAAATGGTGACACATCTCACAGAGGGTCTAGGCTCAGGAGGGCTAGAGTATGAGACGTTCCCCCTCGCCTGCGAACTTAAAAATGTGGCCAACAATTTTTGTAAAAGATGGCTACTCTGTAGTGCTTTAACTGGACCTATTTAGACAATGCCTTACACACTGGAGGACGATACTGTGTAAATCTAATAAGTCTACAAGACAATACTTCTGTCTTTTGGCTCTCTCCTTCCTCTCCAGGGTGATGACAAATCCGTGAGGGTGGAGATTATACCTCTCTCATCATTTCAGCACCAAGGAAATAAATTAGTGGCAGAGTAAGGGTGACTTGATGAGTACATCCAATTGTTGACATAGTTTTGGGTGGAGAAATTTTGCTATTATATCGACTTCTTAAAATAGTCTAGTGGGATTAACTTGGTTTCAATTCACAGAGATCTGGAAGCGAGGATCTTTTAAAAATCCTGAAATATACACTGCAATAAAAGAACAAAGCATACACCTCAGCCTTAAATGACTGAAGAAGTATGTCAAGTAGCAGCAGGTGGGAAAGTGGCTTTGGTTTTCAGTTTGTGAGCTCTGAATCCACACAAAAACAGGACTGCATTCTGAAAACCTGAATTAATTATTGTCCTTACCACAATGAGGCAGAAAAGTATAATCAAAATCATTAGTATTTCAGTCACAATTAATGCCAAGATGAGTTTGTCAGTATAGCCGTATCCTGGAACTTCTTTTGTGAGCTAAAAAAAACAAAAAAACAAAAAAAAAAACACACCAGAATGAGAGCTAACTATTCAAAACCCCAGTATTCCAGGTGAGTAGCTTACAGGTTCTTTTTTATTTTTTTGAAAGAGGGTCTCACTCTGTTACCCAGGCTGGGGTACAGTGGTGCAATCACCGTTCACTAGACTCGACCTCCCTGGGCTCAGGTGATCCTCCCACCTCAGCCTCCCAAGTAGCTGGGACTACAGGCACGTGTCATCAACCCAGCTAATTTTTTTATTTTTTGTGGAGACAGGCTTTCACTATGTTGGCCAAGCTGGTCTCAAACTCCTGACTTCAAGTAATCCACCCACCTTGGCCTCCCAAAGTGCTGAGATTACAGGCATGAGCTACCACCCCCGGCCTACAGTTCATCTTGTGCCCTAATCTATATTTCACTCTCTACATGAGCAAAGTGGGAGATCACTGTCATGACCAAAGTTACATGGCCAAGATAAGCTATGGCCTGGGAGTCCCAGATTCTTCTGTGTGGGCACTTTCCTGGGATATGCTAAATGATGGGAAATCTGGGTCTCATGTTTCTGTGTGGTCCTCACCTCAAGCGACTTCTCTTTCTGTTCACTCTGGGCTTCCGTGCTCTCATTAATGTAGTTCTCAGTCTTCCATTGGTCCGTATCCCATTCTATCTCAGATGCCTTTACTTCCTGCTGCCCACTGAGAAGCTTCATCAGGTGGCCTGTCCTGGAGATGAGCTTGGCACAGGTCACTTGCACATGGGCCCCAGAGCAGTCCATCTTCAAGGTCCGGATAACATGAGAAATGAGCCTTCTCACATTGTTGTTGGGGATAAGGGACTGTAGCTGCTGGGTTAGCTGAATTTCAAACTGAGCAATGGGTAATTGAAGCTTTTGGGCTCGGGGGACAGGTCAGTGCCCACGTTGTTGTATTCCCATTTTGTCTCAGTTTGTTTAACAGTTGGCCCTAAGTTGAATGCAGTCCCAGCGGAATCTGCCTCAGGAGGATGATTGTAGTTTGTGTTTTCAGAGATGGTGACTTCTGGCATGTTAGTGTTTTCCATAAAAACATTTTCTTCCAAGGCATTTCTTGCAGTTGTGTCTTTTATATTAGTGGTTTCTATAAAATGTTCTGAAGGAGCAGATACTTCCAGAAAAGGGTTTTCTTGAGGACTCAGGTCTCCTAAGGATGAAAAAGCCCCTTGTGAAGGGGAATTTATGAGGCTCTTCGCTGCAGAGAACGGAGGCCTGTTTGCGAGCATCAGTCTACTCAGATAACTTTTCTTTCTGAACTTTGGACTCTTTTTGACCTTGGGTGTTCTGTGGGTCATGCGGAGCGAGTTTTGTGAAAGCGGTATTTTTTTCTGGAATGTGAAATTGGTTTAGAAGCCTTCATATTTGTAACTCTAGCCTTTGCACTTTCTAAAATGGAAATAGTGTGTGTTGTCTTTCAATCTGTCTCTCACCTGTGGTAGGGCTTTTGCAGGGCTGGAGGTAGAAGGCGCGCCCTTGGAGAAGGGTGTCAGCACAGAGACTGCTGCCTTATGCTCTTGGCTGAACGAAGGCTTGGTGTAGATGGCGTTTCCCGCTAACTTCTCAGGCCCCTGCTGTGTGTGAGGCTGTTCCAGCTCCCTTGGGGCTGGACTCCCGAGCCTTTTTTCTTCGGCAGCGTTCTCCACAGATGCCTGGGCACCCTGTTCCCTCCTGATGCTCTGCCTTCCCACCTCTTTGAAGTGCCTTTTCTGGATGCTCATTGGGCCCATGAGGACTCTATTCACTTTTTGCCGGTTTTGGCCTACAGTTTGAATCTTTGCCAGGCTGTTTCCTGTGGTTGGCAGTTTAATGAACGGTAGTAACATTGATTCCACATCTAGGTTTACTGCTGAGAAATATGGCAAATGTAACTTAGTGCACTGATAACATCACTCTCGTCATTGGTGTCTAGCTGCTCACTCCCAAAGCCTGACAAGTTGATGCCACTGCTGTCTGAGGGCTCCTCCGGCTCAACAGTCAGCTCAGTGCTTGTGTAATTCTTCCGGGCTTGTAACACCTTCATGAATGCTCCTTCTGGATTCCCTACAGATTCTTCTTCAGCTGTCAAAAAAGAGACTGCTTTGCTCGTGAAAGATGATGGGATGGGATGCATCAGTCCATAGCTGTACACCCCAGTCACGCAGAGTAGGAGTCAGCAAACATTTGAGTGCCATTCAGAGAGGAGACACACACACCCAATCCTAAACCTATGAAATGGCAACAACAAAAGGAGAAAATATATCTTTTGAAAACACGGCCATCTACTTGGAACATTCCATAGTGTGACATAGAGTAACTCTGCTTAGGATTATTTCATTGATCCCCAGGGTCCAATTGCCCAGTGCTCAGTCAAAGCCCAAGGTGGAAGACAAGTGCTTCCCTGATGAGCTGATGAGCTGGCCTCTCTGCAGACTGCTCCATACCCTGTGCTGTCCTGCCTCAGATGCAGAGAGAGCACAAGGCTCCCGCTCTCCTCGTCCTCGGTGCGCCTGTGTTCTTGCTACCATCACAGCTGAATGCAATGAAAGGCGGTCCTCTGAGAGGAGCAGGGTGGAGATGCTAAAGTGGAGGCCCCCTCCCATTGCTGATAGATCCTCATCTGGCATGCGCTCCACCCTCCCCATTCTCTGCTCCCACATATCGTAGCCCCATCACAGAAGATGCGACATGGAAAAAAGCACTGTGTCCACCCTAGTTCTTAAATTTGGGCAGGGATTTGGGGTGTATGTTAAGAGTTTTTCAAATTTGCCAGATTGTATGCCTATGTTGTTAAATACACAGTGAATCTCTGGTATGATAGCAGTTTCTGGTGGGAGATGCATAGGACTCCCACAGGCAGAGTGAAATAAGGGCATTTTAGATGGACAAACACACAGACAAAAGCAGAAATGTGGGTGGTGTGACTGGGGTATGGTGAGGGGCTGCTGTGGCTGGAATGGAGGGCTGCCACAATAATGGAAATGGTAAATGAGGCAAATAAGGTTGGACTGGTGGCATAGCGTCAAGGTTGCCAGCTTTATTAAATCACTCTTCCAATATGCTAGCACTGGCCTGTTGGGAAAAGTAATATATCATGTAATCGAACAAAAGACAAACAGAGGCAAGCTCCAGGAATGGGCACTGTAAACAGGACTTGCCCCAGAGTAGCCAGATGTAGGCTTTAGATAAGTTGATGCAGGCTGAGCATCTCTAATCTGAGGGGGAATGTCTCACGTGGTGTCCAAGAAATGGTGACACATCTCACAGAGGGTCTAGGCTCAGGAGGGCTAGAGTATGAGACGTTCCCCCTCGCCTGCGAACTTAAAAATGTGGCCAACAATTTTTGTAAAAGATGGCTACTCTGTAGTGCTTTAACTGGACCTATTTAGACAATGCCTTACACACTGGAGGACGATACTGTGTAAATCTAATAAGTCTACAAGACAATACTTCTGTCTTTTGGCTCTCTCCTTCCTCTCCAGGGTGATGACAAATCCGTGAGGGTGGAGATTATACCTCTCTCATCATTTCAGCACCAAGGAAATAAATTAGTGGCAGAGTAAGGGTGACTTGATGAGTACATCCAATTGTTGACATAGTTTTGGGTGGAGAAATTTTGCTATTATATCGACTTCTTAAAATAGTCTAGTGGGATTAACTTGGTTTCAATTCACAGAGATCTGGAAGCGAGGATCTTTTAAAAATCCTGAAATATACACTGCAATAAAAGAACAAAGCATACACCTCAGCCTTAAATGACTGAAGAAGTATGTCAAGTAGCAGCAGGTGGGAAAGTGGCTTTGGTTTTCAGTTTGTGAGCTCTGAATCCACACAAAAACAGGACTGCATTCTGAAAACCTGAATTAATTATTGTCCTTACCACAATGAGGCAGAAAAGTATAATCAAAATCATTAGTATTTCAGTCACAATTAATGCCAAGATGAGTTTGTCAGTATAGCCGTATCCTGGAACTTCTTTTGTGAGCTAAAAAAAACAAAAAAACAAAAAAAAAAACACACCAGAATGAGAGCTAACTATTCAAAACCCCAGTATTCCAGGTGAGTAGCTTACAGGTTCTTTTTTATTTTTTTGAAAGAGGGTCTCACTCTGTTACCCAGGCTGGGGTACAGTGGTGCAATCACCGTTCACTAGACTCGACCTCCCTGGGCTCAGGTGATCCTCCCACCTCAGCCTCCCAAGTAGCTGGGACTACAGGCACGTGTCATCAACCCAGCTAATTTTTTTATTTTTTGTGGAGACAGGCTTTCACTATGTTGGCCAAGCTGGTCTCAAACTCCTGACTTCAAGTAATCCACCCACCTTGGCCTCCCAAAGTGCTGAGATTACAGGCATGAGCTACCACCCCCGGCCTACAGTTCATCTTGTGCCCTAATCTATATTTCACTCTCTACATGAGCAAAGTGGGAGATCACTGTCATGACCAAAGTTACATGGCCAAGATAAGCTATGGCCTGGGAGTCCCAGATTCTTCTGTGTGGGCACTTTCCTGGGATATGCTAAATGATGGGAAATCTGGGTCTCATGTTTCTGTGTGGTCCTCACCTCAAGCGACTTCTCTTTCTGTTCACTCTGGGCTTCCGTGCTCTCATTAATGTAGTTCTCAGTCTTCCATTGGTCCGTATCCCATTCTATCTCAGATGCCTTTACTTCCTGCTGCCCACTGAGAAGCTTCATCAGGTGGCCTGTCCTGGAGATGAGCTTGGCACAGGTCACTTGCACATGGGCCCCAGAGCAGTCCATCTTCAAGGTCCGGATAACATGAGAAATGAGTCTTCTCACATTGTTGTTGGGGATAAGGGACTGTAGCTGCTGGGTTAGCTGAATTTCAAACTGAGCAATGGGTAATTGAAGCTTTTGGGCTCGGGGGACAGGTCAGTGCCCACGTTGTTGTATTCCCATTTTGTCTCAGTTTGTTTAACAGTTGGCCCTAAGTTGAATGCAGTCCCAGCGGAATCTGCCTCAGGAGGATGATTGTAGTTTGTGTTTTCAGAGATGGTGACTTCTGGCATGTTAGTGTTTTCCATAAAAACATTTTCTTCCAAGGCATTTCTTGCAGTTGTGTCTTTTATATTAGTGGTTTCTATAAAATGTTCTGAAGGAGCAGATACTTCCAGAAAAGGGTTTTCTTGAGGACTCAGGTCTCCTAAGGATGAAAAAGCCCCTTGTGAAGGGGAATTTATGAGGCTCTTCGCTGCAGAGAACGGAGGCCTGTTTGCGAGCATCAGTCTACTCAGATAACTTTTCTTTCTGAACTTTGGACTCTTTTTGACCTTGGGTGTTCTGTGGGTCATGCGGAGCGAGTTTTGTGAAAGCGGTATTTTTTTCTGGAATGTGAAATTGGTTTAGAAGCCTTCATATTTGTAACTCTAGCCTTTGCACTTTCTAAAATGGAAATAGTGTGTGTTGTCTTTCAATCTGTCTCTCATCTGTGGTAGGGCTTTTGCAGGGCTGGAGGTAGAAGGCGCGCCCTTGGAGAAGGGTGTCAGCACAGAGACTGCTGCCTTATGCTCTTGGCTGAACGAAGGCTTGGTGTAGATGGCGTTTCCCGCTAACTTCTCAGGCCCCTGCTGTGTGTGAGGCTGTTCCAGCTCCCTTGGGGCTGGACTCCCGAGCCTTTTTTCTTCGGCAGCGTTCTCCACAGATGCCTGGGCACCCTGTTCCCTCCTGATGCTCTGCCTTCCCACCTCTTTGAAGTGCCTTTTCTGGATGCTCATTGGGCCCATGAGGACTCTATTCACTTTTTGCCGGTTTTGGCCTACAGTTTGAATCTTTGCCAGGCTGTTTCCTGTGGTTGGCAGTTTAATGAACGGTAGTAACATTGATTCCACATCTAGGTTTACTGCTGAGAAATATGGCAAATGTAACTTAGTGCACTGATAACATCACTCTCGTCATTGGTGTCTAGCTGCTCACTCCCAAAGCCTGACAAGTTGATGCCACTGCTGTCTGAGGGCTCCTCCGGCTCAACAGTCAGCTCAGTGCTTGTGTAATTCTTCCGGGCTTGTAACATCTTCATGAATGCTCCTTCTGGATTCCCTACAGATTCTTCTTCAGCTGTCAAAAAAGAGACTGCTTTGCTCGTGAAAGATGATGGGATGGGATGCATCAGTCCATAGCTGTACACCCCAGTCACGCAGAGTAGGAGTCAGCAAACATTTGAGTGCCATTCAGAGAGGAGACACACACACCCAATCCTAAACCTATGAAATGGCAACAACAAAAGGAGAAAATATATCTTTTGAAAACACGGCCATCTACTTGGAACATTCCATAGTGTGACATAGAGTAACTCTGCTTAGGATTATTTCATTGATCCCCAGGGTCCAATTGCCCAGTGCTCAGTCAAAGCCCAAGGTGGAAGACAAGTGCTTCCCTGATGAGCTGATGAGCTGGCCTCTCTGCAGACTGCTCCATACCCTGTGCTGTCCTGCCTCAGATGCAGAGAGAGCACAAGGCTCCCGCTCTCCTCGTCCTCGGTGCGCCTGTGTTCTTGCTACCATCACAGCTGAATGCAATGAAAGGCGGTCCTCTGAGAGGAGCAGGGTGGAGATGCTAAAGTGGAGGCCCCCTCCCATTGCTGATAGATCCTCATCTGGCATGCGCTCCACCCTCCCCATTCTCTGCTCCCACATATCGTAGCCCCATCACAGAAGATGCGACATGGAAAAAAGCACTGTGTCCACCCTAGTTCTTAAATTTGGGCAGGGATTTGGGGTGTATGTTAAGAGTTTTTCAAATTTGCCAGATTGTATGCCTATGTTGTTAAATACACAGTGAATCTCTGGTATGATAGCAGTTTCTGGATAAACATTACTTGAGGTCCTAAAATGCAGAAGGGAAAAAGCAACTTTTGTCAGATGCCTACTTTGCTTTCATTTCATCTCTAATATTTTGGATGGGGAATCAGCCAAGGCTTCTGACTGCAGGAAGGTCAAGTGTGCCAGTGTGCAGCTGGGTTTCTTTTCCAGAATTAAAAGCATTTTGGGTGGTGGTGAGGGTCAGAGGAAGAAGTAAAGATTGTGAGAAAGTGGAAGAAGCATGGGCTTGGGGAGAACCCAGAATTGGGGCCAGAAGACCTGGCACTAGGCTACAGCACTTAGCACCTCTGATCTTGTTTTTCTTCATCTGTAAAAGGAGGTTAACAAAGCTTTTCTGCCCACTTCTTGGGGAGAAGGGAATAATATAATTGGTAAAAAAAAAAAAAGTTTTGAAAAATAAGCAACACTGACTTTATGTAACCAAGCATTATTAATTCTCCACCCCATATCACTGGTAGATACCTGTATTCAAGCTATCTGGACATGAAAGCAGTCACATTTTAGAAGTCATGAAGTTGATGCTAATAAACCTAATCTACAGAAACACTCTTGAAAGCCCTTGAGCGTTTGTTCTGTGAACAGAAAGGTTTGAGATTCAGAGCAAGTTCAGAGTTGGATGGTCTAAGAATGGAAAAGACCTCCATTCTATTAGAAGAGTCAGGTAGCAATTTCTGGTTATGGAACCAGAAGCTCTCAGGCTTCAAATAAAACAGCATCACTTGTACTCTCATAAAACTGTAAAAACAGAAAAACCGAAACCGTATCTACATCTGTCCTATAAGGCAGAGAGTACTTGAGACCTCATGAATTTAAAACCACCTTACAAACTACATTGCACTATATGAAGAAATTATCACTGTGGGCAAAGCATCAAGCAGAGAGCACAGTACACAGTGTGTGGATGTTAATGTTATTCTCTAGCCTTCCCATTCCTTTGTCTTGGTCCTTTGTGCATATGGAACAGTTCTATTATTAAATTTTGTAATAGTAACTGAGAACCTGACTCTCAGCAAGGGAGTAGTTCAGAAATTGAGGGAGTTTAACTCTGAATGAGTAAATAAAAATAAAGCAATTATGTCATTAGCTTAAAATTTTATCATCATTAAAAATAAAAAGTTTAAAAACAAATACTTAATGTAACAATTTATCACCGCGCAATTTGGACTCACGACAATGTATGGTGTTTGTCAGACATGCACTGTTGCAATGCAGCTTGACTGTCTTGCAGACAGCCTCAATGCTGTTTTTAAGTTGGCAGAGGCAGCAGGCCATATGGCTAGGTAAGATCCTATAGATGAAAACAGAGAGCAATAAATTAGCGGTAAAGCGGTTACTTGAGTAGGTAAAGGAGGCAGCCAACGCTACCACAGGTGTGGGAAAAAGGTGTCATTGAAGCCTATGGACTGGACAGTTGGGTAGGAACCAGAAGGCCAATAGGAAGGAGGGCAAAGGTGCCCAACTGAAGGGTAAGCATGGCAGTGAGTATGGTATGCCTAGAATAAAGATGGTTGGGATTAGAATTGGGTGACAGTGATTAGTAGTTTAATTCAGAAGTATCTCTTCCCAACTCAAAAGTCTCACTTTGGGCTGAAAGTACAGAGGAAGAAGGTAGACTTTTAAGAAGTCTGAATAAGCCCCCAACTTCTGGAGTCCCTTTCTCAATTCCTGTTGGGAGTGGGAAATATTATAAATTACTCTGGGCATTAAAAATAGCTTAGTTTAACCTCGATTGTGGAGTTAAAAAATAACAAAGATTGCATTGGTCAAATCTGGACAATTTGAGCATTCAAAAGAATAACAACAATAAGTTACAACATATTTAATATAAAGAAGAATCCACGAAGAGTGATATAGAAAAAGAAAGAGGGGGAGTTCTTCTTCAATGAAATAATGCCAGCTAGTAAATGTAGAAGGAATGACAGAATTTTTAAAAGTGTCACTTTGCAACCATCAGTGTAATACAAATTCATTCAGACAAGGATTATCACTGATGCACATTTGGGTGAAAAGACATTTGAGAACAGGATCTTCACTGAACTCAAAGTAACAACCCACAGATTATTTATTAATTACCAAGCGGAAAATTATTATTTTTTATTTTTATTTTGTCACCCAGGCTGAAATACAGTGGCAAAATTATACCTCATTGCAGCCTCAACCCCCCTGGGCTCAAGGGATCCTCCAAATTCAGTCCCCCGAGTAGCTGGGAGTATAGGCTTGCACCACCATGCCCAGCTAATTTTTTTTTTTTTTTTGTACTTTTGCATTTTCAGTAGTGACAGGGTTTCCCCATGTTGCTCAGGCTGGTGTAGAACTCCTGGGCTCAAGCAATCCTCCCACCTCAGCCTTCCAAAGTGCTGGGATTACAAGTGGGAGCCACTGTACCCAGCAAAATAATTACAATGGAGAGATCTGGAAGTTCACCTTGGTCAAGTGATCAAACTTAGTATTACAGGCCATCTGCAGTTACGAGGCAGGAAGGATACATCACCTATGCAGTATTTTTCCCAAAAATGCTTAACTTGAATTTCGTCATGAGGAAACAGACAAATCCGGATTGTGGGACAATTTACAAGACAACTATCTTTGACTCTTAAAAAATGCCAATGTCATGAAAGATCAAAGAAAGTAGAAGCATGTTTTAGATTAAAGGAAATGAAGACATGACATGCAGTGCCTGATCTTTGATTAGATTCTGTACTATTCTTTCATCTTTCTGGCTTGTTTGAATTTTTTTCAATACGTAAATTTGGGCAAAAGAGGTAACTGAGACAATTGATTAATTTATTGTTGTGGCTTATTGGGGGCACTTTCAGAGAGATAAAAACAATCCCTGTAACTGAAGTAAAAGGTTAATCTTAGGCAGTATAGCATGGTCATTAAGAATACAGATTCCATAGCCAGACTATGCTTCAATCTCAGCTCTGCTAATAATGTGAATTTGGGCAAATTGTTAAATCTCTGTTCCTTGGCCTTGTCATTATAATAGTACCTACCTCTAATGAATTTTGAGGATCAAATGAATCCATACCTGAAAAATGCCTGGTGCACAGTGAGTGCTCAATAAGAGTTAACTATAATTATTATGTTGCAGAGGTTGTGGGGGGCCTTTTCTGAGTCCTCCAAAAGGATGGCTTTATTGGGGCCACATTGAGACTGTGAAAACAGAAGAGGGTTTCATGGATACAAGAAGTCTATGAGTTGGGGGTACAATGTATAGAGTTTTAGATTAAAACTGCATCCAATGAGTTGGCCTGACACATCTTTCAAACCTATAGAGGAACAATCACAAGTGACTAGTATTATTCCTTTGGGTCCAGTGGAAGCCTCTGATCTTCATATGGAATGGACCCGGAACCGTAACCCAGCATTTTGTTATATAGCAACCTTACCTCTGCCACAAAGGTGTTTCTTTTGTTTATTTTGAGGCCGGGTCTCGCTCTGTTACACAGGCTGAGTGCAGTGGTGCAATCTTGGCTCACTGCAGCCTCTGCCTCCTGTGCTCAAGTGATCCTCCCACCTCAGCCTCATGAGTAGCTAGAACTACAGGTGTGTGCCACCACGCCTGGCTAATTTTTGTATATTTTGTAGAAATGGGGTTTCACCATGTTGTCCAGGCTGGTCTCGAACTCCTGGGCTCAAGCCACCCTCTCTCTTTGGCCTCCCAAAGTGCTGGGATTACAGGCATGAGCCCAAAATTTTTGGTATTCTTTTTCTGCCCCCAACTTTTTATTTTAAACATTTTCTTTTTTTCCTTTAAGCCTTAGGATGGTTGGGAAACATTTTCAAATGGTATAATGAACACCTGTATAACTTTAATCTGGAATCAGTAGTTGCTAATACTTTGCCACATTTGCTTTCCGTGTGTGTATGTCTATACATTTTCTGGACAAAACCATTTGAGAGTCAGTTGCAGACATAATGACCCTTCACCATTGAAGACTTCAGTGTGCAGCCCCTAAGAACCAAGGCATTCTCCGACATAACCAGAGGACTATCATCACCCAATGGAACTTCATATTATCATTGTCTACTATGTGGTCCATATACACATTTTCACAATTGTCCCAATCATAACATGGCTTAAAAAATTCAGAATCCAATCAAACATCAGACATTACACTTAGTACATGATTCTTTAGTCTCCTTCAATCTAGAACTGTTACCAGGATTGTTTTAAAGTATACTGACAAACCTTTCAGACTACAAGGAAAAAAAAAGTGGATAGCAAAGAAAAAATATGCCACAGAACTTTTCAGGTCAAAAACCCTAAAAGTGACTATGTTGGTAGGAAGCCCTGACTGTGGAGGAAACACTATTTCTAGCATCCTCCATAATTCAAGTTGCTCATCATAATTCGTTGTTCATCTATTTTTTTTTTTTTTTTTGAGATGGAGTCTCACTCTTGTTGCCCAGGCTGGAGTGCAATGGCTTGATCTTGGCTGACTGCAACCTCAGCCTCCCAGGTTCAAGTGATTCTCCTGTTCTGCCTCAGCCTTCCGAGTAGCTGGGATTACAGGCACCCACCACCATGCCCAGCTAATTTTTGTATTTTTAGTAGAGACGGGGTTTTACCATGTTGGCCAGGCTGGTTTTGAACTCCTGACCTCAGGTGATCTACCTGCCTCAGCCTCCCAAACTGATAGGATTACCAGCATGAGCCACTGGGCTGGATGCTTGTCTTTTATCTTTATAAAGTTTTTAAAATTCATGGCTTAATTTGCACAGTTAAAAAAAATAGGACCAATTCTTTTGCTTTATAGCCAAAGAAGAAGGAATAAATCTAAGAGGAGGAACTGGTCAAAACCATACTCCCACTTGTCTTCTTGTATGACATCACAGCCTTTCTTACATTGCATGTAATCACCTGTCCACTTGTGAGGCTCCTGGACTATGAGCGCTTTGAGGGCAGAGACCACATTTTTTTATTTTCCTGAGATGGAGTCTCACTCTGTCGCCCGGGCTGGAGTGCAGTGGCGCAATCTTGGCTCACTGCAATCTCCGCCTCCCGGGTTCAAGCAATTCTCCTGCCTTAGCCTCCCGAGTAGCTGGGATTACAGGTGCCCGCCACCATGCCCTGTCATCCCCGTGCCTGGCATGATGTCTGAAATGTATTAGGCATTTAACAAATGTTTATTGAATAAACAAATGACATTTTGTTTATATGTCAATAAAATGAATAAATTGATTTTGATGCAAATTTTTATTCCAAAATGCTAGAATCGATTTTCTTTTTAATTCTTTAAGGTGAACAAGAAAAATAAAAGAAACAGGAAGAAATAAAAGAAAATCTGCCTTTAGGTTGACCCAAGAATCATCTTTGTACTTAGGCAGAAATTATAAAAATAATAATTATTACAGTGAGTATCTACTGGGTTGCCAGGTATTTGTGATCAGCAAACACCTTATGTGGTAGATATTATTATTGCCCTATTTTTAAATGAGGAAACTGAGGCACAGAGAGGTTATATAACTTGTCCTAGGTCACCAAGCTATTAAGCAGCAAAGCTGTAATTTGAACTCATGTGTTTATGTATGAAGAAAAAGGGTTTATTTTAACCTTAGGTTTTTAAAAAATTTTTATTTTCGTTCTTCATTCTTTTTCTTTCTCTCTCTTTTTCCTTCCTTCCTTCCCTCCCCCTTCCTTCTTTCTATTTTCTTTCCTTTCCTTTCTTTCCTTTCTCCTCTCCCGTCCACTCCCCTCCCCTCCCCACCCAAACAGGGTCTTGCTCCATTGACCAGGCTGGAGTGCAGTGGCGTGATCTTGGCTCACTGCAACCTCCTCTTCCCAAGCTCAGGTAACCCTCCTTCCTCAGTCTCCCAAATTGCTGGGACTATAGGCACGCACCACCACGCCTGGCTATTTTTTGTGTTTTTAGTAGAGATGGGAGTTTCGCCATGTTTGCCAGGCTGGTCTTGAACTCCTGATCTCAAGTGATCCACCTGCCTTGGCCTCCCAAAGTGCTGGTGTGAGCCACTGGGCCCAGCCTTAATATTGAGAAGACTAAATACAGAAGTGCCTTTCAACCTTCTTCTACTCCTCTGGGAGGACCTCTATGAGAATTACAATTTCTCATTAGCAGGGCATGGCAGCGCTTGCCTGTAATTCCAGCTGTTTCAGAGGCTGAGGCAGGAGAATTGCTTGAACCCGGGAGGCGGAGGTTGCAGTGAGCCAAGATCAAGCCACTGTACTCCAGCCTGGGCGATAGAGCAAAAAAAAGTGGATTACAGTTTCTCTTTTTATGTCTTTCCCCTAATCATTTCCCATGATTAAATAGTTAATTAGTCTATGGTCGATGAGACTTCTTTTTTTAAGAGACACATTCTCACTCACTGTGTTGCCCAGGCTGGAGAGCAGTGGCTATTCACAGCCATGATCCCACTAGTGATCAGCATGGGAGTTTTGACCTGCTCTATTCCTGAACTGGGCTGGTACACCCCTTTTTAGGCAACCTGGTGGTCTCCTTTTCCCGGGAGGTCACCATACTGATGCTGAACTTAGTGCGGACACCCAATCAGCATAGCATGCTACAGCCCAGAATTCCTGGACTCGAAGGATCCTTCTTCCTTTGCCTCCCGAGTATCTGGGACTACAGGCATGTGCCCAGTGAGCCTTCAGACATTTAAAACCATGTTGTAAGTGACATCAGTGAAAATGGTGGAATAAAGACATCGAGGCTGGGCGCAGTGGCTCACGCCTGTAATCCCAGCACTTTGGGAGGCTGAGGCAGGTGGATCACGAGGTCAGGGGATCGAGACCATCCTGGCTAACAAGGCGAAACCCCGTCTGTACTAAATATACAAAAATTAGCTGGGCGTGGTGGCAGGCGCCTGTAGTCCCAGCCACTCGGGAGGCTGAGGCAGGAGAATTGTGTGAACCCAGGAGGTGGAGCTTGCAGTGAGACGAGATTGCGCCACTGCACACTCCAGCCTGGGCAACAGAGTGAGACTCTGTCTCAAAAAAAAAAAAAAAAAAAAAAAAAAAAAAAAAAAAAAAAGAGACATCCAAAAATTCATCCCTTCATAAAAGCAACAAACACCAAGAAAAGGGCAAAAAAAAAAATTGACCATAATAAACTTTTTCAGAACTCTAGAAATGTAACCAAAGTCTTGCAGCAACCCGAGGAGCATTTATTCAAGAAAAATTTCTGTAAGAACAGTGAGATTTGTGTTAACTTGCCTTAGACCATTCCTCACTCTCTAGCTCAGTAGTTGCCTTGAAAAACAGCCCACATCCCCAAGCAGAGGGAGCAGAATGGAGCTGGAGCTCCTTCAAAGCCTTATTCTCAGTTAACTGTCATGATGTCATCTGTCTGGTGGTTCCCTGGAAGACCTCATTTGAAAGGTTTGTCTTTATTTGACCAGAATGAAAGCTGTCTAGTGCTAAAGCCTCTCCACAGAGGGTGTTTTTGGAAAACAATTACAGACAAGTGTTTTAACATGGCAACTGTATTCGGCAATGAATAACAGTTTGGGGAAAAAAAGCCTAATCGAAAAGCTTAATAGGAAAAGCTGAGTAATAAGATGTCCACAGGAATTTTGAAACACTCTGATATATGCTTGGGAAACTAGAAGTCCATAAGACATATTCCTGGCAATTTGCAATGTCATGCGCATGCATAGGGCAGGCTGCCAGCATGGTCAGGAAAGACCTACTAAGTTCATAAACTCTCACCCCTGGCTGATCTTGAGGTTCTGCACAAGCAAGAAGTGAAAGCTAAGGCATGGCTGTAAATTGTCTAGCTGAGTGCTGAAGGTATGCCCCAACATGTACACAGAGCCCCTTGGCAAAAACTAGGAGACTTATCAGTTCCAAGAATTTAAGTAAATCTTCATTTAATCATTAGCTGATCGGTAAGCTAACCAAGGAGATACTTTAGTGGCAACACATGACATATAATGCAACACTTTACAGAAGAAGTTCAGAAAAGTCACTAAATAAATAGCAACTACTAACACAAGCAGCAGTAACACCAAACCCTGGCAGCATGGATCTGATTTTCAGAATTGCTACATTATATTATTTAAAATATTCAATTTTTAACAAACATTTATGAAAGATGCAAGGAAACAAAGTATGGCCCAAACACTTGGTGGGGGGAGAAATAAGCAGAAATTGTCCCTGAGAAAGACCAGATATTAGACTTACTAGACAAAGATTTTTTTATTTTTTATAGTTGGGGTCTTGCGAAGTTACCCAGGGTGGTCTTGAACTCCTGGCCTCAGCCTCAACCTCAGCCTCAGCCTCCCAAAGTGCTGGGATTATAGGCATGAGCCACCATGCCTGGCCTAGAGAAGGATTTAATTCAGCTATTTAAAATATATTCAAAGAGATAAGAGAAATGATTCAGTTCTGTAGACTAGAAAACTAAAGGAAAGTATGAAAGCAATGTCTCATCAAATAGAGAATATCAATAAAGAGATAGAAACCATAAAAAGGAGTCAAATAGAAATTCTAGAGTTGAAAAGTATGGTAACTGAAATGGAAAAATTATTAGAGGTTCTCAATGGCACATTACAGCAAGCCGAAGGAAGAATGGGGAACTTGAAGGTTAATTGAGATTGTTGACTCTGAGGAACAGAAATAAAAATGAATGAAAGTGAATGGAATCTCAGAGACCTGTTTGTGGAACACATCATCAAGCTTACTAACATACACATAATGAGAGTCCCAGGAGAAGAAAAACAGAAAAAAGGAGAAAGAATATTTGAAGAAATAATGGCCCCAAACTTCCCAAACATGATGAAAAACAATCTGCATATTCAAGAAGCTCAAGGAACTACAAGTAGGAAAAACTGAGGGATCCACATCTAAACATACTGTAATCAAACTGACAGAAGCCAAAGACAGAATATCTTGAAAGCAGCAAGAGAAAAGCAACTCATCACATACAAGGGATCCTCAATAAGATTAATAGCTGATTTCTCTTCAAAAACAATGGAGATGCTGGGCATGGTTGCTCACACCTGTACTCCCAGTGCCTTGGGAGGCTTGAGGCTCAAGAATTGCTTGAAGCCAGGAGTTGGATACCAGCACTGGCAATAGAGTAAAACCCTGTCTCTACAAAAAATTTAAAAATAACTGGGCATGGTGGTGCATGCCTGCAGTCTCAGCTACCCAGGAGGCTGAGGTGACAGCATTGCTTAAGCCTGGGAAGTGGAGGCTGCAACGATGTGAGTGGTTGCACCACTGCACTCCAGCCTGGGTAACAGAGCAAGTCCCTGTCTAAAAACAAAGCAACCACACACAACAGTGGAGGACAAAAGGCAATGAAATGGCATATTCAAAGTGCTGAAGAAACTGTCAACCAATAATTCTATACCTGGCAAAACTACCTTTGAAATTGAAGAGAAATTAAGATATTCTAGATAAATAAAAACTGAGAGACTTTGTTGCTAGAAGACCTGCCCTATAAGGAGTACTAACGTGAATCTGCACAAAGAAATAAAAAGCACTTGCTGGGCGCAGTGGCTCAGGCCTGTAATCCCAGCACTTTGGGAGGCTGAGGCTGGAGGATCACTTGAGGTCAAGAGGTTGAGACCAGCCTGGCAAACATGGTGAAACCCTGTCTCTACTAAAAATACAAAAATTAGCTGGGTGTGGTGTTACGTGCCTGCAGTCCCAGCTACTCAGGAGGCTGAGGCACTAGAATCGCTTGAACCTGGGAGGCAGAGGTTGTGGCGAGTAAAGATTGTGCCACTGCACTCTAGCCTGGGCAACAGAGTGAGACTCTGTCCCAAAATAAAGAAAAAAAAATAAGAAAAAGATACTTACATAATGCAATAATTATAAATCTAGTTGATGAACATAAAGTATATAAAGATGTAATGTGTGACAATAACAGTATAAAGGAGGGGGTGAGAGTGGAGCTTTAGAGAAGCGAAGTTTTTGTATACCATTGAAACAAAGTTGGAATTAATCTGAACTACAACGTTATAAAATTAAGATGTAGCTGAGACTACAGGTGCGCACCACCACACTCGGCTAACTAAAAAAAATTTTTAGAGATAGGGTCTCACTATGTTGCCCAGGCTGGTCTCAAACTCCTGGCCTCAAGCAATCCTCCTTCCTTGGCCTCCCAAAGTACAGGGATTATAGGTATGCACCACTGCATCTGGCCACAAACATTTTGTTTTTTTACTGTTCATTTTTCTTTTTTTTTTGAGACGGAGTCTCGCTCTGTCGCCCAGGCTGGAGTGCAATGGCGTGACCTCGGCTTACTGCAACCTCCACCTCCTGGGTTCAAGTGATTCTCCTACCTCAGCCTCCTGAGTAGCTGGGATTACAGGTGCCTGCCACCACCCCCTGCTAATTTTTGTACTTTTAGTAGACACGGGGTTTCACCATGTTGTCCAGGCTGGTCTCTAACTCCTGACCTCAGGCAATCCACCTGCCTCAGCCTCCCAAAGTGCTGGGATTACAGGTGTGAGCCACTGCGCCCTGCTAACATATCCTCTTTCTAAAAAGCTACATATATTGCAAAGTATTGGAATAGGAATAACATAGCAGTTAGGTTGGGCGTTTGGGTTGATTACATATCTTTGCTATTATCAGTACAATTCTTATCAAAATCCCAGCTGGCTTCTTTCCAGAAAGTGACAAGCTAGTTCTAAAATTATAATGCAATTTAAGGCACCCTAAATAGCAAAATAATCTTGTAAAATAACAAAGTGGGAAGACTCAAATGTCCCAATTTCAAAACCCAAATCAAATCTACAGCAATCACAGTGTGATACTGGAATGTGGACAGACAAATAAATCAATAGAATAGAATTGACAACCCAGAAATAAACCCTCACATTTATGGAAAATTGATTTTTGACAAGGGTGCTACAACAATTCTACGTGGAAATAATGTTTTTTTTTTTTTAAATGGTGCTGGAACAACTGAACATCTATGTGCAAAATAATGAAGGTGGACCCCCTACATCTCACACGATTATAAGAATTGATGCAAAATATGTCAAATACCTAAATGTAAGAGCCAAAACGATAAGACTCTTACACAAAAACATGAGAGTAAATCTCATGACCTTAAATTAGACAACAGTTTTTTCTTCTCCAAACTGGATTTTTTTTCTTTTAAAACAATTTTGTCTTTTGAATTTAATGAAGTATTACTAGCTGAAGGCAGCCTGACATGGTGACAAGAATGTCAGACAGATGAAAGGGACACAGCCTGATTTAAAACCAAACACTGAACCTTTTTAAAGAAGAATAAGACATTTTATACACACACATGACACCAAAAGCACAAACAACCAAAGGAAAAATAGATACATTAGATTTTATCAAAATTAAAAACTTTTGTGCATCAAAGGACACTGGCAAGAAAGTCACAGAACTCACAGGATGAGAGAAAATATTGGCAAATTATCTGTTAAGGTCTAATATCCAGAGTATCCAGAAGATATAGAGAAATTCCTATAATTCAATAAAAAGACAAATCAATTTTTTAAATGGGCAGAGGATGTGAATAAATATTTCTTCAAAGAAGATATATAAATGGCTCATATACACATAAAAATGTTGAATGTCTTAAATCATTAGGGAAATGTCCATCAAAAACTGCAGCGAGATACTACTTTACACTCACTGGGATGGCTATGAGAAGAGACAGACAACGACAGTGTTGACAAAGACCAGGAGAAATTGAAACCCTCAAACATTGCAGATGGAAGTGTAAAATGGAGCAGCCACTGTGGAAATCAGCCTGACAGGTCCTCAAAAAGTTAAACATAAGAGTTGCCATACGATCTAGCAATTCTGCTAGGGATGCACCCTAGAATTAAAAACATGTCCACGCAAAAAGTAGTACATGCATGTCCATAGCAGCATTATTCATAAAAGCCAAAATAAAGTAGAAACAACCACATGTCCACTAAGTGATGAATGGATGAACGGATATAGTGATGGCTCCATACAATGGAATATCACTCAGCCTTGCAAAGGAATGATCCATGCTGCAGCATGGGAGGACCTTAGAAACAACATGCTTCGTGAAAAGAAACTAGACACAAAAGGCCACATACTGTATGATTCGTTTATATGAAAGATCTAGAATAGGCAAATCCATAGGGACTCAAAGTAGATTAGTAGTTACCTGGGCCTGCGGGAAGACAGCACTGGGGAGTGATGGCTAATGGGTACCATGTTTCTTTTTGGGATGATGAAAATGTTCTGGGGTTAGATAATGGTGATTGTTTGCTATACAACCTTGAGAATATACTAACCACCACTGAATTGTACACTTTATAATACTGCGTTGATGGTATGTGGATCAAGTCTCAATGTAACACAAAGAAGCATGTTGTACTGTATAGAACACCAGGTGCCAGAAGACCAAACATGCTGGCAGATGGAAAAAAGAGGAGTGAAGATTCACTCTCCCTTGACCAAGATCAGAGTGAGTCAGTGGCGAGGCTGGGAGCCACACAGCTTGTCCTGCCTTGTGATCCCCCTCCTCTTCCTATTCCAGATGGTTTTTCAGTGCCATTAACTTGTTTTGTAACACTAATATTCAATAAGATGATGTTACAAAGAGAAAGAATGTGAGTGCCACATGACTGGTTAAGTATGGATTCTCAAACTAGGGCTTTAAATATCCTTCGTGATTTTTTTTGGCATGAAAACTTGTAAGACCACTGGTGGGCTCTGTACAAAGTCGGCTACCCCTTCATTCTATATCTTCCTCTGCCCACTTTCCTCCCAGCTATTAAAAATGAATGTAGGCTGGGCACAGCATCTCAAGCCTGTAATCTCAGCACTTTGGGAGGCCAAAGCAGAAGGAGAGCTTGAGCCCAGGAGTTTGAGACCAGCCTGGGTAACAAAGTGAGACCCTGTTTCTATTTTTTTTTAAACACCAAAAATAATGACTGTAAGGCAGTATGTAGCCAAACAACTTGGCAAAGTTTGTTATCTTTCCTCCAAAATTCTCTCACTCTCCAACCTTCCCTCTTTCTTGATAGCTCATCCATAGCCTTGAGCTCAGCATTACCTCTGAACTAGGAAGCTCTTCTCCAGCTGACATTAGGATCTTTGCATTTGTCCCTAATGAAATCAAAATATAGGGCCATTCGATATTATCCTCTTTTCCTCCTGTTCTAAGGCATTCTTTTCTTGACTAAGGTTGTGCCTGGGCCATGGAGAGACTGAGTGGGAACTGGCTCAACGGCTCAAGTTTGAGGACTCTACAGCAACTCTTTTCCACAAACCAAATGATATGAATGTTTTTATTTATTTATATTTATGTTTCCACTTTTTAAAAGTCTTTTTGTAGAGATTGGGGTCTCACTTTGTTGCCCAGGCTGAACTTGAACTCCAGGGGCTCAAGCGATCTGCCTGTCTTGGCCTCCTAAAGTGCTGGGATTACAGGCATGAGCCAGCGCGCCCAGCCTCGAGTGTTTTTAGATTCACAGTAGATGACCATTTCCATTTCTGGTTCAAGTCCTTCATTTTATACATTAAACTAAGGTGCACTGACTCCCAGTCCATCGCCTTTTTGGTATCTTTATGGAAGTAAAATGTGGCAAGCTTTTTTTCAGCCTCAAAGACTGTCTCAGAGTAAAAGTTTAAGAAGTACTGCTCTAAATAATTTTATTAAATATGCCTTATTAGATGAGGAAAACTGAAATATTTTTATACAAGCCTTTTGCTGTAGAACAATGGGACAGAATAAAGGTAGCTCACAAAATAAGGGAACATTTCTTGCCTGTTTTTTTTTTTTCCCTCCAAATTCTTCTGTACAGGTCCAGATAGATGAGCTATGTTTCCTTTCTATTAACTGAGGAGACAGAGATGAAAGGACTGGAGCATGTCATCACTGTCTTAAATGTACTGAAATCCTAACAGCTCTAGCTGAAAAAATGTCCAAAGCAGGCCGTGAAAATAAATTTAAATGACAAACTCCAAAATGATCTATGCTAGAATCCCAAGGCTGTCAGGGAAAACTGGTTCCATGGAAGAAGGTAGTCAAAGAAATAAGCAGATGACCTAGACCCTCACCCAATATGCGCGATGTACTTGGGGAGAAAGTAACCTCTTTCCTTTATTCACCTACATAGGTTCGTGAGCCACACATCTCCCCACACCAAGCTCCTCCATACAAGACCTCGGACTGCATCATGTAAATGCTTTTTCAGGGGCAAAATCTAGAGAATCTGAAATGGTGAGCCTTTTTCCTTTTTTTTTTTTTTTTTTGAGATGAAGTCTCACTCTGTTGCCCAGGCTGGAGTGCAGTGCAGTGGTGTGATCTTGGCTCACTGCAACCTCCACCTCCTGGAGTCAAGTGATTCTCCTGCCTCAGCCTTCAGAGTAGCTGGGATCATAGATGCCCGTCCCCATGCCTGGTTAATTTTTGTATTTTTAGTAGAGACAGGGTTTCACCATGTTGGCCAGGCTGGTCTCGAACTTCTGAGCTCAAGTGATCCACCCACCTTGGCCTCCCAAAGTGCTGAGATTACAGCATGAGACACCATGCCCAGCTGTGAGCCTGTATCTTAATCAAAGTCCTGAGAATAACCTTGAAGAAGACTCCCTTGCAATGAGCAACAACAGAAGAAGCAAGGGACCTGGAATCTGGCAGACCTGGGTTTGAATTCTGGCTCTGTCACTTTCTGGTGAAGTGACTTGAGTAATGAACATGAGCCTTTCTGGGTAGCATTTACAGCACAAAGCAATTTGAGGAATAAATGAAAGAGCACGTGTCTAGTGCCTAGCAATGCGCTGGACACAGTGCCGGTGCTCAGCCATCATGTCACACCAGCACTGACCGGTGAGCATAAACCCTGGGGATGCCCAGAGCTGGTACAGCCAGGAGCTCCAGAAGCGTGGGATTCTCAGAGGGAAGTGGAGCTCACTGCTCTACAGGTCCTATTCAAGTTAGAAAGTAAGATACAATGCACACAAAGCCAAATTGTCATCATTCAGCTCCTATTACAGGGGAACTAAGAGCTGCATTGAAAATTACTTGCAAAGCTTGTAAGTGGTTCTGCCACTTATTAGCCGTGTGAACCTTAGCAAATTACCTAGCATCTCTGAGTTTCAACTTCCTCATCTGCAAAATAGAAATGATAATAATAACTGCATCGCAAGAGTTGTTGGAAAAATAAAAATGAGGTATCATAGGAGGTAACATGTATGGAGCATTTACCATAGGCCAAGCACTGTTCTAAGAACTTCGGACATGTTATCTCACTGGTATAAGTACTTAGGTGCCTACAACATAAACAGCACCTGGTAAATTAAGTATTGAAAAAAATGCTATGGGGCAGAGGAAGAAATGCTAAGCTTCTGTGAGAAGAGAAGACAGCTTGTTACACAGGTGAAAAGAACAAGCTGCAGCTGAGAGAAGAAAAGTATGAGTTGCTAGGTGTGACAATCTCAAGACTTTTCAACCACTACAAATTTAAACAGCCACCCTAAATCACCCCAAAGGACAGACTCGAGTTGTTCTTTTTGTCTTTAATGTTTGCGCCTCTCCGAATCAGAGAAGAAGCTGCCAGGATTCCAGTACATACCAAAACATGATGACAATACCCTCAACTGTGCAAACTTTTGTGCATCTACCGCTATGTAAAGGAAGCTGATGTCAGTAGACTGGGGGGAACAGTAAGGCATGTTTGTGACCGAAGCTCAATTTGCCATCACAGTGTGGCCACACCTACCTCACTAATATTCTAATAGTGGGATAAATAATTCAATAGGGATAAAGCCTGGATTTTCCTCTTATTCTCTCTTAGTGCTTACATTCTTGGCATGATATCGATGTGCCATAGACAAGCCAATATGTGAGTGTACTCTATCTGAATAAAGTATAGCCTTTCTACATTGCAAAGTCATCCAGTTTCTAAAATTATTGTTAGAACCAATGAAGTGACTAAGAGAATTTTAAAAAATAAGCCATCAGTCTGGACCTGTGTATAGGAATGAAGGAGAAGCACTTTAAAGTCAGGGAAAAAATATAAACATACTTAACATTTAGGATTATCAACCATTGCTGCTTTTCCATAAACCATTTCATTCATGATTTCATCTGTAAGAGATATGATTATTGCCCCCATTCAGTGAGGGACTTTGATAGTTAGCCGCCTGGTCCTTCTTGCTTGGATGCCCTGCAAATAAATGTCCTCCTTTCCCCAGTGCAAAACCTCGATATGGTTGTTTGACTTTACTGCGCTTGGGCCAGCAGAATCCAGTTAAGTCCACTAATAAGCTCTTGGCCTGTCTTTGAGATGGATTTCAGATTCAAAATAGACTGACCCTATCACCCTGCTAACTTGGCCAGTCAGTATTTGTCAATAACATAGAGGCTTCATTCAAGAGATTTACTGGGTTGTAACTATTGGAACCCAGGGATGATTTCAGGATTTTGTGGGGCCTGAGCCTTATCTAGTAAAAACATTAAAAAAATTATGACTACAAAAATTTCCAGGGGCCCTCCCAGGACCTTGGAAGGGCCTGTGCAAGTGAGAAGCCTGGAAGGTTAGGCTCTATTCAATTCATCATCGATCAACCACAGCTGGGGCCTCTTTTTTTGTTTGTTTTTTATAAACTTGTGTAATGCAGGGAAATATATTGTTTCAACTTACAAACACCACAAAATGGTGTCATATTGGTCATAAAATTACTGGCACCTTCCCTTGGCATCTTGCCTTTGGAAGGAAATGCAGTGGGCCTATATGTCACATATGCCAAATATGACTGCAGTGTAGCTTTGTTTACCAGGAAGATTTGACTCCAACGGAGCCCAGCCCCTAACATACACTTGATGTGTTGAGACCCTTGTGCCAATCTTTGAAAGTAACTGTGACTTAGTTTGAAGGGTACAGCTCTATTCTGTTTATATGAAATGAGTGCTAGTTTCCAATATCAGCTAGCTCTGATTTTTTCATCACCATGAAGCAAATGCCTTTTTCTGTTCTTTAAGATGAACACAGAAACTCAAGATAAGCAAGTTAGTGTCTCTCAAGTCTTTCTTAACCCAGCCCCCATTCCTGCTTTGTCTTCTCCTTGTCACCCTGCCGTACAGATCCCCACATGGCTCTCATATGTTTTCCCATCAGCATCCGCTTCCTCCTTGAGGAATGAAAGTCCCCTGGGGACAAAGTCCTCATCTTGGTGTGTCTTTGAGATGGATTTTGTAGCCCCAGCACTTAGTACAGTACGTGGCACAAATGGACATGGCACTCTGAATGTTTTTGAATGAATTCATTAATTTTTATCAACTGTGATTCCAGTGTTTTCCTGGTGTTGCCTACGTAATTGTAGTGAAGCTGGCTAGATGATGATGATGATGATGATGATTATTATTATTATTATTATTTGAGACAGAGTCTCACTCTGTCCCTCAGGCTGGAGTGCAATGGTGCCATCTCGGCTCACTGCAACCTCCGCCTCCTGGTTTCAAGTGATTCTTCTGCCTCAGCCTCCTGAGTACCTAGGATTACAGTTGCCTGCCACCATGCCCAGCTAATTTTTGTATTTTTAGTAGAGACAGGTTTCACCATGTTGGTCAGGCTGGTCTTGAACTCCTGACCTCAGGTGATCCACCCACCTCAGCAAAGTGCTGGAATTACAGGCATGAGCCACTGCTCCCGGCCACCAGATTTTTATGAGGGACTCCCAGTGGTATAAAGTGCTTAGTAAAGATGGTGAGTTTAAAACATTTGTATTGATGCTACCTAAACCTCTTGGTGGAGGGACCTAATGAGCCTGTTCTCTGGTGTGAGGGCAAAAGAAAAACAGACCTTTAGTGTACTTTTCCTAAGTTATGCATCAGCAAATTAATGAGGACAGAGGGGAGCATGTGCAGAAACTGCTGCTCTAGTCCAGACACATCCTGAATGCCTCCCTCTAACTTGAAATGAACTGTGTGAAACTAGATTTCTGAACCACAAGGCAGGTGGAAAGTCTTTTCTAAAGTCAGATGTAGAGGAGAATCTTCACCTTGAGTCCCCTTCAGGCCACTGAATATACCCACTCTGATTTGATGGGTATGTTATACAGAGAAATCATAGAATTTTTGCAATTATGGTAGAAGAGTAGTCAGGAAAGTATATGGAATTAAGATACAGCGATATATTTTCTTTACAAAAGTTTTTTTTTGCACAATAGCTTAACATAAACACCATCTTGGCCAGGCATGGTGGCTCACACCTGTAACCCCAGCACTTTGGGAGGCTGAGGTGGGCGGATCACCTGAGGTCAGAGGAGTTTGAGACCAGCCTGGAGGGGAGGTTGGAGGGTAGTGGCACAATCTCGGCTCACTGCAACTTCCACCTCCCGGGTTCAAGCCATTCTCGTGCCTCAGCCTCCCGATAGCTAGGATCACAGGTGCCCGCCACCATGACCTGCTAATTTTTGTATTTTTAGTAGAGATGAGGTTTTGCCATGTTGGCCAGGCTGGTCTCAAACTCCTGACCTCCAGTGATCCTCCCACCTTGGCCTCCCAAGGTGCTGGGATTACAGGCATGAGCCACCATTCTGGCCCTACAACTTTGGATTTGATTCCTGCTCATATGCAGAGTTTCTAACTGCTTAAATGTCTGCAACATTTAGCTGCAAGGAAGGAAGCTTAACACAAAGTCCTCCAGGGAGCAAAAAACTGCACCACCACGCCCAGCTAATTTTTTTGTATTTATAGTAGGGACAGGGTTTCACTATGTTGGCCAGGCTGGTGTTGAATTCCTGACCTCGGGTGATCCACCCACCTCGGCTCCCAAAGTTCTGGGATTACAGGTCTGAGCCACCCCGCCCAGCAACAAGGCTAATTTGAGGGTCACTTCTTTGATGCCTTTTCTTGCCCATGCTATAGGTCAGAACTAGGACAAGCAGAGGAGGTCATATATAAGCTACGTAAGTCTCTTGGCCTCTTTGTACCTTAGCTTCCCCATTTGAGAAAAATGAATGGATCTTAAGACACGCTTTTCAGAGTTGATAATGGGCTTATACCCAGCTACCCAATAATTGTATGAGTTTTTGTACATAAATAGTTGTTTACATGTATTCATCTTCTATTTCACTTACAACTTATGTAAAAACTGCATTCCGTGCCAGGCCTGAAATGTTCCAAAGCTGAGTTCTGTAATTACATTGCAACTAAGATTTCTAAAAAAAAAAGACACAAGCCAAAGAAAAAAAAAATTATTTCAGAACATTTATCATTTGCCATGAT
This sequence comes from Homo sapiens, assembly GCF_000001405.40. NCBI lineage: Eukaryota > Metazoa > Chordata > Mammalia > Primates > Hominidae > Homo > Homo sapiens. Next base: position 241,449 of record NT_187663.1, read on the forward strand.
TCTAATTTATATAGGATGGAACATAACCTCAATCCTTTCTCTATGCACTAAGGAAATCTGACTGTGGAAGATACTGGCTTATGATTTATACTTTAACACTGCACATGTGGTGCATTAGATACAAAACAGTGAATGCTCAGTAAATACCTGTGTTAAGTGATCTTTATTTCTCTAGAACAGGATTTCACAACTTCAGTGCCATCAACATTTTGGACTATATAACTCTTTGCCATGGGGGTTTGTCTTATACCTTGAAGGATGTTTAGCAGCATCTCTGGCCTTTGCCCACCAGATGCCAGGAGCACACCCACAGTTTTGTCAACCAAAACTGTCTCCGGACATTACCAAATGCCACCTGAGTGCAAAATCACACCACCTGAGAACCACTGCTCTCTGATGATTCACTAAGATCTGTGTAATAATTCTCACAATAATCCTTGCTAGAGACAAAAAGGATTTGCTGTATAATTTTAGTAGCTTTCTACTGGTAAAATTTTAATCATATTTCAAGAATAGCAAAAAGGTTTATAATTAAGTTTTATAAAAATTCCAAATGTAATCAAGTTATATTTGTAACTTACATAAACTTCAAAAATGGTAGTGGTTCAAATGTATGTCTTTCAATAGACTGTATTTTATTGCAGGATAAATCTCTAGGAAAACAAAAATATTGCCTTGATTAGTTATTAAATGTCAATTGGTATGAATAACAGCAAGAGTTTAGAATAATACTGAATACCTATTTTTCATCTCAACTCTAAACGTTTGGACTTGTATTGGAACATTCCAGAGCCCCTAACCCTGCCCATACCTCTCCTAGAGTCTCACCTTCATGGTTTTAATAAATATACAACATAATAGACTTTGGAATTAATTTTTCCTGAGAGCAGTAGACTTGATTAGATGCCCTTTTGTAGTGTCATCAAATCTTAGATTATGAGCTCAAAGATTTTATCTCTATATACACAATTTCTAATATTAAAAAAAATAGTCGGGCCGGGTGCGGTGGCTCAGGCCTGTAATCCAGCACTTTCGGAGGCCGAGGCTGGCAGATCCTGAGGTCAGGATATCGAGACCATCCTGGCTAACACGGTGAAACCCTGTCTCTACAAAAAAAAAAAAAAAATTAGCTGGGCCTAGTGGCACGTGCCTGTAGTCCTAGCTGCTCAGGAGGCTGAGGCAGGAGAATGGCATGAACCCAGGAGGCGGACCTTGCAGTGAGCCAAGATTGCACCACTGCACTCCAGCCTGGGCGACAGAGCGAGATTCCGTCTCAAACAAACAAACAAACAAACAAACAAGTCTCACATTTCTACACCTTCTTAGTTTAGGTCTGTTTTCCTAAGCCACTTCAATATCAGAAGAAATAAAAGACATCCTTTCACATCATTTGAAAGGAAGCTACCCCTTTACCTAATACATAACTTTGAACTAATTCAAATCATATTAATAGAATTAATTTCTATCATATTAATAGAAATTCATTTTTGGTTTTGTATTGCTTTAATATTTCATAAAAAAAAAATTTCTTCAGTTATACAGTGATGGAGTTTGTCCCTCCCTCTTTACCTGGATGGTGTAACGTTGTCTGGCTGATATCTCCATCTCTAGTCTCTCCCTACCTAAACTATCCTGCACACAGTCATCATATAAACTCTCCAGAAGTGGCTTGCAAAGACCAGCATCTCCTGGGAAATTACTGAAGATGCAAATTCTTGGTCCCACTCTAGACCAACTGAATCAGTAACTACGAGGGTGGAGTCCAGAACTGAGTTCTAACGTGCCCTCTCAATGACTGTGATGCAGATCTACCTTACAGCGCTGCTGTGGTAACACGGTTCCCCATGTTGGCTCCTCAGCTTGGCATTCAAAGCTCTAGAAGATCTGGCTCCATTTTCCTACTCTCCCTTCTTGTACTCTACGGGTACTCATGGCATTCCTTGAATACTTTCCTGTGTTTTGCCCTCCCATTTTCCTTTTGCAAGTTTAGAGTATTTTCCCCAAGATGTCTGTCTGATGTTACACAATGGCCCTTCAAAGTCCTATTCAAATGGCATTGTTCTAGTAACATCCTCCTGGGTCCAAATTGAAGGCATTTTTTCCTCTTCTATGTTCGAGAAACAATTTATCCCTCCTAGTGCCCACATCCATTTCTTCTTCTTAATGTAGTTATTTTTTATCCCATTTCTTCTGAGCATAAACTCCCTGAAAGCATGGACTAGGTCTTGCTCATCTGCATTGCCCACCATGTTTAAAACTGACACATGGAAATAAAGCAAACTCAAATATTTGTAAAATAAATGAATAGCTGGGGGAGTGAGTAGAAGGAAAATAACTATTTTAAAGGAAATGTAGTTTTATTATTTCATGGTCTCTGTAGCACTTTGGCATCCACCTGAGGGTCTTTACACCCACTTTCCTTAAGCCTTCTATATTTGAAAGAATCTGTTTGCAAAAGAGCATCACTAATGAGCTTAATAAGGATTAATGACATACAGACCTCTATGGACAAAGGGTAAGAATCAAGCTTTCATAGCAATGAACATAGTATCTTCTTGTCTCTAAACAGACAGAAATACAGGGATCCCTTTCTGGTAACAGGGCTGGGGCGATCGTTATTTTGTAATTAGTGAAGAGTTAGGGGCATTTCTGATGTGCTTCTTAGTGTAAACATTTCTAGCTCTACCAGTTAACCATCATTTTAAACATCTGTTTTAATATAACAATTCCTGAAATGAAATCCTTAATACCAGTCTATTCTCTTGGTAGCTTAATATTCTTGATAATATTATTGATATAATTCAGCTATTTTTAATATTTAAATGTTAATTTAATTCCGATTAAATTACCAAAAAATTCTGGATTAATGATGTTCAAATGAATGCAGGTGGTCTCCATTTTCTTCTCCTTTAGGCAACCATCTGAAGTTAACTTTAGTTCCTTTCATCCTACTAAACCAACTTTTTGAAATTTTTTTTGGTGAAGGTCAGACAGTAAATATTTTAGGTTTTATGGGCCACATATGATCTCTCGCATATTTCTTTGTTTCTTTTCTTTTTCTTTCACAGTCCCTTTAAAAATGCAAAACCCATTCTTAACTTAATGGGCTATTTAAAAATAGACCATAAATTAGATTGGATCTATTGGTTGTAGACTGAATAGAAAAAGAATGATATGTGAACCCTTATAAAACAAGGTTCATATGGGTGTCAGTCACTGCTCAGATTTTCTTACCATGTGAAATGTTTTTGTCTGTATTTTGTCTATATAACTTAAAAACTGAAAATGCACAGGAGGTAGCTAGTGCTAGAGATGGGCTGAGACCCTATACAAACTTACAGAATTGCAGAATTTTATTGCTCAAAGAAATCTGAGAGATTATCTAATTTGAACCCCTTATTCATTTTACAGATAATATGACTAAAAACTCATAAATATAATTAACTAACTTACAAATACTGGAGGGATAGCAGGCCTTCAAATGAATCCTTGTGTAATTCAGTCAAGTTATTTTCTCTGAGAATTCTGGAAAATGAAGAAGTTATTTCTAGATTAAAATGCAAACTACAACTATTTGCTACACAGAACCATCTCCTGCATGTGGAGGAAAGCTGGGTCATGGTCACTTCAAGATGGTGGGATCTGCTCTGCTTTCATTCAAACCTTTTCTTATATTTTCCTTTTTGTGTCCATCTCTCTCCACCACCACCACAAACACACACACACACACTCAAGCACACCCCTTGAAGAGTGGGTTTCTTCCCACCAAATTCTATTATTTCATGCCTCCTCTCTAGATCACAAAATCCCTTTTAGAATCCAACTCTGGGTGGCACCAAGATCAGCAGAACCTCCATTTCCTCCTCTCTTTTCCCAAACCTTATTATGAAAGCCCCACATGGAACCATGTCAGGGCTGCAAGTGAAGCCATTCAACCTTTTTCCCCCCATCAAAAAAATTGGAGAACTATAATGTGCATAAAGTGCACATAACATAAATGTTGTTTATATTTAATTTAATTTAATTTTTGAGACAGGGTCTCACTCTGTTCCCAGACTGGTCTCAAACTCCTGGCTCAAGTGATCCTCCTGTGTCTGCTTCCCAAAGTGCTGTGACTGCAGACATGAGCCACCTCACCTGGCCAAAATATTCAGTTTAATAATTATGAAGCAGATACCCATGTAAACATCGTTACAAAAGATCATTGCTAGCATGCCAGAAGCCCCAGTGTGCCCCTTTCCAATCATATCCCTCTCTCTAACCCTAATAGGTAACCACTATCCTGACCTTTGTAATAATTTTCTTGTTTTTAAAATGTAGTTCTGGCCTGGCGTGGTGGCTCATGCCTGTAATCCCAGCACTCTGGAAAGCCAAGGTGGGTGAATCACCCACGGTCATGAGTTTGAGACCAGCCTGGCCAACATGGTGAAACCCTGTCTCTACTAAAAATATAAAAATTAGCTGGGTGTGATGGAGGGCACCTGTAATTCCAGCTACCCAGGAGGCTGAGGCAGGAGAATCGCTTGAACCCGGGAGGTGGAGGTTGCAGTGAGCCAAGATCGCACCATTGCACTCCAGCCTGGGCAACAAGAACAAAATTCCATCTGAAAAAATAAATAAAGCCATTCTCCTGCCTCAGCTTCCCAAGTAGATGGGATTACAGGCACCCACCACCACGCCTGGCTACTTTTTGTATTTTTAGTAGAGATGGGGTTTCGCCCTATCGGCCAGGCTGGTCTCAAACTCCTGACCTCAGGTGATCCGCCTACCTCCCAAGGTGCTGGGATTAAAGGTGTGAGCCACCGCGCCTAGCATATGTTTATTTTTAATTTAGAACTCATCGTGGCTTGTCTATGTACATTGAAATAATGATGTGACACACAAACTGTTGTGAAAAATGTCAGTTACTTTGAATGTAAGCATTTTTTCCAAAATCACTTATGTGTCTAAACCAATTCCTTCTATAAATCAGTAAGAAAATGATAAAACAATTCAACAGGAAAATGAACAAAGGCCAGAAAACTCAGAGAAGAAACACAAATGTTCAATAAACATATAAAGATACTAAATTAAATTCATGAGTAATCAGAAAAATTCACATTTAGATGGAATCCCTTTTATTCATCCATAACTTCAGCAAAAAGTTGGAGAATACCCAGCGGTGAAAAGGTGTTGGGAAATGAATGCTGTCATATTCTGCTGACAATAGAGTAAGTTGGCACAAAATTTTTGAAGGCAATTAAAATTTTATATCTACATAGTCTTCACCCCAAGAATTCCATTTCCAGATATCTATGCTACAGGAATACTTGCACATGTTCACAAAGAAGCATGTACAGGGATTTCATTGCAGCAATGCATGTAACAAGAAAACTAAGCATAATCTAAACATTCATCAATGGGGGAATTATTAAATAAACCATGATGCATCCATACTATGGATTATGCAGGAGTTTAAATGAATGGGGTGACCCTCTAAGTACTGGGAAGGAAAGAAATCTAAGGCATATCATGAAGTGAAAGAATTAAGTTGCAAGATGTTACCCTTTATGCGAAGAAAAAATTTTAAAACCACAAAACAAATCTATTTTGCTTTATGTAAATATGTATGTAGGTAAATGAGGAAAAGTCTGGAAGCATGTATACTAAATGCAGAGTAGCATTACTTCAGGGATGAGGGAGTAGGGCACAAGGAGAGTTTTTGTTATATCTGTTATTGCATTTTTATATATTAAAAATGGAATCATGGGCTGCGGGTGGTGGCTCATGCCTGTAATATGAACACTTTAAGAGGCCAAAGTGGGAGGATCACTTGAGCCCAGGAGTTCAAGACCAGCCTAAGCAGCATAGGAAGACCCTGTCTCTACAAAAAATACAAAATTAGGTGGGTGTGGTGGCATGCACCTGTGGTCCCAGCTACTGGGGAGGCTGAGGTGAGAGGATCACTTGGGCCTGGGAGGTGAAGGCTGCAGTGAGCTGTGATTGTGCCACTGCACTGCAGCCCAGAGGACAAAGTAAGACCCTGTCTCTGAAAAAAAAACAAAAAAGAGAACAAAAAGGAATATAACCATGTACTATTTGTATGATAAAAAATAAATTTAAATTGCCTCTTATTTTAAAGAGAGCCTACCAAATTTAATTTTAAAATGACCATACAATTGCAATCAACAGTGGTTGATTTGGGGCATGGAGGAGAAATATCTTTCCTCAGAGGTACCGACCTCAAAATTCTGGACCAAGAAGGATCTTACAATGCAGTTAGCTTTTTGTCATATTTGGAGAGAATATACTCACAGTTTCTCAGTCCAACTGTATGCTTTCCATACATTTCCATCAATGTAAGAAATATAGTTTCCTTGGAAATTTCTGTGAAGAAACACAGTTTATATCCTTGAATAGGTAGGAAAACAATGAACACGATAAGTAAAAGAATCATTGCAACCTTGTTGGGGATATTCAGAAACAGAAAATAACACCTGCTTTCTCATTTCCAGAGCTATCAGCTTCCCAGTTTGCACAATTCATCAAGAAATTATGCGGGGTCACTGGCACAAATGATGAGGCATCTCCTGGAAGCTTAACTTCTTATCCATCCCATCTCTTGGACAGATGATGCCAGTTAATTACTTTGAATGTAAGTATTTTATCTAAAAGCACTTATGTGTCTAAACAGACTTCTACAAATCAGTACCAAAATGGTAAATAATTCCACAGAAATATGGGCAAAAGCTTATCATTATCAACAAATGAGAAGAAAGAAACCCTATGCCAGGTAACACCAAAGCTTTGGCCCAGTGCCCTCTGTTGAAACATCCTAGGCTTTTTCTTTCCACTCCTATTACAACTGATCTGATTTGGCCCCTTCACACTTCACTCCTAGATTTTGCTAGACCTTTCTATTTTGTCTCCCTGAATTAAGCTTTTCCTTTTGGACACTTTACATATGGATTCTAAAACAATCCTCTGCATGTCTACACTTGCACATAATGCAAAAAACAAAATAAAATAATCTTCCTGTTTTGATCATGTAATCTCTCTTGCTTGGAAACTTTCAATGGCTTTCCATACCTCATTGTGTAACTTTCAAACTCCTATAGCTGATAATCAAGGTTTTACAGAATCGTATCTTCATTGCTCCCTCACCTAATTCTTTGTAGCCACATTGGTCTACTAAATTCCAACCATACCTGTAGCCATGCGTTTGCCTAGACTGTACTCCCATTTTTCTTCTATTTAACAAATTATAGCTACTCTTTAAGACCCAAGTAAAGTTTTAGCTTACCCATGTAGCATCTCCACACCTCAAGGATCACAGATTCTGGCAAATTCTAGCACCAATGGTCTGCATTATCTTTTAGTACTTAATTATATATACCTCCCTTTTTATGCCTATTCTCTTTCTTCCCTCCTATCATTTTTTTTTTTTTTTTTTTTTGAGATGGAGTCTTGCTCTGTCACCCAGGCTGGAGTGCAGTGGTGCAATCTCGGCTCACTGCAAGCTCTGCCTCCCAGGTTCACGCCATTCTCCTGCCTCAGCCTCCCGAGTAGCTGGGACTCCAGGCACCCACCACCATGCCTGACTAATTTTTTTCTGTATTTTTAGTAGAGATGGGGTTTCACCATGTTAGCCAGGATGGTCTTGATCTCCTGACCTCATGATCCGCCCGCCTCGGCCTCCCAAAGTGCTGGGATTACAGGCGTGAGCCACCACACCCAGCCTCTTCCCTCCTATCATTTTCGTGTTCTGGAGACAGTAGCATACTTGGCCCTGGGTTTGACATAAAACTAGTTCTACATATAGAAAGCTAGGGACAAAAATGAGTTCTGGACAAAACTAAAGGACTGAATAATCATGTGAACAGCCAACTCTCCTACATATGCTAAGCACTGATGAAGTGTTTCATATATTCACTCACCTAAATTTCACAACAATCCTATGAAATGCTAACTAGCATGATCCCCAGTTTAAAGGTGAGGAAATTGAGTCACAGGCAGAATAACTTGCTCTGGGTCACCAAGCTAATAAATAGATCTGGGTTCAAACCCAGGCAGCCTGGCTCCGGAATCAACTCTTAACCACTTAGAGCATCATCACTGAGATCGGGAGAGGGACAGGCTGCTGTAAAGAGGGTGAAGCGAAAATGGGAGGAGAGCAGCGGTTAAGCAATGATGTGATGGGGCTAAATAAAAATGGATACAAAAACGAGTAAAAGACCAGAGTAAAAGGAAAAGACTGGAGAAGGGACCTAACATTAAAAGAGAATGAGGAGAAGGGAGAGTTGACAAGCAAAGGTGAAAGCAGAAAGTCAGTTGTCCATATGGCTTGGGGAGATAAAGAAGGCCCAGGAAGGCCTCCAGGAAAAGGCTGCCATGTCAGGCAGGACACAGAGGACAATTGAGGAAAAGTGATTCTTACAAGATGGTGAAGGTGCCATTGTGGGTGTTGGGCTCTGGCACAGGCACTTGGCGGAGCCTCTGCTCTGGGTTGAGATCAATACATGACAACATCTCATCTCCGCAGGTACAGAGCTCACATATGTTGGTGCTTGTGGAGGCCTTCTGTTCCTCTGGTGCAGTTAAAGCCTTATTTTGGGTGTAACTTTCAGACTGCACCAGTGAATCCTGAGCAGGTTCTAGTTCAGTAGGTGGACCTGTGACTTCAGTCAGGCTTCGATGCAGACTCTGAACCCGGTCTGGATGAGGAGCTGTAGTCTTCTCCAGGGCTGTAGAATGTCCAGTCTCTGTAGTGGGTTCTGGAATGATGGCAAGTCCCAGGTCTGGAGGCTGAGTTGAGGTCTCCTCTGTGGTTGGAGATGGTTTAACCTCTGTAGTAGGTTTTGTAGTTATGGTAAGCTCCAGGTCCAGAGGTTGAACGGTGGCTTGAGTCAGGTGTGAATGCTGAGCCTGACCCTTGTCTGAAGGTGGAAGTGTCACCTCAGGGTGTCCTGGAGGAGGAGCTGTAGTCATCAGGGCTGTAGAAGGTTCAACCTCTGTCATGGATTTTGGAGTGATGGTAAACCCCAGGTCCAAAGGTTGAACTGTGGCTCGAGTCAGGTGTGAATGCTGAGTCTGAACCTGGTCTGGATGTGGAAGTGTCACCTCAGGATGCTTTGGAGAAACTATAGTCCTCTTCGGGGCTGTAGAATGTCCAACCTCCGTAGTGGGTTCTGGAGTGATGGTAAGTCCCAGGTCCAAAAGTTGAACTGTAACGCTGGGTGACACTGGATGCTGAGCTTGATCCTGACCTGGTGTTGGATTTGTTACCCCTTGATATACTCGAAGTTGGGGTACAACTTTCTTAGGAGGCTGAGTTGGGGTCTCCTTCATGGTTGGAGAAAGTTCAACCTCTGTCATGGATTCTGGAGTGATGGTAAACCCCAGATCCAAAGGTTGAACTGTGGCTTGAGTCAGGTGTGAATGCTCTGGAGGTTGAGCTACAACTACATTAGGGAACTCTGGAGTCTGAGCTGGGGCCTCCTGATGGGTTAGGGAAGACTCACCCTCCTCAGCGGTCTGTGGATGCTCAGCTGCAGCCTCCTGCTGGGTTGGAGAGGGGTTCTCATTATTAATAGGTTCCGGAGATTGAAATGAAGTCTCCTGTTGAACTGCTAAAGGTCCAGCTTCTTCTGATGACTCTGGAAGCAGAGGTGGGCCCCCGTGCTGGATGGCGGGAGGTTCTACATCATTACCTGACCCTGAGAGCCGAGCTGTAGCCTCCTGGTGGACTAGAGAAGTTCCCACCTCTGCACTAGGCTCTGCTGCTATGGTGAGCTGCACGTCTGGAGGCTTCACAGAGACACTGGGTGAATCTAAATGATGAGTTTGATGGTGACCTGGAGGTGAAACTGTGACTTCATGATGTTCTGGAGGCTGACCTGGGGTCTCCTGCTGGGTCAGAGAAGATTCGACCTCCCTAGAAGACTCAGAAGGCTGAACTGGCTGCTGCTGCTCACTGATGGAAAGTTCATGCTCCATAGGAGAAACTGGAGGCTCAATTGGGGCCTCCTGTTGGGTTGCAGAAGGTTCCACCTCCTCTGGAAACTGAATTGGGGTCTCCTGCTGGGCTTGGGAAGATTCTGTCTCATTGGTAGGCTCTGAAGTTATGGTAACCTCCACATCTGCAGGTTTAACTGTAATGTTGGGCAAGTGATAATAAGCTTGATCCTCACCTGGAGGTTGAACTGACACCTCATGATTCGGTAGAGTTAGACTCTCCATAGAGGACTCTGGAGGCAGAGCTGGGGCCTCCTGCTGCATTGAAGAAGGTTCTTCCTCAAGGAGCTGTGGAAGCTGTGCTGGGGCTTCTTGCTGGAGTGAAGAGGACTGGATGTCTTCAAGGGTCTCTGGATTTTGAGTTTCGGGCTCTAGATGGAATTGAGAAGGTCCAACTTGCTCAGAGGGCCCTGGAGGCTCATCTGACTTCACCCGGAGTTCTGGAGGCAGGCTACTGGGATACGGTGTATCTGTACTGGAATATTCATTCTGCAAAGTCTGTTTCTGACTCTGAGGTGTGGATAATTGGCGTGCAATTCCAATAATCTCAGCAAGGCTCCAACGCTGAGCTGGATCTTTCTTCAGCTTCTTGGGCGAAACAGGGAGTCTTTCCTGTGGACTCAGCTTGTCCTTTAAATCCTGCTGTGAAGCCAAGAACTGCTCTGGCTCCAGGGGCTGCTCTCCAGCTGAATCCCAGGTGTCCAGGAATGGAACCAAATTTTCAGTCGATTCCTGGGGTGGGGCTGGCATCTCTGAGGAAGCAGAGGGCCCCAGGTGATCAAAGTCCCACGGGTCTGCTGGGAGAGTAGGCGCATGGGGAGATTCCCGTGGGAAATGGGAGGAGTGGGAAGACCAGGACTCAGGCGGCCCCAGGGGATTAGAGGTGAGCTGGAGCGGGTCCTTGACCCACTCCAGAGGCTGAGCCTCCTTAACTAGTAGCCACAATAGTTGCCACATAAGGAGGGGCCATGGGCCCCAGAAACGCAGCCGGGACATGACACACACTAGTGCCGGGCACTGAGCAGAAGACATTCTGGCAGCTCCGAGACGCTCGTGCCCCTTCTAAGCGTGAGCCCCGCCCTGTCTTTATGACACCTTTATTTATGTCACAGATCTGCTCCATGTCACCAGGGCACTCTTATGTCACAATCCCGCCCAAGCACGCCTTCCCATCCTGCCCTGCCGGAACACCCCTCTCCTCCCCTTAGTGAGGAAGGATTTGGGCCTCAGACCCTGGTGGTCCCAGGACTCCAGCGCCTGCTGTGGTGGGGTAGGGTGGGGTAGGGTGGGGTGGGGGCGTGGCAGAGCTTCCCAAGGAAGTCACCGGACCTCGCCTCAGGATATTCAGAAGTGCTAGTTCAGTTCTGGCAGCCTTCCTCCTTTAAGGTGAAATCCGAGAACACTCTTCCTTCCAGGGAGAGCAACTGACCTGCAAAATGGGCGCCAGGATGCACATTACAGTCACTTATTCCAAAGTGTTGCCATTTTCGCTAAACTGTCGCATGTTTGATAATTAATTCACCACCCTATTAGGTAGGGGCTGCCAGGGAATAAGCGAGGACTCCAAATTTTCTGTAGGAGGGGTGTTGGGAGTTGGCAATTCGGTCTGGGAGAGAAGGTTTTAATCCGAGTGAAGAGCCCTTTGCACTAGCCTGGGAGGAGGCTGAACTGTCATCCTGCCTTGACTCAACACAGCCATTCCCCTAGAAGTTACAGCACTTCTAGGGTCACCTGTGTTCAGAGATCTACCCTGTGTGCACACATGGAGAAGAGGCTTAGGTTGTTAAAGTCAGCATGTTAAATCATTTCCTGAAATGCGACTGTAACTAGAACCCAGCTGACTTCCCCCACAGCCGTTCTTACCTATTTTATTACTGTCTGGCATAATTACCAGCATGTAAACTCCAAGAAGGTGCTTCATCTTATTTTAGTGCCTGGCATAGACATAGGGTGCATAGTGATGGCTTTAAAATTGAAGGGGGGCCGGGTGTGGTGGCTCACACCCATAATCCCAGAACTTTGGGAGGCCGAGGTGGGGGGATCACTGAGGTCAGAAGTTCGAGACCAGCCTAACCAACATGGTGAAACTCCGTCTCTACTAAAAATACAAAATTAGCCAGGTGTGGTGGTGCATACCTGCAATCCCAGCTACTCAGGAGGCCAAAGCAGGAGAATCGCTTGAACCTGGGAGGCAGAGGTTGCAGTGAGCCGAGATCACAACATTGCACTTCAGCCTGGGCAACAAGAGAGAAACTCCATCTCAAAAAAATAAAATAAAATAAAATGGAAGAGATTCCAAGATTCACCTCATTTAGGGATGGAGCTATTGTTATAATCAGATTTCTGAAATGAGTGCTGACTTCCTCTCACATTTCACAGGAAGCTAGACTTCTTAAAGCTTGAAGTCTCCTTGGTGGGTTTTATTTAAATTGAATTAAAATAATTATTTTACAGGGAAAAATTTCAAAACACTTTGCAACTTTGGGGTAAAAGTTAAATAAAACACTGTAGCCCCAAGTTAAGTTCCCACTGAAATGAGACTTTTGCTCCTTTTTTTAAAAAAAATTCCATAAATAGTAAATAATGACTGTTTTGAGATTAATTTAGAAACAATCCCTATTTAAGAGCTTTCATATGCAGTCATGCATTGCTTGCCACGTGAGGAGCTTGAGAAATGGGTCACTAGGTGATTTCACCATTGTGCTAATATCATAGCGTATACTTACACAAACCTAGGTGGTGTAGCCACCATACCTAGGGTACACGGTATGGCTTAGGACTCCTAGGCTACAAACCTGTACTGTATGTTACTGTACTGAATACTAAAGGCAACTGTCACAGAATGGCAGGTATTTGTGTATGTAAACATGGAAAATATATAGTTAAAATACTGTGTAAAAGATAAAAATGGGGCCTGGGCACAGTGGCTCATGCCTGTAATCCCAGCACTTTGGGACGCCAAGGTGGGTGGATCACTTGAGCTCAGGAGTTCAAGACCAGCCTGGCCAACATGATGAAACCCCATCTCTACTAAAAATACAAAAATTAGCTGAGTGTGGTGACGCGTGTCTATAATCCCAGCTACTCAGGAGGCTGAGGTAGGAGAATCACTTGAACCTGGGAGGTGGAGGTTGCAATGAGCTGGGATCATACCACCGCACTCCAGCCTGGACAACAGAGTGAGACTCCATCTCAAAAAAAAAAAAAAAAAAAAAAAAAAAAAAAAGATAAAAATGGTATACCTATATAGGGATAGCTCCATTATACGCTTACGGAACCACCATCATATATGTGGTCTACTGTTGACGCAAACTTCATTTTGCAGCACATGATTGTAAATGATTGACAGAAAGATCTTCAGCAAAATATTCCACCCAAGATACGTGGGAGATATTGAGATCCAAGCAATAAGCCATATTTGAAAGGCATTATAGTTTTCAAAAGCTGTAGCGCAATCATTCTTAAGGCCAGTTACCTTCTCCCCACATCTCTGGGATCCTGTTTGAAGGGAGTTCTAACAAGGCCTGTGTTCGAGCAGCCCAGCATCCCTTACTCCTGGAGCGGGGGGAGACTAACCCCTCTCCTGTGTCCACAACTGTAGTAATACAATCCTCGGTTCTGCTCTCCAAACTTCAAATAAGGGGTCAGAGCCAAGGGTTAAGACTTTAGGAAAAGCCCCGGAAATACCCTGCACTCAAAAAGCAGTTTCAGAGTTTCACATTTTCCTGAGAATTAAACAAATTATCCTCCAAATTCTGCTGCTTGTTTTGAATTATGGTTATACTGGCAATGTTATCCAACCCTTGAGTTGTTTTTCTTTTCTTTTTTTTTTTTTCCTCGAGAGAGTGTCTTGCTCTGTCACCCAGGCTGGAATGCAGTGGCATGATCTCGGCTCACTGCAACCTCCGCCTCCTGGGTTCTAGTGGTTTTCATGCCTCAGTTTCCCAAGTAGCTGGGATTACAGGTGCCCACCACCACACCCAGCCAATTTTTGTATTTTTAGTAGAGACAGGGTTTCACCATATTGGCCAGGCTGGTCTTGAACTCCTGACCTCATGATCCACCCACCTCGGCCTCCCAAAGTGCTGGGATTACAGGTGTGAGCCACAGCGCCTGGCCTGTTTGTTTTTTGAGATAGAGTTTCACTCTTGTTGCCCAGGCTGGAGTGCAATGGTGTGATCTTGGCTTACCGGAACCTCCGCTTCCCGGGTCCAAGCGATTCTCCTGCCTCAGCCTCCCGAGTAGCTGGGATTACAGGCATGTGCCACCATTTCTCCATGTTGGTCAGTCTGATCTTGAACTCCTGACCTCAGGTGATCCACCCGCCTCAGCCTCCCAAAGCACTGGCATTACAGGTGTGAGCCACTGTGCCCGGCCCTGTTACCTTTGAGTTTTTATCTCCACATACTTATATTAAACCGTGTAGTTCTTCTTCCCATCTGACATCTACAATCTCTTCACTGGGTCTGTACTCCATAGCTATTTTACCACTTTCTGAAATAAAGTTAGCAAGGATGAATTCAGAATCTTTTTCATTCCAAAACTTCCTGCATATAATGGTAGCAACCCACAATGAGACATTCTTTTAGTTTCTAAAAGCAGGAAATAAGCATTTTCCTGAAAGTTTCCTCATCTCTTCATCATACACTTCGATTTTTGTTTTTCTTTTTTCTTTTAGACAGGGTCTCACTCTGTCACCCAGGCTGGAGTACAGTGGCACTATCATAGCTCACTGTAGCCTGGAATTCCTGGGCTCAAGTCATCCTCCTGCTTCAGCCTCCAGAGTAGCAGGCACTATATCACTGTGCCCGTCTAATTCTCTTTTTTAGAGACATGGTCCCGCTTTGTTTTCCAGGCTGGTCTCGAACTCCTGGCTTGAAGTGATCCTTCTGTCTTGGCCTCCCGAAATGCTGAGATTTCAAGCGTGAGTCATCATGTCTGGTCTCACAGCTCAGTTTTTAACATATGTATGAAATATCAACTGTGTTTGGTTCAAAGGACTTTATGATCTTACAGATAGGAACTAAGGAATAATAACGTAAGAAATAAAAAATGTGGAAATAAAAATGTTCAATCATAACATGATTAAAAGGTAAGGCACCAGGTGGGGGGTCGAAGTAAGTTCAAATCCAAAATAGAGACCACTGGGCTAGTAGACACTTCACATTAGAAGCATGGCTAGGTGTCTACTCCCTGAGAACCAAAATTCCACCAGATACAATGAACAAAGCTTTAGAGAGAGAAAACATTTGAACATTTTACGGGCAGAAAATGGCCCACATACTCTATAGACAATACAATTTCCTTCAAGGCAAACTAGAACTATAAGGCTTTTGGTCTAAGAAGTGAGTGTGTGCAAGGGATACCTTTGCATACTAGGGAGGGGTAGACAACCCACACATTTAGCTTGGTTATTAAATGTCATTACTCAGACTTGACAGTTGATGACCAAGGAAGTAAGACTTTCACTAGAAGGGCTGCCCAGGTTGGAAAGCTGAGAGCAATCAGGGCCACCTCTTACAAGCAAATAAAGGTCTGTAGTAACTTAATTACAATCTCAGTCTCTAAGCCTTCAGGGTTGTGAAGCAGAAAGGCAACTCTGTTCAGGGACTCGTTAAACACCAGGTTTCCTTTGGGCACAGGCTATGACATTTGTGCCACTGTAGAACTGAATAGGAAATACAAGCAGTGCCATTCAACAGCATGACCACTTCCAAGGCTCACAGCAAAGCAGCTGATTATTGTATAAGAATCATATTTGGCCAATATGTCAGTGCCAGAAATGAGAGCTGGAACTGAATTCTCGATTCGAGAAACATAATCTAATAAATTCTTCAGCAGAGTTTATTTATTCAGAGAGAAAACAATCACAACAATAGCATATTTTGTCTGCTTACCTTGTAAGTATAGTTCTGAGTTTTTACACTTGTCATCTCATTTTTTCTTACAATATCAGCAATAAGGTTGATTGGATTACTAACCCCAGTTTGCAGATAAAGATTGCAGCTTAGAGATATTAAATATCTTCAAATCTCTCTGGCCATAAGACCTAAAACTGCATACAAAAATCTAAGAGACAGAGTTAGGACTCAAATCCATGTGTCCAGGGCTTATAATCACTATTCTGTACGATAGGCATGCAATTAAAGAAGACCTGCCTCAAACATTTTCTGTGTGACCTGAGGCAAGTCCTTTTATAGCTATAAACTAGGGACAATATTTGCTGTCATTTTTTCTACAAATGTCACAAAGAACAAATTTGAGCCTGTCGCTGTGAAAGAACTTAGCAAATGAAAGCATCCTAGGGAGTGTTTTAGATATCGATATTTTTATCCAATTAACTTTTCAAAATGAGTTTATTTGCTCACTGAAACTGAAGTACTTCAACGACGATTAAGAAAGTTTTACCTAGAACCACAATCAACAGTTTCTGGAATGCATCTGACAAAGCCTTCTCAATAGCAATCTGGGCTATCTTCCCTTTCATAGGAATGACAACGGTCTTAAATCCAACCCAAACTAATGGATTTAAGATGCCTATCTGAGTGATCATTGCTACATGTTGGTTAAAAAATAAAAATGCATCCACGAATCTTAGCTCATAATCTTCGTGATTAAAGGCAGACAGCACAAGGGTATGGTTGAACGTCTCTGTTATAGGTACATCCTGGCAGGGCCCATTTTTACTGCCTCCATCTAGTTGGGAAGTTCCTAAAGTACTAGAGGGAGACATAAGCCAAGAACCTGGCACATATCTCACATCACCCAGAGATTTAATTCATCAGTTAAGGCTACACTCCTATGGACCCCACCCTCCTATGCATCAAGGGCTGGAATCACTCACTGAAAAAAAGCTTTGTTGGCTGGACACGGTGGCCCATGCCTGTAATCCCAGCACTTTAGGATGCCAAGGCGGGTTGAGGCCAGGAGTTCAAGAACAGCCTAGCCAACGTGGTGAAACCCCATCTCTCCTAAAAATACAAAAATTAGCCGAGTGTGGTGGCACACACCTGTAATCCCAGCTACCTGGGAGTCTGAGGCACAAGAATAGCTTGAACCGGGAGGCGGAGGTTGCAGTGAGCCGAGATCATTCCACTGCACTCCAGCCTGGGTGACAGAGTAAGACTATTTTCAAAAAGAGGCCAGGCACAGTGGCTCATATCTGTAATCCCAGTACTTTGAGAGGCCAAGATGGGCAGATCACTTGAGGTCAGGAGTTTGAGACCAGCCTGAGCAACATGATGAAACCCTGTCTCTACTAAAAAATTTTTTAAAAATTAAAAATTGGCTGAGTGTGGTGGTGGGCAGGAGGGAGGTGAACTGCTTGAACCTGGGAGGTGGAGGTTGCAGTGAGCCGAGATCACACCGGTGCACTCCAGCCTGGGCGACAGAGCAAGACTCTGTCTCAAAAAAACAAAAAAGGTTTGGTACAGATAATCTGGCTCCTCCCTGGGCATCATCCATGAAAGCCTACTCCCCTCCATTAGCCTACAGCCCTGCCTCTGACTTCAAACCCTAAGCCTGAGGGCCATGAATACTAGAAAAAAATCTCAACGTCAGTTATCAATTGAGTACCCTTTCTAGTATCTCTAGTAGACTCTTGTTCCACTGAAGCCCTTCTACGAGTAAAAAAAAGGCTGAATGGGCCGGGCGCAGTTGCTCATGCCTGTAATCCTAGCACTTTCAGAGGCCAAGGCAGATGGATCACGAGGTCAGGAGTTTGAGACCGGCCTGACCAACACAATGAAACCCCATCTCTACTAAAAATACAAAGATTAGCCAGGCATGGTGGTGCATGCCTGTAATCCCAGCTACCCAGGAGTGTCAGGCAGGAGAATCACTTGAACCTGGGAGGTGGAGGTTGCAGTGAGCCGAGATCACACCACTGCACTCCAGCCTGCGCGACAGGGCAAGACTCTGCTTCAAAAAAAAAAAAAAGACAATGTTTACACAAAACTTTCTGTAAATCTTTACATGATGACTTGGCATGGTGGGTGGCTCATGCCTATAACTCCAGCACCTTGGGATCCTGGGGGAAGAGGATCACTTGAGGCCAGGAGTTTGAGACCAGGCAGGACAACACAGCAAGACCCCATCTCCAGAAAAAATAATTAGCCACATGTGGTGGCACACGCCTGTAGTCCTGGCTAGTCAGGAGGCTAAGGTGGGAGGATCCCTTGAGCCCAGCAGTTTGAGGTTGCAATGAGCTATGAGCATGCTACTGCACTCTAGCCTGGGCAACAGAGCAAGACCCTGTCTCTAAAAAATAATAATAAATAGATAAACAAATCTTTAGATAATTTTGTTGGGATAACTGAAGGCTATAAGAGATACATATTTGAAGGACTATTTTAGACGAGATTGGGCGCGTTCAGGGTGGTATGGCTGTAGACTTGAAGGACTATTTTAATACAAAGCAAGTTCTTAACCGAAAACTGGAAAAACATTACTTCCTTCTTCCTCCTACGCTTCTTGGCAGGAAGTACACTGTACAATTTTAAATTTAAAGGTTCTGGCCGGGTGGGGTGGCTCACACTTGTAATCCCAGCACTTTGGGAGGCCAAGGCAGGCAGATCACGAGGTCAGGAGATCGAGACCATCCTGGCCAACATGGTGAAACCCCATCTCTACTAAAAATACAAAAATTAGCTGGGTGTGGTGGTGGGCGCCTGTAATCCCAGCTACTCAGGAGGCTGAGGCAGGAGAATGCCTTGAACCCGGGAGGCGGAGGTTGCAGTGAGCCGAGATCACGCCACTGCACTCCAGCCTGGTGACAGAGCAAGACTCTCTCTCAAAATTAGTTAATTAATAAATCAATTTATTAAATAAATTTATTAATTAATAAATCAATGTATTAAATCAATTTATTAAAGCAATTTATTTACTTATTTAAAGGCTCTGTCAGGTATTGCCTAAGGTAAAAGTCTGTATTGTAAGACAGAAAACCTCTGCCCAGGACTTCAGTAGCTCAGAGAGGGAAAGGCTTGATATGTGTCTGAAAAGACAAGTTTTAGACAGCAAGAAAAAAGAGATCCTTCCCATTTCAACTCCTTACCCTCCTCTACCCCCAATGAAAACAGACCTTCCTTCGCCTTATCCACAGGCTCCTCCACCAAGCCAAGGCCAGACTCCTGCAATCATAGGATGGCAACACCACCTCTAAAGCACAGAACTTCAGGCTTTGCTTCGGAAGTGGCACCATGGTCTCTTCATTTTCCCTTTCTTCAAGGTCAGAAAACTGAAGCTGTTAGGAGTTTTAGTGTTAAGTTCCTTCCGAGGATGTTAATTAGGCTTCAAACTGTTTTGTTCTGAGAAATAAAAACTAAACTCCAGTCATTCAAGCTAACAGTTGAGGTGTTCTATGGCTTCAAAATCAAGTAAGATTTGTAAATGAATTGCTAGGTGCAACCATTACTTATTATATGCCACACAAACAGTGGAGAAAATTATGGACACCACCATCCAAGTGATTGAGATTATTAATTTTAGGTAGCAGGCCAATTCAGACATGTCCACTTATCCTCAATGGCAGGGGGCCTCTCACATCCCCTCCCTGTAACCCAGTTCAATACTTCTGTCTAAAGTCTAGAATTTCAATGTTGAAAGGAGAGCGTGGTTAGTGAGAGAAAATCCACAAAGTTTATCCTGATGATCCTTTCTGACCATCCATTGAAACCAAAGTAGTAATTCACCAGTTCTTGGCATCAGGAGCTGTTTCAGGCAAGGGCCTGATGTGCAACTGCCTTATGTCTGCTGCCAAGAGGAACCTAAAGTCACAAGAGACAGACCCACAAATATCACAGCCTGCCAGAGATTTTATTTTGGATACACCTGAGATTTATCAATACCAACTGTGCAAAGAAAAGAAATTGTTTCAGTCTTCCCATTCAGTAGCTCCTTCTTGAGAACATGACCTGAAGAATAGATAAGATGAACCCACCCATCCCCCACCCCAAGTTACCCCTGCTTAAAGAGGAAATACACATACCTCTATACATTTTACAAGCAACTAAAACAACTAGAGGTTCATCTGCATTTATAAGCTTCTTTGACAATGCAAATATCTACTGAGTGTTAATTCTTGAAATATTTTACACATTTCTGTGAATTTCTTACATCACCAGTTCTTTCTTATGTCTATTTCATTTTGTAAGTGTAGAATATGATTATATTCATGAAACTCAAATGATACAAATAGTCAAATTTATTGTATTAGAAATTAATAAGAATAGTAAAGTTAATTCTTTGTTGATTTGTTTATGCACCTTCCTCTGTCACTGGTTTATAAGCTCCATAAGTGCCAGAGGAAAACATATCTTATTCTTTTTTCATTCCCAGAACAAAGCACAGTTCTTGGCATACAATACAGGATAGATGATCTGTTGATTGAGTGAATGAATAAAACAATGAGCAAGTAAAAAATGAAATTACTTTTTCCCACTGAAGAGAAAGAGAAATGCTTGTTGGGAAGGAGAAATGAAGACTATTTTTTTTTTTTTTTTGAGACGGAGTCTCCCTCTGTCGCCCAGGCTGGAGTGCAGTGGCACGATCTCGGCTCACTGCAAGCTCCGCCTCCCGGGTTCACGCCATTCTCCTGCCTCAGCCTCCAGAGTAGCTGGGACTACAGGTGCCCCCCCACCACTGCCGGCTAATTTTTTGTATTTTTAGTAGAGATGGGGTTTCACCGTGTTAGCCAGGATGATCTCCATCTCCTGACATCGGGATCCACCCACCTCAGCCTCCCAAAGTGCTGGGATTACAGGCGTGAGCCACCACGCCTGGCAATGAAGACTAATTTTTAAACGTTGAGTGCTACCACGGAGACCAGCCTGTATCATGAGTCACAGTGGAGACTTTCGGAACATCTAGGAAACTTCAGAAGGGCTCTGAGCCCCTGGGTGGTACAGACAGTTGTCACCTTGGATAACGTTGCCACAGTTCTTGCTGGCGACCATTTCCCTTCATTTCACTGAAACAAAAACAAAAACAAAAAACCCTCACAGATGCCTTAGGCCTTTCCTTGATTTTAAAACATTATTCTCTTTTCTGTATTTATAAAAACCAAAAAAGACAGGAACTAGGTGCATGTGCTAAAGTAGAAAAGAACACTTAAGGCCAGGAGCAGTTGCTCATGCCTGTAATCCCAGCACTTTGGGAGGCTGAGGTGGGCAGACTGCCTGAGGTCAGGAGTTCGAGACCAGCCTGACCAATATGGTGAAACCCTGTCTCTACTAAAAATACAAAAACTAGCAGGGCGTGGTGGTGGGTACCTATAATCCCAGCTACTTGGGAGGCTGAGACAGGAGAATCTGGGAGGCGGAGATTGCAGTGAGCAGAGACCGGGCCATTGCACTCTAGCCTGGGGAACAAGAGTGAAACTCCACCTCAAAAAAACAAAAAATAAAAGGACCCTTAAACTAGATAACAGTGGGGGTCAAGTAGTAACCCAAGGCTCTGAGTTCAGTAAGTAAATAAATCTAATATGAATGCCCTCTCCTCTCACTCATCTATTAACTTGTAGAACATTTCCTTCATTACTGCATCAGCGATGAGCTTTATGCTGTGAAATTCTCAAAATCTAAAGCTTATGAAGTGGTCTCAAGGTCCAAAGCACACTAAAAACTCATTACTTACAAAATGATACCAAGTAACTGTTTCATCATCTTTACCGTACCTTTACCATATTTGAGTGGCTATGTGAAATGGTCACAGGTTAGAAACACATCATAGTCCAAAAGTTGAAGAATATTCCACAGGTAATCATTTCAGTCACAGGAAGTGGAACCAGGATTGAAGAGGGTGTTGAATAAGCTACAAAAGTGGGTATAGTATACCTGGAGTCATTACTAAGCAGAGTTCTCAGATTTGATCAAGGTTAATTCAATGAGAAATGGAATATATATAGACAATAGGCAACAAGATTAGCAGGAAGCAGTCAGATCAAGTAGCCAATCAGGAATTGAAATCGGTCCTTGAAAATGGAAAGGTGATTGAATTGAGGCATACAATGAGATATCCTTCTGTGGCTCTGGGAAAGTAAAATTGGTTGGCATGTTAACATGGAATAGGATTTCTACAAGGCCGCTTAAAGAATGTTTCCATCCTCTGAGAACTGAAGGGAGTTCCAAATAGGCAGTTTGTGACTGATGATGAGCATGTTGATGATAAAGTCTCCTTTATATAACAGCCGGCAGACGACTTGGTCACACCCACACATCTTAAATTCACATAAAGGTAAATATATGGTCAGGCGTGGTGGCCCACACCTGTAGTCTCAGCACTTTGGGAGGCGAAGGCGGGGGTGGATCATTTGAGGTCAGGAGTTCAAGACCAGTCTGGCCAACATGGTGAAACTCCATCTCTACTAAAATACAAAAATTAGCCAGGCATGGTGGTGCATGCCTGTGGTCCCAGCTACTCAGGAGGCCGAGGCAGGAGAATCACGTGAACCCGGGAGGCGGAGGTTGCAGTGAGCCAAGATCGCACCACTGCCCTCCAGCCTAGGCAACAGAGACTCCGTCTCAAAAACAAGTCAATATAGCTGGGCATGGTGGCTTGTACCTAGCTACTTAAGAGGCTGAGGCAGGAGGATTGCTTGAGGTCAGGATTTAGAGACCAGCCTGGGCAACACAGGGATACTCTGTCTCTAAAAAAATTTTAAGAAGTACCACCACCATGCCCAGCTAATTTTTTTTGTATTTTTAATAGAGACGGGGTCTCACCATGTTAGCCAGGCTGGTCTCAAACTCCTCACCTCAGGTGATCCACCCGCTTCAGCCTCCCAAAGTGCTGGGATTACAGGCATGAGCCACAGTGCCCAGCCGAGAACTTGCATTTCTAACAATTCCCAGATTGTGCTGTTTGGGGAACCATACTTTGAGAAACACTTCCCTATAACCTGATAGGTTATTTCCCCTAAGATCCAGATGAGTAAAAATTAATACACATTAGATGAAATTCCAGAAGTTATCTTCGAACTCTGCTACTCATTGAATGTCATGAAGATATTGGAAAAAAAAGAAAAAAACAAAAAACAACCTTGCTACTCAACGAGGGATTTGCTATTATCACGTTTCAGAGAAATTCAGAACCTCAGGCCTAAACGCAGGCCTACTAAATTAGGAACTGCAGTTTCTCACAATCTTCAGGTGATTTCTATGGTCATTAAAGTTTGAAAAGCTGCCTTGAAACAGTCCTTCCTAAAACTGAAGTGGAGGTGCCGCAAAAATCATCTGGTAAATTGTTTAAAGTAATCCCAAATGCAACTCAAATCTACAGAATCCCAGGTGAAGCTCAGTAATCTGTATTTTTATCCTTCTCCCCAAATAATTCTGATGTGCAGGCAAGTTTGAAAACCACTGCTTTAAAGAAAATGGATACTCCCCTTACCAAGCAGAAAGTAGGATTTTGGAAACTGATGCAAGGGAAGCAAAAAGATGCCTCAGGAGGCACGATTACAACAGGATTGATGCAAACGGAAGCTGAAGCTTAACCAAAGACATTAATATACGCCCACAAAAGAAAATGCTAAGGAAGTCAAGTGGTCTGCATGAATTCTGAAGAAAAATGGAGAACCAAAGAACAAAATTTGTCAATGAATTTCCAGCACAGTCTAGGTTAAGGGAGTGAATTTCTTGACTGAATGGCACAGACTCTGTACCACCTGATTGGCTGTTACCTTAATGGAGGAATTATATTACAATGTATAGGTACTTTAATTAGAATGACCTGGCAGTTACTGAGGCAAAATTTTCCGCTCCTTTGTATTCTGTAATACAAGAAGGATCTACATGGATGTTCTGTTCTCTGAACTGTCTGGATGAACCGGTCAATGGCACTCATCATACCTTAGTTTTTAAATCTGCATTGTGGTCATAATCTGTTATTTAATTAATTTCTCGTATTTTTAATAAAAACGTTGCCTATATATTTTAGACAGAAATTGCCTTACTTTGCTGAAATGCTGAGAAATCCTAGACAGTTTTCAAGGCTTGGCTCAAATGTCACCTCTACTACCCTTTGCTGTGCCTCCTGGCACTGTGCTTCTGACACTTTGTACGGTCCTCCATGACAGCGTGAGCACAATTATATTACAGGCAATTACTCATGCCCCCCTGGCTCAACTGTGGACTCCTTTAGAGCACAGATCATGTTTTATTTATTGTAGCAACTAAAACAATTATTTATTCAACCAATGACACCCATAAACAAAACTACCTGCAGAGGGCAGAGATGCAGGGGTAAAGTCATGCCAAGATTAAACCCCAGAAACCACTGTAGATTTTTCAGAGTTGACTCCTACGTTTTCAGACTTCTAGACTTCAAAAAACAACTCTCTATAAAATGTATGTTTCTAGAAGGAAGAAGTGTAACATTGTCCCCCATTTTTTTTTTTTTTGAGCTGGAGTCTTGCTCTGTCGACCAGGCTGGAGTGCAGTGGTGCAATCTTGGCTCCCTGCAACCTCCACCTCCCAGGTTCAAGCCACTCGCCTGCCTCACTTCAAGTAGCTGGGATTACAGGAGCCCACCACCACACCCGGCTAATTTTTATATTTTTAGTAGAGACGGGGTCTCACCATGTTGGCCAGGCTGGTCTCAAATACCTGACCTCAAGTGATCCACGTGCCTAGGCCTCCCAAAGTGCTGGGATTACAGGCGTGAGCCACCATGCCTGGCCTATAGAGTGCTTTCTATTTGCCAGACATTGTGCTAAGCACTTTAAAATGCATTATTTCATTTTATCCTCAGATCAGCTCCATAAAATAACTACATTACCTCTACATGTATATAGATATATGTATCTATATATACGTATATCTACATACATTGAAAGTCTCACCAGTGTTTTAACTTTTGCTTTCAACCACTATACATATTTTAAAGAGCTTAAGAGGAGAAACAACCGTTTGCGTTTTTAAATTTTCCCAGATACCATTTCTGCTGCTCTTTATCTCTGAAGTTCTAGTATTACCACTGGCATAATTTTCCTTTGGCCTAAAGACCTTCTTTTACTTTTATTTTAGAGCAGAACTTCCGCCAACACATTCTCTTAGATTTTCTTCATCCAAAATGTCTTTCTTCTTTTTCTTTTTGCCTTAATTGTTAAAGGGTATTTTTGCTGGATATAGAATTCTGGATTGACATTTCTCTCAGTACTTTAAAGATGTTCTGTAGTTACTTGAATCGCTGAAAGGCTTAAAGTTGGGGACTGGCTCTATCACATATACGTTTTATAGAAAGGTTCATTACTTTCATATCTTCATTGTGGACCATAGCCTTTATCATCACAAAATTTTGTCTCATTTATGAGTTTTTAAATTTTGCTTTGAACCTAAACTTTTATAACTCCTTTCTATTTCCTACAATGTGGAGTTTATCGCGGACAGCACAGGCAGTTGGAAATATATATCTGGAGTTTAGCAAAGAGGTCTAGGTAGGAAAATGGATCTACAAGTCATTGATATTTTGGCCGGGCGTGGTGGCTCATGCCTGTAATCCCTGCACTTTGGGAGGTTGAGGCAGGCTGATCACAAGGTCAAGAGATTGAAACCATCCTGGCCAACATGGTGAAACCCCGTCTCTACTAAAAATACAAAAATTAGCTGGGTGTGTTGGCACACACCTGTAGTCCCAGCTACTCGGGAGGCTGAGGGAGGAGAATCACTTGGACTCAGGAGGCAGAGGTTGCAGTGAGCCAAGATCATGCCACTGCACTCCAGCCTGGTGACAGAGTGAGACTCTGTCTCAAAAAAGTCATCGATATTTTGGTGGTAATTGAGTCAACTGTTAATTAGGGTAAAGTTGGGGAAACTAAATGCTGAGGACTATCACGTGTAAGAGGGATGTTTGAAGGAGGAATAACTGGTCAAGGAAATCGGGTCATAAGTGGCAACAGGAAATTTAAGAAGGATGTAGTAGTCAAAGGTATCATACATGCATTGTATATGTATGTAGATATATATCTTTCAATGTATGTAGATATACGTCTACATACATACACAATGTATGCATGTAGATATACATTGAAAGTATAGATACATATCTATCTACATACATTGAAAGTGTATATAGATATATACACACATACACACACACACATACATACAATTATAAGGGGGGGCTAGAATAAAGAAACCTATATGTTTGCAATACTTTTACATTTTATTTAGAGGTAAAATGCTAACTCTAAGTAGGCAGGTTAGGTATATATTTTGTAATTCCTACAGCAAAAACATAGCACAGATATAACCAAAAGCCAATTAATAAAACATAACACTAAAAAATATTCAGTTAATCCAAAAATAGGCAGAAAAAAGAAACAGAAGAAACCCCCCAAAAAAGAAATAATCAGAAAACAAATAATAAAAAGGAAACCTAAATCCAATCATTATCAATCATATTAAATGTAAATGGTCCAAAACACATTAATTAAAAGACGCTGTCAGATTACATTTAAAAGAAAAACGAAAAAACAAGAAACCATTTGAAAATATAATGATATGGCCAAGTATGGTGGCTCACGCCTATAATCCCAGCGTTTTGGGAGGCTGAGGTGGGCAGGTGGCTTGAGCCCAGGAATTCAAGACCAGCCTGGGCAACATGGCGAAACCCCATCTCTATTTTTACAAATTAAAAAATAAATGAATATCATGATATCTAGATTAAAAGCAAAAGGGTAGAGAAAGATGTCATTTTAACACTAGTCAAAAACAGTATTATACTACTAATATAGAACACTAATTTTATATTAATATTAAATAATTTTTTTTTCCCCCGAGATGGAGTCTTGCTCTGTTACCCAGGCTAGAGTGCAATGGCATGATCTTGGCTTACTGCAACCTCTGCCTCCCGGCTTCAAGCAATTCTCTGGCCTCAGCCTCCCAAGTACTTGGGATTACAGGCAGCTGCCACCGTGCCTGGCTAACTTTTGTATTTTTAGTAGAGACGGGGTTTCACCATCTTAGCCAGGCTGGTCTCGAACTCCCGACCTCAGGTGATTCACCTGCCTCAGCCTTCCAAAGTGCTGGGTTTACAGGCATGAGCCACTGCACCTGGCCTGTTTGGGTTTTTTTTTTTTTTTTCTTTTGAGATGGAGTCTTGCTCCGCTTCCCAGGCTGGGGTGCAGTGGCGTGATCTCGGCTCACTGCAATATCCAACTCCTGGATTCAAGTGATTATCTTGCCTCAACCTTCTGAGTAGCTGGGACTACAGACGTGTGCCACCACACTAGGCTATTTTTCTCTTTTTAGTAGAGATGGGGTTTCGCCATGTTGTCCGGTCTGGACTCGAACTCCTGACCTCAGGTGATCCACCCGCCTCGGCCTCCCAAAGTGCTGGGATTACAGGCATGAGCCACCATGCCTGGCCAAATAATGGTTTTTAATATAATTATTATTACCAGAAATAAAGGTTATTTCAGAATGACAAAGGGGTCAAATAATCGAGGACAAAACTGTAAATGTTTCTGCATCTAATAACAGTGCCTCAAAATACAGGAAGCATAAACAGACAGAATTTCAAGGAGAAAGAGAACAAACCCATAACAATAGTTGCAGACTTCAACACTCCTTTCTCAGTAATCACTAGAACAAGCAGACAGGAAATCAGCAAGGATAGGGAAGACCTTAACACGATCAACCAACTTGACCTAATTATTATTTATGAAACACTTTACCTAACGGCAGCAGAACACATCTTTCCTATTACAAACTGAACATTGACCTAAACAAACAATGTTTCAGGCCATATACAAACCTCTACATTTTTTTTAATTCATCATAATGAGTATGTTCCCTAACCATAATGGAATTAAATTAGAAACCAACAACAAAGATGTCTGGGAAATCCCTAAATGTTTGAAAATTAAACAATACGTTTTAAAACAAATCATGGGTCAAAGAGTAAGTCATAGTAGAAATTTTACAATATTGTGAACCAAATGAAAATGAAAATAAAACATGTATCACAAATTCTAAGATTTGTTTTTAAAAGTGCACAAAGGGGCTGGGTGCACTGGCTCATGCCTGTAGTCCCATCACTTTGGGAGGCCAAGGCAGATGAATCACCCGAGGTCAGGAGTTCGAGACCAGCCTGGCCAACATGGTGAAACCTCATCTCTACTAAAAATACAAAAATTAGCTGGGCGTGGTGGTGGGCGCCTGTAATCCCAGCTACTTGGGAGGCTGAGGCACGAGAATAATTTCAACCTGGGAGGTGGAGGCTTCAGTGAGCCAAGATCGCACCACTGCACTCCAGCCTGGGCAACAGAGCAAGATTTTGTCTTTAAAAACAAAAACAAAAAAATGCATAAAGGAGCACAGTGGTTTAGCCTGGAATCCCAGCACTTTGGGAGGCCAAGGCAGGAGGATTGCTTGAGCAAAAAAATTCAAGACCAGCCTGGGCAGTATAGTGAGAACTCATCTCTATTTAAAAAGAAAGAAAGAAAAATCAAAGAAAATGAGGTATATATGCACAAGAGGATATTATTCAGCCATTTAAAAAGTGAAGTCATCTATAAAGCTTAAGGTTTGGAAAATAAAATCTGTTTGCAGCAACATGGATAGAACTGGAGGACATTATGTTAAGTGAAATAGGCCAAGGGCAGAAAGACAAGTATCACATATTCTCATTCATATACGAGAGACTAAGAAGTTGATTTCATGGAGATAGGCAGTAGAATGATGGTTACCGGGGGCTGGGAAGCAGGTAGGGATGAAGACAAGTTGATTCATGGGCATAAAAATTCAGTCAGATAGAAGGAATACGTTTTAGTTTTTGTTTGCACAGTAGGGTGACTAGAGTCAACAATAACTTAGTGTATATTTTAAAATAGCTAGAACATTTGTTATCTTCCCAATACAAAAAAAAAGGATAAACATCTGAGATGATGGATACCCTAATTAACCTGATTTGATCATTACACACTGTATGAATCTATCAAAATATTACATGTACCCTTATAAATATGTACACTCTACCTTAAGGAAACAGTGAAAAAAGAAGGTGTGGAACAACGACCACAACAAAATCAAAGAGGAAACTCTTTGTGAACTTGGGTTTGTCAGGCCAGGAATCAGCAAACCATGGCCAATCCACTACCTGTTTTTGTAATAATCAAAACAATATAATTGATAATTTGTAAATTATGTGAAATTCAAACTGCAGTGTTCATAAAGTTTTATTGGAACAGCTATTATTCATTTACATATTGTCTATGGCTGCTTTCATTGCTACAATGGCAGAGCTGCAACAGGGACAGCAAGGCTGAAATATTTACTATCTGACCTTTTACAGAAAAAGTCTGGCAAGGTCTGGGTTAGGTAAAGTTGTTAGATGAACACCAAATGTGTAAAAGAAAAAATGTGGTAAATCAGACTTCATCAAAATTTAAAACTTATGCTCTGGGAAAAAGACACCGCTAAGACAATGAACAACAAGGCACAGATGGGGAGAAAATGTATGAACATCACACAGCCTAACAAAGCACTTATATCCAAAATATATAAAGAACTCTTACTACCCAATAGTAAGAAATTGGCCAGGCATGGTGGCTCATGCCTGTAATCCCAGCACTTTGGGAGGCCAAGGTAGGCAGATTGCTTGAGCTCAGGAGTTCAAGACCAGCCTGGGCAACATAGCGAAACCCCATCTCTATTAAAAATACAAAAATTAGCCACACATGGTGGCATGCATCTGTGGTCCTAACTACTTCGGAGGCTGAGGTGGTGGGAGGATCACCTTGAACCTGGGGTCGGGGGGAATGACAGGCTGCAGTGAGCCAAGATCATGCCACTGCACTCCAGCGTGGGTGAAAGAAGGAGACTCTGTCTAAAAAAATAAAAGAGGCCTGGCGTGGTGGCTCACGCCTGTAATCCAGCACTTTGGGAGGCCGAGGCAGGAGGATCACGAGGTCAGGAGATCAAGACCATCCTGGCTAACATGGTGAAACCCCGTCTCTACTAAAAATACAAAAAATTAGCTGGGCGTGGTGGCGGGTGCCTGTAGTCCCAGCTACTTGGGAGGCTGAGGCAGGAGAATGGTGTGAACCCGGGAGGGGGAGCTTGCAGTGAGCCAAGATCGCGCCACTGCACTCCAGCCTGGCGACACAGCGAGACTCCGTCTCAAATAAATAAATAAATTAATTAATTAAATAAAAGAAGAATAACAATAAAGAAAGCAACCCAATTAAACATCTTAAATAAAGATTTTGGTATCTTGGCCAGGCATGGTGGCTCATGCCTGTAATCTCAGCACTTTGGGAGGCCGAGGCAGGCAGATCGCTTGAGCCCAGGATTCGAAATCAGTCTGGGCAACATATCAAAACCCCATCTCTATTAAAAAAAAAAAAACTAGCCAGGTGTGGTGGTGCGCACTTGCAATCCCAGTTACTTGGGAGGCCGAGAGGTGGGAGGATGGCTTGAACCCAGAAGGTGGCGGCTGCAGTGAGTGGTGACTGTGCCACTGCTCTCCAGCCTGGGCAACAGAGCAAGACTCTGTCTCAAAAAAAAAAAAAAAAGATTTTAGTATTTTTCCATAAACAATGATATACAGATGGCAAATCAAAAGATGCACATAAAAAGAGGCTCAGAACCATTAGTCATTAGGGACAAGGAAATTAAAACCAGAAGAAGCTACCACCATATACTTATTAAGGTGGCAAAAAAAAAAAAAAAAAAACTTGAGGCCGGGCGCGGTGGCTCACGTCTGTAATCCCAGCACTTTGGAAGGCCGAGGCGGGCGGATCACGAGGTCAGCATATCGAGACCATCCTCGCTAACATGGTGAAACCCCGTCTCTACTAAATATACAAAAAAATTAGCCGGGCGTGGTGGCGGGCACCTGTAGTCCCAGCTACACAGGAGGCTGAGGCAGGAGAATGGCGTGAACCCGGGAGGCGGAGCTTGCAGTGAGCCGAGATCGCGCTCCAGCCTGGGTGACAGAGCCAGACTCCATCTCAAAAAAACAAAAACAAAAACAAAAACAAAACCTGACAATATCAAGTGCTAGGGAGGATACAGGGCAACCGGAACTCTTCATACATTTGCAGGTAAGAATGCAAAATGGTACAGCTACTTTGGAAAACAGTTTTGGCAGTTTCTTATAAACATACAACCCAGAAATCATACTCCTAGGTATTTACTCAAGAGAAACAAGAATTGTGTTCAGACAAAAAACATTATGGAAATGTTTACGGCAGCTTTATTCATAGCTGCCACAAACTAGAAATAATTGAAATATTCAACTATTGAACAGATAAATGCACTGTGATACACTCATATAAAGGACTGCTACTCAGCAATAAAAAAACTACTGATACAACAACATAGATGAATCTTAAATACATTATGCACTGTACACGTATAAACTAAAAAATTAAAATACCTTTTTAAAAGTCAAACAGGCCGGGCGCGATGGCTCACACCTGTAATCCCGGCACTATGGGAGGCCGAGGCTGGCGGATTACCTGAGGTCAGGAGTTCAAGACCAGCCTGGCCAACATGGTGAAACCCTGTCTCTACTAAAAATACCAAAAATTAGCCAGGCGTAGTGGCGGGCGCCTGTAATCCCAGCCACTCAGGAGGCTGAGACAGGAGAATCGCTTGAACCTGGGAAGCGGAGGTTGTGGTGAGCTGAGATCGCGCCACTGCACTCCACCCTGGGCAACAAGAGCGAAACTCTGTCTCAAAACTAAATAAATAAAGTCAAACAGTACATGAAAAAATAATATGATCAAGAGAGGTTCACTGCAAGAATGTAAGGGTGAATCAATATAACATCTAGTAATATAATTCTATGAATATACACTACTGTAATTAATATGTAGCATGCAGGACGAAAACTATATGATCATCTCAAAAGATGCTCAGGTGTCATTTAACAAAATATAATAGCCATATCTGATTTAAAAAAAAAAAACTTAAACAGAAAAAAAATTGAAATAGGTGAATATACTCAACACACTAAAGGTCTCAAACCAACAGTTAACCATTAAATATCTGCATCAGTTCCATTAAATTGGGATAGCATACTAAGATGCCTATCATTATAACTAACATTTGACATTGTTTTGGAGGAGGTGGTAGGGAATGCAATTTTTTTCTTTTTTCTTTATTACCCAGGTTCCCATCAATGGTAAAGGCAATGTAATTTGAAGAGAAAAAGGAGATATAAATATAAGAAAATCAGATGTGTACATGATTCATGTTTGCAGATGACACAACTTTATTCCTAGAATAAAGTTATTCCAATCAAAGCAAAAGCTACAAGAAACAATTAGAAAAAAGAATAGGTGGCTGAATTCAAAATTAATTTTTTAAATTAATGAGTTTTCAACTAGAAGTCCCCTAGCAGAGCAGGTATTTTCATAGACAAATTAAAGATTAAATAAGATATCATGGCATAAGTGAAAATATTTAGCAAATAAATTATACTTCATCCAATTTTGTAAAAAGTACGTACATATACATGTGCCAGGTGCGGTGGCTCACGCCTATAATCCCAACACTTTGGGAAGCTGAGGCGGGCGAATCACCTGAGCTCAGGAGTTCGACACCAGCCTGGGCAACACGGTGAAACTCCATCTCTATTAAAAAATACAAAAAATTAGCTGGGTGTGGCAGCGAGCACCTGTAGTCCCAGCTACTCAGGAGGCTGAGGCAGGAGAATCGCTTGAACCTGGGAGGTGGAGGTTGCAGTGAGCCGAGATCGCGCCACTGCACTCCAGCCTGGGTGGCAGAAGAGAAAAAAAGAAAAAGTATGTACTTTTTTGCTCAAAAGAAAAAAAAAAAGGTATGTATGTATGTACACATGTCCACCCAAAGATGGTTAACTAATGAGAGGAACCAAAATATTAATGTTCTGGGTTTTCTAAATTTTCTACATTACTTTCCTGATAAAGGGAAAAAGCAAAAATAAAATGTAAAGGTTTTTTTTTTTTTTTTTTTGAGATGAAGTCTCACTCTGTCACCCAGGCTGAAGTGCAGTGGCACGATATCGGCTCACTGCAACCTCCGCCTCCTGAGTTTAAGCGATTCTCCTGCCTCAGCCTCCCAAGTAGCTGGGACTACAGGCACCTACCACCACGCCCGGCTAATTTTTTGTATTTTTAGTAGAGACGGGGTTTCACCATGTTGGCCAGGCTGGTCTCGAACTCTCGAGCTCAGGCAATCCACCCGCCTTGGCCTCCCAAAGTGCTGGGATTACAGGTGTGAGCCACCACGCCTGGCCAAAATTTAAAGGTTTTACTAGATTTCCAGAAGCATTATTTATGAAAGTCAAAGCTTTTTTCCTAAACTAATTATCGAAATCACAGACTAAAGAATGTCAAGAGCTCAAAAATGGGGTGAACAAACTATGGCCGGCCACAGCCTGTTTTTGGAAATAAAGTTTTACTGGAACACAGCCACACTCATTTGTTTACTTATTGTCTATGGCTGCTTTCATCCTACAAGGGCCGAGCTGAGCAGCTGTGACATAGCCAGGTGGCCTGCAAAACCTAAAATATTTACTAATTGGTGCCCTAAGAACAAGTTTGCCAATCCCCTGACCATTAGATCATCTAGTCCATCCTATACTGTACAGGTGAGTAAACTGAGGTCCACACAAGAATGACTTCTCTATGGTCCAAACTCAAGTTAAGTAAGAAGCAAGGAAGACTCCATTTCCATGGTACTTTCCACCACTTGGCCAGGAAACTCTCAAAACAGACATCCTGCTGTTTGGGAGGTAAACCTCAGGGTCTCATATCACATCGCAAGTGAGTGTATTTGCCAATATATTGATGAGAAGAGGACTTTGGGCCTAGTCAGTATCCAAGAACAACTGCTAAAGGTCTGAGTAAACCTTAGTAGACTAGAAAAAGTTAATTTAAAAACCACACAGGCCAGGCGCAGTGGCTCACGCCTGTAATCCCAGCACTTTGGGAGGCCCAGGCGGGCGGATTGCCTGAGGTCAGGAGTTTGAGACCAGTCTGGCCAACATGGTGAAACCCTGTCTCTACTAAAAATACAAAAAAATAAGCCGGGTATGGTGGCATGTGACTGTAATCCCAGCTACCTGAAAGGCTGAGGCAGGAGAACTGCTTGAACCAGGGAGGTGGAGGTTGCAGTGAGCCGAGATCACACCACTGTATTCCCGCCTGGGTGACAGAGGGAGACTCCATCTCAAAAAACAAACAAACAAACAAAAAACAAACAAGCAAACAAAACACATAAGCACAGACTAGGGAAGGTTTAAAAACAAACAGATGCTGAGAGTATAATCTGGTTCAGTCTTTTAAATAGCACACACTGTAACCCAACAATCCAATCCCACTCCTAGGAACCTACCCTACAGAAACACCAGCTTAAGTGACTAAAGATACATCTCTAGCATATTTAAGACAGCACTGTCTGTAAAAGCAAAAAGGGCCTGAATTCTAGGCAAATAAATATTATCAGCAAATGCAGTTATGTGTTAATAAAGAAGGGGGCACTTCATGCCTTTACCTTACAGAGGGTCCTGACCTTCTGCGCATGTAAATTTGTGACCCTTGCCATAAACAATTTCCACTGTTAGGTTTCTTCCGAGACAGAGAAGATTCACAACTCATGCCATTAAGGCAGTTAAGGACAACCAATATACCTGGAAGACGGTAATCTTCCAAGTTACAGAGGATCAGAAATCCAATGCATTTCACCTGGATAATTCAGACTCAAAAGTTCAAATATTTATCTGAAATTACAGTAAAGCCACTTTAAAACTTTTTATTCTTTGTGCAGCACTTTGAAAGCACAGTACAGTCATAAGGTGGAGAAATGAGTAACTTACTGAATGAGACTTTCAGAAGTGTGTGAAATAGTTTTCATGTCTACAAAAACAGGGAAAACTGCACTTTCTTTCTAGTTGTTCTCTTGATTACTGTGAGAAGAGTGTTGAAGTCTACAATATTGTTAAGGATGTGTCTGTTTCTCCTTGGAGTTCTATGAGTCCTCATGTATTTTGAGGCTCTGTTATTAAGTTCATAAACCTTTAGGAAGGATTGTTTTTGGATGGGCTAAGATATTATTCGCTATTTTAAATGTTGGACCATCTCTTGAGACAAATATCCAAGCAAGAATTAGAGAGGAAAAAGGATAAGAGAAATTCCACACAGATTAATATATGCATTTCTGAAATACTTTTTAACTTCCATAAATAGAATATACACACAGACCTCAAAAGAGGCACTATGAACATAGTGAAATTGAGCAAGAAGCCATTATTTCTAGTAAATCATATAAACTGCACCTACTGAATGTTGCCATTTGGTATGAATCACATGGCCAAGCCGTTTCCCAAGTGTGGGAATTACAGAACATATCCATGAGTAGAGAGGAGTCTAAGCATAACTTTCTTAGCAAATCTCAGGGGGGTTCCACAGACAAATAATTTGGCCAGTGACTCCTGCGTAAGAGGTTTTATATAGGAGAACCCAGACACACTACGACATACTAACATCTCACAATTCAGTTTGCATATCAATATTTACACTTTTATAACACTGAAATTCTCTGAGTTATCAAATTTAATTTCTCAACCAAAAGTCTCTGAATCCTAATCCTTCCTTCCCTTCTGGCCTACATATATGACTCTTAGCTTACTTTTACCAGGACTGTGGCAGATTTTCTAACTATGTGTTAACTGACTGCCTCTTCACCCTACCACCAAGAACAACAAATAATGGAAAGTCATCTCACACATGACCCCAAATCTTATTGCAGAAATGCAATACCATCACATACACAAATAATGCTGGGCCCAGAGTCTCCACAAAGGAGGACCTCACTCAGCCAGACCGCTGGGGCTACCCAAGCTGTGCAGGATTTAGGGCAAATAAAAGGCTAGAAAAGGAGATGTTAGGTAAATTCTCACTGGTCTAACAGAGGCAGACTGACTACAGTGAGTCCAGGAGAACTTTCTGTAATGATATGAAATGCCCCAAATGCTCTACCTTTGTGTGGTGCAATACACGTGGCTACAGAGCACTTGAAATGAATGTATAACAGCTAGTGCCACTGGAGAAACTGAAGTTTTCATTTTACTTAATTTTTTTTTTAAGAGATGGGTTCTCACTCTGTCACCCAGTCTGGAGTGTGGTGGCACAGTCCATAGCTGACTAGAGCCTCAAACTCCTGGGCTCAAGCAATCCTCCCACCTCAGCCTCCCAAGCAGGTAGAACTACAGGCATGCCATCCTATGCCCAACTATTTTAATTCTTTTGTGAAGACAGGGTTTTTACAAAACCCTGTTGCTCAGGCTGGTCTTTAACTGATGCCTCAAGTGATTTCCCACCTCAGCCTCCCAAAGTATTGAGACTACAGGTGTGAGCCACCACACCTGGCCTACTTAGTTTTAATTAATTTAACTCTCCACATGTGGCTAGTAGCTACCATACTGGACAGTACAGAGGATGAAAACAACCCACAGGCTTTATTTGACTCAACATTCAGTTCCACAATTACCTGTGCTGCCTACTGCATTCAAGAGATTTAACCAGGCACTCCAGAGACTGAATGGGACTTTCCCTGCCCAAAGTAGGTTGTAATGAAGGAAGGGCCAGATCATTAAAAGGCCATTTCAGTTCCACCTCTTAACAGATATAGATATAGATAAAGGGGTTAAATAATTAAGAGGATAAAACAATCCTTCCTAAAGGTTTATGGACTTTAGGAAGGAGCCTCAAAATACATAGATGCAGAGCCTCAAAATACGTGAAGATTGCTAGAACTTCAAGGAGAAACAGACAAATCCTTCACAATAGCTGTAGACTTCAACACTTCCCTCAGTAATCAACAAAACAAGTAGAAAGTCAGACAGATCTTAATAACACTATCAACAAACTTGACGTAATTGATATTTATGCAATACTCCACCCGACAAGAGCAGAATACAAAATTCTTTTCAAGTACATATGGAATATTCACTTAGACTGACAAAATTTTGGGGTGCAAAACCTCTAAAAATGTTTTACAAAATTAAAGTCATACAAAGTATGCTCTCTGAACAAAATGAAATTAAATTAGAAACCAGTAACTGAAAGATACCTAAAAAAAAAAATCCCCAAATATTTGGCTAAAACAATTAATGCACGAGGTCCTGGAGGTTAAGGGGGTGGGAAACAAAGGAACTCAGCCCCAACTGGGGGTAAAGGGAATGGTGATCAGAGAAGGCAGGCTGGAGAAGGTGATGGATGGGTGACTAGGAGTTGGGTCTGTGAGAACTACGAAGAAATAAGTATTACTAGATCAATTTGAGATGAAGAGAAGAAATAAGGAGTGAACAAGGAAAAGAGAAATAAGGGGGATGTAAAAAGTAAAGTAGAGGTTCCTCTTCAAGACTTTCCTCTCTAATTAAGAATAAATAGTAACTTCTCTTAGAAGCAAAATTTATTCAAAGACCTGTGCTAACATTCTTAAATATCTGCTAGCCATAATAAAGAAATCAATGTACTTTATGTTCTTAGCTCCCACAATTTAGCCTAAATATTTGCCCTGGCACGCTTAGGCTGGTCCAAGCAAGCATTAGGTCATAGCCTGTTCCTCTTCCTTATTTAAAAGTGTTTTTACCTTTCTCAACATTCCACAAGTTACTTCCTCCTTCCTTTGTTCCCCTCTACCTTTGCCTCTTTTAAAAAGTTCTAAGTTACTAACCAATCGGGACAAATACAGAATGTGAGGTCCCGTTCCAGCCAAAGGAAACCGGAAACAGCAGTAAGGTAGATGCGTCAGGTTATAAATGACCCTATCTCCTTTGTTGGGTGTACTCTCATGGCAAAACT
The DNA here is from genome assembly GCF_000001405.40 of Homo sapiens. Classification (NCBI taxonomy): domain Eukaryota; kingdom Metazoa; phylum Chordata; class Mammalia; order Primates; family Hominidae; genus Homo; species Homo sapiens. The sequence goes on from NT_187663.1 coordinate 279,238, forward strand.
GCCCGTGAGTGTACCCTTTCTGCAGGAAGTAAAAATGGCCTTACTAAGTAAACTAAATTTATGTTCAAGTGCTGTTTCTTCACGGCACCGGGGAACAAGCATTTCAAACAGGAGATTTAGAAGTCAGTTCATCCTTGACTCCTTTCCTCCCGCTCACCACATCCCAGCCTAACCAATCTATCTCATTCAGGATTCATTCTAATGCCTGAATTATTTTCTGCCAGGTGCTGTGGCTCACACCTGTAATCCCAGCACTTTGGGAGGCCAAGGCGGGTGGATCACTTGAGGTCAGAAGTTCAAGACCAGCCTGGCCACTTGAACCGAGGAAGAGGTTGCAGTGAGCCAAGGTCATGCCACTGTACTCCAGCCTGGGCGACAGAGTGAGACTCTGTGTCAAAAAAAAAAAGAAAAGAAAAGAAATTAAAATTGAATTTGCAATAATCCAGCAAATAATCCTATTTATATACCTAAGAGAAATGAAAATATATGTATAGATAAAAACATGTACACGAATGTGCTCAGCAGCATTATTCATAATAGCCAAAAAGTGGAAACAGTTCAAATGTCCATGAACTTACGAAATGGATAAGCAAAACATGGTCTCTGGGCACAGAGGTGTGTGCCTGTAACTCTAGCTACTCTGGAGGCTGGAAGGCTGAGGCAGGAAGCCTGAGCCCAGGAGTTTCAGGTCAGCCTGGGCAACATTGCAAGACCCTGTCTCCATTTAAAAAAAAAAAAGTGGTACAGCCATACAATGAAGTGTTATTCAAATATAGTACTGATACATGCTAAGATATGCATAAACCTTAAAAACAGTAGGCTAAATGACAGAAGCCATACATTATATGATTCCACTTAATAAGAAATGTCCGTAAGAGGCAAATCAACAGCAAATGAACGTAATTACTGGCTGCCAGGGGAGAGCAGGAGGGAGGTGAAGAACAGGGAGTGACGCCATAGGCATGGGCTTCTTTTGCAGGGGCGTAAAAACAAGCTGGAATTAGGTAGTGTTAATGGTTGCACAACTCTGTCAATACACTAAAAAAAACCACTAAATTGCATACTTTACAAGGGTACATTTTACAGTATGTAAATTATATCTCCATAAAGCTGTTACCTTTTAAAAACTGAATTTTCATAAATATTGCTTGAAAATCATTCTGCAATTTAAAAGATGTTCAATAAATGTTAACTATTACTGTCGCTATTTTTAAAATGTGACACTCTCAAAATAATATTTGAATATAACTATCAAGAAAAACATAAAAATTGTAGATATATACCAGCAGACAAAACAATTGAAACATTATATTTACACGCATTTTAATTCTTTCTATATGGTCACTTTCGATCTTTTAAAGTGTATTTTAATGTATAATTTTTTTTTAAGTTAAGAAACATGCTGCCTCCTGATGCTTATGTTAAAGAACCAAAAGCATGAAAAAAACTAGAGGCCGGGTGTGTTGGCTCAGGCCTGTAATCCCAGCACTTTGGGAAGCCGAGGCAGGTGGATCACGAGGTCAGGAGTTCAAGACCAGCCTGGCCAACACAGTAAAACCCTGTCTCTATTAAAAAGTACAAACATTAGCCGGGTGTGGTGGTGGGCGCCTGTAGTCCCAGCCACTCAGAAGGCTGAGGCAGGAGAATAGCTTGAACCCAGGAGGTGGAGGTTGCAGTGAGCTGAGATTGTGTCACTGCACTCTAGCCTGGGCGACAGAGTGAGACTCCATCTCAAAAGAAAAAAAAAATAGAATAATTAGTGTCAGTGTTAAGCTAGTGCTGAGATCATAACCACTGTCAACAGGCACTCAAAGAGAAGGAAGAACAAGGTGCGCAACAGGACTCAAGGAAGATCTCCCAGGAAGAGGGATTCGAGCCTGGCTAAGGAGCAGGAAGGGAAAAGGGCATCAGCTAGGATTTGTTCCTGTGTCACCCAGATTACCACTTGCTCACCATGACTACCACTCTCTCACCCCCATGTCTCCATCATTAAGGGTCTTTAGTCAAAGGGAAGACACAGGGTCTTGAGGACTGAGGAAAGGAGGACCTAACAGAAGAGACCAGAGCTCCTGGTCTTAACATCCCCAGTCCTGTTATATGCATGTTTCAACACAAACTTCCAAACATGCCCATGGGTGAGCAGAATTGAACAGCACGAACTGTATGCAAGACTATTTATCACTGCGTAACTAGGACATGCCTCTCCACTACTCACAAATCATGTTGCCCAACTTTTTCAAAACCCTTTTGGCTCTCACTTTAATTATCATGTTTAATCTCTTGAGGTACTGATACCTGAAAACAGATGTCATTAATTTCCCTTATAATCTTGACCTCCCTATTGTTACTGAAAGTACTACCATTCTTAGGGAGGCGTAGGTGATGCATTCCTCTCTCTACATTCTATGTGTCAAGGCCAGAAGAACTCTAGAGTACCTCCTGGACTGATCTTCCATTTAGGACTACAAAACCCACCAGCTATCTTGTCCTTGTCAATCCATCCTGCAGAACAGAAGCTATGCTTCAAGATCTTCTGATCATCCCAATACCCAAAATTAAACAGATTCGAAACAGATTTGAGAGAGAGGGCTACACCAGTGGTTCAACAGCATCTCTGTAATTTGATGTGGTTCTGTTTCATGTTTATGCATGGTGCTGCTGGGAATACAGCATATCTTCTCGGGGTGTCAGGAGTGAAAAAGGCCTGAGGATCACGATCCAGCCCAATCCCTATTCTACAGAAGAGGGGGAAAGTACAGTTGCTATAGCCTGATCCTCTAAGTACTGCCCAACACAACATACAAGGGAGTTTTGATTAATTTCCTATTCACACACTCAGGCTCTTGTTACACCGAGTTACTTGAGACTGCCCACACTTTACTATCAGTGCCTGCCGCTCCCTCCCGCTCTCTCCCCCTCCCTCCCTCAATCTGCCTGTCCTTACTCTCCACATGCCCATCCAGGAAGCCTACACCCACACCAATCCCCTTAAACAGGGTATATAATCTCACCCTCCTTTAAATGCCCACTGCACTTTGTACCTCACTTGTAACGATCAGAAATTATACTGAAAAGATATTAAGTTGACACTGGTGGGAATAATATTGTCAAACCAGTGACAAATTCTGTTTGAGGTAAATCTATGGTTCATTGATGGCATCTCTGCCACTGATCTCCACTGTCACAATCCTTAGAGGACATAAATCACTAACTGTCCCAGGATAACACCAGGGCTTTTGTTTTATGAAGTCATCAGAGGTTCCAAGTTTTAAAATTCCAGGTAAGTATTCTCAGAAGTCTCACATAAGACTGAGACTGAAACACAAGAACCATTCTGTTTTACATACAATTTCTTAAAATTAGCAAATGCTTAATTTCAAAGTGCTGTCAGAACTTTACCAAATGCCTATTGAAAACACTTCCTATATAATCCTTCTCATTATATCGGCAATGTCATAAAATCTATAGGCTGAAGTAATTCTAAATTTAAAAAGTAAAAATAAATTAAAGCATTATTCAGCCATATGCTTTCGGCTAAAGCAAAACTAGGTGGTTGCAATTTTATACTAAAAAGTTGTCATCCTTACATTTTTTCCATAAAAGGAAAACAATCTTCAATAAATAAACCTTTCATGACTTTAGTAATATCAATTAATGCCTCTGCATTGTTATATAACCTACAAAATACTGAGTTATTTCTTATATTAGGAGTTATTTCTTATGTTAGGAATGTCACATGTCAGTAATTAAGCCAACGCTGTAAACTATAAAAATTAATCAAATTACTCTAAATTACCAATAAAGTAAATTCCTCTTTCAGCCTTTGCAGTACAACAGGATTCAAATTCATCAATCATACTTCTTTGTGTGTTATTCAGATATCTTAAACCAGTTCTAAAATTTTTTTCTTCCATCTACACATTTACCTGACAGCCTTCCACCCAGGAAGTACAGACTATAAAACCAATGAAACTAGTACTTAGCCTAAACAACTCACTGTCACGCGTTGTTACTCATTCGAGGCAAGTGGGCATGTTCTAAAAGTTTGGAACTCAAAATGTCACTCACATCCGGGGGGTGGGGGGCGAGGGGAGGGAACTTAAAGAGTGGGTCAATAGGTGCAGCAATCCACCATGGCACACGTATACCTATGCAACAAACCTGCACGTTCTGCACATGTACTCCATTTTGTTTTTAGAAGAAATAAGGAAAAAAAAAAGTCACATCCATTTTACCATAATCTTAAGAAATAATGCTTTGCAAAAGGTAAAACATCCAAATTAACATCACAGCCAATAAAGGAAAACGCCTGGCAAGCAATATGAAATAGCAACTCAAAAACAAAGTAACTCTTGCAATGAAAAACATTCACTGGGCCAGGCCAGGTGGCTCATGCCTGTAATCCTAGCACTTTGGGAGGCTGAGGCGGGCGGATTGCCTGAGTTCAGGAGTTCAAGAACAGTGTGGGCAACATGGTGAAACCCCATCTCTACTAAAATACAAAAAATTAGCTGGGTGTGGCAGCGTGCACCTGTAGTCCCAACTACTCAGGAGGCTGAGGCAGGAGAATTGCTTGAACCCGGGAGGTGGAGGTTGTGGTGAGCCAAGATCGTGCGTGCCATTGCACTCCTCCCTGGGCAACAGAGCGAGACATTCACTGATCAAATTGTCCATCAAAATCCAATTAGAAAAGAACAACAACAACAAAAAACCAATTAGGACAATTTTTAGTTTCCTAAATCCAAAATATTTAGGGGTTATGACACCCACTGTAGAATTATCGAAACTTCATGTACTACAAGTTCTCATCTACTAACAATAATTTATCCAACCAATCTTTGATGAGCACTTGCTATGTGCAAAACACTTACAGGAGCTGCAGAGGGAATACGCTCAATACCTATCTCTACAGAGTTAATAATTTCATATAAGGATAGGACAAGTAGACACACAGTAGGCTACAGGTGTCATTAAGAAAAACAAAATCTCAGGCCAGGCATGGTGGCTCACGCTTGTAGGCCCAGCACCTTGGTAGGCTGAGGCAGACGGATCGCCTGAGGTCGGGAGTTTGAGACCAGCCTGACCAACGTGGAGAAACCCCGTCTCTACTAAAAATACAAAATTAGCCAGGCGTGGTGGTGCATGCCTGTAATCTCAGCTACTTGGGAGGCTGAGGCAGGAGAATTGCTTGAACTTGGGAGGCAGAGGTTGCATTGAGCCAAGATCGAGATTCTACCATTGCACTCCAGCCTGGGCACCAAAAGCAAAACTCCTTCTCAAAAAAAGAAAAACAAAATGTCACAAAAGTATCAAAAGTAAACACATTTTTTTAAAGAACACCTAGCTACAAATTGTAATTTAAGTCAGCATATGCACAGCCATCAATCCTAAATATTATTTGCTAGGCCTTCAAATACGACTTAAAGTTAGCTGAACTGCCCTGCCAAAATGTCTCAGCTCTGTCTAACCAGAAAAAACTTCCTCCAGGGGTGTATGCAATCCAGTCTCCATGTTTCAATTACCGGCTCTGGGTACAAAGACCAACATGTGATTTCTTAAGGTAAAAATTATTACTATAAAAGATGTACTAGCCCAGGCACGGTGGCTCACGCCTTTAGTCCCAGCACTTTGGGAAGCTGAGGTGGGCGGATCATGAGGTCAGGAGTTCGAGACCAGCCTGGCCAACATGGTGAAACCCCATCTCTACTAAAAATACAAACATTAGCCAGGCGTGCTGGTGGGCGCCTGTAATCCCAGCTGCTGGGGAGCCTGAGGCAGGAGAATCACTTGAGTCCGGGAGGTGAAGGTTGCAGTGAGCCAAGATTGCGCCATTGCACTCCAGCCTAGGCGACAGAGCAAGACTCCTTTAAAAAAAAAAAAAAAAGCACTAAAATTAAGTTGGCAAGAATTTACATGTACTCCTTTTTACATATAAGACATAAATATCTGACATTTGATTCATTCCCTTCATTCTCCAGCCAGCCTCCCAGGGCAAGTCTGGCGAGGATTCTGACCATCGGGCAAAAGAAATTACCTTTTTTCAGTTTATGTTAGGACAACCTACGTGGGTTTACATTTGGCTTAATATAATACTACCCTACTTCTCCAATAAGTATTTAAGCATTTATTAAAAAACAGAAACTTTTCAATTTAACCACTTCTACTACCCTAGTCTCTCTGAGAAAGACAGGACACACCTCACTTCAAGGAAAAAAGGGTCCTTTTTCCTCACAAATACTTCCTCATAAACTTTATTTTAAAAATGATTTTAAAACCAGATTCTAATTTAATTAATTTAGATTTGCAAAATTATAAAGGACAAGTCTTGCCGGTTGTTGCTTCGGTTATGTTAATTTCACAATTTAGTACACTGCAACTACGTATTTAATACAAAGCAGCCTTTGGGCGGGGCGGGGCGGGGCGGGGCGGTTAACAAAATGCATCTCAGCACCAGCCTAGAGAAACTTTTCTGTGTGTAAACAGAAGAGGGGTTACCATGGAGAAATTCATTACGGATTTCGGGAGGGCTTTTTCCTCAGAAATAGAGTGAAAAGAATAAGTCGTTGTGTAATAAATCTGATACTGACGCTGTGTGACTTAGAAGTTGGTCCAAAAGTTCATCTTAGGCACTTATGCCTAGATGATCAACTACACATCTTCTGCAACAGGTGACACGAACCTGCATTTCCCAAGCAAGGCAAAGCGATCAAATGAGTTAAGACGCGTGTTCCTGCGGTCTTGTAAATTTTTGATTTAACCAAAACAATTTTGAATCAGATGAATTACCAAATTTCGTTGGGTCTTGTTTGGCTTTCTGCTTTGCTTTTTAATCAGCCATTTACCAGAAACTGTTGCACGGGCCCGTTAGCACTCGAAGAATAAAAACAAACACACAAGACCAGATAAGGTTCCCCTACTAACCCAAATGATCCGTTTCCTTAACATAATTTTAAAACCACAGCTAGGGGTGTGAAAACAGATTGTGGCACACAATCTGTCCAAATCCTTAATTCCCTTTTAAGGAACAGATATATAATAAAAATCCGAAAGGAACCACATTAGAAATGAAAAGAGGTTTGCAAAACAAGAGGCTTCTTTCATTCCAGAAAACTACCAAAACAAGGGGAAAAAATGAAAGCAATGGATATGTGTTTGCCCAAGTTTCAATCTTGCCCGGTGGAGACACTACACTGGTACAAATTCTGAGGAGGAAAAAGAGGAGGTTGGCGGGAGGCGGGAAGAGAGAGCGAGTGTGGCCCGCCAACTGCAACAATGCAATCTCCATTTTGAACAATGCGCCTCTTTCCTCCTATAAATCTGGTTTTTTGCCACTTGATGTGCCCTCGCATTTCCCCTCTGGGGGTCGGCGGGGTTGGGGGGAGATCGGAGCAGGATGCACAGCACACGAGTGAGCAAAGGGGGAGGGCAGAGAAGGTGGGGAAGGAGTCTGCAGCAACTGGGCTGAGTGGGTACCTGGAGTGCTGCTGTAGGTACTATGGCTCCTGACGCTGCTTTCCGTGCAGTAACTGGCGTCCTCCTACACCACTTTGTTGACAGCCCTCCAGACCGCAGCCGTCCGGGCCAGGTGGCTGCCCCCGCCTCCCCCCGGCCGGGGCGCTGGTGCTGGGGTGGGGCCGGCGGCGGCGGCTTTCTCCGGCTACTGCTGCCCATCCTGGGCGAGCTCAGGCGCGTCTTGGGCGCCACCTCAGCCTGGCGGCGACCCACCTGCCCGGGCTGCTACCGCGTTGCCGCGAGCGGAACCCCGGATGGGTCCGGACGTGGGCAGCGGCAGCGGCGGCGGGGCCGGGGCGCAGCGCTCCGCAGAGGGAGCCGCGGGCTGCTTGGTCGGCCTGCCCCGCCGGCCCCTCATGTTGGAGCCGAGGCGGAGGGAGAAGGGAAAGCGGCCGGGAAGGGGCGGGCGCAATGGGCGCAGTGGGGGCGGCTGGGGCCGGGTGGGGAGGCCAGAGGGGCAGGGCAGGAGGGGCCCGGCCTGCGGAAGCGGTTGGAGGGAGAAGGCTCAATCCGAATGGCTGGGGCCCCACTGCGGATCGCCTTCAGCCTCCATCTCGTTTCTTCCGTTAACGGAGCGCGGTCACGTGAGCTGAGCAGCCTACGAGCCTGGGACGGGGCGAGGTGGCGCAGCGGCTGCTTGGGGGAGCGCGGGAGCATTGAGTCGGGGGCAGAGAGCCTGGGGCGCCGGGGCTGGGCGCAGCGAGGCGCGGCTGGACTCCGGGCTTGGTGGCGCGGTTGAGAGAGACGCGCAGCTGGCGAAATGCCCCGCGTCTAAGGCCTTCGGAGACCATAGTCTCCGCGGACCCCTGGCTGGAGCCCAAAGCCGGTCGGACCTCCTCCCTGCGTCTCCCCTTCCGCGGCTCGGAGAGGAAGGCAGGAGAGCCCCCAAATATTCCCCTCCCGCCCTCTAGGGAAACTGAAGCTGAAAGAACCAGCGAAAGAAAAAAAAGTCTCGGAGTGGGGCGGCCCGAGCGACCTAAGGGACGGGGCAGTGGCAGCGACCGAGGGAAATTAGTCGGGGTGGGGGAACAGGGAGACAAGCCCCCAGAATTTAGGAAACTCCTAAATTCTACTAAAAATACAAAAATTACCTGGGCATGGTGGCGGGTGCCTGTAATCCCAGCTACTTGGGAGGCTGAGGCAGGAGAATCGCTTGAACCCGGGAGGCGGAGGTTGCGGTGAGCCAAGATCCTGCCATTGCACTCCAGCCTGGAGAACAAGAGTGAAACTACGTCTCAAAAAAAAAGAGAATAGAGAGCCATGCAGTCCACGCGGGATTGTGAGCTGTGGTGTGAGAGGGTGAAGCCAGAGAACAAGGCGGCGCTGGAGGCGTGGGTCAGGCAGACAGGCATCGCCTGGTGCAGGTGAACGGGCAGAGGAAGTATGGCGGGCCACCCCCAGGCTGGGTGGGCAGCCCGCCGCCGGCTGGGTCAGAGGTGTTCATCGGGCGGCTGCCTCAGGAAGTGTATGAGCACCAGCTATCCTGCTGTTCCAGCGCGTGGGCCGCCTCTACGAGTTCCGCCTGATGATGACCTTCAGCGGCCTGAACCGCGGCTTCGCATATGCCCGCTGCAGCTCGCGGCGCGGCGCGCAGGCCGCCATCGCCCGCTGCACAACCACCCGCTGCGGCCGTCCTGCCCGCTGCTTCTGTGCCGCAGCACCGGGAAGTGTGAGCTGAGCGTTGACTGCCTGCCGCCGAATCTGACCCGCACCGCGCTGCAGCCCGCGCTGCAGCCGCTGGGTCCCGGCCTGCAGGAGGCGCGGCTGCTGCCCAGCCCCGGACCGGCGCCCGGGCAGATCGCTCTGCTCAAATTCAGCTCGCACTGGACCGCTGCCATGGCCAAAAAGGCCCTGGAGGAAGGGCAGCCACACCTCTGTGGAGAGCAGGTGGCTGTGGAGTGGCTCAAGCCAGAACTGAAGCAGCGACTTCGCCAGCAGCTTGTGGGTCCCTCCTTGTGGTCCCCACAGCCAGACGGCAGCCAGTTGGCCTTGGCAAGGGACAAGTTAGGGTCCCAAGGGGCTCGGGCTACCCTGCAGTTGCTGTGCCAACGAATGAAGCTGGGCAGCTCTGTGTTCCTCACCAAGTGTTTGGGCATAGGACCTGCTGGCTGGCACCGCTTCTGGTACCAGGTGGTGATTCCTGGGCATCCGGTGCCCTTCAGCGGCCTCATCTGGGTTGTGCTGATCCTAGATGGCCGGGATGGGCATGAGGTGGCCAAGGATGCTGTGTCTGTACGGCTGCTGCAGGCACTCATTGAGTCTGGGGCCAACCTCCTGTGGTCTGCTGGGGCTGAGGCAGGTAGCATGGTTAAACAGTGACTCCATTCTCTCTCCACAGGCAGCCCGAATGGGCATGCACAGCCTGTGTCAGGCCCCAACCCAGCAGACCTGGGTGGCCACTATCTGACCCCCAAAGGTGGGGAGGGGCATGGGCCCAGGCCCATCAGCCTCCCTGCTGGGACAGGGACCTATGGCACCTGGGGGCAGCTTAGGTTTTGCTTAAGTTGTGGTGATGGGCCTTGCCCTCCCCCTCCCAGCCCAGGGTCCAACCTGACCCAGTTATCTTCCCTGGCCATTCCTTGTCCCACCCCCACCCGATCATACCTTCCCCCCTCTGCCACAGCTTAGCATGAATCTTCTTTATTGTCCTGATTTGTCCTGTTTGTTGGTTTTTATTTGTGGGGAAGGGCAGCTGAGCCAAAGGGGTCAGGAATTATGCCCTTTGCCTCCACCACATGGCATTCTGGTTTTGGTTTCTGTATAGTTTTGGGTCTTTCTATGCTGGTTGTATTTATATTAAACCCCTGGTTAGTAAAAAAAAAAAAAAAAAAAAAAAAAAGGCCGGGTGCGGTGGCTCACGCCTGTAATCCCAGCACTTTGGGAGGCTGAGGCGGGTGGATCACGAGGTCAGGAGATCGAGACCATCCTGGCTAACATGGTGAAACCCGGTCTCTACTAAAAATACAAAAAAAAAAAAAAAAATTAGCCAGGCATGGTGGCAAGCGCCTGTAGTCTCAGCTACTTGGGAGGCTGAGGCAGGAGAATGGTGTGAACCCAGGAGGCAGAGCTTGCAGTGAGCCAAGATTGCGCAACTGCACTCCAGCCTGGGTGACCGAGTGAGACTCTATCTCAAAAAAAAAAAAAAAAACAAGAATAATAGTCTCCAATCCCGTCCAGGTTGCTGCAAATGCCATTAATTCATTCCTTTTTATGACTGAGTAGTATTCCACTGTATATCTATACCACAGTTTCTTTAGCCACTCATTGATGGGCATTTGGGTTGGTTCCACATTTTTACAATTGTGAATAGTGCTACTATAAACATGTGTGTGCAAGAATCTTTTTCGGCCAGGAGCGGTGGCTCACTCCTGTAATCCCAGCACTTTGGGAGGCCAAGGTGGGTGGATCACAAGGTCAAGAGATCAAGACCATCCTGGCCAACATGGTGAAACCCCGTCTCTATTAAAAGTACAGAAATTAGCTGGGCATAGTGGCACACGCCTGTAATCCCAGCTACTTGGGAGGCTGAGGCAGGAGAATCACTTGAACCCGGGAGGCAGAGGTTGCAGTGAGCTGGGATCGTGCTGCTGCACTCCAGCCTGGCGACAGAGCGAGACTCCATCTCAAAAAAAAAAAAAAAGAATCTTTTTCATATAATGACTTAGAAAGACTGAACTCTTACCTGGGCTGTGTGTGTTCTCTCTCTTTTTTAGTTCATTCACTCTAGCTATGTGGGGAGGACATTCAGGCAGTGTGTGGAGAAGTCCAGGTAGTAAGCCAATGAAGTCTTCAACCAATATTCAGTGAGGAACTACAGCCTGCCAACAACCAACGAGTGACCTTGAATGCATATTTTCTCCCAATTGAGTCTTCAGATAAGAGTGCAGCCCCAGGCCACTGCTTGACTGAAACATCCCAAGAGAACTGAGCAGAACCACCCAGCTAAGTCCCTCCCAGATTCCTGACCCACAGAAAGTGTGATATAATAAATGTTTTTTGTTTTAAGCTGCTAAATGTTGGGGATAATTTTTTTTTTTTGACATGGGCCTCACTCTGTCGCCTAGGCTGGAGTGCAGTGGTATGATCATGGCTCATTGCAGCCTCAACCTCCAAGGCTCAAGGGATCCTCCCATCTCAGCCTCCCAAGTAGCTGGGATCACAGGTGTGTACCACCACACCTGACTTTGGTTTTTTTTTTTAAAGTAGAAACAAAGTCTTGCTTTGTTGTCCAGGCTGGTCTGGAACTCCTGGGTTCAAGTAATCCTCCATCTTCACGCTCCCAAAGTGCTGGTATTACAGGCATGAGCCACCATGCCTGGCCCAATTGTTAAATCTTTTTTAAATTTTATTATTTTTTTCTTTTTTGTTCAAAGTGTTAATTTTTTTTTTTTTTTTTTTTTTTTTTGAGACAGAGTCTAACTCTGTTGCCTGGGCTAGAGTGCAGTGGCACGATCTTGGCTCACTGCAACCTCCGCCTCCCAGGTTTAGTTCAAGCAATTCTCCTGCCTCAGCCTCCCGAGTAACTGGGATTACAAACACGTGCCACCACACCCAGCTAATTTTTTGTATTTTTAGTAGAGACAGGGTTTTGCCATGTTGGCCAGTCTGGTCTTGAACTCCTGACCTCAGGTGATCCACCCTCCTCGGCCTCCCAAAGTGCTGGGATTACAGGTGTGAGCCACCATGCCCAGCCTAGTGTTAAATCTTTATAACAACATAAGTACGAGGTTGAGACTTATTACCCTGTTTTACAGATGAGTAACTGAGGCACAGAAAGGTTGAGTTACTTGGCCAAGGTTATACAACTAATAATTACAGGATACCAAAACCGCTAGCTTCTGCCAGTGCTCTTAATATAAGGTTGAAAGAAAAAAGAAAAGAGCCAATTAACATAAAACATAGCTGTTAGAAGCCTCCTTCTACAAATGGCGATGAAGTCTAAGTTGATAATCATAGCCGCCTTCTTCCACCACTTCTTCCAATCCCCTTTCGAAGGGTTCTGTGCCTCATAGGGACACTCAATACTTTATTCCATAAGACCTGACTTCTTGGTGGTCTTGTTTTTATTGGGTTGCTCTACTTTTCCATTAACCAGGTCTTAGGGTCAAGAGCCTGCTAAGATGTGTCCCCAGTGAATTTTTGGCTTTCAGACATAGCCTCCTTCCTCTACTAAGTAACAGAGCCATTTTCCTCTTGCTAATCATAGGTAAAGAGGCTAGTTCGGTGATGGTTTTAGTTAGCTCAGGCTGCTATTACATACTGGGTGGCTTAAACAACAGACATTGATTTCTCACAGTTCTGGAGGCTGGGAAGTCCCATATCAGGGTGATAGCATGATTGGGTGCTGGCAAGGGCTCTTTTCCTAGCTTGCAGATGGCTGCCTTCTTGCTATATCTTCACTTGGTGGACAAAGAGAAGAAAGGCTCTCTGGTCTCTTCTTTTTTTTTTTTTTCTTTTTGTTTTGAGACAGAGACTCTCAGATGCTCTCTCTGTCCAGGCTGGAGGCTGGAGTGCAATGACATGATCTGGGCTCACTGCAACCTCCACCTCCCGGGTTCAAGCGATTCTCCCACCTCAGCCTCCCAAGTAGCTGGGATTACAGACTTGCGCCACCACGCCCAGCTAATTTTTGTATTTTTAGTAGAGATGGCTTTTCACCATATTGCCCAGGCTGGTCTCAAACGCCTGATCTCAAGTGATCCACCCACCTTGGCCTCCCAAAGTGCTGAGATTTCAGGGGTGAGCCACTAGCCAGACCACCTGGTCTTTTCTCCCAAAGTGCTGAGATTTCAGGGGTGAGCCACTAGCCAGACCACCTGGTCTTTTCTTTTAAGACACTCATCCCATCATGGGGCACTGTCAGCCTAATTACGTCCCAAAGACCCCACCTTCTAATACCATCACATGGAGGTGAGGGCTTCAACATAAGAATTTGGGGGTCGAGGCGGGGCGCGGTGGCTCACGCCTGTAATCCCAGCACTTTGGGAGGCCGAGGCGGGCAGATCACGAGGTCAGGAGATCGAGACCATCCTGGCTAACACGGTGAAACCCCGTGTCCACTAAAAATACAAAAAATTAGCCAGGCGTGGTGGCGGGCGCCTGTAGTCCCAGCTACTCGGGAGGCTGAGGCAGGAGAATGGCGTGAACCCGGGAAGCAGAGCTTGCAGTGAGCCAAGATCATGCCACTGCACTCCAGCCTGGGTGACAGAGCAAGACTCCGTCTCAAAAAAAAAAAAAAAAAAAAACAATTTGGGGGCTGGGCGTGGTGGCTCATGCCGGTAATCCCAGCACTTTGGGAGGCTGAAGTCAGCAGATCACCTGAGGTCGGGAGTTTGAGACCAGCCTGACCAACATGGAGAAACCCCATCTCTACTAAAAATACAAAATTAGCCGGGTGTGGTGGCGTATGCCTGTAATCCCAGCTAACTCGGGAGGCTGAGGCAGGAGAATCACTTGAACCTGGGAGGTGGAGGTTGCAGTGAGCAGAGATCGCGCCACTGCACTCTAGCCTGGGCAACAAGAGCAAAACTCCATCTCAAAAAAAAAAAAGAATTTGGGGAGGATGCAAACACTTAGCCCATAATAGTAGCCGCCTTCCATCCTTATTGATTCAGCAGCATGAGGAACTTTAAATGGCCAGCTTCGGCTGGGCAAGGTGGCTCATGCTTGTAATCCAAGCACATTGGGAGGCCGAGGAAGGAAGATCACTTGAGCCCAGGAGTTCCAGAGCACTCTTGGGCAGCATACTTGCCCATAGTGTAAAAATTAGCTGGGCAGGGCTGGGCTTGATGGCTCACACCTATAATCCCAGCACTTTGGGAGGCCGAGGTGGGTGGATCACCTGAAGTCAGGAGTTTGAGACCAGCCTGGCCAATACAGTGAAACCCCACCTCTACTAAAAATACAAAAATTAGCTGGGCATAGTGGCGTGCGCCTATAATCCCAGCTACTTGGGAGGCTAAGGCAGGAGAATCGCTTGAACCCAGGAGGCAGAGGTTGCAGTGAGCTGAGATCACACCACTGCACTCCAGCCTGGGTGACAGAGACTCTGTCAGAAAACAAAACAAAACAAAAAAAAAAACAGGCGCGGTGGCTTATGTCTGCAATCCCAGCGCTTTGGGAGGCTGAGGCAGGCGGATCACAAGGTCAGGAGTTGAGACCAGCCTGGCCAACATGGTGAAACCCCGCCTCTACTAAAAAAAAAAATTGCCAGGCGCGGTGGCACATGCCTGTAATCCCAGCTACTCCGGAGGCTGAGACAGGAGAATCGCTTCAACCCAGGAGGTGGAGGTTGCAGTGAGCCAAGACCGCGCCACTGCACTCTAGCCTGGGCAACAAAATGAGACTGCGTCTCAAAAAAAAAAAAAAAAAAGAAAAAAAATTAGCTGGGCAAGGTGGCATGCGACTGTAGTACCAGCTACTCAGGAGGCTAAGGTAGGAGGATCTCTTGAGCCTGGGAGCCTGGGAAACAAGAGTGAGATTCTGTCTCAAAATAAATAAATAAATAAATAAATAAATAGATAGATAAATAAATACATACAATAAATGGCCAGCCTCGGCTTCCAGTTGAATAAAACCATAATAGTATTTCCTGATCTACACATTTCTTCCTTTGGCACTAGGACCTCTGGACCCACTGAGTCCCGGGTCCCTGGCAAGGAAAGCAAAAATTCTTCATGTGAATTATTAGGGGCCACAGTGGGAGGAGCCACTCCCATCTCCTCTCCTCGGTTCCTGGACTCATTCTAGCATGGTCTAAGTCTAGGAACGGCAGTGCTAGCAGAAGTCCCGCAGGCAAGGGAGGCAAATCCACACCCAGAACACAGGTCTGTCGTTGTGAGGATGAGGCACTGTCCTTACACCCCAGTCTGGTCCTACAAAAAAGGATGGCCTCTCAGGGTGCAACCTTCACCTTGGAGCAGCGCCCTCTGCTGGCCGCCTCTAAGATCTGTGGCTACTTGCATCCCCCTTCTAATCTTTCCCTACCTCTGTTGGTTCAAATCATCTCTCAGTTTATTAATCCTTGGAAAGAATTACATAGCGGTTATTCACAGCTTGTAAATTACAATAGAAAGGTTCCTTTCAAATGGTAGAGTTGCACTAAAGAGGAAATTGGGTTTATAAGAAAATGGAGGCAAAGAACTTAAGTTTTAAGAAAAAGCACTTCAAAACAGAAGGGCAAATGGAAAAGGGGGATATAAAACAAACCAATAAAAATACCATCTGAGGGTGTTACTGTCCAAAATTAAAGAATAAGATGCATCACTAAGCCCTTTGCACTCGTGTTGACCTCGTAAGTAAAAATTATTACTTAGAATAATAATAAGTGGTGCACACTACATTCCCTGTCCCTCTTCTAGACTTTTTTTTTGTAGAAGAATCAGAAAACAATTTACTAACCTCCCTGTTTGATATTAAAAACTCAATAGGAAGGTTTTTAATATTTTCTGTCAGTACAAGTTGAACTTGATTGTGTCAACTGAAACCCTAGAGGTTTGTGTATCAGTAGAATGCAAGAACATTGTTAAAGTTGCTTACAATCTTTTTTGTTTTCCTTTCCATTCCATTGTATCAATTTTTTGAGTAACTTTCAAATGGCTAGAAAATGGTCTTTTTGCTTTGCCCTTTTATAGCTGAAATAACCAGCTCCATTCTTTTCATGAGTAGTAAGTTGATATATTTATTTATCAGGTATCTTTCAGTTGTCACTAAATACTGTAGTTTTCTTGTGTTGTATGGAAATTATAGTTCAATTATTCTAATGTGATGGAGTGCAACGAGTCATTGTAGAACTTTTCACCTGTTAATGTTGAAGTTATACCTCTGAACTTCTGCTGTGGATATCAAGGAAATAATAAAGCGAAAACCCTAAGACATTTGAAAAAAAAAAAACCCAGCCTGGGAAACATGATGAAAACCCATCTCTACAAAAAATACAAAAATTAGCCGGGCATGGTGGCACACACCTGTATTTCCAGCTACTTGGGAGGCTGAGGCGGGAGAATCACTTAAGCCCAGGAAGTGGAGGTTGCGGTGAACTGAGATTATGCCACTGCACTCCAACGTGGGTGACAGAGCAAGATCCTGTCTGAAAAAAAAAATCAATGAATCAAAGAATGGTGACCCTAGTAAATACCTGATACTTTATTTATTTGGCTCAATGAAAATAAAAAAGAGAATTTTATGCAAAAATTTCAGACAACTGAATTTTGCCAAATGATTCCATTTACTAAGGATTCCATCTTTGGTTCTAATGTAGCATATATTCCCTGTGGAGGAAATGGATTTCTCCAAATAACTGGATCCATAGTCATGTAATGCTAGTGGGGACAATCACCCCAGCTTAGATACCATCAAATGAATTCCAACATATGTGGGCTCTCCCATTATTTGTCTTCTCACCTGCCAGCCTGCCTCTCTTGGCAATGCTAGGATTCCAGAATCAGGCCCTAAGCTCAGCAAGGGCCTCCATGAGGGCCATATTACACCCTAAGATTCCCAGATGTCTATTTGGAACCACCTTTGACTTACTCCCTTATTTTGCCCCTGAAACTGCATGGGGACAAAGAAGAAATCATAAAAACAGGGATAATGGATATGGCCCTAAGTATTTTAATGTGGCCTATCAATAGTGTCGTCATACCATCCCTGTTTACCAAGCCTTTATGGCAATTTCTTCACCTTGATACTGTTGACATTTTTGGCTGGTCATCATTTTTTTATGGGGGAATTGTCCTGTGTGTTTTAAGACGTTAAGCAGGACAGGTGAGGTGGCTCACACCTGTAATCCCAGCACTTTGGGAGGCTGAGGCGGGCTGATCACCTAAGGTTGGGAGTTTGAGACCAGCCTGACCAACATGGAGAAACCCCATCTCTACTAAAAATACAAAATTAGCCAGGCGTGATGGTGCATGCCCATAATCCCAGCTACTCGGGAGGCTGAGGCAGGAGAATCGCTTGAACCCGGCAGAGGTTGCAGTGAGGCGAGAGCGTGCCATTTCACTCCAGCCTGGGCAACAAGAGCAAAACTGTGTCTCAAAAAAAAAAAAAAAGATGTTAAGCAGCGTCCTTGACCTCTGCCCAGATATTGCCAAATGTCACTTGGGGAGCAAAATTGGCCCAGTTGAGAACCACGGGACTAAAGTAAGCAGAATTATCAGGATAAAACAGACAATTCACCTCTATCATACCAGAGTTTTTTGTTTGTTTTTTGAGACAGGGTCTTGCTCTGTCACCCAGGCAGGAGTGTGGTAGTGTGATCATAGCTCACTGCAGCCTCAAACTCCTGGGCTCTCAGGAGGCTGAGAAGCAGTGAGTCACAATTGTGCCACTACAATCCAGCCTTGGCAACAGAGTGAGAACCTTTCTCAAACAAACAAGAGGAAGAAGAGGAAGAGGAAGGAGAGGAAGAGGAGGAAGAGGAAGAGAAGGAAGAGGAAGAGGAGAAAGGGGAAGGGAAGAGAAGGACAAGGAGAAGGAGAAGAAGAAGATTCTGGGGCTCAAGCCATCCTCCTGCCTGAGCCTCCCAAAGTACTGGGATTACAGGTGTGAGTCACCGAGCGTATTAGTCAGGGTTCTCTAGAGGGACAGAATTAATGGAATATATACAGGAGTTTATTAAGTATTAACTCACAGGATCACAAGGTCCCACAATAGGCCATCTGCAGGCTGAGGAGCAAGGAGAGCCAGTCTGAGTTCCAAAACTGAAGAACTTGGAGTCCGATGTTGGAGGGTAGGAAGCATCCAGCACGGGAGAAAGATGTTGGCTGGGAGGCTAAGCCAGTCTCTCACATTTTTCTGCCTGCTTATATTCTAGCCTTGCTGGCAGCTGATTAGCTTGTGCCCACCCAGATTAAGGGTGGGTCTGCCTTTCTCAGCCCGCTGACTCAAATGTTAATCTCCTTTGGGAACACCCTCACAGACACACCCAAGATCAATACTTTGTATCCTTCAATCCAATCAAGTTGACACTCAGTATTAACCATCACACTGAGCCTGGCCAAAGCTGGACTACTTGTAAGCTTTTGTCTGGAACCGTGATTTGGGAGCAAGTGGCCCGAGGACGATGAAAACTATCAGAGGTGGCTGGGCACAGTGGTTCATGCCTGTAATCCCAGCACTTTGGGAGGCGGAGGTGGATGGATCACTTGAGGTCAGGAGTTTGAGACCAACCTGGCCAACATGGCAAAGCCAGTCTCTACTAAATATACAAAAACTGGCCAGGCATGGTGGCTCACGCCTGTAATCCCAGCACTTTGGGAGGCCGAGGCAAGTGGATCGCCTGGGGTCAGGAGTTCGAGAGAAACATGTTGAAACCCCATCTCTATTAAAAATATAAAGAACTAATCAGGCATGGTGGCAGGCTCCTGTAGTCCCAGTTACTCGGGAGGCTGAGGCAGGAGAATTGCTTGAACCCAGGAGGTGGAGGTTGCAGTGAGCCGAGATCATACCACTGCACTCCAGCCTGGGCGACAGAGCGAGACTCCATCTCAAAAACAAACAATCAGAGGCGCTGACTGCAGTGACAGCCATCCGGCTCTGACAGTTCCTGTGCTTCCAGCTTCTTGCTATTTCAGGGGCTCTGGTCTTGATTCTTGCAGGTTCCCAAACCTGGTCCTACAGCTCCCCACCTCCTGTCTCTTTAGTGGTTTAGTGGGCGCCCCCTCCCCTGTATCTTTCTAGTGAGTTTTAATGTGCTTTGCTTAGGTAGGGCTGGTTTGTTTCCATTATTGGCAACAAGAAGGAATTCGTCAAGGAGTCTAAGAAGTTGTCTGGAGAACCAAGAAAAAGATTTCCTGGAAGCATAGAAAGAGTGCATTTCCGGAAGAAAGATTCATCAAGAATTTCAAACATCAGGGCCAAGTCAAGCAGGACAGGAACTGAAAGGTGCTCCTCAAATTTGCCTATGAAGAGGCCACTGCTGGGGAGGAGTGTGTCAGGCAGCAGTGGAGGGAGGACAGCAAGTGTAAAGGAGACTCTGCAACTTCCACCTCCCAGCTTCAAGCACTTCTCATGCCTCAGCCTCCTGAGTAGCTGAGATTACAGGCGTGTGCCACCACACCTGGCTAATTTGTGTATTTTTAGTAGAGATGGGGTTTCCACACAACCGGAATACTACTGAGCAATAAAAAGGAGTGAACAGTTGTCCCTCGGCATCTGCAGGGTATTGGCTCCAGGACCCCCTGCCGACACCAAAGTCCACAGATGCTGAAGTCTTTTCTATGAAATGACATAATGTTTGTATATAGCCTCAGGTATGCTTTAAATACCTAATACAGTGTAAATGGTATGTAAATAATTATACTGTATTTTAAATTTTCTACTGTTTTTGTTGTCTTACAGTTATTTTATATATTTCATTTTTTTCAAGTATTCTCCATCCATGTTTAGTTGAATCCATGGATGAGGAACCTGCAGATCTGGAGGGCCAGCTGTAGTGATGGGTGCAGCAACATGGATGGTAGCATAATTTCAAAAAATAATATGATAAGTGAGGCCAGGTGAGGTGGCTCACACGTGTAATCCTAGCACTTTGGGAAGCCAAGGCGGGCGGATCACTTGAGGTCAGGACTTCGAAACCAGCCTGGCCAACATGGTGAAACCTCGTCTCTACTAAAAATACAAAACTTAGCCAGGCGTGGTGGCAGGTGCCTGTAATCCCAGCTACTCAGGAGGCTGAGGCAGGAGAATCACTTGAACCTGGGAGGTGGAGGTTGCAGTGAGTCTAGGTCATGCCGCTGCACTGCAGCCTGGGCAACAGTGAGACTCCATCTCAAAAAAGAAAAAATTATGCTAAGTGAAAGAAGTCAAATACAAGAGGCTACATGCTATATGATTTCATTTATAAGATATTCTGGAAAAGGCAAAACTATAGGAAATCAGATTAGTAGCTAACAGGGGCTGATGGTGGGAGGAGGTGATTGACTACAAAGGGACACGAGGGACCTTTTTGAGGTGACAGAAATGCTTTATATTGGGAATGTGGTGGTGGTTATGTAACTATACATTTGTCAAAACTCATCAAATTGTACACTTAAAAAGGGTGAATGTTAGTATATGAAAATTATATCTCAATAAACCTGACTTAAGAAAATAATAAAACAAACCTAAAAACGCAACAAGGTGAAAATAAGTCTAAGAAAAAAATAACTTACAGTTTTTCCAGTTCAACGGTCATCATGAGAATGTTCTTAAGTGTTGTAAGTGGGACTTGCGTTGTTCCCACGTCTCTGAAGAAGAAAGCCGAAACAGTCATGATATGAACCCCAATAAAAAATTCTGTACTTAAAAAGATAATTCAAGGACATGTGATTACTTCAATTTTGGCTTCCCTATAAAACAAGCCAGTTCAACAGTTTATTTGCCGCAAAATTCCAGAGAGCTCTTATTAAAGAAATTAAAGTTGATTTGCATCATCAAATTAATGATATTCAAGAGTAGGTCTTACACTGTTTTTTTTTTTTTTTTACCATTATCTTACTTCTCAGTTTCATATTGCATTCACCCATCTTGAATATTTACTCTTTTCTTCCTTTTTAGAATAATGAACACCTTTTCCCCTTTGCTTTCTTGGTTAAGTAATATTCCTCCATGTGTCTACATGTTCCAAATCTATATGGGTTCTTCAACACTGTTCTCTTTCCCCTGCTGGCTATCTTGACCATTACACATCCTTTCCTTTGCCAATAATGTTTTTCAATAACTCAGTTAAAATTTAAATTATGACATTTTAGCCTAAATGCAAAATACTTAATCTTTGATGAAAAATTTAAAAAGAGTATAAATCATCTCATGACTCCCAAGAGTACTATAGTACTTACCGATATTTTAATGCCAGTAATTTAAAGAGATACGGATCTTCAACAGTTGTCAGAGGATTGCGATTGAGAATTCTGAAAAATGCAATGGAATTAAAATAACCTGCATTTTCAATGTGTGAAACTGCATAAGAAGTTTACATTCATTTTTTGGTATGGAACTTGTGGGTAAAAAAAAAAATCATTTTCTGTTTTTACCTAATAAATCAACATTAGACTCTGTAAAGCATTATTCCTTCGGGAACTACCTAGATCTCTAGGAGATAAAGTAGAGGAGAGAAAGAGGGGGAAAAATAGGGAAAAAAAAGTGGATAGCAAAGAAACAATATGCCACAGAACTTTTCAGGTCGAAAACCCTAGAAGTGACTATGTTGGTAGGAAGCCCTGATTCTGTAGGAAACACTATTTCTAGTGTCCTCCATAATTCAAGTTGCTCATCTTCTTGTTTTGTTTTGTTTTGAGACAGAGTCTTGCTCTGTAGCCCAGGCTGGAGAGCAATGGCTCCATCTCATCTCACTGCAAACTCCACCTCCCAGGTTCAAGCGATTCTCCTGCCTCAGCCTCCTGAGTAGCTGGGATTACAGGTGCCTGCCACCACACCTAGCTAATTTTTGTATTTTTAGTAGAGACAGGGTTTCGCGATGTTGGCCAGGCTGGTCTCGAACTCCTGATCTCAGGTGATCCACCTGCCTCGGCCTCCCAAAGTGTTGGGATTATAGGTGTGAGCCACTGAATCTGACCGCTTGCCTTTTATCTTTATAAAGTTATTAAAATTTATGGTTTAATTTGCAAAGTTAAGAAAAAAAAATAGGACCAATTCTTTTGCTTTATAGCCAAAGAAAAAGGGATAAATCTAAGAGGAGGAACTGGTCAAAACCATACTCCCATCACATACTCCCACTTGTCTTCTTGTATGACATCATAGCCTTTGTTACATTGCATGTAATCACCTGTCTACTTGTCAGTCTCCTGGACTATCAGCTCCCTGAGGGCAGAGACCACATCTTATTGTCATTGTCATCCCTGTGCCTGGCATGATGTCTGAAATTTACCAGACATTTAATAAATGTTTATTGAATAAACAAATGACATTTTATTTGTATGTCAATAAAATGAATAAATTCTTTTTGATGCAAATTTTTATTCCAAAATGCTGGAATCAATTTTCTTTTTAATTCTTTAAAGTGAACAAGGAAAAGAAAAGAAACAGGAAGAAATAAAAGAAAATCTGCCTTTAGGTTAACCCAAGAATCATCACCATACTTTTGCAGAAATTATAAAAATAATAATTATTACAGTGAGTATCTATTGGGCTGCTAGGTATTTGTGATCAGCATTTCACATTTAATCCTCACAATGCCTTATGGGCTAGATATTATCATTGCCCTATTTTATAAATGAGGAAACTGAGGCACAGAGAGGTTACATAACGTCCTACATCACCAAGCTATTAAGAAGCAAAGCTGTAATTTGAAGTCATGTGTTTTAATCTGTATGAAGAAAAAGGGTTTACTTTAACCTTATGGTTTTTTAATTTTTATTTTATTTCTCTTTCTTTCTTTCTTTTTCTTTCCTTCTTTCTTTCTATTTCCCTCCCTCCCTCCTTCTTTCCCTTTCTTCCTCCCTTCCCTCCCTCCCTCTCTTCCTTCCTTCCTGCCTCCCTCCCTCCCTCCCTTTTCTTTTCTTTTTTTTTTTTTTTTTTTTTGACAGGAAATGGCACTTTAATAGTTGGGGCCAGGGTGACAGGACCAAGATGGGGCTAGCCTGTGTCAGTCAGGAAGCCTCCCTCTCCTGCTGGGATAGGGCCTTGCGGCAGCTCCTCCTCCCCGCTGAGGTCCTAGGCCTGCCACAGGCTAGCATGCCAGTGAGGTCGGTGGCAGGAGCCACCCAGAAGCCCCGCAGATGACAGAGCTGAGAACAGGGACTTCACTTCCACGTGTTGCCATTTCCTCACTGGAAAGTCCTTGGGAGGTGGCTGGGCTCAGCCTGAGCTCAGGGTTCTTCGGTGGGTGTTGGGACGGGGCAGGGCGGGCACTTGCAGGTGGCACAGGCTTCATCAAGGCAGGACATGGGCTTCATCAAGGCAGGAGCCAGAGCACCCGAGCCCTGGCAGGGGAGGTATGGCCCAGGATGGGGCAGGGCCGTGTGCTCCTGGAACGGACATCCTTCTCTGCCAGAGACCTGCTCCCCAAGCCCTGTCCCTCCCAATCCCCAGGCAGCCCACTCTGCCCTCCATAGATGAATCTAATCCCATATATTACAATAAACTGCATTTGCCTCTCCCCATTGCCCCACCCTCCCCTACCCTGAGCCAGCGGCCCCCACTTCCTCATCCCCTGGCGGTGG
The DNA here is from genome assembly GCF_000001405.40 of Homo sapiens. Lineage (NCBI taxonomy): Eukaryota > Metazoa > Chordata > Mammalia > Primates > Hominidae > Homo > Homo sapiens. The sequence continues at coordinate 302,913 of NT_187663.1, forward strand.
CAGGTGCCCCTCCTCAAGCAGTGCCACATCCTGTCAGCAGCCAGCTGTCCTGGCACTGGCCTGAGGGCCGGGGGACGCAGAGGGCGGGGCTGCGCGGCTACTCCAGGTAGATATCTTCTGTGGGGCAGGTGTACTCCACAAACTGCTTGTGAAACTGCTGGAATGCTCTCCCCACGGACTCTGCCAGGGCTTTGGTGGAGTCTTCAGACACAAAGACGTGGCAGGCAAACCGGTGGTCGGCGAGGTGCTTGGTGATGAACCCAAAGTACTTGTTGTTCTTTGGATGATATCCGCGGAAAGAGATGTTTTTTAACTGGAAAAAGTGGCTACATTTATTCCCCTTGGCCTCCTGGGAGTCATCGGCCTTGACACCTATCTTCACACCCCGCACGCTGATCTCCAGGACACAGCTGGAGGGCGGGTTAAAGTGCACGGTTAGCCGGCGGGTGGTGGCAATCTTTTGCATAGCGGCAGAGAGGACGACATCGCCCTTGTGATAGGGAACCTGGACTGAGCCCAGGAACTTCACCCGGAACTGGTCCACCCAGTCACTGTTTTTAGCCAGGGCTGCCATGTGCTCGGGCTCCTTGGTGACTTCGATGGCGTAATAGGCAGTAAAGAAGCCCCGGGCACCAGTGCGCATGTTGTAGGCCTCGTACCAGTAGTCTTCAGCCTGGAGCTCCACTAGCAGAGGGTCATCCACTTCCAGCTCAGGTTCGTCTTCGTGTCGAGGCACAAACCTGAATATGGTCCGGTGGGTCTGCTCCTGCTCCTCCCGGTTGATGATGCAGGAGAACAGCCCGAAGGACTCGGCACTGGAGGAGCGGGAGCGGCCACTCATGAAGATGTTCAGGAACTTCTTGGAGAAATGGACGTCGGGTTCGTCAGGCGTGGAGTCCTTGGAGAGGCAGGCAGGAGGCTGGGGCCGGGAGGCCTCCTCATATTCCTCTCCGATGGCTGACTCATAGGGCGAGGAGACGGAGGCACAGTTGTCATAGACGATGGCCGAGTCACTCTCGTCACTGTAGTCTCCGAAGCACGGCCGCAGGCTCACCGGCTCCAGCTGCGCGTGCTCATCTACCAGCAGCGTGGGCTGTTGGTGGAGGTGCCTCGATCTGTGGTGGGGGCGGGGCTGCTCTGGGGGGGCAGCTCATCGCTCAGGCAAATGGGTTCATGCGGTGGTGTCTGCTCCCCTGTCTTCAGGGGTGAGGATGATCGAGACACCCGATCCTGCCAACTGTACTTTTTGCCCAGAGAATTATTATTCAGTGTGTCCTGAGACAACTGCACCTGCGGAAAGAGGTTGAGCGTGGTGGGCCGCTTGGGCCGGTACGTGTCCCCGCTGCCCGGGCCCTGGCTCTGGCCTTGGCTCTGGCCCTGGCCGCGGGACGCCGGCTCCTGGCCGGACTCGGCCTTGGGCGGCCCCGCTCCCGGCCGCCGGGCCGCGCGCTCCTCGTCGTCGTCCTCCTCGTCGTCCTCGGCCCCGGGAGTGTCCCCCGTCGCGTCGATCAGGTCCATCTGCAGCATCTCGGCCTGCAACCGGCTCCCCGCGCCGCCGCCACCCGCAGAGCCCTCCCTTTTCTTTTCTTTTTTCTTTTCTTTTCTTCTTTCTTTCTTTATTCTCTTCATGTCCCTTCCTCCCTCCTTCTTTCCCTTTCTTCCATCCTTCCCTCCCTCCTTCCTTCCTCCCTCCTTTTCTTCTTTCTTTTTTCTTTCTTTCTTTTTTCTTTCTTTCCTTCATTTCCCTCCCTCCCTCCTTCTTTCCCTTTCTTCGTTCCTTCCTCCCTCCTTTTCTTCTTTCTTTCTTTCCTTCCTTCTTCTTTCTTTTCTTCCTCTCCCTCCCTTTCCCTTCTTCCCTCCTTCTTTTCCTTCCTTCCCTCCCCTTCCTTCTTTCTCTCTCTTTTTCTCTCTCTTTTCTTTCACTCTTTTCGCCTTCCTTCCTTTTTTCCTTCCTTCCCTCCCTCCCTCCTCTTTCTCTCTCTCGCAAAAAAAGAGTAAGCAGACATAATATCAATATATTCATTTACCTCAAGGACTGAGAATAATGAATTTAGTTCATGCAACTATGATTCTTCTTGTCATTTATTCAAGAAACTTTGAGATTCATTCCCATTATAGCTAAACACTCTTGACACTGGGAATATAAAGATAAATAACTCACAGTCCCCACCCTCAAAGGTTTATAATAGAGTAGGAGAAGGGAAACAGTAAACAAAAGTTTGAAGTGTGATATAGTGAAATATATATATTTGGTCTTTGACCTCATTTCCTCGTATACACTTAGAATCTCCAAAGTGATATCTTCTTGTATGCAAACAAATTGACTGGTAGCTTCAGGATGGGGGCTGGCGGCAAAAGACCAAAGCAGGATTAGAGGGTTGGGACTTTTCTTCCCCACCCCCCAACCTCCCAGGAGGTGAGAGGAGCTGAAGATTAAGTTCAGGGACAGAAAAAGCTGCCCTTGAAAATTCAAGGCCTTGAAAATGCAGAATTAAGTTTGAATATGAAAGGGAATAATAGACCCAGTGCTTTGGGAGGCTGAAGCAGGAGGATCCTTTGAAACCAGGAGTTCAAGACCAGCCTGGGCAAGGTAGGGATGCCCTGTCTCTACAAAAAAAATAGAAAAATTAGCTGGGCATGGTGGCATATGCCTTTAATCCCAGCTACTTGAGAGGCTAAGGTGGGAGAATCATCTGAGCCCAGGGAGGTTGAGGCTGCAGTGAGCCATGATTGCACCATTGCACTCCAGCCTGGGTGACAGACCCAGCACTTTGGGAAGCCAAGGCGGGTAGAACGCAAGGTCAGGAGTTCAAGACCAGCCTGGCCAAGATGGTGAAACCCCATCTCTACTAAAAATACAAAAACTAGCCAGGCGTGGTGGCAGGCGCCTGTAATCCCAGCTACTTGGGAGGCTGAGGCAGAGAATTGCTTGAACCCGGGAGGCAGAGGTTGCAGTGAGCCAAGATCATGCTGCTGCACTCCAGCCTGGGTGACAGAGTGAGACTTCGTCTCAAAAAAAAAAAAAAAAGAATAGATTTCCTGTGACCAATTTCGATATTATTTATTTTTAGCCAAACTTATTGACCCAGAATGACCAGTTTAGATAAATCGTGGTCCTGGGATGGAACACAAAAAAGTGGAATTTTATTAGAAAAGGAGAAGGGGAGTGGCTATTGAATATTGATGTTGTGTTCAATATAGTGAGGGTTTTTTATTTTGTTTTTTGAGACAGGGTCTCAGGGTCTTGCTCTGTCTCCCAGGCTGGAGTGCAGTGCACTGGCATGATCATAACACTGTAGCCTTGAACTCTTCAGGCTCAAGTGACCTTCCCACCTCAGCCTCCTGAGTAGCCAGGACTACAGGCATGCACTGCCACACCTGGCTCATTTTTCAATTTTTTGTAGAGATGCGATCTCACTATGTTGACCCGGCTTGTCTCAAACTCCTGGGCTCAAGCAATCCTCCGACCTTAGCCTCCCAATGCACTGGGATTATAGGCAAAAGCCACTACACCTGGCCTGAACTTTTTTATTCTAAGGATTTGCAGAGTTTCTGTTTAAGCCATTATCTTCAAATAATGGTTTTAATTTCTTTTTAATCCTTATGTAAAATACCTTATTTCTTTCTTTCTTTCTTTTTTTTTTTTAGATGGAATTTCGCTCTTGTTGCCCAGGCTGGAGTGCAATAGCACGATCTTGGCTCACCACAACCTCCACCTCCCAGGTTCAAGCGATTCTCCTGCCTCAGCCTCCCGAGTAACTGGGATTACAGGTATGTGCCACCACGACCTGCTAATATTGTATTTTTAGTGTAGATGGGGTTTCTCCATGTTGGTCAGGCTGGTCGCGAACTCCCAACCTCAGGTGATCCATCCATCTTGGCCTCCCAAAGTGCTGGGATTACAGGCATGAGCCATCGTGCCCAGCCCTATTATTCTTTTTTAAAATTTTTTTAAAATTGAGATGGGATTTTGCCATGTTACCTAGGCTGGCCTCAAACTCCTGGGTTCAAGCAATCCTGCCACCTCTTTCTCCCGAAGTGTGGGATTACAGGTGTGAGCCAGCGTGCTTGGCTCTTTATTTTATTTTATTTTATTTTATTTTATTTTATTTTATTTTATTTTATTTTTTGAGAGAGAGTCTTGCTCTGTCACCCAGGCTGGAGTGCAGTGGTGTGATCTTGGCTCACTGCAACCTCCACCTCCCAGGTTCAAGTGATTCTCCTGCCTCCCTCTCAAATACCTGGGATTACAGGTGCCCACCACCACGCCTGGCGAATTTTTGTAGTTTTAGTAGAGATGTGGTTTCATCATGTTGACCAGGCTGGTCTTGAACTGCTGACCTCAGGTGATCTGCCCACCTTTGCCTCCCAACATGCTGGGAGGGTGTGAGCCACGGTGCCCAGCCTTTTATTTTTTATTTTTTATTTTTAATCTGTCTTGATTTTGCTTCCTTCCTAAACAGTTTTGGCTTCGTGATCACGTAAACCAAGAGTCACAAACTGAAATGCCATCAAGGGGCCAAGCAGGTAACAAAATTCAAGTCATACAGGTTCAATGTCTTAGTCACCCCAGGCTACAACAGAATATCATAGACTGGGTAGCCTAATAATACAGATCATTTTCTCAGGGTTCTAGAGGCTAGAAAGTCCAAGATCGAGATTCCCAAAGGGTTAAGTTTCTGGTGTTGATGCAGGGCAGGTAAGCCACAAAACTGGGGCTTAGACTGAGAGGGTTCTTGGCTTCACCCAGGAAATAATTCAAGGGCAAACCGAAGGTGTTAGAGGCCAACTTTTTTTTGTTTCGGGACAGGGTCTCACTCTGTCACCCAGGCTGGAGTGCAGTGGCTCACTGCAGACTCTGCCTCCTGGGTTCAAGTGATTCTCCCGCCTCAACCTCCTGAGTAGCTGGGAGTGCAGGTGTGCGCCAAAACACCCAACTAATTTTTTTGTATTTTTAGTAGAGATGGGGTTTCACCATGTTGACCAGGCTGGTCTCAAACTCCTGGCCTCAAATGATCCACCCGCCTCAGCCTCCTAGAGTGCTGGGATTACAGGTATTACTCACTGCACCTGGCCTAGATGCCAACTTTTATTGAAGCAGTGGCCTATAGCAACAGCAGAGGGACTGCTCCTTGCAGAGCAGGGCTACCCTGTAGGTAGTGTGACCAGAGTAGCAGCTCAGGGCAGTTCTGCAGTCATATTTACATTGACCTTTAATTATATGCAAATTAAGGGGCAGACTATACAGACATTTCTAGAAAAAGGCTGATAACTTCTGGGTTGTCAAGTTGTTGCCATTGAAAGGGGTGGTAGGCTGAGCACAGTGGCTCATGCCTGTAATTCCAGCACTTTGGGAGGCCAAGGCAGGTGGATCATGAGGTCAAAAGTTCAAGACCAGCCTGGCCAAGATGGTGAAACACTGTCTCTACTAAAAATACGAAAATCAGTTTGGCGCTGTGGCAGGCGCCTGTAATCCCAGCTACTCCGGAGGCTGAGGCAGGAGAATTGCTTGAACCTGGGGGGTGGAGCTTGCAGGGAGCCAAGACTGTGCCACTGCACTCCAGCCTGGGCGACAGAGTGAGACTCCGTCTCAAAAAAAAAAAAAAAAAAAAAAGGCGGTGGGGTGGTAACTCTGGGTTCTGCCATGGAAATGGTGGTAAACTGACATGGCGCACTGGTGAGCGTGTCTTATGGAAAGCTGCTTTCATCCTGTCCCTGTTTCAGCTAGTCATCAATTTGGTCTGGTGTCCAAGCCCCATCTCTGGAGTCCAGTTCCACCTCCTACCTCAGCGTGGGCTTTATTACCTGGCTTGCCTTCTTGAAGTAGCTTCATGTGGCAGAGAGAAAGCTAGGGAGCTCTCTGGGTTCTCGTCTCATAAAGACACTAATTCTATTAGATCAGTGCCCAGCTTTATGACCTCATTTGACCTTAATTACTTCCCATAAATCCCCTTTTTTTTTTTTTTGAGACAGAGTCTTACTCTGTCACCCTGGCTGGAGTGCAGTGGCATGCTCTCGACTCACTGCAACCTCTGCCTCCCAGGTTCAAGCAATTCTCCTTCCTCACCCTCCTGAGTAGCTGGGACGAGAGGTGCGCACCACCATGCCTGGCTAATTTTCGTTTATTTTTTTTTGAGATGGAGTCTTGCTCTGTCGCCCAGGCTGGAGTGCAGTGGTGTGATCTCGGCTCACTGCAACCTCTGTCTCCCGGGTTCAAGTGATTCTCCTGCCTCAGCCTCCCAAGTAGCTGGGACTACAGGCGTGTGCCACGACACCTGGCTAATTTTTTTTTTTTTTTTTTGTATTTTTAGTAGAGATGGGGTTTCACTGTGTTAGCCAGGATGGTCTTGATCTCCTGACCTCGTGATCTGCCCGCCTCGGCCTCCCAAAGTGGTGAGATTACAGGTGTGAGCCACTGCACTCCGCCAAGTTTTTATATTTTTAGTAGAGATGTTTTTAGTAGAGATGGGGTTTCACCATATTGGCCAGGCTGGTCTTGAACACCTGACCTCAAATGGTCCACCCGCCTTGGCCTCCCAAAGTGCTGTGATTACAGGCTTGAGCCATCGCATCCAGCCCCACAGTTAATACTTAATGATGAAAGACTGTAAGTTTTTCTCCTAAGATCAGGAAGAAGACAAGGATATTCACTCTTGCCACCTCTATTCAACATTATACTTAAATTTCTAGCCAGGAAATTAGCAAGAAAAAGAAATAAAAGCCACACAAATTAGAAAGGAAGAAATAAAACCATATGTATTTGCATATGACATGATCTCGTATGTAGGAAATTCTAAGGAATCCACAAAACCGTTAGAACAAGTAAACAAATTCAGCAAAGTTGCAGGTGTAAGAGTGATATAAAAAAAATTGGCCTGGCGCAGTGGCTCATGCCTGTAATCCCAGCACTTTGGGAGGCCTAGGTGGGCAGATCATGAGGTCAGGAGTTCGAGACTAACCTGACCAACATGGTGAAAACCCATCTCTACTAAAAATACAAAAATTAGCTGGGGGTTGTGGCACGCACCTGTAATCACAGCTATTCGGGAGACTGAGGCAAGAGAATCGCTTGAACCCAGGAGGCAGAGGTTGCAGTGAGCCGAGATCACACCACTGCACTCCAGCCTGGGTAACAGAGCGAGACTGTCTCAAAAAAAAAAAAAAAGTAAATAAATAAATAAATTGTATTTCTATACAGTAACAATTAGCAAGCTGAAAATGAAACTAAGAAAATTCATTTACAATATCGTTTACAAACACACACTTAGGAATAAATTTGACCAAAGTGCTAGACCTTTTTCTTATTTATTTATCTTTTGGTTCCTAAAGTATCCACACCAAACACAAAATAAAGCAAAATCTTTTTTTTTTTTTTTTTTTTTTTTTGAGACGGAGTCTCACTCTTTTGCCCAGGCCGGACTGCAGTGGCGCTATCTTGGCTCACTGCAAGCTCCGCCACCCGGGTTCACACCATTCTCCTGCCTCAGCCTCCCGAGTAGCTGGGACTACAGGAGCCTGCCACCGCGCCTGGCTAATTTTTTGTATTTTTAGTAGAAACGGGGTTTCACCGTGTTAGCCAGGATGGTCTCGATCTCCTGACCTGGTGATCTGCCTGCCTGGGCCTCCCAAAGTGCTGGGATTACAGGCATGAGCCACCGTGCCCGGCCACAAAATCTTAATAGTAATAAATTAATTTTGCAAAGTTGGAGGATACAAGATCAACGTACAAAAATCAGTTGTTTATTTATTTTTTAAGAGACAAGACCACTCCTCTCTCCGGTCCGTGCCTCCAAGATGACAAAGAAAAGAAGGAACAATGGTCGTGCCAAAAAGGGCCGCGGCCACGTGCAGCCTATTCGCTGCACTAACTGTGCCCGATGCGTGCCCAAGGACAAGGCCATTAAGAAATTCGTCATTCGAAACATAGTGGAGGCCGCAGCAGTCAGGGACATTTCTGAAGTGAGCGTCTTCGATGCCTATGTGCTTCCCAAACTGTATGTGAAGCTACATTACTGTGTGAGTTGTGCAATTCACAGCAAAGTAGTCAGGAATCGATCTCGTGAAGCCCGCAAGGACCGAACACCCCCACCCCGATTTAGACCTGCGGGTGCTGCCCCAGGTCCCCCACCAAAGCCCATGTAAGGAGCTGAGTTCTTAAAGACTGAAGACAGGCTATTCTCTGGAGAAAAATAAAATGGAAATTGTACTTAAAAAAAAAAAAAAAAAAAGAGACAAGACCGCACTATGTTGCCGAGGCTAGAATGCAGTGATCATTTAAAGGCACAATTATAATGCACTATAGCCTCAAACATGGCCGCAAGCAATCCTCCTGACTCAGCCTCCCAAGTAGCTGGTACTACAGGTGGTGCACCACTACACCTGGCTCAGTTGAATTTCTATACACCAGAAATGAACAATCCAAAAATGAAATTAATAAAACAATTCCATTTGTAATGGCACCAAAAAAAAACTTAGGAATAAATTTAACCAAGGAAGTGCAAACTACAAAACATTATTGAAAGAAATTAAACTTAAATACATGAAAAGACATTGTGTGTTCATGGATTGAAAGACTTACTACTCTTCACATAGCAATGCTTCCCAAATTGATCTACAGACTCAACACAATCTCTATCAAAATCCCAACTACCTTTTTTGCAAAAATGGACAAGCTGATTCTAAAATTCACATTAAATTGTAAGGAACTTCAAATAGACAAAACAATCTTGAAAAATAAGAACAAAATTGGAAGACTCACGCTTCTTGATTCAAAATCTAATTCAAAGTACCAGTAGTTGAGCCCCTGGGCACTGGCATAAGGACTGACATATAGATCAATGGAATAGAATTGAAAGTCCAGAAATGAGTGCCCACATTACGATCAACTGATTTTTTTTCTTTTTTGAGACAGGGTCTCACTCTGTCACCCAGGCTGGAGTGCAGTGATCAAGGCTCACTGCAGCCTCCGTCTCCCGATCCCCCTGCCTCAGCCTCCTAAGTCACTGGGACCACAGGTATGTGCCACCACGCCCAGCTAATCTTTTTTTTTTTTTTTTTGAGACAGAGTTTCGTTCTTGTTGCCCAGGCTGGAGTGCAATGGCGCAATCTCGGCTCACCACAACCTCCGCCTTCTGGGTTCAAGCGATTCTTCTGCCTCAGCCTCCCTAGTAGCTGGGATTACAGGCATGAGTCACCACACCAGACTAATTTTGTATTTTTAGCAGAAATGGGGTTTCTCCATGTTGGTCAGGCTGGTCTCGAACTTCTGACCTCAGGTGATCCACCTGCATTGGCCTCCCAAAGTGCTGGGATTACAGGCGTGAGCCACCATGTCTGGCTTGCCCAGCTAATCTTTTTAATTATTATTTTTAGAAATGGAGTGTGCCTATATTGCCCAGGCCGGTTTTGAACTTCTGGGGCTCAAATGGTCTTCTTGCCTTGGCCTCCCAAAATACTGGGATTACAGGTGTGAACCATGGTGCCCAGCCAAGGTCAACTGATTTTTAACAAATATGCCAAGACAATTCAATGAGAGAAAGTGTAGGAAAAAAAGTCTTTTCAAACAATGGTCCTGGGACAACTGGATACCCACACACAATAGAATGAAGTTGAACCCTCACCTCATATTATCTATAAAAATTAACTCAAAATATAACAAAGCCTTTGTTTATAAAACATTTGTTAGACTGAAAAGTAGAAAACTCTTTTTTTTGTTTTTAGATGGAGTCTTGCTCTGTTGCTCTGTTGCCAGGCTGGAGTGCAGTGGCATGATCTCAGCTCACTGCAACCTCCACCTCCTGGGTTCAAGCCATTCTCCTGCCTCAGCCTCTGGAGTAGCTGGGACTACAGGTGCGTGCCACCACGCCCAACTAATTTTTTTTTTTTTTTTTTTTTTGAGACCGAGTTTTGCTCTTGTTGCCCAGGCTGGAGTGCAATGGCACGATCTTGGCTCACCGCAACCTCTGCCTCCTGGGTTCAAGCGATTCTCCTGCCTCAGCTCCCAAGTAGCTGAGATTACAGGCATGCGCCACCATGCCCCGCTAATTTTTTTGTATTTTTAGTAGAGACGGGGTTTCTGCATGTTGATCAGGCTGGCCTCGAACTCCCGACCACAGGTGATCCACCCACCTTGGCCTCCCAAAGTGCTGGGATTACAGGCATGAGCCACCGTGCCCAGCCCAGTTTTTTGTATTTTTTTAATAGAGACGGTGTTTCACCATGTTGGCCTTAGAGGAAAACATAGACATACATCTTTATGACCTTTGGATTAGCAAGTTTTCTTAGATATGACACAAGTGTTTAACACAGAGCTCCCATATGACCCAGTAATTCCATTCCTAGGTATATATGCAAGAGAAACGAAACAGAAAAACTTAAAACACACACACATATGGCGAAACCCTATCTCTACTAAAAATACAAAAATTTTGCTGGTGTAGTGGCTCATGCATGTAATCCCAGCACTTTGGCAGGCTGAAGAAGGTGGATCATTTGAGGTCAGGAGTTTGAGATCAGCCTGGACAACATGGTGAAACCCCATCTCTACTAAAAAATACAAAAATTAGCTGGGTGTGGTGGCACACGCTTGTAATCCCAGCTACTTGGGAGGCTGAGGCAGGAGAATCTCTTGAACCCAGGAGGTGGAGCTTGCAGTGAGCCGAGATCACACCACTGCACTCCATCCTGGGCAACAGAGACTCTATCTCAAAAAAAAAAAAAAAAAAAAAGAAAGAAAAATTAGCCGGGCATGGTGACAGGTGCCTATAATCCCAGCTACTTGGGAGATTGAGGTGGGAGGATCAGCTGAACCTGGGAAGCAGAGGTTGCAGCCAGCCAGGATTGTGCCACTGCACTCCAGCCTGGGCAACAGAGTGAGACTCCGTCTCAAAAAATAAAAATAAAAATAATACACACACACATATACACATACACCTCTTTATTTCTTCAGTGAGACCTGAAGATATATATCCATAACATAAGAACAGGATGCTATAAAAAATGAACAATAAGAAAGCAAGAAAAACTATCATAAATTAGAAATATGATAGCCAAGGCTGGGTGCAGTGGCTCACACCTGTAATCTCAGCACCTTGGGAGGCTGAGGCGTGTGGATCACTTGAGGCCAGGAGTTTGAGACCAACCTGGCCAATATGGTGAAACCCCGTCTCTACTGAAAATACAAAAATAAGCTGGGCATGGTGGCCCACGCCTGCAATCCCAGCTACTCAGGAGGCTGAGGCAGGAGAATCACTTGAACCCAGGAGGCGGAGGTTGCAGTGAGCTGAGATCAAGCCACCGCATTCCAACCTGGGTGACAGAGTGAGAACCTGTCTCAAAAAAAAATAAATAAATAAAAGCCAAAATTAAAAATTCAATACAAAATTTGAAGGTTGAAGAAATCTCCTAGAGTGTAGTATTTAAATTCTTTTTCTTTTGAGACAAGGTCTTGCTCTGTCTCCCAAGCTGCTGTGCCGTGGCGCCATTCTAGCTTACTGCAAGCCTCAAACTCCTGGCCTCAAGCAAGTCTCATATCTCAACCTCTCAAAGTGCTGGATTATAGGCATGAGCCACTGCAGCTGGCCAGAATGTAGAATTTAAAAGGTGTTGAAAAATATAAAAAATAAGAAAATTGGAGGATTGAGGCTGGTTGAAGGCAGAGGCAGGAGAATAGCTTGAGCCCAGGAGCTTGAGTATAGCCTGGGAAACACAGAAAGCCCATCTCTATATTAAAAAAAAAAATTCTTTTTTTTTTTTTTTTTTTTTTTTTAAGAGAGAGTCTTGCTCTGTCACCCAGGCTGGAGTGCAGTGGTGCGATCTTGGCTCACTGCAACCTCCACCTTCCGGGCTCAAGCAATTCTTATGCCTCAGCCTCCCATGTAGCTGAGATTATAGGTGTGTGCCACCACACCCGGCTAATTTTTGTATTTTTAGTAGAGACAGGGTGGGGGAGTGTTGGGGGAGATGGGGCATGGCAGGGAGGGGATGGCGGGTTTTACCATGTTGGCCAGGCTGGTCTTGAGCTCCTGGCTTCAGGTGATCCTCCCACCTCAGCCTCTAAAAGTGGGATTACAGACATAAGCCACTGCGCCCAGCATTTTTTTTTTTTTTTTAGACAGTGTTGCTGTGTTGCCCAGGCTGGAGTGCAGTGGCACAATCTCGGCTCACTGCAACGTCTGCCTCCTGGGCTCCAGCGATTGTCGTGCCTCAGCCCCCCAGTAGCTGGGATTACAGGTGCACACCATCATGCCTGGCTAACTGTATTTTTAGTAGAGATGGGGTTTCACCATGTTGGCCAGGCTGCTCTCAAACTCCTGGCTTCAAGCAATCCACCTGCCTCAGCCTCCCACAGTGCTGGGATTACAGGCCTGAGCCACTGCACCAAGCCCCAGCTCCAGATTGTGAGTTTCAGAGCCAGGCTAGATAGGATTCAGACTCAGAACTGTGAGATTTCTGCTGCTCAGGCTGTTAACCAGTGACTCATGGTTTTTTTTTTTTTAGGCAGAGTTTTACTCTTGTTGCCCAGGCTGGAGTGCGATGGCTCGATCCCAGCTCATTGCAACCTCCGCCTCCCAGGTTCAAGTGATTCTCCTGCCTCAGCCTCCCAAGTAGCTGGGATTACAGGTGCCCGCCACCATGCCCAGCTAATTTTTGAATTTTTAGTAGAGACGGGGTTTCACCATGTTGGCCAGGCTGGTCTCGAGCTCCTGACTTCGTGATCTGCCCACCTCGGCCTCCCAAAGTGCTGGAATTACAAGCGTGAGCCACCGCGCCCTGCCTGACTTGTGGTCTTTTGAGATTATTTCTGATGTCCCATAGACATTTCAAAAGCAAAATGTCAAAAGCTACACTTGCCTCTCAAACCTTCATTCTCTCTGTGTGATAGGCACCCTCCTTCCCATCTTCCTTCGCTTCCATGGGTCACTCAAAGCTGAAGACCTGCAAGCCATCTCAGGATCCTGTCCTGTATCCCATCAACACTCATCACACCCTCTCAATTCTGGCTCCTAAATACCCCTTGGATTTGGCCTCTCCTCCCCGTTCCCCACTGGCATTGTTTTATTTCAGGTCTTTATGATTTCTTGCCTGGGTTTCTGCAGCAGCCTCCTAACTGCTCTCCCTGACTCCAGTCTTGCCCTCTCTGTTTCATTTTTCATATTGCACACAGGGTGATTTTTCTAAAATGTAAATGTGACCACATCTCTTGCAGGCTTAAAACCTCTCAAAGGTTCTTCACCTCCTCAAGGCTGCAGCACACACCTCCCAGCACAGCTCTGCAAGTTGACCCCGCCCTTCTTCTCCATCGGTGGTTCTCAGAGTGTAGCCCTAAGAGCAGCAGCACTCTGACCCGCTCCATCAAGATCTCTAGGCTTGGAGCTTGCGAGACTATGTAAACAAGGCCAGTTTTTTGTTCGTTTGTTTGTTTTTTGGAGACAGAGTCTCGCTGTGTCACCCAGGCTGGAGTGCAGTGGCTTGATCTTGGCTTACTCCATCTCCACCTCCCAGGTTGAAGTGATTCTCCCGCCTCAACCTCCTGAGCAGCTGGGACTATAGGTGTGCACCACCACACCCAGCTAATTTTTGCATTTTTAGTAGAAATGGGGTTTCAGGCCGGGCGCGGTGGCTCACGCCTGTAATCCTAGCACTTTGGGAGGCCAAGGCGGACGGATCACGAGGTCAGGAGATCGAGACCATCCTGGCTAACATGGTGAAACCCCGTCTCTACTAAAAATACAAAAAATTTAGCCGGGCATGGTAGCGGGTGCCTGTAGTCCCAGCTACTCGGGAGGCTGAGGTAGGAGAATGGCGTGAACCCAGGAGGCGGAGCTTGCAGTGAGCCGAGATCACGCCACTGCACTCCAGCCTGGACGACAGCGAGACTCTGTCTCAAAAAAAAAAAAAAAAAAAAAAAAAAAAGAAAGAAAAAGAAAAAAAAAAGAAATGGGGTTTCACCACATTGGCCAGGCTAGTTTCGAACTCCTGACCTCAAGCGATCCACCCGCCTTGACCTCCCAAAGTGCTTGGATTACCGGTGTGAGTCACTGTGCCCAGCCAACAAGGCCAGTTTTTATGCACATTTAAGTTTGAGAACCACATTGCAGTTAATCTCATCTGGTTTCCTTTCTTGAACTCCATGCTTTAGCCTCATTGAACCATCAGTTTCTGGAAAATGGTATATTATCCCTCACCTTCTATAATTTGCACATGCTATTCTCTGCCCTTATCCCATGGCAATGGCTTTGTCTGCTTTTATCCATATTCCCCACCTCTGTGGAAACTGGAAGGCAGGGTCACCACCTTATTCATCTTTACATCTTTAGGGTCTTGGACCTGACATACAGTAGGTGCTCAATAACTATTTTATTTCTCTCTCTCTCTCTTTTTTTTTTAGAGAAGGGGTCTCACTCTGTCACCTAGGCTGGAGTGCAGTGGCTCAATCATGGCTCACCTCCCCCTCAACCTCCTGGGCTCAAGCAATCCTCCTGCCTCAGCCTCCCAAGTAGCTGAGACTACAGGCACTCACCACCATGGCCAGCTAATTTTTAATTTTTTTGTAGAGATGGGGGTCTTGTTATGTTGCCCTGGCTGGTCTCCAAATATTGGCCTTAAGTGATCCTTCCACCTCAGCCTCCCAAAAGCGCCACTGCACTACAGCCTGGGCGACAGAGTAAGATTCCATCTCAAAAAATAAAAATAAAGATAATACACACACACATATACACATACACCTCTTTATTTCTTCAGCGAGACCTGAAGATATATATGCATAATATAAGAACAGGATGCTATAAAAAATGAACAATAAGAAAACAAGGAAAACTATTATAAATTAGAAATATGATAACCAAGGCTGGGTGCGGTGGCTCACGCCTGTAATCTATTACAGGCGTGAGCCAGTGAGCCTGGCCATTCAATAACTATTTTCTTAATGAACATTGAGGGTGAGATGAGCAGAAACGTAACTGCTAAAAGCAGGCAACATTCAGCTACCAGGATTTATGAGGGAGAACACAGTAAACTGTGCTATTACTTAGGAATACCTAGAGTCAATGTACATTTATTTTCATTTTACTCTAGCCCCACTGGTGATCTCTGCCCAGTAATCTAACTAAATTGATGACAGTGGGAATAAAAGGAAATCATAGATATGTATTATTGTAAAGGAAAAGAAATGCAAATGAATGGGTACAGGGACAGTCTATACAATTGAAGATCTCATCTCTTCATATATATATATATATTTTTTTTTCTTTTTTTTTTCAAGACAGGATCTTAGCACCTACTATTTGCAAGACTCCCCCTATGTTAACCTTTACAGCAACTCTCGGATGGATGTTTTATTATTGAGAGAACTGAGAGACAGAGGTCATTAAATATTTGTCCAAGATCCTACAGCTGCAACATGGTAAATCCACTGCTATTGGAACTTCCTGTTAAGTGAGTTCCATGGCCCCAAACTGCATTCCCACCCATGTTGCTCACAGATTGGTCACAATGTGGCTCACAGTCATAGGCACAGGTGAATGGAACAACCATTATTTTCGATAATGATTCTGGGGTATCATCTTTGACTCAAAAACGCAAACTGTTATTATTATCTATGCAGTCTACAGCCCTCTGCTCTACCAGCTGAGCTATCGAAGAGTGCACAAGCTGTTATTATATCACAAGATTTTTTTTTTCAGACAGGGTCTTATTCTGCGGCCCAGGCTGAAGTGAAGTGGCTCGATGGTAGCTCACTGCAGCCTTGAACTCCTGGGGTCAAGCGATCCTCCTACCTCAGCCTCCCAAGTAGCCGAAACTACAGGCAGGCACCACTATGCCTGGCTGACTTTTGTATTTTTTGTAGAGACGGGGTTTCGCCATGTTGCCAGGCTAATCTGCAACTCCTGGGCTCAAGCAGTCTGCCCACTTCACCCTCCCAAAGTGCTGGGATTTCAGGCTAGAGCCACCATGCCCAGCCCACAAGATCTAAACGCTACTGTTGAAGCAAAAAGACTTGAAGACAGAATTTGCCCTCCTAATATAAGCCCATGGTAACCTGAACCTCCTTCACCCTAACTCTCATCACAGTGTATTGTGATTACTTATTGAGGATGAAATTTGATTTTCCTTTTTGATGTACTTCTCCAACACAGTACCTGGTATGTGGAAGGCACTCAAACTAGGGCCAACCTGGTGCCAGCTAACCTGGGACTAGTGCAAGCTCCTGAAATTCACCTGGTCAAGGGACACATGTTCACAGGATCTCCTGGGGTTGTGTCACCAAAAAAAAAAAAAAAAAAATTTCACCTGGTGTCTCTAGTCACCATGATTTTCTCTAAAATGCCACACAGAATTCTATGTATGGAATTTTTTTCTTTTCTTTTTTCTTTTTCTTTCTTTTTTTTTTTTTTGAGACAGTCTGTCGCCAGTCTGGAGTGCAGTGGCGTGATCTCGGCTCACTGCAGTCTCCTCCTCCCGGGTTCAAGCGGTTCTCCTGCCTCAGCCTCCCGAGTAGCTAGGACTACAGGTCCGTGCCACCACGCCCAGCTAATTTTTGTATTTTTAGTGGAGATGGGGTTTCACCATGTTGGCAAGGATGGTCTAGATCTCTTGACCTTGTGATCTGCCCGCCTCAGCCTCCCAAAGTGCTGGGATTACAGGCGTGAGCCACCGCGCCCGGCCAAAATTTTTTAAAAATAAGGAAAGTTCAAGTTTACTTTAGATACCATAGTTCAGGATTTAAACTCCTGTCCTTACTTTGGAATGTCATTTTAGATACTTATGTGATTGACTGAGGAAAAAGACATTGTAACTGATCTTATCCCCTTTTAAAAAAAAAACCAGCTAACAATTATTCATTTAGTCTTCTGTACATTGTGTGAAATAAAATATAGAAGACTAGGGGACAGTTTCTGCCCTCAAGGAGCTTATGTGGTTTTTTTCGTGCGTTTTTTTGTTGTTGTTGTTTTTGTTTGTTTGTTTGTTTTTTGACATGTTCTTACACTGTCACCCAGGCTGAAATGCAGTGGTGAGATCTCGGCTGACTGCAACCTCTGCCTCCCAGGCTCAAGCGACCCTCACCTCAGTCTCCTGAGTAGCTGGGACTACAGGCATGCACCATCATGCCCAGCTAATTTTTGTGTGTGTGTTTTTGTAGAGACGAGGTCTCGCCCTGTTGCCCAGGCTGGTCTCGAACTCCTGGCTTCAAGTGATTCACCTGCCTCAGCCTCTCAAAGTGCTGCGATTACAGTCATGAGCCGCCTCACCCCGCCAGTCAGGCTCTTAAAAAATCCATCACACAGGCCGGGCGCCATGGCTCATGCCTGTAATCCCAGCACTTGGGAGGCCAAGTCGGGCGGATCACGAGGTCAGGAGATTGAGACCATCCTGGCTAACACGGTGAAACCCCGTATCTACTAAAAATAACAAAAAATTAGTCAGGCATGCTGGCGGACGCCTGTAGTCCCAGCTACTCAGGAGGCTGAGACAGGAGAATGGCGTGAACCCGGAAGGCGGAGCTTGCAGTGAGCTGAGATAGTGCCACTGCACTCCAGCCTGGGAGACAGAGCGAGACTGTGTCTCAAAAAAAAGAGAAAAGAAAAAAAATCCATCATATGTATTCACTAATTTAATCTTCACAACAACTCTAAAGGGTAGGAACTATTTTTTTTGCCCCATTTTACAGATATGAAATGAGAGGCTGTGTTGAAGGTGTTTTCTGGGGTTGATTTAAATAGAATTAATAAACTCAGAAAAAAGATTCTTAATCGATAAAGGTGTTTTTTTTTTTTTTTTTTTTTTTTTTTTTGAGTCGGAGTCTCACTCTGTCATCCAGGCTGGAGTGCAGTGGCGTGATATCGGCTCACTGGAACCTCTGACTCCCTGGTTCAAGCAATTCTCCTGCCTCAGCCTCCCGAGTAGCTGGGATTACAGGCATGCGCCACCATGCCCGTGGTTTCACCATGTTGGCCAGGATGGTCTTGATCTCCTGACCTTGTGATCCGCCCACCTTGGCCTCCCAAAATGCTGGGATTACAGGCGTGAGCCACCGTGCCCGGCCTTGGCTTTCATTCTTATTGTCCCATGGTTACCAGAGCCTAAAGAGGTAAAGAGGTAAGACCTATGAGGCTCTCACAGTTTTTTTTTTTTTTTTTTTTTTTTGAAACAGGGTCTCGCTCTGTCGCCCAGGCTGGAGTGCAGTGGCGCGATCTTGGCTCACTGCAGCCTCCGCCTCCCGGTTCAAGCAATTCTCCCACCTCAGCCTTTCCAGTAGCTGGGATTACAGAGGCGCGCCACCACGCTTGGCTAATTTTTTTTTTGCATTTCTATTAGAGATCGGGTTTCACCATGCTGCGCAGGCTGGTCTCGAACTCCTGACCTCAGGTGATCCACCCACCTTGGCCTCCCAAAGTGCTGGGATTACAGGTGTGAGCCACCGTGCCCGGCCTCTCTCATAGTTTTATTATTCTATTTTCCACAGACCCTTCCTCCCTTAATGTTCATGCCTCTTTAATATTGTTTCTTTTACCTCACTGACATTCTTTTTCGTCCTCCTACCTTTTACTGTGGGTGTCTTATTACCCTTCTTTGGGAGTTTATCCTTTAGCATGTCATAGATCACTATCTTTAGGCAGAGGACCCTGCATCTTCTCTAGTCCTGATTGTCTACCCTTTCTCAAGTTCCATAACTTCAGTTGCCTCTGGGACACCTTCACTGGGTTTTACAAAACCCTGTTACCGGGAACTGAACATATTAAAAGCTAAGATTCCTCCCCAAATCTGCATGTTGCGCCAATTTTCCTGCCCAATTATCTTGTCTGTCCCCTGGTTTTGCGACCTTATTTAAACATTTAAATCCTTTTCTTTAAATTGGAATCTTGATGAGTGGTGCAAAAATCAATGGATACAAATGATATGCCGAGATATGTAAGTCTTCCGCCCACTGGTTCCCTAGGCACTCAGTTCCTCTCCCAGGAGGTAACCACTGTTGCCAGCTCTTAGAGTGATTTTTGATTCCTTCTTCTACCGGCTCTATCTCAAGTCCTTCCCTGTCTGTGAGATGTGTGCCCTTTCCTTTCCAGGCCCTAGTGAACTGATATCTGGTTGAGTTTATATATAAACATTTATATGTGTATATTTTATATACATATATAACATCTCTCCCTATGGCCTTCCGGCCTGGAGTTTTCATCACGTCGCTTCCTGGATGAAAGAATCTCGAGGGGTGAGGGGCAGGGGTTGGGGGTGATGGAGAAGAGAACCTAAAGGGGACTTAGGTAGGGGGTTCAGAGTTGCCAACTGGCGTGACGCTCTGTCAGGATTCCTATTCCTATTCCTCCCACCTCAGGCCCCCTTCTAGTCCTCTCAGCCAAAAGCCTCTCGTTTCCAAGGGCTGAGACAGAGACAGAGACAACGAGATGCACAGAGACAGAGACGCCAAGGCACCTGCATCCCTCTTCCCCTTCTGTCCCGCCCCATCGCTCTGACGGACACCATTGCTCAGCCAATGGCGCTCACGATGTGCCCCTGAAGGGCCAATGAGCGCCAGAGGAGGGCGGAAGATTCCCCGCCCCCACTTCTAGGCTTGGTTGAACCGTGCAGGTAGGTCCGGGGCTGGGGGAGCTGCCTTTGGCACTGGTGCCCCTGGGGGTGGGGGCACGAGTGGGCCAGGGTGATGGTGAGGTAGAGGAGGTGTCCCTGACCCGACGAGCTCGAGGGAGCGGCCTGGCTGGGAGGCGGGGGGCCGCGGGGCCCGGGGAGCGGGCGCCGCCGAGGGCCCTGGAAGCGGCGGGGCTGGGGGAGAGGGGACGCGTGTGTGGGGCACGGGGACGCCCGCCCAGCGCCCACTCGTAGGCCTGGGACGCGGGCTGCCGGCCGAGTGGCCTGAGGGCCTGGCTGCCCGGGGGGCGGGCCGGGGCCGCGGCCGGGGGCGCGGAGCGGAGCTCGGGGCGCCAGGCCGAGCCGAGGTGGGACGGACCGACGCGGAGAGGAAGGGAAGCCGCATCCCGCGGGGCGCCCCTCCTGAAGCGAGCCGGGCAGCGGCCGCGGGCGCCCCTGCCCTGAGCCCACCCCGCGCTCTGCCCTCCCTAACAATGGGAATGGGGCAGAAGGAGGCGCCCCACTGCGGGGAGGTGAGGGGTGGGTTTGGGACTGGGGTCCGCGGTGGGGGGAGGTGCGATCTCGGGCTCTCGCCTCTCCGCTCCCTCTGGCTCTGGAGTTGGGGGCCCCTGTGGGGCTCTGAAGTCCGCCTGAGACTTGGGTCAAGAGTCAAACTGTCGCCCCCCGCTCCTCCCCCAAAATCCGGTGAGCGGTAAGGAAAGTGATGCCAAGTCTTCGAAGCCTCAGTGACAAACGCATAGCAAGAACACATCCACTCCAGAGGTGTTTATTTTTTATTTTTATTTAAAAAGGGGTACTTTTCGACATTTATTTTTAAGAAGTGGGTGCTGTTATTTTTGTCCCTACGCGGGCAAGCCTCCATTTTAAGCGAAGCAGTAACTGGTTAAGCTGGAATTGTATACAGGCCCAGGACTTGAACGAGGATCCTACCAGAGGTCATTTAGTCCATCCTCCTGCCTCCAGGCAAATTTACCTTCCTCCCACCCTCAAAATTAAGTTGCTCGGTCTGCTTTTAACGATCTCTGGGGAAGAAGGGTCCTTTATTTGTTTCTAGTACTTCAGTCAAGAATAGGTTTTACTTTTCATGTGGAATTGACTCTGAAACTTAAGCATAATCTTGGGACAGTCGGGATGATTAGAGAAGTTTTACTTTACTAAATATAATTAAATGTGGCAAGGGTCTTTTTTAGACGGTTAATTAACAAATCACGTTTAGTGTTTATGAAGTACCCTGGAAAATTACTTTATTCTCTCTGGGATTTTGGCTAATTGTTTGATAAGCAATTTTACATTATCTAAAATACGTGTTACATATTTATTTCTCTTTTTATGTAAAGTATGTTTCTACACACATATATATGGAGACACACATTTGCCCTTTTCTAAAGGGGACTGTATTTTCTATACTTTTTTAGTGCGATGAGGCAAATAGTACTTCAAAATCCCTGCCCAGGTAGCTTAAACTATTTGCATTGTCTTGATTATTTTTTAGTCTAAATGAAAATCCTCTCTTTCAGATACCTTCTCGAAACAAAAGATTTTCCTACCTGCTTATACTTGGTAACCGAGGGAATTTCTAAGACTTCTTGCTCATTTCTGAGTATTGTCTTTATATCCTGACACTATGAATGCTACTTGGATGCCTCTTAAGGTAAGATGTGTTATTTTTTCATTACCAGCCTCATTTTATTCATTTTTCTTTAGAATTGGGAATATTGTAGTTTTTGAATTTGCTATTCTTCACTTCCTTTACCTGCCATTTCTCTTGCCTCTTGTGTTTGCTTCCTAGGATTGATTGGCTATATCTTACTTTGTATCTCTACTGTTCTTTGATTATCGGTGTGAATGTTTTAATGAAGTTCTCAAATTAACTTCCATTATAATGAAAGGCAGTGATCTTTTTAACTTTAAATTATGGCAACTTACATAGTTGTAAAATTATGTTCCGGTCTTAGGATGGGTTGGCAATTCAAACATCTAGGTCCACTTTTCAAACAGGTACTTTAGAGTCATAGGTACTAGGGTGTGTCCCACTCTTGCAAATCAGTAGCTGATTCACGTGTTACAAAAGATGTGTCATTAACCATTTGTTTACTCTGAAACTTCATATAGTATATTAGGGCATTCTAAGACCTGCTGGTTTACACGTATGACTCTTTCAGAGTCCTCCTGCTGCACCCCAGTCCTTTGTGTGACATTTCATACTATTTTTCTCAGCAGGTAGCACTTACACCAAGTTTTATTTCACAGGGTAAACCTCATTTGGACAGTGTGGACAGATGACCTTTAGATGAAAAAGCTCCCATTGATGTGGTTCTCCAGTCTCTTTGGCTCCTCTAATCTCTTGTACATAGATGGCCAAAGAACTCTCCATTAGGACTAAGCAAAGGGCAGAGCTTAAGACTTAAGTAGGTGGCTTCTTTGATTTTCTTGTGACTAAAAATACATTAAAAAATAAAATTAAATAAAAACAAACAGAAAAGACGTAAGGAGGGGATGGGAGGAAGGACAGAGAAGGATAAGGAGTCTTGGAAACCCTCCACCAGCTTCGCCTTTCTTCAGAGTTGGATACTAGCTTAGTTAAGATTGTTGGGTGCTAATCTGCTCTGTGGACTTCCAGATTGATGCAGAGGAGAAATCAGACAATAGTGCAGTGTGTGTAACCTATATATCTGGACTTGTGGGAAATCTTAGGTCATGTAGGCTGAGTTCTCATCTTCATTTATGTTTCAGCTGCTATTGCTGGATAAGAGTGCTTATATTAATATACAGGAAGCCAAAGTGACACAGTTTTTCCAGCATTCTCCCTGTAGAGTTGGAGGGGTTGCATGGGGAATGCAACCAGAAGTTCTGAACCCGTTAAGAATCAGAGGACCTGTGTAAGAGTGTTTCGACTTAGCAAGTGTTGAGCACCAGTGTTGGTGGCCTCTGTCCTCTTTAGGAAGCAGGCAAGGGGATTGAGATCAATACATTGGATTTCATTTTATAGTTTCCTAGGTTTTAACGAATGTATTTGGTACACAAAGCCCTACTTTTAAAGCTATTTCCAGTGTTTAAGGTTTTACCTCTAAATCTCTCTGAACCTGGGTTGTAATACAGTAACCTCAGAAGTTCTACTAGAGGTCTCTGGCATGGCAGGAATAGAGAAAGGAAATCAGCTCCATATCGTGAGTTACCACCTGTTACTACTTAAGAATGCAGTTAGGTGGTTGCCTTAATATTATGTTCCTTACCAATCCTTTGCTCAGTGGGAAACATCTTCTAAGTGTAAACCAATTTTTGGGGGTAATGTTTTCTTCCTATTTTTATTACTTAGAAACCTTAAAAATTACAGTGTTCGTCTGGTCAGAAAAAAAGGTCCTTTTTGCGGGGAGGATAGCATTGAGTTTGTGGGCTGGAAAATAGAAGTGGGGAGAGGGAACTTTATTCTCTTTTTCATTGGTGAATATCCTTAAAACATTTCTAAGATGTAGTTTCAGATTGGAGCTACTTAATTTAAGTAAAAAGAAATGATAGGTTAATTAAAGTGCATATTTTGGAGCCCAAATGTTTATTTTATATAGATCTTATATTTTGTTTCCAATTATCTTATTGTAGAATGAACTCTGTCGTTCTGTCAGGCATTGCGTAAATGTTAGACTGAGTATGTGCTTGTTTCCATGCGTATAGAAAATAGCGTCACACTCACTCAGTCTTCACAAATGAAAATGCCAGAGGAGGCAAGTAACAAGGAAGAATAACTCCAAACCAAAACTCCTCAATTTAAGGCACTCTCGTTAATTAGAAGTTCTCATGGAAATTATTATTTATCCCTTTTTCTCTGTGTTAGGGGTCTGTACCTTTTTAAAGCCTGAATATTTCTAGCCACGACTAAGCAATGTCAGTGATGTTACTAGGGTCTAGTTGTCAGGGTTAGGGCTAAGGAGTGGGTGAGATGGGAGAGGAATAGGGAAAGGAAGGAGAATTGAGTGAGTTGGAGAAAAGAGTGAAATGAAGATGAGGAGGAGAGAAAAGATACAGGGTCTTTAGTGTGTAGCATGGAGCCATCATCAGTTGTCTCAGGTAGTTCTTAGGGCTGCTGGATGCCTTGTGTGCTAGACTGAACTATGGTGAAATGAAGTAAAAACTGTTCTTGACAAGCAAAACGAGAGAATTAAAACATAATTTAATATGATATAGAAAGATCTGCAAGGCAGACAGTTAAGTGATGAAAGCAAGATGCAGAACAGTATGTATGATTTGATACCCTTTGTGTTTTTTGGGAAAAAAAAACAGGAGAAAAAGATAATTTGCATTGGTGTATGTATGCAAAAAAACAAAAAAGATATTTAGGGCTGGGCATGGTGGCTCACACGTGTAATCCCAGCACTTTGGGAGGCCAAGGTGGGTGGATTACCTGAGGTCAGGAGTTTGAGACCAGCCTGGCCAATATGGTGAAACCCCGTCTCTACTGAAAATATAAAAACTAGCTGGGGCGTGGTGGCACACACCTGTAATCCCAGCTACTCGGGAGGCTGAGGCAGGAGAATTGCTTGAGCCTGGGAGACGGAGCTTGCAGTGAGCTGAGATCACGCCACTGTACTCCAGCCTGGCTGACCAAGCGAGACTCTGTCTCAAACAACAGCAACAACACAAAACTTTAGAAAAATAAATAAGAAAATGGTGGCACTGGTTACCTGTTAGGTCTAGGAATTGTTCAGGTAGAGGACAGAGTAGGGAGGAGACTTCTCATTGCATTATATCTTTTTACACTTTCTGATGTTTGTATCAGATTTTAAAAATTAAATAGAAAATTGAAAATTTTAGCTGGGCGCAGTGGCTCACGCCTGTAATCCCAGCACTTTGGGAGGCCGAGGAGGGCGGATCATGAGGCAACATGGCAAAACCCCATCTCTACTAAAAATACAAAAGAAAATTAGCCAGGCATGGTGGTGTGCACCTGTACTTGCAGCTACTTGAGAGGCTGAGGTGGGAGGATGGCTCGAGCCTGGGAGGTGGAGGTTGCAGTGAACTGTGATTGCGCCCCTGCAGTCCAGCCTGGGTGATAGAGCCAGACCTTGTCTCTTGTCTCATTAAAGAAAAAAAAAAATTAACTTGTTCTTAAAGTTTTAGTAAAAACAGGTTTTCATTGTATATCCCCTTAAGTTAGCAATTAGATATAATCTCAGCATTCTTCTTCTTTTTTTTTTTTTTTTATGAAACAGAGTCTCGCTTTGTTGTCCAGGTGATCTTGGCTCACTGCAACCTCCACTTCCTGGGTTCAAGTGATTCTCCTGCCTCAGCCTCCCGAGTAGCTGGGATTACAGGCGCCTGTCACCATGGCCAGCTAATTTTTTTTTTATTTTTAGAGAGATGGGGTTTCACCAGCTTGGCCAGGCTGGTCTTAAACTCCTGACCTCAGGTGATCCACCCGCCTCGGCCTCCCAAAGTGCTGGGATTACAAGCATGAGCCACCGTGCCCGGCCTAATCTCAGCACTCTTAACCGTGTGACTTTGGGCGATTTCTTAATCTCTTAATTTCTTAATCTCTCTGAGATTCAGGTTCCTCCTTCATACTGGAAATAATAACACTTACTTCAGAGGACTTTTGTATTATATCTGTAAAGGACATAGGGCAGTGTTTGGCTCAGTGGACTACTACTTATCGTAATTACTAATTTTTTTTTTTTTTGAGATGGAGTCTTGCTGTGTCGCCCAGGCTGGAGTTCAGTGGCACGATCTCGGCTCACTGCAACCTGCGTCTCCTGAGTTCAAGCAATTCTCCTGCCTCAGCCTCTCAAGTAGCTGGGATTACAGGCACATGCCAGCATGCCCGGCTTGTTTTTCTATTTTTAGTAGAGACGGGGTTTCACTATGTTGGCCAGGCTGGTCTCAAACTCCTGGCCTCAAGTGATCCACCCGCCGTGGCCTCCCAAAGTGCTGGGATTACAGGCGTGAGCCACCACGCTAGCTCTTATTGTAATTACTGTTAATAATAGCTCCTCATAGCCTAGTGGTGAGAGAGAGGGCTCTGGCTATGTGATATTGGGTAAGCTCATTAACCTCTTAGAACCTCGGCATCCACACCGTAAAAAGGGTGTAATGATAGTACCTAGATCCTAGAGTGGACTTTATAAGGATTAAATGAGTTTATTCACGCAGAGTGTTTAGAACAGTACCTGGTAGGTACTTAGTAAACCTGAGCTGCGAATTTTCTTATGACATCTGTTTGCTAAGGCTGCTGCCACAGAGTGACATATGCTGAGTGGCTTAAATAACAGAAATTTATTGTCTCCCTGTTCTGGAGGCTAGAAATCTAAGGGCAGAGGCATGCTTTCTCTGAAGCTACTGGGACAGGATCTGTTTCAAGCCTCTCTTCTAGCTTCTGGTGGCAGCATAACTCCAGTCCTTATGTAGAGTTCTCCCTGTGTATATTTCTTTTGTTTTTTTAGACAAAGTCTTGCTCTGTTGCCCAGGCTGGAGTGCAGTGGCATAATATTGGTTCACTGCAACCTCTGCCTCTCAGGTTCAGGTGATTCTCCTTCCTTAGCCTCCTAAGTAGCTGGGATTACAGTCACGTGTCACCATGCCCAGGTAATTTTTTGTATTTTTTGTAGAAACAGGGTTTCACCATGTTGCCCAGGCCGGTCTTGAACTCCTGACCTCAGGTGATCTGCCTGCCTTGGCCTCCCAAAGTGCTGGGATTACAGGCATGAGCCACAGCACCCAGCCTAAATTTTGTATTTTTTGTAGAGGCAGGGCTGCACCTTGTTGCCCAGGCTGGTCTCAAACTCCTGACCTTAAGTGATCTGCCCACCTCAGCCTCCCAAAGTGCTGGGATTACAGGCGTGAGCCACTGCGCCCAGCCTCCCTGTGTGTATTTCTTTGTGTCCACAATTTCCCCTTTTTTATAAGGACAAGTCATAATGGGATTAGAGTCCTCCCTGATGACCTCATTTTAACTTTATGACCTCTTTGGAGATCTTATCTCTTTCTTTTTTTTCAGAGTCTCTCTTTGTTGCCCAGGCTGGAGTACAGTGGGGTGATCTCAGCTCACTGCAACCTCCTCCTCCTAGGTTCAAGTGATTCTTCTGCCTTAGCCTTCCAAGTAGCTGGAGTTACAGGTGCTCGCCACCATGCCTAGCTAATTTTTACATTTTTGGTAGAGATGGGGTTTCTCCACATTGGCCAGGCTGGTCTCGAACTCCTGACCTCAAGTGGTCCACCCACCTCGGCCTCTTAAAGTGCTGAGATTGCAGGCGTGAGCCACCGCACCTGGTCTGAAGATCCCATCTCTAAGATCACATTCTGAGGTACTGAATGTTAGGAGTACTACATATCTCTTTTTTTTTTTTTTTTGAGACAGGGTCTCCCTTTGTCATTCAGGCTGGAGTGCAGTGGCACTTGGATCACTGCAACCTCCAGCCCCCCATCCTCCCGTATACTCTAAATCAGTGGTCCCCAACCTTTTTGGCACCAGGGACTAGTTTCGTGAAATATAATTTTTCCACAGAGCCGGGGGCCGGAGAGGGGGATCAGGGATAGTTTTGGGATGATTCAGCACATTGCATTTACTGTGCACTTTATTTCTATTATTATTACGTTATAATATATAATGAAGTAATTATACAAACTCACTGTAATGTAGAATCAGTGGGAGCCTGAGCTTGTTTTGCTGCAACTAGATGGTTCCATCTGGGGGTGATGGGAGACAGTGACAGATCATCAGGCATTAGATTCTCATAGGAGCACGCAGTGTAGATCCCTCACGTGCAGTTCACAATAGGGTTCACCCTCCTATGAGAATCTAATGCTGCAGCTGATCTGACAGGAGGTGGAGCTCAGTTGGTAATGTGAGCCATGGGAATGGGACGCGGCTGTAAATACCGATGAGGCTTCTCTCACTCACCTGCTGCTCACCTCCTGCTGTGCAGCCCCATTCCTAACAGGCCCAGTTCTTAAGAGTACTGGTCTGTGCCCCAAGGGTTGGGGACCCCTGCTTTAAATCACCTCTAGATTAGTTATAATGCTGAATACAACATAAATGCTGTATAAATAGTTGTGAAACGCTATTGTTCATGGAATAATGACAAGAAAAAAGTCTGTACATGTTCAGCACAGATGTAGTTTTTTTTTTTTTCCTGAATAATTTCTATCTGTGGTTGGTTGAATCCATGGATATGGAACCCATGGATGTGGAGGGCCAATTCTATAGTAACAAGTCACTGTCTCATTCCTGTCCCTTAACCATTCGGTTCCCCTCGCATAGACAACTTTTTTTTTTTTTTTTGAGACAGAGTTTTGCTCTTGTTGCCCAGGCTGGAGTGCAATGGCTCGATCTCGGCTCACTGTGACCCCTGCCTCCTGGGTTCAAGCGATTCTCCTGCCTCAGCCTCCTGAGTAGCTGGGACTACAGGTGTGTGCTACCATGCCCAGCTCATTTTTGTATTTTTACTAGAGATGGGGTTTCACCATGTTGGCCAGGCTGGTCTCAAACTCCTGACCTCAGGTGATTTGCCCACTTCGGCCTCCCAAAGTTCTGGGATTATAGGCATGAGCCACCATGCCTGGCTGACAAACATTTTTATTTCTTATATATCTGTCCAGACATATTTTATGTATATACTGGCAGCTCTATATACATATATTCCCATTAAAAAACACATTAGTAGTATACTATTCATGTGTAAATATACTTTTTTTTTTTTGAGATGGAGTTTCACTCTTGTTGCCCAGGCTGGAGTGCAATGGTGCGATCTCGGCTCACTGCAACCTCTGCCTCCCAGGTTCAAGCGATTCTCCTGCTTCAGCCTCCCGAGTAGCTGGGATTACAGGCGTGTGCCACCACGCCCAGCTAATTTTGTATTTTTAGTAGAGATGGGGTTTCTCCATGTTGGTCAGGCTGGTCTTGAACTCCCGACCTCAGGTGATCCACCCGCCTCGGCCTCCCAAAGTGCTGGGATTACAGGCATGAGCCACTGCGCCCGGCTGTAAATATGCTTTTTGTAGGTTCTCTTAGTTCAGATGTAGGACCAGTCTGATGTTAGGTTCTTAGGTAAGGACCTATATAAAGATAGTATAAAATGGTACCTAATATTACAAAGCTTTTTTAGGAA
The DNA here is from genome assembly GCF_000001405.40 of Homo sapiens. Classification (NCBI taxonomy): domain Eukaryota; kingdom Metazoa; phylum Chordata; class Mammalia; order Primates; family Hominidae; genus Homo; species Homo sapiens. The sequence goes on from NT_187663.1 coordinate 331,610, forward strand.
TGGCAAAGGGATAATATGGCAGCTTCCTCCCTGTCAGTTCTGCATTGGTGACTAAGGATCTCAAATTTCTGGATAATCTGGCTTGCTTAGTTACGACGAGAGACCAGAACTTGCTGATAGCATATGAAATCTTCGGGGGAGTTTTGAATGTTTTTCATTTTTTAATCTGATATGATGTAGCAGACATGACATTGACTCACATGCAAGCCCCAAACATGCCGAAGCTGCGGGAGCTCTCTATCAGCCATAGTAGGCTGCTCTGTTGCCGTTGGTTCAGGCAGCTGTTGAGTGGGCCTGGGAGGCACGGAGGGAAAGGGAAGAGGGCCGGCACTGGTTTACTCTCCTAGACATAGTCGTGAAATCTCATGGTCAAAGGAAACCAAGAAGTCATCTTATCCTGCTACTATTTTCCTTCCAGGGTCTCTTCTGCAGGGTCCCCATGAATTGTGGCTGAAGTTGTGCACAAACAAGTATCTCCAGTGACAGGAGTGCCTTCTGAGGCAGCCATTGCATCTTCATCTGCTGACACTCTGCTAGGCTGACTTCTGTAGTTTTCACCACTGATCTTCAGTCCACCTCACAGAGCTCTATAAAACGCTTAAATCCTCTTTACATCATAGACTTTCAGCTACTTGAAGATAGCCATCAGCCGCTACGTGACTCTTTTCTCCAGGTAAAATCTCCAATTATAGCAGCTGTTCTTCATATGGCCTAGTGTCTAATGCCTTTGCTCTCCTGATCATTTTTTGAATTTTTTCAGTTTGCCCCGGTCTCAGAGTGTGGGATCCAGCACTGCCCATATAACGTTCCCAGGATGTTCTGACTGATGTAGAGTAAGCCTGGTATCACCCATGTCCTAGGAACTGAGACCCCGTCACTACTGGTGATGCAGCCTAGGATCAAACTGTTCTTTTGGCAGCCACTTCACATTTTTGTGTTAAGGGCTTACTCTTAGCCAAACACAAATTTTGTTTTGTTTTGTTTTTTGTTTTTTCCGAGACAGGTTCTCACTCTGTCACCTAAGCTGGAGTGCAGTGGCACCATCTCAGCTCACTGCAACTGCTGCCTCCCGGGTTCAAGCAATTCTTTTACCTCAGCCCCCCCAGTAGCTGGGATCACAGGTACGCGTCACCACGCCTGGCTAATTTTTGTATTTTTAGTAGAGATGGGGTTTTGCCAAGTTGGCCTGGCTGGTTTCGAACCCCTGACCTCAAGTCATCTGCCCACCTTGGCTTCCTGAAGTGCTGGGATTACAGGCCTGAGCCACCACACCTGGCTGACAGATTGTTGTTATCATTAATGTCACATGAACTACTGCCAAAGGCGTCTCCCCTTCTTGTGCTTGGAGGGTGTGTTGGATGCCACCTGTGCCCCTCCCTGGAGATGCTTTTGGCCCCACAGCTTCCTCCAGCCAATGTAGCAGTGACTGGGTCTGTGCAGGTTTTGGTCACCTTCACTCAGGTGTGATGGGGTGGTGCCTTTCTTTGGCCTGCCCCAGGTATCTTTTACTTTTTGGGATGTATTTGATGCTATAGTATGGAATGCTGCAGAGACTTCCGGCACCAACCCCCTGGAGTTGGACTTTATTTCACAGGTTGAGGGCACCATCCTCCACAAGAATCCCCAACTTCAGCCACCAGCTGGCAACAGGTTTGGGGGTCCTCAGCCCACCCTCACTTCTGGCCAGATGGCTACAAATTTGGCGATTTCCACTACCCCCTCAGGTTTGATCACTTGTCAGAATGATTCACAGAATTCAGGGACATGCTATGCTTACAACTACAGTTTTATTAATTGATCAATAAAGCAAAAGGATATAAATGAACCAGTCAAAGGGAAAGACACATAGATCTGGGAGGACACCAAACGCAAAGCTTTCATTGTTCTCTCCCCGTGGAGTCAGGGGCTGTTACCTTTCCAGCACATCGATGCGTGACAATGTATAGAGTATTGCCAACCAGGGACGTGCTCCTGAGCTTCAGTATTTGTCATTTTTATTGGGGCTTCCTTGCATAGGTACGATTGATTGAATCATTGGCCATGTGACTCAAACTTTAGCACCCTCATTTCCCCAGAGGTGATCTTGTTAGCATCCACTATCTAGGGGCCCACTCTGAGTCACCTTGTTAGCATCAACTTAGAGGTGTGGGCCCGCTATGATAACAAAGATACTGCTGATCGGGCGCGGTGGCTCACGCCTGTAATCCCAGCACTTTGGGAGGCCGAGGCGGGCGGATCACAAGGTCAGGAGATCGAAACCATCCTGGCTAACATGGTGAAACCTTGTCTCTACTGAAAATACAAAAAATTAGCCGGGTACGGTAGCGGGCGCCTGTAGTCCCAGCTGCTCGGGAGGCTGAGGCAGGAGAATGGTGCAAACCCGAGAGGCGGAGCTTGCAGTGAGCCAAGATCGCGCCACTGCACTCCAGCCTGGCGGACAGAGCCAGACTCCGTCTCAAAAAAAAAAAAAAAAAAAAAAAAAAAAAGATACTGCTATCACTCTGAAAAGTCCAAGGGTTTAGAGGCTACCTTCTAGAAACTGGGGACAAAGACCAGCCAAATTCATTACTATAAGATGCCCATAGGAATCTCTTGGTGTTCATACCAATGTGACCCAGAAGTATGGGTGGCCTAACACCTGTTGAGTTGTTCTTGAGCAACAGGGAATGGGTACTGAAGGATACTTGTTTCCTCTTTTGTCCTCTGGGTGGACAGTTCTGACAGGCATTTGATATGGCTTCTTAGAATGTCCAACAACGGTGAGCAGTGGTCCCATAGTGGGGGCCCAGCTTGATAACTCGTCCTTCTATTGTCTGTCCCTCCTGCCCTGTTTTACTCCCTCAGCCCCTCATTCCTGATCTCTGGGATCACTTCCCAAAGAACGTACCTGCACTTAAGCTTTTGTCTCAAGTTTTGCTTTAGAGGGCTAGCCCTAGAATGCTTTTATTATACTAAACTTTACATGTTTTAAAAAACAATGTTTTGGCCAGGGGCAGTGTCTCACGCCTATAATCCTAGCACTTTGGGAGGCTAAGGCAGGCAGATCACCTGAGGTCAGGAGTTCGAGACCAGCCTGACCAATATGGTGAAACCTCGTCTCTACTAAAAATACAAAAATAAGCAGGGTGTGATGGTGTGCCTATATTCGCAGCTAATCGGGAGGCTGAGACAGGAGAATTGCTTGAACCCAGGAGGTGGAGGTTGCAGTGAGCCGAGGTCACGCCACTGCATTCCAGCCTGGGCTGCAGCAAGACTCCATCTCAAAATAAATAAATTAATTAATTAAAAAAAAGTTTTTTTCCCTGACGTGGAAATTAAGTGATTAGAAAACGAGACTAACTTTTTCAGGATATATTCTTGTTGTTAATATGGTGCAGGGCTGTGATGCTTCTGCAAAATGTAAGTTGAGTGTATAGCAGGCCTCCTAACTCTAGAGATGATGTATCCTTCCGTATCGATTGCCTTTGTGAAGTCACACACATAAGCAGGGAGAAGTCGTGAAGATACATAAACAGCTGCGTTTTCCAGGCTCAGATCACTAACATGCTCGTGATTTCTTTCTAGGTCTGATTTTTATGGTTGACAGTAATGACAGAGAGCAGATTGATGAGGCCTGGGAAGTGCTAACTTACTTGTTAGAGGACGATGAGCTCAGAAATGCAGTTTTATTGGTATTTGCCAATAAACAAGTATGTTGTTATTGGCTTTCTGAATGCTGGAACTGAAATTTACTGCCAAATGTCTCACTTGTAAATACAGACATTTAAATGAGATGTCTGCCTCCCTCTCTCCAGTACCAACCATAATATCTCCCACCATCTCCTTGCTAGAATGTCTTTTTTTTTATTGAGACAGAGTCTCACTCTGTTGCCCAGGCTGGAGTACAGTGGTGTGATCTCAGCTCACTGTGACCTCCACCTCCCGGGTTCAAGTGATTCTCCTGCCCCAGCCTCCCAAGTAACTGGGATTACAGGCATGCGCCGCCATGCCCACCTAATTTTTGTATTTTTAATAGAGACTGGGTTTCACCATGTTGGCCAGGCTGGTCTGGAACTCCTGACTTCAAGTGATCTGCCCACCTCGACCTCCCAAATTGCTAGGATTACAGGTGTGAGCCACTGAGCATCTACTAAGTTCCAGACTTGGTTTTAGGCTTAAACCAAGACAGATAAAGTCCTTGTGTTCTTGGAGTTTACGTTGCTAGTGGGAAGAGAGTCAACCAATAAATAACATGAAATGTGCCAGGTGTGGTGGCTCATGCCTGTACTCCCTACACTTTGGGAGGCTGAAGCGGGGGGAATCACTTGAGCCCAGGAGTTCAAGACCAGCCTGGGCAACATAGTGAAACCCCATCTCTACAAAAAAGTACAAACATTAGCTGGATGTGGTAGCATGCACCTGTGGTCCCAGCTATTCAGGAGGCTGAGGTGGGAGGATCACTTAAGCCTGGAAGTTCGGGGCTGCAGTGAGATGAGATTATTCCATTACGCTCCATCCTGGGCTACAGAGTAAAATAAATAATAATACGTGTCAAATGGTTTTTAAGTGTTGTGGAAGAAGCAAAAGCATAGTAAAGGGGCAGGGCGGGTGTGGGAAAGACTGGGAATGCCTCTCTGATGAGATGACATCTGAGCGGAGACCAGAAGGCTGGGAGGAAGGGAGCCACACGATTCTAGGAACAGCATGGGAGCCAGTGCAGCTGGAACAGAATGAGCAGGGGAGAGAGAGAGGAGATGAGATTGAATCATATAGGGCCTGTTTTGGAGGAGGAAAAGGGCTTGTACATAAATGTAAAACAGTAAAAGAAACATGGGAGGAAGACCAAGCGTAGAACTATCCAGCCTCAGGACTCTGAGCTAAACTAAGCATGAAAAAGAAGGTAGAAAGAACCACGTGGAATTGTACCAGTCTGAGATGACCACCGTCACATTCTGACATCCTTCCTTCACTTTCTCTTCCATGAGTGCATTCATTATGTAATTGTGATCATACTGTTGTGACAATGTTGCATCCTGTTTTATCACTTTAGATTTATCAAAATCATTGTCTCTTGTTTTCCAACTCTTTGTAGACCTGATTTTAAACGGTGGATGGATCATCATTTGTACAACCGTTACTCTCACTGTTCAGGTTCAATGTCAGTCCAGAGTTTGCACTAGTGAACATATGACTATTAAAGAAAGAAAATGACTCTGGAGGGTGTGTGTGTGTATGTGTGTGTGATTTTTTTGTTTTGTTTTGTTTTGAGACAGGGTCTTACTCTGTCGCCCAGGCTGGAGTGGAGTGGTGCGATCACAGTTCACTGCAGCCTCGAACTCCTGGGCTCAAGTGATCCTTCTTCCTCAGCCTCCCAAGTAGCTGGGACTGCAGGCACGTGCCACCATGCCCAGCTAATTTTTTAATTTTTTTGTAGAGCTGAGATCTTGCTATGTTGCCCAGGCTGGTCTCAAACACCTGTGCTCAAGCTGTCCTCCCACCTCAGCCCCGCAAAGTGCTGGGATTATAGGTATAAGCTACCGTGCTTGGTGCCTCTGTTGTTTTCAATGATAAAAACAGAATGTTCTCATGGTATAAATACGCATACAGTTGAGAATATTCAAGTGAAATATTCTGGTGCTACTATTCATTGTTAAATTTATTCTTTCTCTTTCCAGAGGTCCAACTTTCTCTGCCTGTGTAAACAATTGTATGATTATGTTCTTTCACTTAGTATATCTTGGAAGTCCTTCCATATCAGTACATCTACAGCTACTTTAATTAATTAATTAATTTATTTATTTATTTATTGAGATGGAGTTTCACTCTTGTTGTCCAGGCTGGAGTGCAATGGCGCTACCTTGGCTCACCGCAACTTCCGCCTCCTGGGCTCAAGCAATTCTCCTGCCTCAGCCTCCCGAGTAGCTGGGATTACAGGCATGCGCCACCACTCCTGGCTAATTTTGTATTTTTAGTAGAGACGGGGTTTCTCCATGTTGGTCAGGCTGGTATAGAACTACCAACCTCAGGTGATCCGACCACCTCGGCCTCTCAAAGTGCTGGGATTACAGGTGTGAGCCACCGTGTCCAGCCTTACTTTGTTCTTTAATGCTGATTTATTCAAATTTAGTTTGAGCTTATTCTGTGCCAAGCACATTTCAAGGCACTTGGGATACATCAGAGGACGAGATAGACCAAGATTCCTGCCCTTGTAAAGCTTGCATTCTAGTTAGGGGAGACAGATAGATAGTCAATAATAAATATACTTAAATAAGTAAATGTCGTGATATAGTAATGTATGGTGAGTGCCATATTGAAAAGATGGAACAGACCACTTCGTTGAGGTCTCCGGTCCAGGAGGCTTTGTGGACCATAAGGACTCTGACTCGTATCCTGAGAGAGGGGGAGCTGTTGCAGTTTTGATAGAAGAATGATTCAATCTGATTCACCGATGGCTGGGTTGAGAATAGGCTTCACGGGAGCAAGAGCAGAGAAGTAGGGAGGACAGTTAGGAAGTTATTTCAGTCATCCAGGTGAGAAGCGATGTGGTGTCAGATCACGGCGACAGCTGTGGAGTTAGTAAGTGGTCAGATTCTGGATAAATTTTGATAGTGGAACCGTTAGGAGTTCCTGACAGATTGGCTGTGACATTGAGAGTAAAAAAGTAAGGATAATTTCAAGCTTTTTGGCCTGAGCAACTGGAAGGTTGGAGTTGCCATCAACAGAGAAGACTGTGGGTTTGGGCACGTTTAACAGGGAAGAGCATATTTCGCTATATGGATACAACAGTATACATTGACTTTTGAATGTTCTTTTTCAAGGATCTCCCTAATACTATGAACGCGGCAGAGATAACGGACAAGCTCGGCCTCCATTCCCTCCGCTACAGAAACTGGCACATTCAGGCTACTTGTGCCACTACTGGACATGGGCTTTACGAAGGCCTGAACTGGCTCGCCAACCAGTTCCAGAACCAGAACTGATCAGAAGGATCTATTCTTTGTGCCTTGTGGCCACATCAGCTAGCCTCTGCTGTGTGCACGTGTACGTGTGTGCTGGGAGTGGAGGCAGCTTTCTCACAGTGCCTTATCCATGCCATAAGAAAAGCAGTGTTACATTTTAAGAAACCCAGTGTTAAGTTTTAAACACCACCTTCCATTTCAGTAGCTTTGATGATCATTTTTGCAATTGATGGAGAAGTCCAGAGGGCTTGCTGGTGCTCGAAGGCCAGAGCGGGCTTCATGGAGGCGAGTTGGAGCGGGGACTGAGTTCAGCTGTTGCAATCCTGGTCTGGCGTCTGGAGTCCTGTTAGTCTTTGGCATCCTTTCGTAAAAAGGAAGGAATTGTCATTCTTTTTTTTTTAAAACCATATTTTTACTGTACCTTTTCATGTTTATTTATTTTTTATTAAAAAAATTTTTTTTGAAACAGCCTCCCACTCTGTCGCCCAAGCTGGAGTGCAGTGGTGCGATCTCAGCTCACTGCAACCTCCGTCTCTCGGGCTCAAGCAATCCTCCCACCTCAGCCCCCTGAGTAGCTGAGACTATGGGTGTGCACCACCACACCTGGCTAATTTTTGTATTTTTTGTGGAGACAGGGTCTTGCCATGTTGCCCAGGCTGGTCTGTAACTCCTGAGCTCAAGGGATCCACCCACCTCAGCCTTCCAAAATGCTGGGATTACAGGCATGAGCCACTGCGCTACCGAGAAATCGTCATTCTTTACCACCACTGCTGCAGCTAGCAGCTCACTCTTCAGTGCTTTAAGCAAATGATCCTCAGGAAAGAAAAGGTATTTGCTTATTGCAGGTGCAAAGAGGCTCAGATTGGAACTTTTCCCTGAAACTATATTGTAGCCCAGAGTTCCTGATGTAAGACGCTTTATTTAAAGACATCCGTGAGCTTTTTCACTGGCATATCAATACTTCATAACACTAGGAAGGTATCCAGCCTTTTCCTTATGCTAGTTCCTTCCCTTATTTGCCAGATGGGGACCCTGTGGGGAGGTGACCCAGTGTGAGGCCGAAGCTCTTTCCCAGAGCCCCACAGGCCAGTGGAGGGTCGTGTTTGTGCTCTGGGCATCACCGTCTTGGGTCTCGGTCCCCTGCGACTGCAGCTGCTACATCCCTCCCTGCTCTGAGATAAATGTTCTTCCCATGAAGCAGACGGTTCACTTTTGGGATGGCGCTGTCTCCAGGTTTGGCTGTCTCAGTCCAGATGATGTTTGGTTAGTTTCCATTCCCAGAACCACAAGCCTTTGAGTTCTGAAAGTTTGTGACAGAATCAAGAGGCTAATTTGGGAGATGTGAGATTCCCAGCCCACCTGGTATTGCCCTCGAGTTAGTGGTAAATTTTGCTATGGAAAATATCTCTTGTCAAGACCAAGCTCCGGCGCATTGCCTCCCTCTTTTGGATGGCCATGGCATCTCATGAACCACTTGGAAATGTGTTTTATGTTGTTCTCCAAATATTAATAAAAATATCCCGGAGAGGAGGTTCACTAAGTAGCCTAGAGCTCGTTTGTCCAGACAATTGTTGGCCATATTAGTACCTAAGCACTTCTATTTAAACTTTTTCTTCTTTTTTTTTTTCTTTTTGAGATGGAGTCTTGCTCTATCACCCTGGCTAGAGTACAGTGGCGTGATCTTGGCTCACAGCAACCTCTGCCTCCCGGGTTCAAGCGATTCTCCTGCCTCAGCCTCCTGAGTAGCTGGGACTATAGGCGCCCGCCACCACGCCCAGCTAAATTTTGTATTTTTAGTAGAGACAGGGTTTCATCATGTTGGCCAGGCTGGTCTTTAATTCCTGACCTCAAGTGATTCACCTGCCTCGGCCTCCCAAAGTGCTGGGATTATAGGCGTGAGCCACCACGCCTGGCCTATTTAACCTTCTAAAACTACTTTTTCAAGAAATATTTATTCGAATTATAGAAGATTGGCCAGGCACAGTGGCTCATGCCTGTAATCCCAGCACTTTGGGAGGCCAAGGTGGGAGAGTCGCTTGAGCCCAGAGTTTGAGATCAGCCTGGGCAACATGGCAAGAACCTGTCCCAAATTTAATATAATAAATTTTAAATAAAATTTTAAAAATAAAATTAAATAAAAAATTATACAGGAGGGCCATGTCAGGTGAATTTTAACTGAAGCAAACCTTATTTATTCATAACAATGAAGTTTATATTACTAGGAAAAAATTTCATTCCATGATAAATGTGTGGTATCATGTTTTTCTTCAAAATATTGAATTTAAAGAATGTTCATTGCAATACTGGCAACTAAGTCCAGATTTGCTTTTTAACCATGGAGTAATTTCTGAGAAATATTTGTTTTATTTTATTTTATTTTATTTTATTTTATTTATGTTATTTATGTTATTTATGTTATGTTATGTTATGTTATGTTATGTTATGTTATGTTATGTTATGTTATGTTATTTTTTTGAAACAGAGTCTTGCTCTTGTTGCCCAGGCTGGAGTGCAATGGTGTGATCTCTGCCTCCTGGGTTCAAGCGATTCTCCTGCCTCAAGCTCCTGAGTAGCTGGGATTACAGGCGCCCTCCACCACGCCCGGCGAATTTTTGTATCTTTAGTAGAGACAGGGTTTCACCACGTTGGCCAGGTTGGTCTTGAACTCCTGACCTCATGATCCGCCTGCCTCGGCCTCCCAAAGTGTTGGGATTACAGGTGTGAGCCACCGCACCCGGCCTCTGAGAAATATTTAGATTGTACGCCTCAAATGGGCAGGGACTGTGTCTTACACTTTTGTATTTATGCTACAGCTTACCTAATACAGTGCCAGGCCTCGTTAAACACTTATTGATTGCTCAGACGATAAAGAACTTGCTTTGGAAGGAGGAGAGGATAGTCATGTGCTTCTGAATGTATTGAACTTCTTGAAATCTCTTTCCTCATCAATTTTAGCAGAGTTTCTATTGAAACTCCTAGGGTGTGTTTATGGAAGACAAACTGAGATGTGCTGTCCCAGCCTTAGGCCCTGGCAGTACGCCTTGCCTTTTCACGGCACACCCACTACAGCCTTTCCCACACTGTGACACTGGAGCTGGTGAGTCAAAGTAAGTATAAGTGGGGAGCACTTTTCAGTACAGTAGTTTTAAGGAAAGACTTGGGTCTCTGAAAGCCATGTTTGCATCCCTGCCATGTCCCTCACTGGCTGCTAGCCTCAGGCCACTGACTCTTAGCCTCTGTATCTCGGAGCCTCAGTTTGCTTAACTGTTAAATGGGGATACTGATACCTGCCTCATAGAGTTATGAGGATTAAGTGTCTCCTACCTTTGAATGTCTTGCTCCGGTGTTTCCCTGGAGATATCTTGTCCAAGTATGAACAGCAGTGCTGGCCACAAACTCATCAGCATTATTATTATTATTATTATCATTATCATTATTATTATTATTATTATTGAGACAGAGTTTCACTCTGTCACCCAGGCTGGAGTGCAGTGGCACAATCTCAGCTCACTGCAACCTCTGCCTCCTGGGTTCAAGCGATTCTCGTGCCTCAGCTGCCCGAGTAGCTGGGATTACAGGCGTGCACCACCACATCTGGCTAATTTTTGTATGAGTAGTAGAGACGGGGATGCACTATGTTGGCCAGGCTGGCCTTGAACTCCTGACCTCAAGCGATCTGCCCGCCTTGGCCTCCCAAAGTGCTGAGATTACAGGCGTGAATCACTGCGCCTGGCCACTTTTAAAACATTTCTATCACCCTGAAAAGAAACCCTGTACCCTTTAGCAGTCACTCCTCATTTCCCCTGTCCTCCGCAGCACTGGGCAACCACTAACCACTGACCTACTTCCTGTCTCTAGATCTGGTGGAGATGCTTTTTAAACTTTTTTTTACTACCCTGTGGTCCCTGAGGAGCATTACACTGAGAAGTTTTCTCCTATTTTGTCTTTCATTCTCCACATCCTCTTTTGTTCTAGTGCATGGCATGGGAAGCCCTCTCTAGGAGGATGCTGTGGCCACACAAGTGCTGGACGAACCGCTGGAGTAGGTGACTTCCAAGGTGTCCTGATGTAGTAGCTATTAGACAAGCTCCTGCATTTGGCCAGTAATTAGCATGCTGCTGCACATTGCCACTAGGTGGTGCTGCTGCTCCATTCCCAAGTAACCCACATGCATCCCTGGCTGGGGTCAGCCTTGGGGTTTCCCAAGTGTAGAGGAATCCATCTCTGTGCCTGTGGTAATGGCTGGACACCAGGAGAGACCCAGAAAACAGGGATATCCTAGAAGAGAAAGGCAAAATAAGCACTCAGAGCAGAGGACATTTGAGTGTCAATAATGAAGGTGGCAGCAGTAATCATGGCTATCATTTACTAAAAATAGTGGATATTGGCCAGACATGGTGGCTCACACCTGTAATCCCAGCATTTTGGGAGACCAAGGTGGGTGGATCACTTGAGGTCAGCAGTTCGAGACCAGCCCGGCCAACATGGTGAAACTATCTACTAAAAATACAAAAATTAGCCAGGTGTGGTGGTGCACGCCTGTAGTCCCAGCTACTTGGGAGGCTGAGGAAGGAGAATCACTTGAACCTGGGAGGTGGAGGCTGTAGTGAGCTGAGATCGCATCACTGCACTCCAGCCTGGACAACAGAGCAAGACTGTCTCAAAAAAAAAAAGTAGATACTGTGCTAGTCACTTGATACACATCATCTCTGATCTTTGCACTGAGCGAGGCATGTGTATTATGTCTGCATTACAAAAGGGGAAAAATTAAGGTTCAAGAAGATAAAGTCACCAGGCATGGTGGCGCATGCCTGTGATCGCAGCACTTTAAGAGGCTGAGACAGGCGGATTGGTTGAATCCAGGAGTTCAAGACCAGCCTGGGCAACATAGTGAGACCTCATCTCTACAAAAAAAATAAAATTAGCTGGGTGTGGTGGTGTGTGCCTGTAGTCACAGCTCCTCGGGAGGCTGATGTGGAAGGATCACTTGAGCCCGGGAGATAGAGGCTGCAGTGAGATGAGACTGAGCCATTGCACTCAGCCTAGGCAACAGAGTGAGACCCTGTCTCAAAACAAAACAGAAATAACAAAAAATAAGGTGACTTGCTGGAGGCCACATGGCTGTGAGCCAAATACAGGTCTGGGTTATCAGGGCTCACATACTTCTAAGTACACCCTACTGCCTTGGAATCTGCTGAAGACCAAGCCCCTGCCCCCAAGCCATGGCAAAGAAGGAGGGAAGGAAGCAAAGGTGCCCAGCGGGGACAACTCGGGGAGGGGCGAGGTGCCCAGGGCCCAGGAAGGCCAAGCAGCATGTGGCAGGGCAGCATCAGGTGACTCCCAAGAAGGAATGAGGAGAGGATATGAGGAAAGAGCCACAGCACAGAGGCCTGCTGTTAGGTCAGCGGAGACCACGGCCCATGGGACCTGGATCTACCCTTGATGCTAACAATGTTCTTTGGGGAAAAAATCTATAATCACAAAGTTTCTGCAACTGGACTGTAGTCATGGTTGCAGAACTGTATAGATTTACTAGGAACCATCAAATTGTTCACTTACAATGGGTAAATTGTACAGTACATAGGTTATCCCTCAGTAAAGCTGTATGAAATTTATAGTCATGAAACTAATAGTGACAAACGAGCTGGGTAAGTAGGTCTCAGCTGTTCTGTAGGCACTTTGAGAAGAGGAAGAGTAGCATCTCGGTTTTAATAAAAGAAAGCCTGGCCCATGGCGTCCAGCTTCTGCTTGAATACTTTCAGTGCCCGGGAGCTCAGTATCTCAAAGCAGCCCACTCCTGTTTAAGAGAACTCTAAACCTTAGAATGTTGAAATACATCATTATTATTCTAGTACTGCTGTGAAAAATAAATGTCTTTGTTTTGCCACATAACATTTCTCTGAGAGCTTGAGGACAGTTATTGCATTTTCCCAAGTCATTTTTATCTCAGACAGAATTCCCTGATGACCTGTAGGTTTTTTGTTTTTTTGTCTTGTTTTGTGTGTGTGTGTGTGTGTGTGTGTGTGTGTGTGTGTGTGTGTGTGTGTTTTGGAGATGGAGTCTCTGTCGCCCAGGCTGGAGTGCGGTAGCATGATCTTGGCTCACTGCAGCCTCCACATTCCGAGTTCAAGCAATTCTCCTGCCTCAGCCTCCCAAATAGCTGGGATTACAGGCGTGAGCCGCCACACCTGGCTAATTTTTGTATTTTTAGTAGAGATGGAGTTTCACCACATTGGCCAGGCTAGTCTCGAACTCCTGGTTTCAGGTGATCCGCCCTCCTCGGCCTCCCAAAGTGCTGAAATTACAGGTGTGAGCCATTGTACTTGGCTCTCCTTGTGTTTTTTACAGGACAAGATTTCCAGCCTCTCCCATTCTCCCATTCTCCTGGTAGCTCTCCAGGAGCTACCCCTTTGATCTGTCCACATCCTTCTTAAAATGTGGGGACCCATGGGGAACCTGAGATTCTGCAGATGCCAGCCCAGTGCTGTGTGGTTAACAATTTGGATCCTAGCATTAAGACCCCGGGTTCAAATCCTTGCTCCACTGTAGGCCAGCTGTGTGACCATGGTTAAAAACATCTACCTTACTGAGCTCTAATGTCATCATCTAAGTTATTGTGAGGATTGTACTGACCCACACTTTCTATCTGCCCAATCCCTTGAGGTGGGCTCAACCTGGGTTGGCAATGGTTGGGCAAGGGAGAGCGATCAAAACAGCAAACTGTCACACTGCTGATAAGCCAAGCAGAGACACAGCCACCATTAGGAGAAGGGGCTCTTCCATCTCTATCTATCAGGCTTTTCTCTCATGGAGCTGTAACCCCTGGTAAAGGAGGTGAGGAACTTGCTGGGGGGAGCACACAAACACCTGCTGATGTGCCTGACTTGGATACCCAGGAAGTTGCTGGCTTTCTCTTCCTTTCCCCAACATTTTTATTTGTTTGTTTGAGGCAGAGTCTTGCTCTGTCACCCAGCCTGGAGTGCAAAGGCGTGATCTTGGCTGAGTGCAATGGCATGATCTTGGCTCACTGCAACCTCCGCCTCCTGAGTTCAAGTGATTCTCCTGCCTCAGCCTCCTGAGTATTTGGGACTACAGGCGTGCGCCACCTCACCCGGCTAATTTTTGTATATTTAGTAGAGATGGGGTTTTGTCATGTTGGCCAGGCTGGTCTCGAACTCCTGACCTCAGGGGATCCACCCGCCTCGGCCTCCCAAAGGGTTGGGATTACAGGCATGAGCCACTGCGCCTGGCTGGCATTTTTTTTTTTCAACATAGTCTCCTCTTGATCTCATCCTTTGTCCACTGCACAAACCCCTCCCCAAAACGATCCCCAAGGAGGGGGGCTCCCGAACTAGATCATCCTAGGGTAGGCCTACCCGGTTCAATCTTAGCCGGGTCTATGGTGCCATCTGATTGAAATCTAACTTGACTCTCTTCTCACTGACCTCTTCGGGGTCCCAGGGGTGTAAACATCCTGCAGCCTTCCGCCAGCCTTGTGTCTTCAATGTTCCCCTCCATTCATGACTCTCCTCACTGTATTTCTACTAACTTACTCTTACATACAAAACAGATCTTTCCCCCTTCCTGTACATCAGATATCATTTTGGATCGATACTACACCCAAGGCTGGGTGTGGTGGCTCATGCCTGTAATCCCAGCACTTTGGGAGGCCGAGGCAGGCAGATTACTTGAGGTCAGGAGTTTGAGACCAGCCTGGCCAACATGGTGAAACCCCATCGCTACTAAAAATACAAACTTAGCCAGGCATGGTGGCGCGCGCCTGTAGTCCCAGCTACTTGGGAGGCTGAGAAATGAGAATCACTTGAACCCAGGAGGTGGAGGCTACAGTGAGCCAAGACTTCACCACTGCACTCCAGCCTGGGCAACAGAGGAAGACCTTGTCTCAAAAAAAAAAAAAAAAAGAAAAAAGAAAAAGAAAGCAGACTACACCCCCGGGTACTTACATAAATGAGATCATTTCTGTAAACACAGCGCAGTAGCAGCATCTAGTATAATAAGCACTCAATAAATACGAGCTATTATTGCTGAGGCAATGCATATTGGGGCTCTTTTTCTCCATCCTCTTGTGTAGCCTAAGTTTGCAGCTGTGTTTGGCAGCCGCCTCATACTAATGAAGCACACTGGGCTTGGGATCATTTCAGACCTGCAGATCTCTTTTGCATGAAATGCAATGGGGCCGGGGCTCCCTCTTCTGCATTTGTGCACCTGCTTTTAAGAACATAATGAATGATTGGCATTTGTCTCTTTTCATTTCATCTAGGCTTTGGCCCATCATCCTAACCTGTTGGCTTCATTTTGAATTTTGGATTTTGTTATTGAATGCATCAGATCTCCCTCCAAGCTTTGCTTCCTATAAATTTGATACCCATGACTCATAAGTCATCATCTGAGTCATGATAAAAAATACTGAATAAGGCTGGGCACGGTGGCTTACACCTGTAATCCCAGCACTTTGGGAGGCCAAGGCAGGTGATCACTTGAGGTCAGGAGTTGGAGACCAGCCTGGCCAACATGGTGAAACCCCATCTCTACCCAAAATACAAAAATTAGCTGGGTGTGGTGGCACCCACCTGTAGTCCCAGCTGCCTGGGAGGCTGAGGCATGCAAATTGCTTGACTTTGGAAGGTGGAGGTTATACTGAGCTAAGATGGCACCACTGCACTCCAGCCTGGGTGACAGAGGAAGTCTCTGTCTGTCTGTCTCTCTCTCTCTCTCCATATATATATATAAAATTAGATGGGGACATACCATCAGAAACTTCCCTCCAGCTTGATTCATTTGTGTAACAGTAACAGATATTTACTAAGCACCTATAATGTGCTCTGTAGTGGACACTGTTCCATTCATTAGATGTGGATGTTCAGCCATCTATGTAACTTGGCTAATCATACTTTAAATCTAGCCCTTATTTCTCCATCTTATCCACCAGGAATCCTGAAAGATTCTATCAAGTGCTTTGCTAAAATTAAGTATACAATATGCGTAGCAATGCCTTCATGTACCAATCCCTCAGCAATGGAAATAAGGTTAATTTGACTAATTACTCCTAGTAAGCCGCTTTGACCACTGGTAACATCTGCCATCTTTTATAAGCCTATCTGATTGCAGATCAACCTCAGACATACCCATCTGTAGTTTCTGGAATCCACCTTCTCTCTCTCACAAACCTGGGCGACATTTGCTCATCTCTAATTTTTCTCCACCCTTCTCAGCTTCCTGACTTCTCAATATTTACAGTAGGAGTTTGCAATCACACAGTAAAGGTCTTGGATATATTTAGTTGGAGTTAAGAGCGTTGGGCTCCCATAAAGCAGTAGGGCTCTCCTTGAGTTTAGTTTATATATATTTAGTTGGAGTTAAGAGTGTTGGGCTCCCATAAAGCGGAAGGGTTCTCCTTGAGTGCTGCATCATCTGTCTTAGATCCCGATTTCCCCATAATCATGTTTATTATCCTTTCCAGGTTGAAGATTATTCTCTCTTCTAAAGAAAATAGAAGAATATTAGGAGAAAAGACACTTGAAAATGTTCACTCTTTTATTCACATTACATCATCTGTCTTGAATAATGGGTCTATCTCTTTCCTGTTGCTCTGGCCCTGAAAAAAAAATTAGCTTTTTAAGGCTGCTTTTGTTACGTGTGCATTTTCTTGTAATCCCGTCATTCTGGGATTTAATAATAATAGTATTAATACCACCTACCATTTGTTGGTTACTTACTGTGTTTTAGGCACTGTGCTAAACGCCTTCCATGTATTCATCTCATTAGTAAACATTTCTGAAACTATTCTTACAATTTGTCTTTTAGTTTTTCTTGTTCTTGTCCTCTTAAAATCTGAGCTTAGCCATGAGCTCTCAGTGAAGCTGCTTGTATTTCTTTAAAAACCCTCTTTGCTTCCTCCAAGTGGAGTGGGTTGTACTTCTGAGGTCAGGACAAACTGGGCACCGGAGGAGTTCAGCCTTCCGAGGCTGCAGGAGGGGTGGGTCCCCTGAGGCGAGCAAGATGATGTAAGGCCTTGACTTGGGGTAACAGACAGCCACAGATGGGAAGAGAGAAGCCAACATTTAACCACGGAAGGATGTGAAGGGCGGAGAGGTGGGTTGAGCACTGGGCCCCGGGTGCGGGGAGTGGGAAAAGGTCCAAAGGTGAAACCTGGGAAGCCTGGGCTTGGGTCTGGAAGTGGAGAGAAGGAAGTCGTTCCAGGGGGAGCTGTGAGCAATGTGAACCCATCATTTCTGTTTTCACCAGCGAGGGTGAGAATTGAGTCCACAGGAGTGGCTCCCTCCTCTGCTTCCTCGACCTGCAGAGGGCTAAGTGGGGCAACGAGCAGGGTAAAACTTTTCAAGATGCTCTGCTCTTAGCAGAATGAGCTGTTCTGACCATTTCCCAAGAGCCAAATTTCCTCATCAGTCCTGAATGTTGCCTCTGTGCTATGATTTGCGTTAAAAAAAAGATACAGTCTCCCCACTGTGTTGTCAAATCTGAAATAAGGGACTGTGTTTTTGCAAAATTCTCTTCCAAGGCCAAGCACAGGGTCAATGTTCAGCAAATATTTGGTGAGTTAATGAATGAAATGAAAGCACTCTCCTTATGCTCCTTGGCTGAGTGATGTGGAGAAGAGTTCCAGAACAATATAATTTAGTTTCTTTCTCCTTTTAACCGAGCCTAGAAATTCTCCACAAGGCATATGCAAATACCCCAGACATGTATTTTTCCAGGCGTGTGTTTTATGTGCAAATACTCCTGCATATGTATGATTTTATTTTACTTTTTGAGACAAGGTTCATTGTCCAGGCATTGTCTAATGCACCAGTGCATTGGTGCCATCTCGGCTCACTGCAGGCTTGACTTTCCGAGCTCAGGTGGTCCTCCCACCTCAGCCTCCCAAGTAGCTGGGATGACAGGTGCACACCACCATGCCCAGCTAATTTTTTGTATTTTTAGTAGAGGTGGGGTTTCACTATGTTGTCCAGGCTGGTCTTGAACTCCTGGGCTCTAGCAATCTGCCCACCTTGGCCTCCTAAAGTGCTGGGATTACAGGCATGAGCTTCTGCTCATATACGTTACTTGTTCATCTGACTGAAGACCCCAAAAGAGACCAGCACCCCAAAGAAGCATGTATTTCTCTTTGGAACCAGAAGCAAACATCCTTCTGTTTGCTTGGGATGCATGGGATGAGCATGCAGTAGGTGTTTAATAAATACTTGTTGACTAATTAGGGGGCATAAATATGTAAAAGTGGTAAATTAGCAAGAAAGAGCTGCAGTGTAGATAATCAAATAACAAAGTTGTCTAGGACAAGAGAATCTATCTCTGAGGGCTCTGTGTAGGAGGAGAGGTGGTGTTGGCTAGTGAGGCAGATCTGCCTTCTAATTAGGCTCCAATCAGGATAGTATTGCAATTAGCTCGGGATATTATAGCAGTTAGCTTCTATTCTTGGAACAAATTCCTGGGAGATTTAAGTTGGGTGGTAAAAGAAGGTTGTCCCAGGAATAAATTTGCTGTGAACCGCTTTGGAGTGACTACTTCATATGTGCCTAATTGAACCGCCAATGTAAACCTGATTGGATTGTTTCCTTCTTTATCAGCGACACTTAAACATGAGCTCAGGAATTTGGACAGCCACTTAACAACAGAACACAGCTCGGGAAATTGCAGATTTCAAATTTCAGAAAAGTCGATGAATTTAGACAACTTGAGTGTCTTCTTTGTGTTAGGGTAGACAGGCTTTGGCCTCCAAGATCTGGCTGACAAGTGCTTGCTGCTGAGACAGGCACTGAAAAGAGTAAAAAATATAATGTCTTCAATTATCTTCCCAGTTATTGAGACACTTAAAAACTCCACCCCAGCCCACCCTGACAGTCTCCTGTAAGGAGCTCAGTTTTCTCTGTGTCAACCTGATGACAGACCCAGGAGGATGTTGTGTCTGGGAATGTTTGCTCTTCCTGGCTGGGGTGAGTAGGGCTTGGCAGCAGAGACAGTGCGAACAGAACCAAGCCACGAATCCTGGCTCTCAGTCCATCCAGCCAGCAGCTTTTCGCTTCATCCTTCACCCTCCACACTTCTTCTCTTTCTTCTGCATCAGGAGAGGCAGATGTAGAGCCCAGAGTTTTTTGTCAAAGAGCCTGAGTTGGAATCCTGCCTGGCACCATCGCTGGGGGGTGACTGGCTTTCTGAGGCCCAGTTTCGTCATCTGTAAAATGGGCATGATAATATCTGCCCAAATCATTTCAGGAGGTTGGTTGTTGAGAAGAGGTGGTGCCTGTACGACTGCCCTAAGCTTGAAAGGACAGCAATCGGTGCCGGCTTTGTAGCTCACAAACTTTACCTTAAATGCTGACCATCACAGGGTCTTGGGACAGGCCCTAGGACCAGCCCCCCCACCCTTGCTGGTGCAGGGCTTCCCTGCAGATGGCGCTGTGCCTGGAGAATGCAGCCAGCAGTAAATCAGGGCAGCTTGATTAAACATGTCCAAGTCTAGTCAAGCCAGACTAGATGTGGGCGTGTTTGGCACTATAGGTGGATCCAGTCTGGATTTCCTTTACCTGCATGTCCTGGGTGTGTATCCCTCACAAAAGTTCCCCCCGCCATCACATTCACACCTCACCAAATTAAGCCACCCAGCCCCCACTTGGCCCCCTAGGAACCACTGCAGCAGGCAGTGTGTTTAATCCCTGTGAAGCATTTTAGCATTAGATGAAGATGACGCCTTGGGCTCCCATCCGCCTGTGACAGAGGCTGCCAGCTCCACTCTTGGAAACACCCTTGTTTTGACTTAGTTTCCCATCCAAGATGAAGGTAGGCAGACTGAAAAAGCCAATGCTAAAAGAAAGAAGACCCCAAGACCCCTGTATGCAGCTTAGAAGGCAAAGGCCTGTCTTCACAGAGCCAGCTAAAGAGCTAGGCTTTGGCGCCACCACATCCTGTTTGGAATCCAAGCTCCACCGTTTAGCATTTGTGTGACCAGGGGCTTGTTAAGGAAGGCCCCAAGGCTCCCTTCCCTGCGTATAAAAAGAAGAGATGGTACCTGCTTTATAGGATGCAGTGGTGAGGGTTCAATGAGAAGAGGCTTGCAATAGGCTTGGTATAGTGCCTGGCACATGGGGATATTCAAATAGTGCTGACTATTAGATCAGGAGCAGACATTGGGGTAGGAGGTATCAGCCCGGGGAGGAGACGACAAGGAGAGTTAGGGAGGGAAGGACGTGCCAGGGAAGAGACGGTGGGCTCTGCAGAGGAAGGCTTCTTGGTACCTCTCGAAAGCTGCTGTGGGAACACACCTTTACTCTGCTGACATTTTCAGACAGCCGTGCTGGCAGGGATCTGGGCACCTGGCAAAGCGAGCTGACCATCTGGCCGGCTGTTTCTGCAACAAAAAGAGATGGTGTCAAAGGTTTTGGGAGCTGGGCTCCTTTGACCCACAGTTGGCACCGGAGGCCAAATAAGTCCTCCTGGAGACCATCACCTTCTCATCAGCAATCTTCCAGCCAGCACACTGCAGCGGCCAGGGAGTGCAGGATTGTCTCCAGGAAGCCAGTGCCAAGGCCAGAGGCCCAGAGCCTGCACTGAGCAAATCGCCAGGGAGTAGTGACAGCCCTTCCTTCCTGGTCAGTGCTCTTGTCCCATGGGGCTACTATCTCCTCTGGATCCTATGAAGACTGCTCCCTGCCACGGCCATGATTACGTGTCACACTGCATGGTTAGAAGGGCAGGTTCTGAGGCCAGGCTGCCTGGGTTCATGCATTAGCTGTGTGGCCTTGGGCAAGTTACTTAGCCACATTTTGCCTCAGTTTTCTGGACTACAAAATGGAGTTGTGAGAGTTCACCAAGTTCATGCTTATAAGGAGATGGCAGCAGTGCCTGGCATTTAAAAAGTGCCCCACAGGTGTTATCTGGGGCTGTTGTCATCTCTGTGGCCAATTGTGCATCGGTTCCAGGTCTTGGGGTCATGTCTGTGTGCTTGGTGCCCTAGGTGCCCCAATATCTAGTCTCTTTTTCTCCCATTAAAAAATCAATCTCACTTCTCTGTCTCCCTATCTTTCTCCCTTTCATCTTCCCTTTCTTAGCACATTATTTATTCAACAAACACGGATGAAGTGCCTGCCCTGTGCCAGGCGCTGGGGAGGGGGAGGATGGGGGGCTACAGAGATGGAATAAACAGTGAGCCCTGCACAGGACCCTCCGAGTGCCCACAGCTAGGCAGAACAGCAGTTAGTCCATGCTGATGCAGGATTCATCATCGTCACGGGGGAGCCAGAATCTGGAGACACCCAGGCCCTGAAGACGGAGCCTGCCCAGCCCCCACCGAAAAGAGAGCTGCTATTGGCCTCAGCGTCCAGGAAGAGCCGGGTGATTCAGCGGGATGGAGATCCTCCTTCCCAAGACAAGATGGGGGCAGCAGAGGTGAGATTCTGGCTGGGAGTGAATGGGTCTGCTGGCTGACAGCTTGGCTGTCACATTCGAAAGCTTATCCGTGGACAGTGCCCCTCTGCCCTGCTAATGACAGGGATGTCACTCACAGGTCTCCCCTGGATTGTGCAGAACCAGACATTGCTGCCTTTGCCTAGGCAGGATAATAGATATCATGAGGGCTTGGGAAGCTTCGGGGGGAAAGTTAGGCTATCTGCCCACCCCTCAATCATGCCACGCATCCCCAGAGTCACACAGAAATGTTCTTACACACCTCTGTGCCTTGGCATGGCTGCTCCCTCTGCCCAGCCTGCCCTCCCCTGGATCGGGCCTTCTCCATCTGAGCGTCCCACATGTCCCCAAGCCTCAGTCCCCAGGAAGCTCTGGGAGCCTGCAGTGCTCCAGGATCACGGGAGTCCCTACCTCCCACCAGTGGCCCTGATGCCTTGGACATGCTTTTACTACCACACTGTCACACTGGGTGGTCATTATTTGTTTAGGTGTCTGTTCTCCTTACCCTAGACCTTGAGTTCTTGAGGCCAAGAACAGCCAAGTCTCAGCTTTCTCTGCAGGACCGAGCACATAGTGGCACTCCGCAAATGCGTGCTGAGGAATGGATTGTCATTACTGATGTCATCATCCACCCCTGCACAAGTCTTGACACGGAGCAGCCTCCCACCCCTGCTGGAAGCCTGGCTTAAAGTGACCAACCTGCTTTAGTGAAGGGTTGGGGTTTGGAAGGCCCGCTGGATACAAGGATCTAGAATGAGGAGGTCTTTTCCTATTGAGGACCAAAGCTCTCAACTCTTTTTTCCTAATAAACTAGGAGAGACCAGTTTGGAATTGTCTCTAAATGTACAGGATGAGTTTGAGTTTAGGGGTAGCGGAGCCTCTTGTTCCCAACTGAAGGCACTCACGAAACCTGAACTGCACCCACTTGGAGGAAAGTGAGACGGGGCTTCCCAGTGAGAACCCAGGGAGATGCGTCAAAGGCTACAGAGGGAACAAACAAACAAGCAATTTAGTTTAGATTTTTTAATGCAGAAATGAAGTGTTCCGCTTGTTTGCTTTTAAAATGGAGAACAGAGAACATAAAATGACTTCACAAATGAAGGAAGTAATTAGAAAAAATTCCTCCAGTTCTATGTGATGGCCAGTAAAGGAAGAGAGAGCACAGAAAAGATAGAACGGGAAGGGCAGATGGGAAGGAAGGAGAGTACGACACAGAGATGATGACGCAAAGAGAGAGAGTGAAGAAGAGATGAACATGGAACCATCCCTCCACACACACACATTTTGATCTTATGGAAAACCTGCTTTGTAAAATTAAAGTTTGTCTTTTGTTGTTTTTACACTGTAAGAGAGCGATTTGAATACATTTATTGTTTTCTGACTTCTAGAATAAGAAGTTGCCAGGGAGAAGTCCAATGCCATTCTTAGTCTTGATCTTTTTTTATAATCTTTTATTTTGCTCTGTGGAAAATTTTAAGTGTTTTTTTTTTTTGAGATGGAGTCTCACTCTGTCACCCAGGCTGGAGTCCAGTGGTGCGATCTCTGCTGACTGCAACTTCCGCCTCTCAGGTTCAAGCAATTCTTGTGCCTCAGCCTCCCAAGTAGCTGGGATTACAGGCATGTGCCACCACGGCCAGCTAATTTTTGTATTTTTAACAGAGATGGGGTTTCACCATGTTGGCCAGGCTGGTTTTGAACTCCTGACCTCAAGTGTTCCGCTTGCCTTGGCCTCCCAAACTGCTAGGATTACAGGCGTAAGCCACTATGCCTGGCCTAAATTTTAAGATTTTACCTTCATATACATCACTATGAAATTAGCGTGGGCCTTTTTTCATTCATTGTATTGGGTGCACAATGGGCTCGTAAACTCTGCAGATGCAGGTCATTCAGTCCTAGGAAGTGATTTTGTATTATTTCTTTGATAATGGACTCTCCTCCATTTCTTCTACTCCCTATTCCTTTTGCTGGGCCTCCTAGATGGATCTTCTGCTTTTCTATTTTCTCTCTGATTTTCCATACCTTTATTTTTTTTCCTCTTCCAGGTAGATTTCCTTGACCTTATCTTCCAAATCTTCTACTGACTATTTTATTTATGGGATCAAATTTTCAGTACTTTGCACTGTTTTTCTGATTATTCTTTTTTTTAAAAAAAGTTTTATTGGAGGTACACTTTACATACTCTAAAATTCACTCATTTTAAGTGTCTAATTCAATGATTTTTAGTAAATTTACAGAGGTCTGTAACCATCACCACAATCCAGTTTAAATTATTCTTTTGTGTATAGTTGTTTGTTTTGGTATCATGGGTGAAATGTCTCCTCTTATCTTTGTGTGTGTGTGTGTGTGTGTGTGTGTGTATGTGTATGTGTGAGACGGAGTCTCACTCTGTTGCCCAGGCTGGAGTGCAGTGGCGCAACCTTGGCTCACTGCAACCTCCACCTCCCAGGTTCAAGCACTTCTCCTGCCTCAGCCTCCCAAGTAGCTAGGATTACAGGTGCCCGTGGCTACGCTCGACTAATTTTTTGTATTAGTAGAGATGAGGTTTCACCATGTTGGCCAGGCTGGTCTCGAACTCCTGACCTCAAGTGATCCACCCACCTCAGCCTCCCAAAGTGCTGGTATTATAGGCATGAGCCACTGTGCCCGGCCATCCTCCACCTGTTACAATGCAGCCAAAAGGCCCTCACTAAATGCTGTCCCCTAATTTCAGACTTCCCAGCCTCTGGAACTGTGAACCAAATAAACTTCTATTGTTTATAAATTACCCAACCCCTGGCATTCTGTTATAACAGCAAAAAATGGACCAAGACAAGGTGATATCTATCCTTGCAGATCCCTAAAAAAAGAGTTCCTGGGAGTTGATGGATCTTTAATACCTGCTTGAGGGACAAACCAGATACTCTTTTGAGAGCCCATCTAATTCTGGGATTCTACCCTCAAGTGGGTCGAGGGGCTCAGAGTTTGCAAAGCTAGAGAGCATCAGGACCAGGGACAGATCCAGGTTTTGTGAAACCTGAAGCTTATACAATTTTCGGTGCTTTGTATAAGAAAAATAATGCAAAATTATGGATGTCAAATTAGATACGGGGCCTAGGAAGGGGCTCGTAAACTCTGCAGTAGTGGGCCTTAAGCATAAGCTTATTAGCCTCCCAATAAAGCCTCCTCTGTCTAGGACAGAACCATATTCCTTTGGAGCCAGTAGATGTCAATGTGTTTTCCCCCAACAGACTTGGTCTTCCAGATTCTACATCTCCCTCATGATTTCCCCCACCCCCCAAATTTCTAACTCAGCAAAAGCTTATTGAATGCCCACTGTGTGCAAGGCATTGGGTTGGGCCACTTCATTACTTGCCTCTGTGGCAGGACTGAGATTATCACCCACCCAGGGAGAAGCACATCTGACTCAAGATGCCCCTGAGTCTGTGCAGGTACCATCAAGGCAGAGGAAGAGTAGGATGGGCACAGAAAACCAGATGGGAAGCAGGGCCACATCTGATCTAAGGACACAGGTGGTCTCCTGAGGACATCAGGCCCCTGTGCTCAGAGGAGAAATCCATGCTGCCCTCTGTCTCACTTCTAAAAGGAATTGTTGCCGCAGAAACTGCACAGAGACCTCAGAAACCTGAGTTGGAGTGGAAGGCTCAGCTGTTTTCCTGCTGCCCCTTTGTCAGACACATCACCCCTCTTGTGGGACTGGAGTCAAATGTCATCACTCAGAGTCAGCAGCCCTGCACTTGGTCTGGAGCCCCGCTGCCAGCCCTGTCCCCACAGTTGTCCCCGGCCCTGTCTGGGCCTTTTTGAGCTGATTGAACTACAGCATCTAGAAAACTCCAGGCCAATTCTAGGTTCTGTCTACAATCTCTGAGTGTTTTCTTTTCTCTTGGAATGTTTAACCAGCAGAAAAGCACACGCCAGCAGTGGTTTCTGAGGCCCTCTTCACCTTGCCAGATGACCAGGCCTTGCCAGGGACCCACTGGGTCTCTGTCATCTCCCCGAGCCTTTTTCCTCATCTGTAAAACTGAGACGAGAACCCCTATGAAGGGCTAGTTTTATGACTGTGGTCAAGGTCAACCTGGGTCTGGGTGTGGGAAGGGGTTACTGATATCTCACAGTCTATCTTCTGGTCTAGCTGCACAGGTGATAGCCACAGGTCCCCACCAGTTAGATGTAGTGTTGGAGATAATCAGGCAGGTCAGGGCCCTCGGATGCCCCAAATTTGCTTTATGGTTTATGACATTCTCCCTTGGTTTGTACTGACAATGCTGGCTGGGAAGGAATAAAAACAGCCAAACTTCTTAAGGTGATTTGCCAGAGAATTTTTATTTGGATACACACTGTACTGAACACAGACCTGAAAATGCATTTTAAAAGGCTTTCTAATGAAGCGAATACAAAACAACTCACACATTAGACAAACCTCTGTGGTATAGCCATACTGGGGAGAGCAGAGGCTTTCTCAGAGAAGGTGGGCCAAGGAAGAGGTGGGGGAGATGTGAGGATGGCCCAAGAAGGTTTAGGGAGGGATGGTTTGGGCTCCCCTCTGAAGTTCACTGTGACCCACCCAGAGAGCTCAGTGCCCTATCTCTGTTATTTATACTAGTTGCTTCCCAAGCTTCCTGGGCTTTTCTCTAATTTGGGGTGCAATTTAGAGGCCCCACTGATGAACTTTAAAATCCATTGATATTGGGCCAGGTGTGGTAGCTCACACCTGTAACCTCAGCACTTTGGCAGGCAAAGGTGGGAGGATTGCTTGAGGCTAAGAGTTCAAGACCAGCCTGGGCAACATAGTGAGACCCCCATCTCTACAAAAATTTTTAAAATAAATTAGCCAGGCATAGTGGCCTGAGCCTGTAGTCCCAGCTACTTGAGAGGCTGAGGCAGGAGGATCGATTGAGCCCAGGAATTTGAGGCCACAGTGAGCCAAGATTATGCTACTGCACTCCAGCCTGGGCAACAGAGGGAGAACCTGTCTCAAGAAAAGAAAATCCGTTGATATTATATGCAAAACTTTATGGGTGTGAAAAAAATCTTATGTGGCCGGGTTTAGAATTCTTTTCTGGGAAGGGGGCCTGAGCTTTTACCTGCTCTCCAGTGGGTTCAGCACCCACCATGGAAACCATCATGGTAGACCATGCTAAGGCAGGAAAAGGTGGGCCAGCACATGATTCCAGCAGGGCCACTGCAAGAGTGGGGAATGCAGACCACCTCCAGTTTCGGGGTGGGCTGGGTACCCAAAGGAAGATGGAGACTCAAGCCCCAGGATGTCGTTTCCCTCACAAGGTCCATCCCCATGCTACCTGGACAGTAGTCAAGACCCTTCTACGGATGATCCCATTCAAAGCACCTGTTTGGCACCCCTGATGAACCTGGCACTTGTGGGGAACATGAGGAAGGTCAGACATGACCCTTGTCAGCCTGTATGGCGCTCCTAGTCTAGGGGGCTGGGGAAACAGGCACCCAGAGAAATTACAGGGTGCTGTGGAGTGTGCTACACATGAAGGTAAAATAACCGGGCAGCACGGAGGGAAAAGTTAGCTCAGCTCATTCGGGAAGCTGGAAGCCACCCATGGACCTTAGAGTGAAACACCAGCCACCCATGGGCCTTAGCATGAAACACCAGGCTGTGTGACTTCTGAGGACCTCAGTTTCCTTATTAGTACCATATGGCAGTAACTATTTATGGAGTTGGGAGAGTCACATGAAGTCATGTCCACACAGTGCATCCATGGATTGGACCTTCAAGCGGAATTTGCCTTGTGGAAAGATCTAGAAGGACACCAAAAGCAGCAAGGGCAACATGGATAGAGGCATGGCTCGGCAGGGCACTTTGTGCCGACTCAGCGATGGGTCCATGCTGTGACTTGGAGAGACTCACTTTTGATGGTCCAGCAGCGTTCAGGTTCAATGACTCAGTAATTCTTGATTCAATGATGTGGTCATTTGAAGATTTGTGGGTACCGGCGATTAAGTAAGCAGAGTGTTTATAAATCTAGGCTGCTGATAATCATAATAATAATCGCTGCTAAAAAATGATTGAGAGCTTACTATGTGCCAGGCTGCGCACAGCATTTATGGATTAACTCACGGAATCATTAGGTCACGCTAATGGAAGGGACTTGGGTAATCCCTTTGCCAAGGAGCCACCTGTCACCTTTAGTTTCAGTTTATTCCTCCCCCTCCCATTCTTACTCAGGCCTCCCCACCCTTACCTCCCCATAAGTCATGACCCTCTCCTAAAAGTCCTAGAAGTTCAGAGCCAGAAGGGACTTGGAAGATCCCTAGTCCAGTTCCTTTTTATTTTTATTTTTTTTGAGACAGGTCTCACTCTCCTGTCCAGGCTGGAGTGCAGTGATGGGGTGATCACAGCTCACTGAAGCCTTGACCTCCTGGGCCCAAGTGATCCTCCCACCTTAGCCTTCCAAGTAGCTGGGACTACAGTTGCATGCCACCACACCCAGCTATTTTTTTTTATTTTTATAGAGACAGGGTCTCACTATGTTTCCCAGGCTGGTCTCAAATTCCTGGGCTCAAGCAATCCTCCCGCCATGGCCTCCCAAAGTGCTGGGATTACAGGCATGAGCCACCACACCTGGCCTCAGCTCCTCATTTTATACAGGAGGAAATTAAGCCCACAAAAGGAAGGGACTTGCTTTTCTAGAGTACAGAGAAAGGGCCTCTGAGCACCTGTGTAGGTGCTTGGTGAATCCAGCCAGGAGGCCTGATTATCCTTCATTGACTATCCATGTGATCTTGGGTGAGGTTCAGAGTAACAGTCAAGCCAGTGCTCAGCTGGGTGTGTCCACACCTCCCTGGTACTCACATGCACTCCGCTCTTCTTCTGGCTGTCAAGTCCCTAGATGACCCAGGCCACCTCGTTTTCCCTCAGGTCAAGCAGCTGAGGTGGGGGTTCAGGCCTCTCCAGGGCTGTAGCTCAGGCCTCAGGAGGTGCAGGAGACACCTGGGAGGTTCAGAGAGGCACAGTAACTTTAGATGTGTGCAGGTGGCCAGAAATAGCCACTGAGCAGTGCTATGGCCCTGCCCAGGCCAGTACCGTGGCCAGCCTGGGAAGCTAAATCTTCAAGACTAGCTTAGTTAGGATTGCAGTCTGGTTTCCCCAAATCCTTCAAACCCAGAGCCATCCCAGGCTGGAGTGCAGTAGCATAATCATAGTAGCCTGAGCTGTCTTCCTCTGTCTAATCCCTTGACTGTATTCCAATGTCTTCAACCCTGAGATAGACTTACTGATACCCCTGAACTTGTACCTTCTCCCCTTCTCTGTCCCTCACGCCTGCCTGGCCCCATCACGGTCCTTTGCCCTTCCCAGTTGAGCCTCAGCTCTTGCCTGGCTTCACAGGGGTCTCCTCCCTGACGCCTGTTCTCACTTCACAGCCACCTGTAAGTCGACCCTGCCTTAATCTTCCACCAGCAGAATTTGTGTGGGAAAATAGACATAACATAAAATTTACCATTTACCTTTTTAATCATTTTTTTGTTTGTTTTTGTTTTTTGTTTTGTTTTTGAGACTGAGTCTCACTCTGCTGCCCGGGCTGGAGTGCAGTGGCACAATTTTGGCTCACTGCAACCTCTGCCTCCTGGGTTTAAGTCATTCTCCTGCCTCAGCCTCCCGAGGAGCTGGGAATACAGGCATGCGCCACCATACCCGGCTAATTTTTGTATTTTTAGTAGAGACGGGGTTTTGTCATGTTGGCTAGGCTGGTCTCGAACCCTGACCTGAAGCAATCCTTCTGCCTCAGCCTCCCAAAGTGCTGGGATTACAGGCGTAAGCCACCGCACATGGCCCATTTTAATCATTTTTAAGGGGATAATTTAGGGGCATCAATCACATTCAGGATGTTGTACAATCATCACCACTATCTATTTCTAAAACTTTTTCATTGCCCCAAACAGAAACTCTGAACCAATTAAGCAACATCTCCACATCCCCCACACCACCCAACCCCTAGTAACCTCTAATCAATGTTTCTGTCCTGCTAATTTGCCTATTCTAGGTACCTCATATAAGTGAAATATTTGTCCCTCTATATTTGGCTTCTTTCACTTAGCACAATGTCAAGGTTCATCCATGTTGTAGCATGTGTCAGAACATCATTCCTTTTTATGGCTGAATAATATTCCATTGTCTATATACACTTTGTTTATCCATTCATTTACTGATAACACTGGGTAGTTTCCATCTTTTGACTATCATGAATAATGCTGCTGTGAATATTTGTGTACAAGTATCTTGTTTGAGTTCCTGCTTTCTTTCTTTTTTTTTTTTTTTCTGAGACAGAGTCTTGCTGTTGTCACCAAGGCTGGAGTGCAGTGGCAAGATCTCAGCTGACAGCAACCTCTGCCTCCCAGCTTCAAGCAATTCTCCTGCCTCGGCCTCCCAGGTAGCTGGGATTATGGGCATTTGCCACTATGCCTGGCTTACGCCTGGCTAATTTTGGTATTTTTAGTAGAGATGGGGTTTCACCATGTTAGTCAGGCTGGTCTCAAACTCCTGACCTCAGGTGATCCACCTGCCTCGGTCTCCCAAAGTGCTGGGATTACAGGCATGAGCCACCGCGCCCAGTCTTGGGTTCCTGCTTTCGATTCCTTTGGGTACATACCTAGGAGTGGAATGGCTGGATCAAATGATAATTCTATGTTTAGCTTTTTAAGGAACCACCAAACTGCTTTCCCCAGTGAGAGCACCATTTTACATTCTCACCAGCAACATGTATGGGTTCTGATTTCTCCATCCTGAACAACTCTTGTTATTTTTGAAACAGGTTTCTTTCCTTTTCTTTCTTTCTTGTTGTTGTTGAGAAGGAGTTTCGCTCTTGTTGCCCAGGCTGGAGTGCAATGGCACGATCTCCACTCCTCACAACCTCTGCCTCCCTGGTTCAAGCGATTCTCCTGCCTCGGCCTCCCGAGTAGCTGGGGGATTACAGGCATGCGCCACCATGCCCGGCTAATTTTGTATTTTTATTAGAGACGGGGTTTCTCCATGTTGGTCAGGTTGGTCTTGAACTCCCGACCTCAGGTAATTTGCCTGTCTCAGCCTCCCAAAGTGCTGGGATTACAGGCATGAGCCACGGCACCCAGCCGAAACAGGTTTCTTATTCTTTCTAGCAACAGCCCCCTCTGGGTCATCTTCAGGAGGTTTCTGTTCTCTTTAGAACTCGACCTCAAATGGTCCCATCACATCCCAAGTCTCCTTAGCCCAACTGCTGCTGCAGTAGCCCAGGAAGTGGGGTGCTGAGATGAAGGTCCACATCAGCAGGTCTAGGGTGGGGCCCTGGAACTGGCATTTCTAACAACTTTCCAGCAGGTGCTGATGCTGCTGGTCTGGGGATCACTGGAGAACCAAGGCTTGAAGGCATCACATTTTATATTTTGCTCTAGGAGGTTTCTGCTTAGTTCTTTCCCTTCCACATTTGCATAAAACAGAAGCCCCGCAACTCAAGATCTTGTTAGGCTCCGGGGAGGAAGACAGGGAAGGGATTCCTTTCCTTCCTCAATTCCCAGACTCTCTGTCCTGCTCCGTCTGGAATATGAGTGTCCCCTGTTCTGTCTCTGCAAACAAGTCAGGGCCTTTGCTGGGGCCAACAGCGGCACAAGAATTAAAGTTCCAAGTTAGCTTTGGATCAGCTTCAATCGACTTTTCACTCTGGAGCTGTTCTAGGTGAGGCATTGGCATTTTATTCAGTGTGTTAAATGGCTGACAGGCGTTGAGTCTGGTGAAAGATTGCCCTGAAATACCTCCCCCAAGGCCTGGTGTGGGAAAAAAACAATGAAAGCCTGGCCTCTCCTCTGGAGCAGAGAGCCTTTCATCCAGGCCCCAGAGCCGTCCACTGAAGCTCTGTCCAAGGTAGCCAGTCACAGGGTCCTCTGCTTCAGAGCTCCCAACTCTGGCTCCCTCTGACCCGCCCCTTTCTCTTTCCCCCAAACTCTAGCTTTGGAGACCTTTGCCTACTGTTGGCCTCTGGTTTTGGCAAACAGTTTCCAACATCTCAGATTTCCCCATTTTGCATACAAATCACTTCCCTTCTGTGGGCCTCAGTTTCCCCATTGTTCAAATTAAAGAAACGACGAGAGCAATGATTTTGTAACCATGTTCCACAGAGCTCGAGGATTCGCTGAAGGCCAAGGTATACCCCGAGTTCGCCACCTCTGCTTTATTAGAGTGGCCTCGTTTGTATTTGATATCTGAAAGTTCTATGTAAACATCTCATTTGGAAGACAAAGTTCTGCTGGGAAAAAGTAGTTTGAAAATCAACAGCCGAGATGATCTTGAACATTTTCCCCTCTGGTTTCATCTTCTATATTCTATAGTTCTTTGACCATTACATCTTTTCCAAGTCCCAGCCTGCATGTGACACCAGTCTTGAATTTTCCTTGAGCTTCTGGAACTCAATGCTCAGGAACACGTGTTTCTTCCATGACAGGGATAGGGCAGTGGCCGGCTGGCTGAGTGGTGACTGCTGCAGCCCTCTGGCCAGTCTAGGAGGGCATGGCACCTCAAGCAAGGTGGAGTGGGGCTGAGTAGGGGAAGGAGGTTGCAGTGGTCACTACGAGCCTTCCCGGGTGTGTTTGTGTGTGTGTTTTCCACTTGGAAGACGCCACTCGCGAAGGAGTAGGAACCCGTTTCACAGTTCCCGTGACAGTCCTGTGTGAAACACCAGTGAACTCCCAGGCCCAGTGGAGGGTGAGAAGGGAGGTCAAGTGGGAGCCACCCACAAGGATGTTTTCTGGCTATCAAATTGGCCTCATGGGCCTGAAGTTGACACGCATCAGCACGATGAATGAGCCTGTAATACCTGATCATCAGGACAGAAGCAAGCGTACCTGGGATGCTTCTCTGGGAGCCAGAAGGGTGGTAGGAAGAGGGTAAAATATGCTGAGTTGAAAGAGCTGAGGCTGTTTCTTCTGGAGAAGAGCAGGCAGAAGGCTAGGGTGGGTAGATGGGGGACTATCTATTTATCAGGCTCAGGTACACGTATCCTTATTGCAGGAAATGTGATGTACAGGCTTCTGGATTTATGGTGAGGGAGAGGCAGGACTCTAAATCATTTTGCAGACCCTGAAGCCCTGACTGGAGGCTTCTCAGGCTGGAATACATTACGTGGTGGGAGCTCCTCCAGTGATGCACCATCAATTGTGGCACCGTGGCTACTCCAGAGGCACTGGAAATATTCAAAGGGAGGAAGGAAGATGGGAACTGTGCAATGGCATTGTATGTGTAAAGGGAGTGCCCAGGCGCCTGGGGTGAGGGTGAAGCTCCCACTGGAGTTCCCATAGTTCTAGCTGTGCTCTGGCACTTAGCTCTGTAAATCTGCCCAAAGACCCTGACAATGGAGTAGAAAGGGCTTTGCAGTCAGACGAATTTGGGCTTGAATCCTAGCTCTACCGATTGGCAGCTAGATGACCTTGAGCAACTTATTTGAAAACTCCTAAATCTGTTTCCTTAGCTGTAAAGTAGGAATAATACCCAAGGATGTCACTGTTTGTTTTTCATCCACAAGCCAATCTCCCTTTCTCCTTTGATTTTGTTTAGATGAAACATTAGGGAAGAAGGGCCTCTCCTGCAGCTTCAGCAAGATAAACTGCAATTGGTCGGATCTAAGCATAATCATGTCATTTTCTTTTAGCTATTGATTGGTTTAGGAGAGGGCATGTGACCTAATTTTAACCAATGAGATTTTTCTTTCTGATTATGTCAAAGAGTCCTACTGTCATCTTCCTACCATAATGTGGTTGGGTGAGGATGTGATGCTTGGAGCTGTGGCAGCCATTCTGCAACCATGAGGTGATAAGCCTAAGAAAGAAAAGAAAACACAGCAAGGATGGTGATGCAGAAAAATAGAAAGAAGCTGGGTCCTTGAGCATTTTGCTGAGCTGTGGAACTGTAATAGGTTCATTGCTCAATGTGCGAGGCAAGTCAATATGCTGAGACACTAGGTTGCAGCAGAGAAAGAAGTTTAATCATAGGGTTGCTGGATGAAGAGAAGGGAAGGAACTTCAAATTTATCTCCCTGAGGAGTTTGGGGCTAGGGTTTTTAAAGGATTTTGGAGTGGGCCAAACTGTGGAGATCATTGATTGGCTGAAGAGTACAGGGTGAAGTCATGGGACAGGGAGATGAAGAAGCTGAATTCTCTTACTGATCCCATTCCTCTGTGAAAAACATCCGAAGTGATCCTTAAACAAAAGCCTTATGATTTTTTTTTGGAGGGGCTGTTAACAGCTTTATTGAGACATATACTACACATACCATACAATTCACCCACTTAAAGTATTCCTAGTATCTTCACAGAGTTGTGCAAACTTCACTACAACCAATTTTATAATATTTTCTTCACCTCAAAAAGAAACTCTCTATGCTTTTGCTATCACTCCCCAACCCCCTACATCCCCAAGCTTTAAGCAACTATTAATCCACTTTTTCTCTCTATGGATATACCTATTTTGGGCATTTCACATAAGGAATCTAATATATAGTATTTATGACTGGCTTCTTTTACTTAGCATAATGTTTTCAAGGTTTATCCATGTTATAGTGTGTATCACTACTTTATTCATTTTTATGGCTGAATATTATTTCATTGTATGGATACGCTACATAAAATTTTAGGATTCGGCCAGGCGCGGTGGCTCACACCTGTAATCACAGCACTTTGGGAAGCTGAGGGGGGTGGCTCATTTGATGTCAGGAGTGTGAGACCAGCCTGGCCAACATGGTGAAACCCCGTCTCTACTAAAAATACAAAAATTAGCCAGGTGTGGTGGGGGGCGCCTGTAATCACAGCTACTTGGGACACTGAGTCAGAAGAATTGCTTGAACTCGGGAGGTGGAGGTTGCAGTGAACCGAGATTGTGCCACTGCACTCCAGCCTGGCGACAAGAGTGAAACTCTGTCTCAAAAAAAAAAAAAAAAAAAAAAAAAAAGCTTTAGGATTCTGATGTCAGAGACCCTGTCTGTAGGAGCAATGGGGATGCAAACAGTCAGGATCTAGCACTACCCGACCTTTAGCAACAAGGAAATGGGCCAAAGTGCAGCCTGATTAGTGCTGAATTCTAACTATATTTCTGTCCAGAACCTGGCATGCAACCCTTGTCAACCCTCTGGGGGCAGTGTCAGTTGCTGCATGGACTCTGGGATTGTGTGTGTCTCCAGACTTCTTATCTGAGAGTGAAGAATCTTTATTCCATATGACATTGGCAATTGGGTATTCCATTACCTGCACCTAAAGCATTCCTCCCTGTAGTACAGCAATCTCACAGGGTTGTTGTGAGCATTAAATAAGATAACAAATATGCAAAAATTCCAAGCCTAGAACTTGGTTTAGTGTAGGTGTTCAATACATGCTAATTTCTTCCCTCTCCTCTATTTTAATCTCTTAACTTTAGATTTTTTTTCTACTCTACCAATCTCACAAGATTGTGCT
This sequence comes from Homo sapiens, assembly GCF_000001405.40. Classification (NCBI taxonomy): domain Eukaryota; kingdom Metazoa; phylum Chordata; class Mammalia; order Primates; family Hominidae; genus Homo; species Homo sapiens. The sequence continues at coordinate 366,421 of NT_187663.1, forward strand.
AAAAAACAAATGAGATCATTGTTATTTATTGCCACAATAATGCTGTATAACAAATAGCCACAAAACCTGAGTGGCATACCACAATAAACATTTCTTTAGCCCACAAACGGGAGACACTGTTAACTTGGGTAACAAAGGGGCGGATGCACAGGCCTGTGAATCTACTAAAAGCCATTGAATTAAATGGGTGAATTTTATGGTATGTGAATTACATCTCAACAAAGCAGCTAAAAAGAAAAAAGGAGGATGATTGCAGAGTAGGGAGAGGAGGGAAGAATTACTAGGTGGTGGTGATACCATCCATTTCCTATAAGGCTGCTGGGGCCCCACCATGCAGGACCATTCACAACCCTGCTTGTTAAGGTTTTCTCTTCCATCCTTGAAAATAATCACTGGTTGCATAACGGACGCTGTGGGGAAAGATTCTGCTGACAGCAATTCACTCTGTGGCTGACTTTGCTGGAGCACAAGCCCCCCTATCCCACAGGCCCAGACAGGAGCTGGGATCTCAGTGCATACAAGGAAGTAGAGGCACCAGATGAGAGATGGGAGCATCATCCCAGGGCTGCCTCCTTGGCCAGAAGGTGGCATTAAGGGCTTCTGTCCTGCTGTGTATTTGGAGAGGCAGAGGCATGTGGGAAAGGGAGAAAACGTTAGCGTGTAACAGCGACGAAGGGGCTGGAGCATGGGACCTACAGGGAAGGATGAAATGAACCGGGGTTATGAGCTAGAGAAGAGCAGCAGGAGGGGCAGCTTCACAACTATCTTCAGGAAACAGTTGGGTTATTAACCCCTGCAAGGGGTTATTAACCCCTGTATTAACCCCTGCGAGGGGGCCATGACAGGCTGCTCTCCAGTCTCTTTGAACTTGAGTCTGTAGGAAGCAAAGTTGCTTTCACAGGAAACTGGCAACTGCCTGCAGCATCTGAGCAAGTGCATAGGTCCCTGGTCCATGTGGACATGAGGTTCCCCCTTCCTGTGGAACATTCCCACCCCCACTGAAAAGCAGCCACAGACAGCATGTAAATGAATGGGCACGGCTGTGTTCTAATAACACTTTATTTATAAAAACAGGCCCAGTGAGTGTAGACTCCTGGAGAAAGACAGAACTGGGAGGGCCTCAGAGACCAGTGATTTCTAGTCCTGCCCGCATAGTAAAGTCACCTGAGAAACTTTCAAACACTACTCATATCTGGGCCCCATGTAGAAAGTCAATTTCGTCAACTTTCTGGGGGCCAGACCTGAGCATGGGCATTTATTCAAGTTCCCCAGGTGGTTCTGACATGCAGTCTGGGGTTAAGAGCCACTGCCCCAATCCAACTGCATCATTTTATACATCAGGAAACCGAAGCCCGGAGACAGCCAGCAGGTCTACGTTCTTACAGTCAGTCTGATTTAAGGGACTCCTCCAAAGCGGCAAAGTGCCATTTGGGTCAGATCTCTGACCTGAGCTGCCTCTCGGGGCTGTCATCTTTCTCTCCTCCTGACAGGTGGATTTTCCCATGTAAACTTTAGATCGGCTGATCTAGGAACTAAAATGAAAATGGGGCACCCTGAGGGCCCACTGGGGAACAGAGTTTGGGAGGGAACATGGAGGGCAGTTTTTTGTAAAGGTAGGTTTTAGAGAGAAACAACTCAATTTACTAGCTTTGTGTGACATGGGCAGGTTACCTAATCCAAGACTTTGTTTCTCCATTTATAGAATAGGGCTGATCATAATGTCTGCCTTGTGAGGGTGTTGTAAGGATTAGAAGGGATTATCCATGTAAAATGTTTAGCATTGTTCCTGGCACACAACCAGTGCTAATAAACAGCAGCATTTACAAGTATTTTTATTTTATCTTGGTATTAGATCCATTGCTGTGGGTGCACTTAGCAAAGTCAGAAGCAGGAATCCAGCTGGAAGGTAGAGGGCAGTCCAGGCATGGGCAATGGCCAAAGAAAGGCCATGAGGTGGGGGTGAGCAAGCTGTGATGAGACCCAGCTCTGGGGACCCATTCAAATGTCACCAAACCTGCCTGTGTCCAGACTGCCACCTGGAACCTGCTCCTCCTCTCCCCCAGCTCCTGAGCTTCTGTTCCGCTGTGGTCAGGGTCTTTACTGCACCCTGCTGGATTGGGGAAACTGCCCCTGGTGAGGGCAGGTGTGCCCTGTGTGTTGGTAGCCTCCAAGGGGCCTTGTACCTTGTGTGGCACACAATAGGCGTAGCCAGTCAGGCTGAAAAGGAAGCAGCTTCTAATAAACATTAAAATAAGAGAGGCACAGCAGGGAAAAGCCGTGGCAGGATGGCCAAGGAGCTTCTGTTTGATGCCATGGATGGGAAGCAAGAAGCTGTACTTGGCTGGAGCTCCCCACATACCCCTAAGGGATCCCGTGCTGCTCTGACCCAGGGCCATTTGCTCTGGGAAGAGAGTGCCTTGGTCCTGGGCTGGGACAGGAAGTCTTCCCTGACCATCACTGTCACATCCTTCCATGTGCTCTGCCTGTGGCAGCCCCTCCTCCAGAACTTGCAATCCACCCCGTCCTCACTACTAAGGCCGGGCCCAAGGTGTCTGAGCCCACCGCAGCCACCCTACCTGACACCTGGGCAGCCTTCCCATAGACCAGGGAGCGGGGGAGGAGGGAACAGACCAGTGGGCCTGGAAGGGGACTGGATAGTTGATTTGGGGTCCACCCAATAAGGCTCCAGGTGACTGTAACTGCATTCAGAATCCTGATGCCACCCCACCCAGCTGTACTAACATAGCAGCTTCATGTTCACAGGTGCTTTACTATGACTTGCCTCACTCCAGCTTCTCAAGCCATGCTCTTAACCTCTGATTCCTTTCTCAGGGTTCAGAGCTCTTTTTCAGGTGGGTCACGTGGGGGAAAAGGTTGATTTTTCAGCTGGTGCTGATGTGCCCTAGCCTACCATGCCTGACTGACCCCATTGAGATAAAGGGGACAGAAGACCCCCTGTCTCCTGGCTCCCCAAGACTTGCCTGGAGATTGGGGTGTCATGGGGAATGGCACAGAGAGCACACTAGGTGTTTTTTCTCCAGGCTTGCAAACCCAGCCTGAGGAGGCACCCCATTATCTTAGCTTCAAGGATTGTCCTTCTCCTCCAAGGACCCTCTCCCTGGGCCAGTGTCCCTTCCTCCTTAGTCCCACCAGGGTGGGGAGGCTGCAGAATCCATCTGGAGACAGAGAGCGTGGGATTGATGTGCTGTTTTTAGTTCCGTGGGAGAACTCACAACAAGGGGTTGTAATTTCTCTGCAATTTCCCTCCTTGATGAGGCATCTGTTGGCATGCTGTGAGGAAATTCTCATTGGAGCAGACAGGGCACGTCTATGGAGCCACTTGCATGGGTGTGACAAGGCCTCATCACTGTTTCTGCCTCTCAGAGGTCCTGGGCTTTGCTCTGAATCAGAGGAGCTCTGAATCTGGGGCCCATCCTCCTTCTCTACCTCTGTCCTCCTCCTCTACCACCTTCTCTGCCTCCCTCTCTGGCTGACTCACGTGTGGCCTCCAGCTGTCTCTGCCATGGGTGGCACCTGCCTGTGCCTCGGTCACCTCTTGTTTCTTGCACTGTCCGAGCCTGATGGTCCCCTCAATGGTGACCTCTGAGCTCCAGCACATCCACAAGCTCAGCTGATACTTTCACCCATACCATGTCCTGGAGCTCCAGGGATGAACAGGGAGCCCCCTCTCCACCCACTCACCCTCAGGTAGCTGAGTGCGTGGGTGGGAGGGAAGGCAAGACACTAACGTGAGATGCCTGTGCTTATGGTACAATGCACAGTGGAGTTTGGGAGCTCAAAGAGGGAAACCCTCATCTCTTGGAAGCACAGTGATTGGCAGAGCTGGAGGTCAGACAATTGGAGTTTTGCCCCAGGCCAGCCAAATACACAGGCTATGACATTTGGGGGAAATGATTAGATGTGTGATGGGGAATGTTACACTTACAGGATAGGACATGCTCTCCCATGCAGCAAGTACTTGGCAGGAATGGTTATTTACAATAGGAAGCTCCCAGGCAGTGCACATAATACTATCCTGCTCCTCACTGTCTCCCCAGCCACAACCAGGCACTCCCAAGCTGATGTGAGGACACCTTTATCATCCTTGTCCTGGGCATCAAGGTTGCCAGTTATAGTTCTGGTGGCTCAGGGTGCACCAGGGAGCAGGTGATGCTTTGCCTGAGTCTTGACGGGTGGGCAGGGGTTTGCCAGGCCGGTGAGGGGATGGAGTGCAGGGAGTTCCAGGTAGGAGATGGAGGTGGGCATCATATTCGGAAGAATATACATGGTTTGACCTGGCGAGGGCTTGAGGGTAAAAGGGCAGGAGATGTCCTCAAATGCTGGGTGGAGCCAAACCCTGAAGGCCTTGAATGTCACACTGAGAGGTCATGGCTTTTCACCTCCAGGCCTTTGCTCATCATAGACTGTGCCCCCTCAGGAGCAGGACAAGCAAGGTGCAAAATTTACGGAGACACTCACTCTCAGCCGCACCAGTGCACGCCGGCACCTGATAATGACTGCCTCCTTACTTTGCATCCTAGGTCCCCTTCCTAGGTCACCCTACACACAGCCCTGCTTAGGAGGGAGGTCACTTTCTATTCATCTTTGAGCGTGGGGCCTGAAACAGTGCCCAACCAGAGTAGAAGAGCAAGAAATGCATATAGAATTAATGAACAAATGAATGAACAAATGTTGTTCTCTCTGTCTGGAACATGTTTACCTTCCTCTTGGCCAGTCAAGGTGTGTCATTTTTTTTTTTTTCAGCTTACCTCTTCCCTGCAGCCCCTCCAGGCAATGCTGTCCTGAGTCCTCAGCTCTTATGTTGTATATATGTCCTATTTCCCAGCTGGGTGGTGTTCTTCTGTCTGGAAAAGGACATAGACACGGCAGGTGCCCTGTAACATCTGGGCATCATTGAATGTATCCCAGGCCCTTGGGTGGGAAATAGCCACTGCTGCTGCTGCTGCTGCTGTGAGTTTTGGTTTCCCTCCCTCCACTTCCTTCCCTCTCCTTCATGGGGCTAGACTCAGAGAAGGCTCCTGGAGGTGGTTGCTCCAAACTGCCCCTCCATAGATACAACGCATTTGCTCAGTTCGAGTTCCTGATTCCCCGCTTTGGATGGCTCCCAGCCAGCTGATGCTCATGCAGTCTGGAAGGCTCCAGAGGTCTTCTGATTTGCCCACACCCCCCATCCTCTGGATGGCACTCCTCATCAGGTATGAAACCCATGGGGTCTTGGCTAAAAAAACGAGGTTAAACACAACCACTCCTGGGCTGCAGAAACTCCGCGGATAATCAATGATGTTCCCCAGAAGGGGTCAAGACATTCACATTTTTTTGTCCAGTAGAGAATCTGTTTCAATCAGGAAGCTACTCTTGCTGTCCAGAAAAGTGGGTCAGTCCCCTCCCATGCTCACCTCGTGAGAACAGGGAGGACAGGCACAGGGCATCACGAGGGTAGCATAATTACAGAGTGCCCAGGTCAGGGCGCTGAGCCTGTACATCAAGAAGGAGGCCATGCCCTGGCATCCATCAGAACCTGGCATCCTGCATACTACATCTCAGAGGGCAAAAACCTCCTTGGGAATGCTGTTGCTAAAGAACCAGTGCTCAGGTGAACTTGAAGCAACTGCAGACAGAGAATGAGCAACAAAGGGCTTAGAGACAGTGCCAAACCCCAAACCTCCTGTGCAGCACAAAGACCTTGGGGCCCCCTGAGGAGGTCCAAGCTCCCCCAAATAAGGAACAAACTCCAATTCAATCAGGGAAAGAGCCGGGCATCCTCTTAGCCATTCCTGATAATAGGTTTTTTACTAGCTGTGTGCTTGTTAATTATGCCTGAGTTGCGAGAAAGTTTAAGGCATTGGTAACGAGCTCTGCCATTTACTAGCTCTGTTCCCTCAGGCAAGTTATCTAGCCTTGCTGGACCTTAGTTTCTCCATCTGTAAAATGGAGATAATTCTATCTACCCTCAAAAGGTCTAATGATTCAATAAGTCCTTAGAAAGTCTGGCACATCGTGGATACTATTAAGTATTGCCTGATAAGGATAATCAAAATATTTTCCATATAGTTTAATTACATTGAGCTCTCATTTTGAGTCTGTGAGGGCTAAGTCATTAAAACATCAATCATTTGTACTTTTCATAAAGTCCAAGTTCAAGAACATGTGTAGGTATTACAGCTACCTGAGCCAGGGGGCCGAACCTGACTTCCGAGAGCCAAGATTCTGACGCCCAGGAGGGCAGAACTAGGTAAGCAGCATCCCCTCCTTCCTGGATCCTATTCTTTTAAGGTCCATCCCTGCCAGGTTGGCTTCAAGTCACACAGACACAGCCCACCTTGGCTTTTTCGACCAGGCTGAAGGCAGCCCTAGTGTGTACGGAGTTGGTTCCTTCCGGTGGGTTCGTGGTCTCACCAACTTCAAGAATGGAGCCACGGACCTTCGCATGAGTGTTACAGCTCTTAAAGATGGCACGGACCCAAAGAGCCAGCAGCAGCAAGATTTATTGTGAAAAGCGAAAGAACAAACCTTCAACAAAGCTTCCACAGCATGGAACAGGGACCCAGGAGGTTGCCTGCTGGCTGAGGTTGGGTGGGCTTAGGGGGTGGCTAGCTTTATTCCCTGATTGTCCCCTCCCATGTTCTGTTTCTGTCCTATCAGAGTGCCCTTTTTTCAATCCTCCCCGCAATTGGCTACTTTTAGAATCCTGCTGATTGGTGCATTTTACAGAGCGTTGATTGGCTCATTTTACAGAGCGCTGATTGGTGCGTTTTTCTTTTTTGAGATGGAGTCTTGCTCTGTCGCCCAAGCTGGAGTGCAGTGGCGCAATCTCGGCTCACTGCAAGCTCCGCCCACCGGGTTCAGGCCATTCTCCTGCCTCAGCTTCCCAAGTAGCTGGGACTACAGGCGCCCGCCACCACACCCGGCTAATTTTTTGTATTTTTAGTAGAGATGGGGTTTCACCGTGTTAGCCAGGATGGTCTCGATCTCCTGACCTCGTGATCCGCCCGCCTTGGCCTCCCAAAGTGCTGGGATTACAGGCGTAAGCCACCACGCCCAGCCGATTGGTGCATTTTACAATCCTCTTGTCAGACAGGAAAGTTCCCCAAGTCCCCACTCTACCCAGGAAGTCCAGCTGGCCTCACCTCCAACTAGACTCGGCCATGGGGACCCTGCTTCACCGTTCTGAGTGTCTGCTTCTCTTGGCAATGGCAGAGAAGTTTATCTCCCCTGCTGTGGGGCAGTGGCAAAGTGGAAAGGAGAAAAGTTCAGTATCTGGCAGGAATGTGTTTCTTTAACATTTCTCTGTGCGAGAATGGGAAGAGTGGCACTGGGATGGGTTTTCTGCCATCACTGCTCAGGGCCTAAGAGCCAGGGTGGAGTAGCCCCCTTGCCCTGCTGAACTCGTGAAGGTGAGAATACCATAGGCAGCCCTTGGAGGGTAGGGGAGGGAATGAATAGGGTGGTTTGAAGAAAACTGATCTTGGCTCTGCTGACCCTGGCCTGGGCCAGGCAGCTCCCTAAGGGCATTGTATTATAACTGTTGGTAGAGGGGCTGCAAGATTGTGGGAGCATCCCCACAACCGGGTTGTGTCCAGAAAGTGTTCCCGCCCCTGCCCTTTTTTTTTTGAGACTGGGTTTTCTTATGTTGACCAGGCTGGTCTCGAACTCCTGAGTTCAAGCAATCCTCCTGCCTCAGCCTCTCGAGTAGCTGGGACCACAAGCACGCGCCACCACGCCCAGCTTTCCCACCCTCTTCTTCATCATTTTGCTTTCCTGGCCACAGGAGCAGAGGCTTTTGTGCCTGGCATCTCACCCCTTGGCCCTCTTCCAACCCCAGCTCCAGCAGCTGCCCCTCACTGTGCCTTTTCGGCTCAGTCCTTGCACAGGTGCAACCTGGAATGGCAATGGTGGGAGGAGGAAGTGGGAGGCAAGAGGAGGGGGATAGGTGCTTCAGCCTCCCGGCCTTCAGGGAGTCGATTCTGATGTGTACTCCACACCGCTTCAGGCCCACTTAAGAACCACCTCATTAACCCTCCTCACCCCCTGATTGCTTCACATGGTTGCCTCCCCGGTTAACCACCTGCATCCAAGTTGTCTCTGGCCCTGCTTCCTGGGAGCTGCACGCTCAGATCGCACGTGACTGCCATCCCCGTGAAGGTGATTGGCCAAAAGATAGAGTGTGTCCCCAAGCAGGGCCAATCAGAATCCTCCCCTGGGCAAACACGAGCTGCTCACGTGTAGGCACTGCGTAGGCTGCAGGTGGTGCCCAGCACGTGGAGGCGGCGGGATCTGGGATGTGAGAGAGAGGGTGAGACCCCTGCGAAAGAAGAGACAAGCAGGCGTGAGAGACTAGGGGAGCGTCTTGGGGTTTTGAGCACCTGAGGCTCTGGTTGCTTCCTTGGGTCTATGAGTCCCAGCTTTCCCAGCCACATGAGGTCTAACTTTCCTGGAGCTGGGGTGAACTGGGTCTGTTACTCAACTGAGAGAGACCAGGCTAAGAGAATGTTTCTGTCTTCCCTCAGGAACGAGGGGTCCCTGAGGGAAAGGACTGGGGCTCCTTCATCTCTATGATCCTAGTGCAGTGTCTGAAGGCATCAGGTACGTCATGATGAATGAATGAGTGAATGAATGAGTGAATGAGTGAATGAATGAATGAATGAAGAAAGGAGCGAACGAGAGAGTGGGTACATTGTGGATATCTTTTGCTGTTCTTCCTCCCTGCCATCACTGGGCCTACCTTCAACAGTCTCTTTTCCTATGAAATAGAAACAAGATAATTAGGCTTTAGATGGTGAAGTATTGCAGAGTAAAAAAACTTGAGTAAATGATTCAGGTCCCTTGTATAGGAGAAAAGGTGGGGCAAAGGAAAGATGGAAACCGAAGGCACCTAGTGATGCACACTCTTGATACATTACTTTAAAAATTTTTGACAACCCCACGGAGTAGGCATTATCCCTGTCTTACAACTGTGTAAACTGAGGCACAGGGTGGTCAAGTACTTTGCCTGAGGTTTTACAGATAGTAATCAGTAGACCCGGGGTTTGATTTAAGCCGTTCTCATAGGTGTTAGGTGGTATCTTGTAGCTTTAATTTGTATTTTCCTAATGTCTAATATTGTTGGGCATCTTCTATGTCCTTATTTGCCATCTTGTTTAGTTCATACTTGTTCAAATTTTTTGTCCATTAAAAAAATTGGTTGTTTACTGGTTGTTTATTGGCTTGCTATTGAGTTTTGAGAGTGTTTTTTTTTTAAATTTTCTGGATACTAGTCCTTTATCAGATATACGTTTTGCAGATAGTTTCTTTTTTTTATATTTTTTTAAATTATACTTTAAGTTCTAGGGTACATGTGCACAATGTGCAGGTTTGTTATGTACGTATACATGTGCCATGTTGGTGTGCTGCACCCATTAACTCGTCATTTACATTAGATATATCTCCTAATGCTATCCATCCCCCCTCCCCCGACCCCATGACAGGCCCCGGTGTGTGATGTTCCCCACCCTGTGTCCAAGTGTTCTCATTGTTCAGTTCCCACCTATGAGTGAGAACAAGCTGTGTTTGGTTTTCTGTCCTCGCGATAGTTTGCTGAGAATGATGGTTTCCAACTTCATCCATGTCCCTACAAAGGACATGAATTCATCCTTTTTTATGGCTGCATAGTATTCCATGGTGTATATGTGCCACATTTTCTTAATCCAGTCTATCATTGATGGACATTTGGGTTGGTTCCAAGTATTTGCTATTGTGTATAGTGTCACAATAAACATACGTGTGCATGTGTCTTTATAGTAGCATGATTTATAATCTTTGTGTATATACCCAGTAATGGGATTGCTGGGTCAAATGGTATCTCTAGTTTTTGCAGATAGTTTCTATCAGCCTATAGCCTGTCTTCATTTTCTTAATGGTATGTCTTGAAGAGCAGAGTTTTTTTTTATCTTGATATAGTACAGCTTATCCATTTTTACTTTTATGCTTGGTCCTTTTTGTGCCCTGGACCTGGAATCTAAACCCAGATCTGTGAATGTCAAAGTCCTTCTTCTTATTACATCTCACGTAGTGTTGCCTCAAAGTCTATTCTAAGGCCAGTGCCAGGCACCATGAGAGTCACCCAAGGAGCTTGCTTACAACTGTGGAGAATCTGCTTCTATGGGCCTGGGTAGACCTGGGAACCTGCATATTTTATAAACTCTCCAGGTGACTGGGTGATCAGCCAGGTGTGGAAGGGGCTCTAATGCAGGAACCCTGACACCCCTGAGCCTTTAGACCTGGTGGCTTCTTGGCCTCTTTTCTCCTCTCCTCTCCTCTTCTTTTTCTCTCTCTCTTTTTTTTTTTTTTTTTTTTTTTGGTGGAGTCTTACGCTGTCACCTAGGCTGGAGTGCAGTGGCACAATCTTGGCTCACTACAACTCCACCTCCTGGGTTCAAATGATTCTCCTGCCTCAGCCTCCCGAGTAGCTGGGATTATAGGTGCGCGCCACCATGCCTAGCTAATTTTTGTATTTTTAGTAGAGACAGGGCTTCACCATGTTGGCCAGGCTGGTCTCGAACTCCTGACCTCAGGTGATCAACCCGCCTCGGCCTCCCAAAGTGCTGGGATTACAGGCATGAGCCACCACACCTGGCCTTCTTGGCCTCTTTCTAGCTGCCTCCTGTAAAGTGCTGGTGATGGTGACATTTCTAGGTCTGTTTCTTATGTGTCCCTTCCCCTGCCTTCCTCCCCAGCTCCTTAACACAGTATTTGACATTCAGCAGATGATGAAGACATGCTTTTAAACCAAGCGACCCACTCTCTACCAGTAGAGGCGAGTGGCAACCTCACTCCACAGCTGGCACTAAGCGAGCCAAGTAGAAACCATATAATTACTGACCTTGGTTTAGAGTGCTCTCCTTTAGCTCCTTCCCTCCCCAGCCGTGGGCGGCCACTTAAGCCGGTTGCCTCACCCTCTAGCCCAGCCAGAGGCTTCCACACCTAGAGAAACTGTTATTTTAAAGTAGCTCCAAGATTGGCTCACGGAGTTGAAAAGGACACTTGTGTAAGTGAACAGCTATGGCAGCCTCCAAATAAAAGAAAACTGGATTAATTTGGAACAGGGGATGGGAGTGGGGAAACGAAGTGTGTTTTGGCTTAGGAGCAAAACAAGCATCTAGAGGTTTAGCAACTTTCTCTGGCATGTCAGATTGTGACATGTCATAGGGTCAGAAGTGAATGCTGTAGGGTGACAAAGATGGTCACCTGCTTTCCCCCAGCCAACTGGGACTTCTTGGGGAACAGAAATGATTTCCTTCCCCCACCCTCAAAGGGAGCAGCAATAAGAAAACTAAGATCTATTGCCAGGGTTTTATATTTTATTTAATCCTTCCAATAACCCATAGGGTCAATATTATTCACATTTTTCACATGGGCAAACTGAGGCTCAAGAGGTTATAAGGATAGCCAGGATATGCTGGAGCCAGGATTAGGAATGTAGCAGAGGCTGAGCCATGTAATAAAGAGGCCTCAAAATACACTGCTTTAAAGAATGTTGACAGTTATTTCTTCCTCATAAAACATCTCCAGGTCAGTAGGAAAGCTCTGCTCCAGGCAGTCACTCAGGGACTCAGGATCCTGCTATCTGTGGCTTCACAGGTTTCTGGAATTGGGGTCAGCAATCTTTTTCTGTAAAGAGCTCGATTGTATTTTAGACCATGCAAGGCACGTGGTCTCTGTCCTGACTACTCAACTCTTGTATTGTGACAGTAGACATAGACAATATGTAAATCAGTGGGCATGGCTGTGTTTTAATAAAACTTTATTTACAAAACAGGCTGGATTTTTGGTTCAAGGGCTGTAGTTTGTTGATCACCATCCTAGGAGGGTGGTTCTCAAAGTATACTCCCAGGGAACTAGCAGTATCAGGGTCATTTGGAAACAGAAGTACAGCTTTTGCGGTGAGTGCCAAGGCCCTACTGAATTAGAAACTCTGGGGTTGAGACCCAGTGATGTGTGTTTTAACAAGTCCTCCAGGTGATTCGTATGCATGCTGCGGTTTAAGCATCATCACTGTTATGGGGTCCTACCTCTCAGCCCTGGCTGCATCTGAGCATCACCTGGAGAGTTTTAAAAACTCCTAATGCCTGGGCCATATCTCAGGGCCATTACCTTGGACTCTCTAGGGGTGGAACCAGAACTTTTAAAGCTGCCTGCTGATTCCAGAGTATTGCAAAGCACTGGCCTAGAGCGGCGTTATCACTGGTGTGGTTAAAGCTGGCTTGCCACCTGGCTTCCAACCACACCTGCTTCTCCAAGGTGGGGCACCCAGTGCTCCCTGAGATCTGGGTTTTGGTTTTTTCCTTTGTCTTATCCCCCAACCCCCTGGCACCCTGGCTCCTTCCTAGAAACTCTCTATGGGGCTTTGTGATTAGGGAGGACCTCAGTTCAAGTTTGTCGACTAACCGATCTCTGGTTAGGAGTGTTGCAATACGGGGTTGGGGGGATGACCTGTGCGGGTGAAGGAGTGTGGAATGGAAACAAACCAGGAGAGGAAGGAGGGAGGGGAGAGAGCAGGAGGAGGACTTGGATGTAGAAGCACCTGGCACAGTGGCATGTCACCAAGATTCAGTGAAGGCCAGTTCCCTTCCCCGCCTTTTCCTCCCCAGCTCCATCCAGCACCTGGTAGGTGCACAGCCTTCTGGAGGGAAGGGAATGCTATAGGGTGACAAAGAGCAGTCCCTGGGTGCTGCCAAGCCTTCCTTTATACAGTGAGCACTTAGCGTTGACAGTGTGCCTGGTAGTACAGTTGTCCCCCAGTATCTGTGGGAGATTTGTTCCAGGACCCCCATGAATACCAAGATTATCAGGTGCTCAGATCCTTTAGTATTCTAAATGCTTTATATGAATTAATGCATTAAATCCTCACGGCAACCCGGAGGGTAGGCACTGTAATTACCTCCATTTTACAGATGGGGAGCTGAGGCTTTAAGAAGTTAGGTGACCTGCACATGGTTACACAGGTGGTAAGTGGTTGAGCCAGGAGTCAATTCAGGAAGTTTGGCTCCAGAGCTAAGCTCTGCTGTCTTCTCTTCATAACTGCAATGGTGGCCTTTTTTTTTTTTTTTTTTTTTTTTTTTTTTTTTTTTGAGACGGAGTTTTGCTCTTGTTGCCCAGGCTGGAGTGCAATGGTGCAATCTTGGCTCACCACTACCTTTGCCTCCCGGGTTCAAGCGATTCTCTTGCCTCAGCCTTCCAAATAGCTGAGATTACAGACATGTGCCACCACGCCTGGCTAATTTTTTTTTTTTTTTTTTTTTTTTTTTTTAGCAGAGACGAGGGTTCTCTGTGTTGGTCAGGCTGGTCTCGAACTCCCGACCTCAGGTGATCCACCCTCCTTGGCCTCCCAAAGTGCAGGAATTACAGGCGTGAGCCACTGCGCCTGGGCCCGTGGTGGTATTTTTATTCCCATTTTACAGATGAAGAAACTGGGGCCATGCAACTTGCTCAAGATCACAGAGCCAGGAGGTGGTAGAGGCAGGACTCGAACCCAGATCTCCCTGCCAGCAAAGCCCTTGGATTTGCCAGCTTGCCCCACAGCCTGCATCAGGTTCCCCTCCCTTCTTCCCTCCATCTGTCCACCCAGCTTATTCTGGGTTTGCACGTGTGGGGCTGACTCATAGGGAGCAGGAGAGCCCATCCTCTGGAGTGAGAAGGCAGATTTTATTTCTGTTCAGAGCATCTTGGGCTGGTGCTGGGAGAGCTGCCAAGCCCAGCTGACACATTTTCTTCTGCCAAGGCTACTGAGTGGGTGGGCAGCCCCGGGGGGCTCTAGAGGGCCCCAAGACACCAACTCCTCAGATGTGTCTCAGCACCTAGGGGAAAGATGGGGATACCTGCTTCCTCTGCCTTAACTGCCATCTCTTTCCCTAAGGGAGTTTCCTGGGGCTAAAATTCCAGTTGCTAAAATCTTCCTCATTTCTCTGCTCTGGTCCAAAGCTGAAAGGAACCCCAAGAAGCCATTTGTTCAAGGCTTTTGCTTTTAGGCAATCAAGGTAGTCCTGGTTGTTCCCATTTTACAGATCACAGAAGCCAGCTGTGGTTCTCACTGGCTTGTCCTCCTTCCCGTTAGCCCTATGATACTTCCCAAATGTCCTTTTTCCTATCAGATCATTTCTCCTATCAAATGAGCATAAGAATCCCAGGGCACTTGCTAACTTTCTGGATCACCTGTCAGCTGCTGTAAAAACTTAGGAAGCAGTCGGTTAGAGCTGGGGCCCTTTACCAGATGCAGTGGCTAATGCCTGTAATCTCAGCACTTTGGGAGGCTGAGGCAGGTGGATCACCTGAGATCAGGAGTTGAAGACCAGCATGGCCAACATGGTGAAACCCCATCTCTACTAAAAATACAAAAATTAGCTGGGCGTGGTGGTGGGCGCCTGTAATCCCAGCTACTCGGGAGGTTGAACCTGGGAGGCAGAGGTTGCAGTGAGCCGAGATTGCACCACTGCACTCCAGCCTGGGTGACAGAGTGACACTCCATCTCAAAAAAACAAAAAAGAGCTGGGGCCCTTTAACAAGCACTGCAGGTGACTCTCATCATCTGGGATAATGGGAAATACTGGCACACAGAGACCTCCCAATGGGTGCCAGGATTCTCCCCCACTTAAGGTTCAAACCCCGACTGACTGTCTTAGCTGTGCCCCAAATTGTTACAATTGCCCCCCGCCTCTTGGATGAGTCTTGTGGGTTTGGCGGCTCATTCCCCTCCAAGCCCAACTCAGGCCATTAGAATGGGGCTGCAGGATGGTGTGGTGTGCCTGCATCCCCCACCCCGCCCACCCTTGCCCCTGGCCAGTCCTGCCTTATCCTCCAGGGGCTGTTCGCTGAGGATCATGGAGACCTTGGCAGTGTCCTCAGATCTATGGCTATCTTAGCCTCACTTCAGCCAGACACGCCAACACTCAGGGCTCCCCATTTGCCAAGGGTCCCTAGCCCATTTGTTTCTGTTCTATGTAAGAAAAGCCAAAAGTCACTGGAGAGGACATTTGTTTCAAGTTGTGATGGTTTCATAATATGTCTAAAAATTCGTTGAGCCTCCTTCCTGAAGTGGCAGAGCCTAATTTTCCTCTCCTTGAGTGTGGGTGGACTCAGTGACTTCCTTCTAATGCAGAAAGTAGAAACAAGAATATGTGACTTCTGAGACTAGGTCATGAAAGGCACCATGGCTTCCTTCTCTTTCCTGGATT
This sequence comes from Homo sapiens, assembly GCF_000001405.40. NCBI lineage: Eukaryota > Metazoa > Chordata > Mammalia > Primates > Hominidae > Homo > Homo sapiens. The sequence goes on from NT_187663.1 coordinate 381,648, forward strand.
ACTCACTGCAAGGGAAAGCCAGCTGCCATGTTGTGAGGATACTCAAGCAACCCAGTGGAGAGATGGTGAGAAACTGAAGCCTCCTGCCAATAGCTAGCGAAGAAACGAGGCCTTTTGCCAAGAGCTGTGGGAATAAGCCATCTTGGAAGCCGAACCACCATCCCCAGTCAAGCCTTCGGAGAACTGCAGCCCAGGCCAATGTTTTGTCTGCAACCTCATTAGAGACCCTAAGCCAGAACCACCCAGCCAAGCTGCTGCTGAATCTCTGATTCACAGAAGCTGTGAGATACCAAACGTTTGTTGTTTTAAGCTACTAAGTTGTGGGTCATTTTTTAAATGCAATGATGGGAAACTAATACACAAGTCAGGAGCCACAGCCTTCATCGACAAGCTGAGTGGGTAGGTGAGAGGACTGAGGCAGGCGTGGTACCCAAAGACCTGGACAGAGAACCAGCATTTGTCAGGATGGAGTGCAGTGCTTGGATGTGTGTCCTTCCATTTACTGTTAGTGCTATTACCCCTGTTGTCCATGTCAGGAAACTGGGGCTCAGATAGGTCAGGTCATGTGACCAAGGTTGCCGAGCTCATCGGTGGCACAGCCAGGATTTGAGCCCAGTCTGTCTGCTCTGGTCCATACTTTCCCACTCTTGATGCTGTCTTGATGATCTCAGTGATTTTTGGGCAAGACCCACCGCTTTTGGGGCTTGCATAGAACTTGAGCCGACTGCATGCATATTGATGAGAAGGTTGAACCTGGTGCTCTCTGGCCCTGGATTCTCTAAGTAAGGTGTGTGAACCCTGCTCTCATAGCCTTTGCCCTGTAGGGTGCCCCAGGGTAGGTCAGCTCTGTCTGCTAAAGATCTAGTGAGCCAAGGATGAGGATGTGACAGCTTGGCTTTAAGAGCTCCTGTGCAAACGTGTAGCTTCCTTCAGCAATACCATCTCCTGATTCTCCCTCACAGACATGTGTGCCCAGGTCTGTTTGCAATGACACCAACATCACCCCTGCCCTTGGCCTTGCCCCTCTCTTCACCTCCGTCCTGATTCCTGCTCTGTAGCCACACAGATGCCAACAGCTGGCACTTGTCCAAGAAACATGTGCTCAAGGTCAGGTGCAGTGGCTCATGCCTGTAATCCTAGGTTTTTGGGAAGCTGAGGAGGGAGGATTGCTTGAGGCCAGGAGTTCAAGACCAGCCTGGGCAACATGGGGGTCCTTGTCTCTACTAAAAAAAAAAAAAAAAAAAAAAAAGCTGCACATAGTGCCATGCCTATGGTCCCGGCTACTTGGGAGGCTGAGGCAGGAGGATTGCTTGACTTAAAGAGATTGAGGCTACTATGAACCATAATCATGCCACTACACTTCAGCCCGGGTAACAGAGCGAGACCCTGTCTCAAAAAAAAAAAAAAAAAAAAAACAGAAAAAGAAACGTGCTTGGGGTAATGCATGTTGACTCCATCTTGTCACCCAGAGCTCAGCAGGAGGCACCTTCCTGGGAGAGTCAGATCAGGAGTGCACAGGGCTGGACACAAGCACCTGGGGCAGCCTCGGGAAGCTACTGCTCAGCGGCATCAGAAGATCCTGCCCCTCTCCCGGGGCCTGGGGCATTGCACTTGGCATCTGAAGCCCTTCCTCCACACCCCCTTCTGCAGGTGGGGGCAGAGCCCACTCTGGGATGCCTCCCTCTCCACAGCTCCATGCTTTGATGGGACACTCCCCTGCCACCTCTCTCCCAACCACAGCTTCTACCATAGCCATGGCCAACAGCCTCCATTAGCCTGTGCTTGCAGGACAGTCGAGGGGCTGCCTGGAGCCTCCTGCAACTCCACCCTCATCCTGCTCCACCCTCTCCCTGAAGAACCTCCACAGGCTCTTTGGTCCTGTTTGTGAGGAACCTGGCCCCTCATCCTGCTATTCAGGGCCCTCCAAGCTCTTTCCTGGGCCCTACACCGCACCATCCCTTTTCACAGCAGCCTCTTCCTAAGTGGTTTGAATTTTGGGTCCCCAGGCCTCCTCAAACTGAAACCCCATCTGTAGACACCCTGACTCCCCTCCACCCACCTCCCACACTAGAAGTAGAGGAAAGGCAGATGGATGGGGTGTCTGCCCAGCCTGAGGGGCAAGGTGTGGGGACAGGCAGGGAGGGCAGGCCCCAGGATGGACAGATGGACAAGGCATCTGGCTCTCCCTTTTCCTGAATGGCCATGGGAGGAATGAGGTTGCCACCCCATGCCTCTCACAGAGATGCTGTGAGTGTGAATGAGAACAGCTTGTGAGGGGTTCTGACAGGCATAGCCTGGTGCGGAGACCTTTTGTAACCTTCCGGACCTGGCATTGAACCAGAGGACGGATCATGTGACCCATGTTGCTCGGCCCTTTTAGCCTTCCCGGCTCATGGCTCACATCCCAAATACCCTCACGCTCTGCAGGCGCTCTTAACCTGGGGAGGGGTATGGATTTGTTTGAGGGTAGGAGATGCATTGCCTGTCTTAAATCTACAGCTGTATGCACAAATACTTTTTTATTTTTTTCTGGAGTGTTTGCCGCTTTTCAAAGGCTTTGCGAACCATAAAATGGTCTAACTAACTTGGTACCAGCTTTCCAGTCTAGGCCCACCTGGATGTTTACTCCCAGCAAATCTGGTTTCCAAGCTTAAGGGCTGTCAGCATCCATCCTGATGAAGCACTCGCCTCTTCACTTTGAAATTCTAACACCTAACCTGCTTCAGGGAGATCTGAGATCAGATCGGCACAGTGGGTACATCCTCTATCCTTCTCCTCCTAGGCTGACCTCAGTTTCCCTGCATCCAAATGGATCAGTGTCGGGTTACAGCTACACTCCAGGCTACTGACAATGTTCCCAGTGACAGGTAAATCTCCATCCCATGCAAACATCTTGCATCTGAGCAGCCCCTTTCCAAAGATGTTTTCTTTTGTTTCAAACACGAGGGCTTCTGCCTTGTGCAGGAGTTTTAGTGTGTTTCCCAGAACAGAACTCAGCCTCCTAACCTTAAGTATAAATAGGGTTGTTCACAAGCTAATGACTCTGATCATGGCAAGATGACTTCTATCTTGATCTCACCTAAATTCCTCCTCAATCCGTCTTTAACCTGAGGTCTGAAAGCTGACCACAGCATGTTCACAAAAGCTAAGCAGCAAAGAGAAATGGCTTCCCCAAAGACTGTCCTATCCCAGTACAACTTTGTCTTCTTCTTATTATTATTTTAGATGGAGTCTCGCTCTGTCACCCAGGCTGGAGTGCAGTGGCGCAATCTCAGCTCATTGCAACCTCCTCCTCCCGGGTTCAAGTAATTCTCCTGTCTCAGCCTCCCGAGTAGCTGGGATTACAGGTACCCACCACCACGCCCTGCTAATTTTTTGTATTTTTAGTAGAGACGGGGTTTCACCATGTTGGCCACACTGGTCTCGAACTCCTGACCTTGCGATGTGCCCGCCTCGGCCTCCCAAAGTGCTGGGATTACAGGCATGAGCCACTGCACCCAGCCATTTTTTTTTCACATATAATAAGTTCCTGAAAATGTCTAAGAATATAAATGTATCAAAGTTAGATAATAATCTTACACTATGCAAGAAGGAGGAGAGCCTGGCGGTTAAGAATGTGGACAGTGACCTACCTACACGGGCATAAATCTGCCACTTCCTAGGTGTGTGGCTGAGACCTCTCTGTGCCTCAGTTTTCTGAAAGACGGAATGATTATAGAAACCACCTTATAGGGTTCTTGTGCAAATTAAGTAATATATATATAAAGCGCTCAGAACAGGGTCGTATGCACTGAATATGTTAATAATTATTATTTTATGTTTTAAGGTGGATTCTATACTCAGCTAAAAATAATGACAACTCCCTAATTATATTTTGCTTCTAAGAACATTGATCACTTATAATTTATTTCTAAGGCCTTATTTTCTGGCTGAGTGCAGTAGCTCAAGCCTGTAATCTCAGCACTTTGGGAGGCTGAGGTGGGAGGATTGCTTGAGCCCAGAAGTTTGAGACCAGCCTGGGCAAAATAGTGAGACCGCCATCTCTACAAAAAAAAAAAGTAAAAAGTTAGCCAGGTGTGGTGGCACAAGCCTGTAAGTCCCAGCTACTTGGGAGGCTGAGGTAGAAGATCACTGGAACCCAGGAGGTCAAGGCTGCGTAGGCCATGATCATGTCACATCACTCCAGCCTGGGTGACAGTGAGACCCTAAAAAAGAACAACTATTTTACCCCTCACACATGAATCCAGTCAACCAACTTGAGTTAAATGAACACTGGGCTAAAATGAAAACAACTTTCATTTTTTATTTTTATTTTTAATTAATTAATTAATTAATTTTTTGAGACAGTCTTGCTGTATTGGCCAGGCTGGAGTGCAGTGGCACGATCTCAGCTCACTGCAGCCTCTGCCTCTCAGGTTCAAGAGAATCTCCTGCCTCGGCCTCCCAAGTAACTGAGGCCACAGGTGTGCCACCATGCCCAGTTAATTTTTGCATTTTTTAGTAAAAGCCAAATTTTGCCATGTTGGCCCGGCTGGTCTCAAAACTCCTGACCTGAGGTGATCCTCCCGCCTCAGCATCCCAAAGTGCTGGGATTACAGGCATGAGCCACTGTGCCTGGCCTCATTTTAATTTTAATTATATTAACTTTTTGAGACCCTTTCTTGTTTATTACCTAGTACCTATACTTTAAATTTTCCATTTTTGCTCATTTTTACTATCAATAAACACAACAACATATTCAAACAATTGCATCAACAGGCTATACAATATGAGCCAAGTGGAATAGAGATACTTCAAAAATGGGGCTGCTGGCTGGTAGTTTATGTCACCTCATGACATCCCAACATATTTGCCAGTGGATGTGAAAAAGTCCAGATTTGGTGAAGAAAAATCAATTTAGGAATGTCAAAGTCCAAACCTATAACAGTGGTGATGGTTCAAAAGCCAAAAATCCTTGAGGCTGGGACGTATGTCTGGGTTCATGTCAATGATCTTGTTGGAAGAGCAATTTGTTACCATGAAGTAGGAGACAGATAGTCTTCACTTTGATAACAGACCCATTCCAAGAGAGCTGGCTATAAAGAAACTATTCATAGTGTGAGTCACATTTTTTTAAAAATTCCATTATAAAACTAAGACGGTCTTCTAAAGGAAAATGGAGAGCTTTGAAAAGTTTTGGTGGATAGGGCCAGGTCTTTGTCATGCTGGGATTATGGTGAGAGAGATTTGAAAGCACTTTTAGTAATTGCTGTTCCTTCCTGTAGCTGAAGCTTCAAGGGGAGCTTCTTTTCTTTTTTCTTTTTTTTTTAAACACAAGTTTCCACTTTTATTAGTTTTATATAATGATGCACCAAGGTTCGTCTTGGGCCTCAGAATTTAGCTAATGTATGTGTTTTCTTTTCTTTCTTTTTTTTTAAATTTTATTATTATTATACTTTAAGTTCTAGGGTACATGTGCACAACGTGCAGGTTTGTTACACATGTATACATGTGCCACGTTGGTGTGCTGCACCCATTAACTCGTCATTTAGCATTAGGTATATCTCCTAATGCTATCCCTCCCCACTCCCCCTACCCCACAACAGTCCCCGGTGTGTGATGTTCCCCTTCCTGGTCCGTGTGTTCTCATTGTTCAATTCCCACCTGTGAGTGAGAACATGCGGTGTTTGGTTTTTTTGTCCTTACGATAGTTTGCCGAGAATGATGGTTTCCAGCTTCTGGAAATACGGTGAAATTTACGGCAGACTGCCTAAGTTTACAAGGAGCAACAGATACTCCAGGCTACCTCCTCAGTGTGGCCTGATCCCTCCCCCTTTTATTCTCCTAGAGAGTGTCTCACATTATAGCTGATAACACTCACTAATGTCTCCATTTCTTTTTTCTTTTCTTTTCGTTTTTTGAAGACAGGTTTGTTTTGTTGCCTAGGCTGGAGTGCAATGGTGCAGTCATGGCTTATTGCAGCTGTAATCTCACAGACTCAAATGATCCTCTAGCCTCAGTCTCCCAAGTACTTGGGACTGCAGGCATGAGCCACCAGGCCCAGCTAATTTATTTTTATTTTCATTTTTGTGGAGACAGGGTCCCTCTATGTTGTCCAGGTTGGTCTCCATCTCCTGGGATCAAGCAGTCCTCCTGCTTTGGCCTCCCAAAGTGTTAGGATTACAGGCGTGAGCCCCCGCACCTGGCCTTCAGTTCTTTTTCACCACATTTCATTGTGTCCTTTTGCGATTGGGGTTTAGATAGCTAGAGGTGGAGTTCTTTACTTTCCTGACAGTTAGGGTTTATGCAGTCTTGGTATGCTCCCTTCTTTGATGGCTACATTCTGGAAGCTGGGGAAGACGCGTGTAAGCCTGAGCAGTATGTCTGGCACCGAAACATCAAGAGAGCCCTGATGCCACCCGAGGCCTTCACATGTTGACGAGATGGCTATGTATACACAAGGGCTCCTGCGGCGGGCGGAGTGGGGGATGCCATCACCAGATAGAACTTCATAAGACAAAACATCAAATTCCTTCCTTCCCCTCTCTTAGTAATGGTCCGCCCTATTTAATCCTGGGATGTGAGTTCTTTTGGTGATGGGGGTTTGCTGAATTGATAGGGAATGGTGCCAGTGGTTATGTCCGAGTGGCATTGAACCATAGAAACATTTCTGAATGTTTCTTCTATTTCTATCCCCTAATCTTTTCATGCCACTAGGCATGTGAGGCCAACATGGCCTTCTAAGCTTCTACAGTCAGCCTGGCTGCCACTGTCCCTGCATGATTTTGGCGACTCTAAGGAAGTCCCAGAGACCAAGGAGAGTCCAGTCTTGTGGTCCTGGCCAGAACTGAAATTTCACCATTGACTTTGTCATCGTGCTGTGTGCTTCTCCAAACCACAAGGGTTCCTCCTGCTTCCGGGGGCCTCAGCTCTATCCTTGCAGCTCTCGTGAGCCTCAAGTTCTCATGCAGTTTTCAGATTAGGTGGTTCCAGGAACTCACACCTATCTCCTTTCTCCTGTGCCATTGTCAGAGATGACAGCAGATCATGTTCCACAGTGGGAATGGCCAGTTAACATATGCAACACTTCCCTTTGAAAGCACCTTAAGTGGAGAATTCTAGAAAATAAACCAGGCTGGGCATGATGGCTCATGCCTATAATCCCAGCACTTTGGGAGGCCGAGGTGAGAGGCTGCCGAGGTGAGAGGCTCACGAGGTCAGGAGTTTGAGACCAGCCTGACCAACATGGTGAAACCCTGTCTCTACTAAGAATACAAAAATTAGCTGGGCATGGCGGCACACACCTGAAATCCCAGCTACTCAGGAGGCTGAGGCCGGAGAATTGCTAGAACCCGGGAGGCGAAAGTTGCAGTGAGCTGAGATCATACCACTGCACTCCAGTCTGGGTGACAGCAAGACTCCATCTCAAAAAAAAAAAAAAAAAAAAAAAAAGAGAGAAAAAAACTTGCCCACTTTCATCAATCTTGGAAGCTCAGACCTTAGTAAAATTTATTTATTTCAAAGAAGGTGCAATAAAATTGTTCAAGCCCACTTGGAAATCCATTGTAAGAGGTGCTGGCATTTTGAAAAATCATTTTGCTGATTGCGAGAGTAATACATGCTCATTGCAAATAATTAAGAAAATACAAAAAGGTACATAGAAATAAAATCTCCCAAGATGTTACCTCTCAGAAATAACCATTATTAGCATTTAATATGCCACTCCTTTTTCTGTGCACAGCAATTTATAAAATTACATGGTACTTTATCTACAATTTTTCATCTTGCTTTTTTCACCTTAAACAACCAGAACATTCTTCCATGTCATCGTCTACTCTTCAAAAACACCGTTTTAATGACTACATAATATTTCATTGTCTGGTTGTACCAGGATTTATTTAGCCAGTTCTCTATTTGCAGGCTTCTAGGAGGTTTCTTATTTTTCATGATTATAAATGATGCTGCAGTGAATATTCTTGTCCAGGAAATCTTTATCTGGGTTTCTGATAATTTCCTTAGAAGAGATTCCAAGAAGGGAAATTGTGGAGTCTCAATTCTGCTGGGTGTTACCTGTCTCCTATGGATGCTCAGAAAGGCGGAGTGGCTCCTGTTACCCTGAGTGGGTAGCATTTCCTGCCGCTAAGGCCTCCTAAAGGCCTAGACCACACAATTTTTATTCCTGCTGGGGAGAGATGGAAAAGGGGCCCCTGAGCCTCCCCAGACAGATCCCAACTACTCACCTGAACCTGCTCCGTACAAAGCAGAGCATCCCCCTGCAGGACTCATTTCATAATTAACTTAGAGACTAAAGCATATTTAATTAACCATGGAAACCCTCCCAGCCATCTGCCTCTGTTTTTATTTTGAGGAAAATGGCAGATTTTTTTTTTTTTCCTTAACTCCCTCTTTTTGGGGATGGAGCTCATTTCCAGCATCTTGGTTCTTGTATAGAGCTGGGTCCTCTCCCCTGCTGATGGCCACTCCAGAGTGTCAGAGTCAGGGGTTAGCTTGAGGTGGGAGGCTGGGTGAGAGGTTGCACAAGGGCCTGGGCTTGGCCTCTAAGGCCAAGTCCCTGCCTGGGGTGAGCTCAGCCAGGCAAAGGTGGCACCCATGCACTACAGTGTGGACCTTCAAGGACCTAGCCTCAGACTCTTGGCTGCTGTCCTAAACTTACAGGGCTGCAGAGAGGGGCAGAGCTCAGAGAAAGAAGCCAACACTCTCATTCCACAGGTGAGGAAACTGAGGCCCAGACAGGCTCCAGGTCAAGCCTGAGCACAGAGATTTTCAGGCCCCTTGTTTGCTTCTTTGTTGTAGCCTCAAAGGAGTGGGGACGGCTTTGATTTCACTGCACTCCAAGGTCAGGGGATTTAAACGGAGTTCTGGGGGCTGTAACAGCCCACAATGTTGGAGCACTTTGAAATGTGCAAAACGCGTTTGCAGATCACATCTCGCTGAATACTCAACCCAGGCTCCAGAGACTCCGGGGTCACGTGACATGCATATAGTCACACAGCTGGTGAGTGTTGAGGCTGTGATGGAAACGAGAAGTGCTTTGGTCTGAATTCCCAATGTAGCAGAATGGCTTTTGTTCTCACAGTATTCGTCAGAGGCCCTGGACTGGGAACTCATAGCGGAAAGGCCTGAAGGAATATTAGTCCAGTTATTTCTAGTGACATCACCTCCTCCAGGAACCTTTCCTGGGCTATCGCCCCAGGCTGAGTTGGGAGGGAGGGCTGGATCTCTGACCTTTTATCAACCCCCACACACCACAGCATTATACCCTAGGGCGCAATACTTCATGCTATACTCCAGGTTCTAGCAAAGGGTCTGGCTTATACTAGTTGATCAGTAAGTGGTATTGAATTGAATGAGATCAAATGTGGACGCCGGTGTAATTGCTTCAGCGCCTCACTTTTCCTTCCCTCAGGAGGTCATCTGAGAGCTCTCTCGGGGTGGATGTCACATGTGCTTTGGGATGGTCCCCAAGGGCTGCCATATGGACCGATCTATGTGCCAGGCTGGCCATGTGCCCCGGATCCTGGAGCTGTCAGAAGGGCTGGAGATCTAGCCCACAGACCCCGGCCAGGTAGCATCACCTTTAATAGATGTGTGGCCAGGCCTGGCAGGGGACTGGGGACATCTGCCACCTGTGCTTTTAGTAAATCATGCCCACCCTCTGAGACTCATTTGCTCCTCTATCAGATGAAGGCAATTTGATTGGACCCTTCCAGCCCTGATGATCCATGTCCTATGACTTTATAATGTCCCCAGGCAGGGGCCAGGAGTGGCAGAGAACCAATCCTCCCTCCCAAATCAGTTTTGGGGGTTAGTCCAGGAAAGCTTTCTGGAAGAGGAGATCTTAGAAATAACTGGACTAATGTTCCATTGGACCTTTCCTCTGTGAGCTCCCAGTTCAGGACCTCTGATAGGGACCAGGGCAAAAAGACGGAGAGTCAACTCCAGCCAGAAGTCAGAAAGCTGGAGCTGCTAACCAAGCTAAAATGTATCCTGCATAGAAAAGACAGTAAAGTACCAGGTTTCCTGGAGCCACTTTAATGTTCCTGCCAGGCTGAAAATCTCTCTCCTTTTAAGATATAAAAGATTTGCTCCCTGACACTCATCTTCAATCATTTTCTGTCTCTCTTCAGCCACTACAGCCTGCATTGAAGGCGAGGGAATCCACGGTGATGAATTAGGCATCTGTAGATATTTCTCCAGAGCTGCATCTGTTAAACCCAAAGCAGGTCTTGGCTCCACTGAAATCAAATTCAACATGAAAAGCCCTCAATGTGGAGCCCTGGGGCACCCCCAGCCCAGAGCCACGCTGCAGCCTCCCCCTGATCCCCGCTCCGTGGCACATCGCACATCACATGGGCCACCTATTCTGTAAATTACTGTAAAATTCTAGTAGAGAACTTATCTTTTTTCCTATCAAGAGAATGACCTACAGAATGAAAAAATAATTCAATGGAGGAAGATGAAAGTAAAATGCAGCTTCATTCAGGGAGCTTTTGGGAGAGAAAAATAGAAAATGCCTCTGTCATTTGCTTTTAAAAATCAAGAATGGGGAGCATGTAACTCTCTCCAGTAAATACAACTAGTAATACAAATGCTCTTTAGTTGTATGCTGTGGCCGGTTCTTGGAGAGAGGCTGAAGGGGAAGGAGGAGGAAGGGGCTCAAGAAGTAGGACAGGGGGAGAGAAGCAGCCAGAAACAGGTGACTAGAAAGAAGGAAAAAAAAATCAAAACTCCGTAAAAGAGAGGGCATGAATGACAGTCGCAGGCAAAGCAACACAAAAATACAGACAAAGAGAAGCATGCACACATCACAGCCCAGCCACTTGATAGGAGAGAGACGGAGATGGGGAGGCTAGAGGAAGAGAAGCAGACACAGAGAGGGACATGGGAGGGAGACAGGCGAAGATGGGCTCAGCAAGCAATACAGCTATTTAAAAGCAACCAACACCACAATCGAGGCTTGTTTTTGTTTTTAAAGAAGCAAACATTATCAGAATTATGTTTTCCCAGCATTACTTTTTAATGTGTTTGCATTCCTGTCCAACTTTGAGAAGCTCAGGCATTCTTAAAAATCCATTCTCCTCATTTGCCACCCAGAGAACTCCTCGTTAACAGTTCCCGGCAAGGAGATCTCACACCTCGTGCTGTAACCTTTTCAGATGATGCCGCTGAAAACCTTAAAGTACTGTTGTGTTTTCACAGTGCTGTTGTGTTTTCACGTGGTCACACCTCTCTGTGCAGCTCTATGGGTGCCTTTTGCTCAACCCCATCCCGCCTTTGCAGAGACCACAGATTCAGAATCGAGGATGATCCAGCCAGGGCCAGAGCTGACCATTCCATGCTGCTTGGTGACAAGGTTTGCTCAGCAAATAAGTAATGAAAATAAGATGACAGCGGATGTGTAGAATGAATGAAAAGAAGGAGTGCCAGGCCCTCCAGCCGCATCATACCCAGTAAAAGCTTCCCAAACCTGCCAAGCGCTCTCGCACCTCGCTGCCAGAAACTCCTCTTTCCTCCCCTGCCTCTGCTGTGGGAAACCCTTCCCACCCATCGTTCATCAATCAATTCATTGTATTAAGCATCTCCTCTGGGAATTTTTTCCCAACCCTCCTCCTCCCTGGGGGTTAATCGTTCCTTCATTTGGCTTCCTGTCTTGCTACCTCTGCCATAGGTCTTAGCATATTTCATTAGAGCAAGATTTCTCAACCTTGCCCTGTTATTTTGGGCCAGATACTGCTTTGTTGGAGGGCAGGGAGGGGCTGTCCTGTGCACTGCAGCTTTAGCAGCATCCCTCTCCTCTGCCCACTGGATGCCAGCAGCCCCACTCCCCTGGTCGCAACTACCAAAACAATCTCCAGCCGTTGCCAGATATCCCTCAAATCACACCCAAAGACACCAAGTGAGAGCAGTTGTTGGGGGTGTCAGCCTCAGAGACAGTGTGGCCTCTGGAGTCTCAGTGTTAGAACAGTGGATGGCATAGAGGAAGCACCTGGATTCTGTAGAAGAAGAATCCGGATGCTTGGACTCTGCCCGTGGGTGGGTAGATAATGAACTGGCCAGTTGCACACGAGCCATGTTGATCGTTGAAACAGGAGTGTTGGTGCATTAGGTCCAAAAGCAAATCCACCAGTCTATTGAATGATGTGTGGGAGACACAAGGAATAAGAAAGAAAGCATCTCTGTTTAAGGCTTTTGTGATCTAGTTCATCAGAAAAGGCCTGTAGCCACGGGACGCTGATGTAAGAATAACGGGCAGTTTGTAATGAGTTCTGAAGCAGTGCAGGTTCCTCTACATGGGTTTAGGTATTTAGAAAAGGGGAAGCCAGGGTGGGCTACTTTTCCTGTGGAGGGCCTAGGGGGCTCCATGGAACTTGACCAGGGCCTTTAAAGATGGGATGGACTTGAGGTTGCGGGGTGAGTGTGGTGTGGCTTACAGCAGAAAGTGTTTACTCCAAGGGGCAGATCCAGCCAGGCCCATAAGTTGGGTCTTGATGCTAGGAGGCCAAGTCTCTTCAAATATGTCCTGAACAGCCTGCAGCAGGGTCGCCTGGGGTTGCTGGTCATAAATGCAGATTCCTGAACCCCCCAGGCTTAGTGACTTGCTATCCCTGGGGTGGGCCCAGGACCCTATTCTGTTTTTTTCACATGCCCCGCCACCCAGCTGATTCTGATGCTCTGTGAAGTTTGAGACCCATTTCCTTGTGGTTGGTGGGGAGTGATTGAACAGTCCTGGTAATAAACTTGGCCTTCCATTGTGTGTAGCCTGTAGGGTTGACTTGGTCCAGCAGAGCAGTTAAGTACACAGGTTGTAGTGCCAGGCTGCCAGGGTGCAAATCTTGGTCCTGTCATTTCTAGCTGTGCAACCTTGGGCCAGTCACTTGAAATCTCTGTGCCTCAAACTTTTCATCCATAATATGGGGTTAACAAGTCCCTACCTCACAAGATATTTGGGAAAATTAAATTAAGTCAAACATATAAATGCTTAGCATGGAGCCTGGCAGATAGTAAACACTCACTCATAAATATAAGTCATCACCATCATCATTATTTTAGCATTTGAGGCTTGCAAAGAGTTTGACAAAGCTGAAGTCTCCTTTATTAAAAATGTGGTCTGTCATCCATGGCCCTCCTCTGCTCCCCTCAGCTTGCCTCTAGTTCCTCCAAAACCTGAAGTTTAATTGCCTGAGCCCTTCTCCAGGAGGAAGATGGACCCTGAGGTGCTCTGAGTGGAGGAGCAGTGTTGGGACGAACAAGGGAGTGTCCCTGGCAGTGTCAGGCCCCTCCCAGTCTTTGGCTCGGAGAGGAAACACTTCTTGCCTCCCCAGCCCTGGGATGGACATATTGGAGGCCCAGAACATCCTTTTGCCACTACCAGATGGCCGTGCCACTCCTCAGCAAGTCTCTCCCAGAGGGAGGCCTGAGCCAGGGCAGAAAAGAGGGAAGAGCAGAAAACAGCTCCGTCTGTGGCAGATGCCATACCCCAGTCTTCTGGTTTTTTGTTTTGTTTTTATATATTTATTTATTTTTTTTTTGAGACAGGGACTCACTCTGTCTCCCAGGCTGGAGTGCAGTGGCATGAACTCGGCTCACTGCAACTTCTGCCTCCCAGGTTCAAGTGATTCTCTCACCTCAGCCTCTTGAGTAGCTGGGACTACAGACGTGCACCACCATGCCTGGCTAATTTTTGTATTTTTAGTACAGATAGGATTTCACCATGTTGTCCAGGCTAGTCTCAAACTCCTGACCTCAAGTGACCCACCCGCCTCGGCCTCCCAAAGTGCTGGGATTACAGGCATGAGCCACCACACCCGGCCCATATCCCAGCCTTCTAAGAGTATAATGTGGCGTTCAAAACCTGGCACACATGCCTTCCTTAGAGTCTTACAATGACCCCAGGAAGTGGGTGGGGAGGCCTTGCCCACCCATTTACAAAAATAACAGCTTTTTGGAGATAAAATTTACATACCATAAAATTCATCCTTTTGAAGTATACAATTCAATGGCTTATAGTATATTCACGGAGTTGTGCAGCCGTCTCCTCTAGCCAATTTTAGAACATTTCATCACCCCCTAAAAAGAACATTTTAATCACTCCCATTTCCCCCTCCTTCCAGCCCTTGACAACCACGAATGTCTTCTCTGTCTCTATGGATTTGCCCACTCTGGACATTTCATATACAAATGGATTCATGCAATATGTGGACATTTGTGTCTGGATTCCTTCACTCAGCACAGTGTTTTCAAGGTTCATACATGTCGTACCATGTGTCGGTATTTTTGTTCCTTTTCTTTTTAGTACTTTATTCCTTTTTATGGTTAAGTAATATTCTGTTGTATGGACATATGACATTTTGTTTATCCATGCATCTGTTGATGGACATTTGGGTTCTTTAAACTTTTTGGCTATTATGGATAATGCTGCTATGAACATTCACATACAAGTTTTTATATGGATGTACATTTTCATTTGTCTTGGGTATAAACCTAGGAGTGGAATTGCTGAGTCATAAGGTAACTCTATGTTTAAACTTTTGAGGAATCACCAGATTGATTTCCATGGTGGCTGCACCATTTATAATCTCAAAAAAAGGGCATAAGCATTCCTGTTTTTTCCATGTTCTTGCCAGTACTTATTACAGGTTGAGCACCCCTAATCCAAAAATCCCAAATCCCAAATGCTCTAAAATCTGAAACTTTTTGAGTGTTGACATGATGCCATCAGTGGGAAACTCCCATGTGACCGCCTGCAGTCAAAACACCATCAAAACCTTGTTTTATGCACAAGATTATTTAAAATACTGTGGAAAATCACCTTCAGACTATTTGTATTAGGTGTGTATGAAACATAAATAAATTTCATGTTTAAACTTGGGTCCCATCCCCAAGATATCTCTTTATATATATGCAAATTTTCCAAAATCTGAAAATTTTTGGTCCCAACATTTCATGTAAGGGGTACTCAACCTGTATCTGTCCTTTTGATTACAGCCGTCCTATTGGGTGTGAATTGGTATGTCATTGTAGGTTCACTCCTTATAGATGAGGAAATTAAGGCTCAAGAGGCAAAGCAACTTGGCCAAGTACACTCAGATAGCCAGGGGCAAAGCCAGAATTCAAACCAGACACATCTCACTTCAACATCCATTTTCTTGTTTTCCTCTTACATCAGGCAGCCCTCCAGCTGAATGATTTTTGTCTGTGCCTGGCCCAGTCCCTGAGTCCAAAGTGGTTTTTAGGATTCACATCGGTTACAGGACCGGGCCATGGTCTGCCCACCTGAAGCTGACCACCTGGTCACTGTTCACTCTCCCAGCCAGTCTGCCGGCCAAAGTCCATTGAACGCCTACTGTGTGCCGAGCTCAGGAGCTGTAAGTAGATTAAGGACGGCACAGAGCCCACTCTCAAAAATGGACTGATTGCTTTTAATGTGTCTCATCAAATGAAAGATGAAATTTTAGACTCTAGATTTACACGGTGCCAGAAAAGTGCAGAAAGCTGACCTGGGAGGAGAAGTGAAAAAGAAGAATGGCAAGGGACCCCCGGCTGGAGAGTTGAAGGGCGATGGCCTGAGCCAGTTTCAGAAAGATTTGGTGCCAATGCTGAGGGCCATGGCCAGGAAGAAGAGGACCACGTTAGAGAGGTAGGTTGGAACTGCTTTCAGGGATGGGGTTTAGCAAGAAACTGAGGAGCAATTAAGAGGGAAAAATAAAGGAGTCAGAAGGAGGAGGGGAGAAAGAACAAGGGCTAATCTGTGTAATTATACAAATATACAGCTTCCATTTAGCAGGCCTCTCTGAGGGGCAGGATCTGTGCTGAGCGCTTTGCATACCCTGCAAGGTACATTGTTAATATTCTTATTTTATAGACAGGAAACTGAGGCTCAGAGATATTAAGTGCTTTCGCCAAGGAATACAGTTGGTAACATTCAATCAGACTTTAAATCCTATTCTCTTAACCACTCGAACGTCTACTGAGTGAGTAACCAAGGGATGCTTATGAGGGAACGTGCCGTCAGGGGTGCTGGAAATAGGAACCAGGCTCAGCTTTCCCTCTGGAAGGCTGGTATTTTTGGAAATAGAAATGCTTTGGAGCTAATGGTTTTTCCTGTAATGGTTTCAGCCTGTTTGGGGTTTTCACGCTTCAGTTTACAGTCTGAGCCACTGGTGTGTACTCATTTATTCCTTTTTACAGGAAAAAAAAAAACCCCAATGAATTTTTGATCAAATTGAGCTTGACTATTTGACCAGTGAATCAGAAAGTCTTCCAAGTCTTAGGAAGGAGGTGGAAGTGAAGATGGAAAATGTATACCCATCTCTCTTCAAGAAGGTAGAGTGAGGGAGGCCCCTCCTGGGGGTTCTGGGACAAAAGGAGTGGAAATTAAACCCACAGGCTGTCTGCAGCAGGATCACCAAGCGCTCTAGGTCATTGCGTCTCTCAGGGGATAGCAACTGGTCAAGATTCTGCTGGTACATCAAACATTCAGCTGCATGATGATGGTCTAGACCAGGGCAGCACATTTTTCTATAAAGAGCCAGATAATTGTAGGCTTTGCAGGACACCTATGGTCCCCATCACACATTTGTGTCTTCCTCCTTCCCCTTCCTCATTTCCTTCTCTTTCCTCTTCTTCCAGAAGCATTTAAAAATGCAAAAAAAAATTAAATTCTTAGCTGGAGGGCTATACAGAAAACAGACTATGGGTCAGATTTGCCTGATGGCCATAATTGGCCAACCCCTGGTCTAGATATCTTTTGGAAACTAACTTGGATGAATTGCTTAACTTTCTGGAGCATTATATAATGTATCTATTGAACACCTACTGTACACATAGCTTCATACCAGTTGCAATAGAAAGAACACAAAGATAAATGAATGAAGAAGCTTTGCTGTAGCTGCTGTGGGTGTAATGTAGGGGAAACAGCAGCAGACCTAGAGCCAGAAGACTTGGATACCAAGCCTACTTCAGTCCCTGAAGAGCCTGCAGAGCCACATCTGTAAATGGGGAAAATAAAGCATCCTTTGCCTGATTAAATAAGCTCAGGAGTAAAGTCATTTTGAAAAGCACTACATAATAGGAACTATATTTAGAGAGTTGAGGTTACACATGCCTATGAATAGTTGACTCACAATATAAAGACTGTATAAAGCTATGATGTCAGAGGTGTTAAGAGAGAAAAGAGATTGACACACTGTCATATAGGACTCCCTATGCCAGGTACTCTCACCTGTGTTAGCCTGTGAGTGATTTAGGCAGTGTACCCATTAGAATTGGGTTTGGCTGCTTCCTACAGGAAGCCCAAAGTAAAAATGGTCTAACCAAGACAAAAATATAACTCTTAGCCTGGGCAATAAAGTGAGACCTTGTCACTATTTTTAAAAATTTTAAAAATAGCCAGGCATGGTAGTGCACACCTGTGGTCCCAGCTACTCAGTAGGCTGAGGCAGGAAGATGGCCTGAATCCAGGAGTTCAAGGCCACAGTGAGCTTATAATTGTGCCACTGCACTCCAGCCTGGGTGACAGAGTGAGACTCTGTCTCAAAAAAGAAAGAGAGAGAGGGAGAGAGAGAGGGAGGGAGGGGAGGGGGAGGGGAGGGGAGGGAAAGGGATGCTGTCATTTGAAGTGGAGGTATGCAGTCCAGAACGTGGAGAGCATCCCCACAGTGTCAGGAACCCAGGGTCCTTCTCCTTTGCTCCATTATCCTTGCATGTAACTCCCATTCAACAAAGACATCTCATAGGCCAAAATGGCTGCTTGACCTCCAGCCATTACATCTGCATTCCAGGCATGTGAAAGGAGGAAGGAACAAAGAAGAAAGGGCTAAAGGACATATGCTAGGAGCCTTTCACAAAAATGTACTGGAAGCTGGCTCCAAATACTGCTCCTTATATCTAATTTGCTATACTTAGCAACAAAAGAGACTGTGAAAACCAGTCTTTATTGTGGGTGGCCATGTGCCCAGGTAAAACTACAAGGTTCTGTTTTTAAAGAGGAGGATAATCAACCCTGGGATAAGCAACTAGCTATGGCTATCATAGGTAACAAGTTCATAGAAAGACAAAGTCAGGGAAGGCTTTATTAAGAGAGTGAGATAGCATGGCTTGAGGAAATGAGTTGGAGGTCTGGAGGGAGATAGTGGGCAAACTAGTCTAGTCTAGACTACTCTTGTAGAGGAGGTTTCAGGTTTTAATGCTGGAAAAGATACTAATTAAAATAATACTATAACCAGTTGGGTACCCTACCACCTTGGGTGATGCACCACCCCTTGATGACTTTGTGACTCCTCAGAAGCTCCTCCCCTCCTCCCCCTCCTCTTCCCCTTCCTTCAATATGTCACCCACACAGCCTTCTTCTGCTAGGGCTGCCACTTCCCAGGAGGTGGTCCTCAGGTCTTCCTGAGTGGGTCCCTCAATGCAGCTCAAGCCCATCCACCTTCCCCTGCATCTCCCAGTCCTTGGAGAGACTTGTATCTTTGCTGCACTAAACTCTACAAGTGAGGATTGTTTCCTGCTCAGTACTCTCTTTCTCTCAGCTGTAGACACAGGCTGCTCCAGTTCTCTTGACTTGAGACTCTTTGGGAGGTGACTGGTTGGGCCCTAGTTTCTGTGTTCTTCCAGCTCTGCGGGTTGCAGGTCAGGTTCTTCCCTATATCTCTCATTCCAGCTCCATGACGGCATCCAGCCAGTGGAACACCCACAGTTAGCTTGGGGAGATGGAGATGGGGAGGCCCTGGGTCATCCCAGGCCTCACTACTAGCTGAGAAGTCTAAAAATCCCCACCTCCCTCTAATCACCTCGATGAACCTCTAGCCTTCTCTTTGGCATGGGCTAAGGTGTAATGGGGCAGGGGATGCAGAACCAGTGAGGGACCATTCTCAGCAAGTCCCAACTGGATGGTCTGGCATCTCCCTTCACAGTGTGTGGGCAATTCACACCTGAAGTTCTCAGCCTTGGGACCTCAGAGGAGATTCTAAAACAACAGGGCAAGCCCCTGGTGAATGTCCTCTTAAATATATTCCATTTATTGACTTCTAACTATGTGTCAGGCACAACTAACCCACTACCAATGAAGTCTTTACAGGTAAAGAGACTGATGATGGTGGAAAGGCAGGTGAGGACTGGACGATTCCAGAAAGAAGTCATGAGAAATGAGGCCAGGAAAGAGAGGTGGAGGCAGATGGCAGAGGCTTTAGTGCGGGACTGAGAAGCTCTGACCTTCTCCTGTAAGTGCAGGGAACCATCGAAGGATTCTAAGCATATGTGACGTGGTCTCAGTTGTGGTTTTGGAAACTATCTCCAAGTAGAGTGTGGGAAGGATTGGAAAGAGAGGGCCAAATGTCTTTCCATTAGAGCGTGAGTCCTGGGAAGCAGTGGAGAGGGACTGGGTATGGGGAAAAGAATGAGGAGGAAGAGGAAGGAAGATATAGGGGAAGAGAGGAAGGAGAGGGGACAAGAGAAGGAAAGGGGAAGAAGAAGGGGGAGGAAGAAAGCGAGGAGATTTGATTCCTCTCTTCCTCTCTTTCCTGTCCTCTCCTCTCCTCTTTTTTTCTTTTCTTCTCCTTTTTTTTTTTGAGACAGAGTTTCACTCTATCGCCCAGGCTGGAAAGCAATGGTGTGATCTCAGCTCACTGCAACCTCTGCCTCCTGGGTTCAAGCAATTCTCCTGCCTCAGCCTCCTGAGTAGCTGGGACTACAGGCATGCACTACCATACCCAGCTTTTTTTTTTTTTTTTTTTTTTTGTATTTTTCATAGAGACAGGGTTTCACCATTTTGGCCAGGCTGGTCTTGAACTCCTGACCTCAGGTGATCCGCCCACCTTGGCCTCCCAAAGTGCTAAGATTACAGGCATAAGCCACTGCGCCCAGCCTGGTCCTTCTATTTCATTTGCTCAACAGAAACATACAATTTGTGAGCACCCACCACATGTGAGAGGGGCTTGGACAAACAAGGTGGACCATCATGGTCCTTGTGAGAGCTCATAACGAGGAAGGGAAGAGGGAAGAGGATGCCAATTGATGTGTACAGGGTCCTCTGGAGCTGACAAATGGCCTTGACAAATACTATCTCCCTCCATCCCTGCACCCGTTCTGTAAAATAAGCAGGACAGACATGCTTATGCTCATTTCATAAATGAGAGAACTCAGCACTGGTTAACTTACTCAGGGTTCTACAGCTGGGAGAAGGCGGAGCTGGGATTCAAATCCAGTGCTGTTTCTGCTACATCAAGTACACACAGGAAAGGTACCCAGAGCTCAAGGGGAAGGTAGAATTTGGCAGAGTGATTAAGGGCTGGATTCCGGAGTCCGACTGTCTGGCTCCAAAGCCTGTCTCCATCTCGCTGTGTGTGAACCGTAGATGAGTTTCTTAACTCTCTATGCTTTAGCCCCTTCACCTGTAACATGTGAAGAATGGTGCCCACCTCCTAGGGTTGCATGAGGCTCACATAAGCTATAGTTCAGGCCTGGCCCAAAGTAAGCACTCTGAAAGGGATTCTGCCATTACCATTACATTTTGAGGTGGGTGGGTACAGGGAGGTGGTCCAGGCAGAAGCAATGAGCCATCTCAAGGGGAAGTGCAGGGACCCAGGCCACTGTCAGGACCTCCTTTCTGGGCCCAGACCCCCTAGATGCCCTGGACCTAGTCTTTTGCTTCCTCTCCTGTATCCTTGCCCATCATCCTCTTCCTCTCCCTTTCTTTGTTCCATCCATTTCCCCTTTCTTCCCTGCTGATCCTTGCTCAGTTCTGTTGAGCCCTGGAGGCTGAAGACTGTGCTAACACTTCCCCACCACCCCCATGTGACTATGGGCCAAGAACCAGCCTTCCAAATTGCTTTGACATCCACTGAGGAGCATGTTCCAGGAATATCAGCTGTTCAGCCGGTCTGCTAAAGGGCATGGTCAGAGCACCTGGCTTTTCCTGTGGGGAGAGGCTTCTGCAGGCAAACGCCTCTCCCTCCTCACTGCCCCTTATCCTGCTTCCCAGTCTGCATGGTCTCTTTTTTATTAAAGGAGACTGGGAGAGAGGCTGAGAGAGAGGGAGGGAAATATTAGAAATATTGTCACAACCTGCTCCCCGGCTTCACAGAAGGTAATCATCAGGAAAGAGACGAGAAGAGAACTGGGCTCTGTGGTTATCTCAGCTATTAGTAGGAGATTATTTGTTCATCAGCCTGTAAAAAGTTCCCAGCTTTGGCAAAGGTAATTACCAGCCTAGGTGGCTGGGCCAGGTCGGGACATGGGGGGAGGTGAAGCTGTCATTTCCAATTCACCAGCCTCCATTTGCTGTTTGGTCAAGAGGTTCAAATGAAAAGGTTAATTAAGAATCAGAGGATTTGCTCATCAGGTTAAGTCATGTATACACAGCACAAAGGGCATGTCTATACATGATAACTGCTTTTAAAGAAACCAATTCAATTCAGCATGCATTTGTTGACACACTCACCTCCCCCACCCCCAACACACTTACAACCTCTCGGGGTTAGGTGTGTGCTAGCCTCTTTGTTTGTTACAGGGGATATGATAGCCGGTGAGGTATGGGTACTTGCTTGGGATATATGGCTCCCTCTGCAATGGAGATCAGCCCACAAATGTGGGGGCTCCAGTCAAACTAGCTACTTGCCTACTGTGTGTCCCTTGGGCAAATAACTCTCTGTCTTGGAGGAGGTTAGAGTAGATCTGCAATTCCTAGTCATAATAGTCTGCGGATTGGGGAAAAGGAGATGCAATAGAACCATTCTGGACAACTTTTAAAAATATACTCCCTACAGGAATTCTGATAGTTGCCCTTCTCCCAATTTCATCCAAGTCTCTTGGTACATGTAGTGGATGCTGTAGAATGTCAACCTGGTCCCTCCTTCAGGATTGAGGTCCTCACTTCTCCAGTTGCAGCTAGGAGTATTGACAGATGATGTCTCTCAGCTAGGTCCCTCTCTAGGAATTGCCTCAGCCAAGGAGAGCCAAGTTCACTTCCTTGGGGCAGCCTGCATCAAACTGTGGATGTGGGGGTGTAAATACCCATTCCTTTTGCTTCAGGACAGGACAACTTAGAAGGCCATCCTAGCTCCAGAACTCCCGGTAGGCTTGGCTGGGACCCTTCATCCCAGCTCAGTTTCTCTCTCTGCCTAATCCCATTTCCTTCCCTCTCCTCCACACCCCCTTCCCTCTCCTCCCCACCCCAAGTTGTTGATGCCAAAAGCAACCTCAATAAATTTCCTGCATGAAAATATCCATTTCAGAGTCTGTTTCCCAGGAAACCCAACCCAAGGCAGCACACACAAAAAATTGAGACTCACCAGATCCAATGATCGGCAGGAGCCGTTCATCCATTCAGCAAACGAGTGTTTGGCACCTATGTTAACTCTAGCCCTAGAAGACGTCCTGGGTGAGGAAAGATTCCAAGTGGGCCTCAAAGAGTGGGCAGAGTGTGGAAGGAGGAGGAGAGGCAATGAATTTAGTGGAATCATTGTGTGTTTTGGAGTGCACACGTGGAGTGACCAACTAGATGTCTGAAATTATCCTGGAGTGCCGAATTACTAATTCCAGCTCTGGAGTGTCCCTATCTGACCTTTAGTGGGTGCAGGATTATTGCCTGTGGAAAATTCTGTCTTGCTTCTGCCATGTGTTATGTCCCAATGGCAACCTGTCCTCACACCCTACCTTTAAAGAGGTGATCTGTCTCCATCTCACAGCCAACATCAACAAGGGAAAGCTCCTACCTCCATGGTATTATTTGCAGCCTTTGTTCTGAACCTATCAATCGCTTCACCCTCTTGGAATCTTCTCTGAATTGTTCCTGAGGCCTCAGCTGCCAGCCTCTTGCCCTACCCCCTGACCAGGGCCTTGCAGGCTCTCCTTGACCCTGATGACTGATGTTTCCCTCCCAACCCTCAGCCTTTGACTCCCCACTCATTTATAATCCAGACACATTCTTCATCACATCTGTCTTCTGCCATGCCAGGGGTCTCCCCAGCCCAGCCTGTCCCAGGCTTTACCTCAGCACTGCCCCAGATGGTCAGGTGCTCTGCTGGCCTATAAGCCCTGTGACCTCAGACTGACTGTGTAGTGTTTAGAGGGGGATCTGGAGCTCTAAAAGGAGTTGGGGATTGTGACTATGACTGGGGCACATGACTGAGATGGTCCTCTTATTCTAATAACAGCAGGAAATGCTGTTAGGTCACCTCCTTTCCAGGGTTCTGCATCTTTACTCCCACCTGGCATAGTTTGGCTTCTGGCTTCCAGTCCAGTATCCCCAGGAAACAGGCAGACTTGAGCAGAGCTGAATCCTCAGTGAGGCACTGGAGACTTTGTCTTAAAGGAAATCAGGAAGGAGAGACACAAAATAGAAAACAGCCTGGGAAGAAGGGGTTCTGTCCATGGTTCTGAAAAAACAATCCCAGGAATACTGTGATTACTTGCTGACCTTCCACCTGAGGCTCAGCGCTCAGCTGTACATTGTGAGGAGCCCAAAGGACATGGGATCCCAGTTCCTGCCATAAAAGGTCCTTTAGGCAAGTTGGACACAATAAAACACCTACATGAGAACACACAGGAATAATTCTGAGCAGTCCAAATAATGATGGGTCTCAGAAAACTGCACATAGGAGAGTTCTGGCTGCCTTGATAAAGGGGACCTTGAGGCAAACCCCATTTTAGGCTCTAGGCCCTTTGAAGAAAAAACCACTTTGTAATGAAATGCTCTTTCTTTAGTCACCATACCATTCCCTGCAGTATTTAAAACCTAAAGGTCTTGGATATAAAACTAGTTTATCTAAATGCAGCAGTGCAGCAGTTTAAATTTAGGTGCTAATGCTATGTTTGAAATGTAAGCATACCATTGGCTTTTAGTTATGTCTTTAAAAAAGGATTGGTGAGTCATTTTTGTCTGGGTGCCCCAGCTCCAGGCCATATGGCCACGGTCTCTCAACCCTTGCTTGTCATAGTCACACAGAGCTGACCCTATAAGCAAGAGGCTCCAGAGCCTCACTTTCCAGGGCAGCCTGAGGCCCTGGGACATGTACACAGCAGCGTGTCTGCCACACCCACTGCTGATGGGAGTGCGCTCCCTCCCCAGGCGCTGCTCTGTCCTCAGCATTGTGAGGATCTTAGTATGCAGAGACAACGCATGGCCTCCCTGCTCTGCTCCCAGCAGGTGCCCTCCCTTGCCTTGCATGAGGAAAGGCTGCAACTTTGAGCTCCCTCTTTAGCTAGGGAGCCTCCCTTGCCTCCCTCACTGGGTCTCAGGAGGAAAGAGCTTGCGTACATCTTCATCCAGCCTCTGTATCTTTGTGGAGGTCTTCTCATTCACAGACAAAAGGAACTGCTTTAGGTCTATCTTCGGAATTGGAAAAATTAATATTCATAAGACAAATACCCTGATCCCTGACCAACCTGATGTCTGAGGGGCAGATCACACATCTATTGACCTCAGTTTCTCCTTTAAAACAAGAGGAGCTGACTGGATGATCAAACAGGTTTCTGCTGATTCATCCTAACAGTCTCTGAATCAGAAGGAGTGGGATGAGTCCTTCTTTACCTTAGATAAATATGTACCCTATCCATCTACCCCACTCCCTGAAGTCTTACCTCCCTGAGAGCCAATACTCAGGGAATTCTGTGTCCATGAGAACACTTCTTTTTTTCCTCTCATCTGGGACTGTTGCTCTCTATTCCATTTGATTTCCTACCTATGGAACTGGGGTAGAAAACATGGATCCTATAGGAACCCTTCACTTATCTCTCCTGAGACCTTCACTAGAGCCAGCCTCTCTTTTGAGCTCTGCTTTAATTTCTTCTAACTACCAAGAGGAAGGGCAGAGGGCATGTCCTGCTCCACAGCCTCACCACCTTGGGAAGATAAAAAAAGAGAAGAAAGAGTCGATTTCCACTCTTCCAGACAAATCCCTCATTTCAAAACCTTCAGGAAAAAACTGGGTGATCCCAGGAGGAGGCTGGCACACAGGGAAGGGTGTGGGAAAAAGACATAAACCTCAATTCAGTGGGTGGTAAAGATTACCCAAGAAGGTTTCTCAGAGAAGCTATCAGAACAGGCATTGAATGAGGATCTGTAGAGATATAGGGAGAAGACAGAGGCATACCTTGTAAAGACAGAAGCAGTAATTGGCAAGTCACTTGTATTTGGGGAGCGGGAGAGTTCCAGTGGGCTCCAGCGGGCTGCGGGAAGAGAGTGAGATGCATTTGGCGAGATGCAGGATTGTGGGGCGGGCAAATGATGAGGGCCTTGCATGCTGGAGTCTATTTTCTGCAATAGGAACAAGAAGGACGTTGATCCTGATGCCGGGTCTCTGTGGGTTGGGTGTTTGTCCTGGGACTCCCAAACTTGGGGAGAATGTAGGGCTCAGACATAAGTTTGTGTAAGTGTGTGAACATGCATGGGAAATGCAATGGATACAGAGTTTCATTTGAGCCATTCTGGCTTGGTCCAAATTTATTTTAATTTGGTCAAGAGTATGAAATCCACATTACTAGTCATTGGTAACTCAAGCCGAGGCTCCAGTGACTGTCAGGCTGCGTGATTGCTTCCCTGCAAGGACAAAGGAGAATGAAGCTTACATGCTTGGTAAATATTGGGGTGGGGAAGAGAAATGGATGTTTTTTCTTTTCAGTCCATCGATTTTGTTATTCTCAATTGCTGTCCCAGTGGACCCACATGCTCCACACATCCCTGAATATTCTCTCACATCTGGCACGACTTGGGACAGGAGCGGAAATGCTGGGAGGGGTATCTGGAGAAGAGTCTGGAATGCTTCTTGGAGGTTCAGCCACGTTTGAATGTGCAGCAGGACTGCCCCAGCCACTCAGGGCCAGTCATCTCTCACTCTTGCTTCCAGTCCCATTTTCTGCCCTACTTTCCAAATGTGATAGTTGCTTTTAGTAGAAATCCACAAGCATTTGCCTTCAGGGCCTCCAAGAGCTCCCCTTCCAGTCTCCCACTGGCTCCCCCTCCACCTGCAGCAACACAGGAGCCAAACCTGGGATTTACCACTGCTGCCCCATCTGCATCAGGGGCCAGTCTTGGGACCTGCAGGAAGGGTGGGGAAAGTATGTTGGGCCTGTTGACATAAGTGAGTCACTGTGAGTGGGAGCAGATGACAGGGAGAGTATGACTCAGTGAAGGGAATACAATGTGGGTGAACACAAGGGGTTTGCAAATTTTTACCTGCCCAAGGGAATGTGGAAACTCAGGGGACTTGGAGCAGGCCCAGCTGGTGCTTACTGATGCCATGTTGGCCCAATGGTGCTGCTGTTTTCAGGTTCTCTCTGGGTAACCAATACGTATGTGGTAGTCTTCCTGAACTTGTCTCTTCTGCATTCTTTGGTGACTCCTTGTATCTTGACCCCTTTAGTCCTTCTTTGCCAGGGAGGGTGGTGAACAGAGGCCTCAAGGAATCCTCAGCCAGTGTCCCAGCTACTGGGTCCACATCCATCAGAGGAGCATGGAGCTGGGACCAGTGTCTTGATCTGAGTTTCAGAACAGAGTCTGCCATAGGGAAAGGCTCTTAAGCATCTGACTTAGTCACTGAACATTGTGATGCTCTGCATAGGTCTCTCTTTTTGGAATATGGGAAGAGGGACAGTATCCTAGATGCTAAGGGCTGCTGCCTTCCTTCTTTGGCCAGCAGCTTGTTGGGAGCAGGAGAGTAAAGTCGTCCAAGCTATACAAGGAAGAAGAGCAGGGGAACGCTGCCACAAGCCTCATGACACTGGCAGCCACCTGCCTCAGGGCCTTTGCACATGCTCTCCCCCTTCCCTTCACATGGAAGGCTCCTCCCCATACACCTGCATGGCCAGTGTCCTCACCTCCTTTAGATCTTTGTTCAGATGTCACATTTTTGGTGAGGCTTCCCTGACCACAGTATTTAAAATGCCACCCTACCCACAGCATTTTCCGTCTTCCTTTCCTGCCTTATTTTTTCCCCATATGCCTTCTCACCAACTAATATACTGTTACTCATTTACTATGTTTATTTTATACCTCCTCCTATTAGAATGCAGGCTTCATGAGGATAGGCATTCAGTCTGTTTTGTTCATTGCAGTATCTCCAATCCCTAGAACAGTGCCTGGCACAAAGAAGGTTCCCATTAATCTTAGTTGAAGATTTAGTGAATTGACCAAGAATATTCTGAGTGCTAGTAGGAAAGGTTATATGCCCAGGCAGGGGTTACCCACTGCAGAGGATGGAGTGGACAAAGAAAGGCTCAGACTGGGATTCAGGGGAGCTGGGTGCAAGCCCCAGCCCTGGCCCTCTCCAGCAGCAAAGTGGAGATAAGCCAGCCCACTCTGCATCCTCTGGGTAATGGAAGTATCATCACTTTGTAAATTATAAAGAGTGGCCTGTATGGCTCTCATCCTGACTCCACTGTGGTGTATGGGCTGACCCTGAGTTGCAGTGTGATCAGATGGGGTTGGGGTTAGTAGAGAAGGTTTTGTGGAGGAAGTGCGTCTTGGGATGGGCTCTAGATATGCAGGGAACCGCACTGGCAAAGGCCCAGAGGAACAAGGAGTTTGGGGTGGGAGACAGGCAGGGCCTCTGTGGAGATTGTTCTGATGCTAATTCAGAGGCACCAGGGACTAGGGAAGCTTCTGCCTTTCGTGGCCACAATTCTCAGGCTAGTTGCCCGGGTGTGAGCTATAGTCTGCTCAAGCCGTGCTTGTTACAGGGAACTGCGACCCACTGCGCTGCCTTGAGTGAAGGGGTGTTGCTGATTGTCAAAGATGACAAACAGGCAGCCTCAAGGCTGTGGAATGGGCTTTTGGAGGCTGGAGCTGGATGAGCAGGGAGCCCTTCTCCTGGGCCCCGTCAGCCTACTCACTTTTCATAAGGTCCAACTTAGCGGCCACTGTCTTTTCCCCCTGTTTGGTTTCAGTCTCCATTCCTGACTATGGATTTCTGTGTGTCTCAATGTTCTCAAAAGAGAAAGCATTTCTAATGCCCTTGAATCAGCCTATGGATGGGAGAGTCACTTGCTCACCTCTCATCCATCTCCTGTAGCCTAGAGGGGACAAAGTCGCATGGTACATGACGGGAGGGCTTCCCTCTTCAGTGCCAGCAGAAAGGAGTATGGATCTAGGAAGGCAGTTGGGCAGGGAAGGCCAAATGGCTAGGACTCAGGCACAAGTCCTAAGACCATCCTGCAGACCAGGGCTCCCAGTGTGGATTCAGGGAGAAAAATAAAAGGGCTGTTTCCACAGTGACCCTGCCTGAACTTTAGGCTGTATCTTATTTTTTTAAATTTCTTTTTCTCTTTTCCCCCCTCATTCTTGCTGTCATCTTATAAGCTTTATCTTTGTGGTCTCTTCACTCCAGCCCGACTCACCCACTCACCAGTGCCTACTTCTGCTCATGTCCTCTCCCTGGCCAACTCATTTCCATTGATTCAAATCCTATCCATCCTTCCAAGCTCAGCTCTGCCCCATCTCCTGCCGGGGTACTGCCTTGATCACTCCAGCCCTTCCATCTCCCCTCCTCTCTTCCTCTCATTCTTATGTCTCTTCCTGGTTATTTTCAGCTTCCCTGACCCTTCATGTAAACTGTCTGGTGATAGATGGCCTTTGTAGGGTCGTCTTGTATTGCCACTTATTTCTGGTAATTTTTCATGCCTTGCTTTCCAATTGGTCAACAGGACAAACATCACACACCCCCTCAGGTCTTTCCTGGGCACATAAAGATCCTTGTAGACATGCACAGCCATTTGCCTTTGGGGCAAGAAGGCTTTAACCACCATCAGGTCAAATCTGAGAGATGAGGAAACAGAAGTCTAGAGAAGAGGAGTATTTTGCCCCAAATCACATAGTCAAGGTCAGCGTGGAATTCAGGTCTCTTGGCTCTTTACCCAGGCAAGAACTATGAGAAGCAGCTTTGGCTGTGAAGTTGGTACCATAGTGTTGCAAAGTACACCAGAGCCAAGGTGGCCAGTGGCAGTTGGGGAGGTCTCATGCATCAGAGAGTGAGTGGCTGCCCACCTGGGTGGATGCATCCCCTGCCTCCTTGCAGGGTCCCAGAGCCTCATATTCTGCCAGGAGCCATCTGTTCCTTTGGAAACTGCCATTTCCCCCACTCAGTTTCCTCTTTTAAAATGCAAACTCCTAAGAGATGGGCTCAAGGGCACAGGCTGGCAGGGAACTCTGGCTGGGTCCCCCTTGGAAGGAGAGGGGGAGTGGTGGCAGAGGAGCCTTACAACTTCACCGTGTCCACTGCCAAAGTGCGCATTTCCTGATTGGCAGGTGGACCAAATAAAAGCCAGCCCAGGGATCTGGGGAGAATAAATCTCAATGAAATGTTTTTTATCAGGGTTCTGCTGCTCTACAAGGAAGATGTGCAGGTTAAGCTGGACAAATAGCAGGCTGAGTGCGGCTGGGCTTTTCCCAGTCTCCAGGGAGGACTCAGGATTGAGCTGCAGGGCCTGGTGATCATCCCAGCCTCAAGGCAAGGGCACAGCTGCGATCCTGCTTGATCTCACCCTGCTTTGTCTGCTTCCTGTGGAGAGCTCCCGCCTTGAGAGTGGGAAGGAATGTGTGATCATCCCCATTGTACAGAAGGGAAGAGTGAGACCCACAGTGACTAAGTGAGTACAGAGAGAATGAGGAAGCAGAAAAGGAATTGGATTGGGGTCTGGGCTTCTGGTCCAGGCTCCACCCTAACCTGCTGTGTGATTTTGTCCAAACCTTTTATCTTTTCTGGGTTTCTTCACTCGAGTGTGAACTTTGGACCAGATCAGTGACTTCCAGATCACTTTTCCTAACCACAATGGGCACATGTTAGCCCTTTCCATGGGCCCGGGCCACTTCCAGTACCCCTATAGGGGCTGTAATGCAAACCCTTATTCCTTTTCCAGAAAGATCATCAGAACAGAGAACCCTGAGAATTGCATTGCAGGGATACCCTTGCCTCTGTTCTAATTTATATAACAAATTCCAAAGCCTTTGCACTCAGTGTTTGGGAATGAATGACCTACAGGGCACCTGGGTCACTGTCTTGAGAATCTTTAGCTTTCCTGGGTTCCTCACTGAGGTGCTAAGATGCCAGGATCCTGGGCATCTGAGTGTACCCTGAGGTCTGGTCTCATCCACTGAGGCAGGAGGCAGAGCTGGGCAAGCCTGGGTGTCCAGCCTCCATGCCCCTCACTGATCAGGGGTCACTGTGGCCCCTCACTCTACCTGCCGCACCTTTCCCAGCAGATGGTAGCTGGGAAAGCAAGTCAAATGCCTGTTTCCTCCGGTGGACTTGGGCAGATCATGCTCTGAGTGCTCCCCAGCCCTTTTCCCTGGATCTCTGAGCTGGCTTTCTCCAAATCTCCACCTCCCTTTCTCTGCGTCTCCGGTGAATACTGCCACACAGGGAGCCTGCTTTACCAAGCCTTACTTGAGTCTTGAGATGCTAATAGATCCCCTGGGAATGGCAGGCTGGAGTGGAACCTGGCATGGGGAAGACAGACTGCGCCAGCTCCCACCAGAGCACGGAGCACTGCAGCTCTGGCACCACTGAGACCCCTGATCAAGGCCATTTCTACCTCTAGGTGGACAAGCCAGGCTCAGGGGCACTGCTGGATTGCCCTGTGGGGGCCTCTAGGCAGCACAAAGGGCCTCCCTGCTGAGCTCAGGCTGGGAATTCTTCTTGCCCTAGGCCCAAACCAGCACTGATTTCAGTCTGAATGTGGTGGCTGCAGTGCAGGGCCCACCGTTCTGATGGAACCTAAAGTCAGAGGAAGAAGGAAGAAAATGACCACTGATTAGTACCTGAGGAGGACAGTGACCTCTTCAGGGATCATCTCATTCATTCCTTACCTCCCAACGGCACTGTGCTGCAGGCAGTACTATTCTATTTACAGGCACAGAGACTGCAACTTGGGGAGGCCAAGCAGTTGGCCCAGGGTCACACAGCCGGCCAGAGGCAGAGCAGGGATTCTGCCAGGCCTATTGCTCTTCCCACTTCACCATATCAGGGGCCTAAACCACAGTAAAGAAAGCCAGGAATTGGAACCCCATTGGTTGGTGGCCCTGTTTCTTCCTTCCTTTGCCCGGGGTGGGTGACGATGCTCTTTCTGCACCACTGCACAACTTGTCATCCCTTCTAAGATCCCAGCCAGGGCAATGCCTACTGTTCAAGAAAGAGAACCCTCATCTCCCACCAGCAGAAATCAATAATTTATGAAATACTGCTTTAGCCAGAGCAGAGAGTGATATATTATAATGCTTCTTAAAATCCAATATTAACAAGTTTTCTAAAGGGTGAAAATATTTGAATTAGGGGAAATGAATGTTTTACAAGCCAGCAGGGGAGCCATCCCCTGAGATGGGCAGGGGGATGGCCGGGGAGGTGGGAGAGCATTGGACTGGGGCTGGGTCAACTGTCCTGAGGCTTTAAGCCAGAAGCCACCATAACTCAAAAGGGATGTGCCCTGGGCAGAGTGGGTGCAGAATCGCATTCCGCAAAGGGTCCCAAAGGGCGTTTATGCTAGATGCCTGCTGGGCAATGGCCAGGGGTGTCGAAGTCTAAGACTATTGTGGTCTTTAAATTCTGCCTATTGGGACCTGCCCCTTTAGAGCAGCTGGTCCTCCAGGCCTTTCTGCCCAGGGGGCTGCAGGCAGGATCACCCTCTGTGCTCAACTATGTTATTGTTCAGCAAATATTTACTGTCCCCTCCTCACTGGGCAGCTTGAGTGGACTGCCTGATGATCCTACAGACCTTGGCTTGGGCTGATGGAATGTGGAGGGCAGGCATATGACTAAGGGCTCCTCCAAGCAGAGGCCTTGAGTGAGTTCATGTGGAAAGCTGGGGCTCTTGGGCTCCAGTCCTGCACTCTGAGAAGAGGCTGTGCCCCAAGGAAGTCACTGTTCCTCACACCTGGATCTGGGATGAGACACCCATGGGGCCAAGCCAGGAGCAGTCACCACAGCCAACCTGCAGGCTTATGAGCTCATTGGTGTAAGACACTGAGATGTAGAGTTGTTTGTCATAAGGCATCGTCACAGAAAAGTCAGCACACCCTCCCCTCCCCACCACCTCCATGCCCTGTTGGAAAAGCATCTCCTGGCCGCTTATCCAGGCACTTTGTTGTCAAATTCATGCCCTTTGAAGGGTACCTGCTTCCCTGCCAGACATGCTCCCCGCAAGGAGAGCAGAACAAGCTCTCCAACTTCTTCCATTGTGAAAGCCCATTTATAGCATCAAATGTTGTCTCTGCCCCCTAAGGTTCAGTGGCTATATTTTTGTAGCCATTGATTGGGACTAGGTGTGGGGAGGAGCACAGTGAGAATAGGCAACTATGAATCAGTTACCCTTTAAAATTGATTATGCTTTAATGTATATTTTATCCAACAGAACAACAGTTTACAAATATTTGAAAAGCAGTATATGAACATAAAAGGGGTAGTGTTTATTCCCTCACTGCTGCTTACCCCTCAGATTCATGGACTCCTTGCAATCTGAGACTCATAGGGACTGCGGAAAGAGAGTGAATTTTGTTGTGAGATCGATTACTTCCCAGCCACTTCAACTGCCTGGATCTCAGTTTCTTCTTCTGTAAAATAAGCACATCTCTGCTGCAGGGTTTTCTGAAGTATTAAGGCGAGCACAGGAATGGTAATATACATGGCAGACATGGGATATACTCAACAATCACATCTTTTTAATTTTGTCTCTGCTGTTTATTCCGCCCTGTGACCTTGGGCCAGATTTGGAGATGACTCTCAGCCTTAGTTCCTTCCTCTGCAAAATGAGGAGCATCATACCTATCTCAGGGGAGACACAGAGTCCTGAACGAGAATGCACCTGGAGCACAGTCAGTGCTGAAATAATTTTCTCCGTCCTTTCTTCTCTGCCAGCCCCTCCTGTCTTCCATGGCCACATGCAAGGCACAGCTTCTCCAAACAGCCTTCCCAAGGCCCCCACTCCACTCAGGAGTCTCCTTTAGGACAAAGCTCCTCTCCAGAAGTGCATTCGTCACAAGCTAAACACCCAACAGCTGATATCAGTAACAGAGGACCGAATCGCAGATTAATTAAAGATCCTGTTTACTCGCCTGCCTCCACCGTGTCATGTGCTCCTTCAACCTACAGCCCTGCACCTTAATTGAAGAGTGTGCAGCAGTTAGGGACAGGCTGGACTTCTCAAACTTCTGCCAGTTTCACACTTGCTTGCATTACCCGGGACAGGCCGAGCCAACCTGTCCACACCTGGTGGTTTAAAGTGTGGCCAGGCTCTCACCTAAGCCACTTGATTAGTCTTCACAGTGGAATTAGAAATAGAATCCCACCAAATCAGGGCAAAACAAGGCAGGAAGAGTATTTGGTGAAAGCAGGGACCACACCTTTTTTTAAATTTTTTTTCCAAGCACCAATCTTGTATTTTTCTTGCCAATAACTAGGCCACAGTGACCTCCTGCTTCAGTCTCCTGGGGCCAGGACAGGTACTCCTCACCTCTGAGCCCTTGACTGTATCCTCTTGCCTCAGACTTTGCTCTCTGCTCTGAGGACAGTGGCAGGATAGTAATATGAGTAATAGTTAGGACCGGCTGAGCACTCAGTGAGGCACTTAAAGGCAGTTCTACGTGTAGTGGTGAAGAGCACCAGTTCTGAAAAGAAGTTGGGCAAGGCATGGCAGCTCGTGCTTGTAATCCCAGCATTTTGGGAGGCCAAGGCTGGAGGATTGCTTGAGCTCAGGAGTTTGAGACCAGTCTGGGCAACATGATGAGACCCCCATCTCTGAAAAAAAAAAAAGTAGCCAGGCATGGTGGTATTCGACTGTGGTCCCAGCTCCTTGGAAGTCTGAGGTGGGAAGATTGCTTGAACCCGGGAGATCAAGGCTGCAGTGAGCTCTGTTAGCAACACTGTACTCCAGCCTGGGTGACAGAGAGAGACCCAGTTAAAAAAAAAAAAAAGAGAGAAGATGTACAAATGGCCAAAAAGTACATGCAAAAATGCTCTCAACATCACTAATCATCAGGGAAATGCAAATGAAAACTGCTGTGAGATATCACCTCACACCTGTTAGAATGGCTATTATCAAAAAGATGAAAGATAACAAGTGCTGGAGAGGGTGTGGAGAAAAGTGAACCCAGGTAAACTGTTGGTGGGAATGTAAATTAGTACAGCCATTATGTAAAACAGTATGGAAGTTCCTCAAAAAATTAAAAATAGAACTCTCATATTACCCAGCAACCCCACTACTGGGTATATCCAAAGGAAATCAAATTAGTATGGCAGAGGTATTTACACTACCATATTTATTGCAGCACTGTTCACAATAGCCAAGATATGGAATCAACCCAAGCATCTATCCATGAATGAATGGATAAAGAAAATGTGCCTTATAGACACACTGGAACATTATACAGCCTTTTAAAAGAAGGAAATCCTGTCATTGGCAACAACATGGATAAACGTTATGTTAAGTGAAATAAACCAGGCACGGAAAGAAAATGCTGCATGATCACACTTATATGTGGAATCATAAAACGCTAAACTCATAGAAGTAGAGAGTCGAATAGTTGTTACCAGGGACTGGCCAGGGGCGGGGGCCAGGTGCAGAGAGGTTGGGGAGATATTCGTCAAAGAATACAAAATTTCTGTAGATATGAGGAATAAATTCAAGAGATGTATTGTACCACTCGGTGATTATAGTTAATAACCATGTATTGCATTCTTGAAAATTGCTGAAAGTAGATTTTGAGTGTTCTTACCACAAAAAAGGATAAGTATGTAAAGTAATGCATATGTTGATTAGCTTAATTTAGCCATTCCACATTGTATACATATTTCGAACAACATATTTTATGAAGTAAATGCGTACACTCTTTATCTATTAGAAATATAAATTAAGAAAAAAAAAAGAAAAAGCATACCAGTTCTGATTTTGGGTCTGGTCTCTGGCTGTGTGACCCTGAACACATGACCTAATCTCTCTAAGTCTCAGTTAGGAAACTCATCAGTAAACCAGGGCTGTCACAGCACCAGCTGGCAGGGCTGTCATGGGGACTAAAGGAAGAAATGCTTGTAGAGTGATCGGTGCAGTGACTGGCGCATATGAAGAACCCAGTAAATATTAGACATCATTATATTTTGATAAGATGACTTCTGCCAGTGACCCTGTGGAATAGCTGATCTTATCCCCTGTTACAAGTGAGGAAACACAGACTGGGGAAGTTAAGTAACTTGCCCAAGGTCACACGGCAAATAAGAGGCACCGAGCCCAGCTTTGCGTGCTCATGACCATAGGAAGACACTCTGCAAATGAAGAGATAAATGCCTGCCTGGATGTCCACCACGGAGCCCTATCTGTGTTAGGACATTCTTGCATTTCCATAAAGAAATACCTGAAAAAGAAAAAACAAACAAAAAACCCCAAACAACAAAGTTTAACAAAAGAAAAAGAAATAGGGAAAAAAGTAAAAAATGAAATACCTGGGGCTGGTTAATCTATAGAGAAAAGAGGCCTAATTGGCTCATGGTTCCACGGGCTGTACAGAAAGGATGGTGCCGGCATCTGCTCAGCTTCTGGGACGCCTCAGGAAGCTTCCAATCATGGTAGAAGGCAAAGGGGCAGCTGGCATATTACATAGCCAGAGCAGGGGCAAGGGGCAGGGGAGATGCCACACACTTTTAACCAGATCTTGAGAGAACTCAGTCACCATCACAAGGACAGCACCAAGACATTCATGAGGGATCCACTCCCATGACCCAAACACCTCTCAGCAGGCCCCACCTCCAACACTGGGGATTGCATTTCAATATGAGATTTGGAGAGAACAAACATTCAACCTATAGCACCGTCTCGTGCCTACTGCCTTAAGTGAGTGGCAGAGAGTGGACTGAGGCCTTGGGGAAAGCAGTGAAAAGACTGGGATCAGAGCCACACCCCTCAGGGTTGGCGACCTGCTCTGAGCTTCACTGACTTTAGGACTTTGCAGCCTGAGTTCCCTTGTCTGCACAGTGGGTATGAATGATGCCTACCTGTGGTAAGGATTATGTGAACGCTGGGTGCAAAGCAACACAGCACCATTGTTTAGCAATGTATATGTGGCACATAGTAGATGCTCAAGAAATGTGAACTCCTCTTTCTTCTCCCCTTAAGGTTTTGAAGTTGGGGGGTCCCTCAGTCACCCCAACACCACCCAGGCTGCCTCCTACTCTTCTGAAATGCCAGCCCATCAATCCTGGGCACTTCTGTGGGGCCTTTGGTCTGTGTTCAGCCATCCTGCAGCACAGGCTTGACTGTGGGTGACACTCTGCCAGCTCTTTTCTAGTTCTCTGGGTGACCTTGGTGAATCACTTCTTTTCTATGGGACTCAGTTTCCCTACCTGCCCATAAGTGGCTTGCCCTGGTTCAAGACCCCAGACAGCACCTCTTGGATAGGCTACATCAGCATCATCTGGAAAAATATTTAAAATGCTGAATCCTTGACCCCACTTTCTGGAGGCTCTGCTTCAGTGGATGGGATGGGCCCTGGGAACCTGTATTTTTAATGTTTGGGAACCATCAGCCTGGTCTCTCAGCTCCCCCGCAGTTCCTGTAGGCTGCTCTTCCAAGTGAGGACCATGCGGCTTGCCTTTGTGTGCTCCCCTCCCTTGAGTGGCATGCTGCACCCCAGCCTGAGCTAGGTGGTCCCAGCAAGGGATTAGGGAATGCCGATGGGAAGGAGGAATGACTTTCCAAGCCCAACAGGAATCTTGCCAGATGCCTCGGGACAATCATAAGCTCCATGGGACCTGTTCCCATTTTCTACTAGTGATGTGGCACTTCTCAGCTGGGAAAATGCACGCTGATGTGGGTGGATTTCCTTCTCCTTTTGCCCCCAGACCTGCCTCCACACACACGGGTGTGAGCATACACACACACACTAACATTCACACACACACCAAGGAATCTGATCTGAGGGATTGTCCTGGCCTTGGCCTTGTCTGCTCTTTGAAACAGCCGGATGTATGGAAGTTGCTGGGGGGTGGGGTGGGAGGAGGGGGCAGCTTAACTGTCTCATTTGTTTCAGTGGCTGTGGCTTCATCTACCCGCCAGCGGATGTTGGAGGGGGTCTCTTCCAGAGGGTAGTGGTGAAGCCCAGGAGGGTTCCAGGAACTCCCTCCATGGGAAATGCATGCTTTGTTTGTTTGTTTGTTTTGTTTGTTTGTTTTTAGAAGGAGTCTCACTCTGTCGCACAGGCTGGAGAGCAGTGGCGTGATCTCGGCTCACTGCAACCTCAGCTTCCCAGGTTCAAGCGATTCTCCTGCCTCAGCCTCCCAAGTAGCTGAGACTACAGGCAAGAGCCACCACACCCGGCTAATTTTTGTATTTTTAGTAGAGATGGGGTTTTACCATGTTGGCGAGGCTGGTCTCGAACTCCTGACCTCAAGTGATCCGCCCGCCTCGGCCTCCCGAAGTGCTGAAATTATAGGCCACTGCGCCTGGCCGGTTTTTTTTCGAGAGTGGTGGGGATGGATCATCAGAGTGGGCTTTGAAATGAGGCCAGCAGCAAAGAATCAACAAGAAATGAGGATCCACCGTGCCAGGAAAGCTCAGGGAGACTGCAGGAAGAACTGGGTTTTGTTGCTTTTAAATGATTTCATTTGTTAGAACAAAATCTAAAACCTACAAAAGGGTATCCTGTGGAAAGTGTCCTTTTCTTTCCAGACACACAGCCCCACCCCACATTAGCCACCGTTCCACTTTCTCACAGATCCTTTCAGAGACAGCCTGTGTCGATAAATGCATATGTGTGAAAATTACTTTTATTTTCCTGGAACAGGTAACACAGTTACACACCATGCATATACTTTGTGGGTTTTTTTTTTTTGGCTCCTTGATTTTTTCACTTATCCTGAAGATCTTTCAGCACACAGAGAGAGTTGCAACAGTTTTTATTTATTTATTTATTTAGAGACAGGGTCTCACCCTGTTGCCCAGGCTGGAGTGCAATGGCGCGATCTCGGCTCACTGCAATCTCTGCCTCCTGGGCTCACACGATCCTCCTGCTTCAGTTTCCTGAGTAGCTGGGACTACAGGCATGAGCCACCACACCCAGCTAATTTTTGTATATATATATATACATATATATATATACACATATACATATATATATACATATACATATATATGTGTGTATATATATATGTATATATGTATATATATATATATATATATATATTTTTTTTTTTTTTTGTAGAGATGGGGTTTTGCCATGTTGCTCAGGTTGGTCTCAAACTCCTGAGCTCAAGCGATCTGTCCATCTCGGCCTCCCAAAGTGCTGGGATTACAGGCGTGAGCCATTGCACCTAGCCTAGTAGCCACAGTTTTTAAACAGTTGCTTGTATTCTATTTTACAGATAATTCATTTAGTCAATTCCTCCCTTAGCCATTTATCTTGTTTTTCAAGAGATGCTTCAATACAACAGCCCTGCATATACACCCTTTTACATTTAATCTGTGGGATAAATAACTAGGAGGAGAATTTCTGGGTCAGAGGGCATATACATGTTTAATTCTGATAGAGCCAACTTACCTTCTTCAGAGATTGTACTAATTTACACTCTCACCAGCAATGTATGAGGATATGTTACTTTGCTGATTTGACAGGTGAAAAAACACTATCCCCTTGTAGCATAATTTGCATTTCTTTTATGAGTGAGGTTGAACGTTTTTTCACCTGTTTAAAAACCACTAGTTCTTCTTTGTGAACTCTTCTTCTCCTTCTCCTCCTTCTCCTCCTCCTCATTCTCCTCTTCCTTCTCCTCCTCCTCCTCTGCCTCCTTCTTCTTCTTCTTTTTTGCTTCTTGTGAGGTTTTTCCTTTTTTTTTTTTTTTTTTTAAGACAGGGTCTCACTCTATTGCCCAGGCTGGAGTGCAGTGGCATGATCTCAGCTCACTGCAACCTCTGCCTCCCAGGCTCAAGCAATCCTCCCACCTCAGCCTCCTGAGTAGCTGGGACTACAGACAGTGCCACCAAACCTGGCTAATTTTTGTATTTTTTGTAGAGACAGGGTTTTGCCATGTTGCCCAGGCTGGTCTCAGACTCCTAGGCTCAAGCAATCCACCCACCTTGGCCTCCCAAAGTGCTAGGATTATAGGCATGAGCCACCATACCACACTGTGAACTGTTCTTATGGCTCTGGAGGAATCTTCATATATATATATATAAAACTAAACCCTTTCCCTGTTCAAAGAGATGCCAGTTTGTTGTTTGCTTATGATATTTTTCCCCTGGAGGAAATATGACTTTTATATAGTCAAATTTGTCAACTTTTTCTTTATGCCTTCTAGGTTTTGTACCCTATTTTTTAAAGGTCTTTCCATCTCCATTTAATTTTTAAAATCTCTCGGTAGTATTTTTATGACTCATTTATATATTTAAGACTTTAAAGCATCTGAGATTTAGATAAGGTACAATGTTTGGGCAAGTGCTTCGTATGTTTTCAAGTATTTTTTCTTTAATGCCAATTAGTTACGAAATTCAGCCCCATAAAAATTCTTTGGGGCATGCAAATGAGATTGCATTTGCTCTAGTTTTTGGGTAAAGAGAGGCTTTTTTTAGAGCAACTTTGTTTTCCAGATAACTACTGAGTTGTTCAATTTTTAAAATACGTAATCCATCGTATCCCCAGTGATTTGAAACACATTCTTTACCACATACCAGATTGGTGTTTCTTTCTGGTTTCATTCTATACTTTTTTTTTCTGTTCCATTGATCTATCTACTCGTGTTGTTTTAATTGCCATTTCTTTATACTGTTTTAAATATCTGGTAGGTCTGGGCCCCCTCACTATTCTTTTTTAGAATATGCCTATTCTTGCTTGGTTATTTTTCTCTATAAACTTTAGAATGGGCTTTACTAATTCCAAAAAGGAAGAACCGGTACAGCTGGTGTGGGTGAGCAGGGGATGCCACCTGCCTCCTCTGGTCCTGGTATGCAGAGTCCAGCAGAAAGAATGATGTCATGCTGCACAGTTACAGGTGGCTCAGGAATGTTCTCCTTTCTCTCCTGCTTAATCAAGGAGGGCTTCAGTGGAAAAGGCAGAGAGGGGAAGAAGAAGCAAGAGAAAAAGGAGAGGTGGAAGAGAATTTTGAAGCAAGGAAGAAGAGGCTTCCTGGCAGAAAGGACTGAAGACACTCTGGGGGAGAAGAGACAGAGAGAGATGAAGCATCAGAAATCAAGGCTGCAGGGAGGGTTCCTTGCGGAGATTGGAAAATGGTGGGTGGGAGAGGAGGTGGAGGCCAGCTGGAAGGCTTGAGCCTAAGGCAGGTTGGGGGTGGCCTGGAACTGATGGAAGATGTGGTTAGAGGGAGTCAGTCTGCCTCTGAGTCATGCGCATAGGACTTCAGTCAGCAAGCTGCCCTGGCTGAGTGGAAGACAGACAGAAATGGAATGAAAGCCAGAAACTCCAACTGTCTTCTCAGGCTGGCCACCAGAGGTGCAGTCTCATGTTCCTTCTGGTTACAAATGATCCCTACCTCCCAGGAAACCACAGTGTGGGGTTTTGAATAGACTGCTGTGCATTTACTCATGGAGAGGAGTCGGAAGCTAATTTTGAGAGTGTATGAAGTAGTTTTACATCCTGGGCTACAACAGAAGCATATCCTGGCACAGGGGTGTTGTGGCTGTGTTTCATTAGGAGCTGTAATTCTCCAGACCAAAGAAAGTGGCAGGGAGCTCAGCCCTGGGAACAGTGGGCACAGAGTCAGGGGATGCCCAGGATAGGGGCGATGCTGGCACTGCGGAAGGAAGCTAGGCCTGCAGGAGCCCGAGTTTGGGCCACATTCAGCCTTGTCAGGGTTGCAAGAAAGGGTGGATGATGAGTGCACGGGCAAAAATGGGCCTGCGGGTTCTCTGTCAAGAGCTTCACTCGCTTCCAGCTAGAGCCCCTGGCAAATGACTTCTCACACCAGGAAGACACCCCTGTGGGAAGACACTCCCAGACCCAGCAGGCCCACGTGCTCCGCAAACGGACCCTGTGCCACAGTTTTTCTCTGCTGCAGTGCCCGGCTTCAGAGCCCCCGTACAGGGTGGCTGGGAAGACCTCTTCCCTGTGCCCCCGCTCAAGCTGGCTCTTCTCTCTGCTGTCTTCTGGGCTGGGCTGACCGGGAAACAGGATACTGCTTTGCCTGCCCTATTGGCCTAAAAACGTTTCCTTCCTCTGCAATTAGAATCATGGAATATCACCGGATCCAATTCCCTCTGAAATTTCTCCCTGAAATTTCAAAGCTCAGAAAGGGCACCCGAG
Organism: Homo sapiens; assembly: GCF_000001405.40. NCBI lineage: Eukaryota > Metazoa > Chordata > Mammalia > Primates > Hominidae > Homo > Homo sapiens. The sequence goes on from NT_187663.1 coordinate 422,866, forward strand.
GGTCCCACAGCCACACGAAGTTCTAGGTGTGACCTGCGTCAAAGAACCAAATTTCAACAAGTTGAGTTTAGTAAGTTTAATAATAAGGCCCAATGACACTGTCATCTAATTGACTTTTATTAGGGATTTATGAATCAGGCAGTATTCCATCTAGGAAATGTCTAGAAAGGTGCTCCACCCCATTGGCAGAACAGTTGTTTGAGATTTGTTGTTGTTGTTATTTTGCTTTGTTTTGAGACAGGGCCTCACTCTGTCACCCAGGATGAAGTGCAGTGGCACAATTATGCCTCACTACAGCAGCCTCGAACTCCTGGGCTCAAGTGATCCTCCCACCTCAGCCTCCTGAGTAGCTGAGACTATAGGCGCACATCACCATGCCCAGCCAATTTTAAATTTTTTTCTTTTATAGAGCCAGGGTCTCACTACATTACCTAGGCTAGTCTCAAAACTCCTGGCTTCAAGCAATCTTCCTGCCTTGGCTTCTCAACGTGCTGGGATTACAGGCATGAGCCACTGCACCTGGCCAAGGACAGTTGGTTTTTGTATGGTAACTTGAGCAGGAACAAGAAAACAGCATAGTACAAAAAAGAAGATTGGTTAACATTAGGTTACTTCAGGTTACTTTCCTCGTAAGGGTTAATGCAGATACTTTCTTCTTCAGCCAACTAAAACTGGCCTGTTTGGGGATTTGGCTACCATCTCTCTCCTGATTTCTTGGAAGGTCAGATCTCATAAGTAAACAACTTAGGTTTCGGTTTGGTCATGTAACCTTAGCATGAGTGACTCCATTTTGGGTTGAGCTATTAGAGCCTAGTGCAGGAGCTTAGTCCAAATCAATGCCCTCCCATACATTTTATTTAACACCAGAATCCAGGTCATTGGCTTCTAGCCACTGGTCTGTCACCTAGTCTAGGTCTCCTCCTGTGTACCACAGGGCACATTCAGTATCCCACCAGGGTGTGGAAGTCGTCTTCCTTCCAGAGAGTCAGGAAACCTTGCTTTTAATGAGCTCAGGGGCCAGCATCTTGAGGGCCTGCGTTTATTTTCAGTTAGAGCGGATGGAATGTTGTTTGTGGTTTGCTTTTTTAATACAAAATGGGCTGTGGAAATGAAGCTGCCTATACAACTCTGTAGGGAGCTGGCCGGCTTTAGCAGAAAATGTTCTTGCCGGGGACCCGAGACTTAAGCTCTATCTGGAAGTTCCTTCCCTGCTCTTGGCCTCAATTTCCATTCTGTAGATGGAGAAGGTTGGATTGAGGAGTGTCTGAAGGCCCTTCTGGCTCTGACTTGCTTTGCTTTTGTGAAAGGGCTATAAGGCCCTTGTCACCGTCCCCAGCACCACAGTGGAGACGGGGTGAGACCCTCCAAAGTCTTTTCCCACAGATGGAGTTGGCATGATTTGTATGAAGCACTCTCAGGCCTCCCCAGGGGGGCCACTCCTGTGCCTTCTGCTCAGCAGGTCTTCATGGGGTGGGGCTGACAGTCTACTCTCCTGGCACTTCACACACAGCTCATCTTTAGAAGGACAGTGGCTTTAGACAGTCTCCCTGGGACCCAGCCTGAGGCCACTGTCCAGCAGGGGGAGAGACAGCCCAGAGATGGAAGCAGCCGGGAGAGCAAAACACTCCTCACCACCAGGCTGGCCCAGCTGGGCTCTTCCTGGCCCAGCGCTGCCCTCCATCGTCCGTGTAGCGGTGGAGCCCCCAGTAAGCGGTGGAGGCACTTGCTTTCAAAGTGCCTCAGAGGGAAAAATACAACACTTCACGACATTAGAAACGTGAGAATGGTCACAAGTACATGAAAGCCGTGATGTAAGTCGTGAAATAAAAGTCCAAGTTCTATATGTGTTGAAATAGTATTTAAAAAAGAAAAAACCAGCCAGGCGTGGTGGCTCACACCTGTAATCCCAGCCCTTTGGGAGGCAGAGGCAGGAGGATCGCTTGAACCCAGGAGTTCAAGACCAGCCTGGGCAGCATGTGAGACCCCATCTCTACAACAAAATTTAAAAATCAGCCAGGCGTGGTGGCGTGCACATGTGGTCCCAGCTGTTCAGGAGGTTGAAGTGGGAGAATTGCTTGAGCCTGGGAGTTCCAGGCTGCAGTAAGCCATGATTGTGCCACTGCACTCCAGCCTGGGTGACAGAGTGAAAACTGTCTCATGAAAAAATAAAAAGGAAAAAACCAAATTAGGAAAAACTGTAACCCTGCAGCAGCGTAAAACAGGTGACAATGACACTTCTATTACATCACCTGTGACAGACCCCTTATCCTTCATGGATTTTGGTTCATGCCAGTGTGTTGTAGAGTTTTGCATCTGACTCCCTCTCAGTAATCAGCTGGGGATTTTCCTTGGTGTATTAGTTAGTATAAGCCAGGCTGTTGTCACAAACCACCTAACAAAAACTCAGAAGATAGAAGTTGAATTCTCTTTCCTCTAATCAGGTGGATATTTCAAGTCAGTGGGTGACTTCACTCACACAGAAGAACAGGGATCCAGATTCCTTCTGTGGTGTGGCTCTGTTGACCCCTAGTTTAGGTGTCCATGGAGGCATACCCGCTGTCTTAGGGCTTATCTTAGTCCATTCATGCTGCTGTACAAAAATACCTTAGACTGGGTAGCTTATAAACAACAGAAATTTATTGCTCACAGTTCTAGAAGCTGGGAAGTTCAAGATCAAGGTGGCAGCAGATTCGGTGCCTGGTAAGGTCTCACTCTCCGCCTCATAGATGGCACCTTCTCGCTGGCTTTGCATGGTGGAATGGTGGAAGAAGGGAACAAGCTCCCTTGGGCCTCTTTTATAAGGGCATTAATTCCTTAAAAAAGGTGGAGCCCTCATCACCTAATCGTCTTCCACAGTCCCCAACTCTTAATACTATTGTATTGGGGATCAGGTATCAACACAATTCTGGGGAAACATGAACATTCAGGCCAGGGTTCCAGCCTGGAAGTGAGCACCCTTTTTGCTCACATTCTGTTGATGAGAACTTAGGGCTGTGGTCACATCTAACTGCCACGGAGGCTGACTAATGTGGTTCTTAGCCAGGTTCGCACATGCTCAAATCCAACTGTATTACTGAGGAAGAAAGAGAATATATAATTTGATAGATTACCAGCAGTCTCTGTAGCTTTGAAAACTATGTCAACCCAAAAGTTTGTATTTTTCCTCTGCCAGTCCCTTCTTGTGACAATGTCTTTTTAGCAGCATTTCTCCACTATTTACCATCTCTCCCTCACTCTTCTTTCCCCTCCTTCTTTCTTTCCCTCAACACACCCCTCACTCTCACTGTTTTACCTCTTCCCTCACTGAGTACAGAATCCCTAGGATAAACAGGATGGAGTTTCCAAGTTCCATGGGTCAGGACACACCAGACTGGGTTATGGATAAGGACAATGGTATACATTCCTGCCTTCTTTGCCTACACTAGCCCATGAGCACTTCACCCATGCTAAGCCATCTTCGGCCCAAATGGCCCTTGAGCATGCATTTGAAAAACAGGTGGAAGATAAAACAAGAAGCATGCATTGGTTTTGCAGGTGGAAGACCTAGATTTCATGTCCTGCCAGTTACTAATTGTGTGGTCCTGAGTAGGTCTCCTCACTTCTGCTCTGAGTATCTCTTCATTGAAAAAATGGAGCAAATGCAATTTCACCTGCAAACCCCAGAGTTTTTATGAGGCTGAAGCAGGATAATGTTTGGCAAGAGCTTTTTATATTTTCAAGTATTTTTCTTTAATTTAAGCATATTTATTTTATAGTCTGAATTTTATAATTTCAATAGCTGAGGTCTTCTGAAGGTCTAATTCTGCTGTTTGTTTTATCTGCTGATTTTTCACTCAAGGTGGTTTATTTTATCGTGTACCTTGTAATTGTAGGTTGTGAGCTCATATTCACAACCTCTCTCTGTGAGAATCCTGTTAAGTATGACTTAAAAGCGTCAGCTTCAGGGCTGGGCGTAGTGGCTCATGCCTGTAATCCCAGCACTTTGGGAGGCTGAGATGGGCAGATCACTTGAGGTCAGGAGTTTGAGACCAGCCTGGGTAATATGGTGAAACCCCATCTCTACCAAACATACAAAAAAAATTAGCCAGGAGTGGTGGCACATGCCTGTAGTCCCAGCTACTTGGGAGGCTGAGGCAGAAGGATTGCTTGAGCCTGGGAGAAGGAGGTTGCAGTGAGCTGAGATCATGCCAGTGCATTCCAGCCTGGGCTACAGAGCCACTCTGTCTTAAAAAAAAAAAAAAAGTGTCAGCTTCAAAGAGGATTAACATTAACACTCCTGAGTGCTACCAACCTGATCCCACTTTGTAAGTAAATTTCTCAGTTTGGAGTTTTCCAAATCACATATGCAGTCTACCTTAAAACCCCAACCCTCGGAGGAGAAGAGCCTATGACTCTATGATTCCAAATTCTCAGTGAAGGCTGGTTTTTTTCAACTCAGAGCCCAGATCAAGACAGACATATTTCCTTCAGTCCCTCTTTGCTGATGAGTCTACTTTTCCCTCCAAATGTAACCTTTCAAGGATCTAGATTTTATGCTGTGGTCTCACTTCCACCTTCTCACATTGCTTGAGTCCCCATGTGGACTTTAAAATTCAAGACTCTGTGAAGTAACTGAGCTAATGCCTCAAGGGGAGCTTTCACCCTCAGTGTCATCTTAGCATTCTTACTTCCTGTTCTCTTCTCATTTGGGACCCCTGAAGATTGCCATCATTTTCCTGTGAGTTTAGCGCTCACAAGAAGGGTGTTTGTTGTATTTTGTCCAGCATTTCTAGGTGTTGTGCAGTGGGAGGGCTTCTCAGGATGGCCAATGGACTCTGAAATCTCACTGTCTTTCATGCGTTCTTTAATTCCTTTTTCTAATTTTTCCCTTTTCCTCTCTTGTCCTTCCTGTCTCTTGCTCCTTCTCTCCACATTTATCTGCCGGATCTCAGCTGCTGGCACTGTGTGTTCTCAGGGGATACTCTGTCAGGTGTTTTTCAAGGCTCCTGGCTGACCCTCCCCAGCTTCTCCCTTTGGTTCTCTAGCTCCAGACCCCTAACATGGCCACTAAACACCACCAGCAGGCACCCCACTGCCCCAGATCTGTGCCGTTGGGCTTTATCTTCCGTGCAAACTTGTCAGCATCCCTTTTTATTCATCCAGAGCTCTTCATTCCATCACTATTCAACTTGTCAAAATGTGCTCAGCCAGGAACAAGTTTAGGTCAGAGATTTTAATAATCTCTTCAGAGCTTTCCTCTTTTGAATCATTGTGAATATTATGCATCAGAAAAACTCCAGATTTTGAGCCTCAGACTGGGAGGCACAATTAGGTGCTCAGAGAGGCCAGAATTTGGCCAACTTCTCATTCCCCAAATGGACTCAAGGAATATGAGAGAATTCTGAATGAGAGAGCAGGCAAAATTACCCAAGAGGGAATGAGGCTCTTTGGCTCTAATTTGAGGGTCATTTTTCTTCTTGCTGGCACTTCTCTTCCCCCTGGATTGGGCCCCAAGACCATTCAAGCAGGCTTCTAAGAAGGATTCACTGAAGTGATTTCCCTAGAGGATTGACAGGGACTTTGAAATGTGCTGCCTCTTTTAGAGACTTTGCCTGGTAAGAGGAGGCAAAACCTTAAACCAAAAGGACAAGGAAAAGGAAATCAAACATTGGGGATCGGGGGCCTCCTTCCCAAGGCTACTAGAAGGCTGCCTCTGGATACTCCAGTGTAGAGGCACTGTGACCCCCGCCCACTTCCTCTGCAGTGTCTCATCTGATGCTCATGACCACCCTGTTGACATCATGTAGCTCATGTTTTGTGGGAAACAGGCTGAGCAAGGCAACAGAGGTCCTGTATTGGCTAAGTGCTGAGCCTCATTTAGACTCCAAGCCGGACTTTGAGAAAACCTGTTGATATGGTCAGGCTTTCTGTGCGCACTCAAATCTCATCTTGAATTGTAATCCCCGCATGTGGAGGGAGGGACTTGTAATCCCCACATGTCAAGGGAGGGAGGTGATTGGATCATGGGGGGGTTTCCCCCATGCTATTCTCACAATAGTGAGTTCTCAGGAGATCATATGGTTTTATAAGTGTTTGACAGTCCCTCCTACATGTGCTTTCTTCTCTCTCTTGCCACCGTGTGAAGGTCTTTGCTTCCCCTTCCCCTTTTGCCATGATTGTAAGTTTCCTGAGGTCTCCCCAGCCGTGTGGAACTGTGAGTCAATTAAACCTCTTTCCTTTGTAAATTACCTAGTCTTGGATATTTCTTTATAGCCATGTGAAAATGGACTAATACATCTGTCCTCTACCTACCATGCCCAGTCCTCTCCAGGATGCCACAAGATGGGTTGGAAGGCCGATTACTGCAATTGTCCAGGAAAGAGCTGACATCTGTACATCACACTCCAAGAGGCAGCAGACACAGGGGTGAAGCCCAAGGGCTCTAGAGCCAGACAGGCCAAGTTCAAATTCCAACTGTACCACTGAACTAGCTGAGCAACATTGGGCGATGCTTTACTCCAACCACCACTCCTAGCCTTTCCTCCCCGGCAGCCCGTGGAGACTAAAACACCAACCAAATCATTTCACTCCTCTGGTCTCAACTTTCCAACAGCTTCTCATCACTTCTAGAATAAAATCCAAGTGCCTCCTCAAAGCCTTCCAGGCCTACAGCAGAGGCAGCCAGTGCTCACCAAACTCTACATTCTCCTCTTTGTCCCAGGCTCCCTGCTGTGCCACATTTCTCTGCTTCTTTGCGTGGGTGGGGTGATGGTGGATGCGGAGACTTATGCCTTATTCTTGTCAATGGAGTGTGAGTGGAGGTGACATGTGTTAACCCAGGTCGAAGTGGTTGAGAGCAGTGTGCCTTCTCCACACTTTCCCCACATGCCAGCTGGATGGACATCCAGTGAGGACCCTGAGGAAATGGCAGAGTCACACAGTGGAAGATGCCTGGATCCCCAAGTATGCGAAACAGAACTCCTGTACCTGTCTTGTGACAACACTAACTGAACTACTACACAAGCAAAAATTGATTCTTTATTGTGTCACGTCACTGAAACTTGGGTTTTTTTTTTTTTTTTACAGCAGCTGGCTTATCCTAACACGAGGCCCTACATCAGTCGACCTCAGTCCAAACCCATGCCTGCTCACCCTCTCCCTCACTGTGCCCCACCACACCACCTTCTCGTAGCTCCTCAGACTCCAAGCTCATTCCCATCTAGTGCCTTGGCCAGGCCGTGTTCCCTCCTCCTGGAATGCTCTTCCACAAAGCTTTACATGATGTTTTTTCTCAGTTTTGCCAGATTTCTGGTCAAATTTTATCTCCTCAGAGGGAGAAGCCCCGACTCCCCTTTTAGGCAGGCCCACCCTCACCAGGCATCACCTTCCCTGTGCTATTTTTCTCCAGAGAAGTTATCAATGACTTACCAGTCTATCAGAAATATGTCTTTGTTAAAATATTTATTATATAGCTCCTCCCTGTGTCTGTCTATCCTGGTGTCTAGAAGAGTGACTGGCACATAGTAAGTCCTCAATAAATATTCTCTGAGTGGATCAATGATCACTGTTTTCTCTGCATCTTTATCCATTTCTCTCTCCTTTTTCTCCTCTGTAAGTTGAGTGTTGTATGCTGAAGACAAAAGGGGATAATGCAGGTTAGTGTGGAACATCCTGGCACAACAGATGTCTGGGAACTGCAGATTCTGTCCTATGTAGGGATAGCTCCACAAGAAAGCCCAGGCTAGTGTCCATGGGTTGCCTGCACCAGAGCCCAGGAGGGTGGTTTAAGCAGGAAGGTTCTTGTTGCTGCCCTCCCAAGAGAGGGAGTGGGGCTGAGCCAGCTGTGGAGCTTGGGGCTGGCTGCCAGCTGCTGAGGTTGACAGCCACATGGAACTTCACCGGGGCAGGTAATTGAACTAGTGGAGTGGGCTGACCAAGAGGAGGGGAGCGTTCCCAGCATTGGGGTGATGAGCCATGGAATTGGCATTGGAGTGGCTGTAGTCACAAGTGGAAGGAATTCATCTGCTGGCACATCCAGCCTGCAGGGAGAGGACCCAGGGGCGCCTGCACTTGTGGCCTGGAGGGAGATGGACAACTTCTGGGGTGCCCTCTGGTTGTTGGAGATGGAGGGCATTGAAGGAGGAGGGGACGGCACATGCGAAGGCATGGAGTTGTGAAATGAGTGCTTGGCAGTTAGAATGGTGAAGTGAGGTAGTGCTGGTGGCCCTAGGATGTAGGTGGAATCAGGACTTGACCCCAGAAAAGCCACATGTGGGGAAAGGGTGAGCGCTGGGCTAGGAGCCAGGAGACCTGACTTTCCACTCCCAGGTCTACCACGATCCATGTATCCTTGAGCTCAAGTGTATCCATGATCCTGCTCAGGTGTTTCACTGCATGACACACAGATGAGGAAACTGAGGCACAGAGAAAGTGATACACAGTTGCATAGTCACTTTCTCTGTGCCTCAGTTACCTCATCTGTCAAACTGATGATAGTTCCCCTCACATGGGGGTGAGGAGAAGAAGAATAAAAAGTGGATGCCTATGCAATTTTCTCCTCACAATGTTTTCAGTTATTATGACTGAGAGGTGGCCAGGAGGAGCTGAGGAATTCCCCTAGGACTTGTGTGTTGGGAGGGCCAAGGGCCAACTGGAAGTGACTGTTGCTGAGAAGAGAGTGGGAGAAAACAGCAGGAGGAAAGCCAACGTGGAGAGGTGGGGGAAGGGAGGAGCTGGAAGCAGTTCCAGCAGGAGACCAAATGTGGGCAGTGGCAGGAGTGTTGATGTTTCCTGGCAGGTGCAGTCCAGTTGCTTTCTATGCCTGCAGTGTGCAAGTGGATTGGGTCCTTGTGCTTGTCCGTGGACCAAGCACAAACATTCTGGTTGCATCTCCATCTAGGTACACGGTAGGATTGCATCCTCCATGCTTTTGAAGTTCTGCCTGCCCACGTGACTTGCTTTAACAAATGATGTGAGTGGAAGTGGTACATGTCACTTCCGGGTGGAAGGTTGAAAAGCTTGTGCCTGATTCACCTTTGAGGCTGATTCTGTCAGTGTCCCTTGGACCCTCCCTGCTGAATTCTACCTGCCAGTGTCTGCATCTCTGTGCCTGAGGGATTTCTCCAGGCCCAAAAAAGACAGCTCAGCCTACATGCACTACCAGCCAGAAGTGCAGGGGAATTACACATTATCACCTTCATCAGCTCTCAGTCAGTGACTCTGGGGAATTGAGACACAAATACCCAGGCTCCCTCGCTCCATGCTGCAGGTGGGATCACTCTGCAGTATGTGCTCCTCACTCTTTCCCTGGGGTATCCCACGGGATTAAGTTCATTCACCCACAGAGGTACCTGGCTTCATATGCATCTTGTATTAGCTGCTTTCCCTTCCCAGTTGCACTTTTCTACTTGATACCAGTGTTTCCTGCACCTCCCAAATAAACGATTGCGCTCACACTGTTGTTTCTGGATCAGCCATGTTCCTCTTTCCTGCTGTCATGACAGTCCGTTGGCCAACCAACTGGCAATTTCCCTGGGGGTGGCTACTCTGTCATTCCAGGCCTTGGGGTAAGGATGAGTAAAAGCTGGTGGACTTATCATGGGCAGGTGGCATGAGTCAGAAACCCATTGAAATTTGGGGGCTGCTTGTTACTACAGCCCAACCTCACCCACCCTGACTGATACAGCCCCTGGCTTCTCACCAAACACCAAAATGATGCATCTAATTTAAGGCATCTTATGAGAAGGAAGGAAGGAAGGAAGGAGGGAAAGGAAGGAAGGAAGGAAGGAAGGAAGGAAGGAAGGAAGGAAGGAAGGAAGGAAGGAAGGAGACAGAAGAGACAGAGAACATTTGTGAGTGTGCATGTGTGTGTGCACACTGGGGCAGAATGGAAGGGAAGAGAGGGACAAGTTTGAAGGGAAGACTGGGACAGGAAAAGAGGTGCCCAAGAACCCACTGGAGAGGAGACTTAGAAAGGATAAAAGAACAAGAGGCCCAGATATACAGTGAGAAGAATCCCAGGTCACACAGCAAGTCAGGGGTTGAATTAAGCCTAGGACTTGGGCTTCCCAACTTCCAATCTAGCGCTCTTTCCTCTGAGCTCACTTCCTCCAGAAGGCCCATGGCTGGAATGTCCCTTCTTTCAAGCTCCCTGGGATTGTAGAAAGAAGCACACAGCCCATGGTTCATGGGACCCTAATTACCTCTAGCTGCCACCTTGTTCTCACATCTGGATGACAGAGGCACATCTGTATCACACTGGGCTACAGGCTGGCCTCTGAAGGGTCCATGGGAATGAAAGTTAAGGTTCTTTTGCTTGAAAGCAACACAGATAAACTTTAGCCAGCTCAAGCCACAAGAGGGGATGAACTGGAGAGTGTATTAGGCCATTCTTTGTGTTGCTATAAATAAATACCTGAGGCTGAGTAATTTATAAAGAAAAGAGGTTTGGTTGACTTGTGGTTCTTCTGGCTGTACAAACATAGCCCCAGCATCTGTTCAGCTTCTGGGGAGGCCTCAGGGAACTTTCATTCATGGCAGAAAGCAAAGCAGAAGTAGGCACATCATAGGGCAAAAGCAGGAGCAAGAGGGAGAGTGGATTGTAGGGTGTGCCACACATTCAAACAACCAGATCTAATGAGCACTCACTCACTATCACAAGGACAATACCAGGCCATGAGCAATCTGCCCCCATGACCCAAATACCTCTCACCAGACCCCACCTTCAACATTGGGAATTACAATTCAACATGAGATTTGGCAGGGCCATATATTCAAACTATATCAGGGAGAGACTATGGCTTTTAGCTAACAACATAGGCCTTGGGAGGAAGAGCAACAGAAGCAGCTCTGGAAACCATGGTGCTCTTGTTTGCTCACTGTACAGATAAAACCAATCCACTGAGACAGCAGTACCGCAGTAGAGAAAGAGTTTAATAATCACAGGGCTAGTTAAGTGGAAGGATGGGAGTTTATTACTCAAATCACCCTCCCCAAAAGCTCAAAGGTTAGGGTTTTTCAAAGATAGTTTGGCAGTCAAGGGGCTAGGGAATGGGGGATGCTGATTGGTTGGGCCAGGGATGAAATTACAGAGGGTTGAAGCTGTCTTCTTGTGTTGAGTCAGTTCCTGGGTGGAAGTCACAGAAGCAGTTGAATTAGTTCCTTGGTATGAGTTATGGGCCCAGGTGAAGTCAGTCTGTTACTAGAATGCAAAAGTCCAAAAAATATCTCAAAGACCAATCTTTCATTTTTACAATAGTGATGTCATCTATCAGAGCAATTGGGGAATTTACAAATATTGTGATCTCTGGAGCAGTAAATGATTACAGAAATTCAAGCTAGGGAACAATGGCTGGTTATCATTTAACTACACCTGCATCTTAGCAGAATTCAGGCCTCTCCTATGATCCTAATCTTGTGGACTTTCATTAGTCTTACAAAGGCAGTTTTGTTTTTTTTTGTTTTTTGAGACGACGTTTTGCTCTGTTGCCCAGGCTAGAGTGCAGTGGCACTATCTCGGCTCACTACAACTTCTGCCTCCTGGGTTCAAGTGATTCTTCTGCCTCAGCCTCTGGAGTAGCTAGAATTACAGGCATGCACCACCATGTCCAGCTAATTTTTGTATTTTTAGCAGAGACAAGGTTTCACCATGTTGGCCAGGCTAGTCTGGAACTCCTGACCTCAAGTAATCCATCTGCCTCGGCCTCCCAAAGTGCTGGGATTACAGGCGTGAGCCGCCATACACAGCCTTACAGAGGCAGTTTTGGTCATCAAGCAAGAAGGGGGTTAGTTTTGGGAAGGGATTGTTATCATCTCTGTTTTAAAGTTAACAAAGGCAGTTAGCTTGTGAAGTTGGAGTCAGTTAGCTTAGATTTCTCTCGCTGATGCACTTTTTGTAAAGGTGGTTTCACCCTGTGCCCATGGACCTTCCTTCCAGGGGTCACCATTTATGCCTCTCACCTGCTATGTCTCTCAGGTTAAAAGTTCACATTCCTAGGAGAAAAGAATCTGACTGGCAAGCTTCAGTCAGATGCTCTTTGGTCCAGTGAGCTAAGCCCCGGGGTTTTAGCTGGGACCCATGGTTGAGGATGGCCAGTTCCTGGAGAATGGGAGAGGGCACTGTGTGTGAGGCAGACAATGGGGAGTCATGTTTGTGAATGGAGTCTTCTGCCAGTGACTCATATCTCCTCTCAGAAGGTCCTCCTCTTCCTTTTTCCAGACAGCAGGGTTTTCTGTCACTTGATTCAACCCTTACTGAGGCTGTAATTGATGTCTCACAGGTACCGGCCTCTGTGGAGGATTCTGAGATGAAGACAGTCCTCACACCCCTGTGAAGACGAGTGAGTTCACCAAGCACAGCCACGCAAGGTTGAGGGGCCTGGAGCCCTGGGAGAGCCTGGCTGTGGGGGGGTCTGTCGCTGCCAGCTCTGCCTCTTGGTCTCTCCACCCAGACGGGAGATGATCAGGACTGACCAAACTGAGCCACCCAACACAGTCTCTTGTGGACAGGGAAGGCTTCAGCTTTGCCAAGAATTCCAGAGCTGGATTTTATTGACTCATCATACTTGAGATTATGTCAGTGGAGTCCTTTCTGGAGAGGGAGGCCTGCCCTTTGACCTAGCTGTAGAATTGCCCCAGCATTCCCTTAGCTCAATCCCTCCCCTGACCCCCACGCCCTTGGGACTCTCTGTGGCTGTCTCTAGGCCAAAATATCCTCCCACTGTTCAGGAGGGGCCTGGCCAGAGACTCTGTTGTTATTTTCACACCTGTTCTTATAACAATCCCTGCGGAAGAAAAGAAAAATGTCACCTAGATAAAGACAAAAAGCATAAAAAAGAAAAAAGAAAAAAAAAGAGTGACATTTGGAAAAGTTTAGACAGGAATGGCCTGGCCGGGGCTGAAATTGGGAGGAGGGAGAAGGTCAGAGGCTGGGGGATTAGGGACATCTGAGTGCTGACTTGGAAACAGGGGACTCTGGGTTTCTCTTTCATAAGGACCAAAGGCTGCTCATATATGCTAAGCACCTTTCATTCATTGTCTCACCAACAACCATAGGAGGCAGTTACTATTATTAACTCAGATAGAAATAGGGAAACTGAGGTTCAGGGAGGTTAAGTAATTTCCCAGGGTCTCATATTCAGCCTGGACACCATCTCATATCTGGCTCTAAATAGTAGCCTCTAAGGCTCATTGGATTGGCACTTGCCTCCCAGGACCCCTGTGGTTATGAGATTCAGAGTCCTGAGATGTCTGAGCTGGTCAAAAGCTTTGGGTAATCTTTAAATAAGCAGCTGTGCCTTGCTAAGAGAATGGGAGGCTCCTGGAGAATAGGGTGGCCAACTAGAAAGAAACTAGCTTGGAAGTAAGAAATGACTGGGTCCCATACCAAGCCTGCCTCTTATTACCATGTTACCTCGAACAACTGACTTTACTTGTGTGAGCCTCAGTTTTCTCCTCTGAAAAATGGACTAATAACATTTACACTGGAGTGTGCTATCCAGTGCAGCTCAGGTGCTCCATAAGTGAAAAGATGGTTCCTACCTTATTGCTTCCTTGGGATCTTCCTCCCCAGCACGTAGGCTTTCAGAGCCTCAGTACCATCTCTGATGACTTTTTTGCCAGGGCTCATCAGATGGGGTAGAACTTTCTGATCAGGAACCCACAGCGCACACACACACACAAGCCTCCCCTCATCCTGCGTACAGAGCCAGCTTTGCTCGGGCTTCTGGGAAAGGGGAGTATGGGGATTACTTATTGACTCCAGTATCCAAACCACTGGCTGGACAAGAATGCAGCCAGCCTCAGGAATGACTTAAACCAGGGACTCTGGGGCCACCAGGCATCCCTCCTACTGCCTGGTTCTCTAGGTGTCAGCTCCCTGCTTAGTTAGATAGCTTCTCCCGTGCTGCTGGTCCAAGGCCTAATACTCTCAGTTTCATCACAGTAGACAAAACTCCAATTCCAGTTACAACCAACCAACCAACCAATAGGAGAAGACTCCAATTGGCTAGGCTTGAATTACCCATCACCTTCTCAACCAATTATTGAAACTCAGAGGTAGAAAGGTACTATGATTGGTCAGGGCTGGATCAGGTGATCACACCCAGGCCAATAATTGTTCCAAAATGGCCACTTTACATTTAGATCGCCTAACTAGAATGGGAATGCACAGTGCTTTGCAGAAAACAGTGGTGAAAGTTCATGACTGGCCCGGGCAACTGATATGGTTAGGCTTTGTGTCCCCACCCAAATCTCATCTTGAATTATAATCTCCATAATCCCCACATGTCGAGGGAGAGACCAGGTGGAGATAATTGAATCATGGGGGCAATTCCCCCATGCTGTTCTCGTGATAGTGAGTGAGCTCTCACAAGATCTGATGGTTTTATAAGGGCCTCTTCCCACTTCGCTTGGCACTTCTCCTTCCTGCTGCCTTGTGAAGAAGGTGCCTTGCTTCTCCTTCACCTTCCACCATGATTGTAAGTTTGCCAAGGCTTCCCCAGCTGTGCAGAACCGTGAGTCAATTAAACCTCTTTCCTTTATAAATTACCCAGTCTTGGGCAGTTCTTTATAGCAGTATGAAAACAGACTAATACAGCAACATAGTGAGATGTCATCTCTAACAAATTTAATTAATTTTTAAAGTGGTGAAACGTCCTAGGCAAATGAATAAATATCTTTTACCTTTCAAATCTCAATTCTCTTTCTTTCTAATCATTCCCATCCAATCCTGGAGCACTACACTACTGATATCTTCATTCTGCCATTTCCTGTCCCCTACCCTGGTGTTTAAATCTCTCCACTCTACCTATTGGGCACAGCTGGCCTGATGAATCAACCCAGCCTGCAGGCCTGATGGATTTTCAGAGTTCAAGGAAGTTCTTCCTTTTCCAGCCATCTTAAATGTCTTCCTACCTCTGCCTGCTGTATCAGCAATTTCACTATTGGTGGTTCATTTTTTAGCTTACTATGACTTGTTCCCATTAAAATGCACATCCCTTTGTGAGTATGCACTCACTGTCTGAACAATTATTTATGATTAGTATTAGTGCTTTATCAGCTTTTTTACATTTTGGTGGGGGAAAGGAGGAGAGACTACAGAGGGCTTACTCATGTTGGAGGGAGGAAGAGAGGCTGTAGAACCTGGAAGCCAATTCTCCTGATTCAATGAGTCTGTTTCAGGTAAGTCCAGGTGATTGTCGGGAAGCCATGGCCATTCTTATTTTATCTTGGAGAAGCAGCAGCGTTTTATCTTTTTTCTGTCTTCAAAGTTTAAATTTTCTTACCTAAAATTTTAAATTTTGAGGTAATTGGGGAATCCTCTACTCAGTTTCCCATGATAGCAACTTGCAAAACTATAATATTACAACCAAGATATTGATGTTAACACAGTCAGGATACAGAACGTTTCTATCACCATGAGGATCTTCATGTTGCCCTTTTATAGCCATATCTACTTCCCTCCCATCCCTATCTTCTCCTTAACTGATGGCAACCACTGATCTGTTATCCATTTCCATAATGTTGTCATTTCCAGAATGTTATATAAATGGAATCATATGTAACTTTGGGGGATTGGCTTTTCTCACTCAGCATAATTCTCTGGAGATTCATCCAGGTTGTTTTGTGTATCAGTAGTTCTTTCTGACTGTATTAATCCATTCTCACACTGCTATAAAGCTACTACCCGAGACTGGGTAATTTATAAACAAATGAGGTTTAATTGACTCACAGTTCCACATGGCTGGGGAGGCCTCAGGAAACTTACAATCTTGGCAGAAGGGGGAGCAGGCACATATTACACGGCAGCAGGTGAGAGACAGTGAGCAAGTGCAGGGAAAACTGTCTTATAAAACCATTAGATCTCGTGAGAACTCACTATCATGAGAGAAGCATAGGGGAAACTGTCCCTGTGATCCAATCACCTCCTACCAGTTCTCTTCCTCAATACCTCGGGATTACAATTTAAGATGAAATTTGGATGGGGACACAAAGCCTAACAGTGTCACTGAGTATTAGATCATGGTAGGATATACCCCAGTTTATTTAATCATTTCTGTGTTGAAGGACAAGTGGATCATTTTCAGTCTGGGGCTAATACAAATAAATAAAGCATCTATAAACATTTATATACAAGTCTTCATTTCTCTGGGATAAATGCCCAGAAGTACAATTGCTGGGTTGTACAGTAGTTGTATGTTTAGTTTTTGAAAGAAACTGCCAAACTGTTTTCCACGGTGCCTGTACCATTTTACATTCCCACCAGCAATGTATGAGTGACTCAGTTTCTCTGAATCCTTGTCAGCATTTAGTATTATTACTGTTTTATGTTAGCCATCCTGATAGGTACATAGTGATTCTCATTGTGATTGTAACTTGCATTCCCTTAATGATGAACAATGAGCATCTTTTTATGTGCTATTTGCCATATGATGTCTTCTTTGGTGAAATATGTCTTTATGTCTCTTACCTATTTTCTAATTGGATTGTTCGTTTTCTGACTGCTGAGTTTTGAGTGTTCTTTATATATTCTACATACTAGTTCTTTGTTGGATATATGGTTTGCAAATATTTTTCCCAGTATGAAGCTTTTTTTCATCTTTTTAATGCTTTTTAATGGGCCTTTCACAAAACAGAAGCTTTTGTGATGAAGTCCAATTTATTAATTTTTCCTTTTATGGGTGATGCTTTGGGTGTTGAACCTAAGAACTCTTTGCATAGACCTACATCCTGAAGACTTCCTCCTGTTTTTTCAGAAGTTTTATAGTTTTATGTTCTACATTTAAGTTAATGATCCATTTTGAGTTAATTTTAGTATAAGGCGTACGTAAGACTTAGAGGCTTTTTTTTTTTTTAGCACCATTTGTTGAAAAGGCTATTTTCCTCCATTGAATTAGTTTTGTACGTTTGTCAAAAATTAGTTGGGCATATTTGTGTGGGTCTATTTCTGGTTTCTCCATTCTGTTCCATTGATGTATATCTCTCTGCCAATAACATACAGTCTTGTAAGTTATCTTGTATCTTGTATGCCAATAATATTCAGTCTTACTGTAGCTATACAGTGATTACTGTAGCTTGATATGAGATGGACTGATTCCTCCCAATTTATTCTTTTTTTTTTCCAAAATTGCTATTCCTATGGTTTGGATGTTTGTCTCATCTAAATCTCATGTTGAAATTTAATTCTCAATGTTGGAGGTGGGGCCTAATGGGTGTTTTGGTCATAGAGGTGGATCTCTCATGAATAGATTAATGGCCTTCTCTGGAGTGAGTGAGTTCTCATTCAATTAATTCCTGTGAGAGCTGGTTGTTAAAAGAGCCTAGCACACCCTCCTTTTCCTCCTCTCTCTCACAATGCCATCTCTGCACACTCTGGCTCCCTTTTGCCTTCTGCTATGAGCAGAAGTAGCCTGAGGCCCTCGTCGGATGCAGATGCCTAATCTTGAACTTGTAGCCATGAGAATCATGAGCCAAATAAACCATTTTTCTTTAAAAATTACCCAGCCTCTAGTATTTCTTTATAGCAACACAAAACAGACTAAGATAGCTATTCTAGTTCCTTTGTCTTTCCACATAAATTTTAGAGTAATATTGTGTATAGCTACAAAAACTTTTGCAAGATTTTAAAAGGAATTGCATTAAACTCATATATCCTTTTGCGGAGTAAGTCAACATCTTTACTATGTTGAATCTTTCAATCCATGAACATAATACATCTCTCCATTTATTTAGCTGTTCTTTGACTTGTTTAATCTTCTTTTTGTAGTTTTCAGCATACAAATCCTGTAGATTTACACTTAAGTATCTCTTCTTTTTCTTTTTGTAGTTGCACATGGTATTGTATTTTTAATTTTGATATCCAGGTGTTCATTTCTAGTACATAGGAATACAACAGATTTTTGTATGTTTATCTCGTATTCTGTGACCTTGCTGAATTCACTTACTAGTACTAATATTTTGTATATCCCTTGGGAACTTCTACAAAAGCAATCATGTTCTTTTCAAATAGGAACAGTTTTTATTTCTTCCTTTTTAATCTGTATGCCTTTTAATTTCTTGCCTTATTGCACTGGCTAAAACTTTCACAGCACTATGTCATATAAAAGTGGTGACAGCAGACATTTTTGCTTTGTTTTCATCTAAGGCAAAAGCATTCAGTCTTTCACCATTAAGTATAATGTTAGCTGTAGGGTTCTCGTTGATGCTTTTCATCAAGTTGAGAAAGTTCTATTCCAATTTTTCTTTGAATTTTATAATGGATGAGTATTGAATTGTTGTTTAATGGGTGTTGACTTTTCAGCATCAATTGATATAATCATGTTAATGTGGTGGACAACTGGTAAATGGATAAACAAACTGAGCAGCCATTTATACATTGTATGGATGTACCAGTTTATTTATCCATTTACCAGCTGAAGGACATTTGGGGAGTTCCCTGTTTTTGGTGATTATAAATGAAGTCTGTATAAACATTCACAAACAGGTCTTTGTATGTAAATGGTTTTCGTTTCCCTTGGGAAACGAAATGCTACTCAAATACCTATGACTGGCATTGCTAATTTGTATGGTGAGTACATGTTCAACTTTATAAGAAACTGCCAAATTGTTTTCAAAACTGTGCGTCATTTTGCATTACCAAGCAATGTGTGCGAGTTCCAGCTTTGTTCAGCTGGTACTTGATATTGTACCTCAGACTTTCAGAGCCCTTCTTTCTATCTCTGCTGTCTCCCCTTCCTGAGTGCCAGAGAAGAGTGGGTATAGTCACAATAGCAATTTTCCAGAAGCAGAAGGGCTGGCTCTCATAATTCCCCTGCACACTACGAACTTCAGAACTGCAGTTTTTGGGAAGGTGTGACAAGTGTGTTGAGCAGAATCAGGACAAGGGCCAAGGCAGAAGGAGTAGTGGGGGCACAGGGTTGGCAGTGAAGGGTCCAAGTGGCAGCAGTCCACAGTGGCAGGACCTGGAACACTTCGTCTGCTCAGGGCTTGTTGGTAGTGGGAAAGGATCACTTGGGGCCCAGGAGGGGGTCCTGCTGCCTCAGCACCCTCCCTCTGCCCTCCTAAGGTTTCCAGCCATTTCTAACAGAGGAAACTGCAATCTCTTGAGATTCCTGCAGGCCCCAGGGAGGGGGAGAGTTGCCTGAGAACCAGAGGCCTGGCTTGGGGCCCAGTTATGTGACACCTGAATCTTGGGGAGAGTGGCTGTGGGACCAGGCCCCTGGGGCCTCCTGGGACAGTTGGGAACAGGGAGGGGCAGCTCAGGTTTCCTCACTGCTTGGTGTGTGACCTGGGCTCCACCCAGGCAGCAGAATAATGCCAGGCCTTAGCCCCTGCGGTGTAACACCTTTCACCAAGAAATTGCTGTCCCGCTCCTGTTCCACAGGGACTGCTCTGGCCTGGACTTTGGGTCCTGTGGCCTAGAAGTAAAGGGACCAGATCTTAGTCAGGCCTCAGGACAGAAGCCGAGCCAGTCAAATCTGGAGGAGGTGCGTGAGGTGTGTGTGTGTATCTGCGGGGTGGGGAGAGGTGTCATGTGGGGACCAGGAGCTGCCCAATATTCAGTTTCAGTTGATTAGCTGTGTGGCCTTGGACAAGTAATTTAGCCTTTTTAGGCCTGGGTTTGCCTGTTTTTGACTTAAAGGTTTGGACTAGATGGGTGATTTCTCAATTGCATTGAATGTCAGCATTACCTGGGACTTGTTTTTATAAACTACAGATCCCTGGGCTCCACCACAAACCTATTGAATCAGCATCTGTGGGCCTGGGGTCCTGGCTTCTGGCTGTGTAACGGGCTCCAGCCGGTTTTTATATGGCCAGTGTGTCACTGATATCTCCAGACCCACTTACCTAAAAGTTCACCAAGTCCAGCAGCCTAGGGCAACCTCTGGTGGAAGACAGAAAGGCAGGTCCAGGAAGGAGGGAGGAGCCAGAGAAGGGGAGCCAATCAGGGGTCAGAAAGATGGGGGGAGGAACCTGAGAAAGGGAGCCAATCAGTGGCCAGGAAGGTGAGAGGAGGAGCCACTCAGTGGCCTGAAAGGAGGAAGAGGAGCCAGAGAGGGAGAACCAATCAGGAAAAGAGGATGCGGCAGGCTGGGATTCTTCTTGCAAGGGAACCTGAAGCTTTAGTCTGGGCAGGCAGCGAGCTGGACTGGTATCAGAGGAAAAGAAGTCTCTACTTTGGCTGCTTCTGTTTGAGTGTGTCTCCCAGCACCATAAGGCAGGTAGAGAGGGCATCACCTTTGTGGTTCAGGAGAAGGGTTAGCACATCCCTTGTCTGTTTGGAGGCTCAAAGTGGGTCTAGGAGAAACTATATCTGCCTAGAGGGAAAACATATCCTGCAAACCCTAAATAGCCATGGGGAATAAATAGCACTTGGGCCCCGGCCATTCCACCCCCTCTGTGTCTGACTCAGCTTGGAGGACAAAAGAGTCCCCATCTGCTGCTTACTGGCTTTGCGTGTGTGAGCAAGTCACTCAACCTTTCTGACTCTGTTGCCTCCTCTGTAAAATGGGAATAATAATTATACCTGCCCTACCCCCACAAGGCATTGCTCTGGGCATCACCTAAGACAAGGGAGGCGAGGGTGCTCCATCAACTGCAGCATGCTGTGCAATCCATTGGGGCTAGGCACTACCAGAACCCCAGGGAGGAAGGGATGGATGGACAACCCTCCCTTGTCCCACAGTTGGAGCATCTGTGCTTAAAAGAAAACCACTCGAGTGATTATCTTTTATAAATTGTTAGATGGTCACAGATAATCTTCCCTCTGACAACCCACCTCAGTTTCAGAGGCAACAAGTACTATATGAATTTGGTGTGATCCTTTCACACTTAAAAATTTTTTTTCACATATATGCGTGGGCTCATGGGAAATATATATTGTGTGTCAGCACGTGTGTGTGTATGTGTGGCTTGTTTTACACAGAGGGTGGCGCAGTTACATATCACACAGCAAAATGCCTTTTTTAAACTCAAGGTTGTATGTTTGAGATCTAATTAGGTCATTTCTTTTATCTGCCATGTACTGTTCTACCTTGAGTCTCTCTCACATGGCATCTGTTTTGCCTGATGTTAAAATTGTTATGGCGCTAAATCATGTCTTTTCTTACCCCTGGCACAGCCAGATGGGCTGCCTTTGGTTGCAAGCCCAGCAGAGTCAGAAAGAAACTAAGGCTGTCAAGGAAACCTAAGGGTAGGTCTTCAACTCTGGGCCCGGAAGGAGCATCACCTCCACCTGGCCTTGTCTGGTTCATTTACAGCCTGCAGGAAGGAGAGGCGGGGAGACGGGGAGATGGGAGAAGGAGGGAGAGAGAGAGAGAGAGAATGTGAATATGAGAACGCTGCCCTGCTCCAAGCTCACCTCGCACCTCTGTCTGGGGAAAGTGGAATGGGAAGAAGCAGGTGGCATCCCCATCATCCCAAGGTGCCCTGCTGCCAACAAGACCTTGGGTGTCCATCCTTCTAGTGCAGTAGCACCACCACCGCCACCCCCCTTCAGGTGAAGGTTGCTAACTTTGAAATCAGGATGGGCTACATAATTTGCAGAGCCCAGTGCACATAAAAATGCAGGGCACTTCTTCAAGAAATATTAAGAATGCATTAGGCCAAAGGCAGACTCCTTCTAAGCATGTGGCTCTGCCTGACTGCACAGGTGGCATTCCCATGAAGCTGGTCCTGCCTGAAACTATCCTCTAAGGGAGTCCTGTTAAGGTGTGGGAGAAAGTGCGCAAAGCTCTGCAAAGGGAAATAGCTGTCATTTTGGAAGCCATCAGGATCTTTTAGTGCAGTCAAGCTGAACCATGGAGGTCATGATGACTAACAGTTCCAGACAGGTTGAAAAGCTCTGATTTGTCCCCTCTAGGGTGGGAACTAAGGACTGGAGAGGCTGCAGAGCCAGCAGATAACTCAGAAGGCCAGGGTACAAATCCTCCCTCTGTCCCTGAGGAGCTGAATGACCATGAGTTTGTTGCTTAGCTTCTCTGTGCCTCAGTTTCCTTATTAAGATAAGGTGCCCTCTTCATAGGATTGCTTGGAAGATTAACCCTAAAACTATGGAGAAGCTGAGGACATTTCCTGGCATATAATGTTCGATAATCTGGGCTGATGTTAGATATCCTTTCTGTGAGCTTTGGTTTCTTTCCTAGGATAATATAATGGGGAAAGGTAGAAGGTAAAGATGGATCTAGAGTCAGGAGTTCTGGGTTCTCTGCTACTAACCACCTGCTTACCAAGGCAGGTCACTGTCCCCTTAAGAGTCTCACTTCTAAAATTTAAGGGAGGGGGTGAGGTATGACTTTCCTTCCAGCTTTATAATTCTGTTTCCAAGGAATTCCACCTGTTCCTCTCATTGGTTTATCCCAGTGTACCCAGTGTATTAGTCTGCTTTCATGCTGCTGATAAAGAAATACCCGAGACCGGGCAATTTACAAAAGAAAGAGGTTTAATTGGACTTACAGTTCTATGTGGCTGGGGAAGCCTCACAATCATTGTGGAAGGCAAGGAGGAGCAAGTCACATCTTACGTGGATGGTGGCAGACAAACAGAGTGAGCTTATGCAGTCAAACTCCCATGTTTTAAAACCATCAGATCTCATGAGAGTCATTCACTATCATGAGAACAGCACAGGAAAGACCCGCCCCCATAATTCAATCACCTCCCACCGGGTTCCTCCCATGACACGTGGGAATTGTGGGAGTTACAATTCAAGATGAGATTTGGGTGGGGACACAGCCAAACCATATCACCCGACATTTATTTTCTCTGAGGTTTAAGAAATTTCTCCTCTTATCTGACTGCAAATCTTTCTCATTAGTTAAAGTCCACTTCTTTTCCTGCCCTTTGTGTGAAAACAACTGGTTGGTGACCCATTTTACAGACTCAGAAACTGAGGCACATTGAGAACCATCTGCTCTCCAGGTGGAACAACCCCAGTCCCTTTAATATGCCCTTGCATTGGCCCTTCACTGCACTGTGACCTCTGCCCACTGCACATCCCAGGAATGTCCACCACTCCTGCATTTAGAGACCCACACAGGTCACTCCTGCCAGCCAGGCACAGGGCTCGGCCCCTCAGATCTGTCTAATATTCTCAGTGCCTGTAGGGAAGCAGATCTTGTTACATATCTTGTTTTCCAGCTAGAGAAGCGGGCTCCTGGAGCCCAGACTGAGGGTGGAGTGAGGTTCCTGTAGGTAACTTGTGAGACCCCCTAATGCTGTGAGGCAGAGCCCCAGACCCTGCGACCCTGTGGGGGTCAGCCTTTCCTGGAGAAAAGCTTTCTCCCAGCACTTACCAAGCCTCTCTCCCTGCAGCTGGCATGAGGGATGTTGCTCCTCTGCCAAACCCACACTCTGGGGTGAACACAGCTCTGGGCATGCCAGCTGCTGCCCTGGCCCCTTTACTGCCACTCAGGAAGACACACGTGAGTGCCATTCAGTGCCAGTGTCCTTGTCAGGGGGCAAGCCTCAAACCTGTCCCCTTCCTACCAGGCCCCTGATCAGCTCCAGCACTAGCACAATGCAGAATCAATATCTATTTGGGGGGATTATTGAATGTCCATCTCCTCCACTAAAATAACCTCTTTGGGTGGTGTGTTGGGGCGGGGGCATGACTTGTTCACGGAAATATGCCCAGAGTCTAACACACTTCCTGGCACAAGGAGGTGCTCAGTACACATTCAATGTGTGAGCACATGGATCTGCTGTGATTTATTTATTTTTTAAACTTTATTTATTTATTTGTATTTTGAGACAGGGTCTCACTCTGCCACCCAGGCAGAAGTGCAGTGGCACAATCATGGCTCACTGCAGCCTCAACCTCCTGGGCTCAAGAGATCCTCCCACCTCAGCCTCCCAAGGTAGCTGAGACCACAGGTATGTGCCACCACGCCCAGCTAATTTTTGACTTTTTGTAGAGACGGAGCCTAGGCTGGTCTTGAACTCTTGGGCTCAAGTGCTTCTTCTGCCTTGGCTTCCCAAAGTGTTGGGATTACAGGTGTGAGCCACCATGCCTGGCCCCACTGTGATTTATTGAAAGTCAACCTCTGGCCCAGGCATGGTGGCTCATGACTGTAATCCTAGCACTTTGGGAGGCCGAGGTGGGTGGATAACCTGAGGTCAGGAGTTTGAAACCAGCCTGGCCAACATGGTGAAACCCTGTCACCACAAAAAATACAAAAATTAGCTGGGTGTGGTGGTGCACACCTGGAATCTAAGCTACTAGGGAGGCTGAAGCTGGAGAATCACTTGAGCCCGGGAGGCGGAGGTTGCAGTGAGCTGAGATTGCATCATTGCACTCCAGCCTGGGCAACAAAGTGAGACTCTCTCAAAAAAAAAAAGAGGAAGAAGAAGAAGAAAGTCAGCATCTGGCAGATACTGGCCCTTTACTTTATTAGCAAATTCCTGGAGGCCCATCTTTCACGGGATTACTACACAGGGGTGCTGATTTAGAAAAGTGCTATTTTATGTGTTATGCTCTGAGGGTTCATTCATGCAGGCAGTGTGTAATGAGCACTCGCTACATGCCAGGCCCTGAGGACAGAGCAGTAAAGGAGCCGATGTCCTTGCCTGCATGGAGGTCCCATCCAAGTGAGGAGACAGTTAAAATGCAAACACAGCTGCACGATATTGTCAGGTGATGCTTTGTGCTGAGAAGGATGAAGCGGTAGGGGGGATGGAGAGAGTGGGGTGGGTGGGGTGCTATTTCAGATTGAAGGGTCAGCGAGGTCCTGCAGAAGAGCTTCAATTTAAATGGAAGCCACCACTGAGAACGAATAGGGGGGATTTGGGGCATCCCAGGTGAGGAGTGGGATTCAGAAAGAAGAATTCCTTGACATCCCAGGCTCCTTGGTGAGCCAGTGGGGACACATTCTGCTTGTCATCAAAGTGAATTACAAACTCATCCAGCTCAGAGCCTCTGCCAGAGCCATCTGGGCTGCAGTGGCCTCTTTCAAAGAAAAGAGTTCGCCAACAAGAAAGCGGCACGGCATCCTGATGAGGACTGGGGCTTTAGAGTTCTGGGCAGAAACGTGTTGAAATCCCAGCTCAGGCATGATTGAGGTTCATGTCTTAATCCCTGAGAGCTTTGGTTTCTTTATATGTAGTCGGGAATGATAACAGTGCTTCTCCCAGAGGGTTGTTGTAAGTCTTCAAAGAAACAGCCTGTGTAAAGTGCTGAGCACAGATAAACAGTGGCCTTTACTGCCATTGTCATTCTCTTAGCTCCCAGTGGGGTTCTTTGCTTCTCTTTCATTCATTCCACAATAACTGAGCACCTACTCATTGTCAGGCTCTAGATGCTAGGGTACCCAGAGGAGGAACACCTAAGCTATCCAAATGTGAGCCAGAGAGTGCACCCATCCAAGAGGCAGGGCCCTGGGCATGCATTCCTGCCATTCCAGCTGTGTGAACTTGGCCATGTGGTTTCATCGCCCTGGGCCTCAGCTTTCCCCACTGCAAATAGAGGGCTCAGCTTGCCAATCACTGGGTGATTCTCCTGCTGAGCTCCTGGGCTGAGGCTGGGGCACAACTGTGGAGGGAGCATCTGTAGCCCCAGGTGACCTGAGCCTCAGAGAAAGCTAGCCTGCCTGGCCCGGAGGCTCTGCTGGGAGTGGGGTGGGAAGAAGCCCATGTGCTCGGAAATGGGCCAGGGTCAGTGCTGGGGCCTGTCGCCCCCAAGGACCCTCCCACATCAACCAGAGCTCCTCATGGGGAGGCAGAGGGTACAGCCGCTGAACGTGCCTTCCCAGGAGAAGCTTGAAGTGTACTCAGGATCTTGGCAGGCATCGGGGTTCTGAGGGGTCGTAAGAGGGGCCGCTAGGGACAGGGCTCCAGAGAGGCCTGATGAAGGTGGAGACAGAGGAAGAGGATATCTAGGAGAAGGGGTTTGTCCTATTTCCTCCCAAGTGCCACTTGCACTTCTAGTGCTGGGAGTCATTCATTATACAGATGATTATACAGTCATTCATTATACAGATGGCTGGGGCCACCACACTTCTTCTTTCCTTGCCCTTCTCCTCCTTTCCTACCCCTCACCCTGGGAGTGCCTTGGACCCTGGGATGACCCATTCTAATTTCTTCTCCTTCCACTTACCTGTGCTGGCCGGGTACGGTGGCTCACACCTGTAATCCCAGCACTTTGGGAGGCTGAGGTGGGCAGATCACCTGAGATCAGGAGTTCAAGACCAGCCTGGCCAACATGGCAAAACCCCGTCACTACTAAAAATACAAAAATTAGCCTGGTGTGGTGGCAGGTACCTGTAATCTCAGCTATTTGTGAGGCTGAGGCAGGAGAACTGCTTAAACCTGGGAGGTGGAGGTTGCACTGAGCCAAGATTGTGCCACTGCACTCCAGCCTGGGTGACAGAGTGAGACTCCGTCTCCAAAAAAATCCAAAACCGAAACAACAACAACCAAAAAAAAAAAAAAAAAAAAAAAAACTTACCTATGCTGTGTACCTGCCTCTCTGTGCTATGGGAAACTAAGCCCTAAATAATCTAAATAATTCATTTTATTCAAAAAGCTTTTTTTTTTTTCCTTAGAGACAGGGTCTTAGTCACCCAGGCTGGAGTGAAGTGGCATGATCATAGGTCATTGCAGCCTCCAACTCCTAAGCTCAACCAATCCTCCTGCCTCGGCCTCCCAAGTAGCTGAAACTACAGGCAAGTGTTGCCATGCCCAGCTAATTTTTAAAAATTTTTTGTAGGAACTGTTGACCAGGCTGGTCTCAAACTTTTGGCCTCAACCACTCCTCCCACCTTGGTTTTCCAAAGTGCTGGGATTATAGGCATGAGCCACCACACCTGGCCTCAAAAAGCATTTAATGAGTTCTGTTTAAGGGACTCTTTGGGTGTGATATAGTAAACAAAACAAAGAATCCATATCCTTGTGGAGCTTGCATTTCAGAAAGTGAGTGGACAATAGCAGCTTAACGCAGCACTTCTCCAACCTAGAGGTGCATATGGGATCACTTGGGCATCTTGTTAAAATGCACATTCTCATTCAGGAGATCAGGGATGGGCCTGAGATTCCAACAAATGATGCCTAATGTTGCTAGGCCATAGTTTGAGTGGCAAGGGGTTTTATGTGTTATCCCTCCTGAGATAGCAATGACATGTTCGAAGGAATGGCTCTCTAATATGGAACCCTAGGGAGGTGTTGGTGGAGGTGGCTGGGTATTGAGGACACTGGGGACTCTGGACTGGTCTCCTGGGTGGCTGCCTGCCTTTCTGTGCAGAAGGCTGGCTCAGCTTTCCAGCCCTGGCTTCTTAGCTCCCCACTGTTCCTCCTCAGCCAGGCTGTGGGTGGGAACATCTGGAAGGGATCCCCCGGAACTGGGGGAATTTCCAGGCACATGAGGCTCTGTCAACCCAGCCAGGAACATCCGCCCCTGCCATCTGCTCCAGACGTCATTGCAGAGTCTGTGTGAGAGGAACCCGACAGTTTCCAGCTCCTCCAAGGAGCGTCTGTCTGTGTCTCTGGGTCCTGCCCTGGGCATGTGAGGGGCCTGCCTCTGCTACTGCTGGGGGAGTCTGTTGGGGGCCTAAGTTCCCAAGTGCAAGTCCTGCGTTTTATCTGCTGGGAGATGAGGTGTCTCCAAATTCCAAAGATGCCCTGGGGGTCTTCCCTAGGACGATGAAGGAGGGAGAAGCTGCCCTGGTTGTTGAGAAGCCTCAGCCCAGAATTTTCTCACCCTCATGAGGCAAATTTGTCCAACACACGCTGTGCTCTGCCCTGTGCAACATCTCAGTAATAAATGCCCAGTTTTGTGCACTGATGGCCTGTGCACCGGAGGCTTTACAGCTTGACCTCACTTGATCTGCATGGAAACTGTGAAACTGCTCTTACTCTCACCTCCATACCGATAAGGATGAAGCAGCTCAGAAAAGTCAGGTTACCTATAGGAAGTAGCAGAGCCAGGATTTGAACCCAAAGTCACTGGATACCAAAGCCCAGTGTTAACTCTTCAGTTACATTGGCTCCTTACATATCCTCTAAGAGCAGGTGCTAGCTAAGAGCAGGACTGGATGGGACTCATCCAGCTGAAAGTCTTGCTTCTTCAAACTCCAAGACTTCTCCTGGAGCTTCTCCTCCAGCCCTGTGGGAAGCTCCCGGTCCACGGTTTGGGGTGGTTGTGCCCAGCCCTGTTCATCACATGCAGCTGCATAAGTCTGGGCAGCCTCTCCCTGTTAATGAGAGCGACGAATGACTCTCATCAAGTCTGGGAGTTACTCAGCACCAGAGACAGGTCTCTGGATGTGACTTCCTTCTTAAGAGCAAATGCAAACAGTGGAATGCCTAATCTCAAAGCAAGAGGCCTGGGTGCTCGCTTGGGAACTCCCAGGGGACTCCTGAGAGCAGCTGGCCCAGTCATGGGACGGTGGGGTGGGACAGCCAGGGCTTGGGGTCTGCTCTCTAAGGGAGCCGAGGCTGCAGCAGCTGTCCTCTCCATCCCCTAGCTCCACCGGGATAATTGACGGGGAGAGTATCACCTGATGTTAAAGCCCAGTGTTTATTCCTCTGTTACGTTTCGTTCTCTCTGCCACCATCTCTCAATCCAGTCTCTTAGCATGGGTGCCCCTAGCCCAGGAGCCCTATGCTGAGCTGGCAGGTGGGTTAACGAGTCTTAATGTATAGAACTTGTGCCAACCACAGTGTCGTAGACCCCGCAGGCCTCTAAAGGCCTGTCTGCCTCCCTACCCCTATCATGGGTCAGGCCGGAACTGCAGGACTCAGCAGGCACCATGGTGGCTTGGTCTGTGCCCGTCCTACCCTCTTTGTCTGCTGTGCCCTCAGCTTTAAACCTGAG
This sequence comes from Homo sapiens, assembly GCF_000001405.40. Lineage (NCBI taxonomy): Eukaryota > Metazoa > Chordata > Mammalia > Primates > Hominidae > Homo > Homo sapiens. The sequence continues at coordinate 451,646 of NT_187663.1, forward strand.
CCGGGCAGTTGTGACAAGGGAAGAGGGCTCCTTAACCACGATTTGCCAAGAGATGAAGGGCCCCTGAGGAAAGGCTTTTATTTCTGTATTTCAGTTTCACAGCTTGGGGAGATGGGAGATAGCTCATGTTCCCCTGAGGCTGCAAAAGTTCTATGACAGCCAGTCAGTGAGGCTGTTCCCGGTAATGGGAGGAGAGACATTGTCATTGAAGGGGCTGTGCCATCTCGCCTCTGGGGGAGGATGAGGCAGCAGCCCCGCTAGGACACGGGGCAGGGGACGGAATCTCAGCATGTCCGAAAGCAGGTCCAGGCAGTAGACTCGCTGTGTGCCCGGACCAGTGAGGCACTTCTCTGGGCCTCAGATCCCAGTGGGAGGAAGGAGGGAATAATGTCAGAAGTACAGAGAGTTGGTGAGAGAAGAGAGGCTGGGGAGATATCTGCAGGATGGAAGGGAGAAGGACAGGGAACTGGGAAGCAGGTAGCAGGCAAGGACTGAACAGGCCATGGTGTGCTGTCCCAGAGGCTGAAGGACCTCTCTCCATTGGCCCCATACTGCCTGCTGCTCCTGCCTCCTGGCACAGATGCCCCTGCTCTGAGAGACTGTGCAGAGAGAGCAGGTGGGTAAACAAGTCCTTATGTGTAGAATTTGTGCCAGCCACAGTGCCATAGACCCCACAGGCCTCCAGAGGCCTGCCTGCCTCCCTGCCCCACCCTACAGTGGGGGCCAATCTGCTTACATCTGTAGGATCCGCCTACCTCAATCCTGTTTCCAGATGGAGGGTATTTCTGGGGGTTGGTAGATTCTGTATCCAGTCACCTGTTATCTTCTTAGTTCTTTGAAACCCAACCTTCACCTTGGTCCCAGTTCCAGTCTTGGGTTTGGATCCCAGCTCTACAGCCGTCTACGTCTACACCTACCTTCTGCCGTGAGCCCCAAGTCCCTCTTTTTTTGAAATGATCATAGTAGTAGTGCCTCTCTCTTAGGGATCTTTGAGGATTAAATGAGATAACTGGAGCTCCCAGCAAAATACCCAGACATAGGGGTTCCATGATGGCTAGATCACTTCTCCCTCACCCCTCTCAATTAGCCTCTTTGGGTTGCGCTTGTTTCCAGAGGCCTGGGCCAGACAGTTAATAGTTAGGGTGTGTGGAGTGACTGCCCACTGCTGCCTTCAGCAGTAAAGGCGAGGGGAGGAACAAGAGCTGTCATTTATTGGACACTTTCAGAGGGCCAGACCATTGGCATGCAAGCATCATCATCCTCACACCAACCCTGTAAGGAGGATTTTATGAGCCCCTTTTTAGAGATGAGCAGACAGAAGCCCAGGCTTCTTGAATACCCTGCCTGGATCCCATAGCCAGTGAGTGGTGGAGACTGAATTCAGATCCAGCCCCCATTCCCAAGCCGGCTGGGCCCTTGCCACTGTCCCACTCAGTAAGACACAGTGACACTCAGGGGCTGGGTGGCCAAAGGCCACCGGTACCAGGTGAAGAGCACCTATTCTGGAGGCAAAGTCCTCAAATTATCAAAGCTAGGGCAGCAAAGCATGCTCAGATGAACACAGAAACCCAGAGGGGGACAAGGCAAATTATTCCAGGGACCCAAGACCTGCAGGGACGGAAGACTGGTGGGTGGAGACCCAGGTACAGCAGCACCCACAGGACACGGTGCTCCCTGTAGTGCAGGGAAACGCTGGAGAAGCCGGGCCAGCGTGCCCGGGAATGCGGAGGGAGAGGGCCTGTGCTCCTCCTTCTGAGAAACACATGGTTTCCCCAATCTAACAGCGGCCAAAAGGAAAAACTATGTACTCTACAAAATCCACAGTATACACACGACCCGCCAACATTTCAGCATCATCTCTCCGAGAGATCTCTCCCAGAATCCCGCGAAAGAGCCAGGCAACACGCACACTTGCCCAAGGTCAAAGACACTATTCCAGGTATGAATTTTATGGGTAACCAGATGACACTTGAAGCGGCTCAGAAGTTGGCGTGAGAAAAGTCCCCAGTTGTTATTACTTAGTGCGGCCTGGGAGGAAGAAAGGATTCTTTGTAGAGCAATGAAAAGGACCCAGATAGAGGCAAGCCCCTGCCCTCCTGAGCAGAAATCGTCTTTTCCATCAACAGTTTGTGCTCTGCACCGCCCAGCCTCATTGTTCTGTGGCATTCCGCCGGGGGCAAGAACACATTGGGATGCCTCGCCTTCTCAGCACACCGCTGCCTGGATTTCTGTGCAAGGACTTGAATGTAGATTTATCCTAGTCGTCATTATTTAGAAATATTTTGACAAAGTAGTTTATTTAAAGGTACTATGAGTCCCCTCCCTGTTTTTTGCTGTTTATCTTTTCTTTTAAATTTTCTCCCAGAAACAGTGTAATCCTCTAACACAGTTTGCATTGTAAGGCCAGGACAACAACACTGAAATGCAGCGGTGGGGGCCAGGTAGACACATAGGGCACATATCCCCAAGAGAGGCATAAATCCAGGTGGCTGCCAGCACCGAGGGCTCCAAGGCCTGCCATGGCCACAGCCCCTGGGGTATGCTCCTCTCCATCCTCCACCTCCATCTGGGCCAGCACCTGGGCTCTGGTGGTGAGGTGCTAGGACCTCTTTCCACTCCAGAGGGCCAGGGACCAGGATACTCAATAAGGATGTGTTGAGGAGCTGGGGGTATCTGGTGCAGAAGACCAATGAGTCCAGTCGAGGAGCGCTGATTCAGGAAACAAAACACCCAAAATGTCAAAGCCAGGACAGCAAGGCGTAAAAGAGACCGTCTCGACCTTGAAGGGTTTACATTTCCAGCTAAGTAGGTGAGACAAGCATTCTGACATGTTACTGAGGCTGCGGCCTCCATGCAGAAGGCAGTGACAGTGACAGGAAGGTTGTCAGGTTGACTAACATGGGAGAGGGGGTAAAACACACAGCTGCTGCCCTCAGGTGAGTGGCAGCTGGCGGGGGGTGGCATGATCCCAGCATGGCTGCCTTCCATTCTCTCCTTTTCAGTGTCACTTGTCACTCCTCCCGTTGAGGGGTGGAATCTGTGCCTCCCCTCTGCTTGAATCAGGGCTTCTCCCTAGTGATTTGCGCAACCTATAAAATGTGGCGGAAGTGATGTTCAGGATTTCTAAGGCAACGTCCTAAGAACCTTGCAGCTTCTGCCTGGAACTCTAGAGACTCTTGGCACCCAGAGACCTCCATGCAGTGAGGAAGCCCAAGGTGGCCACGAGGAGAGACTGTAGGGGGAAGAGGGTGGAGACCTGTCTGGCCCCCCATTCCTGTTCCCAGCCATTTGAGCCATCCGAGCTTCAGCCATAAACATCCAGGGGCAGAGAGGAGCCATTCCCTCTGTGCCCTGTCCAGGTTCCTGATCCACAGAATCGTGAGACATGATAAAAGCAAAGTATTGTTTTAAGGCACTGAGATTGGGGTTATGTGTGCCATACATACATCCACAGATAACCAGAACTGGGTGAGGGGACATATGCCAGGGCCAGGGACTCTGTTGACCCAACCCTTTCTCCTTGAGACCACACCTGCCCTCTCTGGCCCCAGACTCCTCCACCATGGCCTCCCTAAGTGCTGACACTCCCATCCCTGGGACCAATCCCAATGCCTGGGCACTTCCATCCCTGGGACCAATCCCAATGCCTGGGCACTTCCCCTTTGAACCCCAATTTGAGAGCAGATTTGCTGCTGAGGTTGGGGGGGAACTAGGGGAACCCCGGGACGGGACAAAGATTCTGGGTAACCACCTCTGGGGCAGGTGTGGGGAGACTGGCCGGGGCAAGGAAGTGGCTGCACAGGGGAAGGAGTGAGCCGTGTGCGCATGGATGGGGGAAGGAGTGAGCCGTGTGCGCATGGATGGGGGAAGGAGTGAGCCGTGTGCGCATGGATGGGGGAGGGAGTGAGCCGTGTGCGCATGGATGGGGGAGGGAGTGAGCCGTGTGCGCATGGATGGGGGAAGGAGTGAGCCGTGTGTGCTCGTGGCTGTGTGCCTTCCTCCATGGAAGAGCTCCCTCGTGCCTGTCTTCCAGAACTCAGGTCCAGCGTTTCCAGCCACCTGCTGGACTCTCCTCAGAACCTCCCACAGGCCCCCCAAATCCAGCACATCTCAAACCAGAACCTGCTCTAAACCCACCCCCAAGGCAATTCCCTGTCATTCCCTATTTCTGCCAAGGGTGCTGAAGTCACCAGGGCCCGTCCAGGTGTGGGCAGCCAACCCTCTAGTGGAGCTGGAGCAGCAATACCTTGCCCACATGGCAGGTGGAGATAGGGGGACCTGTGGGTAGGGACTGAGGTGGGAAGAGTTGTGGCGAAGGAGGTGGGCAGAGCCTGGCCAAGCTCATAGGCAGCCCTAGGATTCCTCCCGGAGAGGTAAGGGGCTTTGGGCTGTGTCCTGGGGGCTGGAGATACCCACAGGAGGCTAACAATAGCTCATCCAGCCTCAGCATCCTCTCTGCCTCTTTGCCACCCCCTTTTGCTCCTGGAGCAGCCATAGGGAAACCCTGCAGCTTCCAGCTCTGCAGGGCCCTCATTCCCCTCCTTCCCCTTCCACTCCACCCATCGCCCGCCCCCACCTCCCCTAAGCCCAGCCTCCTACCACCCCCACACCCATTTGACCCTTTCTCTTCCCCCCTTCCCCTCAAGGCTGCCGACCCGCTGCCCACTGTGGGAGCCAGCTGCCGCCTGTGGCTGGGGACACTGGGAAGGGGGCTGGTGCCACTGGGGAACTACACTTTTAATTTGATTTGCATTAACCTAGATTTTAAAACTGATAATCAATTCGGTTATTGAAAAACTTTTAGGCTGGGTGTGGTAGCCTAAAAGGTGGGAGGATTGCTTGAGGCCAGGAGTTTGAGACCAGCCTGGACAACATAGCATGATCTCATTCCTACAAAAAATAAAAAAATGAGCCAGGCATGGTGGTGCACGCATGTAGTCCCAGCTACTTGGGAGGCTGAGGTGGGAGGATCGCTTGAGACCAGGAGTTTGAGTCTGCAGTGAGCCATGATTTTGCCACTGCACTCTAGCCTGGGTGATAGAGCAAGAACCTGTCTCAAACAACAACAACAAAAACCCTTTTAAATATGTTTGGAACAACTTGGGTATGTGAACCTACCTTTTCGACTGTAAATTTAACAAAATCTAACTGCAGATCTAGCTTATCCAGTGAAATCCTTGTGTGTGAATTAGCGCCCCCATAGTTGCCATATGTATAAAAGAAAGTAAAAAAAAGAATAACATTCTCATTAATAATTTTTATTGATTACATGTTGAAACGATCATATTTAGGATCTATTGAGCTAATACAATGAGCAAAAATATATCTTAAAATTGATTTCATCTGTTTTCTGTTTACTTTTCAATGTGGCTACTGGAAAATTTAAAATTATATACACGGCTGGAGTTCTGTTTCTATCGGACAGCACTTCTTTAGAGCGTGGATCTGCACTCGATCAACAATTCAGCCCTGTGCTGTCCCTGGCTAACCCTTTCCCACCTCCGCCACTTCCTCAGGCTCAATCGCAGCTGCCTTGGGCTCATGTATGGCTGATACCTGGGTGCTGACCTTGGTATAACACACACATGTTTGCAAATACATGTGTGTATTTGTGTGTCATGTGCACGCCTGTCTCTATCCACATGCTCATGTGTACACATCTGCATCCAGACATTATCCTGTTCTCTGCGTGTGAGCACACTCGGGCCAGCCCTTGCTGGACCAGGTGTGCACAGGCAGCATCTGAATGGGAGCCGGGTGCCCATGGGGAGTTGACATGGGGACAGGGCCTCGGGCATAAAGCCTTGGGGCCAGTCATTCATCCCCAGGGGAGGCTGGAACAGACAGTGTTTCCTTGGCAAGTTGATGAGAATGTCATGTAGGACAGAACCCACAGCCGCCCTGAAATCAAGATCGATGACAGCTGCCTTCCCATCCCTTACTGATGAGGTCCATCATTCTATCACGGGAGAGAAAATTAAATTGGTCTGGCAGAGTTTCCTGTTCCTAAAGCCAATTTGGTCGCCACTGTGTAGTGTGTTATACACTTCTGGGTGGCATCTAATCATTTTGTTTATTCATAAATTTCCAAGGTATGGTCTGCAGAGCTAACCACACCACAGGAAATCAGGAGGAGGTACTTGCTCCTCTTCTAAAGATAGGAGGCAGCCTATCCATCCACCATCTGCCCAGCCACCCAGCCATGTATCCATTCATCCATTGGGTCATACAGTTTTTCAACCTGTATATACAGAGCGCCTCCTCCATGCTGGGCAGCGTGTCAAATAGAAAGAACCATGGGATGAGATTAGATTCCAGCACCCACCCCTGGGCAGGTCTCTGGCTTCTCCAGGCCTCAGTTTCTCTCTGTTAATGAGGGAGTTGGACCACAGAGCTCAAGGCCCCTCCTAGCTCTGGCACTTCAGGGCCTGGGGCTGATTTTCCAGGCAGAGAGAGAGGCCCCCTCCCAGACTCCAGGGGCTGCTTGGGGTCAAGAAGGGAACCGAAGAGGACCCCAGGACCATGGGCATCACTAACTCCCACGGCTGAGGTCCCGACTGACAGGAATGGGGTGGCCCTGGAATTTAGAGGAAAAGCTCCCTCGTGCCTCCTTCCCAGAACCCCAATTTGAGAGCAGATTTGAGTTGGCTCAAGTGGGTGTTTGTGGGATTGGTTATGTCTCAGAGATTTGGGGGATCAGGCCAATCAGCAGACTCTGAAATTCGTATTTTGGAGGCTGTGTCTTAGAGTCCCCCACCCTCCAGGGCCGGAGGGTCTCTGGAAGCTCTTTCTGGTTCCTCTCCATCTCCATGGCCAGCATCCGTGTTTGGGCAGTTCCCAGGCTCCCTGCCTTCTTATACCAATAAGCATTCACCACTTGTGGACTTGTCCCGCACTGCCTCCCCAGCCTGCCTGCCACCCTGGACCTGGCCTCATTTCTGGGTCTGCTTCTCCGTGTGCCCATACTGGCTGGGGAGCCCACTCCTGGGCTCTGGCCATCTCATTCAGCTGGCAATCCCAGGTCCCCAGGACCAATGAATTCCAGGCCCTCTCAGAAACCTTTTGCCACAAACCTGGTGATTGGTGGGGAGTAACGGAGCTGTGTTGATCTAGTTACCAAGAGCTCTAAATTACTACCATCAAAATCAGACACAGCAAAACCTTGCTCAGATCCCTGTCTGGTAACATCAGTCTTCATAATGAAGGTGCCTGATTGCAGGCTGTCTTGGCTGTCGGTGGGTGGAAGCAGAGGGACAGGGATGGGGAGAGGGGAGAGGCTTTGTTTCTGAGCTTCACGGCTTTGATCTGCCAGCGAAGAGCAATTTCCTCCGACTTCTCGTCCAACATTCAACCCCCTGCCAGCAAACCCACAAACACAACCCGGGAGGATGATGGCATGGAGAGCATCTCTGAATTCAGGGAAAGGATGGGAGGAAATGAAGGTGTTGAGAGTGTCTACACTCACCTCCCCAAAAATCCCTCTCTCCACCTGACCTCCTCGCCTCTGTAATGTAGACCATGAATGGACTCTGTTTCAGTCCTGATATCTGCTGCATCCTCTGAGCCTAGCTCAGGGCCAGGCATAGAGTAGTTCCATACATATTGTTGAACAGATGGATTTCTAGCTCTAGGATCACTCTAAGAAGATTCCTGGGCCAGGTGCAGTGGCTCACACCTGTAATCCCAGCACTTTGGGAGGCCAAGGCGGGCAGATCACGAGGTCAGGAGATCGAGACCATCCTGGCTAAAACGGTAAAACCTGTCTCTACTAAAAATACAAAAAATTAGCCAGGCGTGGTGGCAGGTGCCTGTAGTCCCAGCTACTTGGGAGGCTGAGGCAGGTGAATGGCGTGAACCCAGGAGGTGGAGCTTGCAGTGAGCCGAGATTGTGCCACTGTACTCCAGCCTGGGCAACAGAGCAAGACTCAGTCTCAAAAAAAAAAAAAAAAAGAAAAGAAAGAGAAGATTCCTGGTAGTGATCCAATGCAGGAATGGCTGTTGGTATCATTTCTTCATTTAATAAACATTTCTTAGGCAGCTCTTAGGTTCCTGGCACCGTGCCAGGCCAAGGACTGAGATGACTAGAAAATCAAATTGTTCAATAGGAGGCATCGAGCTCCTGCTCCACACCAGGCACTGAGATGAACAGGACAGATATTCCTACCTCCATAGAGCTCACACGTTCCTCTCCATGGGAGACAGACAATAAGCAGGTAAATAGATAAATAAGCAAGATGGTTCTGGATTGTGAAGGTGCTATGAAGGAAATACACAGGGTGCTGTGATGAAGAGCAGTTGGGCAGCTTCCTTTGGACAGGGGCAATGCAGGGAGGGCTCTCTAGGACCTGAAGAGTAAAGAGAAAGAGCTAGGAACCAGGAGAGAGCACAGCAAGTGCAAAGGCCCCAGGGCCGGGAACAGCTCCGTAGGTTTGAGGAATGGAAAGGAGGCCAGTGAAGCAGGTGTATAAGATCGAGCGTGAAGCGGTGCTAGCGGAGGTTGGTTAAGTCACTGTCCTCCAGTGGTGATGGCAGACCAGGGAACTATCAGAGCAGAAAGGCCAGTGCTGCCGTGGAAGTGGAATGTGCAGGGAAGCCCGGAACTCAGCCCAGAGGAGGCAACATTGGCGCTGAGACCTAAGACTGCGTGGAATATCTCTTAGGCCCAGCATGGCTTTCCTTCTTGCCATCACTTTGGACATTGCTCCAGGGACTGACTTCCTCTCCCTCCCAGCCAGGAGCAGGGCTCTGGGGCAGTGCCAGCTGGACCCTGCTCCAGCCCAGAGGGACTCCTCCATACGACTTCCCTGCGCTGAAGTTTCTGTCAACCTCTGCTGCTGCTGCAGACAGCTACTGGTTGGCGGTGGCTGGAGTACTCAGGGTAAGCGCTTGTGGCAGATGTTGCTGCGGTGGGGTAATGGCACTAACACGGCGAGTCCCTTTCTTTCATCTCCCTGGTCTCCCTGGACCTTTAACTATCACTGAGCCCAGCATCTAGCAAATAGCCTCATTGCTGTCTTTTATCTAGCTGGCTTTCAACTTGAGACACTCTAAGGGCCTTGCCTGATAGCAGCACCAGGACCATCAGAACTACAGTCCTCAGAGTGGGCTGTTCCAGGCGTTTGAGTAATAATAATAATTATTATTATTGCTATAATAATATATACAATTATAATATCTATATATAATATTTACATAAATTATTGATATGATAATTATTGATGTAATAATTATTGATATTTTTGATGTAATAATTATTGATGTAATTACTGATATTAATGTTGGTGTAATAATAATTATTATTGATATAATAACTGCAACATCAGCTCCCTATTTATTAGGGTCTGGGCATGCCAGACACTGTGCTAAAAAGTTTCTATGCATCATTTTATGTAATTCTCACTACCACATTATAAGGCAGGTATTGGTATGAGGCTCGGAGAGGTTAAGTAACTTGGCCAAGGTTTCACAGCAAACAAGTGCTGGAATTGACGTTAGAGCTAGGGCTGTTCAGGTCCACAGACTCCTTCCTCCGTATTCTAGTGGTTCCCGGTGTCGGGCTGACTACAGTGGAATCAGCAGGGGAACTGTTTGGAAAGTAAGATTTCCATCCTGGCTAACACGGTGAAACCCCGTCTCTACTAAAAATACAAAAAAATAGCTGGGTGTGGTGGCACCCGCCTGTAATCCCAGCTACTAGGGAGGCTGAGGCAGGAGAATCGCTTGAACCCAGGAGGAGGAGGTTACGGTGAGCCAAGACCACGCCACTGCACTCCAGCCTGGGTGACAGAGCAAGACTCTGTCTCAAAAAACAAACAAACAAAAACAACAAAAATTGGTTGGGGGTGGTGGCTTGTGCCTATAGTCCCAGCTACTTGGGAGGCTGAGGTGGAGGGATTGCTTGAGCCTAGGAGGTCAAGGCTGCAGCCTGGGCAGTGGAGTAAGACCCTATTTCAAAAAAATACAAAGCGTTCTGGAGGTGGTTGCACAACAATGCGAATGTACTTGATGCTACTGAACTATACGCTTGAAAATGGTTAAGATGGTGAATTGTGTGTTATCCTAATAAATTTTTAAAAATTGTTTAAAAAGGAAGAGGAAAACTAAGTGTTAAATTGTGTGGGGATGGTAGACATTGGTAGTTCCCCAGTATTCATTCTCCCCCCTTTTTATTTACTTATTTTTAGAGATTGCTATGTTACCCAGGCTGATCTCAAACTCCTGGCCTCAAGCAATCCTCCTGCCTCAGCCCCGAAGTAGCTGGGATTGCAGGCATGAGCCACTGTACCCAGCTTTCCCCTTTTAGCTGAGTACATGGCTGCCCAGATTAGACACTACATTTCCCAACATCCTTTGCAGGTAGGTATGGCCATATGGCTAAGTTCTGACCAATGGCTATAAGTGGTAAGGTCCTGTGAAAGCCTCCAGAACCTTCCTTAAGCGACAGTGTCTGTCTATTCCTCCATTGGCTGCCAGGAGCATGGGTGCTGCCATTTTGGATCATGAAGTTGGAGTCACACTTGGCAGAGCAATAACATGTGAGATCCTAAAGTTGACACACCCTATTATCTCTTAATTACCTGCTGGGACGCATGAAAGAGAAACAAACTGTGATCTCCTTCAAGCCACACTATTTTGATTTTCTATTATGTGTACCTAAACATAATCCTAATGAATACAGAGTGGTAGAATGAATGCTACTGGGGTTTCGAGAAACAGAAAGGACCAGGAGGGTTGGAACATTCAAAGAAGGCTGTATGGCTAAGGTTGGCCCTGAGCTGTCCTGATGGATGCTGTGCTGCAAGATGAATGAGGCATGGCCCATGTCTTTGAGGGGCTCAGGGTCTAGTGGGAGAAACACAGGTAAACAAATATCTATAGCCAGGGCCATTGCAATTAGCTGACATATGGGCAGCCCTTGGCATCCACCAGGCTGATTACATGGCTCATATTTATTTTTATGTTACGTTACGTTACGTTACGTTACGTTACGTTACGTTACGTTACGTTACGTTACGTTACGTTATGTTATTTTTTGAGATGGAGTCTCACTCTGTCACCCAGGCTGGAGTACAGTGGCGCGATCTCTGCTCACTGCAAGCTCCGCCTCCAAGGTTCAAGCAGTTCTCCTGCCTCAGCCTCGCGAGTAGCTGGGACTACAGGAGCCCGCTACCACACCCAGCTAATTTTCTTTATATTTTTAGTAGAGACGGGACTTCACCATGTTAGCCAGATGGTCTCGATCTCCTGACCTCGTGATCTGCCCACCTCAGCCTCCCAAAGTGCTGGGATTACAGGTGTGAGCCACTGTGCCCAGCCTTTATTTTTATTTTTTTGTGACGGAGTTTCACTCTTGTTGCCCAGGCTGGAGTGCAATGGCGCAATCTTGGCTCACTACAACCTCCGTCTCCTGGATTCAAGCAATTCTCCTGCCTCAGCCTCCCAAGTAGCTGGGATTTCAGGCATGTGCCACCACACCCAGCTAATTTTGTATTTTTAGTAGAGATGGGGTTTCCCCATGTTGGTCAGGCTGGTCTCGAACTCCAGACCTCAGGTGATCCATCTGCCTGGGCCTCCCAAAGTGCTGGGATTACAAGTGTGAGCCACCGCACCAGCTCATGCCTCAGCCACATCACTGGCAGAGTGTCAAGGGACGCAACAGGAAATTCATGCTAAGTTGTCGAGTTCTGGAAAGCTCTGTGCAGGAAGTGATGTTTTTCTGAGCCTTGAAGAAGGCATGATGGGGAGGGGCATTCCAGGGCAGAGGCACACAAGAGGCAACGGCGTGAGGGTAGTCTGGTGAGGCTGGGCCGGTGGTGGCTCACGCCTATAATCTCAGCACTTTGGGAGGCCAAGGCGGGTGGATCACCTGAGGCCGGGAGTTCGAGACCAGCCTGGACAACATGGCAAAACCCCATCTCTACTAAAAATACAAAAATTAGCCAGGCATGGTAGCATGCACTTGTAGTCCCACCTACTCAGGAGGCTGAGGCAGGAGAATCACTTGAACCCAGGAGGCGGACGTTGCAGTGAGCCGAGATTACACCACTGCACTTCAGCCTCGGTGACAGAGCGAGACTCTGTCTCAAAAAGAAAAAGTGTGGTGCGAGAGACCTGGCAAAGCAGAACAGTCCATCCCTGCACAAGCGGTTTGGGCCTTGTTTACAGGAAGCCATCACACGGACCTGAGAGTGTTCTTGATTAAAAGGAGACTATACCTGGGATGATGGATCTTTCAGATACATGATTATTTAATTTTTTTTTTTAAAGGCCAAATTCTTCCTGGGAAGAAAGAATCAGCAAGGTGCAGAGGAGGCAGGTGAGGTCCTGCCTAGATCGTTAGAAGTCAATGGCTCCGTCGGCATGGCAGGGGAGAGGTCTGCAAAAAGGCCTTTAAAAAAGAAAAATTGCAAATGGTTTGCAAATGTTTATGGATAGGTCCAGAACCATGAATTTTGACAACTAAAGGATTTCCAGAGAGGCTGAGGGAAAAGCCAGAATTGAGTTAAGCAGAGATTTATAACAGTTTTTATTGGATGGAAGGTCCCCATCTGTACTCAGAGATCTGGGTTACATTAAATATCACTTCCAATGAGATCTTGTCTTAAATTTAATGGGCAAAAGAGAGGAGTTAGATAAGTGTTTGTATCATTATTTTAACAAGTCTCTGCTTTATGAGAAAAAAAAATCTGTTTAAGAATAGCAATGGGTAAATTGTCACAGTTCAGTTACCTGTTCCTGAAGAATCGACTCTCCCCTGGCTCAGGCTCTGTGGTGGTAGCTACTTGATTTACAGACAGGTGGCCAGAGAGAAACTAGCCAGCCCCTCTAGGGCACTGTCCCACCTTGCCAATTCCACCCCTGTTTCCAGAACAGAACGTGGGTAGGATGAGGACCAGTGCGAAGGAGAGGGAGGAGGCACGTGTGAGTGAGGGGGCATCTGACTGGGGAGAAGGGCTGTTCTGCAAAGTGGTGGGTATCAACGGCCTTTCATCCTCCTCCCTTGCCCCTGGGGGAGACTTAGATTCTGCAAAATGCTTTTTTCTTTTTTTTTTAAATTAAACTGTTATCACAACTTCCTATGGAGTAGGCAAAGGCATCCACAAAGTGTTGTTATCCCGGTTTGCAAGAAAGGTAAGCATCAGACAGGTGATGTGGCTTCCCCAGGTCTAATAGCTGCCAGGCAGTGAAGGAAAGGCCCCAGCACCAGGCAGGGGAAGGTGGGTAACCCAAGGGAAGCCTGGAGTCCATGCAGACGTCCCAGCAGAGGCATGGCCGAGGGAAGAAGCCTCTGCTCCCACTCAGGGGGGCTCATGGGAGCGAAGAAGTGGCAGAGACTGAAGTCTGAAGACCTCCGCTCTGCCTTTCTGGCCCCTGTGTCTTTTTCATGCCTGCTCACCCACCCACAGTGCCCTCCTCCCCCCGGGGGGAGGGGCCGCCCCTTCCTCCCAGGGGCTGTGCCCAATACTAAACAATTTCTGCCCAGGTTCCTGTCTCCACAGGCATCCATTGTCATTATTCTTTTTTTAAAAAAATCGGAATGGATTTTATTAAGAGAAAATCAATACACACAACATAACCTGCAGCAGATAAAGCAGATAAGCTTTCAATGCACAGTCTCGGTGCCTTTTCCCAGGTGTTCCTTCCACTCCCTTAGCCAGAAGCCTTTGTCCGTGGGCATCTGATGAGCCACTTCTGGGAAGCCAGCCTCCCTGCTCCTCTTACCAGCAGCTTTGTTCAGCAGCCCCTTCCCACCTCCCGTCTCGGCTCTGTGCTCCATCCTGGCGGCTAGCCCCAGACCCAGCCAGACCAGCCGCCTGTAGACTCACTCGTCTTTGGCCTCAGGTCAAGGGCCTCCCCAGCAGGCCAGCCCATTGCCGCCTCCCTCCATCACTACATCAGTGTCACTCCTCCAAGAAGCAGGCACTTTGGGGTCAATAGCCTCTGGTCTCCATTCATTCCTGTGTGGCCTTGGACCCATTGCATAACCTCTCTGAGCCTCAGGTTCCTCATAGGTAATAATCTAGACAATAACACTCTTTTCCCTGCATTTTGGGACCAAGGAAATTACCTGGTATACGCAGCAGGCCTAATCTGTGCTCGGCACATAGTAAGCACATGGTGGTGTTTAACTTCCTTCTCGGGGTCCACCTGTGTCCCTGCTCCTTCATTCCATCTTTCTGAGCACTGAATTGCCAGAAGGCTTATCCTCAGAACAGAGCAGCCTACCCCTGTCTGCTCTCCTTGGTGTACCAAGTGCAGTGGGCATCAAGCTCCCCATGAAAGTCCTTGTGCCGAGTCCCCTTAGGAGGGACAGAGCTGGAATTTGGATGTAATGAGCACTCAGAGCATGCCAATGAGAGACAGGGACCAGAAAGTTAGAGAAGGTGAGGGGGAGAAGGAATGAATAAACGGAGAAGAAAGAAAGAAATCATGGGGGCAGGAAGGAAAGGAAAAAATCTTTTTTTTTTTTTTCTTTTAAGAGACAAGGTCTCACTATGTTGCCCAGGCTGGTCTCCAACTCCTGGGCTCAAGTGATCCTCCCACCTTGGCCTCCCAAAGTGTTAGGATTACAGGCGTGAGCCACCACGCCTGGCCGGAAGGAATCTTTCATTAGCAACAGACATCTTGTTAATTATACAGTGACTGGTACAGAGGAGGGACTCAAGGCCCTTTGTAGTAACAGATGATGGATGGATGGATGGATGGATGGATGGATGGATGGATGGATGGATGGGTATATGGCTAAATGGAGGGAAAGAAGACAGGGAGGAAAGGAAGGAAGAGGGAAGAGGGAGGGAGGGAGAAAAGGTGGAGGTAGTCTGTGTTCTCCTGGTCTGGGCTCCTCTTCCTGTCCAGCTCTGCTCTGCCTTGAGGGGAGATGGGGCTTCCAGGTAAGAGCCGCTCTGAGGAGTCCTGCAGCAAGGACACCTATTTGATTTTGACTCACTGCTTCCCAAACCTCTACCATCATGTAACTTTTTCTTTTTTTAATTAAGAGCACTTACTTTGCATCCTGAAGATACTAAAGTTTTGTACAGTGCAGTTTAAAAATGTTGCTGTGGACTAGAGAATAGAATATTCACACTGGAAGATTGAAGGGGTCATTGAGGTCTCTCTTGAAAACTCCTACTCACCCTTTGAAGCCCACTTCAAATGCCCTTGGCACTGAGTGGTGTTTCCCTACTTTTCCCCCAGGGAGAATTAACTAGTATCTTTATCTGTGCCTCCATGACCCTTATACACCACTTTATTCTGTTTCCTTCACATGGAGTTGGCTGGTTGTGCCCATCCCTGCCAGACAGAAAACTCTTTGAGGGCAGGAATTATGTGCTGCTCAACTGTTTCCCTAGCATCTGGCATGTAATAGGTCCTCAAAACACATTTATCAGCTGAATTAGTCCAAGATCTTTATTTTATAAAGAAGTAAACTAAGACCTAGGCAGCCACCAGGCCTGGCCCCAGGGTTCACCAGCGAAGCTTGGCAGTGGTGTGTGCCAGCCTAGGTTCCAGCTCCCTGACCCTGAGCTGGCTGCCACAATTGCTGGGTTTTCTCTCAGCATTTCTGTTAACAGTCAAGTAAAGAAAGGACTCAGGTAGGGATAAACTGTAGCTAATACCTCACCTTGGTTAAGCAGATGTCAGGGTGGCCATTTCTGTTCCTACATTAACACCACATTTATGTTACTGGCAGCTGCAGGTTTGCTTTAAGGGCTAATAGGCCCTAACTAGGGTCCTGCCCTGAGCCTAGTTGCATAGAGGATTGTGCTTTCTCTTATTCTTCTGTGTCTCTGACTGCTAGTGCCCTAGTGAGGACAGTAGCCCTCAGTTCAATAAGCGGACTGCTAGTGCCCTAGTGAGGGCAGTAGCCCTCAGTTAAATAAGCTGACTGCTAGTTCCCTAGTGAGGACAGTAGCCCTCAGTTAAATAAGGTAGGTGGAGGGATAGCATCTTGAAGATGAGAGGAGGCCACAGAGAACCTAGTCAGCAAGGAGGCCAGGGCTGACCCCTAAAGGACCCACTTCTCCCAAGTCTTCCTCATGGGCCTTGGGGAGGGGGAGCCTGGAGCTCTGAACCAACCTGGTGGGGACAGGGTGGGGAAAGCAGATGTAGGGAGCTGGAAGAGGGTCCTGGGGCCCCGAGGGCCAACACCACCCCTAGACCTGCTTCTGCCCACCTGCAGAGCCTTCGCCCCAGCCTGGGTTGGTTCCTAGCATCTATGTCTGTGCCCCCAGTGAGTGTGGCCTTGTCTCTACATGGAGTTCACATGCAGGGTGTGGCTTCTGGGGGACAAGGGCGGAATCTTATGTTCGATCGGTTAAACAATTCTGGAGGGGGCATGTTTTGTGTGATGCCTGGAGGGTGGGTGGTGACGGGCACAAAGGTTGTGCCACAGGTAGTTTCCTTTTAGGGCGTTTAGGGTCTTGTGACCCTAGATGTGCCTCTCTACCTTCCCCAGGGCTTAGCAGCTAGGAGGGACCCTGCAGGGGCAGAGTGATCGGTGCCAGCCTGGGGCGGGGCTGTGGGGTGGGCAGCCCCCTTCACAGGCTGTCCATGCACTGGGGTGAGATGGGGCCCAGGGAGGGGTGTGGGGGGAAGGATGATCAGATTTTCCCAATGTGAAGGTGTGGGGCAACAGGGATCCCTATGTTTCTAGAGGAGGGGATGGCAGATGTCACCAGTGCCCTACCCTCGTGCCCTCCACTGGGATGACTCTGAGCTGGGGGTCCCACATGCCTCCCTGAGCTCCTCAATGGGATTAAGGTCCAGTCATCAGGCTTTCCTCCCTCCCCTGCCCGCCTTCCCCACCTCCCTACTGGGACCTCCTGGGATTACCTCCCAAATAAACAACCTGCCCTTGAATCTTTTTCACAGGTCCTGCTTCTGGGGAAACTCAAGACAGTATAAATTGGTGCAATCTATTTGGAGAAAGATTCAGCAATAAGTATCAAAATTATAAATGTATGTGTTCACGGGCCAGCAGCTCCACTTCTGGGAATTTATGCCATAAATATAACCTTTCATATGCCATATGATCTATGAATGAGGTTATTTATGGCAGCACTACTTTTAAGAGCCAAAGATTGAAAACACCTAAATGCCCATCGCTGGGGATGAGTTCGGCAGATCAGGGTTCATTCAACTGGCAGAATATTATGCAATCATTAAAAAGGAATGGAGGGGGCTACTCTTTATGGACTGATTTGGAACAATCTCCAAGATAAATTGCTAAGTGGGAAAAAAAGCAAGGTATAGAAGAGCACGTTTGTATAAAACAAAAAGAATATATAGCCGTAATTGCTTACTTATTGGATCGACGATCTCTGCAAATCTACCAAGAAACTGATAACCTTGGAGCCTGTGGAGAGAGGAATTAGGTGGCTGGGAGTGGGGAAGGGAGGGAGATTTTCAGGATATTTCCTATGCACCTTTTGATTTTTGCATCATGTGCAAGTTTGCATTATCTATTTAAAATGTAGTCTATGCAACTAAAAAAAATTATGAAGAATAATCATATACCTGGGTGCCTGCTATAATGATCAGTCCAATTTTAGCTTGTCTCGGGAAAGTTGAACCCATGGCTGGCAGCTTTCAACCTTCTCTTTCTCATTTACCACTCCCATAAGGTGGTTCTGCATCATTACTCCAGGGTTTCTAAATAATTAAAGTAGGCCTGAGTCCAGCCTTCCCCCAAGATGCTGAGAGTCCAAGCCGTCCTTCCCCTATCCCCTACCTGAGACATCAGAAGCTTCTTAAATAGTCCTGACTATTTAAGGGAAGAAGGACAGTTGCAGCCCTTCCTTTCTCGAGTGATTTGAAATGCAGACCACGGTTTTTGGAGAGGAGGAGATGAGGCAGGAGGCTGGAAGAAATGACCTTTTCACATCAGCTCTTCCTGGGTGGGTACCTATATTCCAGGGGCCTGGCGCAGTACCTGGCGCGTTTGTTGGCTGGCTGGCTGAATGTCTTTTTGTCCCAGAATTCCAGGCATGCAGGAACAAGGGGAAAGATGACCCCTCCTTCCAGTTCCTGGGGTCCTAGTCAATAATGGTTGGTGAGCAGAGCTCTGAAGTTGGACACTTTCGGGTAAAAATCCCAGCTGTAGCCTCCTTACTGCTATGAGACCTTAGGTGAATATCTACCCGAGCCTCAGTTTCCTCATCTACGCAATGGAGACAGAGGCCCCCTTTGCAAAGGATTAAATAAGGTTGCATCGGGGTGCTGCACAGTGTGCCCAGCACATAGTAGGCTTTGCTAGGTGTCTGCATATCTCTCCCCCTCCCTTGGCAGAAGGATGACCACTGCCACTGCTGAGACCAGACACTGTCCCCTCCTTGCCACCCTTGACTTGAGGGTGGAAGGAGGACCACCCTCAAGTCAAGGAGGTCCTCCTTCCATCTAACTGAAAACTCTCCGCTGTTACCCAGGCCGGTGCCCTCCTATGCTACTGTCATGCACAAGAGAAAAAGCTCTCAGCTTGTTCCCACTGAGCCTCTTCCAGATCTGAAGCCCCAAGGAAAGTCAAGGTTGAGTCCTGTGGGCCCAACAATGGGCAGCCCCAGGCCCTCTCTCTTTGCTTCCAACCCAGTCTCATCACTTTTCTCCTCTCTGCCCCCTCCTGGGCAGAGCGACTCTTGGTGCAAGGTCAGCTGTGAGCTGTCCAGGGTCCCTGGGCACACTCCTGCTCCTTCTCTGCCCCATTTCCTTCCCCTGCACCCAGGGAGTTGGGAAATAGCTCAGATTCCGATGACAAGGAGACTGGGCCCTAGGCAGAGCAGTGGCTGACAAGTTGCATGTTACAATAAATCCCCACAATTAGACCCTGCAAACAACACCGCTGCTGTCGCATACCTAATATACAGCAGGGAGTCGGCTCAGTGTTCCTGGCAACCAATTCTTGAACTAAAAATAGTTGGCTGTGGCTTCACCTTTCCCTCCTCAGCATCCAGTCTCCATAGGTGCCAGGGAGGGAATGACCCTGGTGTCCAGGTCCTGCCCTGGTGCTGGAGGGCAGAGCATCAAGGGTTAACCCAGCCTTCACTAATGTGACTGTCAAGGAATTGCCCGCAGGGTAGGGAGTGGGGGTCTTCTGTGGGGGACGGGAGCCGGCCTGAGCTGTTTTAAAGCAAGTAAGGCTTTTTGAGTAGGCAGCCACCTCCTGAGGCCTCCCAATACCACCTCTTCAGCACCCTCTCGCATCCCCACCCGTCCAGCAGCAGCACAAAGGGGCCCGAAGGTGCAGCATTAGGGAATCTAATGGCCTGAGGAATAAGTTCTCGCCCACTGTGACTCCTTGGGCCAGTCACATCTCTGGATTTCGGCTGCCTCATCTGCAAACGAAGGATTCAATAAGTTGATCTGTTTCTGTCTAGATCCTCAGGCATGGTGAGCCTCACAATGGCAAGTACTCTGTCCCAAGTATGCTCACATGCGTCAAAGTCTCTGAAATGCTGACACGTGGGTGTGCAACCCCCCTCGCAGAGCAGTGGTCAGCACGTACAGAGAAGCAGCCCAGCCCTATGTCAGACCCTCTGCCTTAGAACCACTTGCCAATAATAAATCACCCACCACCCCTATGAAACAGGTGGTTCATGAAGTCTTGTCAATCAGTCATACCTTAGTCTAGAAGTCCTTTCCTGGGAGACAGGGGGAAGCATGGAGTCTGGGGTTCCTCCTGGGGCTGTTGGGATATCAAAAGCCTTACCTGGCTTCCCACCATCCCTGTGGAAATCCCCCAAGTGGAAGCCATGGGCCGCCACAAGACGTGGCCCCAGCCCAGCTTTCCAATCTCAGAACGTCATCCCCTGTCCTGGGGTCCTAGGACTCCTCACTGTTCCCCAAACAGACGGAGCACAGTCCCACCTCCCGGCCTTTGCTCACAATGGTGCCTCCACCTGGAATGCTGTTGCCCCTTCTCCCCTCTGTCTCTCTCCCCTCTGTCCCCTACATTTCTATGTTGGTAGAAATCCTGCTCATCTTTTAAAGTACAAATGGACCGGGTGCAGTGGCTCACACCTGTAATCTCAGCACTCTGGGAGGCCGAGGCAGGCGGATCGCAAGGTCAGGAGATTGAGACCATCCTGGCTAACACGGTGAAACCCCATTTCTACTAAAAATACAAAAAATTAGCCAGGTGTGGTGGCGGGTGCCTGTAGTCCCAGCTACTCCGGAGGCTGAGGCAGGAGAATGGCGTGAACCCGGTAGGTGGAGCTTGCAGTGAGCCGAGATGGCGCCACTGCCCTCCAGCCTGGGCGACAGAGCGAGACTCCGTCTCAAAAAAAAAAAAAAGAAAAAAGAAAAAAAAGAAAGTACAAGTGCCACCAACTCTTTGATGAAGTTTTCCCTATCCCGTGGCTAGAATGAGCCCCTCAGTGTCCCTCTTCTAACAGCATTTGAAACGATGTAGTTTTGGAACCAGAAGAATCTTAGGGACCATGTACAACAGCGTTTCCCAAGATATTTTGACTGTGACTCATCGTAAGAAATCCACTCTGTTGTGACCCAGCACACACACACACACACACAGAGACACACAAGTGCATAAAACACATGTGCATATACATATAGTCCACACTCAACCATAGACACAAATAGACACACGTACACATACATGCAGGTACCTGTGGAAACATGTACACAGAGATGTGCAGCCAAAAGAAGTTTTTTTGTTTCTTTTTGTTTGTTTGTTTGTTTGTTTGTTTGTTTGTTTTTGAGACAGGGCCTCACTCTGTCACCCAGGCTGGAGTGCAGTGGCACAATCTCAACTCACTGCAGCCTCAATCTCCTGAGCTCAAGCGATCCTCCTGCTTGAGCTCTCAAGTAGCTCGGACTACAGGCATGCACCATCATGACTGGCTAATTTTTATATTTTTGCAGAGATGGGATTTCACAACATTACCCAGGCTGGTCTTGAACTCCTGAGCTCAAGCGATCTGCCCACCTCGACCTTCCAAACTGCTCTGGGGTTGCAGGTGTGAGCCACCGTGTCAGCCCAATAAGTTTCTTTGTGTAATACTTACCTCTATTGTGTGCCGTGTTCTGATGCAGTTGCTTAAAGTTTTTTTCTTTCTTCGAATGTTGGTTCTGACACTAAATTTATCTCCCCATCCTGTAATGGGTTGCAAACTGCAGTTTGGAAAATACTGAACAAGTTCGACCCCTTATTTGCAGATAGAAGTACCAAGGTCCAGAGGGAGGAAGGGACTGGATCAAGGTCATGCAGCCAGTTGGTGGCCAGACTCGGACCACAGTCCAGTGTCCTTGATTCACAGCAGCGACCTTTCCTCTGTCACAGAGCCGCTGATGCTATAGCTATTCCTGCAAGGTTGCAGCTCCACAAGTGAAAGGACCTTGTCCCCAGCACCCCCCACCCTGCCCCAAGGGCCTTGTCTATAGTAGGTGCCCAATAAACGGCTCCATTGGACTGACTGCACAATGATGCAAAAGTGGTTTGGAAGTCAATGAGGTCTCTGCTGGAGTGAGGGGTTAATACATTCAGCTGCTGCGGCCTGGAGACAAGGTCAGCTTTAGCTCATTAGTGGGGCTGGGCTTTCCCAGGGCTTAGGGATTCTGCAATTCACAGTGGAGCAGAAATCCTGCGGCTGAGCTGAGGGGGAGGGGCAGAGACAGGGAGGAAGGGAGGCTGGAAGAGAGGTGGAGATCGATCAGCAGGGAGGGGACGTTTTGGGGAAGGAAGGTGGTCAGGGTGGCTGTGATGGTGACAGCGGGTGGCAGGATATGACGGGATATGAGGGGGTCTGCAGCTCATTGAAAATCTGAACAAGCTCCAAAGAGGATGGAACTCAGTCTCCCCCCAGCTCCTCCTGTCTTCCTCTGAGAAGTGGCAGGGGAGGTTGGCGAGGCAATGTGCTGATGAGCACAGAGAAATGAGGGGCGGCGGAGATGCAGAAATGAGTAATTTCCACACAGCTCTGCTTAATATCAGAGTCTGCGCTGCTCAGAGATGGCCAAGGAGCCACTTGAGGCCTCTACAGCCCCCTCCTTCCTGCGACACTCCCCCCTTCCACCCATCAGAGCTCAGGACACTCATCTGTTAATGAGACGGGCAGCTGGTTCCCCACACCCATCCTCGGATGGAGCTGGCAGGCACGGACTCCTCAGGGGCTGGGGGTGCTAAGCCATCCCCTGTGGCCGCCCCTCTGCTTCCCAATGAGGGGTGTGATTGGCACAGATCACAGAGAAAGGAGACAAGCAGGGTAGCCTGGCAGGAGCAGAGTCCTGGCCATTGGTTTACTCATTCATTTGGTGAGTATCCATTAAGCTCCTGCTGTGTGCCGGGCCCAGTGTGAGGTGTGCAGGAGTGTAGCTGTGAACAAGACTGTTGAGAATGTAGCAGAGAAAACGGGCTTTAGACCTTGCTTTGAGCAAGGGAGAGGCCCACAGGAGGCACTGGTGAAGGCTTCCTAGAGGGGGTGAGGTTTAAGGCAAAATTTCCAAAGAAGTTGAGGAGTCTGGAGTCCAGGTGAGGAGTTGAGATGGGACGGGTGGCTGAGGAGGCCTCTCATATATGTGGTTTGGTGGGGCCTCCTCAGCCCCGTGTCTGGGCCTCAGCTTTGCAGCATGGGGAGCTCTGTTGTTTCAGTCGCCTTTAATGGGAACTCGACTCACAATAAACACACCTTCCAAAGACTGAGTCGTACATCAAAATGTCAATTCATTTTTTTTTAATGGAAATATATTTGACAAGCTAAACCTTATCAGCAGCCTGCTTCAGGATCAGAAATCCAGAGTGTGAGCCTCCATGCCACATCACACCAACTAGGAAACTCTGGGCAAACCTTTCATCTTCTATGAGCTTCAGTTTCCTCATCTGAAAATAGGGTTAATCATAGGACTTACCTAGGGGCATGAGGAGGATAAAGTGAGCTATTATGTGTCAAAGTGCTTCATCTCTATAGAAGGACTATACACAAGCTGGTGAGTTCATAAATTTGCATTTATTTATTTATTTTTATTTATTTACCATTTTGAGACAGAGTCTCACTCCGTCACCCAGGCTGGAGTGCAGTGGCATGATCTTGGCTCACTGCAGCCTTGATCTCTCAGGCTCAAGCAATCCTCTGACCTCAGCCTCCCAAGTAGCTGGGACCACAGATGTGCACCCCCATGACTGGATACTTTTTTTTTTTTTAAGACAGAGTCTTACCATATTGCCCAGGCTGGTCTGAAACTCCTGTGTTCAAGTGATCTGCCCGCCTCAGCTTCCCAAAGTGCTGGGACTACAGGCATGAGCCACCACGCCCAGCCTACATTTATTTTCTTGGTAGATGATGAATGTGCATGGTACAAATTCCAAAGGTACCAAAGGACATAAGTTGACCAGTGAGTCTCCTCCCTGGTCCTCACCCTGCCTCAATCATTAGCTACCCAGTTCCCCTCTTTGGAAGCAACCCAAATTATCAGTCTTTGTGTATAACTTTTTTTCTAAAAAGACTCTTTCATATTACAATAATAACGTGTGGTATAAAAAAAATCCAAAGGGAATAAAATGAACACCTTTTATTCCTTCCAGGCTCCCACCCCAGAGGTAACTGTGGGGCAGTCTCTCGTTTAAAGGATAACTATTATTGCTAGTCCTGGATGTACCTCTCAGGGGCAGCCTACTCAGGAGACCAGGTTATAAATGAGAACATGCTGGATTTGCCAGGAAATGGGAAGAAATGATGTCAGGTTCCCAGGGGATATTTTTATCAACTTAGTGAGAGGTGAAGCCAGCTGGACTTCCCAATTCTAGTGAGGACTTGGAGAACTTTTCTGTCTTATAAGAGGTTTGTAAAATGCACCAATCAGTGCTCTGTAAAAATGCACCAATCGGTGCTCTGTAGCTAGCTAGAGGTTTGTAAAATGCACCAATCCGTGCTCTGTAAAAATGCACCAATCAGTGCTATGTAGCTAGCTAGAGGTTTGTAAAATGGACCAATCAGCATTCTGTAAAATGGACCAATCAGCAGGACATGGGTGGGGACAAATAAGGGAATAAAAGCTGGTCACCTCCCCCCTGCCCCCCATCCCCCCCACCCAACCAGCCAGTAGTGGCAACCAGCTCAGGTCTCCTTCCACGCTGTGGAAGCTTCCTTCTTTCACTCTTCCGCTCTTCATGATAAATCTTGCTGCTGCTCACTATTTTTGGGTCTGTGCCACCGTTAAGAGCTGTAACACTCACCGCGAAGGTCCACAGCTTCATTCTTGAAGTCAGCGGCACCACAAACCCACTGGAAGGAAAAAACTCTGGACACATTAGGGCCAAGGAATGAATGGCCCCTGGTCACTCTAGAAAGATTTACCATCCACCAGTCCTTCTGGTGGGGCCCTCTACAGGGTGCTGTGGAGAACACAAAGATGAATGAGAGAAGCATGCGTCTTTCATCTTTTATTAGTAGGACAAAGGACTTAGGTCCGTGGATTCATCCAAGTCTGAAAGGGACAGGAGAGGTCCCCTAATTACCTCTCAGCACCACTGCTATTTCACAGACCAGGAAACCGAGATCCAGAAGACATGATGTGCCCAAGGCCACACAGCAAGGGGATGGCTGGGTCAGGTCTGGCAGGCAGATTTGGGGATACAACCCTAAAAAAGGTGGGAGCTGATGCATGAGAGTGGGGGGCCTGGAGTGTGTGACAATCCAGAAGAGAAGGAAGGAAGGGTACTCCAGGCAGAGCTTGAGGAAAAGCCCCAGAGCAGGGGGCTTGGGAGTGCACAGGATTCACTCTGACTCCCAGCAGGAGGACCCGGAGCAAGGCTGGGAAGGAGGGGTGGACAGAGGTTCTGTTCCAGCCAGGGAGAGTCACCGTAGGAATACAGCAGCCAGAGGCTCAGGGCCCCCAGTGCTGTTAAACTCCAGAGAACATGTTCCTTCTGCAGCCTGCATGGACGCACCTCTGGAGTCTGCACCACACCACTCCCCCTCTGTATAGTTGGCACAGCTGGAGAGGCATGGCCAGAGCTTCACCTTCACTGCTTTTCTTCCTTGAGCCTCTCTGCCTCCTGCCTCTTTCACCCCATAACAGCATCCTTCCCGTGAGGGGAGACTCCCAGGTCTCCTCTGTGACACCCCTATCAATAAGTCCTCCACCTGCATTTCCTCCACGGGGATCTCTGCTAATTTATTTGGGGTGACTCCCATCCTACCTTCACCCCCTTGCCTTGGGACTGTCCCATCAGGCCCCCTGGGGTGGCCTCCCCATCCCTCCAGTTTGCTGGAATCACAGGCAAGGAAAGCCTCATCATGCACTAGCATTTGCAAACTCAGCTCCCAAGCAGCCTGCAGTCGCCAAGGTCTTAGCGGGAAGCGATGGCCCAAGCCCACTAGTATCTGGATAATTTGAGAAGGTCTTGTTACGGGGACTATTTACAAATATGTGCACAAGGTGGGGAGACCTCAAGGGGACATGCAACATCTTGAGGCCAGTGGGAACTCAGCTGTGACCATTGTTAGGTCCAAAAGAAAAAGGGGAGGGAGGGGTTACCACACCCGGTAGAAGAGCCATGGAGAGAGGCTGCCACGGGAGCCGCAAGGACCTCAGTCAAGGGACACAGCCAGCCCATGGCCAACCCACAGGGAGAGAGTTGGAGGGATAAGTACCCAACCTCACCCTCCTTGCTCCAGCCTGGGCTTCCTATTGGCTGAGCCCAGCCAGAGTGGGAAGGTGACGGAGACCTTAGACAGCCCTGAGCACAGAGCAGACGGGGAGGGTGAAGGGTGGATGTGGAGGGGAATGGGAGATCCCCAGCATAGCCACCTACTTCCTTCACCATGGACTGACGCCCATCCTCCCTCCTGTCCTCACGAGTTCTACCAGGCTGTATGCAGCTGATGAATCCTCGTCTCCCAGGTAACACCTCCTTTCCCTCCCCTCCTCGCCACATGACTTAGGAGCCCTCTGTGCTCCTCCTGCAGCTGGTCTGCAGGTGGGAACCATAACCTAAGCCATTATCACCCCCTTGCCCCAACCCCAGGGGAACAGAACCATCTAGCCAGGCTCAGACCAGTCCTCTCATGAAGGAGGGACTCGGGAAGGGGTGGGCATGAGGCCTTCCTCTTCTGGAATGAGCTGCTGCTGTGTAGCCAGTGGGCTGATCCCTGGTCAGCACTTCCCTGGCTCAGGCATGCCTGGAAGGTGCTGGCCCCCATCCAGCTGAGCCACTGGGGCCGGGCCAGATGGCAGGCAGCAATGCCAAAGCTGGCTCTGAGCCACAGGCCTGGCTGTGAAAATTGAGCAACGGGTGGCCCAAGGGAGGCAGATGCCCTCAGCCACCTAGGGCAGAGCCCCAGGTGGCCCAGCCCCATCCTGCTGTGGCTCACCAGACTTAGACTTCAGGTCCACTGAGTCTGGCAGGGGCCCTGGGGCAGCAGCCATGCCCTGGGAAGGCAATGTGGTACAGAGCCAGGGAGGCTGAGAGCTGGGAGCCCGGGCTCGGCTCTGCGCTGCCCCCACACACATGGTCTTTGGAAAATTGCTTCCTCTTCTGAGCAGAACCTTTCTCCCAAATTGAGATCTCCTATAGAACCCCACTATATAAAACTGGTTGAAACAGAAGTGCACCCCACAGCCCCCTCCCTGGGCTCCCCTTCACCACCCCCTCCCTGCACCCAACCTTCAGCACCAGTCCTAAGGCATCTTTTTGGAATCTTGGGTTCCACAGAAAACGGTTTGGACACCATGGTCTGCGTGCTCCCTGAGTGGTCCCAGGCAGCTCCCACAGGCTGTAAGATTTTTAAATGCATATAAAAATAGGCAAAATGTTATAAACTCCCCATGTACCCATCACTTGGATTCCACAATTAACAACTCACAGCCAATCTTATTTCATCAATATCCTCACCTGCTTCCTCCTTTCCCATAGTATTCAGCAAATTCTGGACATCATGTCATTTCATCTATAAATATTTCAGTCTGTATCTCTAAAAGATAATGACTCATTTTAAATATATAACCACAATGTCATCATTACACCTTTAAAAATTAACAACCATTCCTGAAATCATCAAATATCTAAGCAGGGTTCATATTTCCAATTGTCTGTTTATAGGTTTTTGGTTGTTTTTTAAAATCTGTTAAAAGAGTCAGAGTCCAAATGTCCACATAACATATTGTGGCTGGTTGATATGTCTCTTTGGTCTCTCTTTGTCTTGCTCTGGGAGTTAGAAGTGGCCACTGAAGGTCAGGGTGGCCATTTGCATGGGCTTCCTCGGGGGCAGTGAAGACACTCCCAAGAGCCTGGAGGGGAGATTTGTCCTGCCCTGACCCCTTTGTAAGGCCAGAGGGAAAAGGAGAGGAGGGAAGGAGTGAAGGGCTGGGTGAGGCTGCCGCTGCGTCTTCCCACCAGGAGGCTGTAGCTGCCTGACCGGGGTTGGGTGTGGGGCTGTTCCCATCCAGGACTGGGTGGCCTTGAACCCCAGAAAAGGGGGGTGCCTCACTATAGTGAGCAGGACTCAGAAGAGGATGGTGCTCAGAGAGTGCGCTGCCCTGGAGGCAGGAGCCTGGGGCCTAAGCCGCTGGTAAAAATGACCATTAACCAAAAACATTTCGTTTGGCATCTGCTGAGATATGACTTTGCCAGAGGCTGGGACTGCAGTGACGACTGGAAAGCAGTCTCTGCCCTCTGGGAGCTTGACGCACTTGGAATCAGCTAAGCACATACCTTGTGTATTTAACCTCTAGATTTCAATATACCTATCTGTAAAATGGAAAAATAGTACCTCATCTATTAGAGCAGCTGGTTTCTACCAAAGCCCTTTCTAGCTCTAAAGTGGGATTTTATGAAGAGGGAAAAAAGGGACAACCTATACCTATAGTAGAGATGAGGGGAGGGCAGGGTGAGGAACATCCACACTGAAAGCCCAGAGTCTCAAGTCCTGGCTTGCCTGACTACCAGCTGATGCTCCACCATGGCTATCACCCCAGTGCCTTCCCATGGCCCCAGTGCTCCAGAAATGATGGAGTTCAGGAAATGCAGAGTGGTGGACCCTAGCCTCTTCAGACAGGATGGGTCTGGATCACAACCTCACGGAGGAGCCGCATTTCTGCTGTCCATGGTGCCACACTGTTGACAAGGCCAGGATTCCTCAACCTCAGCACATGGGTATTTTGGGCCAGATAATTCTGTGTTGTGAGGGCTGTCTTGTGCACTGCAGGATGTTTAGCTGGACCACAGCCTCTACCCACCAAATGCCAGTAGCACTCCTTCAGCTATGACAACCCAAAATGTCTTTGGATATTGTGAAACGTCCCCCCTGGAGAGAGCCACTGGTCTGGGCTGGAGGGACGCAACTTCTCTGTAAAGATAAGTGGATGTGTGCAGGTCCTGTCCACGCTGATCTTCTGGCTGACATCTATGATGTGTTTTCACTTCCAAGACGCCTTCTCATTCGCCCAACTCTTCTTATTTCAAACCTCACCTTTAAAAAGTGTGTTTTTGTTTTCTCGTTTGTTTGTTTTTTGAGACAGAGTCTTGCTCTGTCACCCAGGCTGGAGTGCAGTGGCACAATCTCAGCTCACTGCAGCCTCCGCCTCCTGGGTTCACGCCATTCTCCTGCCTCAGCCTCCCAAGTAGCTGGGACTACAGGCGCCCGCCACCACACCCAGCTAATTTTTTGTATTTTTAGTAGAGACGGGGTTTCACCATGTTAGCCAGGATGGTCTCAATCTCTTGACCTCATGATCCGCCCGCCTTGGCCGCCCGAAGTGCTGGGATTACAGGTATAAGTCACTACACCCAGCCAAAAAGTGTTCTTAAAAAAAAAAAAAAAAAAGCAACAAACTTCAATGGCCCTCTTGGCCACACTTAATAAATGCAAAATATGGTAATTGTGCCCAGGGTAAGTTCTCTTGCCCTTGAGTGGTACAGAGTCAGACTTGGAGGGAGGAGGAGGAGCCCTCTGTGGCCCTCACCTGTTGTCACTGCCAACCTCTGTCCCATGGCTTGTCTCCACTCCCCCCTTTAGCCCATCCACTGGGGAAAGCAAAAAGGGAACACTAACCCCAGAGCATCATTTTCCTGGAGCTGGAGCCTCCTATAGGTGATACCCCAGCTCACCAGAGGGCTAGGCTCAGGTCACCTCTCCATGGTACACTGGAAAATATCTGGAGTGGGAGTTGGGGACGTGAGGTTCCGATCCTGTCTGTGCGGAAGCCAGCTGTGTGACCTTGGGCTCAGAGGTACTGACCTCTGAACTCAGCCTTCTCATCGGTAAAGTGAGGCTGTTAATACCTCCTTCATGGAGTTATTAAAAGAATTAAATGGGAAAATGTTTGTGAAGGAACTACATAGTGCAAATTGCAAGACAAATCTTAATTATTATTATTATCTGTTGTTCTAAGTGAGAGAATGAAGAACATCACACCCCTTATCCAAAGGCCTGGAAAACCCACAGCCCCTCCCCTGCAACCCCCCAGCCTCATCCCATCTCCTGTTCCCAGCCGACCAGCCCCCTCCCCTGCAGCCCCCCAGCGTCATCCCATCTCCTGTTCCCATCAGACCAGCCCCCTCCCCTGCCCTATACTTGTTCCTTGGGCTCTGTCTCTAAGCGACCCTCCCACCTTGAAAGTCTCCCTCTCTCACATGTCCATACCCACTTCCTTCAATACCCAGCTCCCAACCCACCTCTTCCAGAAAAATCTTTCCTCTGACAAAGGGGGTGAGCTCAAAGCCAGATCACCTCTTTCCCCAACTGAATTACCTATTGTGACCTCCACAACCCCATGCCAAACTAAGCACACTGCCAGGCAGATCTAGGTGAATAGTAACAATGACAATGACGATCATTCATAATATTGAATAATAAAAATAGCAAACATTTGAAGCATTTACTATGTGCTAGGCACTGCGCTAAGCACTTTACGTATTTTAATTCCTCTATCAAATGCCGGTTGGCCACATGGGATTAAACACCTGCCTCTGCCTCCAAACCCCAGCACAAGCATCACCTCCTTGGTAGAGTCTTCCCCATTGGTCTCAGGCAGAATTAATATTCCTGCCTCCACACCCGCAGTGCCTGGTCTATTGTTGACCTAATTTCACTAGCTCTTAATTATTTATCAAAGTGGCTGCTTCCCATTCCAGCCTGTGAACATCTTGAGGGCCAGGACCCTGTTATATTTATCTTTATTAGCCTCAGTGTCCAACAGTGACTGGTACCTAGTTGCTCCTCATTAAATGTTTGTTGAATGAATGCACAGATGAATGGAGTAATTAATACAATATCCCCCAATGTTCATGGGATTTTAAAGAGGCCACTTTCCTAGCCTCATGCTTCACAAACATTCCAGACCAGTGCTACTCCAAGCATGATCTACAGACCGGCACCTGTCTGCAAACTGTGTTGCCAGTTTATGACCTGGTAAGTGCAGAAATTGAGCATAAGCATTTAGACTTTTTTTTTTTTTTTTTTTTTTTTTGGAGTGAGAGTTTTGCTCTTGTCACCCAGGCTGGTGTGCAATGGCGTGATCTCAGCGCACTACAACCTACGCCTCCTGGGTTCAAGCGATTCTCCTGCCTCAGCCTCCCAAGTAGCTGGGATTACAGGCATGCGCCACCATGCCCAGCTAATTTTATATTTTTAGTAGAGATGGGGTTTCTCCATGTTGGTCAGGCTGGTCTCGAACTCCCAACCTCAGGTGATCTGCCTGCCTGGGCCTCCCAAAGTGCTGGGATTATAGGCGTGAGCCATGGCACCCGACCCATGGCTCATATTTAATCTCCACAACTATTGCTATCATCCTATTTTTCAGGGGGAACTGAGGCTTATTGAAGTTAAGCAACTCCCCAAGGTCCTAGAGAGCAGTGGTAGGGCAGAGGTGGTGACCCAAGCACTTTGATCCACAGCTCACGCCTCAGCCACATCACTGGCAGAGAGTCAAGGGACTCAACAGAAACATTCATGCTAACTTCTCGGGTTCTGGAAAGCTCTATGCAGGAGGTGATGTTTGTTCTGAGCCTTGAAGAAGGCATAATGGGGAGGGGCATTCCAAGGCAGAGGCACACAAGAGGCAACCGCGTGAGGGGAGTCTGGTGAGGTTGGGCCGGGTGCGGTGGCTGGTTTCAAACTCCTGACTTCAGGTGATCCACCCTTCTCAGCCTCCCAAAGTGCTGGGATTACAGGTGTGAGCCACTGCACCTAGCTACATTTTGACATTTTTAAGCCATTAGACAGAATAGTTTTATGTCCATTTGATGTGCTAGTGTTTAAAACAGGGCTTTCATTTTGTCTTTTTTTCTTTCTTTCTTTCTTTCTTTTTTTCTTTTTTTTTTGACTGAGTCTCACTCTGTTGCCCAGGCTGGAGTGCTGTGGCAGGATCTGGGTTCACTGCAACCTCCTCCTCCCAGGTTCCAGCGATTCTCCTGCCTCAGCCTCCCAAGTAGCTGGGATTACAGGCTCGTGCCACCATGCCCGGCTAATTTTTGTACTTTTAGTAGGGATAGGGTTTCACCATGTTGGCCAGGCTAGTCTCAAACTCCTGACCTCAAGTGATCCACCTGCCTTGGCCTCCCAAAGTACTGGGATTACAGGCAATGAGCCACCACATCTGGCCTTTTATTGCATTTTTCTAATAATTCATTCCCGCAGTGTTTTGCAATCGCATTGGCCTGTGACAGATTAGAAATTTTAAAATACAGAACCAGTTCTTTGCCACAGTTGTCTGAGAAGTATGGTTCCAGACCAGCAACCTCCCGGGGATGGTTAAGCCAGTGGAACCCCACAGGTAGGAAGTGCCTATTCAGCCCTGCCTCCCTGGGTCTCACCCATCATTACATCAAATCTGTCTCTCCTACTGTTGGGAAGGAAATGTGATTGTCTTTTATTCCTGTTTGGAATCCTCACATTTCTCCTGTCTTCCAAATCTGGCAGATTAAATGAATGAAAGCTGATTCTGCTGCTGGCTGGACAGGAAGGGGTGAGAAGGCAAGGGAGGGATGGGATGAGAAGAGAGTTTGGAAAAGGCCATCCTGGGAAAAGAATGCTGGAATGGAGTAGGAGCCTATCCTGAGGAGGGTGTGCAGAGGCTGCTCTGGCTGGGGCTGAGGGAAGGAAGGGTGTAGGAGGGAGGGACAGGGCAGACACTAGCACCTTCACCAAGCCCAGCAGATGAGAGCCAGGCCCTTGAAGGTGAAAGGAAGTAGTTTCAGGACAAATGAAAGGGGATATTGAACCTTTTTACAGAAGGAATGTTAAACGCCAAACTTTCATAACCCCCCTGAGGCTGCCAAGGCCAAAACTATAAATAAGTAGGTCGAGGAATTAGGCAGAAGCCTCCTCCCCTGACCTGTCCGTCAGCGGGATGTGGTGGGGTGGAGGTTAAGTCAGTGAAATCAACACAGACAGGATGAAATGAGCTATCTGTAGACGCCACTTCAGAAAGCGAGAAGGTCTGACTCCTGGGCAAAAAAGTCAGGAAGAGCAAGACTTGATTGCAGTCCAATCAATGGCATTAGCATATTTAAAGATCATGTCAAGGGGAGGATAATGGGGCTCAGAGAGGCAAAATTTGATGGTGTTTATTAAGCAGAGAGAAACACAGAAGCTGGAGCCGTCTAGTCCTTAGAGAGTGTGCTCCAAGGTGGGACCAGGGAGGGAGCAAGGCCTTGGCTGGGCCTGGGCAAAGCTACCAGAGGACCAACCGGCTTCCTCTCCTCTGATTCCACAGCCTACTGCTGCTGGTGAATTTCTGATCAAGAATTCTGCTCCCCACAAAGAACTGCCTAGAGGGTGGGACCAAGCCACCCCTCACACTTGAGCATCCAGTCCACTCCATCGTGATGATGATGATGATCATAGTATTGGTGACTACAGCTAACCCTCATTAAGCTCTCACTATGTGCCAGGCTCCGTTCCAAGCTCTTTACAAATACCAACTCCTTCAAACTCCCCAACCACCCTCAGAAGTAGCGTTTCTACCCCGATTTTATAGATGAGAAAATTGAGGCATTGTTAAATAACTCTCCAAGTTTATACAGCTTGTAAGTGGAAAAGCCAAGATTCAAACTCAGGCCATCTGACTCCAGAACCTGCACATCAGACTGCCCCGCACTTAACTGTTGTTGGTAACAGTTAGTTGTCCATCTGCTTAGCATGTCCATCCCTTCTGGGGTTGGCTGGGGCAAGTCAGGGCCCAACTCGGCACAGCCAGCTCCGGAGCACTAACCTAATGGGGGTTTTGCAAGACTCGGGACTGTGTGCTTCACCTGGAAAGTGCCAGGTGTGTGGATAAGCCATGTGAGCAGCTGGCTTCCTGGGCAATGCCCCTCCCCACTTCAGTGTCCCAGGCCCCTTTAGGGCCCAGCCCTCCAGGCACTGTGAGCTGGGAATGAGGTGAAGGAGGACTAGGCTTACCCTCTGTGTGCCTCCATTTTCTCACCAGTAAACTGTGTGTGTTGGATCTTACGATCTTCTAAAATAACTCCAGCTCCAAATGAAGGCCAGTGGACCCATGAACACGCTGGCTCTTGCCCAGTGTGCTGAGAAGAGGGCAGGAGGGAGGAGTAGGGTGGGCACGGCAGGGCACAGGGTGCAGGGCAGGTGGGTTCAGTTTGATTTCAAAGCCGACTGCCCGCCGCCCCAGGTGCTCTGGTGTACCCAATAGGGGCTGCATTGGCCAGGCGGCCTAGGCTCTGCGGGTGGAGTGAAGATTTCTCTACCTCCCAGTTTCTCCCTTTTCAGCTCTGGTAGGAGAGAGGAAGAGTGAAGAGGAAGTCAAAAGTTCTGTTCATCTGGAAGGGCTGGGAGTTGCTTCCTGGGATGGGGAGCTCCGAAGCCAATTCAGAAGACGGCCCCGGGGTCTGGCGGGGAGGCCCACCGCTGCCCAGAGGGCTCGGCCGGCCGGGAGGGGGCGCTGTGTCCTCCCCACGCCCTGCCCGCGGGCTCCTAGCAGCGTTCGCCGCGCTGCAACGCAATGCGCGCCCGGCTTTCCCCTGGGCAGCGTTCAGTGCCCGCTTGTCCTGCAGGGCACCGCCGTCTCCCTTTCATCCTGGGGCTCCCAGGTCCAAAGGGTTCCCAGATCCAGCCTCTTGCCTGAACCAAAGTGGCCAGGCACTCAGTTTGTAAGATGAACAAATGAAGGAAAGAAGGAACGAATGAATAAGGGCTCATCTTGCAGAGCGTTCGCGTCTCAGCGCGCACCAGGCACATCAGTGCCAAAGGTGCTGGGGGTCGGGCCCAGCGCCCGGCGCGGCTGGAATGGGGGCGGCGAGGAGCTCCTCCTAGCCAGCCGCAGGGCGGGAACTGCCCAAACGCAGGTCGCAGCCTCACTGGGTTCCGCGGCGGCTCCGCTCAGTAGGGACCGCCCTGTTCCCTAGCCCCCAATAGCCTCGCCCTCATAAATTCACCTGAGCACCCTGGCCCAAGTCACCCCAGATCCCTGGGACTTCCCAGGCCCCGACCTCGGCCGGGCGGGAGGCTGATCCTTTACCGCGGCCCCCTTCCCCCATTCCCGGCTTCTCCCCGGGCTGCGGCGGCCGCCACTGCTGCCAGCGCGCCCCGAGGACTGCCGCAAACCCCGGGCGCAGGGAAAGGGGATCCTGGCGGCGGGACACAGAGAGCGGGCCGGGGGAAGGGGAGGGAACGGAGGAGGCGAGGAGGAGCTGGGAGGGAG
Organism: Homo sapiens; assembly: GCF_000001405.40. Lineage (NCBI taxonomy): Eukaryota > Metazoa > Chordata > Mammalia > Primates > Hominidae > Homo > Homo sapiens. The sequence goes on from NT_187663.1 coordinate 486,254, forward strand.
CCGAGGGGCGAGGCGCGGAGGAGGGACCGAAGGGGAGCGGAGGGGAGAGGGAGGGGGAGGAAGGGGAGGGGACGAGCTGGGCGAGGGGGCGGGGAGCCGAGGCGAGGAGCGGCGCGGACCGTGGGGGAGGTGGCGGGGGCGAGGCCGGCAAGAGGCGGCCGCGGGCCGGGCTGCGTCGGGAAACGGCGGCCAGACTTCCCCGGGAAGGGGCGAGCGAGAGCCGGGCCGGGCCGGGCCGGGCCGCGGGGCCGGGAAGCGCCGAGCCGGGCATCTCCTCACCAGGCAGCGACCGAGGAGCCCGGCCGCCCACCCCGTGCCGCCCGAGCCCGCAGCCGCCCGCCGGTTCCTCTGGGATGTCCGTAGGACCCGGGCATTCAGGACGGTAGCCGAGCGAGCCCGAGGATGGGAGGGCACCCGCAGCTCCGTCTCGTCAAGGTAACAGCCCGCCGGCCATCCCTCGAGCGCTGGCGCCCCCGGCCCCTGGCGGACGCGGGACGGGGCTGGGCTGTGGGTGTGATGGGGGCGGGGGCGCTGGGAGAGCCGTGCTTAGGTCGGGGAAGGCTGGGCTCCGGGGCAGCCTAACTCTCTGGACCTTTGGAGCCAGGGTTGGGTAGGCAGGGGGAGACTCAGGTGAGAAAAGAAATCGTGGCGAAGCCGCCGGGATGTTGGCGGAGGAGGGGGTCCGCCCACCCGGGTAGCCGGCTCCGCGCCAAGAATCGCTCTAGGCTCTCGGGCAGACGCCTAGGGGAGGGGAGGTTCCACCTCCCACGCCCTTCCTGCAGACCTCGGCCCCGGGACTGGAGACTCTGAAGCGGGGTTCCCACCTCGCCCCAGCGCCCCCAAACAGCTCCCCGACTCCGCACGCCCCCGCCCTAGTCTTGGGAGCGCGTCCTGCCCCTTCCCCTCCGCGGCGAGCTGCGAGTCCGGAGAGATGAATGCCGCCCGCGCCTGCGAGCCCTTGATCAATATCGCAGTCTCGGGGGAGGAGACGGTGCCTCTGGCGGCAGTTCCTGTTCCCCGACCGCGGCTGGGAGCGCGACGCTCGTTCTCCGAGCCTGGGCACCCGCGATCCCCGCGCTGCGCGGCCGACCCTGCGACGCGGATCGGGCGCTGGAGTTTAGGAAAGTAGCCAGACCGCACGTCCAGCGTCTGCCCGCTGAAGTTCGTGGGCGGTGGGGGCGGCCCGCGGGTTGTGTGAGCCAGGGAAGGGCCGGGAGGCCGGCAGTCCGGCCCGCCGCTCGTGTCAGGCGTCACTTGCAGCCCCAAGCGCTTTCCAGAGCGTTTTGGTTTTGCAGGGTATAGGCGCGCCCGCTGCAGCCGGCCGGAGAGGCGGGTGGGCCTCTGCGCTGCTGCCGGGACACCCCGCTTCGCGCCAGTCTGGGCATCGCCTCACCCGGGGCTCGGGACTCCGCAGGGTCCGCTCCAGCCACAAACATAGACACCAGCTTGACCCGGCTCAGGGCATTCAGAGCGATTACATTCAAGAGACTTCGGTGGATTTGGGGGAGGGGTGCGGATTGGCGGAATTTCATTTTTCCATCAGTTATTAAACCAACTGTACGTATACCGGCTTACCAAGTGGTTTGAGTTAAACCACCAAGATTTTTAAATGCAGCAGCTGCTGCTTCCTTAGTTGAGACGTTACAAGTTACTGAGATTTTTCTCTAATCCTGCCCCTCCCCAAATATTTATAAATTGATTCTTAAAATGATCAAGGGTTGGTCTTACTGAACCCACATCCCCTCCCCCATCCGTTACCTGAGGGCTAGGGATGAACTCAGATTATTTTCTGGGCGTTCGAGGAGACAGACAGGTGAGGAAGGTAGAAGAAAAACATCCAGAGAGGTCGAGTAGTTGGCACTGAATGGGAATAGTTTCCAAAAGGCTCGCGTGTACCGAAGCCTGGTCTAAATGCACAAACCAGTTAGACCAAATTCAGTCTTTTAAATGGATTCAAAGAACTGAACTGCGGGTGTTTTCTTTTCTTTTTTTTTTTTTTCAGGTTTACGCGGAAATAGATCAATGTTCTTTTTCTGGCCTTTCATAGAATTGTGTGCAAATCTCTGTTTAGAATGATCATGTTTTCCTTAAAAAAGTCTTTTTATTTCCTTTGTTCCTACTAGATGGTGGGGTGTTTGCCCTTTATGCCTGGCCTAATAAACTCAGTAGGCATTCAATAAATTCCAGATGAATGTGGGGCAGTGAGTGAATGGCCAGCGAATGCTGGTTTCAAACGTTGGTTACAATTAAATAGTTGCTTTTCTTCTTTTATTTATGTAGCATGTACAATTCACTGGGCATTATTCTACCTGCTTTGCAAATATTAAGTCATTTAGTCCTCCTAACAGCCCTAGGAAGTAGGAATTATTCCTGAGACACAGAGAGGCTAAGTAACTGGTTCAAGGTCACACAGCCAGTGAGTAGTGAAGTCAGAATTCAAACCCAGACACTCTGATAAAAGGCTTTGTTTTGTTTGCTTTTACCAGAAAATATCCTTTTTTTTTTTTTTTTTTTTCAAGACAGGGTCCCACTCTGTCGCCCAGGTTGGAGTGTAATGGTGTGATCATGGCTCACTGAAGCCTCAACCTCCCTAGGCTCTGGTGATCCTCCCACCCCAGCCTCCAGAATAGCTGGGACCACAGGCATGCACCACCACACCCAGCTAATCTTTGTATTTTTTGTAGAGATGGGGTTTCCCCATATTGCCCTGGCTGGTCTCGAACTCCTGGGCTCAAGCGATCAGCCAGCCTCGGCCTCCCAAAGTGCTAGGATTACAGGCATGAGCCACCATGCCCGGCCATTACCAGAAAATATTCGAAGCCACCTAAATCTCACTCTAGAGCTCAGCCAGATGAGAGCTCAGGTAGTTTTGTCAGCATGAGAGTACAAATCTAGGGGATTTAGGGTTAATCCCAAATCCAGCTCCATCCCCAACAAGTCAGCCAGTGTTGGGAAAGGGTCCACTCTGGGGCCTATATTGTGGGCCTCACACTATAACAGTTACAGAGTCCTGGGGGAAAATGTGTGTGAATGGGGAGAGACAGGGTGTGTGAAAGTGTGTGTGTGAGTGGGGAGAGACGATGTGTGTACAAGTGGCCATGAGTCAGGAGAAGACAGACAAGACATTGTCTCTATCCCCAGGGAGGGGCAGGGGCCTGAGCACCTCGGAGTCAGCCACACACCCACTGCATCTCCTCGTAGGGAGATGGAGTGTGGCTGTAAACATGGGTCCCAGTGTCTGTGAGGGGTGCAGAAGGCAAGGCCTCTGGATGGATTCTAACAGGAGAGTGAGCTCCCAGGAGGGAGCTGGCTATTGTTATTCTTATATAAGCCAATTTAGCAGCAATAGGCAAAGTTTGAAAACCAGAATGGAAAATGATTGCAACCTCACTCTTTTAATCTGGCTACTGTATAATTCATTTAAAAAATAACCCCCACAGGTCCCCTTCTCAAGCACCTGTCTGGGCACAGCTGTGGCCATTGGGCAGCCCTCTCCTCAGTGTCACAGCCCAAGTCTGTTTCACGTTACTCCCGAGGCTCTGCAGGAGACTGTCAATGTCTGCATGTTGCCTGTGAGTGAATGGACTTTGCCATCCCTATATCGGTGCATATCTGGGCCATTTCCAAGTTGTTTCTTTGATTAAACGATATAGAGCCAGGTTTTCGAGGGGAGCGTTGGCAAGAGGCATGAGGAACGCGAAACAGTGAGCCCAGGGTGGGCCAGTGGGCTGCTGTGGCGTGCGGGACTGCTGGCCTGGCCACAGACTGGGGGCAAAGACAGGGAGGGGCCAAAAGCCAGGCCAAGCCCCTTGGATTTGAAATGACCAGCCATAGAGAGGAGTGTGTAGATTATGGAAAAGTTGAACACTCACCCAGAGCCAGTGAGGACGAGCTCAAGTGGAAAATCCATTTCTCACCCTCTCTAACATTTGGCTCCTCAAAAGCATCAACCTCCAGGTTCAGCCACACATAAGGAGTTTGGGGGTCAAGGTGCCACCACCCCAAGTGCCCGTGTGGCCTAGAAGGAAGCAGTTAGGTGCCGGGCTGATAATTTCAGCAGCTATTGAAGGGGAAAGACCATCAGCCTGGGAGTCAGTGAACCTGACTCTGATCCCAGCTCTGCCTCCAATCAGCTGTGTGATGACAGGTAGGTCACCTTCCCTCTCTGAGCCACAGTTTATCTGTCTGTAAACAGGGGTATTGGACTGGATTCTCTGTTATCTCTCATGTCTCTGTGAAAGGTCTGTGTTTTCAAATACTCCTTAGGGACATGACCTCACATAGAAAGAGGGGGGTGCCACGAACTGGATTCCCAGCACTCCCCCTTCCCAGCTCTGCTCAAGCTGAGGGACCTTGGAACATGATACTTGGACCTAAGTACTCTCTCTGGGCTTCAGTGTCCCCAGCTATAAAATGGGGGAAATGCCTAACTCAGGAGGTTGAGGTAAGGACAAAAGGAATTAATACATGGAAAGTGCCTGGAACAGTGCCTGGCACAGTCTGCTTTCAGAAAAAGCTGCAAGGTGGCTACTCTCAGCAGATATAAGTTAATGCAGGAACAGCAACTAGCAGCTCTTGGACATGCAATATATTATATATTTTTTGCATCTTTTACCCTTCACGGCACTGAGCCTCACAATCCGTTGCACAGAGTAGGTGTTTAACAAATGTTTGTCGACTTCATGGATGAGTTTATTGTTGCTTCTTCCATTTGGTATTGTACAATTGGAAAGAACCCGTTTCTGTTCCCACCAGATGCAGATGTCAGGTCGAAACAGAAGGCTGAGAGATGCTTAAACCACCCTAGCAGAAAAGCCATCTCTGATGCAGAAAGGACTAGAACTCCCCCTTAAGCCCACTGTGGTTATTAAAAAAGAGAAAACAACACACAACCAGTGCAGCACCCCAGTGATCTGGAGAATCCCTTGAGGGTAGAGCCTCAGCCAGTGAAACTCCAGCGCTTTTGCCGTGTCTGGAGGAGGGCAGGTCACTAACAGTGATCTGGGCCGTTTCTTCCTCAGTGAAAAGAGGGAGTAGGGTGATCTCTCCCAGCTCTGATTCTACCCTAACTGCTCACGGTATCAACCAAAGAAGGGTGAGCCCATTTTGAACGTAAGGCCAGGTCGAGATTTCAGCTGCAGTTTTAATAGTCAAACAATGAATTTGTTAACTACAAATCATTCTTGTCTACCTAAATTCAGGGAGGTCCCTGTCAGCAGAGTCCCTAGGAATTTTTTTTTTTTTTTTGGAGACAGGGTCTCACTCTGTTGCCCAGGCTGGAGTGCAGTGGTGTGAACACAGCTCACTGCAGCGTCAACCTTGTGGGCTCAAGTGATCCTCCCACCTCAGCCTCCCAAGTAGCTGGGACTATAGGTGTGCATCACCACACCTAGCTAATTTTAAATTTTTTTGTAGAAACGGTCTTGCCGTATTGCCCAGGCTGGTCTCGAATTCTCAAACTCCTGGGCTCAAGCGATCCTCCCACCTCAGCCTCCCAAAGTGTAGGGTTACAGGCGTAAGCCACAGTGCCCAGCCTTCATCCTTTTAAAATGCTTGTCTTTGGACTTGTTGCTCTAGGCCAGCCATCCCTTACCCCACCCAGTGTGGCAGTCAACATCTTCTTGTATGGGTGGGAACAGCAGATGAAGCAAATGTGGGCTTGAATCCTTACTCTGCCCTGAAGCTGTGGGCAAGTCACCTCTTCATCTGTCTAAAGCGGGGGAAATAATACCTGCTTTATGGCATAATCATAATGACCATGAGATGCCAGGTGTGAAATTATGCACAGTTGCACAGTGTCTGGCACACAGTAAGTGCATAATAAATATTAGCTATAGTAGTCACTTAATAAATCTTACCAACTTCCTCAGTCTAAGAAAGGCCATCAAAAGGAGAAGTGGTGAGGGGATGGGGGTAGAGGAAGGGTATTTGGCGTATAGAATCTCTTCCTGCGTCAGAGCACTTTTCACAGTCCCTGGGGAAAAGGGATCAGCTACCAGCCATCAGCTGAGCTTGAAGGTCATAGACAGACCTGAACATCTGGGATATGGAAAAACCTGACAGTAAAAGTAGATATGTAGGGAGGATAATACGAAATGATTCACTCACTGATGCAAACAATCATTTTGAAAATAACTAGCTGGATTCTATTAGACAACAGATTCTTAATCACTTGTTTTCTGAGTATGTGGTATCCGCTTCCACAAAATTGAATGGATGGCAGGAAGGGAGGGAGGCAGACTTCATGAAACAGGCATGTCAGAATCTGGCTTTGGAAGACGGGTTCCCCTTCACGTAGAACTGCGGATTCAAATGCTTTAGCCAAACATGTTCTTTGGCAACTGTCCACCCAGCAGCCATAAAACTGTTTCTGGGACAAATGAAGATGTTTGCGGCTGTTCTTTCTGCCCTATAAGCACAGGCAATTTGTCCATCTCACCCGCCTGGCACTGTTGGGCCCAGAGAGAAGCCTCAGCGAGGTGCTTTGAGATGGGATTTGTGGGGTGTGCATCTGCCCCCCTCCGCATGTCAGCTGGTTTCCAAGCCCCAGCCAGTCTGGTTGGGAGCCAGTGCGCCTAGGTCAGAGCCCAGAAAAACTGGCTAGACTGGTCCAGTCACTTCGTGGCTGCAGAACCAGGGAGGCAGGGCTTGTTCTAGACTGACCGCTATACTTTAGAGTCTACCCACTGGAGTTTTAAGAGGTAGTGGGGGCTATCAGGAAGCACAGTGAGAATCTTAGTTGAACCTTTGAGTGCTGGGATGTCAGGGGCTTTAGGAGAATTGGGACAATATATTGGTCATCATCCCTGGTCAGTACCAAAGCCCACAGAGCTGAAAGGCACCTGCCCAGGGTGAAAGGCTGGGACAAGTGATGGCCGCAGCATTGCCATTTCCAGTGGGGAGTGCCCTCCCTCTGTGATCCATCCACCTCTCCCTCCCTGTTTTCCCAGCCTCTTTGGCAAGGTGTGTGAAGGGCTCATTTCTAGAAAGCCCTTCCTAGCTCAGCAGAGGCCAGAGGTACCAGGCTGGGTGGGGAGCCTGTGCACAGAGACAGGGAAAAGGAGTGTGGCTGGGGGACAAGGGGCTGGGCTGGGTGGGCTGGAAAAGCAAACCGGGTCCAGGCGGGGTTTTACCCTGGGGAAAGGGCTTTAGGAGAGTCCAGGGCCATCTGAGGCACAGTCCTTACAGGTCCAGGCCCCCTGCACTGGGGACCCAACTGCACTCAGAGCACGGGCCTGGCAGGGTGCCCAAGGGCTCGCTCAGGGTGGATGATTTCACTCTTACGGAAGATGCGGAGACAGACAGACAGTGAGAGAAGCAAAAGGGGAGGGAGAAGAAAAAGACCTGCCTGCCTGCCTTGGTCATTCTTGCTTTTAACTTTCTCCCTAGCATCCAAGAGAGCCTATGCCCGGGTTCTGAGGCCAGCGGTGGCATCTCCTGGAAACTTCCTCTCTGTTTCTCACAAGAATTCCTCCACCCATCCCTATCCTGGTGCCTGGGTGCCCGAAGCCGTCCTCAGCTGTTAGGAGAGCCTTCGGCGCAGAGATGCCCCAGATGAGCTCCCGCCATGATCCCTTCCACCACCCCCAGGGCTGCTCCTCCTCCCCAGAAGCAGGGTGCAGAAGGGACAGGATCTGTTGCCTCTGTGGGCCTGTGTGTTTCTCAGTGGGCATTTTTTTCTCTCTCTCTCTTTCTCTCTCTCTCTCTCTCACACACACACACACACACACACACACACACACGCTGGTACCCTGGCGAGTGAGCTACTTTGCAGTGTTTGTAACACCCGCACCTGCCACCTCCCTCAGAAGCCACTGTGTGGTCACCACCTCTCCTCTGAGCATAGCCAGACCTGTACGGCAGGTGTGCAATGCCACCTCAAGGCCAGGGTTAGAGGCTGACTTCCAGAGGAGCAGCTGGGCACCTGGGGACCACGGGCTTAGCTGGGTGAGTGACTAGCAGGTTAGACAGCCTCCCCGGCATCCCTCAGCTGCCCGTGCCTGGCTGGGAGCCCGAGAGACTCAGCCACTCCTTCATCTTCCCAGACGGGTAGGGCAAGGCTGGTCCTTGGAGGGAGGCTGGTCCTTGCGTCCTGGGCTTGGTCTTGGTCTAAGCCACGCCCTTCCCCTTCCTCTTTCTGCCAACTCTGCTCCTGTCCCTTGCCTACGCCTCCCAGGTTCTTTTAAGCAGGTACACTGTTTACTGGCCAGGTGCGCCATTTACTGAGCTGCTGTTGCACTAAGGCCCACACAAGTGACCCCATTGAGTCCTCCCATCCCCTTCTAGAGGGGAAAGAACCTGATGCTCCCCTAATCTCTTGCTCCTCACTCCTGGCCCTCTGCCTGAGTCGCACTGTTCTCCTTCCTCCCCTGCCAACCCCTACCCAGCAGAATATACATATATGACACTTCTCTTACAGGAGCTTCTGCCCCCAAGTCTTTCTGTGCCAATCTTCATCTGTCATGTCCACCAAAGTCTTCCTGAACTGGCCCCACCTCCTCCTCCAGGAAGCCCTCCAGTCTAAATCTGTCTCTCACTGGTTGTTCCTTTGTTCTCACCTCATCCCGTCCCCTGGTGTGAGCCTCTAGCTCATCGTGGATCCTGGGCTGTCCCACAACATGGGGTCTTACAGCTCTTTGATGTATCCCCCCACAGGGGGCTCAAAAACACCTACTAACCAGATTCCACATGGACCCCTGGTGACCCACATCTAACCTGAGCCCTTGTTCCCACCGTAGACTATGAGCTCTGCCTAGACCAGAAAGATTCCCTTACAAAACAAAACAAAACAAAAAAATAACAAAACCTCTGTGTGCCCAGAACTTAGTCCAGAACTGTGCACACAGTAGGTGCACAGTAGATGCTGAACTAAATGGAGGGTCTCTCCCTGCTCCCACTCCCCAATGAACGTCTGTCTGAGTGTGGAAGTGCTATGGCGACAGAAGACACAAGTGGCAAGCCAGACAGATAGGTCCCTCTCTGCCTCCGCGTGTGGATTTGTGACTCAACGGCTTATCAAGGGCTACGCGGCAGCGCGGCTTAGTAACATTAAAAGATTCCAGCACTGCCCTGTGTTCCGCCTCCGGTCCCCATAGCACTGGGGGCGTTGTCCACGTGCACGCAAGGGCAGCATGTTGCTTCATGAGCGGTTCTGGACAGGGATGGTGGGAGATGTTGCTAGGGGGAATTGTGGCCCTGGGCTTAGAAACAAAGGGGCAAGAAGGTCTCAGAAGCTGGGGCCTCCAGAGAGCAGGGTCAGGGCACTCTAGCCTCCAAATGGGGACTGGGGAGGCGGCCTAGGTGGCATCCTGGGGTTCCCTCCCTGGTGCTGTCCTGGTTCTGCTGGTCATGAGGCAGGAGTAGCCAGGCAAGGCAGGGGCGCCAAGAGCACTGGCATTCCTGGTACCTTCGTGAGATCCCGTCCGTTGGCATCCCACCCCTCCAGCTCCCTGTGAGTCGGTGTGGGGGTGCAGCCTGGGGCGTCTTTTCTCTCCTGATGGCTGGGGCCTCATGGCCTGACTGTGGAAGCTGCTGCAAGGCTGTGAAATGCAGGGCAGGGGGGCCTAGGAGTGGTGGGGCTCACATGCACCCTGGAGGAAGGACCACTGTCCCTAAAGCTGACAGGGCAGGAGACCTGGGGTTGGAGCTGACTCAGCCACTTCTTGGATGGGTGACCTTAGGCAAATCACATGACCTCTCTGGACCCTTGTGTCCTCTTTACTGGACCGACCACAATGCAGAATGAAAGAGGAAATGCCTGTGCTGCTGCAAGGGGCCTGCTCCCACCAAAGGCCAGTGAGACCTGCTGTTTTCATGGGTGGGAGTCCCACCCCAGGACTCCCCTCAGAACTAAGCCCAACTATCACTCAAGACCCGCCTCCTCCATGAGGCCTTCCCTGGTGAGCCAGGCATCACACTCTGTCCTCCAGCCAAAGCAGGGCTCTCAAACCAGCTGTGGGGAAGGACCACATGGATTTTTCCAATCCATGGCCAACTGGCGTGTGGTCCTGCTGTGTAGCCTGCACCACGTGATTCACCTGGCAAGTCTGACAGCATCTGAATTGGTCTAGACCCTGTTTGACGAGATGAGTCTTGACTGCATGCTCGGATGTCACCGCAGGGATGGATTCACATGAAATGCTTACTCTCCAGTTTTGTACTTCTCAAGTTGTAGACCAGGAACCAATTGTTGGTAGGTTGGCAAACTTGACCAGTCGGACCAGTCCTCACCACCCTTTGAATAGCACGGGCCTAAAGCCCTCCTTTGGGGCCAGAATTCACTGCCTGGCCCAGATCTCTGGTTCACCCTTCACACAGCCTGCCCCTCCTGCCATGCTTCTTGCACTTGTGTGTCTCCATTGCATGGATGTGAGTGATGTAGTGGCTCTTTCTGGCAGCCAAGGCTGGGCGACGGAAGAAGGAAGAACCCTTGTCCAGGAGGAGGAAACTCTTTGGTTTACTCAGACCCCTTACCCAGTGGCGGGTTCTGAGCAGGCCCCTTCCCCCTCCTTGTCACACTCATCAATCTGCACTTGGTGACAAGGTGAGCTGAGGACCCATGATCAGTGGTCGCAGCCCCTAGTGGGGCAAGGGCAGCCTTGCTCTGTGTGGGTTCCCCAAAGCTCACAGGACTTAGCCCCATGCTGTTCTACCCCTTGTCCCCGCACTCATCCAAGGTAAAGGAATCCCACTTCTCCAGGGCCCAGGGCCCAGGACCCGGCTCTGCCTCCTGCCTCTGAGGTGCCGGCCCTGGAGAGGCTCTGGTGGAGCCTCAGCTGGGTGAGCTCAGCTCGCTGACTCTGGGAAGAGGCTGCTGTTCAAGCTCTTTCTGGGCTGCCTCATTCCTCAACTTTGGCTGCATCAGCAGGCAGACCTTCCTGCATCTCCTGTGCACCCCCTGCAGGAGGAGATCTGGAGGAGCTGACCCAGCAGGGCCAGGACAGAGTGAGTCAGGGGAAGGAGTTCCCATCTGCCCAGCTGGCCAGGAAAGGTCGTTTCCACCAGTCCGCTGCCTTCAGACTGAGGCCAGGAGGTGGGAGACTGACTGATCCAAGGTCGCACAGGGCATTCACCAAGAAGAGTGCAATCCAGGTCCTCTTCCTGCCTTGAAGGTGCCTCTCTCTTGTAATCCCACACTCTTCCCAAGGTCCACTCTACAGCCACCTTCCTCCCCTGCCCCGCCCCCATAATGGGCAGGCAGGCAAGTGTCTTCAAAGCTGGGATGGAGCATTGAAACCCTCCAACCCAGGGCTTCCCAACCTCAGCACTATTGACATTTGGGGCCAGATAATCCTTCACTGTGGGGGCTGGCCTGTGCATTTTAGGATGTTTATCAGCATTCCTGGCCTTTACCCATTAAATGCCAGTCGCACCTCCCCCTTCCTGATTATAGCAACCAAGAATATCTTCAGACATCACCAAACGTCCCCCGGGAGGCAAAATGGCCTCCAGGTGAGAATCTCTGAGCTGGCTGAGTTATCCTCACTTCTGTTGATGCTTCAGAATCACTGGAACGCATTTAAAAAACATAAGGGTCCCTGGGCTCCCCACAGGCCTATTGAACCCCAATTTTGGGGGTGAGTTGTGAGAAATGGGATTTTCTGTCTCCCAGGTCAGGTGTCAAGCACTGTCTGGAAATTCTGATTTTGTCTAAGTCACTGCCTTTACAAGCAAAGAATCAGAGGACGGGGCCGTTGCTTGTTTTATGTCTGGTTAGTCCTTATTTCTGCCCTAAATATTCCCTGTTCGGTGGGGTTTGGCGGTCCAGCAGCCCTCTTTAAACTGACCTTTGGCCTTAGAAGGCAGTCGTTTTTCCAGGAAAAACAGCCCCAAAGCCTTTAGCATTTTTAAATAAAGTAGAACCTAATTTTCAGCCACCAGTTTCACTCTTCCTTTCTGGCCCTCTTTAAATCCCTTTTAAAACGCAGCTCCATAAAGGACATCTTTTCTCTGCCGACACCGAAATCCCCCTCACTTTACACTTGTCAGAGAGCGGCTGAGCCGAGAGCACAGCTGATAGTGTCACCTGCGTAGCTGGTGTCTCTGCGGCTGTCCCCACACCTCGGCTGTGCCTCCCACCCACTCAGGGACAGTTTCCCAGTGTCTGGGAGCCACTCACAGCTAACAGCTCCCAGGGGCAGGCACTGGATCAGAACCCTGGGCTGGGCTCCCCTCTTCTGTGAGAGCCAAACAGAGCCCTTCCTGAGTCCCATCCATTGGCAGGGTCCTACTGTTGTCCGCCCCCTCGTTCCCACTGCCAGCTCTGGGGGAGCTGGGCTGCAGCCAGGAGCCAGAGTTTGAAAGGCAAAGGAAACCTGTACCTATGTGTCTTTTGGAGGATCCAGGCTTGTGATGAGGAAGAGGAGGGAAGGGAAGGCAGGCAGGGCAGGCAGGGAAACAGGCTGTGCTGCCCAGGGGCAGGAGCATGGCTCCAATCCCAGTCCCTCCAGTTACTGCAGTCAAAACCCTGGGTAAGTTACTGTCTCCGGGTGCACCAGTCTCTCGTTTGAACAGTGGGGAGATAGTAAAGGCTCTGACTTGCAGGGGTCGAGAAGGATTAAATGAAGAAATTCACAGGGCCTGGCACTGTGCAAGCCTTCAGTAAAGGCTGAAGAAAGAAAGAAGGAAGAAAGAAAGGAAGGAAAGAAGGGAGGGAGGAAAATGGAAGCCAGGGAAGACTGAGAAAGGTAGGGTGGTTAAGACAGGGAGAGAGCAAGATGGGGAGGAGAGAGGCAGGAGGCCGAGAAGGCACGGGCTACAAGAACATATCCATGAGTCAATTTGAGAGCAAATCATACAAAGACGGGGAGCAAGTGAATGCATGAGAGGCAGAAATGAAGGGAAGACAAGGAGGATGGGAGCTACGCTCCGGGCACCCCCTGCCCCCATGCTTAGCAAATCCATATCATTGACCTGGATGTACACTCCATTCCTGTAGGTGACCACTGCTGGCTTCTGGGAAAGAGTGGAGCTGGAAAGTGGGGTACATGCCCTGAGTGGGCAGGGGGCTGGGCAAGGGGCACTTCTGGGAAGAAAAGCCAAGTCAGGAAGGAAGAACGTGCAAAGTTGAGTAACAGAGTGGTGACCATTTGTGCGGCCTGCGCACCTAGCCCCATGCTGTTTTTTCTTTTTCTTTCTTTCTTTTTTTTTTTTTTTTTTTTTTTTTTGAGACGGAGTCTCGCTGTGTCACCCAGGCTGGAGTGCAGTGGCACGATCTCGGCTCACTGCAAGCTCCGCCTCCCGGGTTCATGCCATTCTCCTGCCTCAGCCTCCCGAGGAGCTGGGACTACAGGCGCCCGCCACCACGCCCAGCTAGTTTTTTGTATTTTTAGTAGAGACGGGGTTTCACTGTGGTCTCAATCTCCTGACCTCATGATCCGCCCACCTCGGCCTCCCAAAGTGCTGGGATTACAGGCATGAGCCACCACGCCCGGCCCCATGCAGTTTTATATGCACCATATTGTTGAATCTCTCCAGGAGCTTTGGGATGTGAATATTTTATCCCTATCAGCCCCATTTACAGATGGGGAAAATGAGGCTTGGAGAAGTTCGGTGATTCTCCCAAGGTCACACAGGTAGGAGGGGGCAGATAAAAGATTCCAACAAGCATCTCTCCAGCCCCAAGTTTAGAGATTTGAATTTCTACTCTCCTGTACATCCTGGAGCCAGGGCATATTCAGACCTGGAAAGGAATGTAGAGAACACAGTGACCTCCCCATTTTACAGATGAGGTAACTGAGGTGGGGAGGTGACTTCTCTACCATCACGGAGCAAGTTCAGCAGAGTCAGCCCTGTGCTTCCCACCCAGAGTGCTTTTTCCTCCAGCACACCCTTCTGGAGTCCAAGGTGCGGGGCTATGGCGGGAGCAAGGAGAGGAGAGGGAGCTCCTGCTGAGCAGGAGGAATAGAGTGGAAAATGAGAAAAAGGAAACAGCCCCCTACAATCTCCTGCTGGGAATCATCATGAGACCCCATGGTCAGAGGGGGCAGAAAGTGAAAACCCATCTGTTCACTTATTCATTCAGTCATTTATTCATTCAACAAACATGTTGGGGCCTGCTCTGTATCGGGCCCCACTGAGGATACAAAAATAGCCAAACACGGGCTGGGCAGGGTGGCTCACGCCTGTAATCCCAGCACTTTGGGAGGCCGAGGTAGGTGGATCATCTGAGGTCAGGAGTTCGAGACCAGCATGGCCAACATGGCGAAACCCCATCTCTAATAAAAATATAAAAATTAGCCAGGTGTGATGGTGGGTGCCTGTAATCCCAGCTACTCAGGAGGCTGAGGCATGAGAATCTCTTTAACCCAGGAGGTAGAGGTTGCAGTGAGCCAAGATCGCGCCACTGCACTCCAGCCTGGGCGACAAGGCGAGACTCCGTCTCGGGAAAAAAAAAAAAAAAAAAAAAAAGCCAAACACAGGCCTTGCCTGCAGGGAGCTTATAACCCAAGCTTATAACAGTACATCTGGAACCTTGGAGGGGCGTGTGTGACTCTGGAGCTGGGGTCTCATGGCCCTTGCTGCCCTGGGGTGGGAGAGGCAGGTGACCCACTATTTCTAGCCCTGCTGCAAGGTTTTCTTAGGGGAGTAGAGGCGTGAAGTAGCAGGGGGGGCGGGCGGGGGCACCCTGAGCCGGGGCCCCAGGGAGAAAGGCCGGGGGCGGGGAACACCCAGGCTTCCCCCCTCCCTTAACTGTAGGCAGGAGATTTTCCTTTCCATTTTTTCTTCTCTGTACAACAGCAATTTAAGTTAATTAAATGTAACAATAAATTATTTCTCGCCTGCCTGGAATAATCTTTCAGTGCTCACCCACTTTGAGGGGAAGCACTGGCTCTTTGCCTTGAGATGGGAACTGGTTGTGGCTGTCACAGAAAGAGGCTGTGGGAGGAGGGCCAGGCCCGAGGCGGGATGGGGAGAAGCCTGGGCAGTCAAGAGGGCTGAGAAAGGACCCGTGGCATCTCTGTCCTCTGTGCCTAGCCTAGTTTTACTCTGGCTGGTCTCCACCTGTGGGTGGATGAGAAAAAGGTGCCCCATGAGGGTGCCCCTCTGCTGGTACACATCTTGCAAGTCTATCCCCCACTGACCCCTCCACTTGGCACTTCTGTAGCAAGAAATTCTGCAGAAACCACACAATTGCGTGTGGGGCCTGCCCTGCTCTTGTATTCAATTAGTCCGTAACTACAGATATATCCCCCGTAGGTACAGAGACGTTTCTGAAGAGTTGATTGCACTGACGCTTTATTTCTGCAAACCAGATCCCAGTATTTAAATGCAACGGCGGACCCAGCTTTTTACAGAAATCTTCATTTATGACCTCATTTCTTTTTCGCATTTAGATTTTCTTCTCTTGCCTTTGCTTAAAATAGGCTCCACCTGAACACAGTGCAAAGCAAAGCAGAGTCAGAAGGGTCGGATATTGGGATTGTGGAGCCTGCAGGACCCCAGGACCCAGGACCTTGGCCAGCAGATGGAAAGTGTGGGCTGGGGCCCTTGCCTCTGGGGTCACCAGGTACATCTTTGATCTTGGCCACACTGGAGAGTCAAGGGCTTCTCTGGGCCCCGAGTCAGGGTCCGCCAGAGTCTCCCAGGCCAGGGAAGGCAACAAGGCCTGGTTTCACTCTGACCTGCTGAACCGCCTCCGTGGAACAGGTGACTGTCGGCTGTCTCGCTGGGATGATGAGGGTGACAAGCTGGGATAATTCACTGCTCAGGAACCTGCCATGGTGCTCCAGGCCGACTGGATCCATCTCAACCCAGTGTCTGAGGCCCTCCGCAGGCAGCCTGCCACACCCCTACAAGCTCAGGACCCTCCCCTTGCCGGGAAGGCCCTCTCCCTCCCTCTGACAGCCACGTCCACTCTGCCCCGACCTCCAGCTCACCTCCCCCAGGAAGCCTGCCCTCATGGCCATGGTGCTGACCCCATCTGAAACTCCATGGTCCCCCTGCCCTCAGTCTGTGCCTCATCTTGCCATCGTCATGTATGTGTGTGTCTGTCTGTCCTTCCCCATCTCTTCTGAGTTCCTTTCCTTTTTTCCAAATCATGTACTTAGTCCTGGACTCTTTGAATGAAGGATCCCAGACCACCAAGGGGGTTGGAGACACCACTCAATCCAGTGGATTTCAAACCTAAAAAGCAACTTACCTTTTAAATGGAAAAACTCCTTCCCAAAGCAAGGCTTCCTGAGAAGGCAGAAGGACCTGGCGGAAGATGAGGAGAGGCCAGGTCCAGCCTGCGGGGCCTCCCCCAGGGCCCGGAAGGGACATCAGGAAAGCTGCTCCAGGCCAGCCCTCTGCAGTGGAGGTGCATTCTGGGGCCCAGAACAGCCAAGCTGGGCTGATGACCCTGCCGATGCTTGTAGGGACTTTATATTGCAGATGCAGGTCTCCTGGTTCCCCACAAATGGTCCATCTCCCAGTGAAGTGGGTAAGAAAGACCACATTGCCCCCACTTCGCAGATGAGGATGTTGAGTCTCAGAGGAGTCAGGTGACTCACCGAAAGCCACACAGCCAGTGACAGGACTGCCTTGGGGCTCAGCAGAAGGGCGAGGGACCGTGTTGAAGGATGGCTGTCCAGCTGTGGCTCTGCCGAAGGCCAGTGCGGTCCCTGACCCCTGGGGGCTCTGGGGACTCTCCCAAGCTGAGCATCAGTGCTAGCTGTGAAAGGAGAGAGAAAACAGGCTCCCTTTTCCCTGTTCCCCAGGAACTTGTAGGAACCAGGCCTGAGATGCCTCAGCTGCCTCCAGGCCACCCCTCCCTCCCTCCAGTGGCCTTCAGGACCCTCCCCAAAAGGTTAATTACCGAATCATCACATCAAAGGAAATTGCACTTTTGTGCCTTAAAGACCAAACTGAGCTTCAACAACACGGTTATTTATGGTCTCTGATAAGCATTTTCTGGGTGTGATTAACCTTTGTACCAAAATCACACTGGGAATTGGGATGGCAGCTTCATTCCAGCCCCATTCTGTGCTGGCCCTGGGGGTGGGGGTGTGGGTAGCAGCTGCTGCAGGCTGGAGCAGGCCATGTCAGAACCTGGCCCTCCACCCCCTCCACAGGCTCCTGCACCACCTTCCTCCCCACTGCCCATCCCTTCTTCCAAGGCGCTGTCTTGACCTGCGCCTGGCCAGCCAGAAGGCGCGACTGTCTTCATGGTTCATCTCCTTGAAAGACAGCAGGAGCACCTGCTTACTGAATCCCAGCTCCTAAAAACAGTTATGTGACATTGGGTACATCAACTACCCCAGACTTAAAATGGGAGCATGATACCCGCCCAGTCTGCTTTCCCTTCCATCCCAGGGACCCACTAGATCTTTGGAAAATCCTTTTACGCGATGCTATAATTGAGCCGCACGCACCCTTGGCCTCAGACTTTAACCTTGAAGGTTTGGCTCTTTGGTGAGTGGAGAGATTTGTAGCTCAGCTGCAAGTTTTATTTGGAGCCTTGGGGCTGCCAGGCTGTGCACGGAAGTGAGGCATTAGCCAGTGAGTGAACCTCGTGCTCTGCCAGCTTCAGCTTCAGTGCCGTTTTGATTTTCTCTACTAGTTGGAAGATAGTAAATCACATGAAGTCTTGAAAACTTGGTTCTGAAAGGAGCGCCAGTGGCTGGGACTGGTGATGGAGTGGAGGAGCAAGAGGCATCTGAGAAAGGCCAAAAGCACTTTGGTTTGATTTCAGAGAAGATGACATGTTCAGTTCACCCCATTTACCATATGCTTCGACTGTAGTTCCCACTGTTTCAGGGTGCTAGTTGTTGGTGAGAAGTGGAGGAAGCCAAGAACCCTCCCCGGGAAAATGGTTTTCATCACACACACCAACTGCATTTATTTGCAAATCTTCACACTGCCCGCTCCCCAGGTTAAGAATTCTCCGTGTTTTTTTTTTTGTTTGTTTTGTTTTTTGTTGTTTTAGCCCAGCATGGTGGCTCACTCCTGTAATCCCAGCACTTTGGGAGGCCGAGGCGGGCTGATCACTTGAAGTCAGGAGTTTGAGACCAGCCTGGCCAACAGGGTGAAACCTCATCTCTACTGAAAACACAAAACTTAGCTGGGCATGGTGGTGCAGGCCTGTAATCCCAGCTACTTGGGAGGCTGAGGCAGGAGAATTGCTTGAACCCAGGAGACAGAGGTTGGAGTGAGCGGAGATCGCACCACTGCACTCTAGCCTGGGCGACAGAGCAAGACTGTCTCAAAAAACAAACAAACAAAAAAATTCTCCATTTTAAGGGCAAACAAACAACATCCTTGAAACTTTGGGGGCCTGTTCCTGCCAGTGCAGTAATTGCCTATTGATGGAGATAGAAAACCACAGTGGAGCTTGAAGAGGAGATCAGCGGATGGTGAAGAGGAGATCAGCGGATGGTGGGAGGAAAAATGCAGGAAATCTCTGGACTTTTCATGGAAGTATGATTCCGGAATAAGGCAGAAGCCCTCACAAACCTTCCACAGAGCAAGAGGTGGCACAGGCACAGATTCTGCTACAGAGCAGACCTTTCCAGAGAGGAAAGGTTGGTTTGGGAATTTTAAGAAGCATTTTTCTTTGCATAACGCAACACCAGTCCTCTGTGTTTAGAAAATGCCTGTGTGAACCATCACATTCAAGAGAGGGACACAAGTGTCAGGGTTCTAGGCAGCCAAGGGAAGACTAGCCCTTTGCCTGGCATTTGGCTTCATTTTCTGACGAATCAAGATTTGCTCTGCTCCTCTGTGCACGCCAGGACATTAAGATGCGAGAATAAGAACTTATAGCCTGTATATTTGCCATCTAATTAGTGTCTTGGGTCCTAAGTGCTTTGTGCCGAGGTGGTTTTCGTGCACTTAGGCTGGTCTAAGTGCTCTACTTGTGAGCCTCACGGGCACAGGGTCCAGTGAGTGTACAGAGTGCACTGGGAAAAGGGGTACATTGGAGGGAGAACTGAGCTGCTTTGCTTTGGAGAGTTGGGCAGGTACTACTAAGCAGACGGGCCCTGGAACTGGCCTCTGAAGAATGCAGAGTTGACCAGGTGACCAGGGGTGGGGGGTGGCACAGACTGCATGGGCAGAGGGTTGCAGACATGAGAAGGATCCCAGATACTGGGAGATAATAAGTAATTGGATGGAAATAGAACGTGATGTGCCTTCAAGGTGGGGGATATGAAAGACCGGAGCACGAAGCACAGCTTAAGGATTAGATGGATAAGTGGAATGTCAGGCAATGGGGCTGATATTGTCAAATAGGATGCCTCCAGTTTCTTTTCTTTCTTTTTTATTTATTTTATTTATTTATTTATTTTGAGATGGAATCTTGCTCTGTTGCCCAGGCTGGAGTGCAATGGCGTGATCTCGGCTCACTGCAACCTCCACCTCCTGGGTTCAAGCAATTCTCCTGCCTCAGCCTCCTGAGTAGCTGGGATTACAGGCATGCCACCATGCCCAGCTAATTTTTGTATTTTTAGTAGAGATGGGGGTTTCACCCTATTGGCCAGGCTGGTCTCAAACTCCCGACCTCAGGTGATCCGCCTGCCTTGGCCTCCCAAAGTGCTGGGATTACAGGCGTGAGCCACTGCACCTGGCCAGTGTCTCCAGTTTCTTTAATTTGCCTGTGGCTGAGCTGGCTCTGGGAGCCCTAGTTTGA
Organism: Homo sapiens; assembly: GCF_000001405.40. NCBI lineage: Eukaryota > Metazoa > Chordata > Mammalia > Primates > Hominidae > Homo > Homo sapiens. The sequence continues at coordinate 505,863 of NT_187663.1, forward strand.
GAGAGAGAGTGCGTGTGTGTGTGTGTGTGTGTGTGTGCGCGCGCGTGCGCGTGTGTGCATGTGTGTGTGTTGGGAGGTGGCGTGGGCAGATGTGGGGTGGGAAACGAGGAGTGATGATTTCTAGTCCCCTTCTAGAAGGGGCCTCTGGCCCTAGCATCTGAACTGCCCCTCTCCGGGGACAGAGCCGAGCCTGGGTCCTTGCTGATTGCTGAGCGGGCAGTGCAGCTTTGTCATGAGGACACTTTGCTTTCTGCTTAGCTGGCAAGAGCCACCGGCTGGCCTGGTGGCCTCCTCCTCTCTCTACTTCTGCATTTTCACTTGGAAAATGAGGGTAAAGATATTTCTCCATCTCTCTGGAGACTGTGAAGTTTAATTACTGATTAATAAAGTGTTGGAAGTTCCTTGAGGCCAGAGAGATGAATGGGTTTGTTATCATCACTCCTGAGTCCCAGGCGCGAGTTGGCTAACCCCAGTGCCATCTTGCTGAGTGTCCCGTGTGCAGAGCACAGGATGGGGGTGTGAGGCTGGGGTTATGCTTCAGAACCTGGAGCTTGGTCCAGGGCAGAGAGACCCCTATGAGAGTATCAGCAAGGGAATGGAGTGAACAAAACCACTACAAACTCAGGCACTACCGACTCGGGGGACCATGTGGGTGAGTCATGGGTAGTGGGGACCAGGCTCTGACGAGGAGTGGGCACTCTTCCCCTGGACCTTGGAATGTGGGTGGGAGAGAGGGGAGCAGAGTCTGCCTTCATCATCGGGACAGGACTGGGAGGGAGTGGGTACCGTGAAAGGGGGTGGCCCTGGTGGGGTGGGGTGAGATAAGGGAGAACATTCCCGGCAGGTGAACATGGAAAAGGCAGGTCAGTTTGCTTCTAAGGACAGGGAGAAGGTCCTGAGATCCGAAAAGGGTGAGTGGAGAGGAGTCCAGGGAAGAGAGGATGGACACCCCTGAAGGATATGGGGCAGGCAGGGAAGGAGGGATGGCGTCTGGCTTGGGAAGATGGCGCATGAGTGGGGCCCGACTGGAGTGAAGCAAGTGAGGCATTTCCTCAAACCTCAGTAATCGCAATAGATAATTTTTTTTTTTTTGAGATAGAGTATTACTCTATCGCCCAGGCTGGAGTGCAGTGGCGTGATCTCGGCTCACTACAACCTCAACCTCCCGGGTTCATGCAATTCTCCTGCCTCAGCCTCCCGAATAGCTGGGATTACAGGTGCCTGCCACCATACCTGGCTAATTTTTGTATTTTTAGTAGAGACGGGGCTTCACCATGTTGGCCAGGCTGGTCTTGAACTGCTGACCTCGTGATCTGGCCTCCCAAAGTGCTGGGATTACAGGCATGAGCCACTGCACCCGGCCATGATAGATAATATTTTAATATCATTACTGACTTTTTCCCTTTTTGCCCCAAGCTCCAACATGGCCCAGCACTGTTACTGAGCCTATCTTTCCTTTAAAAAGTTTTTGATATTTTGCTCATCATGGATTTTTTGGCGTTAATCTTTATTTTAAAAAAATAATTATGTTAAAATATTCCGTATCTTGACGACTAAGATTTTCGATGCTCCCTTCACTTTTGCACTCACCACGTGGAGTCCCGGCCCCTTGTGAGAAGGCTGCGTGCTGCCTGGGCTGGCCACCGACCTGCTTCTAGCCTACACCCTAGAAGTCTTTGCTCACCAAGGGACTTGACAAGCCCCTACCTCTCTCCCGATCTTATTTTCCTGCTGTGAAATCCCAAGCTGGCTTCCAGAGCTAAGGGTCTGTGTCTGAGGCTCTGTAGTGAAATTTGCAGTTGGTACAGAAATGGGCTGGGGCTGAGACACCTGGCCATGGGGTTGGGGGCCTCAGAAGGAGCAGACCCCAAGAAGAAACAGCAGAGAAGTGATGAAGAGAGCAGCCTCCCATGAGGCCTCTTGGGCTTCAGGCTCACCACCCTGTCTGGGAACTCTGCTGGTGGCCGGGCACCCAGCTCCCCACAGCCAGAGGGGAGGACCGGTTACAATGCTCCCCTCTCCCTGCCCCTCACTCATGCTTCTTAACCCCTTTTGAATCAAATCCCAGGGGAAACAGCCACCTCTCCTCCAACAACTAAATAAAAACCACTAAGTTCAGATCAGTTAACATATCCTTCTTGAGTGCCTATTGTATACCAGAAACACAATGTCATTCATTCATTTCTTCAGCAAAATTGAGTGCAATGAACAAAATCCCTGCCCCTACAGAGCATGCAGGGCTATTTAAAGGACTTCAATATACATACATCATGTAAGCTTAAAGGGGGTGGGACAGTTAGACCCATTTTTACAGGTGAGGACACTGAGGCACACAGAGGTCAAGTCCCCTGCCCATGGCAACACAGCGTAACGGGGGGCTGGACACTCGGCCTCTCTCTTGACTCTAACCCTGTCGGGAGGGGGGTAATGCGATGGTTGTGTGGGTGGGTTTAGTTGAAGAAGGGGCAGCCCTCCAGGTATAGGGCCTATGCCACTCCCTTCCCAACTGGGCTAAAATTCTGGAATCAGAGTGACACGGAGCCTTCAGGGAGGTTAAAGGGCAAAGGTCTGCCCTAGAATAGGGTGTCCATCTTTCCAGACACATTTATCCCTTACCTCTCTGTGCCTCAGTTTCCTCATCTGCAAATAGGCACAGCCACACCAACCCCAGGGAAAATTTAGTGTCACGGCAGATGTACAAGAGCTTGATAAATGGTGAGGCACAATTTGTGATGACGGATAATTAGGCAGGCGGGGATGAGGGCCCAGGAAACTGTTCACAAAACAAGAGGCCAGCTCTGGAGGAAGGGAGGGAAGTGGGTGCACGCATGGGGATGTCAGCGGCCATGGTGGTCAGCGGGCCGGTGGGAGGGTGTGTGTGTGTGTGCACATGCACACGTGTATATGGTGGGACACCGTTGGACCATGTTCAGGATTCCATGGGGATGGAGGTGGCTTCCTCTGGCCGCACTCAGCCCCTAGGGGTAAAATTCGCCTCTTCCCTAGGAGCCTGGGCTCCTGATCCTGTCAGCTTCCCTGCCAGGCCCCTCCAAGAGCAGGGCAACTCCAGACCCTCCAGGCAGAGAGGACCCAGAAGGAGGAGAGAGGAGATGAGGGGCGGGTGTCTGGGAAGCGACTGGATGTGTGACAGGGTGGGAGGGGAGGCAGGCAGGTGCAGTGTCACCCCTGCAGTTTTCCTGGGTGATGGAGCAACATGCTCATGGCTCATGGCACCTGCCTAATGTGTCCTTCGCCTCCTGTGCCTGCAGGCCCTTCTCCTTCTGGGGCTGAACCCCGTCTCTGCCTCCCTCCAGGACCAGCACTGCGAGAGCCTGTCCCTGGCCAGCAACATCTCAGGTGAGTCCCCTCAACCCCCTCCTGCAAGATTCCTGGTCACCACAATGCCCCCTACCCCAGGTATCCCAGAGCCTGCACACAGAACCATGCCCTAAGGCAGGATTTGCAGAGTCATTTCCTCTCCAGGGCTCCAAGCAATTCTTCACATCTCCACCGAGCACCGTGTTGAGAAGGATCCTGAGGTTGGGTGTAAGGTTGGTGGGGAAGAGCTGCAGTTGGTTAGTAGCACCTGCCGTGGGCACAGGAGTTTGCAGCAAGGATTCTGAGTAGTTATCTTCCCTGCTTTAGGGTGGGCACAGGGGAGGGCATCCCAGCCCTTGCTGCTGAGTTGTGACTCGGGGAGGCATCAAGGGACGGAGGAAAGGCTGCCACAGTCTGTGGCTAAAAATGCCCAGAGTGTAATACTCCACGGTGCTAACCCGTGCCAGGCACTGATCAAGGACTGGAGCTGTATTAACCCAATTTGCACAATGTCCCTCTGAAGTAGGTGCTGTTGCCCCCATTTTACACATAAGAAAACTGAGGCACAGAGAACTAGTAAGCGCCAGAGCCCTGAGTGGAGCACGGGCAGCCCAGCTTCTGGTTGTGGTCTCCAGCGCCGTGCTCTGTATCTCTCCAATAGAAAAGACAGCATAGCTGCAAATATTGTTAATATCTGTGTCACTTTACCATTTACAGAGTGCTTTTGCATAATCATCTCGTTTCATCCTCACAAGAGTGTAAAGCCGAACGTTTGTACAGTTGAGGAAACTGAGGCATGGGAGAGTTACATAACCCCCATGGCACCATGCAGCCAGTACATGGCAGTGACTGGGACCCAAATCTAGGTGTTTGGGCTGCCTAGGGCATGTCTTTTAAAACTTTGGGTGTGGTCCTGGGCATGGCTGCTGCTGGGCAAAAATGGAGAGGGTCCCTGCACCTGAGTGTCTTTGGAAGGCTTGTGGACCTTCTATTTAAGTCTTCAAGCCTCTCCTTGATTCACACCAACTCTTTCATGAAGCACCTACTACACAGCAGGCCCCACGCAGGGCACTGGGGGAAACAAGGGGGCTCACAGGCTAGTCTGGGCATCGAATCCACAAATGCATGTGCGATGAGGCAGAGTGGAAGACGCATGCTTGCAAAGAAACAGACGCAAGTGTCTGCAGGCGGGCAGGAGGCCTTCATTTCTGAAGGTGGCTCTGTGGGAACAGGAGGCCTCCACATCTCATGGTAGCTGCTTCCTGGCCAGCTGTTCCTTCACTAGGGAGAGCCTGGGGGCAGAGGAACAAGCCCTGGACTTGGAGAAGGCACACTGGGTCCCTGTGCTGGCTCACAGAAGGTGCCTGGTCATGTCCCGGCTAGGGGTGGGTACTGGTAGCCACAGGGATGAGCATACCCTCAACCCCTCTTGAACCTCACCTTGCCCAAGTGTAGAGGGATAGGGGGGCTGTTACCTGCCCCAAGGATCTCTTATGAGATTCAATGTACTAAGTTTTATGGCAATATTTCACAAACTGTAAACTGTAGAGTGTCATGCCAGTACTAGGTTTGGTTTGGTTTGGTTTGGTTTGGTTTGGTTTGGTTTTAGAGATGGGATCTCACTCTATCACCTAGGCTGAAGTGCAGTGGCACAATCATAGTTTAGTGCAGCCTCGATCTTCTGATCTCAAGGAATCCTCCTCTCTCAGCCTCCTGAGAAGCTAGGACTACGTGCACACCACCATACCTGGCCTAATTTTTAAAATTGTTTTGTAAAGACAGGGTCTCAGTTGCCCAGGCTGGAGTGCAGTGGCACAATCATAGCTCACTGCAGCCCAGATCTGGGCTCAGGTGATCCTCCTGTCTCAGCCTCAGCAGGCTTTTAAAAGGCTTACTGTATAGCTGGAATGAAGGGAAGGTACTTGCCAGTAATTGCTCATAATGATGGAGGGAGCAGGGAGGCTAAGCAGGGGTGGTGCAAATCCAGGGAGGCTTCCTGAAGGAGGAATTTTCAAGGTGAATATTAAGAGACACTGTTAGTGTGAACTGGCAGAAGAGAGCCAGTGCTGTGAGCTACAGCAGGAGGTGAGCAAGGACCAGTAGGTGGGTTTGGCGGAAGGACCAGGAAGAAGTGAGGAGGGAGGAGTGGGAAACTGAGAAGGTGCTAGGAGCCCAGAGCATCTGGCTGCAAAGTTGATTAAGCTGTGCTTGGGGAATGGGGAAGTAAGTTCTTGAGCATGAGTCTGGAGTTCTAGGAGAGAGAGATGGGGAGGGAGGAGAGCTGCTCAGAGGCTGGGCCTGAGAGGAAAGGCCCTATCCCCAGCTCCCCCATGCTCTGGGGCCAGGTTAGGCTCTATCAACTTGTTCGTTATGCTCAGGAGGAGAGACATCCCTGAGCCCACAGAGGTGTCACCTGTCCTTGGAGCCAGCAGGCCATGATGAATAGTGTTCATTCCCTAGTGATTTGTACTCTGTGCCCGTGCCCCCAGCCCAGCCCAGCCTGCCTGGCTGCATGGCACGCGATCCATCACCCTCCACGATGGCCTCTGATAATGGGCCATTTGTCTTCTGACTCGTAGACCTACCCAGACCGACGGGCACTGGTAGAGACAGATGGTGAGGGTGGGGCGGAGGGGCGAGACAGATGGATGGGCGTCTGGCCGGGGCGGCTGGCACCGAGCCAGGGCCTTTGGGGGGCCTTTTACGTGCCTCATGCCAGGAACTGGGAGAGAGTGGGTCCCCAGGGCTGAGGCCTATCATGTGGCAGACCACAGACTTGGCGACTCATAAAATCATGGCATGAGTATGACAATGCCAGGAGGTAATAGAATCATTTACTAATGACATCACAGACAAATAGAATCTGAGTTGACAATTACCTGGGTTCATCAGTTCTCATCTCTGGTCTTAAGGTAGTGAATGATAATTAATAATAGCTAGGCCAGGCACGGTGGCTCACGCCTGTAATCCCAGCGCTTTGGGAGGCCGAGGCGGTCGGATCACTTGAGGTCAGGTGTTCGAGACCAGCCTGGCCAACATGGTGAAACCCCGTCTCTACTAAAAATAAAAATAAAAAATTAGCCGGGCTTGGTGGTGGGCGCCTATAATCCCAGCTACTCAGGAGGCTGAGGCATGAGAATCGCTTGAGCCTCAGAGGCCGAGGTTGCAGTGAGCCCAGATCACGCCACTGCACTCCAATCTGGGCGACAGAGCGAGACTCTGTCTCAAATAATAATAATAATAATAATAGCTAATGTTTATTTAGTGTCCACTGTGTGTTGGACGCCATTCCAAGTGCTTTAATCTCATTCAATCATTACAATACTGTAGTCAGGAATATTTTTATCCACATGTTACAGTAGAGGAACCTAAGGCTCAGAGAAGTTAAACGAGTTGCCCAAACACACTAAGCAGTTACTAAGCAGTGGCTGCAAGATATGAACCATGTGGGCCTGACTTCAGATTTTGCCACCAGCACTGCGTTATGCGGCCACTCAGAGCCAGGGTGCCCAGGGCCCGGTGTAGTCAGCCGTCTAGGGGTGCAGGGCCACCCCTGCAGTTTTCCGTACCCACACTAGGTTTGCACACGGCCCCATATTCTCCTCCATGCCTCCCGTATGCCTGGCACTGTACTAGCTGCTGGGAAGGCAAAAGTGAAGAGCCCACAGACCCGCAGGACAGGAGGGCCATCCACTTGTCCTGATGGATCACACACCCTACAGAGGCAGCTTTCTTCTCTGCCCAGCCAAACAGAAGGCAGCTCAGCCATGAGGTGGCCGAGCAAAGACCAGGTTTCTGCCACCCTCTCCATGCCAGGGGACCCAGGCAGAGGCCCTGCCCATTCATCCCACAGCACATTCCTCTGACTGGGCAAGAACGTGTGTTTCACAGGCTGCCCTTGGGCCACCTGGCTGCTCCCCCTCTGGACAGCCTGGGCTGAGTCCCCCTCCTGGGTTTAAGCCAAATAGGGGGAAGGGCTTCCCAGCCTCAGGGCTGCTGCCAAGTGCCCACCTCCAGAAGCCGCTGATGGGAGACCCGACGTAACTGGGACAGAGCCAGGTTCCAGCTTCCTCTGAAGTTATCTACCATGGGCGGATCTGCCAAGCACACGTGGACCCTGAGCCTGATGGGAGGCAAACTGTGTAACCTACCTGGGGGAAGAAGCCAGTGCCTGATTGTGCACAGCACTAAATAGGCCACCTTCAAAGGGCTCTTACCTGTTCACTAAAGCAGCCCTCCCAGGACCCTGACCCCGCAGGGTTTCTTCCCTGGCAGGTGGGAGCCCTCCACACCTCTCCTCTGCTCTCCCTTTGCAGGGATTTGAGGCAGTCTGACCAGAATGCGGGCCCCACGCATTTGTTCTGTGCATGTATGGGGAAGGAGGAAGATATAGGACCGGTTTTTGCATTACTTTAGTCCACTTGACTCCAGCAGCTCACCCTCAACCTAAAGGCCTGTGGTGACGTGCGCTGGTGAGTGGGTTGGTTCTACTCCCACATCCCCAACCAGGAAAGACCCTGAAGGCGTCTACCTGCCCCGTGAATGAGGGAGTGAGCCACAGAGTGATAGGAACGTTGACACCTCAGACACACCAAGCACACACCTGCTCCGGGGGTCCTTGTACTTGCAGTTGCCTCTGCTGAGAACACTTTCCCCGCAGGTTTTCTCCCTCACTTCCTTTAGGTATCTGCTTAAATGGTAGTACTTTAGAAGCCACCACACTAAAAGAGCACCTTGGTCAGCCTTTATCTCTTTGCACTGCTTAGTTTTTCTCCATAGTATTTCTCACTGGTTAACAGAAATGTGTGTGTGTGTTTGCTGCCTCTCCACTAGAATGTAAGCACCATGAGGACAGGGCATTTATTTGATTCATTATTATATCCCAAGCCCCTTGAACATTTCTTAGGTAGTCAGTAAATAACAGCTGTCTCTTGGTATCCATGGGGCACTGGTTCCAGAACTCCCCATGGATATCAAAATGCAGGGATGCCCAAGTCACTGATATAAAATGGAGTAGTATTTGCATATAACCTATGCACATCCTCCTGTATACTTTAAATCATCTCTAGATTATTTCTAATACCTACTACAATGTAAATGTTATATAAATATAAATAGCTGTTATACTGTACTGTTTAGGGAATAATTTCAAGAAAAAAGTCTGTACGTGTTCAGTACACTTTTCCCCAAAACCTATGGATATGGAGAAACAATTGTACTTGTTAAATAAAGAGCAAAGTCACTATTCCTTAATTTACCAGGAGAGGCACTGTGGGACAGGGAGCTGTCAGGAGGCGTTGGCACCTAACAGCACCTCTGCCTTTGTGCAGCTGGTTGGTAAATTGGCTTGGCTATTTGCAAGGTTGGATTACTCTGGTCCAAATTCCTCCTCATCCCAGGACTATGACGGCTGACTAGGAAAATACCTCCACCTGCCAGGAGAGCAGAAGAGGTCAGGCTTTTGTGGCACTGGAACTGGAGGGAGGGGACATTGGCCCAAGAATCAGAAGGTCCTTGAGGTCCTTATAGCCATCAAGCTGAGTGACACAGAAACTGACTTCCTGCCTTCTCCCCTTCCCAGCTAGGGGATGGACACCCTCTCTGTCCCCAGCACCTGTGAAATGATCTTTCTCTCTGCCTCCTTCTCCTGACTTCCCGCCTGCCTCTCTCTATTTCTTCCTTAGTGTCTTCTTCTCCATCTTTTTTCCTCTGTCTCCCCACCTCTCTCCTGGCCCACTTGGCCTCCCACCTCCCTCCCTCTCCGCCTGTTTTCTCCTCCTCATTGTAGTCGGGTGGCTTAAGTGAGTGGCATGAATTAAGTCGTGCAAAGCGCCTTTCACAGTGCCTGGTTTATATTATAGTAGTGTCCAACAAATGATCCCCCTCAAGTCCTATACACAATTTCCCTTCTGAGGCCTTGTCCCTACAGGGTCCCAGGGACCCCCCACTCTCCTCCTCCCTGGACTCGGTGTCCGCAGGACGCAGGATGGCGATCTGAAATCCTTGTGGGGATTTCAGACACAGAGACACTAAGGCCCAGAGAGGGCAGGACCCCGAGGCCTTATGGGAAGGCACCGAGCCCACAAGGCAGTCCCAGGCCGGGAAGTCCAGTGGACAGTGCCAACTGGCCAGGAGCGTGGCGCCTGAGGCCCTGTCCTGCTGCCTCCTCCCTGCCCTTGTCCTCTAGGTCCCCTCCCTTCTAACTCCACTCCGCGGCTGAGGCCCTTGTGCCTTTGGCCACGCCCCCCCAACCCCCCCACCCCAAGCCCCTGACCCAGCAGGAGTGCTGACCTTTCACTCGGGGATGGGGGAACTTTGTCTCCTCGCCCCTTTTCATTTGGCTTCTCCTCCCCGTTCTTGCAGCCTCTCTCTCCCTTTCTTCCCGTCTCACACAGACTTTCAATTCCTTCCAGGATTTTCTGGGCTCTTAATGTAAAGGTTGCCACTGATGCTGTGTCACCAGCGCCCCCTCTGTGCATCCTTAGGAGCTGCGGGGGCCAGGAGGGAGGGGGAGGCGCGGCGCTGCTGGGGAACTGGAGTCGCAGCTCTGCGATCGAGGGGCAGCTGCCCAGATCAGGGCCAGCTGTGCAGCTGTGGGCAGCACCCTGAGCTGGCATCAAAAGATGAGCATTGAAAATCCACTCCCGTCTCAGTATCTTTGGTTACTGATTGTCTTGGAATAAGCCATTTGGCCACTTTGGCCTCAGTTTTCTTATCTGTAAAACAAGAGAGAATTAGCACCCATGGTGGCATAGTAGGTGGCTGGGAACCATACCACAGAGGAGAGGCAAATGGCTTCTGACCTGCCCACCCCTTGAAGGTCTCCACGTCCCTGGCCAGCTGTGGACGGGGTCAGGCCTTTGGTTAGAGCCCTTAGAGCTCCCAGCAGTGGCCGGTGCAGGTCCTCTAGGCCAGAAGGCCTATCCTCAGTGGCTGGCCTCTGCCTCGGCTCTGGCCTCGTCCTCGCTGTGGCTGGTGCCCAGTCCTTTCCTGCCCTCCGTGCCTTGCGAAAGCAAGGCGCAAGAAGACTGGCCGGGGAAGGGAAGAAGGAAGGGCAGGGGCCACACTGATGGAGAGGGTGTGTTCCGTGTGTTCATTCCAGACGCTGCCACATGGAACATTACATTTGAGCCTAGCTCCCTAGATACTGTGGATGAATGAGTGAGGAGTGAATGAGCAAGCTACTGAGGAAGGTACAATGGTGCCATCAAATGAGATGGCATATGTCATGTGTGCCTGGCACACAGTCAGCCCTCAACAAACGCTGCTCCCTTCCTGCTGCCCCCTTAACTGTCCCTCACCCCCTGTGACTGACTCACAATGTGGCGTAATGGAAAGAGCACTAGATTTAGAGTCCAAAATACCTGCCTATGAGTCTTGGTTCTTTCACCCATTGACCCATGACCTTGGAAAAGTCACCTAACTTCCCTGGGCCTCAATTTCTTCATCTGTAGAAAGGAAATAATCACATTGCCAGATGTGTGAAGATCAAACGAAATAGATGAAGAGCTTTGAAACAGCAGGGCATGGCCTCTATACGATCCTCCCCTCCCCGCGGCCACATGCCCCCAGCTCTCCCCCCAAGTCCCTGTCCCCGGGCTCAACACTGTCAGCAGGATCCAGGACAGGTTAAAATCCCAGCCTGGTACGCCGTTGCCTCGGATGGCCCTGCTTCCTCACTCCACTGCTTCCACTGCCACTCCGTGATAACATTCACAGAGACTCCGCTGTGGCACAGCACCTGGGCTTGGCCCACTCCAGCCGCCTGGCCCGCAGTCACCTCGTGTCCATTAAGCCCCAATCCAGATTTCTTTCTCTTTCAATTAAGCCACTTGGCCTGAAGGCCTCTGCCCCTTGAGTCCTGATTTGCACAAATGCCCTATGAATAGCTTTGATTAGAAAGAAAAACCAGCATTTGGTACAAGTGCTGCTCGGCACTGCCCTGAGTCCAGCAGAGAAAGGGAGCCAATTTAACCCAGTGCTGTTTCCTGAGAGACTGGGGACAAGCTAATTTGGGGAGGAGATGGCAGGCAGCCCCAGCCAGGGCTTGGCAGCTGCTAAGGCCTCGGCCCAGGCCTGAAGAGGCTGCCCCCACCCGCGCTGGTTCATGGTTCCTGGCCCTCCGTGGCTTGTCTGTCCACTCTTGTGCCAATTCTAGGTTATTAACCTGGGGACGCTGGGGCTCAAAAGGACTGGTGTGCCAGCCTCACTCAGAGGGAGGCACTAAAAGGCAGAGAAAGAAGGGGCAGCCTCAGGGGGGTGCCAGGACTGTGCCAGCCCCCACCCTTTGGAGGCCATATCCACCCTCCCCTCCTGAAGTGTCACTGGGCCTCAACTCTGCCCCAACATCCTCTCTCTCTCGCGTGCTCTCTCTCTCTCCTCCAAAAAGCAAATATTTGGAAGGGGACTTTGACATCTTCTTTCTAGTTCAGATGTTTATATCTCTTTGAGTCACAGACCCCTTTGAGAATCTAATGAAAGCCGTGGGCCCATTTCCCCATTAAAATGCATGTATACACCAATATTTTCATTACATTCAGGGTCTCTGTGAACTGTTGAAGTTTCCAGTGGGCTGAGATTAAGAATTTCTGATCTGGTTCAACCACTTGATTTTATTATAGATGAAGACAAGACACTAAGGCCCAGAGAGGGCAAGTGACTTGCCTATGATCTCACAGCAAATTAGTGGCACAGCCCATTCTGAAGCAGTGGGCCCAGACTCCCAGTTCAGTGTGTCCTTTCCACTCCCCCAGATGGTGTCTCCCTCCCTTTCCTCTCCATAGCTCACTTCTCCATCAGTCCTGTCCTAGGGCCCTGCACAGAACAAAGTACACGTGACGTATGGTCAGTAAGTGTGGTTAACAGGCCAGCCGGAAGAAGGAACAGGCCAGCCGGAAGGAGGGCCAACTTCATTTAGCTGGTTCTTCCCTGCAGGGCCAGGGTAGATGTGGTTTGATTGCAGAGACGTGAGGGGCTAGGTCAATGATTGGATGGGTCTGTTCCAGGGTGTTCCTGTGATGTCTCAGAGCTCCAGGCTGTCACCATGCGAGGGACCAAGAGAAATGTCCTTAGGCTACAGAGCAGGGGACCAGAAGCATGCCCAGGCTTCCTCTAAATGCCAGGACCTTAGCTTTTAACACCACCTCCAGCCATCTCTCTTCCTCCTCTGCTCTGGAACCCATGCTGGCTCCCTAGTACCATAGCATCAGATTCAGATTTCTTCCCCTTGTGTCTTCTTTGCATAGGATGAGCTCATTTCTGCACTGGTCATTGTTGTCATCCTGTCCCTAGCTGGTGTGAGTGGGAACGAGTGGGGAGGTGGGCAGAACTCTGGAATGTCCTCTGCCTGCCTGGGGCCTTGGCCGGATATCTTGCTGTGCCTTACCAGCCGTCTCTGCCCCCAGGACTGCAGTGCAACGCATCCGTGGACCTCATTGGCACCTGCTGGCCCCGCAGCCCTGCGGGGCAGCTAGTGGTTCGGCCCTGCCCTGCCTTTTTCTATGGTGTCCGCTACAATACCACAAGTAAGGAAGAAGTGGAGGGTGGACCATCTGCTGGGAGGTGGGACAGGATGGGGAGAGCTTGGAGGTGGGGGAAGGAAGAATGACGATGACAATAACAGTAATACCTCTTGTGGGGATCGCCCCTGTTTTCCAAAGGTCAGCGCTGTATTCTCCTGGGTGCCCTGTGCTCATTACTCGTGATTCTCACAATACCCTTGCAAGACACTATCACGCCTCCTATAACTAAGGCCCCTGGGGCTCAGGGAGGTTAGGGAACTTGCCCCATTGGCAGCTGGTAAGGGGTGAAGCTGGAATTTGCATCCACGTCTGTCTGGCACTTTCTTCTGCCATTAAACTTCAGGTTAGTCTGTTTGAGCCTACTGTAATACCATGAAGCAGGGCAGGAATCATCAGAGCCCCAGCTGTGTGGATAAGAACCTTGAGTCGAGAGGTTCTGAGGCCTACCCCGGGCCCTCCAGCCAGGAGGCAGGGGACCCAGAGTTTCAGATGCACAGGCACAGGCTCAACTTGCATCCTGGATTTGTAGGTGGAGTGGGGCAGGACGGGGTTGACCCAGGGTCCGTCGGATACTTGATCCTCATGTAAACACCTGGCTCCCCGGAGGCCCGAAACCCCCAGAGCCGGGCTTTGCAGCTCCCTGCTATTCCGCCTGCCACTCTCAGAATTAATTTGCTCTCCCCTGTCAATGAGTCAGGTCCCTGCTTATCAAGAGAGCAACAGCTGTGGGCCAGGAGCCCTAACCTACCTGAGGGGAGGCTGGGGGCCTGATCCCTGCAATTGGGGCCTCCTGTGTGCACCCTTGGGTCCTTGTGGTCTTGAACTCAGAGTCCCAAGAGGGCACAGGGGTGACCCCAGACACCATGTAGTTTACTCCAAGACTCACTGTGTGACCTCCCAGCACATTGTTGCCCCTCATCTGGCCCTCAGCCCCTCATCTGAGGATGGAGAGGGCTGGATGGCTTGGCTTCTAAGATGTCTTCCAGCTCAAAACTCCCAGATTCCTTCTCCTGCCCCTCTTTCCTCTACCAGATGGATTTGGGGTGTTAAGGTTGGGGGCTACAGCAGAGGAGTAGGAAGACCCAGCCAGAAAGTGACTCCCCAGGGAGTGACTTGGGAGGCCAGGGCAGGGCAGGAGGCTGGGGCAGCCAGATCTAGCAGCCTCGTGTGTCTGTACCATGTCCTGGCCATGGGAGGGACTCGGGAGAGGGAGAAGACACACTGGGAGGGGCTTGGGGGCCAAGGGGAGGAAGTGCAGAAAGGAAGAAGGGCCTCTTGGCCAGGTCAGTCCAAGGGGTGCACAGTTGGCCAGCCCCCAATATAGTCAGGCCCATTTTGTAATAAGGAAATTGAGGCACAGAGAGGCTAATAACCTATCGGAGGTCGCAGAGCCTGGAGGCAGGGTCACAGCCCAGGGACGATAACTCTCACGATGCTGGGGGCTGAGTCCTTCTGGAGCCCCTAGGAAGGAGGCAGCATCTGCACATCAGAGGAGCTTCCAGGAGGAGGCACCAGTTCCTGTCATGTCCACTTCCAGAGTGATCCTCGTGTCTGGGCCTACCTGCCCCCACTCCCCAGCGCCACCGCCCAGCCTCAGGTTTCAGATCTGAGTTGGTCACTCCTTCACTTGGAATCCACTCTTGTGTGGCCTCCGTGTTCAGGCTGCTGGGTGGGGCCGGCCAGGCTGTCTGTGGTCATGGCCCTGTCACCTTTTGCAGCCAGCCCTGGCCACCCCCCATGAGTTCCCTCTGCTCCCGTTGCAAAGGGTTACTTGACATGCTCCAGATAAACATTTTCAGCCCTCAGTGCCTGGGCACACACTTCACTTGCTGGCCCTGCCTGAAGTGGCAGTCAGGAGTCCTAAGTTCTCATTCCAGCTGCATCTGCAGCTGGTTAAGTAGCCCTTGGCACAGACCTTCTGTGGGCCTCAGTTTCTACACCTGCAGAATGGGTGGGAGGATTGAGTGTGGTGCTCTCTAGGCTCCCCCGCGCTTCCCTCTGTGATCCCAGGAAAGGAGCTGGGGTGATGGCCTCTCGACATGGGGTCAGTCTGTGAGGGCAGGGCTGGAAGACCCCTTTCCAGGTGCCTCCAGCGCCAGATGAGGTGGAGCACGCCCGTGCAGTCAGTCACAAGTGGGTACCCAGAGCTGCACCTCATCATTAAGCACTAATTAATCCATTTACTGATGAGTTGCTGCCAGGACTTCTAGGCCTTCTCCCTAATGCCCTCCCTCCTGCTGCATCTGATCTTCAAAGGGATGGGAAGCATTTCCAAAAATATCTATTTTCCCGTGATTCTTTGGGAGGACTGCTCAGCTCAGCAATTAAAGACAAGGAGGTCGCATCCTCCCTGGCAACGGCTCCCTGCTTGTTGGGCCTGCTTTCTTTCGGATCACCTCCTTTCTCCCCATCAAAGCCTGCTCCCTCTGGGTGACCCAGCCTCTGATGGGACTCCTGACTCTCCCCCACATGTCAAGGGGGGCAAGGGTGTTGAGCAAAGGGGCTCCTCCCACAATATCCACCGGTACCCTTTGATGGGGACAAGGGACACGCTCTGAGTCTCACGTAAGGTTATATAAATACAGCTCCAAGACAATAATAATAAAAATAACAGCCAACATCACATCCCAGGTACAGTTCCAAGCACCTTGTGCATGTTAACTAAAAATATTCAACTCTTGATGTAGGAGCTGCTATTCAGATGCTCTCACTTACAGAGGAGGAAGCTGACAGGTTTCGGGATTTGCCCAAGGTCACACAGCTAGTGGAAGGTAGTGCCAGGATTTGATGCTAGGCTGTCTGGGTCCAGGGGCCACGCTCTTAGCACTACTCCATGCTGCCTCTTAACTCAAGAACCACCCCACCCCATCCCACCACCCCCGGGCCCCTTCCAGCCGGATCTCTGTCCCAAAGCCCCTATCCCTGGAGGTATTTCAGAGCAGCCTCTGGTCCCGGGACTTCCCAGCCATGGCAGAGACACTGGGTTCTCCTGGTTCCTCGTCTCACCCTCCCCTCAGACCTCCATGAAAACCCACTGGGTGAGCCTCAGCCCTCCGGTAACTCATCCCTCATTTGGCAATTGGAGAGAATCAGCAGCCTCTTCACCAACTCTGCCCAAGGGCCTGAGGCTCCCTGAGACTGCGGTCCACTGACATGGAAGAGCTTTAAAAATCCATTTAGCCGGATCTCCCACTGGCCAGCTGTAGCTGAGCAGCTCCTCAGCAGGGGGACCAGGGAGGGGAATGGAGGGGAGTAGTGCGAGAGAGGAGAGGCCACATCTACTTTTCAGCCCTGGAGGCCAGGACGGGCTCCCTATCATCACCTTCTTGTCCTGATGCTGCCAGCAGAGGCAGCTCCCAGGCTGGATGGTCCCTTGGGGATCAGCCAGTCCAGCCCCTCCTTTTATAAATGAGAAGGGGTCCCCAGAGGTCAGTCATGCAGCACGGCAGCAGCTCAGCTGGTCCCAGGGCCCCAGCCTCTAGATCCTCACAGGGTTCTGCCCCATGGGGCTCCAGACTCAAGGACTGGGACTCCAGCAGCTTTCCCAGCCCTGTTCCAGCCCCAAGGGCCACTGGGAGCCACAGGAAGGCCTACAGTGAGGGAGGCTCCAGGTGAGATACTCAGGGCTTCATTTCTCTGCCAGGCAGTTCTGCCTGAAGTCAGAGCCAGAATTAACTCAAGGAAGCATGTTTAGAGCTACTGATGCCAGAGCCGGGTACAGGGTGGGGTGGGGCAACCTCTGCCAGCAGAGAAGATGAGATGGAATTTAGAACTCATGCTGTCCCTTCCCAGCTAGGTTTTAGGACCCTGGAGCTCAAGCCTGGTAGGCATGAAGGAGGGTAAGGGGAACACGTTGGGCAGCTCTGCCCATCCCAGGGCCCTAAAGCCAGGCATCAATTCAGCTCACAGGGCCCCTCCCCATCTCCTTAGAAGGTGACAGGTTCTGGGCCACAGTCCAGGCCGGTGGCTGCACAAACCTCCATATGTCCCTGGGCCACTCTCCTGCCTTCCTCCTTGAGTGACATGGGCCAGGCTAGGAGCAGCTGTGACAGACCTGAGTGATGACATCTCCCCACACACGCCTGTCACCTGTCATTTTCTGTCCAAGAGACCTCCATCATGGATGTTCCCCCCACCCACAGACCACGACCTTCCAACACAGGCCCGCTATGGGGAAGTGCCACCATGGGACCTTCCCCAAGATCTGCCCCATGAACTCTGAGCCCCCATGTGCAGCACAGCCAGTGAGGACCTCCCACGGCAGCCTCTGTGAGATGGCTCTACCACAAGAAGCCCTGTCATGCCACCTGCCACGCGAGCTGTCACCGCATACCCTTCCACCGTGTCATGCCCAGCCTCGTGAAAATTGACTCATGAGGTCTCACCATTTTTTTGCTGTCTTGCAAGACCCCTGAAAAGGAGGTTTCTCAGAAGAGCACCTACCTGTCATCTGCCACCACATAATGACTTGCAAAGGAACAGCCCAGGGAGCTGGTCAAGCCTGTCCACGGGCCAGTCCTGTGGGCATGATCATGCCAGCTTGAGTGGGCAGAGCCGGGGGAGCCACCAACCCCTGCTGGAGGCCAATGGGCAGAAAGAGGCAGGAAGATGGGGGTGGTAAGGAAGCCCCTCTCCCCAGCTTCACTACACAACCCCCAGCCAGCAGGTGCCTGTACTGGCCATCTACAGATCCATCTACGCATCCATCTGGGCCAGGATGGTCAGGCAGGGGCCGGGGCTGCCCCGCCATCACTGCCTCTCTCTTCCTTTTCCAGACAATGGCTACCGGGAGTGCCTGGCCAATGGCAGCTGGGCCGCCCGCGTGAATTACTCCGAGTGCCAGGAGATCCTCAATGAGGAGGTGAGGCTGAGCCGAACAAGGCTGCCCATATGGAGGGGAGTCCAGGGTCCCCAGCAGAGTTTTGTGCCTGCTACTTGGAGTCAGGGAGCCAGAGGCTAATGTCAAGGCCCTGCTCTAGTGAAGCTGACTGGGGAGCTGGAGCTGTCAACTTGGAAAAGGCCCATGAGCAGGCGCCCTCGAGGGCAGGCTGGACCAATGGGGCACTGGGCAGGCTCTGATGGTGATGAGATGGGTCCTTGTTCCTTCCTTCCTTCTCCCTGTGCTCATCGGGCAGCCGCTTGCACTGGGCATGGGACTGTCCTGGGGGTGCAAAGGGAGACCAGACTCGGTCACAGGAGTCCCACCCTTTTCCACAACACATGCCTGAGAGATACATCCAGTTCCAGCCACAGGGCTGTATGGGAACCAGGGACGGGATGGAGGTAGCAATGCAGTTTGAAAAAGCCCTTGGAAAGCCTTTTAAAATGTTAAATGTTTTTGAGCAGATATTGCTTACACAGAACTCAGAAGGTACAAATGGGAATACAATGTCCCCTCCCACCCCGTCCCCAGCCACTGGATTCCCTCCCAGAGGCAACCATTTTGCCAATTTCACAAGTGTCCTTCCAGAGACATTCTCCGCATACACGAGTAATTTTGTATACGTATTCTTTTTTGTTTTTACCTGAATGTTGCATGTTATACACACTGTCTACACCTTGCTTTTTTCATATAATCATCTATCTTAGAGATGGTTCCATATCAGTACATAAAGAGCATCTTCATTCTTTTTGCATTTGCATAATATCACAAAATGTACCATAACTTATTTAAACCAGTCTTTATTCTCAGTCTTTAGTTATTACAAATGCTGCTGCAATGAATAATCTTTGAAGGGTGATATTTGGCAGAGGCACAAATATATCTATCCTGGAGCTGCTACTGCCCTCGGTCTCTCCCACCCTGTCTCCTTTCCCACCCGACGCTTTCTCCCTTGGTGCTGAGGAAGACGGGGGTCAAAGGGCAGAAGGGGGGACACCCCAGGCTGTCCGAGGGCCAGGGATTCTGATTGTGGAAGAGAGAGACTGACCTAAGCAGTCCCAAGAATCCCGTCGCCTAAAGATCAGAGCTGGAAGGGACCGTGGAGACTCTCCTTCCCATCTTGAGGTTCCCAGACTTGCCTGGTTATAAGAATCGTCCAGAGGCAGATCTCCTGAGGTCAGGAGTTCAAGACCAGCCTGTCCAACATGGTGAAACCCCATCTCTACTAAAAATACAAAATTAGCCGGGTGTGGCGGGATTACACCTGTAATCCCAGCTACACGGGAGGCTGAGGCAGGAGAATCGCTTGAAACCAGGAGGCGGAGGTTGCAGTGAGCCGAGATTGTGCCATTGCACTCCAGCCTGGGCAAAAAGAGCGAAATTCCATTAAAAAAAAAAGTGGGGCCAAGTGCGGTGGCTCACGCCTGTAATCCCAGCACTTTGGGAGGACGAGGCAGGCAGATCACGAGGTCAGGAGATCGAGACCATCCTGGCCAACATGGTGAAACCTCATCTCTGCTAAAAATACAAAAATTAGCCGAGCATGGTGGCGCATCCCTGTAATCGCAGCTACTCAGGAGGCTGAGGCAGGAGAATCACTTGAACCAGGGAGGCGGAGGTTGCAGTGAGCCCAGATCGCGCCACAGCACTCCAGCCTGGCGACAGAGCAAGACTCTGTCTCAAAAAAAAAAAAAAAAATGGAATCTCCCAGAGCACTTGTCCAAATACAGGTCCCAGGGCCACACCCAACACCTAAGAAATCACACTGTCCAAGGAGGACCTGGGAATCTGTGTCTTTCATGAGTGCCCCAGGGGAGCCTTCTGATGGGGCAAAAGTGAGAAACTCTAATCTAGTGCGACCCGTTCACACTACAGATGGGGAGACTGGGGCCCAGAAAAGGGGAATGATTCACACAAGGTCACGTGGCTCTGGGACATTCCCTTTTTTTTTTTTTTTTTTTTTTTGAGACAGAGTCTTCCTCTGTCGCCAGGCTGGAGTGCTGTGGCGCGATGTCGGCTCATTGCAACCTCCACCTCCCTGGTTCAAGTGATTCTCCTGCCTCAGCCTCCTGAGTAGCTGCGATTACAGGAATGCACCACCATGCTGGGCTAATTTTTGTATTTTTGGCAGTTAAGTCAGAGCCCGGAACCCAGGGCTTTGGAGCCCAGGCTCCGGAGCACAGGCTCTGCAGCCCAGGCTCTGCTTTGCCCACTGCCAGGTATCTGGCGTGAAACAAAGTTAACGGGGAAAGAATCACTTTCCTTCACCTGTAGCTCCCACCCCGGCCTGGCAAGCTTTGGTTAGCCCCACCCCTGGCTTCCTGGCCTCAAGTCACTGAGCTAATGCGGGGCTCTGCTGTCTCCTTCCGGAAGCTGCAGCTAGGTCAATGCCTAGCTTAAAAGACTCACGAGTTCTTCCACGGTGCTGCTCTGGCAGGGCGAGGGGCTGCCTGGCATCTCAGATCCCACAGGCCAGACCTTTGGGTGGCACTCAAGGCTGGGGTGGGTTGGTCAGGCTCCCTGATGATCTGATCTGAGCAGGGAAAGCCCTCAGCTTGCTAAGCCCCCACACAGAGAGCCCACCTGGGAAGTCCTGGGATTGGGAGGAGGGCTCCTCCTGGACTGGGGGAAGGAGGTGGGGTTCCAGGTTAGGAGACTTAGTTGGGCCAGAGGAGATGGCCTTGGCCTTGGCTGGTGGGGTGGGAGTGGGCAAGACCGTTCAGGGATGTGAGGAGCCCGTAGCCTGGCACACAGTAGAGGAGGTGGGAGGAAAGGAAACAGGGCTGGTGCTCAGAGGAGCGGGTCAGTGCTGTCAGTGACTCAGGACCACACGCCATTGCAGAGAGGGATGGTGTCCAGGAGGCACAGCTAAGCCATGAGGTCAGGCTGCAGGCCGCACTGTCTGTCCCAGCTTCACGCCCTGCACTCAACCCTCCTGAGGGTCAGCGCGGGGTCTTCGTGGTTCACCTGTCTCTCCTGCTCTATTGCAAGCCCCTTCTTTTCAGTTGGCTGATGGGGACACTCGGCAGCCCCCATTTTCCCCAGCACCCTTCAAAGGCCTAAGGGCAGTAGGTTAGCCACCCTCAGCCTGCCCTGCAACACCCAACCCTGCCAGGAC
This sequence comes from Homo sapiens, assembly GCF_000001405.40. NCBI lineage: Eukaryota > Metazoa > Chordata > Mammalia > Primates > Hominidae > Homo > Homo sapiens. The sequence continues at coordinate 526,702 of NT_187663.1, forward strand.
AGGGGTCTCTACCTCTGTCCACCAGCAGGGTTAGGACAAGGAAGAGGATCGGGAGCCCGGTCTCATCAGCCCCCTCTTTGCATTGCAGTGGGAATAGCACGGACCTTAGGGTTTGGGTTTCAACGGGAACCTGCTGCATGACCTTGAGGAGGCAACTTAACCTCACCAAGTTCCCAAAAATGGTGGCCAGGAATTCAGATCTCTGCCTTCTGGGGATGGAAGGGTGGTGTTGGCCTGTCTTGGCCTATGGGAGACGTTCCATTCACCTGCCGCCCCCTGTCTCTCATCTCCCCTGTGAGGTCAGGGGAGGTTGTAGTGTACACCTGGGGGAGTGACCCGCCCCACCCCCCAGCCCATCCGTGCCTGGCTCTGCCATCTCTTTCCTCTGCAGCCCCTGCTGGCCTGGTGCCTAGCACTCTGGGTAATCGATTAGTTTAATTAGTGAAAATGCCATTCCCTTCTGCCAGCCCCCAGCCTCGCCAGACCCCTCCCAGAACTGCAGAGGAAAGTATCCAATTAATTGAGTGGTAGGTTTCTCAGCTCTGGGCCTGGGCTAAGCCCTAATTAAGCTCCAGCGCCCTGGGGTATCGCAGATAATGGATTCGCAGAAGTCTGCCTGTGAAATGGGACTTGCGAGGGCACCTCAAGGCCAGGCACCCCAGGAGATCTGCCCGCAGCCAGCACCACCAGGGGACAGGCCCCCAACTGTTGCATGCATGGCTGGCCGGGGGATGGCACTGAGCCCCCAGCACCACCCCTACACCTGCTGCCTGTATCAGCACCCTCTCCTCCCCCCACCACCTCCCGCTACTACTGTTCACTCCCTTCCCCACCGTCCAGCCTTCCCCCACCCACCCAACACTTGCACACACTCTATCCCCTTTCCCCACGTTCTGCTGCGCACAGGAGCCTGGGCCTCAGGCACAGCCTGGGAGAGCACACCGTGGTGGGACATGAAACGGATTCTGGGGGTCTGGTTTGTGGACCAAGGTTCACTGCTCACCGTGTGGGGAGAGGTGAGTGGTGGTTGGACCAGGGCTTCTGAACTGCAGAGGTGCTTTTTCCTAAAACCAAGCTCCGATTCCATGGGCCTGGCGTAGGGCATACATTCCACTTTCCTCAAGATCTCTGCGTGCTCCTCTGCGTGCTGTTGCTGGGCCAGGGGCCACCCTTTGAGGATCGAGGGGCTGGAGTGAGTGCCCACTGCAGGGTAAGAGGAGTAGCTCTGGAAGCCTCGGTGGAGAGGACGTGCCAGAATGGAGTGGGCACCAGTGGGGAGCTTGGAAGGGAGGTCTCATTGCCACCAACCCAGAGAGGCATCAGGACGGATCTGGCACTGCAGCGCCTGGGACGAGGTGGTGTCCTGCAGAGAGTCCAGTCAGAGTCAGCCGGGCACAAATTGCTTATTCAATTCAGATCACTGAGGGTACAGCGGAGTGGCCTCTGCCAAGTACCACGCTGTGCCACCCTCCTTAGGGCGGGGTGCCTGCTGGTCTTAGGTCTCCAGACTGGATGGAGATGGAGTGCTGGTCAGGGCCCGAGGGGTAGCTGTGCCCATTTGTCCTTCGGACATCCCAGCTGCTTTGCTGTTATCGTGGCCATCGGTCGGGGTGTCACTGGCTGTCCCTGGGGGTGCTGCTGACTCTCCTCTCCAGGTATCACTGGCCACCTCTCAGGGTGTTCCTGGGTGCCTCTTAAGGCCTTGCTGTCTCTCTAAATAATGCTGGCCAGAACTCTGGTTGTTATTGGAAATGTCACAGTGTCACTGGCTTCTGTCTGGGTGTCGCAGGATGTATTTGTCTCAGGGTATCAGCAGCCATCCCTCAGGCTGTCTCTCCAGCTGTCTTCTCAGGTTGCATGATGCTGATGTGGCCGATGAGAGACAGGGCTTGAACCCGGCCCAGGCCCGACTGCTCAGGGAGGCACACTGAGACTTTGTCCCCCGGGAATGGTTTGGCCTGATTCTCCCTCAGGCTCTTGGAGGAAAGCCCTCTTGGGCGCTATTGTCCCAGCAGGAGGTCCCCCGAGGCTCCTGGGCCCAAAGTGGCGTGAGACCACCCCAGAGAGTGCCTCTGCTTTCAATTCCTGCTTGTCCCCCAAGAAATGTCGCAGGGGGCCGGACACGGTGGCTCACGCCTGTAATCCCAGCACTTTGGGAGGCCGAGACAGGTGGATTGCCTGAGCTCAGGAGTTCGAGACCAGCCTGGGCAACATGGCAAAACCCCATCTCTACCAAAAAATACAAAATATTAGCTGGGCATGGTGGTGCATGCCTGTGATCCCAGCTACTCGGGAGGCTGAGGCAGGAGAATCACTTGAACCCAGGAAGCAGAGGCTGCAGTGAGCTGAGATCCTGCCACTGCACCACTCCAGACTGGGCGACAGAGTGAGACTCCATCCCTCCCCCACCCAAAAAAAGAAATGTCCCTGGGAAACAGGGAAAAGAGGGAGCTTAAAGCCAGGCAGACCCAGGTTCCAGATACCGGCTGCGTGGCGTGGCCAATTATTCAGTCTCTTCTACGGAAAGAACTGGGATGAGAGGAGCAGTCTCCAAGGGCAGCTGTGGGAAAGAAAAGCAGTAGTGTCTGCAGAGCTCCTGGCACAGTGCTCAGCATACAGCAGGTGCTTAACAGATAACTCCTCCCCACTCCAACCCCAAGGGCCCGGTACGGCCTGACTCGGGAGTGAGGCAGGGGCCCTGGAAGGCAGCACTGAAGGGTCTCCCTGCACACTGCGCTCCTCCCGCCCAGCCTGGGCCTGTGAACAAGGCCGGGGTGTTGTGCCATGCTCGGCTCCACACATGTTGTCATTACCCAGGGGCTTCTCAGCATGGATTTGTGGAAAATTTAATAAAAGGATATTAAATACCAGCTCCAGACAGCCTGTGATGTGTGCATATCTTCCAGAGCCTCCGGATTGGGGCATCTGCCGCCAGGCGCTCAGAGACCCTCCCCACTTGCACGGGTGATAGGTACCCTCTCCTCACTCCCCTCTCTGTCTCTGTCTCTCCTGCCTTCATTTACACCTCCCTGGATCCCAGTCCTTTGGAGGCTGGAGTTGCTAATGTAATTACCTGCCATGTTCCAGAAAGCCTCTGCCTGGAAACCAGCTCCAAGAACAGAGCTTCTGTAGCAGCCTCTGGAGAGGTTCCCCAATGAGGGTGCTCCTTCAGAAGGGCCTTGGTGGCCGGGCGGAACTGGGCATAGGGTCTTGGCTTCTCCTGGGATGCCTGGTGGATAGGGCTGGACTTGATCTCTGGTTTCAAGTGGGTTCTGTAATTCCAACAGGAAGGCCTATGGAGTAGCTCCTTGGTGGCCAGTAGCTCCTTGGTGGCTCTGAGAAGATGATGAGGGCCGTTGTGAGCTCAGTGCTTCTCAGCACTTGCATGTCACCCACCTTTGTGCCTCATGATCATTCAGCCCCACCCTAGAGCCTAGAAACGGGGAGGAAGGGAGGTGCTGCCAGGGACCCCTCCCTTCTCAAAGTCACCTGCTTTTCAACACCCGTCTTTCCTTCCTTCACTCACACACTGCTTTGGAGTTTGACTGCGTGTCAAGCTCTTGGTTTCTAGGCCCTGCTTCTTGGGACCTATAAAAGTGTGGATGGGGGCTGTGCTCTTGGGCAGGAGTCTGCAGAGAGCTGGGCATGGGGACTGACCAGTCCCCTATTATGGGCTGGGGACCTGTTTGCAGCCTTCGTATCTTGCCAATCTACATGTGCAGGCAAGAGGTGGTTTTGGAGTTGCGCGACCTCCAGCGCGTCAGCATAACCTCTGTGCTGTTTTCCTACAAAATAAAGCCCAGATGCCTTTCCGGCTCCCCCCACGGGGTTGCCCTGATGGTTTAAGACGATAACAGATATGAAAATCCTCTGTAAACAGGAAGGCTTCACCACTCTTGGAACTCAAGATTGCTGTAAAGAGGAGGGCAGTGACCTCCATCAGTATATTAAATTCATTAAGAAATAAACCCGGGGAATGTGTTACAGTCCTGGGAGAGGATCCTGCTCACTCTGCACAGATCCCCTTGGGCCAGGGATGGGGAAGGCCCCGGAAAGTGAGTTATGGAGCCTAAGGAGACTTTTCTGTGGTTTCTGCTGATTCTGTGGATGCCAGAGCCCAGCAGCTGCCCGGCCCCTCCTTGCTCACAGGAGCAGGCGGCATTGCAGCAGGAGGGATTTAGGGGTGGCTGAGAAGGTGGTGACTCAGTTCAGAAATGGGTGGAGAAGAGAAATCCCGGGAGTTTGGTGTCTCTGCAGCTGAGAGGTCCACCTGGTGTTCTGACTGGGTGGCAGCATGGGTAGATGCGAGTGTGAGGGCGCACCTGTGAGCCGGCCACATGTGCTTGTGCATGCAGGGGCGGGGGGTCCATGTGGAGTGGGGAATCCCACGTGATGTGGAGATTCAGTTCGACACAACACGGAGCAGTGAACACAGCATGGGATTCAGGGACAAGCAGAGCCTCAAACTGGACGGCGTTGCTCTGCAGCGAGGCCTGACCCTCAGCAGATGCTCAGGAAGGGGGAGTGGCCCTTGAGATCATGACCCGCTCCATCCCAGCCACCCCTAGGCGATGTCCTCACAGAGCAGCTCCCATCCAGCAGAAGGCTCACCTCTGCCCCTCTCTCCTGCTCCAGAAAAAAAGCAAGGTGCACTACCATGTCGCAGTCATCATCAACTACCTGGGCCACTGTATCTCCCTGGTGGCCCTCCTGGTGGCCTTTGTCCTCTTTCTGCGGCTCAGGTGAGAAGACCCCAGCACTGCCTCCTCCTGTCCCCAGGACCTAGAGCAGAAGCAGGGTGGAGAAGTGAGAGGAGCAGCTCTAGGTTGGGGTGGGGGTTGCTGGGAGAGGGTGGCAGGGGCTGGCTTATCTGAGAGTCTCAGGTCTCTGGGAACCTCTGGCAGAGCCGCTCTGCCCTCTCCCCAGTAGCTGCTGGAATGGTGGGGAGGGACAAAACTTGTCTTATGTCACCCATACCCAGGCCAGGCTGCACCCATTGGGGTGACCAGGCAGATGGAGCCCTGGAGGTGGGGGCTCCATGGAGTGGTGCCCCATTTCAGGTTCGAAGGTACCTGGGCCCCAGCACTACCGCCAAGGATGCAGGTGGCAGAGCCGGGGATGGGGATGGTTGGGATCAGGAGCCGAGCATCAGGGCTGGAGGCTGGGAGCAGGGCTGACCCCTGTGACTGTCCATCCTGGAATGGCAGGGAGTAGAAGGCACCCCCAGGGGAAGCGGGCATCGCCAGGAATCCAGCTGCCCTGGTCCATGGAGCACAGGCTCCATGGAGTGCCAGGCTCTGCCTGGGGCTTATGTCTGGGTGGGCTGCAGGCAGGAAGGGCTCCATGGGGCATTAGGAGAGCCTGGCTGTCACCTCCCTGTGTGACTTGGCCAGTCAGCCCCACCCTGTGCCTCAGTTTCCTCATCTACACATCTGGGCTGGGGTGATGGAGGTGGCCTACCCCTCATCCTCTCTCTCCTATCGCTCCCATCATCCACCCGCCCTGCTGCACCAGGAGCATCCGGTGCCTGCGAAACATCATCCACTGGAACCTCATCTCCGCCTTCATCCTGCGCAACGCCACCTGGTTCGTGGTCCAGCTAACCATGAGCCCCGAGGTCCACCAGAGCAACGTGGTACGTCCTGGCAGGGGAGCGGGGAGCAGGTCAGGCCAAACCCAGGTCAGAGGAGGGGCCCGCCTGCCCTGCAGAGGAGGAGCCCACAGAACAGGAGTGGGATCCCAGGGTATGCCCTGTCCTGCCCTGGGGAGGCCCAGGCCCAGGGTTTGGTGCCTCCCCTGCCCCCCATCATCATCTCTGGTTGGGGGTGGGGTGGCAGGGCTGGTGCAGGTTGGTGACAGCCGCCTACAACTACTTCCATGTGACCAACTTCTTCTGGATGTTCGGCGAGGGCTGCTACCTGCACACAGCCATCGTGCTCACCTACTCCACTGACCGGCTGCGCAAATGGATGTTCATCTGCATTGGCTGGGGTGAGCTGGGCAGCCACCTCCGCAGCCTGGGCAGTGGCGGCCGCCGGGCTGCCCTCTCCTCCAGACTCAGGCCAGCGGGCTGGGGGGCCTGAGGGATGGAGGTCGGGTTGGGGCGGTAAGGTGTGCACGATAGCCCTCTGCTCCTCTTGGGGGTGGGCGGCAGTAGAAGCACCTTGAAGGAGGTGTGTGAGTTTGAGATCCACCCTGAGTAACCCCAGACCCCCTGGAGCCTGGGCTGCACTGGGGTTCTCCAGGCCCACATCCTCCAGCCCCCGCTGAGGGCTCTGTGACAGCCCATCTCTCCCCCAGGTGTGCCCTTCCCCATCATTGTGGCCTGGGCCATTGGGAAGCTGTACTACGACAATGAGAAGTAAGTCATCTCCTTTCCCTTCCTGACCCCAAGGTTTAGGCTCCCAGCCCAGCTTGGTGACACTCCCCACGGGCATTGGCCATGCTGGCTTTTTCCCCTCAGGACCATGGTTTCTGCATCTATAAAGGGAGAGATCTGGGGGCTGGACTCATTCAGAGGGTCCCTGCCTGTGCTCTGCCTGGGTGGGGCTGGACAAGCAGGACCCAGCCTCCTTTATCTGCCTTGAGCTTACACAGGAAGCAGCCTGGAGCCAGACTGCCCAGGTTCAAATAGCTGTGTGACCTTGGACAGATTACTGCAGTGTGCCTCAGTTTCCTCATCTGTAAAATGGACATGCTACTGCCTCAAAGGGCTGTTGTGGGGTGATATGAGTCCATCTATATTAAGCATTTACAATAGCTCCTGGCACATAGAGTAAATGCTATATAAATGTGTTCTATTAATATTAAGACATCTTAATAAAAGAGTCCATGAATTTAATAGAAGTGGACCTAGATGATCTCAGAGGCTTCTTCCAGCTCTGAAGTTCTTTGGTTCCTTATGAAATGGACTCAGATGTTTCCAATCGTGCCTGGAAACTTGATTTCTGCTGCAGTGGAGCTCAACTTTGGCTCACATTAGAATCACCTGGAATGCTTGGAAAAGTACCAATGCCCAGGCTTCACCCTCAGAGAATCAGGCGCAATTGGTCTGGGGTGTGGCCTGGCACCCAGAAGTCTTGAAAACTGCCCAGGTGATTCTAATGTGCAGCTCAGATTGAGAACCACTGAGAGAGAGCGGGGCAGAAAAGGTGGACATGGATGGCAGGGGAGCCCCAGGACCTTCTTTGCCAAACAAGTGTTCCCGGGAACCTATCTGACTGACGGACCTGGCGTCCAAGTGGCCTCCACCACAGTGACAAGCCCTCTCCTCCCCCATGGAGGGGAGGGGGCCTGCACGGCTTCATTGGGCTGAAAGAGGAGCCTGGAAGATTATCTTGCGTGTTTATGTGGTTGACTCCCTCCTGACTCCCTCCTGACTCAGGCTGGCTGAGGCCTTGGGAAGCCGAGGCAGGCGGATCACTTGAGGTCAGGAGTTTGAGACCAGCCTGGCTAACATGGTGAAATCCCGTATCTACTAAAAAAAAAACAAAAAAACAAAAATTAGCTGGGTGTGGTGGTGCGCACCTGTAGTCCAGCTACTCGGGAAGGCTGAGGCAGGAGAATCTCTTGAACCCAGGAGGCAGAGGTTGCAGTGAGCCAAGATCGTGCCACTGCACTCCAGCCTGGGCAACAGAGTGAGACTCCATGAGTCTCAAAAAACAAAGCAAAACAAAAACTGTTTGGGCTAAAGGAGAAAGTGAGTCTGAGCGGCTCTGAAGCTCCACCTGGTGGTGAGAATTCAACACTGCAACAGAGAGGATCTGGGTGTGAGAAACCAGAAACGAACTTGCAGACCAGAGGCCCGAGGACTGGACCCGGCCCTCAGAAGCTGTGTGTGGCCAGCATGGTGTTTTCTGAAAACTCGATTTTGTAGCCAACCTTTAAAAAATCCAAAGGTTTCATTTACAAATCTCAATTTCTGGCTTATGAGATCTAGCCACTGGGGGTCTTCATACCCACGAGGACATAAGGGCTTCCAGTTTGTCTGGTCCCCACCCACTCCCCAGGCCTCCCTGGAGCTTGCTGGAGGGACACTCGGGAAAATGCAAAGCAATTACCTCCTGCAGCAGGTAGAACCTGTGCAAGTATTCCTCTCAAGGTTGTTCAGGCTGTGACTGGACAGATTCAGGCTGAGATTGCGAACTGCTGGGTGCCCACTGGGTGACAGGTGTGGTGCCACTCCCACCAGCAGCCCCCCAGAGGGCATGCTGGGCCTCAGCCACTGCCAGGGGACTGTGAGGAGGAGCCGAGGATGCAGCCTCGTGTTGGGCCCATGCCCGTTCCCAGCCACTCAGTCTTTCCCACTGTCTACCTCCTGCCCCGGTGCTTGCTTCCAACTTTGCATCTCATCACAGAGGATGCTGTCCGTTCTGCAGATGGGACAATTGAGGCATGGCAGTGGGATCAAGTGACTTGACCTTCTGCCAGGGTTGGAATTGGGACATCTACCTCTTGGCCTCCAGCCCCAGTCCTGTCCTGGCCAAGCACTGTCCCTCCCCATGCCATCAAGGTGGACGCAGATGACCCTTCCTCCCCTTTCCTCTGTGGCCTTCTAGGTGCTGGTTTGGCAAAAGGCCTGGGGTGTACACCGACTACATCTACCAGGGCCCCATGATCCTGGTCCTGCTGGTAAGAACCTGGGTAGGGGCAGGAGACAGGGCCCAGTGGGGAGGGGCAATCAGTGCCAACCGTGGACAGAAAGGACCCCTCTACCTAGAGGTGGGGGCCACCCAAAGAGGGGGCATGGGTCAGAGATGTGCAGGTGCTCATGAGGAGGAGGGAGAACAGCAGGGGCACTGAGGCCAGAGCTGAGAAGCCTGGGTCCCAAGCCTCTTGCACACTCCGGCCCGCTGGTGTGCTCAAATTGCAGATCAATTTCATCTTCCTTTTCAACATCGTCCGCATCCTCATGACCAAGCTCCGGGCATCCACCACGTCTGAGACCATTCAGTACAGGTAACCGGGTACCACCTTCCTCAGGCCTCCCCCTGATGAAACCCCTGCTCCCCATGCCTCTCACGTGCCAGAGACCTGCCACTCCCTCCCCCGACCTGGCCCTCTTTGCCGAGCCAGCGGGCAGCCCGTCCTGGGGTGGGCTGTGACTCCGAGCCTCCCCACCCGCCCCACCCCAGGAAGGCTGTGAAAGCCACTCTGGTGCTGCTGCCCCTCCTGGGCATCACCTACATGCTGTTCTTCGTCAATCCCGGGGAGGATGAGGTCTCCCGGGTCGTCTTCATCTACTTCAACTCCTTCCTGGAATCCTTCCAGGTACAGCCCTGGAGGGACACATCAGCACCTCCTTGGGTGGGGATTCTGCCAAGCAGAGGCCTGGAGGGCAGGAGGCCAGGGAGAAGCAAGGGGCAGCCCAGAGGCTGGGTGGGCAACACCTGCAGCCGACCTTTGACGCCTCCTCTCTCCTCCCCAGGGCTTCTTTGTGTCTGTGTTCTACTGTTTCCTCAATAGTGAGGTGAGGACCCGGGGGCCCTGCAGCGGGGTTCAGGGCTGTGAGGCCTGTTGGGACTGGCGATTGTCTAGAGCCTTCTCCTCCCCTCCCAGGGCTGCCTCTCTCCCTCCCTGCTCCTAGGTCCCTAGGGGTATGCTGCTGGGAGCCCCAGGGTGGCCCCTCCCACCTGTCCACTCCCACAGTGACAGCCCCCTCCTTTGCTCTCAGAGGCCGCTGGCACCAGGCTGGAAGCCAGAGCTCCAGTATCTTTGATGAGCCTGTGAAAACCAGGAAGGGCTGAGCCCTGGGCAGGGGATACATGTGGTTTGAGGGCAGGGAGCCTTCATGGCAAAGGGCATATGGTGCCTTCGTGTGGGTTAGAAAAGGGTGCCCCTTCCCCAGGACATTTGAGAAACCTGTTCCGACAAATATGCAAAGCAGTCGTGTTAAGGCTGTGAGTGTCATCCCCTACTGAGGACTTCCATGTACTCAGCTGACCTGCACAGCCGCTTACCTGCACAGCTGCTCGTGGCGGCCCAGGGGAGGGAGGGGGTCCTGAGCCACAGGCTCAGATGTCGTGCTCCTCCCTGTGCCCACAGGTCCGTTCTGCCATCCGGAAGAGGTGGCACCGGTGGCAGGACAAGCACTCGATCCGTGCCCGAGTGGCCCGTGCCATGTCCATCCCCACCTCCCCAACCCGTGTCAGCTTTCACAGCATCAAGCAGTCCACAGCAGTCTGAGCTGGCAGGTCATGGAGCAGCCCCCAAAGAGCTGTGGCTGGGGGGATGACGGCCAGGCTCCCTGACCACCCTGCCTGTGGAGGTGACCTGTTAGGTCTCATGCCCACTCCCCCAGGAGCAGCTGGCACTGACAGCCTGGGGGGGCCGCTCTCCCCCTGCAGCCGTGCAGGACTCTAGCTCATGAGTGGAAAGTCACCTACAGGACTGGGCCGGGCCCAGGGCCTCTGGCTTCCCTGCCCAATCCTCCCTGGAGAAGGGACATGGGAATGAATTGAAATGGGGCGCTGGACACCTACAGCAGCACGCATGTCCCTCCAAGGCTGTCTTCTCCCAGAGCACAAGAAGGCCAGCCCACTGGGCCCTGGGGCTGCCCTCGGCAACCGTGGGGAGGCCATTTGCTGCCCTGGGGCATCATGGGCAACTCGTGACAGCCTCTGACTCACCACGATGACGCCTCTGGACCTCGGTGATGCCTTCCGACACCACTGGGAACCAAGGGCCCTCACTCAGGAACCCTGGAGACAGAAGTCAGGTGTCATCATCAGACTTGCGGCCACAGCACTAGAGTCACCCCCCCAGGCCTCCAGAACCTTACTGGCACTGTGGCACTGCCACCAGCAATGCCCTGCCTTGCTGCCTTCACCCTGAACATTTAGTACCCTGCAGGCCAGGCCAGCTTCCCCTCACTTAACCACCCCATACCAGTCACCTCCTGCTCCTTTTCCTCTTTTGTGAGAAGATGGGGGCTGGAGGGGGCAGAGTGGCCTGTGAGCAAGAGCCAGGGGTGTCCCAGTCCCAGCCTCTGGGGCAGAGCTTGTAGCCCTGGATGGCCTCTGGGGCAGGACCACTAGCTAAGCAAGCCAGGAGAAGACCCCTGCCCAAGTGGCTCTTGGGACAACGTGCTGCTTACACTCCAGGTGTGGACCGGCCGCAGCCCCCACTGACCTGCCCATGTCCAGAGGGACTGGACAGCCAGGGCAGGGCTTTGGGGGGCACTAGAAGATGAGGGTGTCGGCTGTGAGGCGGGTGGCTGGTATAAATAATATTTATCTTTTCAACCAGCATTTGTGAAGGCCTGGACTCCACAGGGGGCTGGATGGAGAGGGTGTCTCACAGAGGTGGGGGCTGCTTCCCAGCTTTCAGGGGCTGCTGTGTTGCTGAGAAACCTGACCCCACTCTCACCCCGGCAAGGATGGTGCCAGGAGAGCCCCTGAGGGCCGGGAGAGGGGTGAGGGCAGGAGGGAGGGCTTCGAGGAACAGGTGGGTCTGGCCAGGGCCCCCTTAGTTAGGGACAGCTTGTTGTGAGGAGGTGAATTAGAGGGAGAGGAGGGCCACGGTTAGGGATGCAGAGGAGGGACACCATGGGTCAGGGGAAGGAACAAAGGAGACGGGAGTGTGTCCCAGCCCCAGGCATGAGCTGTGCTGATTGGTGGGAAGCAGAATTAGGATGCTGGGCCACTGGACAGGCTGTGAATGCAGCTGTCTCCACTAGGGCCGCCACAAGAAGCCATCCCTGAGACCCTGAGGTTTCTTGTGCAAACTCGAGGGAAGGGGAGTACAGAGAGGGCAACAGGGAGTGAAGCCAGGCAAGGAAGGCAGGGGAAAGGTGGGGGCTAGAGGGGGACACGGTAGCCTGTGAGCAAGAGACAGGTATGCCCCAGCCCTGGCCAGTGCCGCTCTGAGGTGGGTGGCACACTCAGGCTCCCCTGGCTTGCTGGCTTCAGTGCCCCCAACTCCGGGCCAGAGCTTGTATAGCCCTGGGTGGCCTCTGGGGCAGGACTGACACTCCAACACTGTTGTGGGCGCCTGGAGCTCCCTTCCGCTGGGGAAGCCCTCCCTCATCCCACCCAACAGGTGAGGGAGCTGGGGTATTTATCCACCATCTCCCATCAGCTGCGGGTTGAGGGCTGCTCCCAGGGGGACATGAACTCTTCTGCATTCCCACATCAGGCTACAGAGGGCCAGAGAGAGTTCTCCGGCACAGTGATGTGCGGGTGGGTGGAAGCCAGTGTGTGCTGCATTGGAGGGGCAGGGGGTGTGGGTGGAACACCAGAACTGGACACAGGGCCCCACTGCAGCCCGGGCCTTGTCTCTGGGTCTCTCTAACCAGGGAGGAGAGCCCCGTGGGTGGGACGTGTGTATACACATGTGCACTTGTGCACCCAGGCGCACACAAGAGCTTGCAGTGTCAGGACACCAGGAACAGACAAAGGTGACACAGTGCCGAAAGCCCCGCAGCTCCTGCTGAGGGAGGGCACGTTTCGTTGGGGAGGGCCTGGGCCCGGGTGTAGCTAAGGATATCCTTGAAGGCCCTATGGGGTACTCTGCTCTGCCAATTCTCCAAGCTCTGTGCCCTGAAGTAGAGAGATGGGGTGGGGGACCCAGGGAGCACCGTGACAGAGGTAGGCTGGAGGCTTCCAGAGCAACGTGGGGGATATTGTGGGGAGTGGGAAGAAGCCCAGTAAAGGGTCCTGGCTGCCTGGAGAGACTAGAAGTGACCTGAGTCTCTAATGGCCACAACGGAGACAGCTTTCCCAACTCTGCCTCTCACCCAGTGAAGGTGGAGAAGTGAGAAGGCGAGGCTTTCCCGAGACAATGCCAGTGGGGATGGGATGAGGGTCGCACCGCAGGGGTGGAGGAGCCGAGAGGGTGGGGGTGAGGGGAAGACAGGGAAGGGACGGTACAGACCAGGAAGTGTGGATAAGCCCAGCCAGGCCGCACCCCGCTTTCCTGAGTGGGCTTCCTGGCTGCTCTCACTGCCAGGCACCTTCTGGGCACCTACTGTGTGCTCAGCACTGTGCTAGGTCTTGGGTGAGAGATGAGCAGCCACCCAGGGGGGACCCCAGGGACCCCCCAAAAAACACAAAGCTCAGAGCCTCTGGCTCTGGAAGGCCACCAAGAGGACAGCTCCAAGACAAGTCTGAGGGTCATCGGAGAAGCTGGAGGCGGAATCCCTGGGCAGGCAGATGGAGCCTGGGGCTCCCCTCCCATTGAGAGAATCTGAGGGCGGAGGGGCTGCTTCAGGGAACAGCCAGGAACATCTGAGCCTCAGAACCTGCAGCCCAGAGGCCCAGAGTTCTATCATCTCCCATGGCAGACATGCGCTCTGGGCTTCGTCGCAGAGAAGGCAGCCCTGAGACCAGGCATCTGGGCCATTCTGCTCAGGTTCAGCTTGGGGTGGCGAGGCCCCTGTGGGAGTGAGTGGGGTGTGATGAGCCGAAAAACACACATGCGACTACACAAAGTTGGGGGAGCCACTGGGGACCCTCCAAGCTGCAGTGGTGGGGGAAGGTCGCTGGAGGCCCTCCCAGACCCGGAAGACCTCATGCCTGGAAGAATTTCTCTCCACACCATGCCTAAAGGCTGCGGTCCCCTAATGCTACCCCCACCTGAGCCCATTTCTCCTTGACGTCCTCCTTCATGGGCACAGAACAGTAGTGGAGGAAAAGCCCCACTGTTTTTCCAGTTCAGGCCACCCCCTCCCCGTCCCTTAGTGTGACAGCACAGCCCCTGCCCAGAGGTCCTCAGCCTCCCCTCCAGGCCTCCTTCTCTAGCCCCCTGCTACTGATGGCTCAGCTCTCCTGGGACCAGGACTGGGTGGAGAGTCAGATGGGGAAAACCATGTGTTAGCAGATGAGGTGGGTTTGGAATCCATAGAATAATACCTTCATTGTGGGTATTGTAGATTACTTTGCCATCCACAAACATCCTTATAACATTTGTCTTTTTTTTTTTTTTTTTTTTTTTACTACGTGGGTAAATCTCTGTTCGGGGCTCTCAGCTCTGAAGGCTGTGAGACCCCTGATTTCCCACTTCACATCTCTATATTTGTGTGTGTGTGTCTTTATTTGTTTATTTTTATTATACTTTAAGTTCTAGGGTAATCCTCAACTAGCCCACAGAGGTAGTAACCCACCTGTTTTGCAGCCAGGGAAACTGAGGCCTGGCAGCTCCCCTAAGATTGAAGGTCTGGTTCCAAGTCTAAGGCTTTTTTCACCCCTCAGTGAACTGAAGGGGCTTGGGTTCTGGGAGGCCAGAACCAATGAAGAGCTCTGTGGCAAGAGGGCAGCAAGGAGGCCTCAGGGTCTCCGTGATCTGGGACGTGCCCCACGTGAAGATGGGACTTCCCCAAAGATGGCCCCACCAGTGTCCAGCCGCCGAGCAATGAGAGTTCTGTGGATCCAGCATCTCCTTCCCCAGCTTCCTGACATCCTCCACCCCCCAGCTCCTTAAAATGATGCTTAATTTCAAACAATGCAGCCGGGGCCACCATCAGCCACAGTGGGCCCCCCTACACCCCAGCCAAGGAGTGTGCTGCTGGCCTCCAGCCCAGGGGTACCTCAGAGCCAGCTCATCCAAACTGCCAACTGACTTCCAACTCAGCTGCCCACACTTGCTTCAAACCGAGGAGAATGCTTTCTACAATTTGCTAACAGCAACACTGATCATTATTGATTGTTTACCGGGCATCAGGTGCTGCTTAGCCCCTCACATGTTTATCTCATTGACTCTTTATACTGCCCTATGAGGCGGGGCTGTTATCCCCATTTAACAGATAAGGCAAATAAAACCCAGAGAGGTTAAGATACCTGCCTGATGGCACCCACGGATGGATGAAAAGCCAGGGAGGCCACACTAGGCATCCGTGAAGCTTAACCCCTATGCAGTGGGAGTTCTTAGTAAGGCTGTCCTCCCAGCCCCACTGCCCCTTCCAATCCCCTCCCCAGGGAAATCCTTCCATCCCCAGTCTGTGGTCAAACAGCATTCAGAGATGAGCTAGCTGAAGGAATTGGAGCCTGCGGAGCGTGGGCCTCGGGCAGCCCACTCCCCAAATCTGGCCTCCAAGCCAGCTCCACCTGCCAGTCTCCCGTCCCCAGCCCCATCCCAGCTCTACCTCAGAGCATCACCTCCCACCCCTGCCCTCAGCTCACCAACACCTGCAGGTCCTGCTGGCAGACCAGGCTCAAGAGAGGCCTGGGCCATATATATTTATCAAAGCTCTCAATGGCTTGGGAACACCAATGAGACTATTATTTGGAGATAAGGCCAGAGACCACCCTTGGCTGCCAGATAGCAGCCCTACCGGCTTCTGTCCCTCCAAGGGGTCCTTGACTGATCCCTGCTGCCCAGCCTCATTGCCCATTGGGCCAAGGCAGGTGGAGCAGAAGAAGGGGTGGTGGCCTCTTAGGTGCCTAAGGAGCCCAGGTTGGGGGCACGGCAGGCATCAGCTAGGGTGAGGGGGCATGGGGGCAGCAGCTGGTGGGCCTGCCTGGCTCATCCTCATCACAGGGGAAGGGGGAGGGAGTGGATGGCAATCCACTCTAGAACATGCAGCGGGGAAGCTGCTGGGCAGGGCAGCAAGGGCAGGTGAGGGGCCAGGTGAACTAGGCCCCTTCCCCACCCTTCCTGAGACCTGCTGCCTGGGGCCTGCTGGCCCTGCTGCCCTGTGTGTTGAAGATAAATGTTCCAGGTGCACCTAGGTCCTCAAGTAGAAGGCAGAGACACTACCCCAGCCTGCTCTGGGCAGCCACCCCGAGAGCCCAGGCCATAGCTGAGGGGGCAGTAGGGTGGGGGGAGGGAGGGGGAGTTGTGGGGAGCAAAGTCACAGATACAGGGGGTGCCCTCCAGGAAAGGAGTTGAATCTGGAGTGGGGGTGGGGAGGGTGGCGGGACTGAAGTCTTGGAGCGGGATTTCAGCCTGGCAGTGGGCCATGGCCCCAAGGGGCATCAGCCACTCATGTGAGGGCACTGACCAGTGCTCCGAGTGGCCACCAGAGGAATGATTCCAGGGCTGATGGATGGGGGTGGGCACAGGGATGGGGGACCTGGGGAAGCAGTGATCAAACATACCCACGAAAGCCTTCTGTGAGTGGGGTCCCAGGCAGAGTCTCGGAGGGAATGAGCCTTCTGCGAATTATCTGGGCCCTGGGCAACCAGTCCACGGGTAGATCTGGGAGAAGGGGCAGGAGCAAGCTCTGCTTGAGGTGTCTGTGCAGACCCCCAAATTGGGGCATGTGCTGGTGTGATGGAGTCCAGAAGAACTAAAATGAGACCTGTCCTGAGGAGAGAGCAGCTGGAGGGGACTGGAGTTGCTCCATTTCGTCTGGGCGCTGTGGCTCACACCTGTAATCCCAGCACTTTGGGAGGCCAAGGTGGGTGAATCACTTGAGGCCAGGAGTTCGAGACCAGCCTGGCCAACATGGTGAAACCCTGTCTCTCCTAAAAATACGAAAATTAGCTGGGCATGGTGGTGGTGCATGCCTGTAATCCCAGCTACTCGGGAGGCTAAGGCAGGAGAATCACTTGAACCCGGGAGGTGGAGGTTGCAGTGAGCTGAGATTGTACCACTGCACTCCAGCCTGAGGGACAAGAGCGAAATTCCATCTCAAAAAAAAGTCCCATTTCAACCATGTTAGTGCACAATTCAGTGACTTTAAATACACAATGTCGTGCAACTGAAACCACTGAGATAGAAAAAGTTCTGGAACTTCTTCATCACCCCAGATGGAAATCCCATACCCACCAGTCACTCCTCATTCTCCCCTCCCCCAGCCCCTGCCCGCCACGAATCTGCTCTCTGCCTCTGTAGATCTGCCTGTTTTGGCTGTTTCACGTAAGTGGAATTAATCGTACAATATGTGTCCTTTTGTGTCTGGCGTCTTCATTTAGCATAATGTGTTTCCACTTAGCATAATGTGTTTCGGCTTAGCATAATGTTTTCAAGGTCCATCCACATGGTAGCAGGTATCAAAACGTCATTCCTTCTTATGGCTGAATGCTATTCCCTTGTGTGGAGAGACCGCAGTTTCTCCATTCATCAGTGGATGGACATATGGGTTCTCTCCACCTATTCCAAGTTATCATGAATAGTCCTGCTATGAGCATGCATGTACACGCTTTTGTTTGAAGGCCTGATTTCAATTCTTTGGGATATATAGCTGGGAGTATAAGTGCTGGGTCATATGATAACTCTGCTTAACTTATCTAGGAACCACCAAGCTGTTTCCTGCAGCGGCTGCACAATTTTCCATTCCCACCAGCAGTGTATGAGGGTCCCAACTTCCCTATATCCTCGACAAAGCTTGTGATTGTCTGGGTTTTGTGACAAAGTGGGTGTGCTGGTTCTTGTTTTTTAAAAGATCCACGACTCCCTGCGTGGAGAACAGGGCCTGGAGTGAGGGTCTAGGTTGCCCATTCGTTGCTGGGGGGCCAGAAAGGGTTTTACTGTCACAGCCCTCCTGTGGCCTACAGGCGAGCCTCCCTCTCCTAACCACCCTCCTGCCAACCTCCCCTTTGAAATGGGAGCACTCGGAAGGGACAGCTGGCAGCCTCCTCCCCTGGGCTCTGCCTGCTTCTCCTCACACCGGCTGGTGGTTTGTTTGCCAGTCACTTGTATTTGTTCCTGAACATGTTTCTGACAGTTCACTTGTCATTGTAATTACTGTCGTAATCTAACTAAATGTTATATTACTGATGAATCAGAAGTGCACTAACAAGGAGAGATGTTTCTTATGAAAATTCAGTCTAATGCTTTGAAGGATACTTTACAAATGAGTCACCAAAAATATTGGCAAATTAGGTGTGGGTGAGATGAGTGTAAATAACTGGGTGAGAGAGAATTGTCAGAATCTCAGATGGGTTCCACTTGCTGACCACTTCACATGGCCCTTTAAACTCACCCTCCACTTCAAAGAATCCACAGCTGATGTTGGAGATGATGTTTCATCCCTGTGGATTTCCCAAGGAAAGCAGTTTGGGACTGCAAGAGATGGACCCGTAATAGAAGGAGAGGCCTTGACAGGCACGGTGGCTCACGCCTGTAATCCCAGCACTTTGGGGGACCAAGGTGGCTGGATCACCTGAGGCCAGGAGTTTGAGACCAGCCTGGCTAACATGGTGAAACCCCATGTCTACTAAAAATACAAAAATTAGCCAGGTATGGTGGTGGGCGCCTATAATCTCAGCTACTTGGGAGGCTGAGGCAGGAGAATCGCTTGAACTTGGGAGGTGGAGGTTGCAGTGAGCCAAGATTGTGCCACTGCACTCCAGCCTGCCTAGGGGACAGAGTGAGACTCCATCTCAAAGAGAAAAGAAGGAGAGTCCTTGAGAAAGATCAGTGATTGGCCAGGCACAGTGGCTTGTGCCTGTAATCTCAGCACCTCGGGAGGCTGAGGTGGGCGATTCACTTAAGGCCAGGAGTTCGAGACCAGCCTGGGCAAAATGGTGAGACACCATCTGTACTAAAATCACAAAAATTAGCTGGGCATGGTGGCACACACCTGTAATCCCAGCTACTCGGGAGGCTGGGTCGGGGGAGAATTGCTTGAAACCAGGAGGTGGAGTTTGCAGTGAGCTGAGATCGTGCCACTGCACTCCAGCCGAGCAACAGAGCAAGACCCTGTCTCAAAAAAAAAAAAAAAAAAAAATCAGCATGCTTACTCCTTAGAGGTTAAAATTACATGTGTGTTGTGGGGCTGCCCACAATTGTGCCCCCAAATAGGCATGTTGAAGTCCTAAACCCCAGTACCTGTTAATGCGACCTTATTTGGAAGTAGGGTGTTTGCAGACATAATCAAGTTAAGATGGTGTCATTAGGGTGGGCCCTAATCCATTATAACTATGTCTTTATAAAGAAGAGAAGAGACACAGAGACACACAGGGAGAATGCCATGTGACAACCTATGCAGAGACTGGAGTGACAGGCCAGGCCAGTGGGGAGAACATGAGGACAATGGAACCTGGACTGCCAAGCTCCAGCCCCCAAATCCCTCCCTTCTGGTTCCGGAGGCCCCAGGGTTACTCTCCCGCACACTAACTGCTTTGAAAACCTCATTCCTCAAATCTACTCCATCATGGGTGGCCTGAAGAAGCCTGGACAGGAGGTCCTGGGTGACCTGTGAGGGCATACACCACAGAGCTGGGTGCAAACCTGCAGAGCCAAAACCTGGGGCTCCTGGCTTCAAATCCACCTCTCACCAGTATTTGAGTTCTCTTTCCAGCGGAAAGTCTGCCCGGCCTCAGAGTTGCAGCCAGGAGAGTGGCTCAGAATCCAGCATGAAAACATTTGGAAGACATCAAGGTCCATTTAACCAGCACAAGAGCCCCAGCCTTCTTTGCTGTGTCAATGTGGGCTTCTCCAAGCCTCAGTTTTACTTATCCATGAAGTGGGTGTATTAAGGTAACGTTAAGTGGCTATAACAAAGAGACTCATGACAAATCAATGCCTTAAGGAAGATCATGTCTCTCTCTTGTAACAGTCCATAGTGCACATCCTGGGCTACTGTTCCACATGGAATCCAGGGACCTGGTTCCCTTCACTTTCTTCCTCTCCATTCCTTAGGACATTGTCCTCCTCGTCATAGACAGACACATCACAGGCCCGTCCTTGTTCTGACTCCTGAGAAAGGGAAAGAGAGGGTAAACCAGGAGCCCCACGGTCTGTCAGCCTAAGCCCCTGATGTAAAGAGTTCACATCATTTTTGCTTAATTTCTCCTGGTCACCTGTCCGTTCCCAACTGTAAATGGAGTTGGAGGTGAATTCTGGTCATGTGCCTGGTAGAAATGGGGACCAACTTTGAGGGACAGCCTCAGGCTGTGCAGATATAATGACACCTCCTTGCAACTGTGCAATAGGTACAGCTAGGGTACCTGGCGCCTAGTAAGCCCTCGGTAAAAGTGCTCAATGTTACTGAGCTCAGAGCTCCAAGGGACCTTAGAAACTCTCTGGCCCAACGTCCTCATTTCTTTACAGCTAAAGAAACAGGCCTAGAGAGGAGTGACATTGGCCTGTGTTCCCCATGGGTAAGGAGAAAAGTTGGTTCAGAATCCTATCTGGCCTGCAAACCCCATGCTCACACCTTTTATTTCAAAGTACCTGGTCTAAACCCACTAGGGTCTGGGCAGAGAGCAGGGTCCATATGACCTCTCCCCTGGTCTCCCAGGGTTGGGGGGCATCATTCTAGAGGGACCCTGTGCCCCACAGCAGCGCCCTCGGCTGGGGACCACACAGCTTTATGACTAGGTAGGTGTGGCCCTGGTTTCCAGGACAGGTGGCCAGACTGCTCTGTGACAAAGGGCCACGCCTGCCCCTGGGAGGGGTATTGGGCTGCCGCCCGCAGATGTTGCAGTAGGAACTGAAGAAGATGGCGTGCCTGGGCTTCCTCCTCCCCGTGGGCTTCCTCCTCCTCATCAGCACCGTGGCCGGGGGAAAGTACGGCGTGGCCCACGTGGTGTCGGAGAATTGGAGCAAGGACTACTGTATCCTGTTCAGCTCCGACTACATCACCCTCCCCCGGGACCTGCACCACGCCCCACTCCTGCCCCTGTATGATGGCACCAAGGCACCCTGGTGCCCGGGTGAGGATTCCCCCCACCAGGCCCAGCTCCGCTCCCCCAGCCAGCGGCCCCTCCGCCAGACCACTGCCATGGTCATGAGGGGTAACTGCAGCTTCCACACGAAAGGCTGGCTGGCTCAGGGCCAAGGTGCCCACGGGCTGCTCATCGTGAGCCGGGTCAGTGACCAACAGTGCTCAGACACCACCCTGGCACCCCAGGATCCCCGCCAGCCCCTGGCAGACCTCACCATCCCTGTGGCTATGCTCCACTATGCTGACATGCTGGACATCCTCAGCCACACTCGTGGGGAGGCCGTCGTCCGCGTGGCCATGTACGCACCCCCAGAGCCCATCATCGACTACAACATGCTGGTCATCTTCATCCTGGCTGTGGGCACAGTGGCTGCAGGCGGCTACTGGGCCGGCCTGACCGAAGCCAACCGGCTACAGCGGCGCCGTGCCCGAAGAGGAGGGGGGTCTGGTGGTCACCATCAGCTGCAGGAAGCTGCAGCAGCTGAGGGAGCCCAGAAGGAAGATAATGAGGACATCCCAGTGGACTTCACGCCGGCCATGACAGGCGTGGTGGTCACCCTGTCCTGCTCGCTCATGCTGCTGCTCTACTTCTTCTATGACCACTTTGTCTATGTCACCATTGGGATCTTTGGCCTGGGTGCTGGCATTGGCCTCTACAGCTGCCTGTCACCCCTGGTGTGCCACCTGTCCCTGCGGCAATACCAGAGGCCTCCGCACAGCCTCTGGGCCTCTCTGCCGCTGCCTCTGCTGCTGCTGGCGAGCCTGTGCGCAACCGTGATCATCTTCTGGGTGGCCTACCGCAATGAGGACCGCTGGGCGTGGCTCCTGCAGGACACACTGGGCATTTCCTACTGCCTGTTCGTCCTGCACCGTGTGCGGCTGCCCACTCTCAAGAACTGCTCCTCCTTCCTGCTGGCCCTGCTGGCCTTTGATGTCTTCTTTGTCTTCGTCACCCCCTTCTTCACCAAAACCGGTGAGAGCATCATGGCGCAGGTTGCCTTGGGCCCTGCAGAGTCTTCAAGCCATGAGAGGCTGCCCATGGTACTCAAAGTGCCCCGGCTAAGAGTCTCCGCCTTGACCCTGTGCAGCCAGCCCTTCTCCATCCTTGGCTTCGGTGACATTGTGGTCCCCGGCTTCCTGGTTGCTTACTGTTGCCGCTTTGATGTGCAAGTCTGCTCCCGTCAGATCTACTTCGTGGCCTGCACCGTGGCCTATGCTGTGGGCCTGCTGGTCACATTCATGGCCATGGTCCTCATGCAGATGGGCCAACCTGCCTTGCTCTACCTAGTGTCCAGCACCCTGCTCACCAGCCTGGCTGTGGCTGCCTGCCGCCAAGAGCTCAGCCTCTTCTGGACTGGCCAGGGCAGAGCTAAGATGTGTGGGCTCGGCTGTGCCCCTTCGGCTGGCTCTAGGCAGAAGCAGGAGGGCGCAGCAGATGCCCACACAGCCAGCACACTTGAGAGAGGCACCAGCCGAGGAGCAGGGGACTTAGACAGCAACCCTGGAGAAGACACCACTGAGATTGTCACCATATCTGAGAATGAAGCCACCAATCCAGAGGACCGCAGTGATAGCTCCGAGGGCTGGAGTGACGCCCACTTGGATCCTAATGAGCTGCCCTTCATCCCCCCTGGGGCCTCGGAGGAGCTGATGCCACTGATGCCAATGGCCATGCTGATCCCACTCATGCCCCTGATGCCCCCGCCCTCAGAGCTGGGCCATGTCCATGCCCAGGCCCAGGCCCACGAGACTGGCCTGCCCTGGGCGGGACTCCACAAGAGGAAGGGTTTGAAAGTAAGAAAGAGCATGTCGACCCAGGCTCCCTTGTGAACTGGAGGCACTGGGACACACGCCTCTCAAAGGGCTGGTGGAACATTGCAGAGCAAAGCCATGCATGGCAACAAGAAATCAGGGCATCAAAGAGATTTCATATCTACCCAAGGAGTCTCTCTGTTTGTCGGGAGTGCAAGAGAGCAGCAACCACATAATAAGAGTGTGCAGGGCTCGAAGGGTCCTTAGGAGTGGGCACCACCCCCAAATAATGAAGGGGGGAAACTGAGGCTCCAAGAGGGCCTATGACTTGCACAAGTTCAAGCGGCAAGGTCGGGATTTGCATCCAGGGCTCACTGGGCAGCTACTCCCCTCTGCCTGCTTGCCCAACCCCTTCCCAATCCAGAGTGGCAGCTTCTTAGCCTGGCACACAGCCCCCATCCCATCCCTGCCACCCACCCTAGGCTCATTGCCCATCTTCTCTCCATGCTCAGGTCAAACAGAACTCCTTGTCCTCCCCACCCGCTCTCTCTGCATATGCTGTTCCCTCCAGCTGGGATGCCCTTCCCTCTCCAGACAGAAACACTCCAGCCTGGCTCCCTGACTCACTAGAAGATTCCGAAGCATCCTTTACTCCTCAGCTCACATCCATTCTGCAAAACGTCTCTGTTCAAGAATCCCAGGCAGCAGCACCAAGCCCAGCAAGTTCCTGTATGCACCACCCATTCCATCTTCAGGCATTGAGTATGCCCCTACTATGTGCATCGCCATGTGGTGGGCACAGGGAAGGCCTCTGTCTAGCTGGGGGAGGGGGAGGGGTGGGCAGACAAGAAACAAACTTAGAATTGTCTCAAAGAGGTCGGGAGGGGTTGGAGAGGTTGGGCCCAGGGTGGAAGAATTCCGGAGACCAAGGCCTCCCTCACTGACTCTAAGTAATGTTCAAGCCTCGTTGGGTCTCTGTAGTCTCATCTGCAAAATGAGACTTATAATACCATTTCCATCTGGAGGCAGGGGCATGGACGAGATGACCTCCTAAGGACTCTACAGGCTTTTAGGCCATGTAGGGTGCTGATGTGTTGCTTAATCAGAGCAGACAAACTCTGGGGTGAGAAGGCTTCCTGGAGGAGGTGTTTTTGGAGGGGAGGAAAGTGTATCCCAAGAGGCGGTGTGGTTCAGTGGTTAGGGTTCTACAGCCAGGCTGCCTACCACAAATCCCAGCCCTACCACTGACTTGGAGTATCTCACTGAGCAAATGACTTATCCATTCAGTGCCTCTGTTTTCTTGTGTGTGAAATGGGATAATAGGACCTACCATCTGGTTCTTAGGAAGTTTGAACGAGTTGGCCTATGTCAGGTGATTGGCACAATGCCCTGCCTGTCCGAAGAGCCCCCTGCACGTGAGCTATGTTTATATTGCTCCCCTAGTGAAAGCCTCACAGACTCAAACCCAGCTCCTACAAGACCTTGAGGTCCCAGCCCAACGGCCCTCTTCCACCCCTCCAAACCCCTACCGCCACAAGCACACGCCAGACCCACCACACCCCCCATGCTTTTTCCTCTTCTTGGAACTCTCTTTCTGCCCCTTCCTTACCACGCCCCGTGAACTTGGCCTGGCTGGCTGCTCCTCTTCGCAGCCTTTCCTAAAGCATCCCTGTCTCAATCACACGACCAGGCACCTTTAGTTTTCCGATCTTCCCCGGTAGAGGGCCAGCTTTGGAAGGGCAGGGGCCTTGCCCATCTTGTTCATCTGTGTAATTTCAGGGCTCAGAACAGCCCCTGGAGTGTTACAGGTGCTTGATGTATTTGCTGGAGGAATGAACGGATGGATGAATGAATGAATGAATGAATGAGGAGTTGACCAGCCTGAACTGCAGAGGAGGGAATGCTATGAGGGAAGGCCCCACTGCCCAGGCCACCTCACAGGCTTCCTGCAGGACCTTGGTCAGTGTTGACGTGAGACTTGGCAGGCCTGGCTGGGCCCTGGAGTGGGGAGAGAGTCCCAGGGAGGCAGTGCAGGTGGTGGGCCTCTCAAAGCCCCGCTTGCCAGGGAAGAAGTGCAGCCTCTCGGTACACAGCAGCTGAAGGCCCGCTAGACAAGGGAAGCTTGGAGAACCCGGCCAGGCCACTGCGGAGGTGTTGGCAGCCCCTCCCACCGGAGCAGTGGCCATCTGGCCTGGACAGAGGGCCCTCCGCAGGCCCTGGCTCAGCCCCAGCCTGGGCAGCCTCCCTGCTGCTGGCCTGCGTCACGGGGCCTGCCGAGGGCAGCTGCACCCTCTGCCAGGCCCGATGGGAAGGGCTGGACAGAGCCGAGGCCTCCTGGGCTCCCTGGCCCCCACATCCCCCAAAGCAGGAGGTCAGGATAAAGGAACTTCTCTTTCCCAGAAATCCAGTCTGAGGGCTCTGAGGA
Source organism: Homo sapiens (assembly GCF_000001405.40). Lineage (NCBI taxonomy): Eukaryota > Metazoa > Chordata > Mammalia > Primates > Hominidae > Homo > Homo sapiens. The sequence goes on from NT_187663.1 coordinate 551,430, forward strand.
TGCAGGCCTGGAGCTCCGCAGGCCTGCAGGGAGGCCAATGCCTACCTCCAAGGAGAGGGGATTCAGGGAGGGTCTGGGTCAGGAGGCCTCCCCCTTCCCGGCATCCAGACCTGATGGGGAGGTGAGGGCCCACACGGCCTGGATCTGCTGCCTCCATCCCTCTTCCCCAACCCCCAGCTTGCTGCACTGTGCTTGGGCAGCAGAACTGAGGTGCTCACAGGGTCCCAAGGCCAGGCCTGGGGTGGACAGCAGCCCAGGGTGCAGTGGCATCACAGTGCCCAGGTAGCTCTCAGCTCTGCTTCTCACTGGGAATTCGTCCTAGTCACCTAAGTTTCACCACCCCCTCCCCCTGCTGGTTCCCTAGTGTGGCCACAGCCAGGACTGACCAATGTCGGGGACCTCTATGAAGGACACCCCAGCTCCAGAGCTCCCGAGGGCTCACTGGGGCCCCAGCCAACCGGCCCCGAGGCCCAGCTTCATCCTCACCTTCCTGCAGACCTCACTCCCTCGCAAGCATCTCCCCTGAGACCACTGCCCAGCACCTCCCACCCAGCATGCTCCTGAGGTTCATTCCCAGGGAGCCCAAGCTAAGACACAGGGACAGCTGCCTTCTACGTGTGAACTGGAAAAACTATGTGAGTCCCCCCACACACCCCTACATCCTCCAAGCTCTTCTGCCCTGCTCAGGAAACAAGTGTGGAGACGGGGCTGGAGGCAGGTGATGGGCAGGACCTTTCTTCTTCCTCCCAAGAATACTCTGCAGCAACTCTGCCCATTTCACAGATGGGGCTGGGCAAGGACTCTGGGTCTAGAGGCAGCTTGAGGGTTTAGAAAGAGGCACCCAAGCACGGCTGCAGGTCAGAATCATTGGGGCACCTGCCAAAAATCTGGATTCCTGGCCCCACCGATTCTGAGTTGACAGGTCTGGGGTGGGACCAGGCATCAACCATTTTGAGGGACCCCCACCCCCACCCCAGGGTGAACACCTTTAGAGTTTGGCTTCAGCCTCTTGTCTTGGCTGGGCCAGGAGGAGATGGGGAGGAGGGAGACCAAGGCTTCAAGGTGCCGGGGGCCCAAGGCAGGTCCTGCCTTCCATCCTGACATACACATTCAGCTGGGGGCCCTGCAGGCTCCCCTCCCTGAGCCCTGGGTACACCTGACCACACCCGGAGGCTCAACCTCCACCTTGCTCCCCTGGCCAATCCCGGTCTGGGGCAGGAGAAATTGAAGCAACTTTACCAACCAACAATCTTCACTTAACCGCCACATTTCTCAACCCCCACCCCACTCTCTAGCATGTCCTCTGAGGCAGACTTTGTCCTGTTTTGTTCATCATGCACTGGACCTGGCACATAGTAGGTGCTCAATAAAACATCTGTTGAATGAATTCACTGGCTGGATGAATGTCCCCCTTACTAGCTGTGTGACTTTGAGGATGCAAAAGTCTCCTTACCATAAAGTGGGCGTAATAACACCTCCTGCCCCAGGGGTTGTGGTAAGTAATAAGCCATATGGGTGAGGAGCTGAGCCCAGTGCCCGGCACAGAGTCAAGTCTCCTAGATCTTGCCCTGCTGCCCCTGCTGTGCCCTCTGATGGCCCAATGTCCCTACTCCTGCCCAGAGGCCTCCTCTTACTCTGCCAGTCCTCTTCCCAGAGGACAGGGCCAACTCCAGGTGTCCAGACCACGCTGCCACCTGCCAGCGGTGCCCAAAGCTGGAAGCCCCTGCCTGAATGCCAGAGGGACACAAGATACTGCGCATGGGCATATACACACACGCATGCACACACATTTGCATACATACATATACACATGGGCACATACCCATGCTGCACACTTCACACACCCCCACACCCCACACCTGCACACATATACACCCATGCGCACATCCACACACATATACCTGTACTGAACACATGCACATGCCCCGTGCACACCTGTTCACACCCAACACGTGCACACACACACACACACCTCTGGGCTCTGACCTGCTGCGTGTGGTTCCCTACAGATCCAGCCTTTCCCCACCAGGCCTTTCCTGGGCTTACAGGAGTGGGGGTGCTGATCCCTGGATTTCCCATCCCAAAGGACAGGGTGGTCAAGGTCCCTCCCTGCAGGCCTACCCCTTTCCTGGTGGAACAGATCCCCCTTCAAGACAGAACTCGCTGCCCAGCTGCTCTGAGGAGTGTGGTTCGAGGACAGCCTCCTGGGGGCACCTCAGCTTTCTAGCCCGGCTCACTCGTGCTCTTCAGGGGAGGGGGCACAAAGGGCCGGTTACTGGCTGAGCAAGACAGGGGCCCAGGCCCTGGCTGTCTCCACCCAGAGTGGTCTTTGCTTTGATCCCATGGGCTGGCAGAGGCAGCACAGGGCTGCATCCCAGGCTGCCGGCTCCCCGTGCTGCAAGCTGCTTCCTCCTGGCTCCACCACTAACCACCACAGCACCTGCTTCCTGGACAGCCTCACCTGTGATAGGTGAACCCTCAGATGAGACCAGGGCAGGAATAGCCTCCTCAAGGCCACCCCCAGGGCCCCAGGTGGCCCAGCCTCAGGGTCGAGCTGTTTTACACAGGCCAACTGGCATTTCTGTCTGTGACCTTGGTAATCCCAGCACCAGCTTTATGAGCATGGGCTTGGTTTTCTTTTGTTCATGAGAGGGTTTAGTACTGGAGCTTCTGGATTTCTGGGACAGTGGGGACCAGCAAGGACCTGTGAGATGATCTCATCCACAGATGAGGAAAGGAAAGCCCAGAGAGGGCCAGGACCTGCCCAAGGTCACACAGCAATGGGACAGCAGAAACGAAATGCAAGTCTGGTCTCCTGCCTCCCAGCCCAGCAGCTGGGACCAGCTCTCATCCTCAACAGCCCCTCCCTCCACACACCCTGGTCTCTGATTTTGTTCCTCTGAAATCACACCTCCCCCAGGAAAACTCTGGGTCTACCCACTCCTGTGCCCTGGGAGGTATAGCCCCACATTCTCCTTGAGAAGTATCTGTGTGTGTTGCTTGATAAAGGTTCAGCATCAATCCGCTTGCCAGCTAGAAGGAGAACACAGCTGGACTTTGAGACCTGGGTTCAAAGCCCCACATTGCTTTCTCTTGTCATGTGATGCTGGACAACAGAAGCCAGCCCTCTGAGCTTCAATTTTCTCATCTGTAAAATGGGCTGCTAAGACTCACCTAATGGTTCGTTGTAAGGATTAAATGAAGTGAAGTATGTGTATGAACAGCTAACACTGGCTAAGCACTTACAGCAGGGCAGATAAATGCATTATCTCATTACGTGTGACCCAGGTTTGGGGAAAAACTTTCCAGGACAGCACCTGACATACCCCCAAATGCCGTCTTCCCCAAATGAGCTCCCGGAAGTGGAGTCATCCTCTTCCCTTGGTCTCCCCTGCCCACGCTCACTGGGATGTGGTGTGTGGGTGGGTGCCTGGTGGTAAGCAGGGCACCACCGCAGAGCCAAGAAAAGGTTTCCCAAATTCCCCCACGTACTGGGTCCTGCAGTTTAACTGAACCACCAACGTTTTGCGCCTTTTTTCCTGCAACCCTGAACCTTGAATGCTCCTGTGCTGCCACCTACTGGCCAGGAAGATAAGAGCAAGCAGGGGCTCATGGAATTTGGGGATAATTATAATCAGTAATGATATTTAAAATATGTTTAATAAACTAGCAATCAGCAGAGTTCTGAAGCCCCTATTGGGCTCAAGGTTAACGCTTTAGAATCTGGGTTGTTAGAAGGGTGAGGTGCCCTGGAGGAGGTTATTTTGATATTTTATTGAATGAAATAGCCCAAAACAGCATCACTGAATGTCCTTAATGCCTAAAGACGGTCCATGCCCTGACACTTACCCCACCCCATAGAATCAGACCACCATGAATAAGTGTCCTCAGGCCCCCCGGTTCCTGGACTATTTGTACGCAAGATGAGGAGACTCCCCATATGGCCCCTCCCCACCCCCACCCCCAGGTCCAGACCCAGTCCTTGCCCCTGGAACGGGACCTGGAAGGGAAGCAGACAGCTGGGGCTGCTGCTGAGAGAACCTTGGGCTGCTAAAATCTGAGACGTTCTGAGTTTTTGTTTTTGTTTTGGTTTGGCTTGGTTTGGTTTGTTTTTTGAGACAGGATCTTGCTCTGTCACCAAGGCTGGTGTGCAGTGGCATGATCACAGCCCACTGCAGCCTCAACCTTCCAGGCTCAGGTGATCCTCCCACCTCAGCCTCCCCAGTAGCTGGAACTACAGGCATGCGCCACCATGCCCTGCTAATCTTTGTGTATTTTTTGTAGAGATCGGGTTTTGCCATGTTGCCCAGACTGGTCTCCTAGGCTCAAACAATCCTCCCGCCTTGGCCTCCCAAAGTGTTGGGATTACAGGTGTGAGCCACTGAGCCTGACCTGAGACCTTGTTCTGAGAAATGCCTTTAAGTAGTATTCCCCAGGCTCCCAAAGACTTGAATGGCAGCAAAGATTGGTGGGGTTTGGGGGATTGCAGTGAGGTCTGAATAATGGTGTTGGCAGAGCCTCCAGTGATCATCCAGAACTGAGGACAGAGAGGGAAAGCAGCCTGCCCAAGGTCAGACAGCAGACCCAGTGACAAGCCCAAGGCAACCGAGAACCTGGAAACTAATGCAGAAACCCTTCGTAAACAGGAGACGCTTTCTGGTTTGCCTTTCAGAGGCTGCTTCATGAAGCCCCCAAATTCCCCCACATACTGGGTCTTCTTAAAGCAGGAGGCCCCTGGGTCCAGAGAGAAAAGAACTCTGAGCAAAACCCTCAGTCCCTCGTCCAGCCTGGACCCAGGCTTGGCCCTGCCTGCAGTTCCTGACTTGACCCAGACACTGTAGTGAACTCAGGCAGGAGGGGCCACACCTGAGAACCCTCACCCATCACAGCCCAGGTTCTCTTCCCGGCTATCCCCCGGGACAGCCCCAGAGCATGAGCCAAGGGAGTCTGGTCTCCACCTACCTTGCTTAATCCTTAAAGCCAGTTGTGACACATTGAATAATGTCCTCCCCCAAAAATTTGGAACCTGTGATCATTACCTTCCATGAAAGGGAGCAAAGGAGAAAGGACTTTGCGGAAGTGACTAAGCGAAGGATCCTGAGATGGGGAGATAATCCTCTATCGTCCTAGCGGGCCCTAAACGCAAGCACATGGGCCCTTATGAGAGAGAGAGGGAGAGAGAGAGAGACAGAGACAGAGGAGAAGCTGGGCGCAGTGGCTCACGCCTGTAATCCCAGCACTTTGGAGCCCAAGGCAGGTGGATCAATTGAGGTCAGGAGTTTGAGACCAGACTGGCCAACACAGCGAAACCCTGTCTCTATTAAAAACACAAAAATTAGCCAGGCATGGTGGCACATGTCTGTAATCCCAGCTACTTGGGAGGCTGAGGCAGGAGAGAAAGCTTGAATCCCAGAGGCGGAGGTTGCAGTGAGGGGAGATTGCACCACCGCACTCCGGCCTTGGTGACGGAGTGAGACTCCATCTCAATAAAAAAAAAAAAGAGAGAGAGAGGACTGGGTGCAGTGGCTTATGCTTGTAATCCCAGCACTTTGGAAAGCCGAGGCAAGTGGATCACCTGAGGTCAGGAGTTCGAGACCAGCTTGGACAACATGGTGTAACCCTGTCTCTACTAAAAATACAAAAATTAACCGAGCATGGTGGTGGGTGCCTGTAATCCCAGCTGCTTGGGAGGCTGAGGTAGGAGAACTGCTTGAACCCGGGAGGTGGAGGTTGCAGCGAGCCGAGATTGCGCCACTGCACTCCAGCCTGGGCAACAGAGCGAAGCTCTGTCTCAAAAAAAAAAAAAAAAAAAAAAAAGAGCTAGAGAGAGAGACAGAGGAGACAGCAGGATTACACACATGGAAGTGGAGAAGGCAATGTGGTGATGGAGACAGATTGGAGTGATGTGGCCACAAGCCAAGGACTGCCAGCAGCCAGCACGAGCTGGAAGGGGTAAGGAATGAATTCCCCCTAGAGCTTCCAGAGGGAACACAGCCCTGACCCCTTGATTTCAGCCCAATGATCCTGATTCCAGACTTCTGGCCCCCAGAGCCGTGAGAGGGTATATTTCTGTCGTTTGAAGCCATCAGGCGTGTGATCATCTATACAGCAGCCACAGACGCGAATCCAGGGTTCAACAGACATCTGTGGCACAGGCTGCCCTTGCGCCCAGAGCTGTGCCTGAGAAGTAAATGGCTCACAGAGCAGACAAGATGAAGACATAACCCAACCACAAAAGCCCCCTGGCCCGCCGGGTATACTTTCCTGCAGGGGAAAGGTGGGCACAGGGGAGTCAGGGAAAGAGAGGCGAGAACTGGAGTCTTGGCTGCAACAGCCAGTGAGTGCATTCTCAGTTCAAGCCACTGCACTGGGCTCCAGGGACTTCTTTCCACTGTTATTGATTGCACTCTAGAGGAAAATTGGAAAGCACAGGAAAGTAGAAAAAAAAATCCACATTACTATAAGCTTTTGTTTTATTTCCATCCAGTCATTTGTTTTCCCCACGCATAAGGGTTTGGTTTTGTTTTTATTTTTTTAATTGTGGTAAAATACACATAACAAAATTTATCAAAGTGTACAGCTCAGCAATATTATTGAATACACTTACAATGTTGTGCAACTAGCACCACCATCCATTTCCAGAACTCTTCATCTTGTCAAACGAAATTCCATACCCACAAACAATAACTCTCATGCCTTCCTCCCCAGCCTCTGGCAACCACCATTCTACTTCCTGTCTCTATGATTTTGACTACCCTAAGTGCCTCATATAAGTGGAATCACACAGAATTTGTCTTTTTGTGACTGACTCATTTCATTTAGCATAATGGCCTTAAGGCTCATCCATGTGGCAGCATACTGCAGGATTCCTTTCCTTTTTAAGGATGAGTAACATTCACTGTGTGTATGCACCACATTTTGCCTAGCCATTCATTCCTCTGTTGGTGGAAACTTGGGTTACTATAAACATTGGTGTGCAAATATTAGATAGTGCAAAATTTATTGTGGTTTTTGCCATTACTTTCAATATCTCTGAGGCCCTGTTTTTAGTTCTTTGGGTTATATACCCAGAAGTGCAATTTCTGAATCACATGGTAATTCTATGTTCAATTTTTTGTTTATGTATGTATGTATGTATTTATTTATGTATGTATGTATGTATGTATGTATTTATTGGGAATGGGGTCTTGCTGCATTGCTCAGGGTGGTCTCGAACTCCTGGGCTCAAGCAATCCTCCCTCAACCTCCCAAGTAGCGGGGATTACAGGCATGAGCCCCTGGCTTTATGGTGTTTGTTTGTTTGTTTGTTTGAGACAGGGTCTTGCTCAGTAATCCAGGCTGGAGTGCAGTGGCACGATCACTGCTCACTGTAGCCTCGACTTCCTGGGCTCAAGCAATCCTCCCACTTCAGTCCCCCAAGTAGCTGGAACTACAGGTGCACACCACTATGCATGGCTAATTTTTTTTTTTTTTTTTTTAGTGGAGATGCGGTCTCACTATGTTGCTCAGGCTGGTTGTGAGCTCCTGAGCTCAATCGATCCTCCTGCCTCAGCCTCTCAAAGTGCTGGGATTACAGGTGTAAGCCACAGTGCCCAGCCTCTGTTTAATTTTTTAAGAGATTGCCATACTGTTTCCATAGAGACTATAGCATTTTACATTCCCATCAATAGTGCACATGTGTTCCAATTTCTCTACATCTTCATCAATACCTATTTTCTAGTTTTGGGTTTTTGTTGTTGTTGTTTGTTTGTTTGTTTGTTTTGAGACAGAGTTTCGCTCTTGTCGCCCAGGTTAGAGTACAGTGGCACGATCTCGGCTCATGCAACTTCCACCTCCTGGGTCCAAGCCATTCTCCTGCCTCAGCCTCCCAAGTAGTTGTGGTTACAGGTGTGCACCACCACGCCTGGCTAATTTTTGTGTTTTTAGTAGAGACAAGGTTTCACCATGTTGGCCAGGCTGGTCTCAAACTCCTGACCTCAGGTGATCCATCTCCCTCAGCCTCCAAAACTGCTGGGATTATAGGCATAAGCCACCATGTCCAGCCAATTTTCTGGGGTTTTTTTGTATTGTTTTTTTGTTTTTTTTTTTAATAGCAGTCTTCTTAATAGATATGAGGTAATATCTCATTATAGTTTTGATTGGCATTTTTCTAATGCTCATTTTTCCATGTGCTTATTGGCCATTTGTCTTTTTAAATGGAGAAATGTATTTTCAAAACCTTTGTCCTTTTTTGAATCAGGTTGTTTGTCTTTTAGTTGTTGAGTTTTAGAAGTTCTCTATATATTCTAAATATTAATCCTTTATCAGATATATAATTTGCAAATATTTTCCTCCATACTGTGGGTTGCCTTTTTACTCTGTTGATAGTGTCTTAGGATTAACAAAATTTTTTTAACTTTTATGAAGTCTAGTTTTTCTTTTTTATGAAGTCTGTTGTCTGTGCCTTTGGTGTCATATCTAAGAAATCATTGCCAAATTCGATGTTGGTAAGCTTTTGCCTGATGTTTTCTTGTAAGAGTTCCATGCATAGGTTTATTATTTGTTCATTTCAGTCCCAAGATGTCATCTGTCACCCAGGCCATCTGAATCCTTGTTAAAGAAAAGGGCACAACTGTTCTTTGTCATGTCCATCCAGCTGCAGGACTTCTGATACCTCCCTACCATTTGTCAAACCAACCCCAACTCCTCAGCCTGGTGTTTAAGGCCATCTGCATCCAGCCTTCCCTCCTGACTGGCCTTCCCTCCACTGGCCCCTATACATCCTGTTCACATGGCTCTTCTCACACGCTCACCCTTGCTCCGTGCCTCTGCTCACCTGGAATGAGCTTCTTCCACCTTCCTCTAATTCCTATAAACAAGAATCCACTGAGACAGTCCACATTCCAGGGCCCCTGTGCTGGGCCCTGTCCAAGGTCCTGGAGATGAACATAAACAAGATGTGAGAGTGGCGGGAGAGGGTCACGGATGCATTCTCTTTAAGACTCTTTCGGCTTTGAAGAATAAGAAACTGCTCAAAGTAGCTTAAGCCAAAAGAGAAGCATATTTGAAGGGACACAGGAATTTCTCAGAACAGAAGGGCAAACAGCCCAGTCAGGGCTCATGGGAACTGGGAATTAGAAAGCTTTCTGCCTCGCCGAGCTTCATAATCTCTGGGCCTCCACTTCCTCTCCTCCCCTCCCTGGGCTGGCTGCCTCTGCTCACCCATTTTGCCCTTGTCTCGTCATGCCACTGGCCCCCAACTCCACGTCATTGCCTCTCAGCCCAGGGGTCACCAACAACAGGCAACGGTGTCTATGCAGCCACATTTCAGACTCTCTCGAGAGAATCTACCTGGCTTCCACACTCTCTAGGGACCCTATTTGTTTGGCATCCTGTCACTGACTGTGGGTGAGCCCATGGGTCCCTGACTCAGGTGCCCACCCCAGGTCCAATCAGCTGTGGCTGGAGAGGGAGGGTGAGGAAGGCAGGGGCCACTGGATCACAAGGTTGTTCTTCCTGGAGATTGCTTCTCCCGGATCAGAGTCTGAATTTTATCAGGATCCCTGGGTGAATCATGGGCAGATTAAAGTGTAAGAAGCAGGCCGGGTGCAGTGGCTCAGCCCTGTAATCCCAGCACTTTGGGCCAAGGCAGGAGGATCACTTGAGGTCAGGAGTTCGAGACCAGCCTGGATAACGTGGCAAAACCCTGTCTCTACTAAAAATACAAAAATTAGCCAGGAGTGGTGGTGCGTGCCTGTAATCCCAGCTACTCAAAAGGCTGAGGCAGGAGAATCACTTGAACCCAGGAGGCAGAGGTTGTAGTAAGCCGAGATTGTGCCACTGCACTCTACCCTGGGCGACTGAGACTCTGTCTCAAAAAATAAATAAATAAGTGAAAACAAAAATAATAAAGTGTAAGAAGTGCAGCTGTGGAGCTGCGGTTCTCCGAGAGTGGTCCCTGATCCAGCAGCCTCTGCATCACTGGGCAACTTGTTAGAAATGCAGATTATGGGCCCGGTGCGGCGGCGCATGCCTGTAACCCCAGCACTTCCGGAGGGCGAGGCGGGTGGATCACCTGAGGTCAGGAGTTCAAGACCAGCCTGGCCAACATGGTGAAACCCCGTCTCTACTAAAAATACAAAAAATCAGCCTGGCATGGTGGCGTGTGCCTGTAATCCCAGCTACTCGGGAGGCTGAGGCAGGAGAATCACTTGAACCTGGGCGGCAGAGGTTACAGTGAGCCAAGATCACACCACTGCATTCCAGCCTTGGCAACAGAGTGACACTCTGTCTCAAAAACAAAAGAAACAAACAAACAAAAAAATGCAGATTATGAAGCCCTATCTTAGACCTGCTGAATCTGAAACTCTGGGGGTGGGGCCCAGTCCTTTGTTTTCACAGCCCTCCAGGTGACTCAGATGGGCACCAAAGTTTGAGAACTATTGCCCTAAAGCAGGGATTGGCAAGCTTTTCCTCTAAAGGGCTAGATGGTAAATACTTTAGACTTGGTGGCCTCAACTCTGCTGTCATAGCACTTAAGCAGCCATAACAATAGATAATAAAGAATAGGCACATGTGGCAGGCAGGATTCTCAGGCAAGTCTGGGCCCTTTTTGATTTTTGCTGCCATGTCTTGGCTGACCTCAGTTTCTGGACTTCTGGTTTCTGCTTGACTTGTCATCAAATGACCTTTGTTCTCTCATGGATCTAACACTTGCTCTTCTTGTCTTTATTGGGAGCTCACCTCTCCAGTCTGCCCACAGCTCCCACATGGCTGCCTGGTGGCCAGCACAGCTCAGAAGCATGGGTGACGGGTAGGAAGTGTTGTAGGAACAACAGGTTTGTATGCCCACTGTGCGCTAACAGACCCAGTAACTGAGACAGCAGCGTTGACAGGGAGAAAGAGTTTAATGATCGCAGGGCACCAAGTGAGGAGATGGAGACCCTCAAATCCATCTCCCACAGTAGTTTTGGGTGAGGTCTCTAAGGGGATTGTGGAGGGTGAGCTAGTGAAGAACTGGGGCTGTTGACTGGTTGGATCCTTTCAAGAATCATGAGTTTCAGTGCCCTGGTTGGTTCCTACCTGCGCTCATGCCCCACGGTTGGTATAACAAATTTCCACAAACCAGGTGGCTTAAGACAACAGACATTTCTTTTCTCCCCATCTGGAGCACAGAAGTCTGAAGTTTAGGTGTGCCCAGCAGGGCTGTACTCCCCATAAAGGCTCTGGGAGGAGTCCTGTGTTTCCTCTCCCCACCTCTGGTGACTTTAGGCACTCCTTGGCTTGTGGCAACATCGCTCCAATTTCCACCTCCACTGATATGTGACCTCCTCCGCACCTTTGCGCATTTCAAATCTCCCCCTGCCTTTCTCTCATGGTGCACTTGTCACTGGATTTAGGGCCTGCCTGGAGATCCAGGATGATCTCATTTTGAAGCTCTTCACTAATTACATCTGCAAGACCCATTTTCCAAATAAGGTCACATCCACAGCTTCCTGTGGACATCTATTTGGTGGTTGAGGCACACTATTCAAACCCTTACACCACCCTCCCCATCAAACACACAGGACCAGACTAGGGACAATTGGTGTCTCCACTCCACCTCCATCCTAATCAGAACTACAAAGGACAAGGTTTCTGGTCATCCCCATACTACAGCCAGAGCCAGAAGAACATCTGAGAAATAAGGCATGGCCCCTCTTCTCCAGGAACCCATGGCTCAATGGAAGCAGAGCTGCCAAGAGGAGTGCCATATTTCTACCCCACTATGGCAGTGCCTACCCCTGCCCACTAGCTCCTTTCAGGTTCTGGAGCTATGCCCGGAGGATGAGATAACGCCCACGGGGAGCCGGAGCATCCTGGAGAGCATCCCATCCTGGATGGATGGGTCTTGCAGGGCGCCCAGTGATCCTGACACACACACAAACTCCCTTCTGCAGCTTCCGTTCTCCTAGTGCAGGAGATTTTACAGTTGCCAGGATGGCAATTAGGAAGGGAACGAGCAGCCAAATGGCGCATTCTTGGGCCCCGCAGCCAGCATTCTGTGCTGCCCGTCTCAGTGCCAGGAGGATGAGACTTTCCAGAAAGCAAGCTATGTCCAGACAAGATCCATCCTGAACATTAGCTCAGCAACAATGAGGGAAATGAAGAGTAAGCAGGCCTGGCCTGCTGTGCTTCTCTGACAGATGCTGATAAGAATGGTCCAGCTGGGGACTGCTATACATGGGCCCAGGGAAGAGAGAAGCAGCTGAGAGTTAAGGAGAATTGAGGACAGAGCGTCATGGCAGGAATAAGTAAATAGGTTAGACTTGGGTTATCTTCCCAGATCTGCTACTAATTCGCTGTGCAAGCTTGGAAAGGTTCGAAAAGAACCCCTACCAATCGTTAGAAAAACAAATAATCCAACAGAGAAAATGATGGGCAAAGAATTTGAATAGGCATTTTACATAAAAAATACAGATGGTCCAAAAAATATGAAAAGATGTTCAATCTTCCTAGTCATTAAGGAAGTAAAATTTAAAATAACCAGAACACTAGTCAAAAAAGTAGTGACATCTGAATTAAGTCCATAGTTTAGTTAATAGCATTGTTCCAGTGTTAATTTCTTTGTTTTGGTCACTGTGTGTCCACAGTCGGTTCCTTCCAGTGGGTTCGTGGTCTTGCTGACTTCCAGAATGAAGCCTCGGACCCTCGCAGTGAGTGTTACAGCTCTTAAAGATGGCACGAACTCAAAGAATAAACGCAAGATTTACTGTGAAGACTGAAAAGCCAAAGAATAAACCTGCCACAGCGTTGAAGGGGACCCAAGCAGATTGCCGCTGCTGGCTGGGAGAGGCTGTGTTGGGTGGTGGGGATGGGGTTGGCCAGCTTTTATTCCGTTATTTGCCCCCGCCCATGTTCCATTTCTGTCCTATCAGAATGCCCTTTTTTCAATCCTCCCCGCGATTGGCTACTTTTAGGATCCTGCTGATTGGTGTGTTTTAGAGAGCGCTGATTGGTACATTTTACAGGGTGCTGATCGGTGCGTTTTACAGAGTGCTGACTGGTGCATTTTACAATCATCTTGCTAGCTACAGAGTGCTGATTGGTGCATTTTTACAGGGTGCTGATTGGTGCATTTTACAGTCCTCTTGCTAGCTACAGAGCGCTGATTGGTGCATTTTACAATCCTCTTGTAAGACAGAAAAGTTCTCCAAGTCCCCACTCACCCAGAAAGTCCAGCTGGCTTCACCTCTCAATTGTATTGTGGTTAGGTAAGATGCTCACATTAGGAAAAGCTGGAGAAACGGTCTGTGAGAACACTGTATCTTTATAACTTTCTGCAAGCCTAAACTTATTTCAAAATGAAAAGGTAGGCCACGCATGGTAGCTTGCACCTGTAAAAATCCCAGCATTTCAGGAGGACATGGCAAGAGGATTGCTTGAGTCCAGGAGTTCAAGACCCAGCCTGGACAACATAGTGAGACCCCGTCTCTACTAAAAAAGAAAAGATAAACAACAATAACAGAAAACAACAAAGAAAACTGTTTACCCATCTGATACAAAGTTTTTTGGAGAGCACTTTGGCAGTTTGGATTACCATTTCACTGTGTGTGCCCCTTGACCCAGGAATTCCACAACTTGGTATTCACCCTCCACAAATCCTTGCACTTGTATTCAAAGAGATGTGGCCAAGGGTATTTGTGATAGCCAGGAGCAACCTAAATGACCACCAACAGGGAAAAGTTAAATGATACAGCGTAACTAACCATGAACTACTATGCAGCAGGTAGAAAGAATGCCATATGCTATGTGAGCAAAAATGCAAAGGTTTCCAAAGCAAAAAAGTAAGCTGCAAAACAATATATACGGTATGATCTTATGGATGTAAAGGAAAAGCACAAATAAAGCCATACATCTCTAAATGTATGTATACAAATGTACGTGCCCATCCAAAGTCAGGAAAGATCTCCCCAACATCCCATTAGCCAGAGTTCCCTCTGGAGAGGGCAGTGGGACTGGAGATTGGAATAGATAGGACAGGCGGAGGTCATGACGAAGACTCACTTTTTCTGTATTCTTCAAATTTTTAACAATAAGACTTTCATGTATTATTTGTGCAGTGTTTGTTGTTGTTGTTTTGGGTTTGTTTGTTTGTTTTTTTGTTTTTTGAGACAGGGTCTCGCTCTGTCGCCCAGGCTGGAGTGCAGTGACGCAATCATGGCTCACTGCAGCCTCAATCTCCTGGGCTCAAGTGATCCTCCCACCTCAGCCTCCCGAGTAGCTGGGAGATGCGTGCCACTGCACCCAACTAATTTTTTTTGTAGAGACAGGGTTTCACTATGTTGTCCAGGTTGTATTTTTTTGTAGAGACGGGGTTTCACTATGTTGTCCAGGTTGATCTCAAACTCCTGAGCTCAAGCAATCTCCCCACCTCAGCCTCCTAAGGTGCTGGGATTACAGGTGTGAGCCACCAACAGGTGCTAACCTTCTCCGGCATGCAGTTTTCTTGTTTTTAAAATAGAGTTGGGGCAGGGCCCCCCGAGAGGCTGCTTCCAGCTCTGACTTTCTCTTTACCATGAAGCTGAGGTTGTGTCCTATTATGCCCTCTTTCCACACTCCCCCTCCCCACTCTGCAGCACACTGGTCCAACCAGCTGGCTTCTCTCTATTCCTCAAATTTTCCAGCTCATTCCTGACGTAGGGCCTTTGTCCTGTGGTCGCCTCCACTGGCAAGCTCTTCCCACAGCCTCAGATAGCTGGCTCCTTCTTACCGTGCATAGCTCAGCTTAAAGTTCACCTCTGCAGGGAGGCCTCCCTGACTGTGCAGAGTAACAACAAGGTGGGAGAGAAGGGCAGAGCTGAATCAGAAAGGGCCTGTGGACTAGAGTGAGGAGTTAGGGGTTCAGCCTCAGGAGGGTTTGAAATGCTCAAGGAGGAGGCTAGGAGATGAGGAGTGGGGCTGGGCTGCCTCTGCACATCATCAAAGCCAACACTCAGTCTAATCCAAATCTTGCTAGAGCATAGAACATAAGGTAGAATGAGTCTTTAAGCAACTGGGAGTCATCTCGAGGTAAACAGAACTCCAAGAGTAACGAAGGCCCAGAGTGAATTTATTTTGAGAGAGTTTCCTGTTGGAGTAGCAGACACTCTGCAGTAGTGTTTTTCTCTCTCCTGGGTGGGACTGCCCTGCCTATATGCACTTAAGGCATAGAGTTTCCTGTTCTTGCCTCTTCTCAGAGCCTTGCATTGAAACTCAAATGTATTCTCAGAAATTTCTCTCCACACAATGACATATCGCCTCTGTGCTTTTACTCTCTTTGTCTTTCTCTTTCTCTCAACCATTGTTTTCCACCCATCCTCTTTTTCCTAAACTTCTTAAGATTGTTGGCCATTTCCCTTTCTCCCTCCCCTCTCTATGTTTCTGTGTGAGATCTGCCATCCTTTAACCATTCCTCTTCCCCGGGGTAGCCGGTTGTAGCTGATCCTGCCCACCCTTTCCGGTGGTCTCTCAGCCTGGCCACACCTTCCACGGCTGGGCCCCCCTCACCTGCTCACAGCTGGATTCCCCCAGGCTGAACCCCCAGACCAGCTTGCAGGGCTTCCTCTCTCTTCATTCTTCCCACAAGCCTAGCCAAGAGCTTAACACTCACCAGATGCAAATGGTTAAGTGCAACTCGCTTGGGAAGAGGGGGTGTTGTTGGTTCATAACGAACTGCAGAGGGCGAGGGGCAGGGAAAGCTCCAGCCATGACTCAAACCCCATCGGGCATCTCTCCCCTCCTGTTTCTGTTTCTCTCGGGTGGGCTTTCTCTGGAAGGCTAGAACCATGGACACTGCAGAGTGAGGGTTCATTCCTTCCCAGCTTGGCCATCTGAGAGTAGAGGAGCCTCTTCCTCCAGTTCCAACTAGAAAAATCCCAGGGGTCGGCCAAGCTTGGATCACAGGCTCACTTGCACAGCCAGAGGGATGGCCACCATAGTAGAAGACCCTGACCAGAACCACATAGGGGTATTTCTCCTAAAGACAAGGACATCTATGCTCTAGAAAGGGGAAAAGAGTCCCAGGCAGACAAAACAACAGGTGTCCACACTGCCCCATGTTCAGCCTGGGAACCCAAAAGTCTCAATCAATTTCGAAAGCTTATTTTGCCAAGGTTAAGGAAGCACCCATGACAGCCTCAGGAGGTCCTGATGACACATGCCCCAGGTGGTCGGGGCACAGCTTGCTTTTATACATTTTAGGGATACGTGAGACATCAATCAATATGTGTAAAATGTACATTGGTTCTGTCCGGAGAGGTGGGACAACTCGAAGCGGGGAGCCTTCCAGGTCATAGGTAGGTAATAGACAAACAGTTGCATTTTTTGGGGTATTTGATCAGCCTTTCACCAAATACACAATTTACATATGAGAGGGGATAGAAGAATAGTCCCTTATGCCTTAATGTGGCTCAGTGAATCTGCATTTTTACGTAAACAATAGGGCAGAGGAAGCAATTGGATATGAGTTTGTCTTGGGTGAGCAAAAGAATGACTTTGAGTTCTGTCCTTTGTCCCATACCTGTGAAGATAAGCTATCAATTTACATTGCCAGGGTGAAATTCCACAGAACTGTTTTAGGGTAAAGATCTTGAGGCCCACAAGGAATTTCTTTGTGGACAAATTGTGAGGGGGGTATGGAGCTTTTTAAAAAAATCTTTGTAGCTATCTTACTTAGGAATTAAATGAGAGGCAGTTTGACTGACACACTTCCTGGCTTGACTTTTCCCTTTGGCTTAGTGATTTGGGGGTCCCGAGACTTAACTTTCCTTTCACAAGCCCACATGGCCTGGTCTTGGTGTGTGTGAAGACAGGCTTCTCGGCAGGCAGGTGAGCCCTTGGGAACACGAGCTGCTTCACTTCCCCACCCAGTTGCTGTCTTCAAGAGCAAGTGCTGGCTCCAACAGCCCCTCCTGCAAGGCATTCACTTCTAAGGCACCAGAACCCTTGGAGCTGCCAAGTCTGACTTTTGTCAGCAACAAACCCATACAGGCGAAAGTCATTTTTTATTTTAAACTGTCAAATCTGGGGGCCGATTGTCTCAGAAATGCATCATTTGAATACAAAAGATGGGCTCACACTTCTCTCTAGGATGCTGCTTCTTGAAGAATCATAGTTATTTTTTAGAGCTAAGACCCTTAGAGGTCTTCTATTCCAACCCCCTCATTCTTACAAACAAGGCAATGGGCATAGAGAGGTTGAGCATTTTGCCCAGTTATACCAGATAGTAAGAAGCAAGGGCAATAAGGGAATCCAAAAGTACTAACTACTTAACTAATCCTAACTACTAGGTAGTTAGTAAGTAGTCGGGCAATAAGGGAATCAACACTAGGGGTTTCCATCTGATATTTGCAAACCAGTTCAGAGAAAAACGTGGTAACAAACAATTCTCCTGGTAAAGTGTGCCTCACTTTTTTTTTACTATTTTTTTTTATTTTCGTAGAGACAATGTCTCACTATGTTGCCCAGGCTGGTCTCAAACTCCTGGGCTCAAGCAATCCTCCCACCTTGGCCTCCCAAAGTGTTGGGATTACAGATGTGAGCCACCACGACCAGCCTCACTTTTTTTTTAAGGCTTCAGATTTAAGCCATAGATACTTTTAAACTATATTAATATTAAATCTTAACTTTTCTCTCTTGTGAATTCATCTATAAAATGCTTCATCCTTGTATGTGATTGATCTTCAGTGGTCATGAATCCCAGCTTTACATTTCTCTGGCCATCACCACTACCTAGGGCATTTCGGGACCTGTAAATAAACACTTCAGGGCACCATGGGAATGACGGCTAAAGGAGTTCTTTGTAAAAGGTTCCCTTCAGCCACTGGTCACTCTACCTGGTTAATCTAGTTCGGAGTTTCACGCTTGTCTTCCTCAAAGAGGAATACACCCTTATATTTATAATCGTTCAGTATAATTTTTCTTCTTTAGTTGGTTCTTAATTTTGTTTTCATATTCCAAACCCAAAGTCACCAGCCCTAACTTGCAAGAGAAAGAAGTTACTGTGGATGAACAAGCAAAGCACGTGGGGCCCAAGATGCTATTGTTGGACACAAAAGCCCTTCTATGGCTTTGGGAGAGCCAATCCCCCATCACACAGCGCAGGAAGAAGGGCACTCACTGTGCTCACGCTCTGTGCAGCCCTCCTGAATTTGTAAACAACCCAAACGTTACACAAACAAGTTGTTGTTTTTCTTAGCTTGCTGGTGTTTTTAACTCAATAAAATGTCAATTAACTTCGTGAGCTTTCCTTTAACTCTATATAATCTTTGCGTTTGAATGGCTGCCAATCAAACGCAAAGATAGATGTTTTCTTTGAATATGGGCCAATTTCCGTGTATGCACCTTGTTGTCAGGATCAGCTAGATTATGGTGTAGTAACAATGTCGATATCTCAATGGCTTGACAAAAGTTTGGTTTCCGCTCATGCTACATGTTCTGTGAGATCAGTGGGGAGCTCGGAGTTTCCACAGTTACCAGCAAACGGAGAGAATTCTGGAGGGCCTCGAACAGGCAAGCAAATGATCTAGCCCGGAAGTGATGTTTGTCACTTTCCTTCACATCTCATTGGTCTGAACTGGTCACATGACCCCAGGCAACCCCAGAGGGCCAGGAAATTCGGGCTCCTTGTGCTTGCCAGGAAAGGAGAGTGGCCCTGTTGAAACCGCCTGTGACTGAGACAGTGAAAGAAATTTGACCTAACCAACTCCATCTTGCTTCTAGCCTCCAAGTTGTCCTTGTTCATTCCTGGGCACAGGCTGAACTAACTTTGGGAGGAGATTATTATAGTTTATAGTTTAAAACAAAGACAATAACAGCACTTTCCCAAAAGAAATTTCCTTCTTGCCTGAGGACTAGACTGCCTTTGTAGGACTGACAAATTAGCCACAAGATTAGAAATTATGCTTTAGGAGTCATGCAGCTGAAAGCTACAAGATTCTGACCCTCCTTAAACTGCTCCTAAGATCAGTGTTTGAGACATTTTGCAGACCCTGCACTTGATGGATCAGCTGGCACCACCCAGATCAATTAAATGGCTCATCTGATCTTGTGGCCCCCACCCAGGAACTGACTCAGCACAAGAGGACAGCTTCAATTCCCTATTACTTCATCTCCTACCTAACCAATCAGCACTCCTGGCTCACTGGCTTCCGCCCCACCAAGTTGTCCTTAAAAACTCTAATCCCCGAAACCTCAGGAAGACTGAGTTGAGTAATAATAAAACTCTGGTCTCCCCCACAGCTGGCTCTGGGTGAATTACTCTTTCTCTACTGCAATTCCCCTGTCTTGAGAAATCAGCTCTGTTTAGTCAGCGGGCAAGGTGAACCCACTGGACGGTTACACTGTTGCTCAGCACAGAACTCAGTGTACCCACAACGCTGCACGCCAGAATCCCACCTTCATACCAGGTCCAGGTAACAGCATCTTTGAGGAGAGCCCAGAGCTGAAGCAATTAGTCAAAGGTTTAAGTACCAATTATGAGAGAGGCCCTGGACAGGACTGAGGAGTAAGGAATAGGTATTTAGACCAAAGTGATAGAGGTGCTATAGCATCTAGTGGGTAGAGGCCAGGGGAACTGCTACACATCCTACAACACACAGGACACCCCCACAATAAGACTTACATGTGGCTGGGCACAGAGACTCATGTGTGCAATCCCAGTGGTTTGGGAGGCCAAGGTGGCAGAATCACTTGAGGTCAGGCGTCTGAGACCAGCCTGGGCAACATAGCAAGAACCTTCTCTACAAAAGTAAAAATAAAAGTTTGGGCGCTGTGATTCACGCCTGTAATCCCAGCACTTTGGTAGGCCAAGGCAGGAGAATCACTTGAACTCAGAAGGCCGAGACCAGCTTGGGCAACATGGCAAAACCCTGTCTCTAAAAAAAATACAAAAAATTAGCGGGCATCGTAACACAAGCCTGTAGGCCCGGCTACTTGTGGGGCTGAGGCGGGAGGATCGCTTGAGCCTGGGAGGTCAGGCTGCAGTGAGTTGATATCGTACCACTGCACTCCAGCCTGGGTGACAAAGTGAGACCGTGTTTCAAAAAAATATAAAAAATAAAAAAATTAGCTAGGCATGGTGGTGCCCACCTGTAGTTCCAGCTACTCAAGAGGCTGAAACAGGAGGATCACTTTAGCCCAGGAGTTCAAGGCTGCAGTGAGCTATGATCCCGCCACTGCGCTCCAGCCTGACCTACAGAGCAAGACCTTGTCTCTAAAAAATTTTTTTTAATTTAAAAAACAAAGATGCATGTGGTCTAAAATTGTGCCATGGTCCAGAAATTCTAGATCAGAGTAATGCAAAGTTCACATTTTGGGGGTCGGGGAAGCAAAACAAAAACAAAAATAAATCCCCAAAACACAACAAGCAAAAACATCTGCCTGGAGTTCCACCCCTGAGTGCTGGATTAGCGACCAGGCCACAGCTGCCCTTGTAAGAGGCACGCAGGAGGCCCATGAGGTGAGCTGCTGCAGGGCCTTGGGCACGGCCAGGGACCGGGTACGGGTTACCACTGGCCTTTACTCTCCAAATGTCAGGAGCACTACCTCCCATCAGTGACAACTAAAAATGTCTCCAGACATTAACAAATGTCCCAGGGGCAAAATCTCCCCAGGTGAGAACTCTCCTCTAATAGAACTTCCAAGTTGGCCCCGCAGGCACTATTTTGGTGCAGAGGAACCCGTCAAGCTTGACTTTAAATCTGGCTCTGCCACTAAATCACCCAGGGCCTTTCCTCTTTGGGCCCCCGTTTCCCTGTCTGTAAAATGAGAGGATTGAACAGGGCAGTCCCTAGAGTCTGTTCAGAAGTTCTCAGACTGGGACTTGGGTTCTTGCACTTTTCATTTTGTCACTGTTGATGTCATCACACACACACCCACGCACAGAGTGGAGTGAGGATTTCGGCTGCACAGCAGGATGGCCCAGATGATAGGAGGAGGCAGGGGGCGATCACTGGCTGGGAGGATGGCTGGGAAAAGAGGAGGAAGGGGAAAGGCACGCGAGGTCACAAATGCACCAAAAGGCATTTCCTGGCCTAGCCCTGTGCCTCCCTTCTAAAGAGCCATCACAGGACCTAAGGAATAAGAGACAGAGAGGGACTGGTAAAGGATTTTGGGAGGAGAAGTTAAGAGGATAAACAGCAAGCAGTATATACCCAGAAAAGTGCAATGTGCCCAAGAATAGGAGGGAAGTTTGTGGGGTGTGTGTGTGTGGGTGTGTGTGTGTGTGTGTGTTTGTGTGTGTGTGTGCTGTATCCTTGCTATTGGCAAGAAGAATTGAACAGCTTCAATTCAGTTTGAATCAGCCTGTAGCTTAGGAAAAAGTCATTATCGAGGGATTATTGAGTTTGCTGATCTCTTACCGGCCTCTTGCCCCTTGTTCAGTTGTAATCAAAAGACAGGGGTGGGAGGGGGGAAAGGAAGAGATGCCCCCTGCTCCTTAACATTCACGTTTCCTTCTGGTCCATCTCAGAATGCAATAAAGTTTGACAGTGACCTTGAAAGGGAGTGAGTGTTATTTAATAAAAGGCTGTTCAGTCTAAACAATGATTCAGGACTTTTTGAAAGCCAGAAGAGACAGCCTGAATGCCCTTTTCCATGCTAGGTCCTCTAAAAAGGGTTTATGTATATCTTTTATTTGTCTTAGGTCTGTACCTGTTTCCCACCCCCGACCCCCACCTCCCCCCAACCCCCACTAACTGAACACTTTTCTGGGTTGCTAATAAACTGAGCTCCCAGGCTATGCTATGCTCCACAATAGCACCTGTTTCTCAGAAGTATTTCACCCGGCTGTTCTTTCATCCATCCAGTCTGTCAGCCATTCATCAGCTATTTTCAAAGAACCTACTGTGCATCCAGGGCTGTTGATATGGTTTGGCTTTGTGTCCCCACCCAAATCTCATCTCAAATTGTAATCCTTGTGTGTCGAGGGCAGGACCTGGTGGGAGGTGATTGGATCATGGGGATGGTTTCCCCCATGCTGTTCTCATGATAGTGAGGGCATTCTCACAATAGCTGATGGTTTTTAAAGTGTTTGGCAGTTCCACGGCCAGGCATGGTAGCTCACGCCTGTAATCCCAACACTTTGGGAGGCTGAGGCAGGTGGATCACCTGAGGTCAAGAGTTCGAGACCAGCCTGGCCAACACAGTGAAACTCCATCTCTACTAAAAACACAAAAATTAGCCAGGGGTGGTGACGCATGCCTGTAATCCCAGCTACTCAGGAGGCTGAGGCAGGAGAATCACTTGAATCTGGGAGGTGGAGGTTGCAGTGGGCTGAGATCACGCCACTGCATTCCAGCCTCAGTGACAGAGCAAGACTCTGTCTCAAAAAAAAAAAAAGCGTTTGACAGTTCTCCCTTTGCTGTCTCCTGCCACCATGGAAGACGTGCCTTGCTTCCCCTTTGCCTTTCACCATGATTTGAGTTTCCTAAGGCCTCTCCAGTCATGCAAACCTGTGAGTCAATTAAACCTCTTTTGTTTATAAATTACCCAGTCCCAGGTAGTATCTTTATAGCAGTGTGAGAATGGACTAATACAACTGTGTTATGGGTGGAGGGTACAATGGTGAGTAAAATACAGGCCAGGCATTCTGAGTCATCACACGAGAGTGGGCATAGGTATGTTCACAGGCGATCACACCCCAGCGTGGTGAGTGTGGTGAGTGGGACACCCACGGCAACTCCTGACCCTAAAAAGGGAGGGGAGGCCTCCATAGAAGGAGCCCCTGAGCTGAGCCTTGAAGGACACAGGGACTACTCAGGCAGAGATAAGAGAATGATCCGGGCTGTGAAAGACATGAAAGAGACTGGTGATTCATTGAACTGTGGAGAGCAAGATGTGTTAGCATAGTAGCCAGCAAAGTGGGGATGGTGAGGACTGAGACCAAGCTGGCCAACCGAGGCCACATCTGCCCTGTCAAGGGGCTCTGCTCTAGGGCTCTGTCCCTCGTTACCAAGCTATGGTCCATTTTAAGGATTTGCAGTGGCCATGTCCCACGAAGTTACCATGAACACTGAATGAATGAAAGCTGAACCGGGGCTCCTAGGGGAAATACAGCATTAGATTCCTGCCGGCCTCTGATAACATCATCATCAATTGATCAATACATAACCTTTTTATGTGCATTTCTGTTTTAAAATATTATTTAATATATGCTGTTCATTCATTAACATCAAACTCACAGCCAACAGCACCATAATTCATACCTGAATAAAGCTTATCTAACGCACATATTTTCTCTATAAGGCACATCACAGACTTCTTTTTTACTTTTTTCTTTCCTTTAGAAACAGGGTCTCACTTTGTTGCCCAGGCTGAAGTGCAGTGTAGCAATTATAGCTCATTGCAGCCTCAACCTCCTGGGCTCAATAGATCCTCCCATCTCAGCCTCCTGAGTAGCTGGGACTATAAGTGTAAGCCACTACACTCAGTTAATTAAAAAAATTTTTTTTGTAGAGACAGGGTCTCACTATGTTGTCCAGGCTAGCCTCTAACTCCTGGCCTCAAGTGATTCTCCTGTCTCGGCCTTCCAAAGCACTGGGATTACAGGTGTAAGCCACTAAGCCTGCCCCAATCGCAGCCTTCTTGAGCATAGAAACACTAGACAGCACTTCAGCACTGCATTGGAGGGCCATTTTAAACAGTGAAATTGGCCGGGCATGGTGGCTCACAGCTGTAATCCAGCACTTTGTGAGGCCGAGGTGGGCAGATCACCTGAGGCCAGGAGCTCGAGACCAACGTGGCCAACATGGTGAAACCCCATCTCTACTAAAACTACAAAAAAAAAATAGCCAGGCATGGTGCCAGGCACCTGTAATCCCAGCTACTCAGGAGGCTGACGCAGAAGGATTGCTTGAACCCAGGAGACGGAGGTTGCAGTGAGCCAAGATCGTGCCATTGCACTCCAGCCTGGGCAACAGAGTGAGATTCCATCAAAAAAAACAAAAACATAACAACAACAACAAAAAAAAAACAATGAAATCACCAATAAAAAGTACAAAAGTGAAATGCAAAAAATATGTGGCACTAAATAGACCATGAAAAGGACACTCATTACAGTATGAGAGCTGAACAAGAAGGCAGGGTGTTGCTTTGTTTGAGCTCAGCTGGGAACATGTCTCAGAGTAAGCAAAGTCTTTGCCACCCTGCACATGTCCATGAATAGCCACAAAAGTGCCCTGAGCCTTGATTTGGGGGTTACAAACCCATTTTTAGCAAGTAGAAAGATTAGCAAATATTAGAATTATGAATAATGAGGATCCAAACCATAAATATGAACCCCTAAATTCTCTGTACAGCCAATGACTACGATGTGCATGAGAATATTTTACTAGAATATTTTTACTCTCTCTACAGAGATTTCTCCTCTAATATAGAAGAAAGACATGAGTGAATTTAGGGATATCTATGGGTTGAAGGCTAAAGATATGGGAACTCATATACAGCCACACTATACTACAGCAGTGTCCAAACAGACACTGTGTCAGCCTAGAGACAGCCTGTCAGAGGGTGACTTACAGCTCATTTCCTGATGCGAGGCAAGCCAGACAAGATCGAAACCTCAGAGCCCCCAGGGTTTCTCTGCTGTGTCAGCTGTCAGCACTGACACTCTCTGCGTTCATTCCTATGTGGAGGAGCGTCAGGAAGTCAGTGTGTCTTGGACCCACCAGTTGCAGACCGAAACGCAGCAGCCCACCCAGCAATGTGTTGAGAGAACAGTCTGGGCAGCCTGATGCTTCAGAATTTTCCAGAACAGAGTGATAAGTAAACTCCTGGAGCTGCTCAGGCCCAGGGATTCTTGTAGGGCAATTGTGTATTTGAAATGCCAGACATTGCGCTGACAGGTTTTATTTACTATTTTAAAGTACATATTAGAAATCATAAGTGTCAACGTATTTTTTTAAAAAAAGAAAAAAGTAGTATTTGAAAGCACAGATAGTTTCCTGTATGGGGAAAAAAGGTATAGAACACAATTCCTTCAGAGTATAATCTCCAAGCTGATCTGCTGAACTCAGCAGGGACTTTCCTTTGTCATTGAAGTGTATAATTTGTTGCTTAGAATTTCATTTTTAAAGGACGTATGCTACACACAATAGTTGAAAGTGATCATCTGAAGCTTCGCAGAGGGTATCTAACCCCCAATTTTTGTGGATTTCCCCAGTTATGTTTTAATTTTTTTTTTTTTTTTTTTTTGAGACAGATTCTCACTCTGTTGCTCAGGCTGGAGTGCAGTGGCATGATCCTGGCTCACTGCAGCCTCGACCTCCTGGACTCAGGTGATCCTCCCACTTCAGCCTCCTGAGTAGCTGGGACCACCATGCCCCCAAGCCCAGATAAGTCTTGTATTTTTTGCAGAGACAGGGTTTTGCCATGTTGCACAGGCTGGTCTCGAACTTCTGAGCTCAAGCTGTCTGCCATCTCAGGCTCCCAAAGTGCTGGGATTACAGGCGTGAGCCACCATGCCAATCTATTTTTTCATTTTTAATTTAAAACATAGACTACTTTTTAGAGCAATTTTAAGTTCACAGCAAAATTGAGCAGAAAGTACAGAAAATCCCCGTATACCCTCTGCTCTATACAGCCTCCCGCACTATCGACATCCCCCACCAGAGTGGTACATTTCTTACAATCCATGAACCTACCTTGACATGTCATTATAACCCAAAGTCCATAGTTTATATTAGGGCTCACTCTTGCTGTTGTATACTCTATAGGTTTTGACAAATATACAATCACATGTATCCACGATTATACTAGCATACAGAACAGTCTCATTGCCCTAAAAATCCCCCGTGCTCTGCCTATCCATCCCTCCCTCCCTGCTAACCCCTGGCAGCCACTGATCTTTTTGCTGCCTCCATAGTTTTGCCTTTTCCAGAATTTCATATCGTTGAATCCTACAGTATGTAGCCTTTTCAGAGTAGTTATCCCCAAATTCTTGAAATCAATATAAATATTTATTTATTTACTTATTTTTTGAGACAGAGTCTTGCTGTCATCCAGGCTGGAGTGCAGGCACTATCTCGGCTCACTCCAACCTCCGCCTCCCGGATTCAAGCGATTCTCCTGCCTCAGCCTCCCAAGTAGCTGGGATTACAGGCATGTACCACCACGCTTCGCTAATTTTTGTATTTTTAGAAGAGACAGGGTTTCACCATGTTCTCAGGCTGGTCTCGAACTCCTGACCTCAGGTGATCCACCCGCCTCGGCCTCCCAAAGTGCTAGGATTACAGGTGTGAGCCACCATGCCTAGCTAGACCAATATAAATTAATAGGCTGGGTGCGGTGGCTCAGCTTGTAATCCCAGGACTTTGGGAGGCCAAGGCGGGCGGCTCATGAGGTCAGGAGACTGAGACCATCCTGGCTAACATGGTGAAACCCTGTCTCTACTAAAAAATACAAAACATTAGCTGGGCGTGGTGGCAGGCACCTGTAGTCCCAGCTACTTGGGAGGCTGAGGCAGGAGAATGGCGTGAACCCGGGAGGCGGAGCTTGCAGTGAGCCGAGATCGCACCACTGCACTCCAGCCTGGACGACAGAGCAAGACTCCGTCTCAAAAAACCAACCAACAAACTATATATATATATATATATAACTCACCTGCAAATCACTACATTGTAAGCAACTTAAGATCTTAGTCCTCATTGTATTCACGGTGTACAGGGACACTCAAACACCTGTTGAATGGATGGAAAGATGAATAGCCTGCCTCTCCGATTTCAAAAGAAAAACCAGAACACTAATCTAGTAACAGTGAGTGGTTGTACTTAGTATTACTTAGAAAAAGAGATGCTAATTCTTTTTATTCCGAATAAAGAACAGCTTGTAAAAAATGAAGCCCAAGCCAGGAACAGTGGCTTACACCTGTAGTCCCAGCTACTTGGGAGTCTGAGGCAGGAGGATGGCTTGAACCCAGGAGTTCAAGACCAGCCTGGGCAACACAGTGAGAACCTGTCTCCACACACACACACAAATTATCTAGACATGGTGGTGCGCGCTTGTAGTCCCAGCTACTCGGATGGCTGAGTTGGGAGGATCGCCTGAACCCAGAAGATCGAGGCTACAGTGAGGTCTGATCACAGTATTACACTTCAGCCTGGGTGACAGAGTGAGACCCTGTATCTAAATAAAATAAGTATCAATGCCAGACTATAGGTCATGAGATTTGACTCAGATCTTAATATTTTGGTAACTTTTAAATTTCCGATTATATCTTCCATAAAGTAGGATTTCACAACTGATAGCATGGTTTCTGTGAAAGGGATTTCTGCTCACCCTTTTCAAGTTTTGTATTTGGGGCACTCTTCAAATGATCTGTCATTCCCCTATGCCAGGATATCCAGAGTGTCTGCACAAAGCCAAATATGATGAGAAGATGAGCTCATGGATCGGTGATGCCTTGTCCCTATTTCTGGACCCCAGGATCATCCTTGCTTTTTTGACGATAGAGTCATGCTGCTGAGTCATGGGTAACTCAAACCCTCATCTGCAGTTACCTTCTTCTTGCTAGAACCCGGGAAACCTGGACAAGGGGCAGTTGTCACTGGCAGGATAATGGAGGGAAGGGCAGGTGGGAAGGAGGCATCCAGGAAATAGACACACAGAAAGGAACATGTGGGTCTAAACAATAATCAGTGAGAGGTAAGTCCAGGGAAATGAAAGCATGGATCTGCCTCACGTTATATAATTAAGATGTTGAAAATGTCCGCATAAACCAACTCACATTTCATTTGCAACAGGAGAACTGACATTAGGGGAACCTGGTAATGGTTCATTTTGTAGAGTGAAGTATTTGTCTGTAATGTTAATACTCTCTTTCTAATTTAGCTGTATTTTATATTGATATTTCCCAATATTGGCTTTGAGAGAGGGCTGTCGTGTCTCATCAAAGCACCCTGTTTAGCAGACAATTAGGCAGAACAAATGCATGTTAGTCTGTCTAAATATGCCCTGAATTTGGTGTCTGAATTTACAATAGAAAATAAAGGAATGTTAGTCTTGAAGGCTGTCATCTGTTTCGGTAGAAAATGCCTTTTTATGAAAGTGTTTTCATGAAACTATTTCAAAGAGTAAGCTGCTCATGATAACTGGGAAGAA
Source organism: Homo sapiens (assembly GCF_000001405.40). NCBI lineage: Eukaryota > Metazoa > Chordata > Mammalia > Primates > Hominidae > Homo > Homo sapiens. The sequence continues at coordinate 579,525 of NT_187663.1, forward strand.
TTACCAAGTATGATGGCCTCTTAGCATTATTGTGGCTGTTCCCCAATGTCCCCTTCTCCTCCTATAGCTGGTATTTAGCTGGACACAAGTCCCTGTAATAAAAATATATTTTCCAGCCTCGATGGCAACTTTGTGTGGTAATGTCTAAATTCTGGCCAATAGGATGTTAGCAAGGATGTCATATGTGACTTCCAGGAAATGTCCTTAAAGTAAAGTTGTTCTCTTCCTCATCTCTTCCTTCTTTCTGGGGGCTAGAATGCAGATGTAATGACTGGAGCTCAGGCAGCTGTTTTGGACTATGAGGCAGCATGCTAAGGATGGTAGAGAAATCATACAGCTGGATAAGAGCTCCCTGATGGTCTTGGAGCTTCTAAAACAGCCTTTGACTCCTACTTCTGGACTTCTATGTAAGAGAGAAATAAGAGAAATTGCTGTCCCTTAGCAATCATGGTTGGGCAAGGGAGTAGCAACCGGTGCCCAGGTAACAAACGTGTTCCTCCCTGCTGCACTGTATAATTGCAGCCCTACTTCCTGCTAATGACTAAAGTTAATTATCCCTTCCAAGATGGTAACTTTTCTTTTTGCCTGCTGATGTCTGGACCTAAGGAAGCAGAAGGGCTCAGGCAGCAGCCACAGCTGATAGTTCAATAAAACTGTGCTGTGTCCCCTGGTGGAAGTTTTCCCTTTGGGAGACCAGGACCTCTAACCCTGAAGAGCTTAGAGCTGTAATGATGTGGCGGTAAATGCGGCCACTTCAGTTTTCACCCTTGGTTCCCAAACCCATGTATTTTTTCCTGTCGGGGTTTGTTTTCTATCGCTGCTGGAACCAATTAAAGACTGGGATACGTTCTAAGAAATGCTTCATTAGGTGATTTCTTCATGTGAGCGTCATAGAGTGCACTTACACAGCCTAGATGGCACTAGGTACTACTAAATGCCTGGGCTATATGGTATAGCCTTTTGCTCCTAGGCTACAAACCTGTACAGCATGTTACTGTACTGAGTACTGCAGCAACGGTAACACAATAGTAAGTATTTGTGTATCTAAATGTGTCTAAACATAGTAAATGTATAGTAAAAGCAGTATAAAATAGTATAAACGCAGCGGCTCATGCCAGTAATCCCAGCACTTTGGGAGGCCCAGCCAGGAAGATCACTTGAGCCCAGGAGTTCGAGATCAGCCTAGGCAACACAGCGAGACCTTGTCTCTACAAAAAATCAAAAATTAGCCAGGTATGGTGGCATGCACCTGCAATCCCAGCTACCCAGGAGGCTGAGGTAGGAGGATTGCTTGAGCCCAGGAGTTCAAGGTTGCAGTGAGCCATGATTGCACCACTGCACTCTACCCTGGCAGACAGAGTGAGACTCTATCTCAAAAAATAAAATAAAATAAAATAAAATAAAAAGTTGAAAAACAGTACCTCTGTTTAGGACACTTACCATGAATGGAACTTGTAGGACTGGAAGTTGCTCTGGGTGAGTCAGTGAGTGAGTGGTGAGTGAATGTAAAGGCCTAGGACATCACTGTACACTACTGTTGACTTTTTTTTTTTTTTTTTGAGATGGAATTTCACTCTTCTTGCCCAGGCTGGAGTGCAATGGCAGGAGCTTGGCTCACCGCAACCTCTGCCTCCCGGGTTCAAGAGATTCTCCTACCTCAGCCTCCCAAGTAGCTGGGATTACAGGCATGCACCACCACACCCAGATAATTTTTTGTATTTTTAGTAGAGATTGGGTTTCTCAATGGTGGTCAGGCTGGTCTTGAACTCCTGACCTCAGGTGACCCACCCGCCTCAGCCTCCCAAAGTGCTGGGATTACAGGTGTGAGCCACAGCTCCCAGCCTGCTATCAACTTTATAAACACTGTACATTTAGTCCATATTAAAGTTATTAAAATTATTTTTCTTCAACAATAAATTAAACTTAGCACACTGTAACTTGTTTTGCTTTATAAACTCTTAAATTTTTAAACCTTTTTGACTTTTGTAGTAACGTTTAGCTTAAAACACAAATACATTTTCAGCTGTACAAAAATTCTTTCTTTATGTCCTTATCCTATAAGCTTTTTTCTATTTTGTTTTTTTTTACTTGTTACACTTTTCTTGGTAAAAACTAAGACATCAACACACATATTAGCCTAGTCCTACAAAGGGTCAAGGTCATCAGTATCACCACCATCTTCTACCTCCCCATCTTGTCCCACTGGAAGGTCTTCAGGGGCAGTAACATGCATGAAGCCGTCATCTCCTATTATAACAATGCCTTCTTCTGGAATCCCTCACGAAGGCCCTGCCTGAGGCTGTTTCACAGTTAACTTTTTTTTTTAATAAGTAGAAGAAGTACACTCTAGAATAATAATAAAAATATAGTATAGTAAGTACCCAAACCAGTAACACAGTCGTTTATTATCATTATCCAATTTTTTTTTTCAAATGGAGTCTCACTCTGTTGCCCAGGCTGGAGTGCAATGGCGCGATCTCCACTCACTGCAACCTCCACCTCCCATGTTCAAGTGATTCTCCTGCCTCAGCCTCCTGAGTAGCTGCAATTGCAGGTGCCCGCTACCACGCCCGGCTAATTTTTGTATTTTTAGTAGAAACAGGGTTTCACCATGTTGGCCAGGGTGGTCTCAAACTCCTGACCTCAGGTGATCCACCCACCTTGGCCTCCCAGAGTGCTGGGATTACAGGTATGAGCCATTGCACCCAGCCATCATTATCCAATATTATGTACTGTACATAATTGTATGTGCTAGACTTTTATACAACAGCCAGCAAGTAGGTTTGCATACCGGCATCATCACAAACACAGGAGTAATGTATTGTGCTACAACATCATCACCGCTATGAAGTCACTAGGCAGTAGGGATTTTTCAGCTCCAGTGTAATCTTATGGGACTGCCGTCATAAATGCAGTCCATTGTGGTTGTCTGGTGTATGGCTGTGCTACAAACTCAGTGGCTTAAAACAATGCAAATATATCATCTTAGAGTTCTGTAGGTCAGAAGTCCAACAAAGACCTCACTAGGCTAAAATCAAGGTGTCGACAGGGAGGCTCTAGCAGAGGATCCTGCATCCTTTGTAAAGAATTTTTACCCTTGTAAAGAATTGATGGTTCGGCTGTGCCTTCCAAGCTGTGCTTGACCAATTCTCTCAGGGTAGCCGCTTCTAGATGGAGAAGCCTATGATATAACCAGTGGATCCCGTGGCTGTGGGTTCACTCCCACCCCTCCCCTGCTTCACCTCTTCCAGTTTCTAGAGTAGGTGGACTCCTTAGCACTTGGCCTCTTCCTCATCTTCAAAGCCAGCAACATCACGGCCGGGTGCTGTGGCTCATGCCTGTAATCCCAGCACTTTGGGAGACTGAGGCTGGTGGATCACTTGAGGCCAGGAGTTTCAGACCAGCCTGACCAACATGGCAAAACCCTGTCTCTACTAAAAGTACAAAAAAAAATAAAATAAAATTAGCTGGGCGTGGTGGCACACGCCTGTGATCTCAGCTACTCGGGAGGCTGAGGCAGGAGAATCGCTTGAACCCAGGAGATGGAGGTTGCAGTGAGCTGAGATGTCGCTACTGCACTCCAGCCTGGGTGACAGAGTGAGACCCTGTCTCAAAAAAAAAAAAAAAAAAAAAAGCCAGCAACGTTACATCTCTCTGATCCTTCTTCTGTGTCACATCTCTCACTCTTACTGCAGCCAGGAAATTATTTCCACTTTTAAGGACTCTTGTGACTATACTGGGCTCACCTGGATAATCGGGGATCCACCCGTCATCTCAAGGTCCCTACTTTTCATCACATTTGCAAAGTTCCTTTTGCTATGTACACTAACACATTCACAGGTCCCACATGGTGAAACCCCGTTTCTACTAAAAACACAAAAATTAGTCAGGTGTGGTGGTGTGCACCTGCAGTCCCAGCTACTCGGGAGGCTGAGGCAGGAGAATTCCTTGAGCCCAGGAGGCGGAGGCTGCGGTGAGCCAAGATTGCGCCACTGCACTCCAGCCTGGGCAACAGAGCGAGACCCCATCTCAAAACAAACAAACAAACACACAAACACAAACAAACAAACAAAAACCACATTCACAGGTCCCAGGGACTTGGGCATGAACTTCTTTAGGGCCATTTTTCTACCACAAGGCTGTAAAAAGGTCTTTGATTCAAGGTCTGTCCTGCATCCTGGAGTACGTCTCCTACCCTTGTAAAGAATTGATGGTTCAGGTGTGCCTTCCAAACTCAGGGCAGCTGCTTCTAGATGGAGAAGCCTATGAATTAACTAGAGGATCCCGTGGCTGTGGGTTCAGTCCCACCCCTCCCCTGCTGTAAAGCAGTTCCCTTGGTCTCATGTGACACTATGTGGGACCCTGTACTGGAGAATCAAACACACTGTAAGCCCTCAGATAAGGATACTGGCTTAGGCACCGAAGGCAGGAAAGGCAAATCCGTACTCAGATCATGGGTCTACTCCTGTCAGAACAAATTACTGGGCCTTATGTGTGGAGGGACCCCAACAAAGTCAACCTGCCGGTTCGTCTTTTTGAGAAATGGTCCATTCTGAAGACTTAGCACTGGTCTCTGTTGCGGGAGGTTGGACATTTGGTGGCAGCGGTAGCCTTGGTACATGGGACCCATCCTGCACATAGCATCCATTTCTGTCACCACTGCTGCTTCATTCGTATGTCCATCAGGTCAGCATTGGGACGGCCCATGGCAGAGGCCAACTGGCATCCCCCACTCTCGTCCTCTTGTCTACTTGGTTGTCCACTGTCTCTTCCATAGTAGGTCATCTCTAGTGGGCATTAACACGTGGCACAAAGATCAAGCTTTGTGTGCTCTTTTTTTTTTTTTTTTTTTTCTGGAGACAGAGTTGCTCTTTCGCCCAGGCTGGAGTGCAGTGACGCGATCTTGGCTCACTGCAACCTCTGCCTCCCAGGTTCAAACCATTGTCCTGCCTCAGCCTCCCAAGTAGCTGGGATTATAGGCACGGGCCACCACACCCAGCTAATTTTTGTATTTTTACTAGATACGAGGTTTCACCATGTTGGCCAGGCTGTTCTCGAACTTCTGACCTCAGGTGATCCACCTGCCTCGGCCTCCCAAAGTGCTGGGATTACAGGTACCAGCCACCAGGCCTGGCCCTTTGTGTACTCTTGCCTTTGTCATCCACATGCCTCTGCCCAGATCTCCTTGTCTCCAGTCTTCTAATTGTTCCCTTTCCACATCTATGATCAGCTGGCCAGGCCATTCACCACTACCCAAAAGTTTGTATATATTCTCACCTTGAGCTCTGCTCTGTCCATACAAAATGGGTGAACAGCTACACCACCCAAATCCCTGCCCATTAGGAGGGTTTTGCCTTGCCACTCTCTTTCAAGGCCACCCTTGAGTGAGATTGTAGTACATTTCCTGTCGTTTTCAGCCTAAACCCACAAACCAAGCCAAGCCATTCACAAACCAAACTTGCTCTTTCCTCTTCCATCAGCTGGTCAGAAGGACCCCTCCTATAACCTTAGGTGTGTGTAGAGGGAGGGTGCTGGTGCAACTCCGGTGGGTGGCTTGGGAGTCTGAACAGACTGCACGTGCAGCTTGCTTGTGGCCCAGGTCCTGTCCATGCTCAATCCCAGATGTACAACTTCCATCTAACAATGGATTGTTGCTGGGCTTGCCTAACCTTATAATTTAACTCATCTGATGTAACCCAGTTAATGAAGGGCAGTTCCAGGTGCAAGATCAGTTGGTATCCCACCATCAGGTGCTCCATTTCTACCAGGGCACAGCAGCGTGCCAGGAGTTGTTTTGCCAAAGGCATATGATCCTCCACTGCAGATGGCATGGCCTTGCTCCAGAACCCTGGGAGCCTGCACTGTGACTCTCCCACTGGGGCATGCTACAAGCTCTACACAGCATCTTCTTCATCATCATGCCTTTTGTACTATAGAGTCTGCTGGGTTGATGGCTCAATCGCAAGGCTACTTGCACTGCTGCCTGGACCTACTGCAGAGCCCTTTCCTGTTCTGGGCCCCAATTCAAGCTGACAGCCTTTCAGGTTAACTGGTTATTATTGGTCAAGTGGTATTCCCAGGTGTGGAATATGCTATCTCCAGAAGCCAAAGAGAATGTCTAAGTTTTGTGCTTCCTTCTTCATGGTGAGAAATATGAGATGCAATCATTTGATTTTGACTTTGGATGGACTGTCCTGACATGCTCCTGTCCACAGGACCCCTAAAATTGTTCCTGGTGTGCAGGCTCCTAAATATCTGTAGTATTCATCTCCCACCCTCTAGAGTGTGTGTAACCTACCAATGCCTTTAACATGCTAGCCACTTTTTGCTCCTTTGGCCCATTTAGCAGGATGTCATTCACATAACAGATCAAGGCCATGTTCTGCAAAATGTCCAGATGGCCCAGATCTCTTTGTATCATTCAGGGTCCAAAACAGGGACAGAAGCCACAGAGTAATTTGAACAGGAAAAGTTTAAGATAAAGAAGCAGTGATTCCAACAGAGGAGGAATTATAAGGGTGCTGGTGAGCAGTGCACAGAGGTAGTCGGGGCATCAGGAGCCTGCTTGCACTGAGGCAGAGTAAGGACTGAGGTGTGCCATATCTGTATTAGGGGGGCCCCAGGAAGCAACCCTGCATTATACAGGTGAGCCAGTGCTGGAAGGTGGATGCACAGGAGGAGTCGGTGTGTCAGGAGCTTGATCCCTAGCAGAGCAGTGTAAATCCTGGGTGCATGTAACCTCATTGGGAGAGCCACAGTGAGCTGGGCACCTAGCTGGGGCCAATGCTGTGAGCTCACCAAGGACCCCACACTCTGCGTATGGAGCTGGGGCAGAGGCCCTCTCTCCTGTGCCTCTGGCAACCATACAGTAGAGGCAAGAAGAAGCAAAACCCAAGCATGACAGAAACAGCAAGAAAAGCCTTTTCTTTTCTTTTCTTTTTCTTTTTTCTTTTTTCTTTTTTTTTGAGATGGAGTCTCACTCTATTGCCCAGGCTGGAGTGCAGTGGTGTGATCTTGGCTCACTGCAAGCTCCACCTCCTGGATTCAAGTGATTCTCCTGCCTCAGCCTCCTGAGTAGCTGGGATTACAGGTGCATGCCACCATACCCAGCTAATTTTTGTATTTTTAGTAGAGACAAGGTTTCACCATGTTGGCCAGGCAGGTCTTGAACTCCTGACCTCAGGTGATCCACCTGCCTCAGCCTCCCAAAGTGCTAGGATTACAGGCATGAGCCACCACACCCAGCTGGAAAGGCTTTTCTTTCTGCTTTGTCGCTCTAGGGCATCTACAACAAAGCTTAACCTGATGCTCACCACAAGGGAGAAATGCTTAAAGTGTCTAGCTCCATTATCACAAAGCAGGTAATGCAGGGTGACTTGGAGATGAGAGTCAATACATTGAAAAACTGGCACAGACCAGACTGTGACAGACGGTGGGAAAGTTAATGTATGGGGGGGAGTTGTAAATGTATACTGTTGTCCATTCCATGTGAATGTGGACTATTTTGAATCCTCTTTTCAGATAGGAAGAGAAAAGAATGAATTCTCTAACAATGGCCACACACTATGTGTCTGAAACTGTTCATCTATTCTAGCAAAGATCTGGCATGGTAGGTGCAATGGCAGCTACTACTCCATTTACTTTGCAGTAGTCTAGTGTCATTCCATAGAATCCCTCTTCTCCTACATGAACCATACTAGAGACATGAAGGTAACTATTACCCTTGCATCCTTCAGTTCCCCAAGGGTGGCATTAACCTTCTCAACTCTTTCATCCCGGGATGCAATATTGTTTCTGACTTATTATGTTGATCTGGGTTGGAAGGGGACTGCTTGGAGGCTTCTCAACTACTATAGCTCTTACTCCACAAGCCAGCTCAGTGTGTATATAGGAGAGGATCACACACACTCCAAGAATTCATCCTTGGTTTCTTTTGATGGTGCAGGTTGAGCAGTCCCGTTTTCAGTCTCCCATCTCTCTTTGCCCTCAGGGACTCTGTGCTCTATTACCCACTTCCACAACTCTCTGTAGATCAGGCTCCTGGGCTGTCACTCCACCTGTAGATCACATCCGGGTCAAATATTTCTATCTCGATTTTTCATGTGGGAGATAATGACTGGATGGGGTCCGTGGACCCAGTGGACTCACTGTCAGCCAGACCTTGGCCGGGACTCAATTTATTACCAGGTCTCCAAATACTTCCTCTCTAACGAAGGCCGTGATGATACTTCAGGCCTCTGGTTATCAATGCCAGCTCAGACACTGTGTCTTACAGTCCTCAGGATATTTGGGTATTCCTCTTTTCCCATTTGCCATGGTGCTGCACAGTCCTTCTTAATGAGGAGCCAGGCTTCTTCTCAATCAATTGGTTCTGGATCTGAAAACTACCTCAGGTCTGAAAACTGGGCAACGTGTGACTTTTTACTGGGGTGTCTGCCTTAGCTTCCTGATCATTCATCATGATTTATTCTAATGGTGCAGGTTGAGCAGTACCCTTTTGGGTCTCCCATCTCTTTTTCTTTTCTTTGTTTGTTTTTGTTTTTTTGTGAGACAGAGTCTTGCTCTGTCACCCAGGCTGGATTGCAGTGGCACAAGGTCGGCTCACTGCAACCTCCGCCTCCCAGGTTCAAATGATTCTCCTGCCTCAGCCTCCTGAGTAGCTGGCCCTTCAGGTGCCCGCCACCACGCCCGGCTAATTTTTGTATTTTTGGTAGAGATGGGGTTTCACCATATTGACTAGGCTGGTCTCAAACTCCTGACCTTGTGATCTGCCCACCTCAGCCTCCCAAAGTGCTGGTATTACAGGCATGAGCCACCGCGCCTGGCCTGGTCTCCCATCTCTTTTGCCCCCATGGACTCTGTGCTCTATCACCCACTTCCATAACTCTCTGTAGACCAGGCTCCTGGGCTGCCACTCCAACCTGGCCAGTTACTACAATCAGTGCACTTGCCTGGCTTCTGATGGTGCCCCAGTTGTGCCTCCTCAGGTAGTGGAAGGAATCACAAGAAGACTCCTGAAAGTATACTCACATAGGGCTTTCATAAAACTAAAGAAAATAATATAGCAGGATAAAGGCAAACACCAGGGAGCTGTCCGACATCCAGGCGCATCTTCCTTTCAGGTACATAGGATGTACTTGATCTTAGGATGATAAACCACCAAGATACATGCAAAATGCCTTGGTCTCAGGGAAGTCACAATCTCATCTAAGATGGTTTTTAATATCCTTCTGGTCACATAGCCAAAACCAGCTTGCATGATCAGGCTCAACTAAGATAATCTAACAGAAACCAGGTGAAAATAATCAATCTGTACATTTTCACTTAACAATGGTGACAAGTTGGTACAGAATATCTGTAGTAGTTTTTGGACTCAGTACAGAACTACACTAATCAATGGTTTGCAAATTCCATTCTGGATGGATCACGACTCAGCACTATGGCTTCGGGATCCCCTAGAGATAAGCACAAGGTTGCAGCCAGGAAAAATGACCCCCATACCCACACAGATAGTTAAGGGCCAAACCACCTCTGTTGTTTTGGGTCCTATCATTCTCTCTGCTATCAGTAGGCCTTATTCTATAAGAACTTCTTCAATCCAGTATTGGCCTACAGAGACAGCTAAGTCTACATTTTATTTATTTATTTATTTATTTATTTATTTATTTATTTATTTACTTATGACACAGGTTCTTGCTCTTTCCCCCAGGCTGGAGTGCAGTAGGTGTGATCTTGGCTCATTGCAGCCTTGAACTTCCAGGCCCTGCCTCAGCCTCCCAAGTGGCTGGGACTACAGGTGTGCGCCACAAAGCCTGGTTAATTTTTGCATTTTTTTGCAGAAACGGGGTTTTGCCACATTGCCCAGGTTGGTCTCTCACTCCTGGGCTCTAGTGATCCTTCTGCCTTGGCCTCCCAAAGTATTGAGATTACAGGTGTGAGCCACCCTACCCGGCCTGAATTTTTTATTGATGCTGGTGTCCCCTCTCATCAGTACACTCTGATGTCCTCAGAATGGTTGTCCTCTGCGCCTCCCTATGGAACATTACCATCAGGTGGGTTTTCTGGACTTTTTGCAGTGTGTCTACTCCAGAAGGTTACTGCCCTTCCCCTTGTGACACCTTCCTCTACTGTCCACCAGGACAATGATGGCATTTCTACCCCATTTACTACGGGCTTTATTTTTTATTTTTATTTATTTATTTATTTATTTTTTGAGACAACAGTCTCACTCTGTTGTCCAGGCTGTAGTGCAGTGGCACGATCTCAGCTCACTGCAACCTCCGCCTCCCAGGTTCAAGCAGTCTTTCTGCCTCAGTCCACCAGTAGCTGGGATTACAGGCATTTGCCACCATGCCCGGCTTGTTTTTGTATTTTTTTTTTTTAGTAGAGACAGGGTTTCACCACGTTGGCCAGGCTGGTCTCAAACTCCTGACTTCAGGTGATCCACCTGCCTCAGCCTCCCAAAGTGCTGGGATTACAGATGTGAGCCACTGCACCCAGCAGGCCTTTATTTTTTTCATGCTTCTAAGAGTGAGTTCATAGAATCTCTGGGAGCCTTTGCTAGGATGTTAAATTGTGTATTATGGGATAGAATGCTCCCAAGTCAACACAGTCTCCCTCATCCAATCTCATGTTCTGGCCACCTTGATCAAGCACCCTCAGCATTCAGTCCCACATGTCCTTCCCAGCTTCTTGCTGGTGTATGCTGGTTAGGTCTTGCAGCTACTTTGGGGTATAATCCCTTTTCTCCTTTATTAGGCCCATCATGTCCCTGAGTTATACTGTGACTTAACCCTAGTTTACATTTCATGGCCAGGAGGGGAGGTGGGTTCCTTGTTGACTGTGGGAAAAAGCCTTGGCATTTTCGAGTAGGAGCCAGGGAAGGGCACTTCTGCAGGCTCAGAGCATTCAAGAGAATCTGGAAATCCAAGATTTTCAGGGGCATCAACTCAGATGTCCCTGTTTCACATGTCAGGGTCCCATCCTTTCCCAACAAGGGCTCTGACCTTGATATAGCAGGCCTACCTTGCTTGGAAGCTGCATTCGTCCTTTCTCATGCTGCTAATAAAGACATACCAAAGATTGGGTAATTTATAAAGGAAAAAGGTTTAATTGACTCACAGTTCAGCATGTCTGGGGAAGTGTTAGGAAACTTACAATCATGGCAGAAGAGAAAGCAAACCATCCTTTCTCACATGGTGACAGGAAGAGCAAAGCGGGGTAAGCCCCTTACAAAACCACCAGATCTCATGAGAACTCACTATCACGAGAACACCATGGAGGTAACTGCCCCCATGATTCAATTACCTCCCACCAGGTCCCTCCCACGACATGTGGGGATTATGGGAACTCCAACTCAAGATGAGATTTGGGTGGGGACACAGCCAAACCATATCAGAAGCTTAACCTTCTTTGGAGCATGATTATTCAGTTGAACCTAAGTTCAGTAGTCACCCAGTTATGCTGTCTTCAGCTACTATTTTCCATATGTTTCTCAAACATCTGATATATCACACTGGCTAGTGCACTTTCTTCCACCAGCATACCATCTCAATTTACCACTTTAACAATTGGACTGCCACTTTGTGTCAGGGACTATCTGTGCTCCAACTACTACAAGTGATAAGGTCCTCACTGACAGCCAGGGAGCAAGTGATCCAGCTCTAAAACTCACCTTATCATCTGCTTTCCTAGACCACTCCTAACAACCAACTATTCTGGGTTGAGTTCTCCAAGAGGCAGAGAGTTCAGGATACAGAATGTTGTTTTGTTTTTGTTGTTGTTGCTGTTGTTGTTTGTGTGTGTGTTTGGGCTTTTTTGAGACGGAGTCTCACTCTGTTGCCCAGGTAGAAGTGCAGTGGCATGATCTCAGCTCCCTGCAACCTCCACCTCCTGGGTTTAAGTGATTCCCCTGCCTCCACCTCCTGAGTAGCTGGGACTACAAGTGTGCGCCACCACACCCAGCTAATTTTTGTGTTTTTAGTAGAAATGGGGTTTTACCATGTTGGCTAGGCTGCTCCCAAACTCCTGACCTCCAGTGATCCACCTACCTCTGCCTCCCAAAGTGCTGGGATTACAGGCGTGAGCCACCACACCCAGCCCAGAATGTTTATTAGAATGCACAATTAATACCAGAGGCAGTGGGGAAGGAAGGACTGAGCAGAGGAGGAAGTTGAGTTGTGATTCAACCCAACAACTGCCTGGCTGGCATGGGGAGCTCTGGAGTTAAATAGGGCCATCAGACTTTCCCAGTGTGGGGCCAACATGACTGGGTCTTTATACCCCCACCTCTGTCAGTCACTCAACGTGGTCTCCCTGCAACAAGGTGACTCTTGCAGCCGAGACAATCCCTGAAGGGACAGAGGGCTGAAGCCTGTCTGCCAACAGCACTCCCAGTGGCTGGAACAAGTCCTTCCCTATAGGGGAATCTGGGCGGCACACCTCCATCTCCATGTCCATCACATACGATATCACAGACATTTAAATATTTTGATAACTGTACATAAGAGTTTCCTTTATAATCTTATAGATCTTATTTTATGCATTTGAAAATATTCTTCTGAGACAGGGCTTTTATCATATTGCCATAGGGTGCCACGATATAAAAAAGGTTAAATACTCTCTGATTCAGAAGTATCCAATGATGACTTCTCTCTCATGCATTTAATTGAAAATCTGGTTTTTCTCCTTCTCTGCTAGTTCTCTACCTCTCTCCCCACCTCCCACATCATAGCCTATTCACATATGTCTGAATCTCATGATAGACAAGTTCAGGTTCTTTTCCCAGGTTCTTTTTACCACATCCCCCCACCCCCACATAAAAAGTATATATGGCACAGCCTAGGTTCCACCCAAATCCTTTCTCCTCTTCTTCCTGGGCCCACAACTCTCCTACATACATTGGTATACCTTGCGCTTAGGGATGGCCATGTGACTAAGTTCTAACAGTGGAACATGATCAGATGCCACTTCCAGCCTCTAAGACAGCCAGTGTGTTTCCTCCATAAGCTCCTTCTCTTCCTCCCAACTGGAGACTCTAAATGATGACCCTGCCTCAAGCAAGCAAACAACAAGTCCCTCAGGGGTGGTGTAGGCTGCAAATGGAAGGAGCTTGAGTCCCAAACCTTCCACGGAGAAGGCTGGCTACCAACCTGGATCACTCACCCAAGACTGCTCGAAGAGTTGGTTTGAACCATTGTGTTTTGGGGTCTATTTATTACAACAGTTTAGCTTGCTTTGTGAATAGATTTAGTGGCAGAGCCTCCAAATTCTATAGATACATTGATCTCAGTCCTAACCGCATCTGGAACACCATTAAATAAAGGAATTGCAAACCCAGAGAAGGTAATGAATTTGTCTAAGGTCATACAAGATGGCTAGGATCAGGACCCAACTCTCCAGTTTTCTTTCTTCTCTGCTATTCTGCCTTCTGTGATCCTACATAAGTGGGCATGATTGTATAACATATGCGGCCATGAGATTTCTCTTTCAGCAAGAGAAAGGGACAGGAAGAAAGAGAGGGAATGCATTTTCTTGGCCTGAATTAGTGTGAGCCATTAGTTACCTACATTGACTAAATTATCTGGAATGAACATTCAACTCTACATCACATATAGTTAAAATGACAGATCTGCTTAAGATTGTTTCTAGCATACATTATTTCAATTTAGGCAAATGTGACCATTCAGTGTGAGGGGACCATACTGTCATTAGGTCCCTGTCAGTTCTCAATTATACTGTTATCTTAGAGGGGGAAAAATGTGAAATTTGAATGTAGACGAGTGTTGATTTGACTGCTACAGTTTATTTTACGTATAGAAATAAAATAATGTGTAGCAAAAGCATTATTACAAAGATGATAATGAAATAACTAGTATTTATAATAGTATAATAGTATAGTATTTATAATAGTATGATAGTTTAATGACTATTTGTCAGATGTTGTGTAAGAAACTTTATACACACACACACACACACCTCATTTAATTCCTGTATCAATCAGGATACAGGACGCTGTGGTAACAACTCCTCAAATCTCGGTGGCTTGCACAACAAATGCTTATTTCTTTTTTTTTTTTGACACCAAGTCTTGCTCTGTAACAGGCTGGAGTGCAATGGTGCAATCTCGGCTCACTGCAGCCTCTGCCTCCTGGGTTCAAGCGATTCTCCTGCCTCAGTCTCTCGAGTAGCTGGGAACACAGGCACGCGCCACCACATCTGGCTAATTTTTGTGATTTTAGTAGAGATGGGATTTCACCATGTTGCTCAGGCTGGCCTTGAACTCCTGACCTCAAGCGATCCACCCACCTCAGCCTCCCAAAGTGCTGGGATTACAGGCATGAGCCACTGCGCCCAGCCCCAAATGTTTATTTCTTGCTCATGTGACATGTACTTCCTCGAGTTTTTCCTTCCTGAGATCTAAGCTGAAGGAACAGCTCTCTGGAGCCACGCCATTCTGGTGGCGGAAAGGAAGAGTAAAAGTGGTAGAACCTTGCAATGCTCTTGAAGCGCCTATTTGGAATGTCTACATCATGTAAATGGTAATGGACAAGTATGTATAATCCCCACACCAAAAAAAGGGGACACTATTGGGGACAATAACCACATTTCAATGCTGCAAGACGGATATTGACTGCACCCCCTTCCCACTTTCAGAAAGAAGAAGAGTAATTTTGCTGAACTCCTTCTAGAGACTGGAAATGTCCCTTCCAGTTGGGGTGATTAGGGAAGGCTTTGGTAAAATTTGAGCTAGAGTTTGAAGGTTAGGTAGACTACTGGTGGGTGAAGAAAGAACAAGGACCTTTGTAGGCAAAGGAAAACCTCAGAATTACAGAGGTGGAAAAAGAGTTCTAGTCAAGCCACTTCAGCTGGCTACAGAGTAGGTGGGAAAGAAAATGGGAGGACAAGGGCTCAGATGATGGGGGGTTGGGGCATTGGGGGGACACTTGAAAGCTAAACTAAGGGGTTGAACTTAATTTAGGAGGCAGTTAGAAGCTTTTACATATTTTTGAGCAAGAGAGTGACATAATTAAAATGATCTGGGCCAGGTGTGGTGGCTCACACCTGTAATCCCAGCACTTTGGGAGGCTGAGGAGCTTGGGTCACCTGAGGTCAGGAGATCGAGACCAGCCTGGCCACCATGGTGAAATCCCGTCCTACTAAAAATACAAAAATTAGCCGGGAGTGGTGGCATATGCCTGTAATCCCAGTAGCTGGGAGGCTGAGACAGGAAAATCGCTTGAACCCGGGAAACAGGTTGCAGTGAGCCGAGATCGTGCCACTGCACTCCAGCCTGGGCAACAGAGCGAGACTCCATCTCAAAAAAACAAAACAAACACACACAAAAAACCAAAAATAAATAAATAAAATGATCACTTCTGAATACTGATCTAACTAGGGGTTGCAGGGTGGGCTGATATAGGGAGAAACTGGAGAGCAAGGAGATCACTAAGGTCCCTACATGTCCAGAACCAAGATAGAGGTCTTGAACTAGGATGGTGGCAGTTAGAACAACAACAACAAAAAGTCAATTCCAGGCTGAGTGCAGTGGCTCATGCCTGTAATCCCAACGCTTTGGGAGGCTGAGGTGGGAGTTAGAAAGCAGCCTGGGCAACACTGCAAGACCTCCTCTCTAAAAAAAAAAAAAAAAAAAAGTTAGCCAGGTGTGGTGGTGCCCACCTGTAGTCCCAGCAACTCAGAAGGCTGAGGTGGGAAGATTGCTTGAGCCCCAGGAGTTCAAGCTTGCCGTGAGCTACGATTGTGCCACTGCACTCCAGCCTGAGCAAGACCTTGTCTCCAAAAAAAGGTCAATTCCACTGACTTTTCTAAGGTGTACACCATCAAGGGGCAGCTCCATCTCCAGGCCATTGGCTCATGAGACATTCTGTAGTCAGAAGGCTAGGGCAGATTGCTTTGAGCAAGCCCCCATGGTGGTTCTCACTCCTACTTCTTTGGGTATATGCCCCTCTGTTTAAAAATAAAGTTAATATGCATTTAAAAAAAAAAAGGAGAAAAAGGTCAGTTCCAGAAACTGTGTGAATAAAGCATTTTACTTGCTTTTTCTATTAATCTATAACATATGTTGATTTTTTAAAAAGAATATAAGAGCTATGCAAATTGGAGCTTCAAGACAACTTCCCATCTCCCTAGGAGGAGATGGCTGCCCTAAACCCCCCTACATAGAAATCATCCCACTGCTTGGGCTTAAACTTGATGTTGGGGAAATGAAAAATCCAAGCTAAGGCCGAAGCCTGGGGCCTGGGCGACCAGCAGAATGAGGACCACTGGTCAGTTTCAGGCTGAGGTGCGTCTTCCAGGGGACAATCTCTAGCTGGCCCTTAAACATTCAGACTTCAAGCTCTATTTACAGCATAAAGGTGTTTCAAAAGACGTGATACAAATAACTGCAAATGCTCTGCGATGTGTTAAGCACTGTTTGAAATTCGTCTAATTTAAGATTTTTTTTTCTGACGTAACGGTTAGATTCACGTTTCTTTTTTTTTAAGTACAGTTCTACTGTATTGTAACTGAGTTAGCTTGCTTTAAGCCGATTTGTTAAGGAAAGGATTCACCTTGGTCAGTAACAAAAAAGGTGGGAAAAAAGCAAGGAGAAAGGAAGCAGCCTGGGGGAAAGAGACCTTAGCCAGGGGGGCGGTTTCGGGACTACGAAGGGTCGGGGCGGACGGACTCGAGGGCCGGCCACGTGGAAGGCCGCTCAGGACTTCTGTAGGAGAGGACACCGCCCCAGGCTGACTGAAAGTAAAGGGCAGCGGACCCAGCGGCGGAGCCACTGGCCTTGCCCCGACCCCGCATGGCCCGAAGGAGGACACCCACCCCCGCAACGACACAAAGACTCCAACTACAGGAGGTGGAGAAAGCGCGTGCGCCACGGAACGCGCGTGCGCGCTGCGGTCAGCGCCGCGGCCTGAGGCGTAGCGGGAGGGGGACCGCGAAAGGGCAGCGCCGAGAGGAACGAGCCGGGAGACGCCGGACGGCCGAGCGGCAGGGCGCTCGCGCGCGCCCACTAGTGGCCGGAGGAGAAGGCTCCCGCGGAGGCCGCGCTGCCCGCCCCCTCCCCTGGGGAGGCTCGCGTTCCCGCTGCTCGCGCCTGCGCCGCCCGCCGGCCTCAGGAACGCGCCCTCTTCGCCGGCGCGCGCCCTCGCAGTCACCGCCACCCACCAGCTCCGGCACCAACAGCAGCGCCGCTGCCACCGCCCACCTTCTGCCGCCGCCACCACAGCCACCTTCTCCTCCTCCGCTGTCCTCTCCCGTCCTCGCCTCTGTCGACTATCAGGTAAGCGCCGCGGCTCCGAAATCTGCCTCGCCGTCCGCCTCTGTGCACCCCTGCGCCGCCGCCCCTCGCCCTCCCTCTCCGCAGACTGGGGCTTCGTGCGCCGGGCATCGGTCGGGGCCACCGCAGGGCCCCTCCCTGCCTCCCCTGCTCGGGGGCTGGGGCCAGGGCGGCCTGGAAAGGGACCTGAGCAAGGGATGCACGCACGCGTGAGTGCGCGCGTGTGTGTGTGCTGGAGGGTCTTCACCACCAGATTCGCGCAGACCCCAGGTGGAGGCTGTGCCGGCAGGGTGGGGCGCGGCGGCGGTGACTTGGGGGAGGGGGCTGCCCTTCACTCTCGACTGCAGCCTTTTGCCGCAATGGGCGTGTGTGTGTGTGTGTGTGTGTGTGTGTGTGTGTGTGTGTGGAGGGGTCCGATAACGACCCCCGAAACCGAATCTGAAATCCGCTGTCCCTGCCGCTGTTCGCCATCAGCTCTAAGAAAGACGTGGATCGGGTTCTAGAAAAGATGACTCCCTGCACGCCCCTCCCTGCACCTCCCGAGCAGTGATTCCGACAGGGCCTTCACTGCCCCTGATTTTAGGCGGGGGCCGGCCCCCTCCCCTTTTCCTCCTTCAGAAACCCGTAGGGGACATTTGGGGGCTGGGAGAAATCGAGGAGATGGGGAGGGGTCCACGCGCTGTCACTTTAGTTGCCCTTCCCCCTGCGCACGCCTGGCACAGAGACGCGACAGCGCCGTGCCTGAGAACAGTGCGCGGATCCCACTGTGCACGCTCGCAAAGGCAGGGTTCACCTGGCCTGGCGATGTGGACGGACTCGGCGGCCGCTGGTCCCCGTTCGCGGGCACGCACAGCCGCAGCCATGCACGGATGGGCGCGGGGCTGCAGGTGCATCTCGGGGCGGATTTCTTTCTCAGCGCTCGGAGCGCAGGGCGCCCGGCGTGTGCGCTCCCTGCCGGAGGCGCGGGGCTGGCGCGCAGGGCTCGCCCCTCACTGCGGCAGTGGGTGTGGACCCTGGTGGGCGAGGAAGGGGGAGGATAGGCTGTGCCTCCTCCCACTCCCGCCCCCAGCCCCCCTTTTTTTCCCCCTCGGAACGCGAGGTGCCATCTTTTTTCGGCGTGTCACGTCTTTACGGTGCCATGCCAAACCGGGTGGCCGGGCTTCATAGGACAGGGCGGGGCCTGGCATTAAAGGGAGGGGGACAATCAGCGCTGAAATCTTGGCGTTTTGCTGCTGCGGGCGTGAGCACTGGGGGCGTTCGCCCAGCACCTTCTTCGGGGGCTCTTTGCTTTGTCTGTAGAGGTTACGTGATCTGCGCTCCCAGCCCTGGTTTCTGGCTTTTATTCTGAGGGTGTTCAGTCAACCTCCCCCCTACGCCCATGCGCCTCTCTTTCCTTTTTCGCTCCTCATTTCCGAGCCCATTGTTGGATCTCGAGGCTTGCTGGGGTCGATGAACTCGAGTCAACCCCCCGACCCCCGGCACGCATGGAACGGGCGTGACCGCGCGCAGCCTCGTCTCGGAGTCTGCCGGCGCCGGGAAGCTTCTGAAGGGATGGGATTCGAGTCTCCGTGCGCGCTGCGGGCGGCGGCAGAGGGATCTCGCCCCTCCCTACACCCCAAGTGTCCTGAGGGCCACGCCACACCAGGTTGCCCAGCGAGGGACGCTGGCTACCCATCCGGGGATGGGTGGGGAGCCCTGGCGGGGCCTCTCCGGCTTTACGCCCTGTTGCTTCGCCTGGCCGGAGAATGTGAGGAAGGGGCATAAGGTTACTGGTGCTTCGGCCACACCCATCTTTCTGAGCCCACTGGACTGGGCGCAGAGGGGGGATTGCCATGGAAACCACAGGTGTCCGGAGAGGGGATCTTGGGGCTGGCCTCACCCCTTCCCTGCGGAGATTGGGGACCCTGGGGTAGGGGGAGCCGCGCCCAGTCGGCCTCCTGGAGGACACGGGAGGAAGCCCCGAACCCCCGCGCCTGAGGCTGTTTCTGATTGGCCCCTGGAGGCCGCAGACACGCAGATAGGCGGCCCTGGGTGTATTTTTATTAATATTATGTCCGTACTGATTAATATTATTTATCTTAAATAAATTTCACCCGTGTCCAAGTTCACCGCGCCCCCAAAACCGAGTCTGGGGCGGCAGGGGGAACTCCTGGCCAACGAATCCATGCCTCGCCCTCCTGTGATGAACCTGGTACGCACGGTTTTCTGGTTAATTCTATCGCTGAAAACTGGTGCGGGGGGCGCACTTCTGAGACGGAAGAGCATCTAGGAGCTGAATCCTCCACGCGGGTCGCCCAGGTTGATCTGAATTTCTGGGGAATGGCTTGGCTGCCCGCCCGGGACCAGGCCGACCCTCCTTGACGGTGGCGTAGAGGGCTGGAGCCTGGGTACTGCGAGGCTCCTCGCATGGCTGGGCCCGCCGCGAGGGGTTGCAGAGCGGCTCAGGGATCGATTCAAGCATCGTCTCTCCTCCCTCGCCCCCAGACAGAGCTGGGCGCGGGGTTCCCCTTCCAGATGGAGCGAGGGTCTCGGGGTGGCCCCAGAAAAGGGGAGCCCGCGGCCACGGCTACGTATTGCCATCTCGCGAGCAGAGATGTCACCTCCTGCCTTTGGAGGAAAGGGAGCCCGGTGGGGATGAGCGCATTTAGCCCAATGCTGGGAACAAAGCGCACTCCGCGCTTCTGCGATTTCGCTCCATTTTGAAATGTGTTGGCGCTTTGGTGGGGCCGCTGCGGTGGGCAAGGCCGGGGGCGCTGTTAATGGAGGAACCTCAGGGGGACGGTCCTTCGTAGGAAACTCTATCCTGGCTCTGCGCGCGCTTTAAGGAAATGGCTTCCCTCCAGGACCTCGAGGGATGCAGCTTTTGCGCGGATGACGGTGGGGTGCTGAACCAGCCGGTGCGCCTCTGGAAATGTCTGGGCACGGATCCTGGGGCCATCGACGACTCCTCCCCATTCCCAGCAGGCGGGAGCTCTTACATTCCGAGCGAGTGACCCCTCTCACCCTCTGGCGCTCACACACCTGTAACTCCAAACCTCCGTCTCAGAATGGTCCAGGCTGGAAGGGATGATGGGGGCTCCGACAGCGACTGCCTAGCTCACCCCTCTGCGTGCTCAGGCTCCAGGCTCAGCAGGACCAATTTGAGTTCTATCTGATCCCCCTCGGCCCCTTAACTGACCCATCCTACAGGAGACAGGGAAATGTCTTTCCTACCGCGGTTGATTCTGGGGTGTCATTTTGTGTTTTGTGATGGCTGCTTATATTTACTGTATAAGCATTGTATTTACTGTATAAGCATTGTATTATAATTACTGTATAAGCTGCTTATATTTACTGTATAAGCATCTCCAAATCCTCCCTCTACGTAAACAAATTAATGGATAAACAGATAAGTGTATCCCCTGCCCCCACCCCTGCTACGCAGGTCCGGAGTGACTCTTGAAGCTCATACATTCCTTGGCCAAGTTTGCTTCTCTAACAGATGTTTATATAGCAATAACCTGGCTTGGCTCTTGGGTTCACCTTTGGACGATTTGGGGAAGGGGCTTGTTGGCTTTGCTGGGTTTTGGATGAGTGACAGTCCATGACTGTTCCTGCTGGAAGGGCGTGACTTTTAAGTGGTTTCTAATATCAGGCATTGCTCCTCCGACAGGAACAAAAGAAATGGATACTGCCCATAAATTGTTAGAAAACTTAGAATCGCTTTGATTGAGGAAAGGTTAGATTTATTCCGGTTGGAAAAAGTGGCCTTTCTATTAAACGTGCCCTTTGACCCTCATGCCCTTGGAGGTCGGTGCCAGCCTGGAGATGGGATAAGATTGTGGTTTTCCTTCTGCCTTTTTAACATCTGTTGTTACAGTCCATTTGTTGAAAATTTAAAGAAACTGTTTTATTCCACTTTCCCTCAGCATTTATGTGTGTGGTTTCAGTAGCTCTGTGGCTATATGTACGAACACGTGTTATTTTTCCAATTGGACATGTGATAATTTTCCAACTGGACCTTGCCTTCTATTGATGTATTTATTTAGCATCTTCCTTACTCCCTCCTTGAAAAAGAATCACTCAAAAACAAATAAAAACAGCCGTAGGGGCCTAATACAGTGCTAGACATACAAGAGGTATTCGGTCCATACCAAATGGATTTTATCCATGAAGGATAAATGGGGAAATACAGTGGGAAGCGGGTGGGAAACTGCGTTTGACTCTGCTCTTTCCTCCACCACCACTTTCCTCATCACCGTGTTCAGAGACCCCCAAAGCCCCCTCACACTCCCAGAAACACCCCCCTGGCCACTCCTAACTTGCCATGCCCAGGAGTTAGGTGCTTCCACTAGTGACATGGAGCTGGCGTTTGGGGGGCACCTCAGCAGGTGACGGGAAGAGAAGACCCCAGCCTCACCAGCTGGGCTGCAGCAGGGAGAGGAGTCCTCATGTTCCAGCAGGGACTCTCAGCTGTTTTCCTGTAAAACCATGGTTCTCAACTGGGGGCCACTGAGATGTCTAGAGAGATGTTTTTGTTTTCACAACTCGGGGAGGGTGCTACTGACATCTTGTGGGTAGAGGCCAGGAATGCTGTTAAACATCCTACAAGGAAGGCACAGGACAGTCTCCTACATCAAAATATGACCCAGCCCCAATGTCACCACTGCTGGGGTTGACACTGGCACTGCTATCTTAATTACATTCATTGAGTGTCTTTTAGGAGGCCCTATTCTAAGTGCTTGCTAAGATTATCTCATTTAATCCTCACAACACTTCCGCTATGTAGCAGGTGCTGTTATTATCTCCGTGATGGGGAAACTGAAGCACAGAGAGGGTTAGTAACTTGCTAAAGGTCACAGAGCCAGTGGGTGGTGGAGCTGGTTGCCTGACACTAGTTCCCTCCCCTCTCAGCCACATGTGGGTTTACTTGGCCATTGTGGACTAGTCTGGGAACCCAGATATGATCTATAACATTGACCCAGTAGAATATTGATTCCAAAACCACTGTCTCACAAATGAATTTTTACAAGAGTCTGTAATCGGAGCATGACCCAGAATAAGGTTAGGGAGATGTGGAGTTAAAGCTCTCAATTTCTTATCTGGCCCCGACACAGAGAGCAAGGCATTTCACTCTACATTGGTGCTCTGTTTATAAAACAAAGAGCAAATATCTCTTCCTAAGGTCCTTAAACCTCTTCCCCCAATCCAGGGTTTCTGGACTGCTCTGCCATATGACGGGGCAGCTGGTTTGATTGACCCAGGGAAGGCTGGAAATCAAGACTGGGGGATCAAGACGTAGATTCAGTGTGGCCAAGGTCAAGTCTCTGAGGTTTAGGGACATCAGATCCCCAGCTTAGGTTCTGTACCTCGGCAAGGTGAAAGCGTTGGCGCCCACTGATGAGGCCTGCTCTGAGATTGTGGGTGTGGGTTGAGTTGGGTGGGCATAGGCAAGTCCTCTTGTAAGAATCTTTTGGCAAAGATGGGCCTGGGAGGCTTTTCTCACTTCCTGGGGCCCAGGCTTTGCAATAAGTATTCCATTATACTGTGGTACCTTGGGGCTACCTGAGAATCCTCTGTCTCGCCCCTGTTGCCTTGCCAAAGAGTTTGCTGTCCAAGAATTCCTTTCCTGTCTCCAGGTGCCATGCTCCTGCCACCTCTGCCAGGTTCCCTGCCTGCCCAGATGGCTCCCAACTGAGTGTGAGGAGGAATTTGAGACAGGTTTTGAGCTTTCTGGGTTCTCCAGTTAGGAAACTTTCTGTAAGCATGCAGATAGAATGGGCTTCAGCAAAATACAAACTCGAACAACTTCCAGGTATAGTCCCTTAATTTTCTTTGCTTTTTTCATATTTCATCAGGCTCCATGCTGAGCCCAATCAGGGACCCGATAGAAATCCAAACACCATGTCAGCGAGTCCCCAAGAAATGCATTTTGTGCCAAGGCTATTCAAGGAAGGTTTGGGAGCAGCTCAAGGGCAGACACTGTTACCCTCCCCCAGGTCCCCAGTGCAGGGCAGTGTTCTGCATGTGGAGGCAGTTTGGCCTAATGGTTAAGGAGGTAGGCTCTGATCGGGCCTCCTGGGCACAAATCCCAGCTCCCTGCTCACTGTGAGACCTAAGCCATATTGTTTAGCTGCTTGGAGAGTTTTTTGTCATCCACAACTTGGAGTATGATGGTACCTGTCTCACGGGTTGCCATGGGGTTCACACAAGCTAACCCGGTACTCACTAGGGCCAAGCACATAGTAACTGCTCAGTAAATGGCATCATCGGCGGTGTCCTGTGGATGAGTGCTTGTGATTGGCTGAATGACCAGAGGGGTCTAAAGATCCTGGTGATGGAATCAGTTGTACAGATAAATTGTTACACTGAGTAGGGATCAAGATAGGAAAAGTCGGCAACTACCCAGCTCCCCTGCACCAAACTGGGCAGAAGTGGATCCTCTGAAAATTGCACACACCCATGTTTAAATGTACACACAGAACTCTTGCCACAGGCAAGCGGAGATTTGTCATCTGCTGTCCCTGCCTCATCTTCTTCCTGAAATCCACTCCATGCCAGGAATAAACTGCATGCTCTCCACCAGCCCAAACTGACCTGCCTTCCCGCCAGCCATCCCGGGCAGGGTGACCTGGCTTAGTACATCGGGTTCAGAGATCTTTCCAGTTTACTCGTTGAATAAAAAGTGAGGGCTGATCGAGAAAGTAATGGCAGTCAGGGAAGGCGAAGGAGGTAAAGAAGAGATTTTACAAATGAAGTAATTCAACAGAGTGCTGACATTGGTAAACTGGCAAACAGATTTCAGGGTGGTTGGTTGAGAGTAGAGTAGAAAAGGATTAAATAAAGCAAACTTGTGGTGTACTGAATCTTAGGAATTCCATGTATCCAATAAGTATAGTCATTTATGAATTAATAAATTCGGCCTAAGAAGCCTTCTTATCGCTTAAATCAAGACTGAGTAACAATATATCAGTTTTAAAAAGTCATTATATCAGAAAATCATTTAAATGATACACATAGATTTCCAAGATTTTACTTTAACCGAAACTATATAAATGTGAATTTGTTCACCCATCTTTTGACACAGGGCTCAGGTCTTCTCTTGGTGTCTGGATCAGCCAGTTGAAATTTCTTGTCTGTTTTGCCTATGCCACATTAATAATGCACTGTCTGGGTCCTCCGATTTCAGTTTGGATTTTGGGTTTACATTGTGGAGTCATCTGAATGCAGAATCCTTCAGGGATTTTACTTTTTTTTTTTTTTTCATGGTCTTTACCATCCCATTTGATAGTAAATATTACTCACCTTTATGAAGTCTTTCCAAAACATTCAACTAAATTTTCTTAAAATCATTGAATGATTTGAAGAGCTTATTCCTCAGCACTTTTACTCCATCAGCTTGCACCTTATTTTTTAATCTTTTTTTGAGACGGAGTCTCGCTCTATCGCCCAGGCTTAAGTGCAATGGCGCGATCTTGGCTCACTGCGACCTCCACCTCCTGGGTTCAAGCAATTCCGCCTCAGCCTCCGCCGTAGCCGGGACTACAGGTACACACCATAATGCTCGGCTGATTTTTGTATTTTTGTAGGGATGGGGTATCGCCATGTTGGCCAGGCTGGTCCCGAACTTCTGACCCAAGTGATCCACCCACCTCGGCCTCCCAAAGTGCTGGGATTACAGGTGTGAGCCACCGCGCCCGGCCAGCTTGCACCTTATTTAGGATATGTGATTATTATAGCAAGTCTGGTGTACATACAAGATTTTGAATGGGCACAGATGACCTTTAGTAAGTGCTTGGCTGTGATAAGAGGCAGTCCTGACTGCAGATCAGGCTGTGTGGACCCCAGCCTTGCATGTTTACAGACCTTCATGTCTTATTCTTACAGGGTATCAGAAGAACACCTACTGGGGAAACTTATAAATTAGTAAAAGGTGGGCGTTCTCCCCGCCCATCTTCTGTCTGTCTGCCAGGACTAGCACAGCACTTTGAAGTCATTCACATAGAATCCCAACTTAAGAGGGTAAAATCCTCCTCAACAGACTGAAAATAAGTTTAAATTCCCTTTGCTATATTAACTCCCCTGAGGAAAGAGTCTTAGATCAATGTCCAACACTAAAAACAGTTTTAAATCAGCAAGTGAGAATTAAATCTGAAGCAATTGATAATAATGTTTCATTCATTCCTCTCCTTTGGCCCCGTCCACCCTACTGCTAAATCCAGGCATCAAAGAGAAGAGGGACATAATTATCTCTAGTCCCAGCTGCTGGTTTTCCTTCCAGCCTATGGCCCAGTTTTCTGTTTTACTGAGAAGGCTGGTGATGTTATCTTGGGATCTAAGTCTGCAGTTTCACCACAAAAAGTCCAGGGATGCACTTTCATGCTTGTGTCCTCCTCCCTGGGATAGCAAGGATATTAGAAGACCCCTGGCTCTGTAATTGCTTGTCATGTGCTCTACAGACGCCACAGAATGCCAAGAACGAAGTGCTGGGAAGGACAAATTCATGGAACCGTGGGACGGTGCTCCTCCCCCAGCGTAAAGGACAGCTCCTCCTCCTGAATTGGAGCCAGCGTTCTAAATCATGTGTCAACAGAGTTGTCCTGGATCGGATCCAGTTCTGCCATTGATTTGCAGGTCATTTCAGTGGTACCTGTTTCCAGTTGTTCTTAATTGAACAGTGGCACCAAACTATTGTCTTGCCTCATCCCCCTCCCATGGCCTGTCCCCCAAAAAGAGACTTCTTGGGTAATTAATCAGGGCAACATCAGGCAGTCTGGGCGCGGTGGCTCACGCCTGTAATCCCAGCACTTTGGGAGGCCGAGGCGGGCAGATCATGAGGTTAGGAGATTGAGACCATCCTGGCTTTGTGAAACCCCGTCTCTACTAAAAATACAAAAAATTAGCCGGGCGTGGTGGCGGGCGCCTGTAGTCCCAGCTACTCGAGAGGCTGAGGCAGGGGAATGGCGTGAACCCGGGAGGTGGAGGTTGCAGTGAGCCGAGATCGCACCACTGCACTCTAGCCTGGGCGACAGAGCTAGACTTCTTCTCAAAAAAAAAAAAAAAAGGAATCTCTTTGGTTTTATATATATATTTTTTTATATATATAATATATATTAAAATATAATATATATATTTATATAATATAATATATAAATATATTATATATTATATATTTTTATATATTATATATTATATATATTAATTATATATTTATATATTTATATATTATATATATTTATATATTATATATTATATATTATATATTTATATATATTATATATTTATATATTTTATATATTATATATTATATATTATATATTTATATATATTATATATTATATATTTATATATTATATATTTATATATATTATAGATTATATATTATATATTTATATATTATATATTTATATATTATATATATTTATATATATTATATATTATATATTATATATGTATATATTATATATGTTATATATTATATATATTTATATATATAATATATTGTATATATTATATATCTAATATATTATATATATTATATATATTATATATTATAATATATATTATATATTATATATTATATATATTTTTATATATATAATATGTATAATATATAATATATATAAAAACATATATTATATATTATATATTATATATATATTATATATATTATATATATTAAATATATTTTATATATATTATATATATATACACATATATATATATAAATGAGGCCAGGCTCGGTGGCTCACACTTGTAATCCCAGCACTGTGGGAGGATCACTTGAAGCCAGGAGTCTGAGACTAGCCTGGGCAACAAAACAAGATCCTGTCTCTACAAAAGGAAACTGTAAAAATTAGCTGGGCATGATGGCATGTGTCTGTAGCCCTAGCTACTTGGGAGGCCGAAGCAGGAGGATCGCTTGAGCCCAGGAGTTCAAGGCTACAGTGAGCTATGATTGTCCCATAGCACTCCAGCCTGGGTAACACAGCAAGGCCCTGTCTCTAAACTTTTTTTTTTTAATTCTATTTATATTTACATGTATTTAAATGTGAATATTCACTACCTATTTGTTGCATGCCTGCATTTTTTATACTGGGCTTGCCAAAAACCCGAACAGCTTTCTACTTTGACAATGTATCAGAATTTAAATCAGCAATATGTTAATAAGCCAAGCAAAGGTTATATATGCAAATAAAACTGTTGTCTATAACCTCCTGTTACACTGGGGCACAGCAAAAGTCATGGTGTAGTCGCATGTGAACCTGTCCCTTTCATAGCTGCTCATTGCCAGGAAACATCAGGAATAGCCATTTGGAAGAGTCATCAGCCCTCCCACCATCCGTTTTCTGTCTTGTCTTTTCCCTATGAGCAGGGGAAATTCCACGCTGGCCCCAATCCCCAGTGCAGCGGCTCAGCCTCTGCCTCTGCTGCTGGTCCCCATGAGGCCAGCTTAGAAACGGAGGATTTTGCAGAACATCCCTAAATCCGCTTGAATAATGAAGTGATCATTCATAAACTCACCTGAACCTTATTAAAACCTATTTAATATTTTTCCTGGATAATCCTATAGGGATAACTTGCCTCCTGGGCTTCTCTCCACCGGGTTCAGTTCTTCCTTTAGTGGTGAAGTTCCTCCCTTCTTAGCATCTCAACTGTGCCTGAGAAAAGGCCAGTGGCGGCTGCACTCTGTTCCCTGTGGAGTGTTAATAAAGACTGAATAAATTGAAATAAATCCCTTTCAATGTCATTAAGTGCTATAAATAATCATGAACCAATGTTCGATGGCTGATGAGAAATGCAAGAAAAAATTTTTAATCAGTAGGATTCATAAGTTGACAATCTGGGCCAAGTTAAAAAAAATAAAAATAAAAAGACTTTTAAAAAGATCTTATCGTTTGTTACCAGTAAGACTGAATTCCAGAAGCAAGCTACTCCCTCATTTGTGGGCCCCTGTTATCACTGGCTGCTTAGGGTTGCCAAGCCCTGAATTCATTTGTCAACTAAGAGATTTTTGGCCAAGATTAAGATTTCCCATGCCTCCATATTTCCATCTGAGAAATGGAGATTATACTGTCTTCCCCCTCAGAATGGATGATAATGTGGTCTCTCTTCTGTTCGCATAGTCATAGAACTGAAATAAAACAACTTAAGAGAATTCCTTTGAGCTTCTCAGAAGTGCTGCAGGGCTGGGGGATGCCTCCCAGGAGCCGCAGTCAGGTGCTGATCTGAAGTCTTTGGTGGGCTGACTTTAGCCTGACCTGAAATAGTATAGCTGCTGCCACCTGGCTCCCTTAGCGTCAGTCAGACGGTGCAGCTGGTTCCTAGGGGTGAGGGCTGAGCCAGCAGGGTCCGTGCCCAGGAGGGATGCATGGGTGGCCACAGCCCAGCCTGCACTGATCTTGTCTGTCCCCTTCTTTGGAAGGAAGGAGCCCCAAACCAGGGTGCAAGACAGTGGGTGGGGGTGCCTTGAGCATGACCTCAAGTGATTTCCAGCCCCTGCCAGTGCTGACTTCTCTGGGGAAGGGCTGGGACTTCCTTCTGGGCTCAAGTCACGACCCTTGGATGGAATTTCCTGGGAGCTTTTCTGTTTTTTCTGGAGTTTTCAGTTTTTTCCTAACCAGACAGGGACTTGGTACAGAATCTCATATTCTAATTATGCCTAGGAGCAGCCTCTCCCCACCACTCACAGTGTTTAGCATGTGACAGGAATCGATTAAGGCATGAGTGATTAAATTAAAGCCAGGCATTGACTTGGATGGTGTAATATTCTGACATCTGTTTGGTGTCAAAGGCACGGGGCAGGCGCGTTAATTGAACTGCTTGCACCTGGCATTTGAATTGAGCCAGAGCGGGGCTAAAGTCAGTTTGCCTTCACCCTGTAAATGGAGGGTTTCTCCGGAGCGTGGA
Source organism: Homo sapiens (assembly GCF_000001405.40). NCBI lineage: Eukaryota > Metazoa > Chordata > Mammalia > Primates > Hominidae > Homo > Homo sapiens. The sequence continues at coordinate 608,704 of NT_187663.1, forward strand.
TGGTGGGAGGTATTTCAGGGTGTATGCATAACCCCCACCCTGACAATGGCCCATCTCTTCTCCAGCGTGGCCAGGTTTGAGTGCCAGTCCTGGGTGTCCAGTGGCCCCATAGCCTTGCATTTTAGTAAAATGCTGCCCCCATTACCACCTGGTCTGTGCACTTCGGTCACTGGAATTTGCCATCTTCCAGTCCCGAATGTGGCAAGCCATGGAGCCTTAAGCTCTTCTCCCTCCACATCCTGGAACAGACCCGCCAGTTTCTTCCAGGCATTGCCTCAGTTTGCCCCTCTGTTTCCAGTCACACTCTCACCAGCGATAAAATGATTTTAGACCTTATCATCTCACCCTCGGATCCTTATGGAAACAATAATGAGTTGTTCCCTGTTTCAATTCCAAAATTCATATCCAATCCGTTTTGCATGCCATTGCCAAATTCCTCCCAGAGCAACCCCGTCACCTGCCCTGGCCCTCTCCAAGTGTGGTCCTGCCATGGGCATCGCCTGCTAAGCCAAGCTGGCCTCGAGCTGCCTGCCCGGGTCCCCACACCTTGGCTCACCTCCCTGCCCAGTCCCGCCTCCTGCCAGCCTGCCCTGTGGCTCCTTCATAGATGCCGTGCTCTTTCTGCCCCTTGCTCACCCATGGCAGCCTTGCCCCTCTCTCCCTGCCCCACCCCCTATTTAAATTGACCTGACCTTCCTCAGTGTCCATCTTCCCCGAAGCTTTCCCCAGCCTTGGCACTCAAGGTCCAGAGGCTACGCGTTTCCTCTCACCTGTGGCAGCGCCGTGCTCCCCAGTGCCTCACAGTTTCCTTCTTGCCCCCGCTTCCTGTGTAGGACTCATCTGCCCACAGGTTGCACGTCCTGTGAGGGCAAGGACTGTGTCTTATGTGACTTTCCTTCTCCAGTCACAGAGCTGGGCACATAGATAGCTCAAAACCCTCTTTATTAACACAGTTGGATGTTGAGAAATCAAACAGGCCAATGTCAAATGAGCTCTCCTTATTTAAATCAAGTCAGTTCTCCACCTCCTAGCACTCAGTTCCAGTACTCTATATACATGGAAATAATAAAAAACACATTTCCTTTGAAACATTCTATAATCGTTCCTTTGCCCTACTTCAGACCAACTTAACGCACTCCCCATTGGTCCAAATGAGTTTTGCTATACGAAGATGCTGATAATAATAGCAGCAGTGGATTATTCTGCTAAAACCATTGCCTCGTTAATCCTCAGTCCCGAGGTGGGGATTATTATCCTCATTTTGCAGAGAAGCAAACTGAGACTCAGAGATTTCACAGCTGGGGAGGGAGCCAGCTCATCCCTCTGTCCAGGCCCAAGCTCTCTCCCGCTTGCCTTCCTGCCTCTGCAACCTCAGAGCATCCCCCATCTGGTTCTACTGCCTGTGCTAGTCGTGCAGGAGCCAAAAGACACGTCTTTAGTGCTAAGGACTGGAGAAGCCATGCCCTCCAGCCTCTGTGAATGGGTCATATGTAACATGAGCCTGGAGAAATTATTTGAAACCAAAGGCAAGCCTCTAAACCAGGCTGCTGCTTCATGGCGCCGGTGACGGCAGAACCAAATTTAGTGCTGTGGGCAGGTCCACACTTATCAAATAGAGAAGCTCATTTTTCTTCCGGCTCACATCAAGCATGAAAAATGTTCACACATACCCCACACACACACATGCTTTCCGGAGGGGTCCATGTGGCTAGAGGCTGGAAGATGTGGATGAGAGGAGCCTGGCAGGTAAGCCCAGGGAAAATGACATTCAGCTTCCCAGACAGCATCTACAGGGAGAAATTTAATTAAAAGTGGGGCGGTTTCCCTGAGCAAGGCAGACAAAGTCAGCCCTCTACTGTTAAGAAAAAGGGTCACAGTGAGAGGGGAGGTGAGGAGACTGAGTCTGTATTTTCTAGTCTGTTGGGCTACACTACCTGATCCCCCTTCCTCAAAAATCCACTTTACTTTCCCCATGTCTACACCAATGTGGTTCACACTCTGGGACCAGGAAAAGGGGGAGTGATGGGGAACAGAGAAGGGAGGAGCTCACACAGCTGAGGCTGGGGTTATGCATATCGAATTACTTAGAATTTGCAACCTCACAGGGTACTTTCATGGCGTTGAAATACACTTCCCACAGCCACCCTCCCTCTAACTAAAAGCAAGAGTCATTTCTCAGTTCTGGTCTTGCCTCCCACGTTCTCCTCCACATTTAAAAAAATCCACCAGCTACAAAGTGAAGATACCATATGTGATATCCCACCCTAGTTTCTGTTTTATCAGGGTTTGGAGCAGGTGGAGCAGGCAGAGGGATCATTTCAGCCTATAAATTGTATTAAGGGTGAGTACTGAGTCATTCTTCAAGAAAAGTTTTAGAAGCATCCAAAACTGAAGGGTGGAGCCACCTGGAGACAGTATCATCAGTCCTGGCCCCGAGCATGGCCTGCATAGGCCCCCATGGATCCCAGCGGGAGCTGCAGAGTGCGGGCACCTTGGCACACAGCCCTGAGTGCAAAATTAGGAGCTGGGCAGAGGGCATCTCTCTGTCGCCATTGGGCAGCCCAGGGCACACTGGTCATAGCCTTAGACCACGAACACCCTGTGCCCGGGGGACAGATGCAACCAGTGTGCCCTGGGCTGCCCAATGGCAACAGAGAGATCGACACCTGGACCCCATGTCACGGGGACTCCACTACTAAGGCTCCTAAGACTGCCACCTTCCAGTGGGATAAGCCCTGCCTCCTACTGGGCCCACAATGTGCAGAGAACACTTGGGACTACCTGGCTTTCTGGATACACAAATATTGATCCAATCTGGACTAATTAGAAGGTCAGTCCCAATAACAAATCGAAGTCAGCTGGGCGTGATGGCTCACTCCTATAATCCCAGCACTTTGGGAGGCTGAGGTGGGCAGATCATTTGAAGCCAGAAGTTCAAGACCAGCCTGGGCAACATAGCAAAACCCTGTCTCTACTAAAAATACAAATAATTAGGCTGGGTGTGGTGGCTCATGCCTGTAATCCCAACAGTTTGGGAGGCTGAGGCAGGTGGTCACCTGAGGTCAGGAGTTTGAGACCAGCCTGGCCAACAGGGTGAAACCCCGTGTCTACTAAAAACATAAAAATTAGCCAAGCATGATGGCATGTGCCTATAATCCTGGCTACTAGGGAGGCTGAGACAGGAGAGAATCGCTTGAATCCAGGAGGTGGTTGCAGTGAGCTGAGATGGTGCCACTGCACTCCAGCCTGGTTGACAGAGCAAGACTCTGTCTCAAAAAAAAAAAAAAAAGCCATGCCTGGTGGAGCACTACGTGTAATCTCAGCTATTTGGGAGGCTGAGGCACGAGAATCACTTGAACCTGGGAGGCAGTGGTTGCAGTGAGCTGAGATCGCGCCACTGCACTCCAGCCTGGGCGACAGAGTGAGTGAGACTCCATTTCAAAAAAATAATAAATCTGAGTCACTTTAATATTGTTATTTGGATGTCAACCTCTAGGTGTTTGAGACAGGAGAGTGATATGGGGGCACTGGAAACACACAGGCACGGGGTGTCCTCACACTTGGGTAGCCCACACGATGTGATTTCAGGGTGCTGGGAGGTCCCCCCACTCCCCAAATTACTAACAAGTGGATAGTACTTTACAGTTTATATGATCTCATTTGATTCTTAACATGAGCCTGTGAGTGAAAAATTCCTTCCCCTCTTCTACAGATTAGGACGTTGAGATTCAGGGAGGTTCAGAGGGATTCAGGGAAGTCAAGTGGCACCTGGAGTCCCGTGGCTAATTTGAGGCCGGTAGGGGATTCGAACCCAGGATTTGTGCTTCTTATGCCTGGGCTTCTGCTCCCTGGGGCATGGTCTTCCCCCTAGCTTTCCCATTCACTGCTTTAGCCTAGGGGTCCTACCCTTTATTAAACTGCCAGTGCCTCACTGCTTTTCTCCCCCAAAGACAAAAAAAAAGTGTTTTTGCTTTTGTTTTGTTTTTCATGGGCAGAGACCTGGAATTTCAGCTTGAGAATTTGTGCCATATGATAAATAAATCAACAGATGGCTTTTTCCTTAAAAAAAAAAAAAAAAAAAAACTAAGATGTATTTGCAGTGAGGCATAATTTGTACCAAAAAGTGCTCACCACACTGTAGTCATGGGGGCAGGAGGCAGCCGCGGGTGAAGGGAGAAATCTTGGAGTCCAGGCAGCCCCCTTCTGGGCTGAACTGGGGAGCTGGGGGTGCTGCCAGCCCTGCCAGGTTCTCCTAGGAGGCGGCAGCTCATATGGCTGTGGGAGGAGGCAGAGGGAGCCTCATATGCACCCACATTTCCAGGGATCTAGAAGACAGAAGGAGGAAAACCACCATCATGTTAAAGCAGACAGTTAGGTAACACATCCTGTAATACAAGTTATTTTTTCCACATCTAAAGGCTAAAAATAGTTGTTAGAATTTAAAGATAATTGGTAAATGAGTTTCTATCCTTCTAGTTTCACATCAAATGGAATCATGCTGCCTTCACATCACTAGTGCCCGTTATTTGTGTTTAATTTCCACAATGTTGTCTAATTCCACTCTTTGGGCTTCCCCAGGGATCCAGCCTCCCTCACTCGCCCATCGCAGGGAGATGCTTTATTCATCTTTGTGTCTTCTGTGCCGGGCATAGCGCATGGCACAGAATAAGCACTCAGTAATTGATTCACGAGTGAATAAATGGATGAGTGGGTGAGTTCAATATTGACTACAAAAACCCTAAGGCCACACTGGTGAGTGGCTGCGCCTGTAGTCCCAGCTGCTGGGGAATCTGAGGCAGGAGGATCTCTTGAGCCCAGGAGTTTGAAACTAGCCTGGGCGATATAGCGAGAACCTGTCTCAAATGACAAAAACAGGGCCAGGTGCAGTGGCTCACGCCTGGAATCCCAGCACTTTAGGAGGCCAAGATGGGAGGATCACTTGAGGCCAGGAGTCCGAGACCAGCCTGGGCAACATAGGGAGACCCTGTCTCTACAAAAAATTTTTTAAAAATTAGCTGGGCATGGCGGTGTGCGCTTGTAGTCCCAGCTACTCAGGAGGCTGAGGCAGGAGGATCACTTGAGCCCAGGAAATTGAGGCTGCAGCGAGCCATGATGGCACCACTGCACTGCAGCCTGGGCGTCAGAACGAGACCTGCTCTCAAAAAAACAAACAAACAACAAAAAAAAAGGCTTTCTTAAAGAGACTTGAGAACAGAAAGGGGAACAGATACATAACTTATATATTTATTTGTTCATCTTTCCACCTTCCTGGAGGGTGGAGGGGAACAGGTCTGTATTTGGAGTTTTGAATGCTAAAAGTGGGAATACATGTACTGTTTGCCATGATCTGTTCAAAAGTTAAGCCAAATGCCTTAGATTCTCCTGAAAACTGGAATGCCACTGTAAACTATAAGCCCCACTTCAAAGATAAAAGATCTTGATGAACAGGGCTGGGTCTGTGGACTGGGCCTCTCCCCACCACACAAGGAAGGGTGGTGCCAGTTGAAGGAAAATCACTTAAATCCTTGCTGTCTCCTAATAAGGTGTGGTCCCAGGTAGGGCTGTCAGAATTAGCAAATTAAAACACAGGGCATCTGTGAAAATTAGAATTTCAGATAACAACAAATAATTGGCATAGGCTGCATAATGTCCCTCAAAGATATCAGGTCCTAATCTCCAGAACCTGTAAATGTGATCTTATTTGGAAAAGGGGTCTTTGTAGATGTGGTTAAATTAAGGATTTTGAGATGGGGGGATTATCCTGTATTATCTAGGTAGGTCCTAAATGCAGTCACACTCATCCTTGTAAGAGGAAGGAAGAGAGAGATGGAAAACACAGAAGAGAAGACAATGTGGTGATGGAGGCAGAGATTGGAGTGAGGTGGCCACAAGCCAAGGACTGCTGGCAGCTACCAGCAGCCAGAAAAGTCCAGGAACCAATTCTCTCTTGGAGCTCCAGAGGGAGTGTGGCCCTGCTGACACCTTAGCTTCAACCTAGTGATCCTGATTTTGGACTTTGGCCTTCAGAAGTGTGAGGGAATGAATATCTGTTGTTTTAAGCCACCAAGTTTATGGTCATTTCCTACAGCAGCCACAGGAATCAAAAACAGTAAGTATGTCCCATGCAATGTTTGTGACACACACCAAAAATATTACTTGTTGTTCACCTGAAATTCAAATTTAACTGGGTCTCCTGTATTTTATTTGGCCAACCTAGTTCCCAGGCCCAAAGAAAGAGGCTTTTGAAATTTGCAAGAAAGCTGGTTGGAGCTGTCAGAAAGTGGACTTTGTAAACACAGTACCACCGAACCAATTTGAACTGTACTACCTCTAGACAAAAGAGAGGGCAGTCAGACAGTTGTTCGTGATTTCTTCTTTCAACAGTCATTTGAGCACTTACTACAAAACAGAAGCTATGTGTAAGGGTGGAGGCGTTAGCTGTTAATCAGGACCTCCAGGCTAAGTTTCTGTATTAGTCCGTTTTCACGCTGCTGATAAAGACATACCCGAGACTGGGGAATTTACAAAAGAAAGAGGTTTAATTGGACTTACAGTTCCAAGTGGCTGGGGAAGCCTCACAATCATGGCAGAAGGCAAGGAGGAGCAAGCCACATCTTACATGGATGGCAGCAGACAGACAGGGAGAGAGAGCTTGTGCAGGGGAACTCCTCTTTTTAAAACCATCAGATCTCGTTAGACTTATTCACTATCAAGAGAACAGCACAGAAAAGACCTGCCCCCATGATTCAGTTACTTCCCACCAGATCCCTCCCACAACATGTGGGAATTCAAGATGAGATTTGTTACCATATCAGTTACCAACCCTTCCAGATAAATCACGTGAAATATCGCCATTAACAGAGTGAGCTCAGGTGGTTCTTCAGTGCATTTCTGATACCTGAACCTTCCCTGGGAATTTCACAGACCATCAGGCTCTCCACCCTTTGATAGCAGGATAGCAGGGCCCAGGTTCTGCAGGAGGAGATGTTACCACAGGCCTGAAAGGGAGGGAGGGGCAGATGCTACAGGAAGATGCTGGCTCTGGATTCGCTGGAGGAGCTTTCAAGGGAAGTAGATACACACTGTCTCCATCATTTCATGTCCATCACACTCTAAAATGCTTTGGACAAGAAGCAAATGTTAAAGACAAATGTGGCCCATTTTCCTGTACAAAGAGGGCTGCTCCCATGCCAGGCTATTGGCACTGGTGGGCATGAGGCTTCTCTGCTGCCCTGGCCGGGGGGTTCTCTCACTCACCATTGGCTCTCTGACACCTGGAGAGACCACCACCCTTGGGCTTTCATGATGCTCACAGAATCCACACTGTTGGAGCTTTAAGGAGCCTGGATCAACTGGAACAGGCAGGGAGTACTAGGACAGCCCAGCATTGCCCCAAAATATCCAGGCCTGATAAAAGAGAAAAACAGGTAGCTCACAGGAAAAGGATAAAAAAAGGAGGAGGGATTTAACATGAAAAGGTGCTTGATCTCCCTCATAATAAAAAGACTGCTGATTCCATCCAGGCAAGTGACAGAAAAACAAAATTTAATTTAAAAAGACTGCTGATAAAACCACAGCGAGACGCTGCTGCTCAGGGATCTGAGGGTGTGGGCAGCCAGGGTGTGGGCAGCCAGGCTGCCACGCATCATGGGTCGGAGAGGAAGACCACACCCCTGGAGCAGAGGGCGCCTGATCTGTCAGATGCCCTTTGACAGCACCTCAGCTTCCAAGAATTAACCCTTTCTATGTGAGCAGAGGCATCCATGGGGGGACACACTGGTGAATCATCTGTTATGTAGAAGTCTGGAAAACATCAGGATGGAACTGGTGAAATAAGTGTGGCCTCTGACGGAATGGAGCGGTCCGTCTGCACTGCTGCGGGTGCCCCTCAGATCCTGTGGGTCAGTGAGAAAAGCAGTGAGGAACAAGGCAGGTACTGTGTACTGTCCTCTGCGTGCAAGGAAGGCCAGCGCATGCAACAGAGTCCACACAGACATAGCCTAACTCTGGAAGGAAGAATGAGAATGCAGTTTCAGTGGTGGCCTCTGGTGGGGAGAAACTGGGTGAAGGGAGATGTCATTTCCATTTCTCTACTATTAATTTTGTATTACCATGCTTAAATGTTACTTTTTACCTTTTTTTTTTTTTTTGAGACAGGGTCTCTCTCTGTTGCCCAGGCAGGAGTGCAGTGGTACAATCATGGTTCACTGCAGCCTGAACCTCCCAGGCTCAAGCAATCCTCCCACCTCAGCCTCCTGAGTAGCTGGGACTATAGGCACGCATACCACCGTGCCCAGCTATTTTTTTTAATCAAGATGGAGTTTTTCTATGTTGCCCAGGCTGGTCTCAAGCTCCTGGACTCAAGCAATCCTCCTGCCTCAGCCTCCCAAAGGGCTGAGATTAAAACGTGAGTCACCCTGCCCAGCCAATTGCTTTTTAAAAAAGATTAAATGCATGTATACGCTCAGGCATCAGCACACTTGGAAAGGATGAAAATATCCGGAAGAAGGGTTCTTTTAAAAGGCTCCTCAAGTGATGCTGGCAGGCATGACGAATGTCCCTGGTCACAAAAGCTCTGATCTGGCCTAACCCTGTCATGTTAGAGACTGGAGTGCGTGTGTGTGCGCGCAAAGTGTGGGGGGATGGGGGTGAGTGTGTGTGGTGTGTAAGCATGAGTGTGTATGTGTGTGGTGTGGGGGTGTGTGCTGTGTGAGCGTGTGTGAGTCTGTGTGTGTAGTGTGTGTGTGAAGTATGTGGTGTGTATGTGTGACGTGAGGTGTGTGTGGTGTGTGAGTTGTGTATGGTGTGTGCATGAGCATGTGTGTGGGCATGTGATGTGTGTGTGGTGTGTAAGCATGTGTGAGTGTGTATGTTTGAGCATGTGTGGTGTGTTGTGATATGTGTGTGGTGTGTGAGCATGTGTGTGTGATGTGTCTGTGTGTGGTGTGTGTGAGCATGTGTGTTGTGTGTGTGGTGCATGTGTGTGGCATGTGAGCGTGTGTGTGCATTGTGTCTGTGAGCATGTGTGAGTGTGTGTGTGTTCAGCATATATAAGGCATGTAACTGAACACAGCACTTTAGAGGGCTCTCCTGGAGTCAGAGGGGGTGGGTAGGAGGAGAAGGGAGGTGGGCTAGTGTGCTGAAGTATCTACTCCTTGTCATAGTCTGTGACAACCCAGACTAGCCCATGAGCCACCCTGTTCCCTGCATTTCCAATGAGACCTCGGTGGACATGTTCCCTGAGGTGAGGCTGACTGATGTCATTTGACGATCTTGATGCCAAATCCTTTTATATCAAAAACAACCAGAACACTCTCTTTTCTCTTAGTGCTTTCACCCAGATGACCACATTTCATCCTCCCAGCCACTCTGGGCCAGGTGGCACTGCTGGTTTGAAAGGGAGGTCTCCCCTGGAGTAACTGCCGTGGGCGGATTCACACCCTGCCCACAGTCCTGTCCCAGTCAGCCCACCATGGTGGTCTCCGGTTCCTCCAGAATTCCCGCTTTTCAGCTCATCCCCACATTCCCGGAGGGACTGAGAGCGCAGCCCCAGGGCCCTGCTCTTTGGGGGCCGTCTCTACACCCAGAGAAGCAGCAAGGCATTCCTAGGTTTCTCTTTCAGATGCAGAACTTCAGTGTTCAGAGATGTTCCCACTGGTCCTGAGAGGGCTCAGTTCAGCTTTAATGACTGCGCTGTTGCGTGTGCTCTGCAGAGGGCGGGTGGCCCAGCGTGGCTGACTGCAGTTTTCCTGACGTGGAGCCCGAGCCTGCCCCGCTGTTTATTAATTAAGGATCACTCTGCTTGCAGAACCCTGAACTCCCCAGAACTGTGAGGTGGGAGAACCCCGAGAGGCCACCTGGCCCCACTTCCCACCTGCTGCCCAAACCCCCTCTCTGCCTTCCTGACAGTCACCCCAACTCCCAGTGATCCCCATCAACCATCTGACAAGGGGACTGAGAGGGAAGAGAAAGGAGGGGCCCAAAGAGGAAGGTAAAACTGTCGGGAACAGCCCCCAAATGTGTGACAGCCTTCAGTGGAGTTGCCCACTTTCCCTTTTCTCCTCCCCGCAGGACCTCCCTTCTCCCCAGTCCTCCCCAACTTCTGAGGTTACATTGAGAAAAGTCTGCAGAGAGGTGCCAGCATCACAAGGTGTTAAGGACCACGAGTTTGGCATTTTAACAGATGCCAGAGCCACTTGAGAAATGTGGTAACTAAGCCCAGAGAGGTACAGTTAACCTCCCCAGAGTCACACAGCAGGTTCATGGCAAAGCTGGACTAGCACAGGTGTCCTTCCCCTGCAGATCCCCTTCTGTGCCCCACATCACCTCCCTCCAGTGTCTGGGCCACCTGGAGATGGGCCCTCAGACTCACCCGGCCAGAGGTGCCATCTCATGGGAGAGGTCTGGCCAGGAAGCATCGATATTTGAGATCCCAAGAAATGAAGACTTGGCCTGTCAGATGACAGACTTCGGTCATGGGAACACGTGATCTGTTTTACACATGCGTCCCCTCAGCAGCAGCTTTCCAGAACATTCCCACTTTCTTCTGTAGTGAGAAGAACTCTTTCCCTGCAGCCTCCTGCCCAACTCCTCCTTCAGTGTCTTTGCTTCAGTGTCTTTGATAAACCATTCTGCTTTGCAGAGTGCGAGCTCTGCCTTGCAGGGTTCGCATCTGCCTGTGCTGAGTAACCAACGCTAAGGTCGAGTGGTCGGTCACCTCTCATAAGAGCTAGGGTTGTCTCATGCTGATGACTAGGACTTGCCCTCAAGGAGAAAAATAAATCAAAACAAAAGCAAAAACAGCAAACATGCATCTCTTAAAGAAGGCTCTGAGTCCAGGTAAATTTCCTTCCACTGAAGCAGCCAGGCTGAATTCGAATTATCTTTGCCCCTGCTTAAAAACTAATGCAAATTTTCCTAGAGAATATCCACTAATTCCTGGAGGGGGCATGGGCATTCCTGATGCCCATGAGAGGACCATTTGCTCTTCCCTCAGTATGCTAAATAACAGAAGCGACATTTGTTGCTGGAAAGTATCAGTGAAGTTAATAAGGTTTTTCTTGCCCAGGGTGAGGGAACAGTTCCCAATGACAAATGCTGTATGGGAAGGGGCTGTAGAACTGCCAGCCCCTTTGGTCCATCCGTAAAGTGAACTCTGTGGATCCTGGAGGATTCCAGCGTCTTTTTTTTTTTTTCTTTTTTTTTAAGACAGAGCCTTGCTGTCACCCAGGCTGGAGTGCAGTGGCACGATCTCAGTTCACTGCAACCTCCGCCTCCCGGGTTCAAGCGATTCTCATGTCTCGGCCTCCCGAGCAGCAAGACTACAGGTGCGCACCACCATGCCCGACTAATTTTTGTATTATTAGTAGAGACGGGGGTTTCACTCTGTTGGCCAGGCTGGTCTCAAACTCCTGACCTCAGGTGATCCACCCGCCTCAGCCTCCCAAAGTGCTGGGATTACAGGCATGAGCCACCATGCCCAGCCAGCATCTTTCATTTTTCTGTCTGCTTTGGCCCTTTCCTCTCTCACTGTCTTCCTTTTCCATTTCCAAAGTCAGTCCATCTCACTATTAGCACAAAAACTGCTAGAGCGCTTGTCATTGGTCATCTCTCCCTGCACCTGGCTGGTCTGTTCTTGGCCACTGAAGCGTTTCCCCCAGCTGTTGCTTTAATCATTTTATTGTTATTATGCCTTACTTAAGAAATGGATATGAGATGCATTTACCTGTCTCTTCCTGCCACTCTGCAGAGCCAGTAAGATGTGGTGGAAAGGGCCCAGGCTTTGGAGGAGGGCTGGCTGGGGTTGGATCTTGGCTGCCCCCTACTAGCTGTGTGACCTTGGGTAAGTAGCTGGACCTCTCTGAGCCTGGTTCGGAATCATAGCACCTCTCTTTCAGGGCTGCTGTAAGGAATAGCAGTGGTGTGTATAAAGCAGAGCGCACAGCCAGCAACTGGCCCCTAGCCACACTGCTGAGCAGCTACTGTGATAAGCTGCCATTGTGGTGTGTGAAGCAAAGGGGAAACATGCCTGCTGTAGTGAGCTTCCTGTAGGGCAGGTTGTAGAACCAGAGGTGGGTTCCAAGGTTACAAAGGGACTCTTAGTGTATTAGTCTGTTCTCACATTACTATAAAGACCTACCTGAGACTGGATCATTTATAAAGAAAAGAGGTTTAATTGGCTCACACTGGCTGGGTGCGGTGGCTCACGCCTGTAATCCCAGCATTTTGGGAGGCCAAGGCCGGCGGATCACTTGAGGTCAGGAATTTGAGACCAGCCTGGCCAACATGGTGAAACCCTGTCTCTTCTAAAATAAAATACAAAAATTAGCTGGCCATGGTGGTGTGCGCCTGGAATCCCAGCTACTCAGGAGGCTGAGGTGGAAGAATTGCTTGAGCCCGGGAGGTGGAGGTTGCAGTGAGCCAAGATCGCCCCACTGCACTCTAGCCTGGGCAGCAGACTGAGACTCTGTCTCAATAAAAAAAAAAAAAAAGAAAAGAAAAAGAATTGCAAGAAATAAATTATTGTTTATGAGCTATATGGTCTGTGGTACCTTGTTGTGGGACTGGGAGTCTTGGCGTCTCCCTGACCCTGCCTGTTGCTGCAGCGCCGCTCAGCCCTGCCTGCTCCCTACCTGCCTCCCCTCGGCCTCTCCTGCCTCCACCGGGCCCCTGGTGCCTCCTCTAGAGACAGTCCTCCTGGGACCGATTGTGTTCTCACTTACACGAGGCATCCAGGACTACAGATAACCAGAGGAAGGGGCGCCCCCCCCGCCTGCCCTCCTCCCTGGCATCCTCACGCTGCAGAGGTCAGAGCCTCATCCCAGCCCCTTACCTGCCCCTACTCTGTGGAGAACCGTGGTCAGTTCGCCAGGCCGGATCCACGAACGGCCTTGTGGAAGATGGTGAGCTCACACCCAGAGCTGGCTCCGATGACCCTGTCTCCTTTACATGTTTCTACCTTCCCCTCCCTACCTTCCCCCACTGCTGGGCGCAGAGTGGAGGCAGATGAGGTTTAAAGCTCAGAAGGGCTTAAACGGGTTGGGGCGCAGTGGCTCATGCCTGTAATCCCGGCACTTTGGGAGGCCAAGGCAGAGGATCACTTGAGCCCAGGAGTTCGAGACCAACCTGAGCAACATAGTGAGACCGCGTCTCTACAAAAAATAAAATAAATAAAATTAGCTTTGCAGGGTGGCATGCACCTGCAGTCCCTGCTACTCAGAAGGCTGAGGTGGGAGGATCGCTTGTGCCCAGGAGTTTGAGGCTGCAGTGAGCTATGCTGGCACCACAGCACTCCAGCCTGAGTAACAGAATGAGATCCTGTCTCAAAACAAACAAACAAACAAACAAAAGAAGGCTTAAAGGGGGCTCCAGGTGGGCTTGGCAGCACAAAGCTATGAAGTTCTATCTTAGACACAAGTTCTGTTACTGGGCCTTTGCAGGCTGGCCTGGGTACCTGGCTGCCATAGACAGGGAACCTTCCAGATGAGCTGCAGGCGTGGAGCACAGGAGCCAGGGTGCTCTTCCTGGGCTCTGTCCACAGGCAGAACGTACACAGTCTTTGTACACGTCCGGCGGCTCTGGTGCCTATTTTTGTTTGTGTTTTTCTTTTGTTTGGGGGGATGGATTTGGTTTCCCCCGAGCCCTCTGTCCTCCTGTCACCTGGCTGGTGCTCGGCAATGTTGACCAGCTGCCTGGCTGGAGTTGGCAGTGGCTAAGGCTGTGACAGCTAACATGTTCCTGAGTCCTCTCATTTCTTCACCATAATGCCCTGTTGAGTTTGCAGATACTGTCTCTGTTTTTATCTCCCGGGGAAACTGAGGCTCAGAGTGGCTAGGCCACCTTCCCATGGTCCCTCAGCTCATGAGGGCCACACAGGGCATTGCGGTGGCCTTCTCCTCAGCCTTGACCCTCCGGCCCCAGCATTGCTGCCTCAAGGGGTCTCCTCTGCTGAGCCGTGCACCTTCTGCCTGGCAGCTCCAACTCTGTGGCTGTGTTCAGTGGCTCAGCACTGCCCCTTGACCCTCCCTGGCCTTCTGCGGATGCCAGACTGGAGCACTCTGACAAGGTCTGGGGTGGTTGTATGGGTCCTGTGACCTCTATACACCTCCCAGTGCCTGGGAATCCTGCAGATACACCCTCCTTAGCCGTCCCTAACCATAGAGGACATTTCTGAGGTCCCCGAGAGAGTGGGGCACCCCTGCAGGATCCAACTGCTGGGCCCAGGAAGGATAGCAGCAGCATGAGGGGTTCCATTAGCCACAAACTCACGGCATGGAACCTTCACCCACCTCGCCCCTCATCTGCTGTTTAGCACCTGGCACGCCGTGTATACTTACTGATTATTACATTTTAATGGCAAATTATAGTGGCAAACGTATGCATCTTTGCACAATTGTTGTACAGCATGATGAACAAGTCATTAATAGTAAAGAATAAATGTGAAAGTGAGAAAAATCTGACTGCCAAAGTTTTTACTCCTTCCTTCCCTCCCCAGACTTTTAAATGAAAGTTTAGGGATAATCCCTTAGTTGTCCTGCTAGTAGGACTTGCAATTAAAAGAATTGGGCCAAGAACACTTCTACGCTTCTCCTTTTAGGTTTGGGTGTAAATTCGGGGTATTTCTCACTGATGAAAGCCTGGTGCAGGGCAGACCGTGGGAAGCTTTCATTTCCGGAATGGACCATCAACATCCCTTGGAGAAGAATTCTCTTCTCCAGACCCAGACCTGGTGTCCTGGCACCCATTGGGCAAGTGGGTCCTAGAAGACAAACCTGGTCAGAGCCTGGAGGCTGCTTAGCATTCCCCACGCACATTAGCAGCTCGGAGAGCTCAGGAAGCCGCAGCCCCTCCTTGCCTCACCAGCCTGGATCAGGACAGCATCCCCTGGAAGACACACAGGGCCTGGCCTCTGATTACCCAGCCTGGAGGGAAAGCTCAATCGAGCATCATGTCACCCGGTGCCCCCATGCAGGGTGGCACTGGTGAGACCCCCAAGCCAATGATACCACCTCACAGGAGTGCAGGCCCATTGTGGCCAGATCATCTTGACTTTTCAAGATAAATCAGAAATCGTATTTCCATGAGATATCCCTATTTGCAAGTGATGGTGACTAAATTAGAAGTTTTTGAATATTGTAACATGTTCGTAGGCTGTTTGTCTGGTTTAAACTCTATCTGGAGGAATTCAAGCTAGACTTCAGGAATAACTTCTTGAGGCAAGGATTTTGAGACCTTAGGGAAAGAAGGACATCTTGGGGGTATTCTGACTGTTGTCCTCCTGGAAGGGAAGAACAGAGAACTAGAAGACTGCCCTTAGCGAAGTTCAAAGCACCTAAGCCCGGGACCCTCAGCAAGTGTTCTTGAGTCACAGATTCTCCCTGAGGCGCCTCTTTCTGGCTCCATAGAATGGCTGATTCTGTAACTCGGTGAGTTTGCTTTTTTTTTTTCCTCCATCACCCAGGCTGGAGTGCAGTGAAGCTGGAGTGCCGTGGAGCGATCACTGCAACCTCTGTCTCCCAGGTTCAAGCAATTCTCCTTCCTCAGCCTCCCAAGTAGCTGGGATTACAAGCATGCAGCACCACACCTGGCTAATTTTTGTGTTTTTAATAGAGACGGCCCGAAGTGCTAGGATTACAGGCATGAGCCACCGCGGCCAGCCATAACTCTGTGACTCTTGTTACAAAGGCCTTATATTTTGCTCTTTGAGGGTGGTTTTGGTTTGATGCCTGTTGGTTGCCATCTTTTAACTAGGGATGTTTTATCAAAATGCCCAGCCAAAGTGTCCAAACAAATTATACCTTAAAGTTTGAAAATGTCTGGCACTTCTAATTCAATGCCTGTTGTGCCAGGCACTGGGCTGCTGAGGAACTGAGTCCCGTCCCTGCAGGCTAGCTAGAGAACACACACACACACACACACACACACACACACACACACACACACACACACACAGAGTGGTCTTACAAGTCAGTTTTATATTCTACCTATATGCAATAAAGGTATTATTATGTTGAGGTGCCTTGATATAAAAATTTTTCTTAAAGGAGAGGATGCCTAAAACAGGCATTACCTGAAACCTCCTCTCTCCAGCATTGGTTGTCTTCTGTCATGACTCAGGGTTTTCACTGAGAATGGGATGGAAATGTGGTCTAAAGATAGGGCCAATGTTGGGACTGGATCCCCTCTGGGAAGTCAGACCAGGCTAGGGCAGGTCCTTGAAGCCATCAGGAAAAGCCTCTGGAGCCAGAAACAAAACAAAAAAAAAATGGTGTTAACTAAACTCAGTCTCAAATCCTGAATAGGACTCAAGTCAAGCAAAATAATTAAAGGAGTTAGCAAAGGGCAAGTCAGAGAGACCGAGCAACACCAATGTCTTCCGGGAGCCCTGTGGCGAGTGACAGAGCCTGGACTCTGGAGTAGAACTCATCTTGTGTCTTCTTCTGCCACTCGTTAGCTGGGTGACCTTGAGCCAAGCCCCTTAACCTCTTGGACCCTATGTTCTTATCTCTAAGTAGGGGCTGGTAATATCTTCCCCTTTGAGGAATGCCCTCTAAGGGGTGTTGTGAAGATTCGGTAAGGTGGCAGGGGTAGGACTCCTGGCCAGAAACAGGCACATAATAAATGCTAAGTCTCTCCTTCTCTCCACCTGCTGGATGCTGTAGATACTAAGGATTTCGATGTGAATGAGACAAAACCCCTGCCTTCCAGGAGCCTTTGAGAATCAGAGAACTAGACCCATTTCCAGAACAAGGGGATGCAGGGTCTGGATAAAGTTTTGGGGATCAATAGAGCAGAGGGCTCCCAGAGGATCCCATAGGGTTGACTCCTAACTCAAGGGCATGAGACAACCCCCAGGAAGGGCACCCTGGAAGGGGTCCGGCTGTCCCTGATTTACTTGTGGGCACTGGGGGAATGCCCGGAGCCATCCAGCCCTCAGGGCTCTGTGTGATTCTGGGTTCCTCCCATAAAAGATAATCAGATTCTTTCACGTTAATGTCTTTCTCCACCTCATTGCACATCATGCAGCTATTCATTGACTCAGCAAGTATCAGCTTTGCATGCGACCTTGGCCTACCCACTTTAGCTTTTAGTAATAGCTCCCTTCTTGAATAATACAACCAGTGGGGAAACAGAACCTAACTCTTACCTCTGGGAGGCTTATTTGCTTTGAGAACATATGTCCTGCAGTTTTGTTCATATGGCAGTGAAGTTTCGTGCACACACTCTAGAGCCAGGCAGCCTGGGTTCAAAGCGCAGCTCTGCCAGGTCCTAACTGCATGAATTTGGGCAAGTCGCTCAACCTCTCCATGCCTGAGTTTCCTCATCTGTAAGATTGGAGCAATGGTAATACCTGCTTTTTAGGGTTGAGAAGAGAATTAAATGAATTAAGATGGGTAAAGTGCTTAGAGTGGAGCTTTGCAAGTAGTAAGTGCTATGTAAGTGTTCGATTTAAAATGAAAGACCCTTAAATACATTCTTTGTTCATTTCACAAGCCCTTCATTTCACAACCTTACATTTCACAACCAAGCTCTGTCTCCCCTGGAATCCAGCCATAACTCTGCTCACAAGTGTGAGACAGGCCCCAGCAGAGCTGCACGAAGAGGAGAGAAGGCAGCCCCCCAGACTCCCAACCCCCTGTCCAAGATGGCAAAACCAGAACACAGCCTCTGTACCACCCCAGCAGGTATTCAGAATCTGCAATCTCCAAAGCCCACTTCAATTGTAAATGTAGAGCCACGTGCGCTTTAAGTCACCTGTCACTCTGGAGGCTCTTTTGCTCAGTTCCTCACCATTAGCAGGGATGACAGGGAGTGCAGGAGTGCGGTCGACTCCCAGATATTGGAGAGCGCTGGGCTAGCTGCCCATTCTCCCGGCCTCCACTCCTCTTTGCTGTCCAGCCATCACTTGCTCTTTGAAGGCAAACAAAACAGAAAACAGTGCCAAAAGTATGGGAAGAAAGCCAGCTTCTCCCCTGGGGTGCCTGTGATGCCATGCCCACCCTCCCTGACCACGCAGCCCCTGTGGACCCTCAGGGCCCCAAGCCCCCATTTCCATCACATGCGTACACCCATGTGTGTCCATAGCCGCCCATCTCAGTCAATAAGGCTGCTCCTGCCCACTTGGAATAGTGGTGACAACCAGGAGTGGCTTATGGGAACTATCCCAATGGCCTGACAGCATGTCCGCTGCAAACCGCTGAGGTAGGACACTGCCCTCATGTCTAGCTGATCAGCAAGAGGCGCAGTTGCTTTCTTAGGTAACATTGCTGCTGTGTCCTGGCCATTGCTGGGGGGTGGCACTTAATCTACACCAGATTTTTCCCTCCTGTATCTTCCGAGCTGCTTGGATCTTGGTGCTGAATTAGGTTGGACTTTGTCTTGTGGGGAAGGGAGGACTATAGACCCTCAACGTAAGCAATGGTCAGACTATTCTAAGAAAACTCGCCGAATTAAAGCATGAGGTAAATTTAGTTCTGACTTCTGTCCACCCCACTGCCACTGTCCCCTTTTATCCCATGATCCCTTGCTTTTCTTTTCCTCCTCTCTCCCTATCTCTTGTGTTTGACGCATGATAGGAATTCAGAAATATATGTTTGTGGATTTGTTTATTCACGTAGCAAACCATTTCTTGAGTGCCTACCATGGGCCAGGTAGAATGGGCGGCCCCGGGCTGCAGTGGTTTCTTCAGCCCCTCTCCTGGGTTTACACTGTGCAAGACGGTTTGTGATGGGTCCTCCCATCGAGGACCACACTCTTCTTTCTCTGTGCCCCTTGGTCCTCAGTCTCTGACCCCACTTCAAAGGCAGCATTCACTCAGGGAAGCTCCCATACAATGCTAGTCAGAGTAAAAGTTTGGACAAATTGCCAGGAAGCAGCTTGTCAGTATGCATAAACAGCCTTTAAAATATTACTACTCTTTGACCCAGAATTTCACTTCTAGGAATCTGTCCTAAGGAAGTAGTCACATGCAAAAGATTTATGTACCAAGATGTTCATCAAAGTGTTGTTTATAACAGGAAGTCTCAGAAGCTGGATAAATATCCAACCTCTGGAAATGGTTAGATAGAATAGTATGTAGCCATTAGAAAATTATGTCTATGGGGTTTAAAATGTCATGGGAAAACACTTCTGACATAAAAGAGCATGAGAACTGTATATTTAGCATAATCTTAACTATGTTTTAGAATGCACAGGAAAAAAATGTACAAACATATTCATAGTGATGTCTCTGGTGGTAGGATTATGATCAGTAAGTACTTCTGTCTCTTCATATTTTCCTGTATTTGATAATACATGCATATGTTGTTTTTAAAATAAGAAAAATTTTAAGTTTAAAATTGGAGCTGAAAAGTGTTTTTAGGTCAGGCGAGGTGGCTCACACCTGTAATAGCACCACTTTGGGAGGCTGAGGCAGTCAGATCACTTGAGCCCAGGAGTTCGAGACCAGCCTGGCCAACATGGTGAAACCCCATCTCTACTAAAAATAAAAAAATTAGCCATGTGTGGTGGCACACATCTGTAATCCCAGCTACTTGGGAGGCTGAGGCATGAGAATTGCTTGAACCCAGGAGGTGGAGGTTGCAGTGAGCCAAGATCGTGCCACTGCACTCTAGTCTGGGCAACAGAGTAAGACTCTATGTCAAAGAAAAAAAAAAAAGAAAAGCCTTTTTAAACAGTAGCAGACATAACTATATAATCCTTACTAAGCTGTCGGTCAAATTTTTATTTATATATTTATTTTATTCATTTATTATTTTTAGACAGGGTCTCACTCTGTTGCCCAGGCTGGAGTACAGTGGCGTGATCATGGCTCTCTTCAAACTTGACCTCCCGGGCTCAAGTGATCCTCCCATCTTAGCCTCCCAAGTAGATGGGACCACAGGTGCATACCACCACACCTGGCTAATTTTTTTTATTTTTTATTTTTAGAGATGGTGTTTACTATGTTGCCCAGGCTAGTCTCAAACTCCTGGGCTCAAGCTATCCTCCCACCTCGGCCTCCCGAAGTGCTGGGGTTACCAGCATGAGCCACTGTACCCAGCCCTCAAATTTTTAAAAATCTATAAGAGACATTATTGGACAATTAGAGAAATTCACATATGGACTTATAATAGTATCAGAGTGTGTGGTGTGATGGTTCTGGAGGGAATGGACTTTTTCTTTGGAGACAGGCTTTTCTATGCCCACCCTTTTATCTTGCTAACTTATCATCATCCAGGTTCCAGCAGAAACATTACTTCCCCCAGGAAATTTCTTAAGGGTGCAGTATCATGATGTCTGCAGCAAATTCTCAAATAGCTCAGGAAAAAAGTACGTGTGTGGTATGAGTGTGTGTATGTATGTGTGTATATATATACACATATATACACATATATATACATATATGTGTATATATATACATATATGTGTATATATATACACACACATACACATATATATACACACACACATACATACATGTATTTTTATATAATTATATATGCAGAGAGTGCAAATGTTGCCAAGTGAAAGATTGGTGAGTCTAGGTGAAGGGAATATGGTATTTATTGTATTATTTGTGCAACTTTTCTTAAGTTTGAAAATTTTCAAAACAAAAAATTGGAGGAAGAAGGCATGCCAGTCTACCCCAAGCCCTCCATTGGAATGCTGAAAATCTAAACAATGTGATTTGGCAATTTCATTTCTTTTCTGTTGTGGGCCAGTAGTCCTTAGATGTTGGGGAAGGGGGTAGTCGCTGAGGTGTGGTTGACTTAGGATGGAAGAAGCAGAAGTCAAGACTCCCAGGGTCAAAGTGGTTTGCTCTGCTGACCCAAGTGTGGGAGGCCCAGAGTCAGCGTTTCAGGTGTGCTAATTCAGCATGGTTCTATTCACGGCCAAAGTCCACCCTGGGCACCTCTCTGGCAGCAATCTTGGGTGACTCTACTAAGGCCAGGCCTCCATGACCCTATGTCTGGATCCCATATCTCCACCTCTCCCACTGTCTCAGGAACGGTGCTTAGCTTTTTCTTTTCCCTCTCCTGTCTTCTTTGCCAGCATGTAGAAAGTTTAAATAATTCCCCTCTTTACAACAAAACAAAACATACCCCCTTCAGTCAACCACCCTAGCTCTCTTCTCCTTTTCCCAGCCAGATTTTTTTAAAAGCATCCTAGGCCAGGCGCGGTGACTCACGCCTGTAATTCCAGCACTTTGGGAGGCCAAGGTGGGTGGATCACAAGGTCAGGAGATCGAGACCATCCTGGCTAACATGGTGAAACCCCATCTCTACTAAAAATACAAAAAAGTAGCCGGGAGTGGTGGCAGGTGCCTGTAGTCCCAGCTACTCGGGAGGCTGAGGCAGGAGAATGGCGTGAACCTGGTAGGCGGAGGTTGCAGTGAGCCGAGATGGCGCCACTGCACTCCAGCCTGGGTGACAGAGTGAGACTCCGTCTCAGGAAAAAAAAAAAAAAAAAAAAAAAAGCATCCTCAGCACTTTGGCAACTCCATCTCCTCCCAACATGTCCCTGTTACTGGAATCCAGCCAGGACTCAGCCCCGATCTTTCTACTCTAACCAGTTGTCTCAGTTAACAAGGACAGGTTTATGCTGCAGTGACAAACAAGATCCCAAATTCTTGTGGCTTCACACATCTGGCACCACCTCATCTTCCAGCCTTAGGAGTCATCTTTTAGTTCCTTGAAAACTCTTTACAGTTTTCTGTTGGGGCCTTGTCATATACTATTCCCCTGGAATGTTCTTTCCTATCCCCTCCCTTTCACCTTGCTAACTTGTGCCCATCCTTCAGGTCTCAGCAGAAACATCACTTCCTTGGGGAAGTTTTCTCCAACACCCACACTACACAGGTGTCCCATCTACACTCCTATGACTTTGTGGTACTTGTCTCACTTGATTTTCCACTGCCTTCCCCACAAGGCACCTGCACAAGGGCAAGGACCGTACCACTGTACCTATGTCACTCATTGCTGTGGTCACCTGCACTCTGGCTGCCTACCTTAACTACACATTAGAATCACCTGAGGAGCTTTTAAAGCCACAATGCAAGACTCCACCCTAGGCCAATTGGATCCAAATCCCTGGGGTAGGGCCAGACATCAGTGGAGTTATATATACATATATATATTTTGTTTGTTTGTTTGTTTGTTTTTTGAGACAGAGTTTTGCTCTGTCACCCAGGCTGGAGTGCAGTGGCGCGATCTTGGCTCACTGCAAGCTCCGCCTCTCGGGTTCACACCATTCTCCTGCCTCAGCCTCCTGAGTGGCTGGAACTACAAGTGCTCGCCACCACGCCCGGCTAATTTTTTTGTGTTTTTAGTAGAGATGGGGTTTCACCGTGTTAGCCAGGATGGTCTCGATCTCCTGACCTCATGATCTGCCTGCCTCATCAGCCTCCCAGAGTGCTGGGATTACAGGCATGAGCCACTGCACCCGGCCATCAGTGGATATATTTTTAAAGCACTGCAGAGAATTCTGTTGCATCAGCTTGAGAACCACTGATCTGCCTTGTGCTTCACATTTAAAACTTTTTTTTAATGAATAAATAAACCCCAAAAAATTAATCTCCCTAAGCCTCCCTAGAAGATAGGATGGTAAGGATATTTTCCTAGGTAAAAATATGTTAATTTCATATTTCATGAAATTTCATGTTTCATTTCAATCAAGCTCTGTCATACACCTTACATGGGGCAAGCCCAGTGCCTGGGCAGGGTGTAATTATACTCATTACACAGGCAAGGAAAAGTCACATTAGGTGATGGAGCACAAATAGGCAGTTAATGGTTTCAGGGCTAGTTAGGATATGTTTGTCTTTCAATTGCAAGTAATAGAAGCCCAAAGAAATTGGTTATTTATATAATATAATTGATTGGTTCCCAAATTTGAAAAATTCAGGAATAGACCCAGCTTAGGTACAGCTGGATCCAGTCACTCAAACAATGTCACAAAGAACCCTTTGACAGGAATGTATCCTGTGTTGACTCTACTTTGCTCTGAGTAGTCTTTCCCCAGGTGATGATAAAAATGGTCATCATCGCCAGGCTTGTGTCCTGTTTAGTAGGAATATACAAGAAGAGCTCAGTAAATGCTGGCCCCACCACTAAGCAAAAACAAAACTTTTGTTGTTGTTATTGTTGTTTTAAATAACAGCTTAGACCTTTCTTCTTTCCTTGTTATTCTCTTTCATCTGTAATCCAGTTTTCTACTTCTGAAGTATAGAATGTTCTGATGATTTATTCTTCATTACCCACAACTTGCACATGTTTATTTAAAAATGCCAGGATTGCCTGGCCGTTGTGTGCTGTTAACCTTTGTTTGCTGTTAGTGGATCCCTGAAGTTCAGGCTCCCAGGGGAGCAGATAATGGGTATCCAGTTCCTGCAATATCCACCCTCTGGCAAGCCAAGTTCCTTCCTGGGTAAGGTTTTGCCTACCTGCATTCCTAGGGAAGTTTCTGGGCCTGACCACCAAGCCAGCTCTGAGAAGGGGTGCATAAGCCCCACCATGCTTTGGCTCTGTCCCTATAGAATATTTTATGTTGTTACTGAAAACTAAAGGAAGATGGGTGCGGTGGCTCATGCCTGTAATCCCAGCACTTTGGGAGGCCAAGACAGATTGATCACTCGATGCCAGGAGTTCAAGACCAGCCTGGCCAACATGGTGAAACCTTGTCTCTACAAAAACAAAACAAAACAAAAATTAGCCGGGTATGGTGGCATGCACCTGTGGTACCAGCTACTCAAGAGGCTGAGGCACAAGAATCTCTTGAACCTGGGAGGTAGAGGTTGCAGTGAGCCGAGATCGCACTACTGCATTCCAGCCTGGGTGACAGAGCAAGATTCTGTCTCCAAAAAAAAAAAAAAAAAGAAAAGGAAAGCTAAAGGAGAGAGACTAAAATGATATCAGGTTCCTGGAGAACAAACAGACATGATTTTGCTTCATGGCAGGACAGCCGGAAGAAGTGGGATTATATCCTCACATTACAAATAAGAAAACTGAGACTCAGAATGGTTAAGTCACTTGTCCCAGGCCACACAGCCAGTAAATTACAGAAACAGAATTTGAACCCAAATCTTCCAGCTCCAAAGCTTGTGTTCTTTTCACTACCTCCTGCTTAATTTTTTAATTTCTAAGATTAGACCCTTCATCTATCCATGACACCTGCCTGTCATCCCCCGAAAAAAGGTGAACGCCGTTCAGAAATTTTTCTAGCCTGAGCTCACTCCCAGTTCACTTATTTTTGCTTTGTCATGGCTGCCCAGTCCCCACTTGTAGACCAGGAATAGGTCATGGCTGCGGGGACTACACGCTGTCGCTGCTGCAAGGGCCGGCCTCTGTTTCCGGGGCTGAGTGGGGGCCAGACCTGCCAGGAGCACCATCTTCTGTGGGTCCTGCCTGGATGTCACATCCCGGCCCCAAGAAGTCACTGCAAACCTTCGTATTATTGAGCTTCACATCCTAGAATTTGCTGTCACTGTGGCTGCTGCATGAAGTTGTCCTGAGAGAAACGGGCATTGTCATTAACAGGGAAATTGATGGTCTGGGGGAAAAGTCATCCTCATTCTCTTGCAGATCTATGGGTGATTGAGACTGGCTGATGTTGAAGGGGTTTCTCAGCCATCGTGTGCCATGTTATGGAACAGTGGTGTAGCCAGCCATTTGACACCCAGCGCTGACCTTTGTTTAACAACCTCACCTATATATGACAAAATGATTGTCAGAAATAATCGTGTAATGAAATGACTGTAATAATGGCCAGAAAAGAAAC
The DNA here is from genome assembly GCF_000001405.40 of Homo sapiens. Classification (NCBI taxonomy): domain Eukaryota; kingdom Metazoa; phylum Chordata; class Mammalia; order Primates; family Hominidae; genus Homo; species Homo sapiens. The sequence continues at coordinate 633,460 of NT_187663.1, forward strand.
GCAGATAGTAAAATGTTTCTCTTGTTGAACTCTGTACATATAATTGCACCAGGATTTTTTTCAAATAAAAAGTAAATATTATACTACAAAAAAGGGAAAAAGCACAAGCATTTATTAAATAGCTTTCTATATCTTTCTGAGTTTTGATCCTTTGATTGCAGACTGATGTAATATTTTATGTAAATCATTGCTTGGTTACTAAGTGAACTTTAAGAAAAGTGAGACGTCTGCAGAAGTTGCCCATAATTTAGCAGCTACTGTATTGTACCATTGATGTACGGCTTTATTTTCTTGATTAATTATTTAAACAATATAATTCACAATTTTAAAATAATAAATTTCCACTTAAAATGGTATTTAAACTCAGCAAAATATATCATCTATGAGTAAAATTTGTATTTACCAAGCAAAAATATTACAGTTTGTGGTTCACATGCTGTCTCACTGTTTTAAATTTTAAATACAAAAACTCCAAGTAGGCTGGGTGTGGTGGCTCACACCTGTAATCCCAGTACTTTGGGAGGCTGAGGCAGGCATATCGCTTGAGTTCAGGAGTTCAAGATTTGCCTGGGCAACATAGTGAGATCCTGTCTCTACTGAAAACAATTAGCTGGGTGTGGTGGCACATGCCTGCGGTCCCAGCTACTCAGGAGGCTGAGATAGGAGGATCACTTGAACCCTGGGGGACAGAGGTTGCAGTGAGGCAAGATTGCACCACTGCACTCCAGCCTGGGTGACAGATTGAGACCCTGTCTCAAAAAAAGAAAAAAAAAAAAGAAACACAAAAACTCCAGGTGGTCGCACAGAATGACAGGACTGAAGTAACTTAGCTCCAATTTCTGTCTTCATAATCACTGTCCTACCATTGTCTGTGCTTAGAATCTACTTGCTTAATGCAGGAACATGTGTTCTCACAGAGATGGAAAATGCAAATGGCGCCAGAAGCAAGCTGGAAATTCTGAACCATTAAGAATTTACTCTCTGCCAGGCACGGTGGCTCACGCCTGTAATCCCAGGACTTTGGGAGGCTGAGGCAGGCAGATCATCTGAGGTCAGGAGTTCAAGACCAGCCTGGCCAACATGGTGAAACTTCATCTCTACAAAAATACAAAAATTAGCCAGGCATGATGGTGGGTGCCTGTAATCCCAGCTACTCGGGAGGCTGAGGCAGGAGAATCGCTTGCACCTGAGAGGTGGAGGTTGCAGTGAGCCGAGATCTATCTGCACCATTGCACTTCAGCCTGGGAGACAGAGTAAGACTCCATCTCAAAAAAAAAAAAAAAAAAAAAAGAACTTACTCTCAAAATAAATACGTGTGGCTGACTCCACATATGGTAGGGCCAACTGTATAACTAGAAGTTCTCCAAATAACTTCTGTGGAGAAAAAAAAGTTTATTAAAGGTTAACTTTTTTAAAGTGCTAACTAGAACCTTACTAACACTGAGATCGCACCAATTGTTTATAACTTAGACAGGGCCGGGTGCAGTGGCTCATGCCTATAATCCCAACACTTTGGGAGGCCGAGGCAGGTGGATCACTTGATGTCAGGAGTTCGAGACCAGCCTAACCAACATGATGAAACCCCATCTCTACTAAAAATACAAAAATTAGCCAGGCACGGTGGTACACGCCTGTAATCCCAGCTACTGGGGAGGGTGAGGCAGGAGAATCTCTTGAACCCAGGAGGCGGAGATTGCAGTGGGCCAAGATCGCACCATTGCACTCTAGCCCCAGCAACAAGAGTGAAACTCTGTTTCAAACAAACAAACAAAAAAAAAAACCTCTTAGACCAGGAAAATATTTTTTAAGGGAGGAGTATTTTATCACTGGCATTGTTTAGGATTGCAGGCACATGATGCTAATGAAAAGCAGACTAACTATTAGTTGGTTTTATTACTGTTTTTGAACTCTCTCTCTCCCTTTTTTTTTTTTTTTTTGAGACAGAGTCTCTCTCTCTGTCACCCAGGCTGGAATGCAGTGACTGCAGTCTCAGCTCACTACATCCTCTGCCTCCTCAGTTCAAGTGATTCTCGTGCCTCAGCCTCCCGAGTAGCTGGGATTACAGGGCACCACACCAGGCTAAGTTTTTGTATTTTTAGTAGAGGCAGGGTTTCACCATGTTGCCCAGGCTGGTCTCAAACTCCTGGCCTCAAGCGATCTGCCCATCTTGACCTCCCAAAGTGTTGGGATTACAGGCGTGAGCCACCGTGCCTAGCCCTGTTTTTGAACTCTCTAGAGACAGTCCAGCCCCTTATTACTTGTCCTGAGGCAGCTGCTCCCTTCACCTGGCCCCCCGCATTGTGTTCCGGACCCTTGTCCTGGTGGTGCTAAAGAATATCTCTGTCGATCCTTTGGGGACTGGGGAAACTGAGGCCCAGTGCCACGCGATGCCATTTGTTCAGGGAAGATTAGGTCATCTGCTAGGTCCCCAGTCACTTGACCTTCTTCCCAGACAGGAAGAAGCTGCTCTGGGTCTCTCAGTGCTCCACGTGTCTTTGCACATTGAAATGTTTTCTGATTTTTTTTTTTTTTTTTTGCTGTTACATTTACTTTTAAAAAATAACAAGCAATAAAATGTTACATTTGAGAAGGTTGAAATGAGAATTGATTTGAGTTAAATTCTAGCAGATTTTTCTTAGAAGAATGATATCATCATCTCCAGCTACCTGCAATTGATCTACTCTGAATTAAGAAAGAGACTTCCATTTGTTGTTTATATTTTGCACTCTTGATGTGTTTCTTTAAATTATGGTCATGGGCCAGGTGTAGGAGCTCACACCTGTAATCCCAGCACCTTGGGACTCTGAGGAGGGAGGATCACTGGAGGCCAGGAGTTCAAGACCTCGTCTGTACAGTAAATTTTAAAAATTAGCCAGGCATGGTAGCATTCACCTGTAGTCTTAGCTACTTGGGAGGCTGAGATGGGAGGATTGCTTGAGCCAGAACTTTGAGGCTACAGTGAGTTATTTTCACGCCACTGCCCTCTAGCCTGGCTGACAGAGCAAGACCTGCCTCAAAAAAATAAGTAAAAAATAAATTAAATTTCAATCATTAGCAGTCATTAGGATATTTAAATACAGTATGTTGAATCAAAGTTACGCATGTGTGTATTTTTTTTTCCAGAGAGTTGTTTATCATGTGGGTTTTAATTTAACTTTAAAAAAATGTTGGCTGGACAGTTGCCCAAATGGTATCATCAGCCATTTGGTTGAGAACGTATGTCCTGCGGGCTCCTCTGTCACTGGAGTTTTGCTAGCTGACAGCCACTGGCTAGTTAGAGACTGCAGTCAGCACAGATGCAGGCGTGGACTTGCGCACGTAACCATGTCAATGCAAAGCCATCACTTCTTAAAAATTCTGAACCCTGCTGTCTGAGATGGTGGTGCAGCGGATAGAACTCTGCTCTAAGAGGCAGTAGCTAATTCCATGTCTTCTTTGCCCTTGACTAGCTGAGTGACTTTGCACATGGGGCTTGCCTCTCTGTTGCCTTGTCTGCAAAGTGGAATCATCTTTTCCTTGCTAGACAGAAGGTGGACCCTGGACCTATGGCCTTTTTGAGTTTCCCCCCCGCTTCTTAGAAGGACCTCTGATCCTACTGAGTTTAATACCCACGGGTTAATAATTGGGAAAAGCAAAGGAAGCGCTTCTGTTTAGGTAATTATATGCATGTTTTTGTCTTTTTCTGGCTGGAAAGATATCCAAGCCACTGGGAAGGTCCGTGGCTACCCAGGGTAGCCCTCTCTGGGGAGGGCTGCTATATCCAAGAGCCCCTCATGAGAATTTGAAAATCGACCATGGTAGGGCCTGCTGACTTTTGACAGCTAATGGTGTGCTGAGAATTGTCCCTCCAAAGATGCCTTTCCATTCCCTCGGGAGAGTCTGGGCAGCCCCTACTGGGGGCTGGGATGCTGGCTCTTCCCTCAGCCTCCACCCCAACTGCTCTCTTCCCTCCTCCCCTCCCCAGCCCCCTAATTTCTCTCACAAGGCTTTGTTCTGCAGCAACCTTTCCTAATGCAGTCCTGGCCTCTTCGCAGCTTCATTACATAACCTTCCGTGGACTCCTGGTCCAAGGATCACCCCAGAAAGCCAGTCAGAGGTAGGCACGCAGCTGGGGTCCATTTACTTACCTTCCCCACCCCCTCGGAACTCAGAGGTGGTGCAGGAATTTGGACTCCAAGAATTAACAGCTCCACCACCATCACCAGAGCCAAAACTCAGGATGCATGTGCTTCATCTGCTGCTTATTTCCAGCTGAGAGCCAGTGGTGCCATGGTTCCTTAGGGAGCCGGTCCCCTGATGCCGGCTCCTGGCCCCAAATCTCTCTGATCCGGGCTCTTCCAGAATGTCTTGTCTCCACCATCGCCTTTGACCAATGGTGTCCCTTTGCCTGGTAATGTCCCCTTTGCCTGATGATGGCCCTGTCACTCCTCTCTTTAGCACAGAGGAGGCTGTTTCATCCCTTCAAGCCTGCCCTCCCTTCAAGTCTTAGCTCAAGTTCACCTTCTCCGCAGAGCCTTCTCCAATCTTCTTGACTACGTCTCCTCTCGGCTCCAGCAACCTCTGTCTCTGGCACTGATTCCTTACTTAGCTAAGAGAATCACAGACACTTGGGGCTCAGGACAATCTGCTTTCTCTCTTCTTACCCATGGCCTTGGACTGTGTGTACCTCTTTGTCTCCACTCCCAAACCCAACCCCCAGAGGGCAGAGAGCATGTTGTCTGTCCCTTTGCTCAGCATGAAGCCATGCGTGTGGTAGATCGGCAGAGTTCCATAACTTGTGTTGACCGAGGGGTCACTTTGCTCTGAAATTACCCCTGTGTCCTTCAGTATTTGCACAGATAGCTTCCTGGCCAGACCGAATATATCCAAGGGCATGGCCCACCTCTGCTCCTGTTTCCAGGTCCCTGGTGGGGGTTAGTTCATGCCTTCCTCATAATCTGCCCACTGGCCTGGTCCTCAAGGTCTTCCCAACTGCTCAGCCAGAGTTGAGAAAATGGGTCGCTCCATCCTGTTTGTGTCGTTCTCTCCTTCCTGGCCCACTCTCCTGCCCACAGGTATCCAGGGGCTGCCTGTAGCATTAGAGGACATACATGCACATGCGTGGGCATGGGACACTCACGTAGCCTCCAAGCACAGCATCAATAATGCATTCTGTGCTTTATAGCATGGAAAGCTGCTCTAAACTTTATTACACAGTGGACATGTCTGAAGCAGCTCCCAAATCCACCCCTGAGTGTGTTGGAATTGGCAAGCCTATCACTTGGGAGTCTAGTTTTTTTGTTCGTTAATAATAGATGCTTCCTGTGGCCCCAGCTTGGCAATTTTGATTTAAAGTGATCTTAACTGAAGAGACTAATGGACGGGTCTGAATTTGTGCCTTTTAAGCACAAAGTATTGCTCTTAATTAACTGGATTCTATCCTTTGAGCAGGCAGAGGCCTTCCCCCAAGGGCGTCATTAACGATCCACATCTGGACATCTTCCAAAGCCTTCTTCTGTTTCAGGCCAACCGCAGGTGTGTTCCTGAACACCCAGGAGGCTATGAGAGCCACATATGCCTCCCAAATACACACAGTGTGCATGCCCAGGGACATAGAGCAGTGTGCAAAGTCCCATTCCATCTCTCTCCACCTGGGAGAGGATGGCTCTTCTGTCTGATTCATGGCTCAAAGTGGTAAAGGAGCTCCCCACTCCCCGTCCCACGCCTACTCAGAGTCTGCAAATATGTATGCGATATGAGAGCTCGTCAGTTAGCTGTCTTCAGTGTGGCGCACATTTGAGGAGTCTGACTCCCCTCCAGCACAGGCCAATGTGCACTGCTCTCCTATCTTTGTACCCCCACTGTTGCACTGTGCAGAGGTTGGAGCCATAGAAGTACCAGAGCTGTGAAAGGAGAGGCCCCCTCTCACCTCTGCCCTGGTCTCCATCCCCACTTTCTCTAGGAAGCTAGTAGGTGCTGACAGGGGAGAGAAGGGAGGGGAGGGGTCCAGAAACAGTGGCTCATGCCTGCAATCCTAGCACTTTGGGAGGCTGAGGCAGGAGGATCATTTGAGGTCAGGAGTTTGAGACCAGCCTGGGCAATGTAGCAAGACCCTATCTCTACAAAAAGAAAAAATGTAATTAGCTGGGTGTGGTGGTGGGCACCTGTAGTCCTAGCTACTTGGGAGGATGAGGTGGGAGGATTGCTTGAGCCCAAGAGTTTGAGGTTACAGTAAGCTGTGATTGCACCACTGCACTCCAGCCTGGGCAACAGAGCTGAGACCCTATCTCAAAAAAAGAAAAAAAAAAAGAAAGGAGAGAGAGAGAAAGAAAAGAAAAGAAAAAAAAAAAAGAAGGGAAGGGAAAGCCCAGAAGAGTGTGGGGAGAGGAGGCGGCCGTCATTCTGGGGCCCTCAGTGTGCACAACCAGATAACACATGCTCTGTGGGCTTTTGTACCATTTTGCTTGAGCATAAAGAAAGGAAGGCTGCCCCTAAATAGAAAGCACTCTGGAGGCAAACAAATCTGACTCCAATCCTGGCCCTGCCACTTTCCCAGCTGAGGACTTAGACAAGCACCCTAGCCTCTTGGACATTCTCAGAGCCATCTGCTGCAAGTGGGTGCTGCCATACCCACCTTACTGGGCAGGCTTGGGGGACCAAGGGTGGTAAATGGCTCAGTCTTTCATGATGCGGCCACACAGCAGGTGCGCCATCCAGGTCCATTTCTTTCCTTCCTTTCCCCCAAATCAAGTTGTCATTAAAGTACTAGTCCACATTAATGAAATCAACTGTATTAATTTTCTATTTGCTGCTATAATAAATCATCAGAAATTTAGTGGCTTAAACCAACACAAATGTATTACCTTACAGTTCTGGAGGCCAGAAGCCCTCCATAGGTGTCACTGGGCTGAAATCAAGGTTTTGGCAAGGTTGCGGTCCTTTCTGGAGGGTCCAGGGGAGAATCCATTTTCTTCCTTTTTCCAGCTTCTAAAGGTTTCATGCATTCCTTGGCTCATGATCTTCTATAGCTATAGTCAGAAAAATTTTCCATCAATCATCTTCAAAGCCAGCAATGGCAGGATGAGTCCTCACATCACCTTGCTCTGACACCAGTTCTCTGCCTCCCTCTTCCACATGTCAGGACCCTCATGATTACTTTGGGCTCACTCTGATAATCTGGGATGATCTCTCTATTTTAGAGTCAGCTGACTGGGAACCTTAATTCCATCTACAACCCCAATTCCTCTTTGCCATGTACAGTGACATATTCACAGGTTCTGGGGATTAGGACGAGCCTGTCTCTGAAAGGCTACTTTACATGAAAATTCATTTTTTTAATTAAGATTTTTTTTTCCTCTTGAGACAAGGTCTCACTCTATGGTTCAGGCTGGAGTGCAGTGGTATGATCACAGCTCACTGCAGCCTCGACGTCTCTGGGCTCAGGTGATCCTCCCACCTCAGCTTCCCTAGTAGCTGGAACTACAGGGGTGAGCCCCCATGCCCAGCTAATTTTTTTTTTTTTTTTTTTTTTTGAGACAGAGTCTCACTCAGTCACCCAGGCTGGTGTGCAGTGGTGCAATCTCAGCTCACAGCAACCTCCGCCTCCTGGGTTCAAGTGATTCTTGTGCCTCAGCCTCCCAAGGAGCTGGGACTACAGGTGTGCACCACCACGCCCGACTAATTTTTGTATTTTTAGTAAAGATGGGGTTTCACCATGTTGGCCAGGCTGGTCTCAAACTCCTGATCTCAAGTGATCCACCAACCTCAGCCTCTCAAAGTGCTGGGATTACAGGTGTAAGCCAACATGCCCGGCCCCAGCTAATTTTTAAATATTTTTTTTGTAGAGATGGGGTTTTACCATTTTGTCTAGGCTGGTCTTGAACTCCTGGGCTCAAGCAAACCTCCCACCTTGGTCTCCCAAAGTGCTGGGATTACAGCATGAGCCACTGCACTCGGCCTTAAGAGAAGATTTAATAATTAATACTTTACAACAAGATCTGGAAGAGGTGGGATGAGTAACTAAATGAGGATACAAGTAACCCGGGTCATATTTGCTAATACCCTTGGTCACATTGAACTTGATATCTTATCAGATTTTCCTAATCAGCTCCTTTAGCAGCAGTGTTGCAGCATCTTATCTCATTTTGTTTTTTGTTTTTTTGCCTAGCACATGCCTGTAAATCACTGGATTGAGGTGTTTAGATGTTTGTTGTCCTTTGGATGCTTCTTATAAATCCATATTTCATGGCTCCCTGGAAAGTGCTATGCAAATGATAAGCTGCAAGGATGGAAAGGAAATTGCAGTGCTCCTGAATTGTAAATGGGCTTTTACGAGGAGGTTTCTAATTACTCGCTCTTTCTCTTGAACTGAGGAGTTGAAGTGTAGGTGGCAGATCCATAACAGATAATCATGTGTGTGATGTGACTTCAGCCTGAGCGTCGAGGACCAAGTCACAGAGCAGGAACAGCCACTCTCCAGTGTCCTTGGGGCTACGTCTGAGGAGAACCTGGGATTTCATATATGACCTGCACTGGCTGGGGGGCTCTCTTGACGTAACGTGTTCCCTCTGAGCATGTTACAGATTCTGACATTCTTATGTTCCTTCTGTGGAGAGACATGTACTTAGTGACCTAACTCACTTTAGCATATTTTTGCTCATCGTTTGTGTAGCTTAAAGGAATCAGATAATTACCCCCTCCCCACTACTTTCGGAAGCACAAATGCAATGCCCTAGAATTGTACTGGGGACTCAAAAAGAAAAGAGAGTAGTAAAATCTATTAAAGGGGACAAAGACAGCCTATATACTACAAGCTTTCTATTTTTATGGCAGAGAATGCCATTTTCTAAGTAAACAGAGAACTGCATTTGACCTGCAATATCAAATGCATGGATTTGATGCTTTGGAAAGCAACTGTTTTCTGCGTTAATCTGGGTGTCTTCCGTGAAATGTCCTCCTGCCTTTGGCTTAAACACTAGCTTTGTCTACAGCCATTCCATCCTGAACCTGCCCAATCTTGTCTGAATCCTGGTTTCACCACTGACAAGCTGTGTGTCCTTGGGCAAGTTACTTCACCTGTCTGTGCTTCAGAGTCCTCATCTGTGAGTTGGGGAATCTGGACAGAATCTACCCCATAGGGCGTAGTGAGGATGTGTTGAATTATCCCAAGTGGCTACACAGAGTAAGCACTCAAATGATGTCATCGTTGTCATGATTGCTGTTACCAGAGCCTAGAGTTCATTCTGATACTCGAGTCTGTGGCCCATCCAGCCCAGGTAAGGAATAGTTGGAGGAGTTGGGCATGTTCAGCTTGAAGAGGAGACGACAGGGGATATGGGATAGTTGAATCTGTGAAGGGCCCCCTGGGATGAAGAACTGGCATGTTCTGTGTGGCTCCAGGGCACTGAGCAGGACCCATTTGCCAAAGTCTCAGGGACACAGTTTCTAGCTATAGACAGAAAAATTTTCTGTCACTCAGAGGATGAAAATAGAATGAGCCCCCTTAAGAGGTAATGAGCTCCCTGTCATTGGAAGGATTCCAGAAGAGCTAGGTAACCACTTTAGGTGCTATCAAGGGGCTTTTTTCTTTAAAGTCCTTTCCAAAAGCTTCTGAGATTGCATAAACAATAGGAAGCCATCTTGGTGCTTTAACACAAACTCTCCCCAGTGATGAGGGTTGAGCCAAAGCCAGATTGGCAAGCAGAGAGGAGACTTGTGTACAAGGAGTTCCTCGAGTCAATTGCTTTTTCCTTGTTCTAGCCAGCCAGAGGGCTCCTGTTGGAAAACAGGAGACCGGAGAGGCTGAGGCCTGACCAAACCAGCTTCTGCAGGCCAGCTGGGAGGCCACAACTCCTACCTACGGGAAAACTGAAGGGCATCTCTATTTTTAGATTAGCAAAAGAAAATAAATTTAAGTTTGAGTCTCCTTTGCAACTTTTAAAAGACATCTTTATTGAGATGATCATTCACATTCTATAAAATTCCCCCACTTTGAGTTACAATTCAGTGGTTTTAGTCTTCCTTGATGATTTTGATGGTCTTTTCTTAAGGCTCTTGGAAGACCCAGAAGCCTCTCAGACACAGGTGGGTGTGGAGGGCATAGCACAGAGGCAGACTTCTCATTTCCTGGGTCTCCCCTTTAATGACTCTCAGAGACCCCTCCTTCCCCCTGCCCCTGGCTTCTACCCCAGGGGTGTAGAGTTTTGCCATTTTCCAAGCAGAACTTCATTTCCTCTTCTGTGTCTACACTCTTTGTGCTTCTTTCTTGCCAGCTTTTTCTCCTTTGCCCGCCCTTCCTTCCTTCCTTCCCTCCCTCCCTCCTTCCCTCCTTCCCTCTTTCCCTCCTTCCCCCCTTCCACCCTTCCCCCCTTCCCCCCTTCCCTCCTTCCTTCCTTCCCTCCTTCCTTCCTTCCTTCCTGCCTTCCTTCCTTCCTGCCTTCCTTCCTTCCTTCCTTCCTTCCTTCCTTCCTTCCTGGTATGTGACTAATTTCTGTTTCAGGACATAAATGTTGTCCAGGCTGTTCTTTGGTCTTTCTGTTGGATAATGGACATTTGGCATTGAGAGAGGCTGCTTTTTCTGAAATCATGTTCTTGGGGCCCAGAACCTAGGTGTGTGCTTCTGACTTTGTTTTCTTCCTGATCCAAATTCTGATATGTCCATTTAAATTGATCTAGACCCACAGGGCACTGTGGGACAGATCCTCAGTGGAACATGACTCTGTAACGAGAGCATTTTGTTTTGTCAAAATGAGAACATATTATTGCCTTTCATCTGATTGTAAACATAATACATGTTTATAAAACAGTATAATGAGACAAAAATGTAGACACTAATAAGGGAAAATCTCCCTAATTGTATTTCTCTTCACAGAGAAAGCCCCTGTTGGGCATATATACTCTAGTTTGTTTATTTGTTTGACTACACATATATGTATTCTTTTCTTATGTATAAAAATTCTGAACATGCACATTTCTGCAACTACTGTTTTCACTTGATGATGCATGGACCTCTCTAGAGTGTACGTTTCTTCTTCCTTACAAAGCAGTTGGCTTCGCCCAGGGTGCACCAGGACACGGTTTTGGCTCTGTCCCCAGGGTGTCACGGGACCAGGGGATGATCTCACAGGGTCTGCCATCTGCCCTGCCTGGCCGGAGGCTGCATCGAGAGGGCCAAGGGGCACCACGTGTCGTGGGTACTGTCAAACAAGAGCCTTCAGAGCCTTCCACAGTCTTTCTTTTGCTTCCCAGCATTGCTTCCCCGCTGGTGGACTCTGAATCTAGAACTAGCTCCAGGCGCCTCTCCAAATTCAGACGGGAGCTGGGGCACTATTATAATGCAAATCTAGGCAAAGCCCTCCCAATACCAGGATCCAGAATGGGGTGGGGCCCTTTGCCCTGAAAAGCTGTTTAGTTTGAAAATACAAACAGGAGACAGAAAAGTTTGGCTAAATTAATGGATAAAGTTTTAACGATGGTAACCATAGTAGGGTTCATCGACAGCCAGCGATGGTTCTGAACACTTGACATGTATTAACTCACCTAATCCCCACATTTTACAGACAATGCAAAGGAGGCTCTGGGAGGTTGAGTGACTTGCCCCAAAGTCGCACAGCTCCTAAGTGAAGGATTCGGAGTGGACTCCAGGCAGCCTGGTCTGACTCCCTGCACTGCGCTGTGCTTATCTCTGGCCCCAATGCCGCCATGCAGAAGTGTCTGGGGGCACTTTGTCTCTGTCAGACAGAATTCGGAGATGTGTATGCTTGCCCTGGTATGGCACTTCTCTTTTTTTGAGACAGAATCTCACTCTGTCACCCTGGCTGGAGTGCAGTGGCATGATCTCAGCTCACTGCAACCTCCGCCTCCCAGGTTCAAGCAATTCTTGTGCCTCAGCCTCCCAAGTAGCTGGGATTATAGATGTGCACCATCGTGCCTAGCTAAATTTTTGTACTTTTAGTAAAGATGTTGTTTTGCTGTGTTGGCCAAGCTGATCTCGAACTTTTGGCCTCAAGTGATCTGCCTACCTCAGCCTCCCAAAGTGCTGGGATTACAGGCATGAGCCACCATGCCTGGCAGTGTGGCACTTCTTACGTGTGTTCAGCGGACACTGTTTATCTTCTGTCCCTCCAAGACGGTGCTGAGCTCAGGTCGTTCATTACTGGCAGACAACTGCTGATTTCCAACAGAATTGCCATCCTCTTCTCCCCTGCGACTTTCAGAGTGTGACCTCAGACTCAAAAATTAGAAGTGAAAACATCTTAAAAACTATCACCTTTTCTTCCTAATCCTCCTCTCCCCTCCCTGTCTTCCTTGTTGTCCCCATCTAATGAACTATCATGGCAAAAAGAGCCCATTTCTGGTCATTTTCTGTGGCCTTTCAAACTCCCACCTACCCCACTGCTCCTGGGTGCATTACCCGAAAGCTGAGACTTCAGTGCAGAAAGTGCCAGGCCCTCTGTCCCCCCAGATCGCCTTCCTTGTCTTCCCTGTGCTTGCCTGTCACATTGTGTGGGTTCCAGCGCTGGAAGGAATGAGGAACAGATTCTCTGGTTCTCCTTTTGAAGTTTACCTTCGCTCCACCACTTCTGAGACCTTCCCGGAAGTTGCCCCTTGTTTCTCTCCTCTCCAGGGCTGCCCCAGAGCTGCCTCTCACCTCTTCCTGCTGTCACCCCACCACCATCAGGGCAGAAGTTGGGACAAAGCCTCTCCTACTGGCTCCTGCTTTTCTCCCTTAGGTCCAGCCTCCTCTTCTCCATCTTCAGGAGTCTCCTTCTCCACTCACACGTCATGACTTCAGCACCTCGCATCAGTCCAGAATATGACTGCTTGTTCAAGTGCCACCTTTCTCATGCATTTTTTTCTAGTGACAATCACAGCCACCCTGTGGGGCAGGAGTGTCATCATCCCCATGTTTCAAATGAAGAATTGCAGTTCAGAGAGGGCAAGTGACTGGCCCAGCCTCAACAGCTAGCCAGTGGACCCCACCAGGGCTTCTGACTCCAGTCCGGGTTCCCTTTCCACCCAAATCCATGGAGGGAGCTGAGCCGAGAACAGGTGTCCTTCAGGAAGACGTGAAGCCAAAGCCTCCACCTCCAAACTCAGGGGCCCAGGGAGTCCAGGCACCCATCCACTCACAAGGCTGGATATGGTGCATTCCAGGAGAGGGGTTGGGGGCGAGTGGCCTCTCTGTGTACCCGTGGGGATAGATGCGCAAGTGGCATCGCCACATCGTGAGTCCTGGCTTCATGGGTGAGCTCCAGGTCCAACGAGAAGCCAAGCAGGGGGCCCTTCAAGCTCAGCTTTGGGCCCGGGTCGGGGTACAGGGTAGAGCGGGCCTCCCCAGCCCCTGCCATGAGGCCAAGGCAGTGCATCGTTCGCAGCGTACATTCAGAAACCAAAGCCTAGGAGCTGGTTATCATTCCGGTTTACAGCTGATGGAAGAGCAGGTGCTTCCGAGAACCCACAGTGCTCTTTGGCCAGTGACCCAAGGGTGCCTCTGAGAGGCCTCGCAGCACCCGGAGGTGCTGCTGAGGCAACGCCCTGACTGTAAGAAGGACCATTCATCCTCAGAGAGTGGCCGTGATGCTGCTGCGACAGTCCCACCATCCCTCCCGACTCTCACTCCCAACAGACTTCCCACTGTAAAGCTGAACTCTCCAGCAAATCACCTCTCGCCAGACTCTCTCCTCACTCTCTCTGGGTCCACTAGAGGTTCCTCAGCCTCTCTTTGCCTTGGTTTTCCCAGCTGTAAAATGGAGCAAAGAGGGCCTATGTACCCACAAAGGTGTGGTTGGAGCGACTCCTCCTACATTAGGGCCTCGAGTGGGGCTTCATGATTGGTTGGTGGAGGTCTCCAAACCCACCCAGTGCCACCGAAGGCTGAGACTGCAGATGCAATGCCACAGGTGTCCTTCCTCAGCCTGGGCAGCTGAACATCATGTGTAAAACGGGGATAATAAGATAATAACAGCCCCTTGCACCTATGTGGCTGTGAGGATTAAACAAGATAAATGTGTAACAGTGCCTGGCTATAGAAATATTTACTCTTGTTATTAAGGGAAGAATATGTGTGGCTAAAAAGGGATCGAAGATGTAAAAGCCAATCCCTCCCCCTCTAGCATATTTAAGGGTAATGTTGAGTTGGTTTGTGGACCATTTGCTGCCTGTTAGAGCTGGAAGGTAGGGACCCCCTCTCAACAGCGATGCTACAAATTATACCCATTGGAGGTCAACCAAAAGACAAAGCTTATTGGCTGGACATGGTGGCTCACACCTGTAATCCTAGCACTTTGGGAGGCCAAGGCAGGCGGATCACTTGAGATCAGGAGTTCGAGACCAGCCTGGCCAACATGGTGAAACCCCATCCCTACTAAAAATACAAAAATTAGCTGGGCGTGGTGGTGCACACCTGTAATCCCAGCTACTCAGGAGGCTGAGGCAGGAGAATCACTAGAACCCAGGAGGTGAAGGTTGCAGTGAGCCGAGATCGCACCACTGTACTCAAACCGAGGCAACAGAGGGAGACGCAATCTCAAAAAAAAGAAAAAAAGACAAAGCTTGTTAATACCAGCATATTGTTAAGGGAATAAAGTAGGCTGCAGAACAACTGGTGTAATATGGTGCCATGTAGGGAAAATTACATGTGTGCATAGGAGAGGGGTCTGCAAGGTTGTGCCCTAAGATGTTAGAGTGGTTCCTTTGCTTTTCTCTTTTATAATTTTGTATTTGACTTTTAAATAAGGACCATAAATCACTTTTATAAAATACATTCTCTCCAGCCCCTACTACTCCTTTAAAGAATAAGAGTGGTTTGCCCAAGAAAGACAGTTTTTTTTGCTCTGGTTTTCTTGATTCTGACATCAGAGGAAACTCCTTCTCATCCACTTGGGGCTCTGGGTTCAGGGGATTCATTTCAGGCAGATTAAAGTGGTGACCAGGGGCATTCGTGGACACAGGGAGGGACAGGAGCACCATCAGTTTGTCTCACACAACCACTGTCATCCTCACTGAAGGCTGTTGCCTGATCAAAAACAGTATTGGGCCAGGCACGGTGGCTCACACCTGTAATACCACCACTTTGGGAGGCTGAGGTGAGTGGATCACTTGAGGTCAGGAGTTCGAGATCAACCTGGCCAACATGGTGAAACCTTGTCTCTACTAAAAGTTCAAAAATTAGCCAGGCGTGGTGGGTGCCTGTAGTCCCAGCTACTTGGGAGGCTGAGGCAGGAGAATTGCTTGAACCCGAGAGGTAGAGGTTGCAGTGAGCCGAGATGGCACCACCACACTCCAGCCTGGGCGACCGAGGGGGACTCTGTCTTAAAAAAAAAAAAAAAAAAAAAAATATATATATATATATATGTCAAAAATGGGGTAGTTTTTAGATCTATAGTAGTTCTAAAAACAAAGGCCATCCAAGCATGACAGATTTACAAGCACTATTGGCTATTCCAGTAGTTACAATGGAGGAGAGAAGCTTTTAGTTAAAACAAACAAACAACACAACAAACCCAGAAACCTTAGGTCAAAACCAAAATTGTCCTCTCAGACACAATCTGGGAATTTTCTCATGACAGTGGGCATTAGCCAACTGACATCAGCAGCAACCATCCGTGTGCACACAGTGGCACCACCTCCTCCCAAAAAGCAGCCTTCATCTATGCCCTCATACAATCGTTGATTATTCTCTTTGGATTGAGGCCCGGAATTATTTAAGTTTCTTCTTGCCAGCATGAGTCTTTCCTTTCTGTATGCTCCTTATCTTCTCTCTTTAATTTGGCAGTTCTGCTTGAAATCTGGGTCTTTCATTAGTAGTAGTTCAATTTGGTTCCAGAACATTCTGTGGTGTGATGCAATGTGACCAGAGCTCACACTTCAGAGCTCTTCAAGGGCCAGTCTTACTGAGCACCTCCCAGTGGCTGCCTGTGTGCTGGGCGCCACTTGTGGTGGGCAGGAGAGAGGAGGGGACACAAAAGGAGACACAGCTCCTTCTTAGAAGCTCAAAGTTGGGGACCAGCTGCCACAGAAGAGTATGTTTAGCATCTGAGACACCAAGATCCAGCGTCACAAGGGTGTTTATTAAGCCTCCTCATCTCTTTCTTTTTCTTTTTTTTTTTTTTTTTCCTCAGGCAGTCTTACTCTGTCACCCAGGCTGGAGTGCAGTGGCATGATCTCGGCTCACTGCATGCAACCACCACCTCCCGGGTTTAAGCAATTCTCCTGCCTCAGCCTCCCCAGTAGCTGGGATTACAGGTGCCCACCACCACACCCAGCTAATTTTTGTGTTTTTAGTAGAGACAGGGTTTCACCATGTTGGTCAGGCTGGTCTCGAACTCCTGACCTCAGATGATTCACCCACCTCGGCCTCCCAGTGTGCTGGGATTACAGGTGTGAGCCACCGCGCCTGGCCTTGCTGTTGATTCATCTATAGTATGTTTGACTTGATGACCTCCAGTTACCTTAGACAGAGGTTCTCATCTAAGCTCCAACTTTCCATTTCCTTTGTCCTCGTCTTTCCCCTTAACCCCTCCACATTTCTCTCAAAATCACCCCACTTCTAAAAAATACTGTTTATTTTTCTTTTAAATTTCAAATTATCTATACTCATTGAAATAAATCAAAATAGCATGGAATAAGCGAAAAAAATGGATCCCACCCTTCCCCACTCCCATTCCCTAGGGCTAACCATAGTTAACCATTTAATGACTAGGTTTTTTTGTTGTTGTTATTTTTTATTTATTTATTTTGAGACAGAGTCTTACTCTGTCACCCAGGCTGGAGTGCAGTGGTGTGATCTCGGCTCACTGCAACCTCTGCCTCCCAGGTTCAAGCATTCTCCTGCCTCTGCCTCCTGAGTAGCTGGGATTACAGGTGCCTGCCACCACACCTGGCTAATTTTTGTACTTTTGGTAGAGACAGGGTTTCTCAATGTTAGCCAGGCTGGTCTCGAACTCCTGGCCTCAAGTGATCTGCCCACCTTGGCCTTCCAAAATACTGGGATTAAGGTATGAGCCACCGCACCCAGCCCTCCTGGGCTCTTTTCCTTTAGTTGCACTCGCTCCCCGCTCCTGGAGTAGAGGGATTTCCGAGAGACTGTGGGCTCCAGCCTTCACCTAGGCCCAGGACTAGGATGCCTGCCCTAACATTTATCTTTATACCTTAAAGCAAAACAGCTGGACCATAAGCATTCAAGAACAAACTGTGAATAAGGAGAAAGTTCTCCCAGGAAACAAGAGCTTTAGTTATGTTGGGCCAGCCCTTATATTCCTTAGCTGTTACCAGTCACTGCTTGATTTAATCTCGGCTATCACTTGGCCTGACAGGTCTGCTGCTGGTGCCAGGATGTCTGGGTTTTGAAGCCTGGCTCCATTACATACTTCCTGTGTGACCTTGGGCAACTTACTCAACCTGTCTGTTCCTCAGTTTCCCCAGCTGTATTATGTCAGCATAATAGTTTGTTGTGTGAATTAAATGAGGTAATAACTGGAAATGCTTCAAACATGGTTCCTATCATGAGAAATCCTGCTTTCCGCCTAAATGTGCTGGAAAATTCCTGGTGGTGCAGAACAGGAGACCAGAGCAAAGGAAAGACAGGGTGCAGAAGCCAAAAATTACCTTGGAGAACAAAGCGCATGTTAAGGTTATTTTTGGATTCTAGGTTTATCTCTGCTTGGTCTTCAGTTACCTGCAAGAGATCCATTTAGGGGATTTTTGTTTGTTTTTAACGATAGCTTTATTGAGATATAATTCATATGCCATAAAAGTCACTCTTTTAAAATGTTTCCGGTATATTCACAAGGCTGTGCAGCCTTCCCTGTCCTTGATTCCAGTCTGAGTTTTTAACTGAAGGGATAAGGAGGACCACGCTTTCCCCAGACCAGAACCGCGGGCCAGGGGGCGATTCCGCTGAGTCACCGCGGGCGCCTGGTGCGCGGCGGCGGAGCCCGGGACCTTCCTTGGCTGCCCCCTAGCGAGGGCCGCAGCGCAGCCTGAGACACCCGCCGGGGCCGCTCCACGGCCGTCGGATTTAGACTGGAAGCTCGGTCCAGGTCCCCAGCTTGATGCGCCCGCGGTGTAGGAGACCAGCCCGACTCGAGCTTCCCCTGAGCCCCTGGACTCTTGACTCCAGCAGGGCCTGGGTAATGAACGTCAGCTCCCCTTTCCCAAAGGGGTTGCTCTGTTGGGAAGGCACCCGTTTGATACAGTAGCATAGAGATGGGTTTTAGCATCAAAATATCAGAATTCAAGCCTTGCTCTCTGCTTACTAGCTGTGTGACCCTAAAAAGGTTTCTGAACGTCTCTGAGCTTCAGTTTCCTCATCATTCCTTCTCACGGGGTGGTTGTGAGCATTACAGAGATCCTCTCTGTGAAGCCCCTGTGAGTGGCTCATCCTGAGGGCTGAAATAAACATGTTATTAATAATCCAAAACTGGCAAGGGATGTTGACTGGTCCCCCTCCCTTGCCCAAGGAGCTTTCTAGAACCTGAGTTATCATTACCAAACTGTACTGCCTTGAGTAAGAAAGTTAGAAGGAATGGGAAGGATGGTGGCAGGTGGAGGAAGGCGGATTGGTCATCACCTCCTTGCAGCAAGAAACAGCCCCAGATCGTGGGAAACCTACAGACCTGCTAGACAGACTAGGAGCAAAAGCTGGGGCTTTAAGAATCCCCAGGGAGGTTCTCCTGAGAGAGTAGCCAGTTGGATTTTGTAAGCAGAGATTTGTTTGGGGAGGAGGTGACAACGTAGGGAGCAGAGGGGCAAAGCTGTCGGGAATCCTGCCTTGAGGGCAGGGATGTGTGTTGGGGGGAGTTGGGTCACTGGGGCTCGGTGGCCTTGGGCAAGTTTCTACCTCTCAGGTCCTTTACCCACCTAGGGTCGCCATCCTGCCCACCTCACAGGTTACAGTGAGCCTGGATGCACTGTCATGGGCAGGTGCCCAGGAAAATGGCAGACATGTTCCAAACAGCACGCAGCATTCCCCAGTGATGCCCAGGGTCACCTTGGAGGTGGGCGAGATGCCTGGGGTTTCTCGTCCACCCCACAACACCTCAGGGGACAGCCAAAGCTGTCCCTTCAGGTAAGCTGCACAGAAGATGTGAACTCTGCTGCAAAGACTCTATTCTTTGGGAGCAAAAGGGACCCAGGGTCTCACCTGCACATCCCTGTCCCTGAGGGCCTAGGGGTTCTTGGAGGCCCCAGCCTTGGCAAAATGAGGAAGAAGGTGAAGGTTGTCTGGGCCCCTGCCAGGCTCCTTCCTCGGCCACGCACTCCCCTTCCTGCACACACACCCTTCTCCCTCCACCCCATCTCCATTGTTGTCAGAAAAGTCACAATAAAAAGGTCCATATTGTCTAGTTCCCATACTTTTAATTTTTAAAATTTTATTTATTTATTTATTTATGTATTTTTTGAGACAGAGTCTTAACCCAGGCTGGAGTTCAGTGGCATGATCTAGGCTCACTGCAACCTCTCCCTCCTGGGTTCAAGTGATTCTCATGCCTCAGCCTCCCGAGTAGCTGAGATTACAGATATGTGCCACTATGCCCAGCTAATTTTTGTATTTTTAGTAGAGACGGGGTTTCACCATGTTGGCCAGGCTGGTCTCGAACTCCTGGCCTCAAGTGATCTGCCTGCCTGAGCCTCCGGAAGTGCTGGGATTTCAGGTGTGAGCCACCGCACTCGGCTCCACACTTTTCACTTATTAAAAGACTGTGGTGTCCATCAATGGATGAATGAATAAACCAATGTGGACTATCCCTCCCATTACCCAAGGAATGAAGCACGGAGCCGTGCCAAGATCTGGATTCACAGTGAAAGAAGCCAGTCACCAAAAGCCACGTGCTGTGTGACTTCCCTTATACGAAATATCCAGAAGAGATACATCCATGGTGACAGAAAGTAGATGAGCAGCTGGGGACTGGCGAAGGGGAGAAGGGGGAGCAGCTGTCTATGAGGTCCAGCCTTTCTTCTGGGTTTGGTGAGAATGTTTTGGAACTAGATAGAGGTGATAGTTGTACAACATTGTGAATGTACTAAATGCCACTGAATCATTCATTTTAAATCGTTCTTTACGTTGCATGAATTTTAAGTCAATCAAAAACAGTTGTTTGAAAAGAGAAAAGCCTATGGGTAGCGGCAGCAGTGATTGGATTTATGATTCGATTCCATGGCTCATCCCTCCCCTGCCTCACCCCCTCGCCCTCCGACGTCTTCTTCTTTTACTCTGAACTGTTATCTTTGTTCTCATCTCTCTCTCTCTCTCTCAACCCTGCAGACACTTTTCCCTTTCTTTGTCTGCCCCCACCCTCCAGATTTCCGTGTCTCCAGTGTCTCCCTACGAGGCATGAATTGAGACTGGGAGGGTGTGATTCTGAAGAAGGCACCAACAGTGACTCAGCTAGCCCCTTCCCCCACCCCGCCCCCCGGGCCTCAATTTAGCTAAAAAACCACAGGGACGGACTCAGGAGGCAATACCTTTCCAAGGGTCCCTAAAAAATGTCCCATTTTAGTGTCCAGGTTTCACTCAACTTTAGTGCCTCCCCTAAAATGTGTTCCTTACCTCCCACCCCACTGCATCTAAGTCACTGCCTGAGAAAACAGGATTGAGGAAAGGAGAAAGGAAGAGAGAGAGAGAGGAGGAGAGAGAGAGAGAGGGAGGAAGGCTGATGGATTTAGAAAAGAAGAAAACAAGTGGTCTGAGGAAAACAGCCTTGGTGTGTTTATTTTCCTGTCTGTGTATCGCTTCTCGGCCTTTTGGCTAAGATCAAGTGTATTTTCCTGTCTGTGTGTCTCGCTTAGATTACAGGGATCTGTGGGTGATGACACGTCTGGTCCAGGCTGCGTAGTCACCTCAAGGGCATGCTTATTGATGTGTTTTTCAATTCACTATCTTTGCATGGGAGTCCCAGGCCAAGAGGCACAGCTGCGCCATTTGTCTGTTGGTTTAGATATCCTTTATCCAGTTCTTCCAGAGAAATCATCCTGCCCTTCTGGAGGAGGTGGGCAGCAGGGGTCAGAGATGGGAGGGAAAGGAAGGAGCCAGGTCCTTGGCTAGGATGCCAGGGTCCCCTGCCTCTCACCTGGCCTGGGCTGGAGGCCTCCTGCTGTCCTGTCACTGATCACTACCCCGCCCCAGCCTCCTGAGTTAGAAGACACAGGCTAAAGTAGAGTATTTCTTCATTGAAAAACCCATACAAAATAAAGGTTCATAAAAAATAAAAATTTAGACTGGGTGCTGTGGCTCACACCTGTGATCCCAGCACTTTGGGAGGCCAAGGCAGGTGGATCGCTTGAGCCCTGGGGTTCATGACCAGCCTGGGCAACATAGTGAAACCCCATCTCTACAAAAAATACAAAAAATTAGCCAGGCATGGTGGTGCATACCTGTGGTCCCAGCTTCTCAGCCTATGGACCCACATAGAATACAATGTCAGCATAAGAAGGGAGCCCTGGGGTCACCAAATGGTTTGGGCGGCAAAGAACCTGAAGGTTGAGAGAAGTGGCTTGGTTACCCAGCTGTTGGATGTGAGACCTGGCCACTGCTTCTTCCATACCCTAGACCTGCACCCTGACATCTCAAGTAAAAAGTTGGGGGATGTTTTATGGTCCAGGATGAAGGAAGGGCAGTGAGGGGCAGCGGAGCATCACTTTGCATTTCTGTCTGCCTCTTACTGGCTGTGTGACCTGGGGCAGGTAACTTCCCAGACTCCTGGGAATCATAACACCTATGATGATGATGATGATGATGATGATGATGATGATGACACCTACCTCAAGGATTGCCCTGAAGGGTCACAGAGATGCCTGCAAGGCACCTGCATGGAGCAAGCGCCCCTTCTCTGGCAGGTGCTGGGTGAGCACTACCTGCTGCCAGGCCCTGGGGCTATGGCACTGCGTGACCCTGCAAGTCCTACCTGGCGAAGCTGTCGTTCTTGTGCTCAGTCAGTGTTGGTTGTAAGACTGAGAAGAGTCACTTCATTTTGCTCTCCAGGGACATCTTTCTGGGTCCTATTTTCTGCCTATGTCAAGTAGCGCCTCAAGGATGCTCCTGAAAATGGGCTTGTCTTTCTTAACATGGCAGGTAGGTCCCAAAGCATTAGCATGGGGCAGCTGACCTAGCCCAGCCAATGCAGTGCAGTGACTCTTGCAACCGAGTCTAATCAGAAGGTCCATGAACCTACGAGCATTTCCTGTCCCAGGATCAGGGTGGAGGCTGAGCCTCCCTGCTTAGAGATTCTTCCCATGCATTCCACTTTTTTCCCCAAAAGAAAATATTGACCCTTGAGAGGCACACAGTTTATTTATTTTGCATAGTAAATAGTAGCCTGTATTTTAAGGATGAGTTGATTTCTGCATCAGCCCCTGTAGGTCATCAGCCTTCTATTGGTGCATCTGACTCTCTCTAGCCCTGCAGGGATGGTGGAGGGGGAGGGGAAGGAGGGATCTTTATTGGAAACCAGGACAGTGAGACTCATTGCCCTGTCATCTGCTCTGTGGTGCTGAATGAGGCAGCCCAACAGAGAAATACCCTGAGCGAGCATCCCCAGCCTCCAAAACAGTGGCGCATTGCCCTGAGTCCTGGGAATGACCTTTGATTCTCCTGCTCCTGACTTGGAACCCATGGAAACCTCTAGAAGCAGCTGAGGAAAACCCAACATGAAAAGCAGAACTCCACACTGAGAATATAGGAGGTGATCGGAACATACAATGATTCTTGCTAAGACCGATTCACAGTTTTTCTTTTTTTTCGATCGAAGAAATACTGGAGAAGCCTAAAGAAGGAGTCTAAAAACTCTGGCACGTGGGCCAAAACTGTCCTTGAGCTAAGAATGATTTTCACATTTTTAAGTGGTTGAAAAATGAAATAAAATAAGATGATGTTTTGTGACACATGAAAGCTATGGGAAATTCAAATTCTAATATCTATAAATAGTGTTTTATCAGAACACAGTCATGCTCATTTATTTATGCTCGATGGCTGCTTTCCCGCTACAATTACGTTGAGCAGTTACAACAGAGACCACGTGGCCCACAAAGCCTTACAATATTTACTATCTGGCCCTTTCCAGAAAAAAATGTGCCGACTCTTGACCTTAACCTCAGCAATTTGGGAGGCCGAGGCAGGCGGATCGCTTGAGCTCTGGAGTTCATGACCAGCCTGGGCAACATAGTAAGACTCCATCTCTACAAAAAATACAAAACATTAGCCAGGCATGGTGGTGCACACCTGTGGTCCTAGCCACTCGGGAGACTGAGGTGGGAGGATCGCCTGAGCCCAGGAAGTCGAGGCTGCAGTGAGCTGTGATGGCACCACTGCACCTCAGCCTGGGCGACAGAGCAAGACCTTGTCTCCAAATAAATAAATAATGCAAAGTAAAATAAATAAAACCATATAAAAAGGAATCAATTTAAAATTATAATGAAAGCTGGCCGGGCATGGTGGCTCACGCCTGTAATCCCAGCACTTTGGGAGGCTGAGGTGGGTGGATCACGAGGCCAGGAGATCGAGACCATCTTGGCTAACACGGTGAAACCCCGTCTCTACTAAAAATACAAAAAAAAAATTAGCCGGGCACAGTGGCGGGCGCCTGTAGTCCCAGCTACTCGGGAGGCTGAGGCAGGAGAATGTCTTGAACCCGGGAGGTGGAGCTTGCAGTGAGCCGAGATCGTGCCACTTGCAGTCCAGCCTGGGCGAAAGAGCGAGACTCCGTCTCAAAAACAAAAACAAAAACAAAAACAAAAAAAAATTATAATGAAAGCCAAGGGGCATAGTAGAACAAATTTTCTAGAGCTCATTAAGTCAAATGAGTCACCAGTTAGTAAAACGCAGTCACGGGGAAGAGAGGGCAGGATTCTTTGAAGCAGCGGCTCTCCTAAAAACAACCCACCCTTGTCCAGCTGCCTTCCCTCCTGAGGGTGTTCCCTTTGACTGTGTGACCCCCATCCCCTATTTCCCAACCGTCCAAGCCCACCTCTAGCATAATACGAGCTTTTAATCCCTCTCCCTGACCCCAACCCGATTTTGAAGCCCAGTCTAGTATTTTCTCAAATACACTTCTTGGCTCCATTCCTTCCTTTCCATCACCTCTGCCTTTTCACTGCATGCTTGGACCACTGCAGTCAGCTCCCTATGAACAGTTGCTCTCTACCCATCCAATCGGCCCCGCCTGCTGCTGCCAAATTCACCGAGGGCACCTCTGTGGTGCTGCCTGTGGACAAAGTCCAAGCCAGCCACCTCACCCACCTACAGGTGAGTGGGGAGCAGCCAGCGTGTCCAGTGGTTTACCCCATCGCCACAGACTTGGTGATGTGTCGATGTGCAGAGAAGGGGTGTTGGCAGCCACAACACAAGCAACCCCGCCCCATGTGAGATCTAAGATGGGCGTGCTGGGAGCCACCTCTGAGAATCCAACAGAAGGCAGAGGGGAGAACGGCTCACACGGCACAAACACTCCTTCCTTTTTTTTTTTTCTTTTTCCTTTTTGAAAGGAGTCTCACTCTATTGCCCAGGCAGGAGTGCAGTGGTGCAATCTCAGCTCACTGCAACCTCCGCCTCCTAGGTTCAAGCGATTCTCCAGCCTCAGCTTCCCAAGTAGCTGGGATTACAGGTACACTCCACCATGCCCGGCTAATTTTTGTGTTTTTAGTAGAGACGGGGTTTCCCTATGTTGGCCAGGCTGGTCTTGAGCTCCTGACCTCAGGTGATCTGCCTGCCTTGGCCTCCCAAAGTGCTGGGATTACAGGTGTGAGCCATGGGGCCTAGCCTCCTTCCATTTAAATGTATGCCTAATTTGCCCATTGAGAACGGCTGAGACGCATTTTAAGTGGCCAGGGTCTACTTAGAGTTAGTGCTCATGACCAGGCCCAGGTCAAGCCTGGCTGGCCAGATGGTGCCTTTGACCTGCTCTGTCTCTGTGCAAAGGAATGAGCTGAAGGATGGGGGTGCAGTGTGTGGGCAGTGGGCTGGGGCTGGCAGGACTCAGTGACTAAGGGAAGAGAACTTTCCTCACTACCAGCCTGTCTTTTCAGGGCACCGCGGGGGGCTTTGGGACTTGGTGATGAACACAGCACAGAGAGCTGTCCAGCATGCGGGTCCCTGGCTTCTCACACTTCCCAGGCTCCTTCAGAGGCTCTCTCCAAAGGGAGCTGCTCTCTCTAGAACCCATGAATTTGGAATATAGGCAACCACTGCATTGGGGACCACTGACCTCAAACATAGAGACCAGAGCAAATGGGGCTCATCACGTGAAACTCATCTGGAACTCTAGCAGGTTCTTTTATATATATATATATATATATATATTTTTTATTATTATACTTTAAGTTCTAGGGTACATGTGCACAACATGCAGGTTTGTTACATATGTATACATGTGCCATGTTGGTGTGCTGCACCCATTAATTCATCATTTACATTAGGTATATCTCCTAATGCTATCCCTCCCCACTCCCCCCACCCCACAACAGGCCCCAGTGTGTGATGTTCCCCTTCCTGTGTCCAAGTGTTCTCATTGTTCAATTCCCACCTACGAGTGAGAACATGCTGTGTTTGGTTTTTTTGTCCTTGCGATAGTTTGCTGAGAATGATGGTTTCCAGCTTCATCCATGTCCCTACAAAGGACATGAACTCATCATTTTTTATGGCTGCATAGTATTCCATGGTGTATATGTGCCACATTTTCTTAATCCAGTCTATCATTGTTGGACATTTGGGTTGGTTCCAAGTCTTTGCTATTGTGAATAGTGCCGCAATAAACATACGTGTGCATGTGTCTTTATAACAGCATGATTTATATTCCTTTGGTTATATACCCAGTAATGAGATGGCTGGGTCAAATGGTATTTCTAGTTCTAGATCCCTGAGGAATCGCCACACTGTCTTCCACAATGGTTGAACTAGTTTACAGTCCTACCAACAGTGTAAAAGTGTTCCTATTTCTCCACATCCTCTCCAGCAGCTGTTGTTTCCTGACTTTTTAATGATCGCCATTCTAACTGGTGTGAGATGTTATCTCATGGTGGTTTTGATTTGCATTTCTCTGATGGCCAGTGATGATGAGCATTTTTTCACATGTCTGTTGGCGAACTCTAGCAGCTTCTTTTCACAAGTTCATGGAGAGAGGTTTCCCACTGAGGGAATCACATCTGTCTGATCAAAAGAGGCTTGGGAAATGGCTCTCCTGTTCATTCCCTGAAAACCTCTGATGGAACCACTGCCACTGTGGCAGCCCCAGCACTGGCACCCCAGCCATGATTGGTGCCCCAGCCACATCTCTGCTGTGAGCCCCAGAGCCCTGGTTAATTAATCATCCACGTGTTGATGGGGAGAGGCCCATTCACAAAAGCGACATAAAGCCCAGGGAGACGTGGCCGTGGCAAGAAGGGTGTGGGACTACATTCCGCCCCCAACTGAGAGATTCAGAAACCAGAAAAAAATGGAAAAACATACTGTGCTCTTGGGTGGGAAAACTAAATATCATGAAGGGAGCAATTTTTATAGTTTTGGCCTATAATACAATTCCAGCCGAAATCCCAGTGGAACTTTGAGAATTTGCAGGAAAAAAAAAAATGTCTAAAGTACATCTGGAAGACAAACTTACAAGAAGGTCAAATAATTTTGAAAAAGAAAATGATATCTAAGCCCACCTAGAGAATAAGACTTGAGATCCAAAGCTAAATCAGGAGGCTCTAGCAAAATTGACAGATAAGCAGGACAGAGTGCATGGTGCATTCACCTGGGGAAGAGGGCAGATTGGTCTACAAATAGGCCTGGGTCCACTGACTTTAGCTGTTATATTTGGGGAGAAACTTTTCAACCTCACTCCATCTTAAACCTAAAAATATTCCAGATGAATTAATAAATATAAAAAATTAGACCACTAAAAATGTAGAAGAAAATGGATGATCTTTCTATACCATAGAGCAATGGAATAAATCACAAAGGAAAACAGATTTGACTATATAAAACTTAAACCCTGCCCATCAAAAACCATCAGAAACCAAAATAAAAGGCAACCAACTGGAGAAGATAGTTGCCACAAATATGATCAAGGGTTAATGTTATTCATAAATTAAGAGCCCACACAAGTCATTAGAATAAGCACTGAGACCTGAACAGACAAGCAAAAAGAATGAGAGTGGGTCGGCGCGGCGGCTCATGCCTGTAATCCCAGCACTTTGGAAGGCTGAAGCAGGCGGATCACTTGATCCCAGGAGTTCCAACACCAGCCTGAGCAACATGGTGAAACCCTGCCTCTACAAAAGTCATAAATATTAGCCGGGTGTGATGGCACACGCCTGTAGTCCCAGCTACTCAGGAGGCTGAGGTGGGTGGATCACTTGAGCCCGGGAGGTAGAGTCTGCAGTGAGCCAAGATCACACCGCTGCACTCCAGCTGGAGCAACAGAGTGAGACCCTGACTTAAAAGAAAAAAAAAAAAAAAGAGGAGAAAAATGCTGATCTCACTAGTAATTAAAACATCAGGCCAGGCGCAGTGGCTCACACCTTTAATCCCAGCACTCTGGGAGGCTGAGGCAGGCAGATCACTTGAGATCAGGAGTTCTAGACCAGCTTGGCCAACATGGTGAAATCCCGTCTCTACAAAAAATACAAAAATTCGCCAAGCGTGGTGGCACATGCCTGTGATCCCAGCTACTCGGGAGGCTGAGACAGGAGAATTGCTTGAACACGGGAGGCAGAGGTTGCAGTAAGCTGAGATCGTACCATTCCAGTCCAGCCTGGGCTACAGAGCGAGACTCTGTCCCAGAAAAAATTAAAACATCACATATTTAAACAACTCTAGGATATCATTTAAAAAAACATTAATAGACTGTTTTTTAGAGCACTTTTAGGTTCACAGTGAAACTGAGTGGAAGGTACAGAGACTTCCCGTATGTTCCCTGCCCTCCACGTACAGCCTCCCCCACTGCCAACGTCCTGCACCAGAGTGGTACACTTGTTACAACCAATGAATCCTCATTAACATATCATTATCACCCAAGTTCATAGTTTACATTAGTAAAACATCATCTTTCATCTATAAGCACAAAAATTTTTTGGCATTTATTTAGGTGTATGATTAACTCAGTGTTGACAAGACTCACACTTCATACCCACTTGCACTGCATCTGAGAAGCAATTGGTGTCTACAGCCGCTACACCCTCAACAAGCCCGATCTTGTTTGAAAAGCAATTGGTGATGCTTCTCAAAATTCTATGGACAAAGTCAGCCGGGCATGGTGGCTCATGCCTGTAATCCCTAAACTTTGGGAGGCCGAGGCAGGCAGATCACCTGAGGTCTGGTGAAACCCTGTCTCTACTAAAAATGCAAAAATTACCCAGGCATGGTGGCTGGGGCCTGTAATCCCAGCTACTCGGGAGGCTGAGGCAGGAGAATCGCTTGAAGCAAGGAGGCGGAGGTTTCAGTGAGCCAAGATTGCACCACTGCACTCCAGCCTGGGTGACAAGAGTGAAACTCCATCTAAAAAAAAAAAATTATGGACAAAGTTTTTCAAAAAGATATTTAATGCAACTTTATTTGTAATATTGGAACATCTGAGGCCATTTCAGTGCTAACTATTAGGGGATGGTTAGGAAAATATGGTACATATGTGGAAAGGAACATTTGGTAGTTAGTGCCCCTGATGTTTACAAAGGCTTTTAGTGACCAACAAATGCTCATGCTATAATCTTATGTGAAAAAAGCAAGTAGCATAATTGCAACTATATTTTTAATGCATAGAATAAAAGGCTAGAAGGAAATATCACAGATCCTTGACATACATTCCCAAACCTTTGTAAATCCGCGGATTCATGAAAACAGACACATTTGCACAAGTGCCTGATCTTTTCTGTTATACATTCATTAGAAGTCAAGCCCTGGTGCCACAAAGTATCTGCCTTTTCAAATGTGATCAGAATGTTCTCTTTTGCTTCAAGGCCATTTTTCACGAAGCAGTGGCATTTTTGCCTCTTCATCAGAGTCACCGTGTGCCCTGGAGGACTGAGAACAGCAGAGCCGTTTTAGGATGGGACAGGGCAGCCAGGAGGATTGGGCTCACTCCCTACTGAGTGCCTCACTCCCGTACAGCCCCCATAGAGGAAGAGGGGTTCAAATTTATTCCTCAGCCAGATGGCATGTGCCGCCTGTCCTGGAATTTCACATCACTTATGATGGACCAAAATTCCAAAAGCTGAATCCATGATTGTCAAAGTCTGGTATGGCAGGATGTCAACAGTAATCGTTTCTGGGCAGAGGGATGATTTTCTCTTCCCATCTTGCTTTGTATAAATACATTTTCTATAATAAGGTTGTATTACTTTTCTCATCAAGAAATAGCAAAGTACTGTTTTACTCAAAATATGAATAGAGCCAGGCATGGTGGCAGCTTATGCCTGTAATCCCAACACTTTGAGAGGCGGATATGGGAGGATCACTTTAGCCCAGGAGTTTGAGACCAGCCTGGGCAACATAGTGAGACCCCCGTCCCCACTCCCCCAAAGAAAACCCACAAAGCATTTATCCTGGATTATTCACAGGGGCCAAAAAAAAAAAAAATTCAGGCCTCCTATAGCCATGAGCTACGAATATGAAAATATGCAAATGTGTAAGAAAAGCCAGCACATCCGATTTTTACTTTTACTTTCACACCTCTGTCCACCATGTTCCAAGAGAAGAAACTTGGTCATTGAAAGGAATAGATCAAATCCAAAGAACAAAACCACTGTGCTCATTAAACTTCTTAGTGTTCACAAAGCTTTAGCTGCAGGTTGAATGGGGCAACCCGAATTGGCTGGCTCACCTGGGCTGCAGGGAGCAGAGATCGCGACACTGCACTCCAGCCTGGGCAACAAAGCGAGACTCTATCTCAAAAAAAAAAAAGTTCATAAATTCAAAGTTATGAATTATTTTTAAAATAATAATAATTTACAATAAAGATGAGGACAAAGTGTGAGTAAATGGTGGTTTCTATCCAGCTCTGTTGAGCTGAAGTGGCATCTCCCTGCTGGGGCTTTTGGGGAAGAAGGGTGTGTGTTGCTCTTCAGATCCCAAGCCTCATGCCCCTACTGGGCCCTGTGGGGTGCTTCTCAGCCCACCAGGAGAGCCACCGTTGGAACACACACGTGGGGGACCTGGTGGGTGCCGGTGTGGTGAATGGGGGCCACAGCCTGACTCCAGGAAGCCAGCAAACTCGGAGCTGGAGGAGTCAGGACACCCCCGATGAGTCAAGAGTTGGTTTTGCTGCCAGTTGACATCTGATTGAACCATCTCTTCACTTCTCCGTGCCTCACTTTCCTTACCAGACAGGCTCTGCTGATGCTGTCCCTCTCCTGTTCAGTCGTGCCCTCACCGTTAAAGAGAAAGAGCAAACTGCTGGGCAGCAGCATTGATTTTTTTAATGAAGTGGAAAGAGAGCTGGGAATAACAAGTCGGGCCCACCTCACCTGCCTCACCTGGTGGGTTTATTTGTTTTGTTTTTTTTTTTTTGTTTTGAGACAGAGTTTCACCCTGTCACCCAGGCTGGAGTGCAGTGGTGTAATCTCAGCTCACTGCAACCTCCACCTGCCAGGTTCAATTGATTCTCCTGCCTCAGCCTCCCCAGTAGCTGGGATTACAGGCACCTGCCACATGCCTGGCTAATTATTGTATTTTTAGTAGAGATGGGGTTTTACCATGTTGGCCAGGCTGGTCTCGATCTCCTGACCTCAGGTGATCCACCCACCTCGGCCTCCCAAAGTGCTGAGATCACAGGCGTGAGCCACCATGCCTGGCCGTCACCTGGTGGTGTTGAATATGAACTGCTGCGGTGTTGGTAAATTAAGCAAGCAGATAGATGTAAATAACGCTTGGGCAGGAATATGGAGCACGGGATGAGGATGGGCGGCCAACTGTTAGAGAGGGTAGCAGGGAGGCTGAGATCTGCCTGCCATGAACTGGGAGGAGAGGCTCCTCTCTCTCTTCACCCCCACTCTGCCCCCCAACACTCCTCAGAACTTATCCTCTCCTCTTCTTTCCCCAGGTGAACTTTGAACCAGGATGGCTGAGCCCCGCCAGGAGTTCGAAGTGATGGAAGATCACGCTGGGACGTACGGGTTGGGGGACAGGAAAGATCAGGGGGGCTACACCATGCACCAAGACCAAGAGGGTGACACGGACGCTGGCCTGAAAGGTTAGTGGACAGCCATGCACAGCAGGCCCAGATCACTGCAAGCCAAGGGGTGGCGGGAACAGTTTGCATCCAGAATTGCAAAGAAATTTTAAATACATTATTGTCTTAGACTGTCAGTAAAGTAAAGCCTCATTAATTTGAGTGGGCCAAGATAACTCAAGCAGTGAGATAATGGCCAGACACGGTGGCTCACGCCTGTAATCCCAGCACTTTGGAAGGCCCAGGCAGGAGGATCCCTTGAGGCCAGGAATTTGAGACCGGCCTGGGCAACATAGCAAGACCCCGTCTCTAAAATAATTTAAAAATTAGCCAGGTGTTGTGGTGCATGTCTATAGTCCTAGCTACTCAGGATGCTGAGGCAGAAGGATCACTTGAGCCCAGGAGTTCAAGGTTGCAGTAAGCTGTGATTATAAAACTGCACTCCAGCCTGAGCAACAGAGCAAGACCCTGTCAAAAAAAAAAGAAAAGAAAAAAGAAAGAAAGAAATTTACCTTGAGTTACCCACATGAGTGAATGTAGGGACAGAGATTTTAGGGCCTTAACAATCTCTCAAATACAGGGTACTTTTTGAGGCATTAGCCACACCTGTTAGCTTATAAATCAGTGGTATTGATTAGCATGTAAAATATGTGACTTTAAACATTGCTTTTTATCTCTTACTTAGATCAGGCCTGAGTGGCCTCTCTTTAGCAAGAGTTGGTTAGCCCTGGGATTCTTACTGTAGCCACATTAATAAACAACATCGACTTCTAAACATTCTATAATACCATCTTTTGGCCAAATTGACTTCGCCTCTTCCTCTCTCTTTCCAAATGAAATGTGTTTCATTTCACTGTCAGACCACATGGTTGGGGACCCCACAGAGCACACAGCCCTCCCTCTGCCTTCCCATGCTGGCCCTTCACCCACTGCTGGAGTGCCAGGTTGGTCCAAGGGTTGGACCAAGTTGTCTGAGGTTGTCTCAAGGTTGGTCGAGGCTGTCTCCACGCTGGGTTGTGCTACAAGGAGCCCTTCTTTCCATGGGTGTGGCTGGCAGTGAGTGCTCACAGCAACAGCCCACAGTGCAGCCCGAGGGCAGGATGGACTCAGTCCCTGCCTCCATACCCATTTCTAAGGAGGCAAAATGGCAAACACTCTACTTTTCTCTTTTAATGCTAAAAATAAGAAAACACCTTGCAGCCCAGGGTATGGGTAGTGCATGGAAGCCGTGGAGTTGTGAGGTGGGAAGTGACCTCTGCTGGATATGTCTATTCAGGAAGATTGCTGGAGTGGGTGGGGTCTCTGGGAGGTCCCCTGAGTGTGGGAAGCTGGGACCACCAGCTTTCTCGCACAGGGAGTGGCCATCCCAGCTTGGAGAGGTTCCAGGACTGGTTGGGAGGCACGTTTCAGATTTCTATCTGTTGAATCAGCGAAGATATTGGATTATGAGGAATTTGGGAATTAGGAAAGTGGGTGCAGGTGGGTTGGGGGTAGGTGAAGGAAGACATGGGCGTATTGGGGGAGCAGGGGCTGCTCAGAGGTGTTCCAGAAGCTCTGGGTGAGGAGGTGAGAGGGACCGGGGAATGCAGCTCGGCCCAGCCTCCCTGCCTGAGGTCAGCCATCACGTGGTGATGGCAAGATGGAAATGTGCTTTCTGACTGCTCCAGCCAGTGCTGCCAGATTCAGCTCCCCAGGGAGGGCACCTGAGAGGCTCCAAGCCAGGAGATCTGTTTTCTCCTTTGTTTTGTTTTTTTTTGTTTTGTTTTGTTTTATTATACTTTAAGTTCTAGGGTACATGTGCACAACGTGCAGGTTTGTTACATATGTATACATGTGCCATGTTGGTGTGCTGCACCCATCAACTTGTCATTTACATTAGGTATATCTCCTAATGCTATCCCTCCCCCCTCCCCCCACCCCCTGTTTTCTCCTTTGAATCCTTCTTAGAGGCCGGGTGCGGTGGCTCACGCCTGTAATCCCAGCACTTTGGGAGGCTGCGGCAGGAGGATTGCTTGAGCCCAGGAGTTCCAGACCAGCCTGGGCAACATAGTGAGACCTCGTCTCTACAGATAATAATTTTAAAAATTATCCGGGCATAGTGGCATGCACCTATAGTCCCAGCTACTCAAGAGGCAGAGGCAGGAGGATCACTTGAGCCCAGGAGGCGGAGGTTGCCGTGAGCCAAGATCCCACCACTGCACTCCAGCCTGGGCGACAGAGACCCCCATGTCAAATAATAATAATAATAAATAAATCCTTCTCAGTCCCTTCCTCACTGTGTCCCCCTCCACTGAATTTTTCCACCTCCTCTCCCACTTCCCCCACTCCCGCTTTCCCTCTCCTTCTCTCCCCACTCCATCTTTTTCTTTCTCTGCTGTTTCTCGTCCCTCCCTCCTCTCCATCCCACAACACTGCCTACCCTGTCCCTGCCCCACCCTGGTGCTCAGGATGTGTGAAGTGAGGGGTGGTAGCCCCCAAGACCTCAACCCCGAAGGTTAGCCTGTTGAAACCACTTTCTCCCAGCTGCCCCCCTGGCAGTTGGTGCTGCTGGGGGAAACTGGGATTGGGGGCCAGATTTTGCCTCTTTTCCTGACAAAGAGAGATGAAGAGTTCTCTCACCAGGTGCCTGGGACTGGGGTGTGGGTGTCCCAGCCTATCCCAGCGCATCTGTTCTGCATCATGATTAATAGTGCTGCTTTCAGCCGGGCGCGGTGGCTCACACCTGTAATCCCAGCACTTTGGGAGGCTAAGGTGGGCAGATCACAAGGTCAGGAGTTCGAGACCAGCCTGGCCAACATGGTGAAACCTCGTCTCTACTAAAAATACAAAAATTAACCAGGTGTGGTGGTGGGTGCCTGTAGTCCCAGCTACTTGGGAGGCTGAGGCAGGAGAATCACTTGAATCTGGGAAGCAGAGGTTGCAGTGAGCCAAGATCGTGCCACTGCACTCCAGCCTGGGTGACAGAGCGAGACTCCGTCCTAAAAAAAAAGGAGTTTTGCTCTGTCGCCCAGGCTGGAGTGTAGTGGCGCCATCTCGGCTCACCGCAACCTGCGCCTCCCGGGTGCAAGCGATTCTCCTGCCTCAGCCTCCCAAGTAGCTAGGATTACAGGCGCCTACCACCACGCCCGGCCAGTTCTTGTATTTTTAGAAGAGACGGGGTTTCACCCTGTTGGCCAGGCTCGTCTGGGACTCCTGACCTCAGGTAATCCGCCCACCTCAGCCTCCCAAAGTGCTGGGATTGCAGGCATGAGCCACCGTGCCCAGTCAACTCCTTCTCAAAAAAAAAAAAATAGTGCTGCTTTCTCTTTCAAGTGTCCTGATTTGGGTGATAGTAAATGCCACTCTACTTATAAGGGATCTACCTCAGAATGCTAATTGGGACATTTTTGTAGCACTCTACTGTTGGCAGCAGGTGATGCTCACAACAGCCCGTGAGGGTGGATGACGTCCGCTTCACAGATGACAAAGGAGCCTCATGCTCAGACCGTGGGCTGCCAGAGCAGGTCCATGGCTGCAGCCCCACATGGACCATATTTCCCCCTTGTCACTCTTTCCACCAAGCTCCCTTGGAACTTCAGTTATTAAGCTCTCTTGGGTGGAATCCAAGTTAGAATCACAACATGTGCCTCATATGGATTGTGCCAGTGAAAAATGACATTCTATTTAGAGGCAGGGCAGCCTGGCTTAGAGTCAGTTTAAAATATGTATTATGCTGCAACAAATGTACCATGATCCTGTAAGATGTTCACAACAAGGGAACTGGATGTGGGGTATACTGTCTGTACTAACTTCACAAGTTTTCTGTAAATCTAAAACTGTTCCAAAATAACAAGTTCGTTTAAAATTAACTCCAGGAGACCAGGTACGGTAGCTAATGCCTATAATCCCAGCACTTCGGAAGGCTGAGGCAGGTGGATTGCTTGAGCCCAGGAGTTTGAGACAAGCCTGGGCAACATGGTGAAATCCTGTCTCTAAAAAAAATCACAAAAATTAGCCAGGTGTGGTGGCGCATTCCTGTAGTCCCAGCTACTTGCGGGGCTGAGGTGGGAGAATCATCTGAGCCCAGGAGTTTGAGGCTGCAGTGAGCTGTGATTGTACCACTGCACTCCAACCTGGGCAACAGAGCAAGACCCTGTCTCAAAAAACAAAAATGAAATAAAGTCCAGGAAAGAAGTAGGTTTTACCACTCTTATTTTCTGAAGAGAAAACTAAATTTAATGTGTAAAGTGAGGACAAGTTCACCAAGTTAGTGTTTGAGTTGCCTAAAATATGTTTGCTAAAACTATTCAAAGCTTTCACATAAAACATGATCAGAAGTTCTATGCCAAAACATATGTGTGTGTATATATATATGCACTATATATACTGTATATAAAAATGCAAAATCTAAATTGCCAACCTTTTAGAAATTGCTCTGAAAGGAAAGCATTTCAAGATAATTTGCTTACCCAAAGAATATACTTTCCAAGAAAGCAAGTAATACTTAAGGTGTTCATAATCCTCATCAAATTAATTCTTGCTACTGAAAGCTTACAAGGAGCTGTTTTGATGTCGGGTGTGACAGGTTTGACTTGGCAGAAGGTGTCACTTTACTAACAACATTTTAAATAAGTGACAGAAGACAAGAAACTACACGTTAAATGCCAGAACAAAGAGTGTCTAAGTGGATGCTAAGAGTTGAAATATGGCTGGATACCTGCCCAAGAGAGCTGAAAAGTAGATGAAAGTTGGTTACCTATAAACTAGTGCACCCTAATGAATTAAAAGGTGTTGATGAGTTAACTTGTTATGCCTTCCAGATAAGACATGCAAATGGGGCTTCTTCCTCCTTCACTACTTCCAAGGGATTTAACAAGGAGACCAATGCAAATGATAAGGACTGTAGGGCTCAAGCTGGGGACAGATTGGGGAAAGGGGGACCATCATGCCCATATAGATGTCCCTGTGCCCTGGCAGTCAAGGCTGCTGAAAAATAACAAAACCCAGAAGTCTGCGTGATGCTGCCTCTCCATTTGTCCAAAGCCTTCTTGCGGCAGTTTGCAGGCTTTTGCAAAAGCTCCAGGACCAAGGAGCTATGTTCATGCTGGAAGCTTGTTCAGGATTAGCTGTTCTTTGTGGGATGGGTGCAGCCAGGGCCAGGTGTCCAGGGACAGTGTTTTAACAAAGGGCATGAGGTGTCTGATCTCACAGTGGAACTCCACTTGCCTTTTTTTCATCTTCTCATTCTGCTTCATGCACAGAACCAGCCCCATCCTGAAACTGACTCTAAATTACTCCCGCCCCAGGTGGAGTGCCTTTCTCGGAGTTCAACAGAGCCTTCCTGTCGCCCAAGGGACAACTCCACTGAATGCCCAAGCCACACCCAAAACCTAACAAGTAAAAACCAAATTCTGTGCTCCCCCATCCTGGGCCATTCCTGGTTTCTCTACTGCTGTTGGTGATACCACCATCAGCTTGTCCATCATGACCCTGGCCAGTTCCTCCCACAACCCTCCACAGCACCCAGGGACCTCACCTCCATTCCATCCGACACAGATCTCCTCACCACAAACCTTGGTTTTGCAACAGCAGCCATGAGACCTTTACACCCTCCGCCCTTCATCCTGTCCCCCACTGAGGCCCCAGAGCCATTCCTTAAAGCAGCGCGCCACAAACTATAACCCACAAGCCAATTCTGGTACCCAGCCTGTTTTGCACAGCCAGTGAACTGACAATGATCTTTTCATACAGCCAGAAAAACAAAACAAAACAAAAAACAACAAAAAAAAACCCCACCATTCTGAGCATGTGACTTCCATGTTCAAGATGTCTCATGTTCAGAAAGGCCCCTGGAAAAGGAGGAAGGGGAGCTGGGCACAAAGGGAGACCCTCTCAGCTGAGCTCCTCCCATCCAGACATTTTCCTGGACTTCCTATCCAATGACTTCCCTTAGCTTCTTATCAGCCACCCCTGTCTGCCCAGGAGGCTGGAAGATGTGGCCTTTTAACTGGGCACAGCTCTGTCCTCTATCATATCAGGGCTCTGTTCCCAAGGAGGGTAGAGAGAATGGACACCAGGTGGACCCTCAGCAGTCTGTGCCACAGAGGGAGTGTTTGCAATTTCCAGACTAAAAGTCCCCATGTGCTTGACGGGGTATGTGACTACAACGTGATGCTTGACTTTTCCTCATATGACCAGAGCCACTTTG
The DNA here is from genome assembly GCF_000001405.40 of Homo sapiens. NCBI lineage: Eukaryota > Metazoa > Chordata > Mammalia > Primates > Hominidae > Homo > Homo sapiens. The sequence goes on from NT_187663.1 coordinate 670,765, forward strand.
TCCATCTGGTACAATGTCAGCTATCTGCTAGGGGCCCTCCAGGATTCCCAGTCAATTCCATATCTGCATCACCACCATTGGCACTAAATAAAATAAAATACTCAAGTTCCTGCTGGTGAGCATGAGCAGTGCTACACTGGGCCCTTCAACCAAGGTGACATGATAATGACTGAAAATAATCACTGCCACTTATTGGGGACGTCTCATCTGCCAGGCATGGTACAAAGTGCTTTAAATAAGCATTCAACAATTTCATGCTGACAGAAGCCCTGTGAGCCAGTGGAGCTACTACTATGCCCATTATACAGGGGAGAAAACTGAGGCAGAGAGAGGTTAGGTAATTCGCTCAGCCTCACACAACCAATAGGTGGTGGAGCCAGGATTTGGGCCCCATCTGCCTGACTCTCTAGAGGCTCTATCTTCCAGTCTTCCAGAGTTGAGTCTAAGCCATGAATAGGACAATTAGACAGCAGAGGAAACCCATTCAGCCACCATGTGCATGAAGAGTAAGGAATTTCTGTCATACAGAGGGGAGTGAATTCACTGAGCTGAGAGCTGAGGAACCATTGATCTGATGGCTGAGACACCACTGGGAAGACTGGAGAGGCTTTTCTGGGCATGCAGTGCCAGGCACAGGAGGAGCTGAGGGAAGATGACTAAGAGGTACTGGCAAAGAATTCAGAAATTCTGATGGAAGCTTTACATGTTACCATCACATCCATCCATCTATCCACCCATCCATCCACCCATATCTTCCTCCCTCCACCCAATCATGCATACATCCAGTCATCTATACACCACCCACCCACCCATCCATCCATCCATCCATCCCTTCATCCATCCCATCATCCATCCAATTATACATACATCCATCATATATCTGTACATAATCCATTCTTCCCTCGGTTCATCCATCCGTCCATTCATCCATCCTCCACCCATCCCTTCCTTCATCCTTCCTATCAGCCATCCATCAATATCTGTACATAATCCATTCTTCCCTCGGTTCATCCATCCTCCTTCATCCATCCTCCCCCATCCCTTCCTTCATCCTTCCGATCACCATCCAATCATACATATGTCCAATCATACATCTGCACATCACCAGCTCATCCATCTATGCTTTATCCCTCCGTCCTTCCGTCCATCCATCATTCATCCATCAGACATACATCTAACCATACATCTGTACATCATTCATTCTTCCATCGATTCATCCAGTGATGCATCATGCCTTCCTCCATCCATCCCATTATCCATTTGATCATACATATATCATCTATACATCATCCATTCATCCATCCATCCATCCATCCACCCATATCTTCATCCAATCAATCATACATACATCGAATCATCTACACATCACCCATCCATCCATCCATCCATTCATCTATCCACCCATCCATCCATCCATCCATCCATTCATCTATCCACCCATCCATCCATCCATCCATCCATCCATCCATGTAACCATCCAGTCATATATCCAATTACACATCCATCCAGTTATACATTCATACATGCATCTAATCATTCAATTATACATACACACATCCATATAATTCTACATCCAATTATACCTCCATCCAATTACACATTCATACACCCACCTAATAAATTATTAATTCATATATCCATCCATATAATTATACATCAATTATACATCCATCTAATCATTCAGTAATTCACCCACCATCCAGTCATCTATCCAATAATACATTCATCCAATCATCCATCCATCCATCCACCCATTCATCCATCCATCCGTCCGTCCACCCATCATGGTATGAGCCATGATTTACCACGATGGTCCCCTGTGGACAGCCCAGGTGGGGCAGAACTGAAGGGAAGCCCAGGGCTGCCCCCATAAACATTTGCCTCCTTTACATGGATGAGAACTAGATCCACATGTATAAATCCTCATGATTTGAAGGTGCTTTTACCAACATTCACTCATGGGATTCTCCCAGGAGCTCTAGGAGGAGGCAGGTAGAGTTGAGGTCATCTCACGCATTTTACAGATGAGGAAACGGAGGCCCTGAGAGGCAGGTCCAAGGCCACCTGACCAGAAAGAAGTGGAACTGGGACTTGAACCCAGCCATCTTGCCCCTTGGTCCCATGCTCTCTAGCCTGTAACTCCTGCTTCCTGGTGGGGCATCTCCAGGAGGACCCTATCGGCTGGCCATGGGCCTGCCCTGGAGTCTTTTGCTCTGTGTGGCCATCCTTCCTCCCTCAGGAGAGTGTGTGCTCCCAGAGCACAGGCTGTATCTTCTGAGCATTTTGTCCCTTCCCAGTACCTAGCACTCAGCTCTGTATACATTGGGCTCTCAAGAATTCTCAACCTTCCAGAGTGTAAGGCCTTGACCTGCTCAGCCCTGGATACTGCATGATGCATTGATAAGCCCATAAAATAACCAGGGCAGATTGACTCCCAGTGGCCAAAGTGCCACAGGGAAGGGACAATTCAGCCCTTCTAGGAGGAGGAGGAGGTAGTTTTCTCATTTCTATTAAGGCAACAAAAGCTGCCTTACTAAGGACATTCTTGGTGGAGGGCGTGACTGTCAACCACTGTGATCATTTGGGCCTCTCTTGCCCAGGCTTCCCATTCTGAAAGGACAGTTTTATTGTAGGTACACATGGCTGCCATTTCAAATGTAACTCACAGCTTGTCCATCAGTCCTTGGAGGTCTTTCTATGAAAGGAGCTTGGTGGCGTCCAAACACCACCCAATGTCCACTTAGAAGTAAGCACCGTGTCTGCCCTGAGCTGACTCCTTTTCCAAGGAAGGGGTTGGATCGCTGAGTGTTTTTCCAGGTGTCTACTTGTTGTTAATTAATAGCAATGACAAAGCAGAAGGTTCATGCGTAGCTCGGCTTTCTGGTATTTGCTGCCCGTTGACCAATGGAAGATAAACCTTTGCCTCAGGTGGCACCACTAGCTGGTTAAGAGGCACTTTGTCCTTTCACCCAGGAGCAAACGCACATCACCTGTGTCCTCATCTGATGGCCCTGGTGTGGGGCACAGTCGTGTTGGCAGGGAGGGAGGTGGGGTTGGTCCCCTTTGTGGGTTTGTTGCGAGGCCGTGTTCCAGCTGTTTCCACAGGGAGCGATTTTCAGCTCCACAGGACACTGCTCCCCAGTTCCTCCTGAGAACAAAAGGGGGCGCTGGGGAGAGGCCACCGTTCTGAGGGCTCACTGTATGTGTTCCAGAATCTCCCCTGCAGACCCCCACTGAGGACGGATCTGAGGAACCGGGCTCTGAAACCTCTGATGCTAAGAGCACTCCAACAGCGGAAGGTGGGCCCCCCTTCAGACGCCCCCTCCATGCCTCCAGCCTGTGCTTAGCCGTGCTTTGAGCCTCCCTCCTGGCTGCATCTGCTGCTCCCCCTGGCTGAGAGATGTGCTCACTCCTTCGGTGCTTTGCAGGACAGCGTGGTGGGAGCTGAGCCTTGCGTCGATGCCTTGCTTGCTGGTGCTGAGTGTGGGCACCTTCATCCCGTGTGTGCTCTGGAGGCAGCCACCCTTGGACAGTCCCGCGCACAGCTCCACAAAGCCCCGCTCCATACGATTGTCCTCCCACACCCCCTTCAAAAGCCCCCTCCTCTCTCTTTCTTCAGGGGCCAGTAGGTCCCAGAGCAGCCATTTGGCTGAGGGAAGGGGCAGGTCAGTGGACATCTGATCTTGGTTTAGTATCCTTCATTTTGGGGGCTCTGGGTGTGGCCTGGGCCTCTGGACTTTGGCCACGGTGTTTGTTCCAGCCCTTCTCCTAACCTGTCCTTTCCAGACACTCGGCATCTAGGTTATTAGCACCTCGCATACTTTCTGACATGCTCCTCAGTCCTGATTTTGACCATCTTCTCTTGCTTCCCATCTGTGTCAGTCAAGACTGCATTTGGCTGTAAGAAACAGAAACCCCAACTAACTGTGGCATTTACATGAAGAGGTTTACTTTTCTCACATAATCAGATGTCTAGACTTGGCCAGCACCTCAAGGGTCATTGATGCTCTCCTGTCTTTATTTTCTGTCATCTTTAGTGGTTGGATTGTTGCCTCATGGTTACAAAGTGGCTGCTGCACTTCCAGGCATCACATCTGCCTTTGAAGCAGGAACAAGTTGCAAAGTAAAGTGGCCAAAAGGGCCCTGAAACTAAATGTGTCCCCTTAGGAAAGCAGGAGTTTTCTTGCAAGTGGCAATCTTCTGCTTATGTCTCATTGGCCAGAGCTGGGTCTTACGGCCACCCCTTGCTGCGAGCAAGGCTGGGACATTGAGCATTTTGCCGTCCAACCTCTTTAGCAGAATAAACCAAGGGGGAAGAACGTTAATAGTGGCTTTTGAGTCACTAGTTGGCAGTATCTGCCCCTCTATCTTTCCATCCTCCCCATGGAGTTTCAAGGTTCCTTTCTCAGTACTTCTTCAGGCTCTGCACGTTCATTTGGATCTTGTGTCTTGGGGTGAAAAACTGGCCCAAGTGTCTCCCCAAGCATCCACCTTTGGATTAATTTGGAAAATGGCTGTCAAGTGCCCGCCTCTTGCTTGGTATAATGCTACAGCTTTAGAGGACGCAGCAGGCATGGGCCTTGCCGCTGAGGTTCTTAGCCTCATGAGAATATCCAGATCAGATTCTCTTGGCTCCTTCTTAGAGCCAGTGATGCAAGACACTTCCTGCTCATCTTGTCGGGACGGTTTTACAAGTTGCCTGCCATCCTGAGAAAGTCTACAAAACGATGCCAGACCTCATGCCAGCTTCCCAAGCCTTGACTCTCAGTGCTCCCTCAACAGGATTCTGGAAGAATCTCCCAAACAAGTCGCAATCCCCTCTGGACCCTGTGCAGGCATGAGACTCAAGAGCATTGGCTCCCACCCCTGGTGGAGGGAACACTGCTGGGGCTGGGATCTTGCCTGGTTGCTCCGCCTGCACCCAAGACAACCATAATTAAAATGTCCTTCATTGAACTTGGAAAGCCTTCAAAGCTGACAACTCCTTATGTGTACCCGGAAAGGCCTGGGAGTGTGCCAGGGCATTGCTCGGGAGGGACGCTGATTTGGAAGCATTTACCTGATGAGAGACTGACAGCAGCTCCTGGTAGCCGAGCTTTCCCTCCTGCCTCTGCTGTGAAGGTGGACCCATCCAACAGTCAAATGCCTGACTCTGGACAGGAGCGGACCTATTTATTGCCATGCAAGGGACTCTGCACTTTTGAATTGTGGGTCATGGGCTTGGATTTAGGGGTTAGAGCTGGGAGAAGTCTTGGAAGTCACCTAGAGATGACACTGCCATTTTGCAGATGAGGAAACCGTCCAATCAAAATGGACCAAGGACTTGCCCAAAGCCTCACAGCAAAACCATAGGCCCCCGCACTAACCCCAGAGTCCCTGTGCTGTCTTAAGAATCAAATAGTTGTAAGCAATCATCTGGTTTTCAGTATTTCTTCTTTTAAAATGCCTGGGGCCATGCCCAGCAGTCTGTTTCACTGCAGCGTTTACACAGGGCTGCCGGGCTTTCCTGGTGGATGAGCTGGGCGGTTCATGAGCCAGAACCACTCAGCAGCATGTCAGTGTGCTTCCTGGGGAGCTGGTAGCAGGGGCTCCGGGCCCTACTTCAGGGCTGCTTTCTGGCATATGGCTGATCCCCTCCTCACTCCTCCTCCCTGCATTGCTCCTGCGCAAGAAGCAAAGGTGAGGGGCTGGGTATGGCTCGTCCTGGCCCCTCTAAGGTGGATCTCGGTGGTTTCTAGATGTGACAGCACCCTTAGTGGATGAGGGAGCTCCCGGCAAGCAGGCTGCCGCGCAGCCCCACACGGAGATCCCAGAAGGAACCACAGGTGAGGGTAAGCCCCAGAGACCCCCAGGCAGTCAAGGCCCTGCTGGGTGCCCCAGCTGACCTGTGACAGAAGTGAGGGAGCTTTGCGTGTTTATCCTCCTGTGGGGCAGGAACATGGGTGGATTCTGGCTCCTGGGAATCTTGGGTTGTGAGTAGCTCGATGCCTTGGTGCTCAGTTACCTCCCTGGCTGCCTGCCAGCCTCTCAGAGCATTTAGGGCCTTCTGGACTTCTAGATGCTCCTCATCTTGCCTCAGTCAGCGCGTCAGTTCCAGAGACTTCTCTGCAGGGTTTTCTGGGGCAGGTGGTGGCAGACCCGTGCCTTCTTGACACCTGAGGTCAGTCCACCCTCCTGCTCAGACTGCCCAGCACAGGGTCACCTCCCAAGGGGTGGACCCCAAGATCACCTGAGCGCACAGAGGGTGCAGATGACTGGACCACACCTTTTGGTGATCTTAATGAGGTGGTCCCAGAGGAGCTCAGACATGCAATCTAGCATCCAGTTCTGGGACTCTGTCTCCTTTTCAAACGTATTCATGTAGAACAGGCATGACGAGAATGCCTTGTCAACATGGGTGATGGGGAATCAATCAGACAGGGCGCCGGGCTCAAGGCTGCAGTCACCCAAGAGTGGCTCAGCCCACCAGGCCCTAGGAAACGCCTGCACAGCCTGGAGCTCCTGGAGTCATTTCCTTCATGTCTTCTTCACTGCACTTACGTAAAGATGCCAGCCATTGGTTTGGTGATTTGGAGGGTGCCCAGTTGCCCAACAAGAAATGCAGAAGAGGCCTAGCCAGGATTTCACCAGCAGTGGAGAGTAGAGAAGATGTGGCCAGAAAAGAGTTTCCTTTCCCTCCTAAAGATGGTACTCCCTGCAGCTACTGGGGAAGCCTGCAGCATTCTCTAGGGCTCTGTGTGTTGAGAGCAGCCCCACCCTGGCCCCTTCTGAGTGCATTTCTGCTTTGTGACTTGATCCGTGAAGTCCCCTGAGATGGGCAGAGGGGATGTCCTCGAAGCTGGGGCAGAGCCTCATCCTTGAACGTGAAGGACGTTTGAAGACTGTGGCATGATCACAGGATGAGATCACAGGGAACTTGAGTTTCTCTCCTCCTCTCCCTTCACAGTTATTTCACTGAGGGAAATCCCTCCCCTGCCCAGAATGAAAACTCTAGCCAACTCTTGACTTTTCCATCACTCCAAAGTAGTTGAAAGTACATTAGTCTCCACAGTGGCAAAACAGTGTGCAAAAGCTAAATAATTAGAACAGCCAGTCCCATGTGACAGTCAAAGCTTCTAACTCCATTCAAAGTTGCAGCCATTCCCCTCGAGGGCTGGCAGGGAGGGGAGGGGTAAGAGAAACAGGAAGGTTCTTACTGAGTTGGTCCTGGTGTGAGCTGCGTCACACTCCCTGCAGAGGTTTCAAGGAGACTCTCTCTCTCTCTGTCTCCATGGGGACCTTATTTGAATTCTTCTACTCTTACCCCAGCCTGCCATCTCCAGCTATCCTCCCCTGAAGAGCCCTTCTGCTGCGCTGGATTCTGGTGGCCATGTCATCTCCTCGGCCCCGTGGGAGTCTGAAGATCTGGCTGCAGCCTCACCTCTGAGGTCCTGCTAGTTGCCACCTCTTAAACATGATCTGAGGCTCCCATGCACTCTGACCTGTGCCCACATGGGGCCCACGGGAAACACGCCGGCAAGCAAACTGTGGGTGTGCAGACGGTTCTCAGGGCTGCAGCACCTGTCCTTTGCTCTGCCCCCAAAGCAAGGCCAGCCCATCTTCCATCCTCTAGTGTTCCTTGGTGGGGCCCTGACCACAGTCCACCAGGTCCCTAACCAGAGGGGACACACACCAGGTGTCCTCAATGTATTGCCTTGAAACAGTTGTGCTGGGACTGTGATGGGGGGTGGCCATGTAGCCACCCCCACCACCCCCAAGCCACTCTCTCCAAGGAAATCCTCCTAAAGATCCCTTTACATCCTCCATGTGGTGGGGAGGTTCTAGAGTTGGGTGCATGTGTCTTCAGCTACTGACAATGCAGACCTTAGTTGGCACCTCGCTCTGGCCTATCCTGTTTGCTGTTCTTGGCGCTCCAGTGAAACTCCCCATGGGCCATCCAGTTGGGGTGCAGTGTGGCCACCCCCTTGCAGGTTCCTGCCTTGCTGGAGAGCACAGGGCCCTCCTGGCTCTTGTAAAACACTCCCCATGGTACAGAGAGGCCAGCAGTGATGTGAGGCCCAACCTCCCTCCATGGTGTTCCCAAGCAGCTCCCTTTCTGGGGTCAAGGGGTGGCAAAGACAGTGCAGCGTCCAATTTCTGACTCAAGCCGGGCCTGGCTATCGCAGCTCTGCACTGTGTGTGACAGCAAGGCAACTCACCCAGTGCCGTGGCAGTGACCGTGTCCGAGGAAGCCTCCTCACACCCTCTGTCTCAAGGACTCTGGCATTTAGCTGGACTTGCTGTAGCTCTGAGCCTTTCTGCCATTGCCATCACCTTGTCAGAAACTCAGGCCGAATCTGCACTCAGAGTTGTGCCCAGGCAGTTGAGCCAACACTTGCTCAGCGATATTGTCACATGACAAGGCACTGTCACCACTGGGCGTCGTGGGTAGCGCAGTGTCGGCTGGATGGACCCGGAGGGTGTCTGTGTCATGCTAGTGCTAGTGATGGGAGCCCCGTGAGCCCATTGCCCGCCCTCCCATGCCCTCAGCAGCTGCCTGGGGACAGCCAATGGCCTGGGTGTTTCTGAGGCTACCACATGGCTTCCAGGAAACTCGAGAACCTTTCTCTCCCTTGCCTACACTCTTCACACAGGCCTGTGCTGGCCAGCGGTGGGGATCCGGCATTCCTATCTTAGGTGCAGAAAGTGACTGACTCATTGCAGGCCTGGGAGATAAGACTGATGGCCCAGCCAGCAAGATGTATGGATTTCTCAGAGGCAGTGGCCTCTGTCATTGTCCTCAGGAAATGCTGGTGATTCTGGTGGCCTGAGGTCAATGCATGTCAACGTGGCCAACTTGCCTTATAAACTTTTTTTCTGGACAATTGCGTGCACTGTCCTGTAACAGTGTCCTGTTGTTTATGATGCAGAAATAGGTGTTTTTAAAGCCTATTGATTTTGGTACTATTAATGTGGTCAGGAACTTTCTCAGTCTTTCTTGTTTGGGGTGAGCTGTGGCTTCCTAAACAGGAACCCAAGACACCCCCAAAAGCTGCTCACCAGCACTGCCAGCCTCCCTCTTACCAAGTAGCACCCGTTCAGGACATTCTGCGAAAGGCATTTGCCCAGAAGTTGGGAGGAAGGAAATGTAACATTTTGGGGCACCTACCATATGCCAGGCACCAGGCTAAACGTGTTCACACAAATTCTCTTACTAACCCTCACCATCCTTCTACAAGACAAACTAGTATCTTCATCTTGGGGTTCAAGATGAGGAAATGGAGGCTCAGAGAGGTTGAATGAATGCCGGTGCCTGGATATGAACCCCATCTGCCTGACTCCGCAACCCAGGCAAAGTCTTTCCTTGAACTTCCCAGCAGCCACTGCTTAGACACAGCCTCCACAACCATGGCTCAGCAGCAAATTGCTTCTCTGACCTCACTCAGCCTGTGTGTCCTTGTTGAGTGAGGCATTCAGGACCCTGGTCCCAAAGTGGAGAAAGTCTTTCCTACTAGGTCATAGCTACACCTGCATGTGGGTGCTGTGCCTTTTGTTTAGTGAACTTTTATCACCAGCATCCTCAGCAATGACATTTGCAGAGAAGCCAGAGCTGAGGCACCTTGGTATTCTTGGGATGTGACTTTCCTGAATGTTTAAGGGAAAATGCCCGAAGGTACAGAGAGCTTGGTTTCTAGTAAACAATAACTGTCTTGCTTTTACCCCCCTTCATTTGCTGACACATACACCAGCTGAAGAAGCAGGCATTGGAGACACCCCCAGCCTGGAAGACGAAGCTGCTGGTCACGTGACCCAAGGTCAGTGAACTGGAATTGCCTGCCATGACTTGGGGGTTGGGGGGAGGGACATGGGGTGGGCTCTGCCCTGAAAAGATCATTTGGACCTGAGCTCTAATTCACAAGTCCAGGAGATTTTAGGGAGTTGGTTCTTATCAAAGGTTGGCTACTCAGATATAGAAAGAGCCCTAGTGGTTTTTTTCTAATACCATTTCTGGGTAATTCCTAAGGCATTTAGTGTTCTGAAAGATGCTAGCCTTGTCCAGCCTGGGAGTTGAGAATGAATGTCTAACAGAAACTCTAGGCCGGGCGTGGTGGCTCACGCCTCTAATCCCAGCACTATGGGAGACCCAGGTGGGCAGATCACCTGAGGTCAGGAGTTTGAGACCAGCCTGGCCAACATGTGAAATCCTGTCTCACTACAAATAAAAAAATTAGCCGGGTGTGGTGGTAGGTGCCTATAATCCCAGCTACTCAGGAGGCTGAGGCAGGACAATCGCTCGAACCCAGGAGGTGGACGTTGCAGTGAGCCGAGATCGCATCATTGCACTCCAGCCTGGGCAACAAAAGCAAAACTCCGTCTCAAAAAAAAAAAAGAAACTCAAATATGTGTGACAGGCGATTCTCACTGCAGGCTGCCCTGTGGCTGATCCAGGAGCAAGGCCTTAACCATGTCATCCCCAAGCGATTGCTTGTAAACTTTCTTCTGTGCAGCCTTCAACCCTTATTATGATTTTCTTCTCAGGAACCAAACTGCTGTATTCAAGAAAGGCAGCTTTGTGTAATCATTTATCATAAATATCTTAAGAAAAATCCTAGAGATTCCTAATTTTAGGAAATGGGAGACCTATGGTACTGATATAATGTGGGCTGGGCTTGTTTTCTGTCATTTGCTAGATAAATGAACTTGAGAGCCTACTGTAAAATGTGGAAGCTTCTAGATTGCAGAAGGGCTGGAAAGACACTGTTCTTTTCTCCCGAGTGATGGGATCTGTCCAGTATTTAGAGCTGCCTCTGAGGCCATCTGATTCTAGGAGACTCTGCCTCGTTGAGGATATTTTGAGGCCTAACTACACATTCCTGCCCCCAGAGAGGTCACAGCCTATAGCAGGCTGATGTTTCTCATGTCACATGGCACAGAAAGGCACATTTTCGTTCTCAGGCTAACAAAGAGCTTCAAAAACTATTAGAAGGGACAGTGGCTATAAGAGAAGAACCTCAGTCAATGTGTGAAATTAACTAGGAACCTGGCTCCTGTTTCTTTTAGGTCATGTTTTTCAGCTTAGGTAAAACTAGAGGCTTTGATAAAGCATGACCTCTAGAAATCATTGCTTTTCATAAATGGAAGTGGGTTTGAGTTTTTTCTACTGATTGTTAGTGCAGGTGATGTCTACATGCCCCCAGAACATATTCCATGCAACAAAAAAAGCCCAGGTCACCGTCTTTGCTGGGAACTTGACTTTTGTGCTCACTGAATTTTAAGCTTTCTGACAGCAGCCTGGAATCATGGAGGGATAAAGTACCTATTAGTAAGATGGAAAAAGGTGTTTCAGGTTGGAGCTGCAGTCTGTTGAGAGTAAGCTATGGGAAGGCCTGTATACGAGGGGTGGACTTTTCTTCTGTAAGTGTCCAGAGACCAGGCCTCCTGAAGAGGGCATGGGGGCTTAACTTACCTGGACTACTGTGTTTACAATACTCATTTATCTTGAACTCCTCCTAACCCCTGAGAATTGCTACATTTAGTATTTGCTGAGTACTTCCTAGCATCCTAGGGAATCAATAGAACATTCTCCCAACCAGGCTGGGTGCGGTGGCTCATGTCTGTAATCCCAGCACTTTGGGAGGCCAAGGTAGGCAGATCCCTTGAGGCCAGGAGTGCAAGACTAGCCTGGCTGACATGGTGAAACCCCGTCTTTACTAAAAATACAAAAGTTAGCCAGGCATGGTGGTACACACCTGTAATCCCAGCTACATGGGAGGAGTAGGAGGCAGGAGAATTGCTTGAACCTGGGAGGTGGAGGTTGCTGTGAGCCGAGATCATGCCACTGCACTCCAGCCTGGGCGACAGAGTGAGTGAGACTCTGTTTAAAAAAAAAAAAAAAAAAGAACATTCTCCTAACCTGGCTTCTTCCTCCAGGGGTGTAATTAATCATGTCAGTTTCCTCATTGATACACACACACACACACTACAATCCTGTATCCATTACTTTTCAAGGTACATTTACTATTTACGTTTGGGGTCCTTGTCTCTTTTTTAATAGTGTTTCTTAAAGTCTTGTATTATATCAGAGTACAGTAACATCCCAGTCAAGAGCACTCTAGTAAGCTCTAGGAGGAAAGCGACTTCCGGAAGGCAGTGGAGACCTGTCCTGTTGGGGCAGCATAGGGGCAGCCCCTGCCTCTGGTCAGTTCTGGCGCTCAGGCTCAGGGTTGCCTCTGGGCTGTTCTTCCCAGAGACTGACAAAGGGCTCCCATAAGGCACCTGCAGAGCCTGTGAGAAGCTGAAGTCAATGTTTTCCTGACACCAGTTGATCTGTGCAGGATCCATTGATTTAACCACCTGCTGTGTGGCATGCACTGTGGTCGATGCCAGGAACAGGAATTGGAGGGGCCCATGAGCATGGCCAGTATCACAGGCTGGAGGTGCTGCTGCGCTCTGACCGGGCCTCTTGGGGATGAGCCCATGTCAACCACCTTGCCTCCGATGGGGTCGGGCCCACAGGTTACCTTTGTGTGTCCATGACCACACCTTCCTCCCCGACCTCATCCAAATCTCTTTCTTTTCCAAGCCCCTGAATCCTTCAGGGCTGCAGGTTTTGTTTAAAGCAGAGCTGGTGAGTTGCATAGGTTGTTGCGTTGGGACTAGATGGGGTGTTCAAAGAGTTGGGAGTTAAAAAACATAAAGGGTATTTATTAGGAGAACCAAGGAGTGTAATTCTCCTGTTCTTAATATGCGGCCAGGTTAATGAATGTCACGTGAATGAACCAGAAAAAAATGAAGTGTGCCCTTGATCAGCTGGGTTGGTGTGCAGCAAGCTGTGTGACCAGGGGACAGCAGTGGTCCTGAGGGCCGTCACTGTCTGCCGTGCAGAGCCCTTCCTCCCACGGGGGCCTACCTCACCTGTGCCAAGGGCTTGTCTGTGGTCAGTGACCTGGATAGATCTGAATGGGGCTTCTTTTTCGAGGAGTCTTATGGCAGGTCTCTCAGTAAAGACTCCATTCTTGATGATCACACATTTTGGATTTTCCAAATCTGTCAGAGAATGGGCTTGAGGCGGGGTTTGTGGGCACTAGTTTCACTGGTTTCATTTACCAAAAAGGGGAGCAGAAGTCAAGTATGGTGGCTCATCCCTGTAATCCCAGAGGCAAGAGAATTGCTTGAGCCCAGGAGTTCGAGACCAGCCTGAGCAACATAAGGAGACCCCGTCTCCACAAAAATGAAAAATAACATTTTAGTCAGACGTGGTGGCATGCATCTGTGGTCCCAGCTGCTTGGGAGGGTGAGATGGGAGGGTTGTTTGAGCCCTGGAGTTAAAGTTGCAATGAGCTGTGATTGCACCACTGCACTCTAGCCTGGGTGACAGAACGAGACCCTGTCTCAAAAAAAAAAAAAAAGAAAGAAAAAAAGGAAAAAAAAAACTCATGCCTGTAATCCCAGCACTTTGGGGACCGGGGTGGGCAGATCACGAGGTCAGGAGATCAAGACTATCCTAGCCAACATGGTGAAACCCCGTTTCTACTAAAAATACAAAAATTAGCCAGGTGTGGTGGCACGTGCCTGTAATCCCAGTTACTCGGGAGGCTGAGGCAGGAGAATCGCTTGAACCAGGGAGTCAGAGGTTGCAGTGAGCTGAGATCGTGCCACTGTACTCCAGCCTGGGCGACAGAGTGAGACTCTGTCTCAAACCAAAAAAAAGGGGTGGGGGGCGGGGGCAGGAGAACAGTGAGAGGTAGGGAGAGGAAAGGGGATTCTCGCTACACCCAAACCAGATACCATCTAGAGGCTAGAATCTTTGGGAGGCTCAAATTCCCTAGAAAGCAGGAGAAGCTTCTGTAGCCCTCCCGCTTTCCCAGTAGATTAAGCCCAGGGCGGCTCCAGATGTGTGACATGCTCTGTGCCCAACCAGAGCCCATCATAGGCAGAGGAATAACACCCACACCAGAAGGGCCCTCGGAGGTCACCACGTCCAAGAACCCTCTTTACAGATGAGGAAACTGAGGCCCAGAGAGGGGAGAGCCACCTAGCGAGCTGGTGGCGGCTAGACCAGGAGAGCTGTCATTCCAAGCAAGCAAAGGCAACGAGACGAGCCCAGAGCTGTGCTCCCATCTCTTTGTTAGGGGGCCTGGGATGCCCTCTCAGTGTCATTTTGTCCAGGATGATGCTCCCTCTCTTAAGCGATTAATGCGCCCTTGCTAACCTTTTGCTATCGCTGCCTCTTCAAACCAGAGGAGTTGAGAGTTCCGGGCCGGCAGAGGAAGGCGCCTGAAAGGCCCCTGGCCAATGAGATTAGCGCCCACGTCCAGCCTGGACCCTGCGGAGAGGCCTCTGGGGTCTCTGGGCCGTGCCTCGGGGAGAAAGAGCCAGAAGCTCCCGTCCCGCTGACCGCGAGCCTTCCTCAGCACCGTCCCGTTTGCCCAGCGCCTCCTCCAACAGGAGGCCCTCAGGAGCCCTCCCTGGAGTGGGGACAAAAAGGCGGGGACTGGGCCAAGAAGGGTCCGGCCTTTCCGAAGCCCGCCACCACTGCGTATCTCCACACAGAGCCTGAAAGTGGTAAGGTGGTCCAGGAAGGCTTCCTCCGAGAGCCAGGCCCCCCAGGTCTGAGCCACCAGCTCATGTCCGGCATGCCTGGGGCTCCCCTCCTGCCTGAGGGCCCCAGAGAGGCCACACGCCAACCTTCGGGGACAGGACCTGAGGACACAGAGGGCGGCCGCCACGCCCCTGAGCTGCTCAAGCACCAGCTTCTAGGAGACCTGCACCAGGAGGGGCCGCCGCTGAAGGGGGCAGGGGGCAAAGAGAGGCCGGGGAGCAAGGAGGAGGTGGATGAAGACCGCGACGTCGATGAGTCCTCCCCCCAAGACTCCCCTCCCTCCAAGGCCTCCCCAGCCCAAGATGGGCGGCCTCCCCAGACAGCCGCCAGAGAAGCCACCAGCATCCCAGGCTTCCCAGCGGAGGGTGCCATCCCCCTCCCTGTGGATTTCCTCTCCAAAGTTTCCACAGAGATCCCAGCCTCAGAGCCCGATGGGCCCAGTGTAGGGCGGGCCAAAGGGCAGGATGCCCCCCTGGAGTTCACGTTTCACGTGGAAATCACACCCAACGTGCAGAAGGAGCAGGCGCACTCGGAGGAGCATTTGGGAAGGGCTGCATTTCCAGGGGCCCCTGGAGAGGGGCCAGAGGCCCGGGGCCCCTCTTTGGGAGAGGACACAAAAGAGGCTGACCTTCCAGAGCCCTCTGAAAAGCAGCCTGCTGCTGCTCCGCGGGGGAAGCCCGTCAGCCGGGTCCCTCAACTCAAAGGTCTGTGTCTTGAGCTTCTTCGCTCCTTCCCTGGGGACCTCCCAGGCCTCCCAGGCTGCGGGCACTGCCACTGAGCTTCCAGGCCTCCCGACTCCTGCTGCTTCTGACGTTCCTAGGACGCCACTAAATCGACACCTGGGTGCAGCTGCTCCACTCCCTCGGCCTCCTCCCGTGCTCAGGCTGTGGCCGCACGCGCCCCTCACGCTTGCCCGCCACTCTGCATGTCACCAGCACCCCCGCTCCGTGCTCCCCACCTTGTTTGACTCTCTGGCCACTTGATTTGTCCACAACGGCCCATCAGCCCACAGGAGGTTTGGTGGGTGCCTTCCACCGACAGGATGACGGGTGCCCTCATGGTGTCTAGAACTCTCCAACCCTCCCATGTAGGCATAAGCAGCCCCACTTTGCAGATGAGGAAACGGAGGCTCAGAGAAGTACAGTAACTTGCCGAAGGCCAATGAGTAGTAAGTGACAGAGCCAGGTTTGGGATCCAGGTAGGTTGTCTCTGAAAGACACGCCTGTCCTGCATCCCACAACGCCTCCCAGGAGGTGCTGGAGTGTGGACGCCTAACACAGAGATGTGCAGGGCACACACAGCAGGTGACACACACAGCATCCAGAGGTGGCCCAGAGCTCATGCTGTGCCTTTGGCCCAGTGCCCTGCCCCCACCCACTCTGCCTTGTGGCAGGAAGACAAGGAGCAGACACAAGATCTCCCTGGTCCACATGCCACCACCTCCCTCTGCAGAGGACAAGGGGATCCTCATGCTGGCATTGGAGGGGGTTGAGCAGGGCCCACCTTGAGCCCTCAGGAGCACGACCACAGCAGCCCTGCAGGGAGGGATTGGTGGGAGGAGAGTCCCAAGTATCAGGGAGAGGAGAGTTGGTGTCCCACAGGAGACCTCAGAGCCACAAGGCGAGCTTGTTCATAAATTTGGGACCCTTAGCATTTCACAGTTATTTGCAGAGCCCAGAAATGGATGTTACTGAAGCTCACAGTTGCAAGCATCTGTTAAATTTTTATTAGATTTTACTTTTAGGGAAAACTTTGAAATGCTATAAAGAAGCCTGTGTTTAAAAGTTAAGACAGAGGCTGGGGGCGATGGCTCACGCCTGTAATCTCAGCACTTTGGGAGGCCAAGGCAGGTGGATCATTTGAGGTTAGGAGTTCGAGACCAGCCTGGCCAACATGGTGAGACCCTGTCTCTACTAAAATTACAAAAAATTAGCTGGGCGTGGTGGCGGGCACCTGTAGTCCCAGCTACTGGGGAGGCTGAAGCAGGATAAGTGCTTGAACCCAGGAGGCGGAGGTTACAGTGAGCCAAGATCACACCACTGTACCCTAAGCCTGGGCGACAGAGTGAGACTCTGTCTCAAAAAATAAAATAAAATAAAGTTAAGAGAGAAAAAAATATATCCTATATCCTTTGTTAAATTCCAAAACAGTAGGGGACAAATAACTGACTTGACAGGTTACTACAATATTTCCTGAAATGATGTTTTCTTGAATACTGGCCTACTAGAGGTTCATAGGTGTGTTTGGATTAAAAAAGAGTTCCATGGCCCAGTGACTGGGGGAAAAAAATAAAAGACTAAAGTAAGTTAAACAGGCTTTTCTGCTGCAGGACTTGTCAGAGCCTTTAATGTACTAATGGCCATTGTGACCCTCTGAGAAGGTCACAGAGTGGGTTTCCCAAACTTACTTGATTCTACCTGCTAACATTTCCTGGAGGAAGTTTGGGAAATGCCGATTTAGCAGATTCTTTTGTTGTGCCGTGGATGGTGCTGGTTGATGTGGGCAAAACAAAGAACACGTGAGTCAGATCCGCCTGGGGCTCTTACTAAAGTGCAGGTTCCCAGGTGCCACTTTAGGCTTACAGACCCAGTTGTGGGGTAAGCCTGGGAGTCTTTTAGCAGGTGATTCTGCCACATAGTATAGTTGGAAAACCTCTGGGCATACTCATTGCTGGTCCCTCTAGAAATCCAGGTGACAATAGCCAATGAGAAGCTCCAAGAGACCCAGTTGTCCATGGGGTAGAGGGAATGTGATATTGAAACCAAAGAAGAAAATCTATGATCAGTTTTCAGCAGTGACTGTCAAGAGAAGGAGAAGGGTGAGTTAGCGCTGATGCTGGCTGACAGGTCAGCGGGTTGGTTTCACCAAGGAGTGTGATGAAGGCTGATGTTGTCTGTGGGAATGTATGATGGTAACTGGTTTGTAGCTAATTTGGGGAAGCAGTGAGAATTCGTGCCCTTTGAAGACCAGTAAGTGGCAAGAAACCCACCAGGCCTGGCTCAGGGCTGGGCTGGGCTTGGCTCGTCTCAGAGCAGCTGGGGCTGGTGGCCAAAGCCACCATTAGTGAGGGGCAGGCCCTGGGGGTACAACCAGCAACTAGGGGACAAAGACAACCCTGCCAGCCTCTCCTATTCTGGAGGCGTGTGACCAGAAATGGAGATGGGTTGGTCAGCATAAGATGGCCAGGAAGGTGGAAATCAGGACTGCTGGCAATCTAGCCACATGGGCAGGGGAGCCGGGTGGTTCCAGGCAGTTTCCAAGGCCAAGAGGGTGAGCAGGCACCTCACAGGGAATCAGGGCCAAGCCTGGCTGCAGTGTGGAGACAATGCACCCACCCCCATCCTTGGATCTTGCAGGAGGCTGGGTCCTCACTGAGCTACCAACATCCATGGCCCTGAGGCTTTTAAAACACCCATCCATGGAGTGGGGCTGGTCCCAGTGGGGTGAGGCTGACCCTGGCAGAAACAGGGCAGGAGCCTGTGGGTTAGGGAGACTGCACCTTCCTTAGATAGCCTCCATGCCATCATGTCCCCGTGACAGTTTCTGCTGCGTCCCCTCTGCATGGTCCCACCCTCGGCCAGCCTGCTGCCCCCTCTTGCCAGGTTGCGCTAATCAGTGACCCCAGTGTGCTGTGTTGATACTAACAATGCGAGGCCTAGCAGATTCAAGGGAAAAGAGAACCAACTGGGTTTCCACCAGACCCAACTAAACAAACATGGACCTATCCCAGAGAAATCCAGCTTCACCACAGCTGGCTTTCTGTGAACAGTGAAAATGGAGTGTGACAAGCATTCTTATTTTATATTTTATCAGCTCGCATGGTCAGTAAAAGCAAAGACGGGACTGGAAGCGATGACAAAAAAGCCAAGGTAAGCTGACGATGCCACGGAGCTCTGCAGCTGGTCAAGTTTACAGAGAAGCTGTGCTTTATGTCTGATTCATTCTCATATATAATGTGGGGAGTATTTGTCACTAAAGTACAGCTGTCATTTAAAGTGCTTTGTATTTTGGGGCAGGCTTTTAAAAAGTCCAGCATTTATTAGTTTTGATACTTACCCCAGGGAAGAGCAGTTGGCAGGTTCATGAAGTCATGCTCCTAATTCCAGCTTTCTTAGTGTACTTTCAGTGAGACCCTGACAGTAAATGAAGGTGTGTTTGAAAACCAAACCCAGGACAGTAAATGAAGGTGTGTTTGAAAACCAGCCCTAGGACAGTAAATGAAGCCATCTTCTCACTGCATAAACTGCACCCAGATCTTTGCCCATCCTTCTCAGTATTTCACTTCACCCATTGTTTACTGTCTCAATGACTGGGGAAATGTCTGGGGAAATGCTCCCGTAATTGCACAGTGGCGTTTTTCCTGGAAAATCCCACCATGGCTCTAGATAAGACCTATTTTTCTTAAAGGTATCTAAAATTTCCAGCATAAATTCTGTCTGAAACACCTGAATTTTAATCAGTACTGGAGCCCGGAGGGCATCTCCAGTTGCCACATAGCTCTGAGCATTCAGTGGTGTGTTGAGGGCTGCTCCCGGAAGTGCCTGCAGAGTCAGGGCTCCCCAGCCTCATCTAGTGAGGCAGTGGAAGGGCCTGTGGGGATTTGGAGAGCTGGCCTGGGTCTCTGAAGTGATAGTGACAGCTGCTTGTCAATCACGGTGCACATTTAGTGCCGGGGGCAGGGGGCAGGGAATACCAGCCTCATGCATGCATGCATTCATTTGTTCCTTCCTTCATTCATTCATTCAGTACACATGGGTACAACATCCCTGCCCTGGAGTTGCCCAGAGTCTAGGGAGGGGAAAGATCTATTACCCTGGGCCTCGGCCAGCTGGGGAGTGCTGCTGGTGGAGAGGGGCCGTGTGCAGCGAGGGAAGGAGGAGTCGTCAATACCCCCACCCCAGCTTTGCTTTCTTGTCATCAGCCCCAGGGCCCCAGCCTGTGTCCCTCCTCTCCCATTGCTACTTCATCTCCTGGGTCCTCCTTACCAAGCCTGACCACACAGAGGGCCTTGGCCGCTTCCATGGGGAATTGGAAAGCAATAAGATAGCATCCCCTAGAAGCCCAGTGAAGTCTGGGACAGGACCCTTCTCTGAGCTCTGACTTGCTCTTGGAAACACTTCGAGGCTTAGCCTCCCCACTTTGTTTCCCAAGAGTGTGACCTGTTCCCCTCCAAACACCCCCTTCTCCTCCAGGGCCATGCCCACCCGTCAAAATCCCCCACGGGCAGGACGAACTGTGGGTGTCAGTCACCATCTATCCTGCATCCTGGTTCCAGGGCCCCCCCCAGCCCCGCCTCCATAGGGACAGGCGTGCAGACACCCGTCCCTGGCTGCTTCCTCTTGTGGAATGGGTTCAAAAGTAAGCAGTGTTGTTTACACTGACAAACTGAAAAAAAAAGAAAAAGAGATAACATTGGAGGCTTGGCACAGTGGCTCATGCCTGTAATCCCAGCACTTTGGGAGGCTAAGGTGGGAGGATGTCCCCAGCCCAAGAGTTCTAGACCAGCCTGGGCAACATAGCAAGACCCCATCTCAAAAAAAAAATTTAATTGGCCAGGCAGAGGTGGGAGGATCACTTGAACCCAAAGGGTGGAGGCTGCAGTGAGCCGTGATGGCACCACTGCACTCCAGCCAGGGCAACAGAGGGAGACCCTGTCTCTAAAACAAACAAACAAACAAACAAACAAAAGAGTTAACATTGGCCAGATTAGGATTCACCAGATAGTGTTAATATTAGTTTGATTTGAGACTTTAATCAGAAAGCACATGTGTGGTGGGGGTGGGTGTAACCTAAGTCAGGTAGAATCTTTCCAACTTGGGGGGGGCACACTCCTGATTGTAGCCATATGAGTCTGTCAGTGTGGTGGAAGAGACCATGGGTTAATGGGCAGGTAAAAAAGCACCTTGCCTGGAATTGAGTAGAAAGTAAGGCCCTTCAGACCCCGTGACACACTTGGGGACATTTTCTTGAGTAACATCCTAAGATTCATGTACCTTGATGATCTCCATCAACTTACTCATGTGAAGCACCTTTAAACCAGTCGTCTCCAAATTCAGGGGCACAGTAACATCCAACAGGCTGGAGAAAGAACGTACTAGAACTTCCATTCCTTTTTCATGTCCTCTTCTAAAAGCTTTGTCAGGGCCAGGCGCGGTGGCTCACGCCTGTAATCCCAGCACTTTGGGAGGCCGAGACGGGTGGATCACGAGGTCAGGAGATCGAGACCATCCTGGCTAACACAGTGAAACCCCATCTCTACTAAAAATACAAAAAAACGAGCCGGGCGTGGTGGTGGGCGCCTGTAGTCCCAGCTACTCGGGAGGCTGAGGCAGGAGAATGGCGTGAACCCAGGAGGCAGAGCTTGCAGTGAGCCGAGATTGCACCACTGCAGTCCAGCCTGGGCGACAGAGCGAGACTCCGTCTCAAAAAAGAAAAAGAAAAAGAAAAAGAACTGTGATTGGGGAGGACGGTCACTTTCCTGTTCTTACTGATCAGAAGGGATATTAAGGGTACCTGATTCAAACAGCCTGGAGATCACTGCTTTCAACCATTACCTGCCTTATTTATTTTTAGTTACTGTCCTTTTTTCAGTTTGTTTCCCTCCTCCATGTGCTGACTTTTATTTTGATTTTATTTATGTTTATGTTTAAGACATCCACACGTTCCTCTGCTAAAACCTTGAAAAATAGGCCTTGCCTTAGCCCCAAACACCCCACTCCTGGTAGCTCAGACCCTCTGATCCAACCCTCCAGCCCTGCTGTGTGCCCAGAGCCACCTTCCTCTCCTAAACACGTCTCTTCTGTCACTTCCCGAACTGGCAGTTCTGGAGCAAAGGAGATGAAACTCAAGGTAAGGAAACCACCTTTGAAAAGAACCAGGCTGCTCTGCTGTGGTTTGCAAATGTGGGGTTTGTTTATTTGTTTTTTAGCCTCAAAGACCTTTCTTCAAATGAGTTCTGGCATAGAAGCACCGTGTAAAATAGTTAGAATTCTGGGCAAAGGGGAAAAGAGAGCTGGGGGCCATCCCTCTCAGCACCCCACAGGCTCTCATAGCAGCAGCTCCTAAGACACCTGGTGGGACCTTGGTTTCGAAATCGCTACTCTAAGGCTGGGCACGGTGGCTCACACCTGTAATCCCAGCTCTTTAGGAGGCCGAGGAGGGTGGATCACCTGAGATCAGGAGTTCGAGACCAGCCTGGCTAACATGGCAAAACCCTGTCTCTACTAAAAATACAAAAATTAGCCGGGCGTGGTGTTATGCGTGGTGGTAATCGCAGCTACTCGGGAGGCTGAGGCACAAGGATTGCTTGAACCCCAGAGGCAGAGGTTGTAGTTAGCTCCAGCTTGGGCGACAGAGCAAGACCCTGTCGCAAAAATTGTTTAAAAAACAAACCCAAAATTGCTACTCTCATTGGGTTCCTTTGCCCATTCCTGATTTTGGCAAGAGAAATGCTTCCAGATTGCCCTGATCTGGGTAGGACAGCATCACGCCATAGCAACACTGCCCCGTGAGCTCACTGCCCCCTCAACTAGCTTGTGGTCCTTGGTTAATGTCAGTTTCTTTTTTGAGTTTGTGTTATGTCTAAGGGTCATCTGCTGGGTAACGGAACCCAGGGACTGCCCTAGTCCCTAGACTGTGCCATGCCCGACTCTGCCAGCTTTGTCAGTGATGCTGGTGCTCGCCTCCTCGGGTGCTCGCCTGGTCTGAGCACACCCAAGGAGTTCTTGAGGCCTTAGGGTTGTTTGCGAGAGAATGAAAGAACACGACCTAGCTCTCTTTAGCATCCTTGGTCAGGTTCAACACTGCCCCCAGGGGCCTCTGGTGGAGCCAACCACCATCAGCCAAATAAATCCATAATTAGAGTCAGAAAATGGATGTCTGCATATGTGTAGTGCACTAATGTCCTGCCGATGATTGACATGGAGTGGAGAGTGACCTGATCATTGCTGTGAGCTCTGCTGGCCTTGGCACAACTCATGCTGATAACTAATGCACACAGTTCCTCTGGGAGGAAATGTCCTCAGGGAACTTGGAGTTTGGGTGGGGATGTGGGTTTGTGTGCCCAGCAAGCCCTTGTGGTTGTAGCAGACACTAGTGGCATCTAGGAGGCAAAGGGTCACCCCAGTCTTAGCCACGTTTTGAGTCAAGGTGGCGGAGTGGGGCTGGTGTTGACTCTTGGTGGCAGTAACTTTTCCCAATGGTGAAAAACCCCTCTATCATGTTTCATTTACAGGGGGCTGATGGTAAAACGAAGATCGCCACACCGCGGGGAGCAGCCCCTCCAGGCCAGAAGGGCCAGGCCAACGCCACCAGGATTCCAGCAAAAACCCCGCCCGCTCCAAAGACACCACCCAGCTCTGGTAAGAAGAACGTTCTCTTGAATCTTAGAGGAAGCTGAAGCTCTCAGAGGTACAGCCTTCATTTTAGGAGGCCTTAGGCCACTGAGAATGAATAACCCCTGGCAGCTGGTCAGCAGCTTGCAGTTTACTAAGCACTGGAGTCTTCATTGCCTTCTCAGTCCTTTTGATTTCTGAGGCAAATGTTGAATCCCTACCTTTTTTTTTTTTTTTCTTTTGAGACAGAGTTTCGCTTTTGTTATCCAGGCCGGAGTGCAGTGGTGTGATCTCAGCTCACTGCATCCTCCACCTCCCAGGTTCAAGCGATTCTCCTACCTCAGCCTCCCTAGTAGCTGGGATTACAGGCACCTGCCACTATGCCCGGCTAATTTTTTGTATTTTTAGTAGAGACAGGGTTTCACCATGTTGGCCAGGCTGGTCTCGAACGCCTGACCTCAGGTGATCCACCTGCCTCGGCCTCCCAAAGTGCTGGGATTACAGGCATGAGCCACCACTCCCAGCCTGAATCCTCACTTTTTATCAATGAAGAAATTGAGGCTGATTCTGCAGCATGATAAAAAAAAATACAGAAAAAGGAAAAAAAAGAAAGAAATCGAGCCTCTGAGAGTTTGCTTGACTGAGTCTAACCAGCTCATTTTAAACCCGAGGAAAATGCAGTCACATGACTACTAAGTGGCAGCTCTCGGAGCCTCTCTGGCCCCAAGTCCAGGGTTCCATAGAGGCAGCCCCAGCATGGCATGTTTTCAGTCCCCAAATGAGACTCTGGAGACAAATGTCTCTGGAGACAGAGCAGCAGCCTGGATAAGTCACAATGGGTGACGTCACTCAGGGCTCAACCCCTGGGCAGCTTAACTTGCTAGGGACGTTAGGAGTCTGCTGCAAAACCTGAGGGTCTTAGCTGAGCAGTCACAGGCTGGGCCCGTTGCCCTGGGCTCCTGTGAGTAAAACCCAGTCAATTTTGAGTACCCAGTAAGGCATCCATTGAGTTATTTTGCAGCCAGGAGTGCTATTAAGAACAGTCGCGGCTGGGCGTGGTGGCTCATGCCTGTAATCCCAGCACTTTGGGAGGCCAAGGTGGGCGGATCACCTGAGGTCAGGAGTTCGAGACCAGCTTGGCCAACATGGCAAAACCCCGTCTCTAATAAAAATACAAAATAATTAGCTGGGCGTGGTGGCGGGCGCCTGTAATCCCAGCTTCTCAGGAGGGTGAGGAAGGAGAATCACTTGAACCCAGGAGGCAGAGGTTGCAGTGAGCTGAGATCGCACCATTGCACTCCAGCCTGGATGACAAAAGTGAGATTCCTTCTCAAAAAAAAAAAAAAAAAAACAGTCGTCCTCTTTGGGGATTAGGGACAGCCTGCCTGCCTGCCCGAGCACTTCTCTCTTCCATTGCCCCAGTGAAGTATTCCAGGCCCCTGGGTTTAGACTCTGCACCATGTAGGGGTGTCTGACCTGCACTTGCTCCTTGGTGGCACGGGCAGCCTATGGCACTTGCTGCGGGCTGTGACCAAAGCCTGGCCTGGATCTTGGATCTTGGTGACTCTGCTTCTCCCTGGCCTGAGGGAGCTGCCCAGAGCCTGCCCACCACCTGCTGCGTGTCTTTGCGGTGGCATTTCTCGCACACATGCCGTGCGGTGGCACCCCCAAGGATGGCCATTCACTAAGGCCCATTGTTTTTGTCTTTTCGCTTCGTGTTTTCTGGCCTGGTGTTTTTCTCATATACATGTGATCCAGGGATAATTCCCAGAATTTTGACAGGATTTTAAGTAGCGTTTGGATCCTGCTGTTTTTTTTTCACTTAACATCGGGCCAGTTGACTCACACTCTGTTTTTTGTTGTTGTTTTTTTGAGACGGAGTCTCACTGTGTCACCCAGGCTGAAGTGCAGTGGCACAATCTTGGCATACTGCAACCTCTGCTTCCCAAATTCAAGCAGTTTTCCTGCCTCAGCCTCCTGAGTAGCTGGGACTACAGGCACAGGCCACCACGCCCTGCTAATTTTTGTATTTTTAGTAAAGACAGGGTTTCACCATTTTGGCCAGCCTAGTCTCGAACTCCTGACCTCAAGTGATCCGCCCACCTCGGCCTCCCAAAGTGCTGGGATTACAGGGGACTCACACTTTGTAACAACCTGAAACAACGTGATGCATTTCCCTTTGGGTCTTACCTGCTCTTCGGTGGCTGCCTGCAGGTGGAGAGACCCTCCCCCTTGGGCCCCTCGACCTTGTTTCAGAATGGGGCCCCTGCTGGGCCAGCTGTGGGTGCCTGCCACGTGAAGGACTCATTAAGGCCCTGTTTAAGCCTGATGATAATAAGGCTTTCGTGGATTTTTCTCTTTAAGCGACTAAGCAAGTCCAGAGAAGACCACCCCCTGCAGGGCCCAGATCTGAGAGAGGTACTCGGGAGCCTACTTCGCTGGGAGCAGCCTCCCTTTGCGTGTGTGGCCATTCACTGGCTTGTGTTTCTAGAGCCGGGAGGACCCTTTTCTGCAATGCAGGGTTCACACAGGGTTCGCAGCCTGAAGATGGAGCAGTCCGAATTCTCTTCCCTGTGCAGTTTGCGCAGCTGTGTTTGTCTGATGGGCTTTCTAATCCTGTGTGCTCTCCTTGACTTCAGGGACAATGGCATTACAGGCATGAGCCACCATGCCTGGCTGTCTCCCTATGTTTCAGATGAAGACATAGGCTTAAGGAGGTCAGGTGACTTGCCCACGACCACTCTGTAAATAAGAGGCATGAAAAGTATTTGGAGCCACCACCACCAAGCCCACTGGTCACCCTGGGTCTCTGAAGTCAGGGAGGCAGGAGGATGGGAGGTCTGAGGAGGCAGAGAGGCTGAGCCTGGAGGCCCTGGAGGCCGAGGCCCCATCTGTTGTTTCCTTATGTGGAAAATAAGAGGCTTCATTTGTCCTATTGCCACAGAGCGTACTACTTCAGGAACATCCAAGACATGGAAATCCGCAGGGCACGGTGGCTCACGTCTATAATCCCGGCACTTTGGGAGGTTGAGGTGGGAGAATCGCTTGAGGCCAGAAGTTCAAGACCAGCCTGAGCAACATAGTCAGACCCCGTCTCTATAAAAAACATTATTTTTAAAAAAGACATGGAAGTCAAATTCTAAAAACTGGTGCTGGCTGGGTGCGGTGGCTCATGCCTATAATCCCAGCACTTTGGGAGGCCGAGGCGGGTGGATCACCTGAGGTCAGGAGTTCAAGACCAGCCTGGCCAACATGGTAAAACCTCTACTAAAGAAATCTTTACTGAAAATACAAAAATCCAGTCTCTACTAAAATAAGTCTCTACTAAAAATACAAAAATTAGCCAGGCGTGGTGCTGCACACCTGTAATATCAGCTACTCGGGAGGCTGAGGCAGGAGACTCGCTTGATCCCATGCAGCGGAGGTTGCAGTGAGCCGAGATCACGCCATTGCACTCCAGCCTGGGCATCAGAATAAGACTCCGTCTCAAAAAAAAAACCACAAAAAAACAAAACAACAACAAAAGAAAACTAGTGCTTATTCGTCACTGGCCAAGCTGCCCATTGGCTACATGGGTGCTTCAAAGAGCTGCCCTTCTCCAGGTCTGGCCAGCAGGTATGTGTTACAGCAAATGCCTGGGGCAGCGGCAGGGGCATTGCTGCGGGAAGCTTCTGGACTTGCAGGAAAGCTAAGTTCTCAGACTGCAGGGGAGCTAAGCACACCTCGGCACAGGGTGAGGCCTGCGGTTCTCAGACTTCAGTCTTTGTGGAGCTTGAGAAAAATGAGGCTTTGCAGGTCCCACCCCTAGAGATTCTGCTCTATCCACTCTTGAAGGGGATCGAGAAATTTGCATTTTGCAACTCCCACTTTCCTCCTTGAAAGCTCCGGAGATTCTGACGCAGGGTTCCGTGGGCCACACTTTGGAAAATACAGACCCATGAGATAGAATACCAGACTGTTGAAGTGTAACGGGGGCCTGGGAAGTGCAGTAACAGAAGCAAGTTTGAGGGTAAAGGACACCCAGAGGAGGGAGGGACAGCATCTGCATGGAGAGGAGAAGAGACCCCCCAGCAGCTTCCAGGGTGTTGGAAGGGTGCGCTAGTAACTGCTATGCATGGCAGGTGGGGAACTGTACGTCAGGGCACAGCAGCATGAAGCGGTATGGCTCGTGTGGACAGCTAGGGACAGGCAGGCGTGGAGCAGGCATCCTGTTCTGAAGGCCAAATCCCACAGAGGAGCCAGGGTGCTGGCAGGAGCCCTGAACTAGCCGAACAGCTGAACAGCTGAACATTCACCCTGTGGGGAAAGGGTCAGAAGCGTCCAGGCTTGAGGGCACAGCTGGGTCTCGTCACTGCATCACCCTTATTTAGGATAAAGGCCCTGAAGAATTGTATTAGAGGTTGGCAAAGCATATCTACCACCTCCTGGAGCCACGCTGGCCGCAGGGATTATAATTATTTCCATTTTCAAATTAAGGCCTCTGAGCTCAGAGAGGGGAAGTTACTTGTCTGAGGCCACACAGCTTGTTGGAGCCCATCTCTTGACCCAAAGACTGTGGAGCCGAGTTGGCCACCTCTCTGGGAGCGGGTATTGGATGGTGGTTGATGGTTTTCCATTGCTTTCCTGGGAAAGGGGTGTCTCTGTCCCTAAGCAAAAAGGCAGGGAGGAAGAGATGCTTCCCCAGGGCAGCCGTCTGCTGTAGCTGCGCTTCCAACCTGGCTTCCACCTGCCTAACCCAGTGGTGAGCCTGGGAATGGACCCACGGGACAGGCAGCCCCCAGGGCCTTTTCTGACCCCACCCACTCGAGTCCTGGCTTCACTCCCTTCCTTCCTTCCCAGGTGAACCTCCAAAATCAGGGGATCGCAGCGGCTACAGCAGCCCCGGCTCCCCAGGCACTCCCGGCAGCCGCTCCCGCACCCCGTCCCTTCCAACCCCACCCACCCGGGAGCCCAAGAAGGTGGCAGTGGTCCGTACTCCACCCAAGTCGCCGTCTTCCGCCAAGAGCCGCCTGCAGACAGCCCCCGTGCCCATGCCAGACCTGAAGAATGTCAAGTCCAAGATCGGCTCCACTGAGAACCTGAAGCACCAGCCGGGAGGCGGGAAGGTGAGAGTGGCTGGCTGCGCGTGGAGGTGTGGGGGGCTGCGCCTGGAGGGGTAGGGCTGTGCCTGGAAGGGTAGGGCTGCGCCTGGAGGTGCGCGGTTGAGCGTGGAGTCGTGGGACTGTGCATGGAGGTGTGGGGCTCCCCGCACCTGAGCACCCCCGCATAACACCCCAGTCCCCTCTGGACCCTCTTCAAGGAAGTTCAGTTCTTTATTGGGCTCTCCACTACACTGTGAGTGCCCTCCTCAGGCGAGAGAACGTTCTGGCTCTTCTCTTGCCCCTTCAGCCCCTGTTAATCGGACAGAGATGGCAGGGCTGTGTCTCCACGGCCGGAGGCTCTCATAGTCAGGGCACCCACAGCGGTTCCCCACCTGCCTTCTGGGCAGAATACACTGCCACCCATAGGTCAGCATCTCCACTCGTGGGCCATCTGCTTAGGTTGGGTTCCTCTGGATTCTGGGGAGATTGGGGGTTCTGTTTTGATCAGCTGATTCTTCTGGGAGCAAGTGGGTGCTCGCGAGCTCTCCAGCTTCCTAAAGGTGGAGAAGCACAGACTTCGGGGGCCTGGCCTGGATCCCTTTCCCCATTCCTGTCCCTGTGCCCCTCGTCTGGGTGCGTTAGGGCTGACATACAAAGCACCACAGTGAAAGAACAGCAGTATGCCTCCTCACTAGCCAGGTGTGGGCGGGTGGGTTTCTTCCAAGGCCTCTCTGTGGCCGTGGGTAGCCACCTCTGTCCTGCACCGCTGCAGTCTTCCCTCTGTGTGTGCTCCTGGTAGCTCTGCGCATGCTCATCTTCTTATAAGAACACCATGGCAGCTGGGCGTAGTGGCTCACGCCTATAATCCCAGCACTTTGGGAGGCTGAGGCAGGCAGATCACGAGGTCAGGAGTTCGAGACCAACCTGACCAACAGGGTGAAACCTCGTCTCTACTAAAAATACAAAAATACCTGGGCGTGGTGGTGGTGCGCGCCTATAATCCCAGCTACTCAGGAGGCTGAGGCAGGAGAATCGCTTGAACCCAGGAGGCAGAGGTTGCAGTGAGCCGAGATAGTGCCACTGCACTCCAGTTTGAGCAACAGAGCGAGACTCTGTCTCAAAACAAAATAAAACAAACCAAAAAAACCCACCATGGCTTAGGGCCCAGCCTGATGACCTCATTTTTCACTTAGTCACCTCTCTAAAGGCCCTGTCTCCAAATAGAGTCACATTCTAAGGTACGGGGGTGTTGGGGAGGGGGGTTAGGGCTTCAACATGTGAATTTGCGGGGACCACAATTCAGCCCAGGACCCCGCTCCCGCCACCCAGCACTGGGGAGCTGGGGAAGGGTGAAGAGGAGGCTGGGGGTGAGAAGGACCACAGCTCACTCTGAGGCTGCAGATGTGCTGGGCCTTCTGGGCACTGGGCCTCGGGGAGCTAGGGGGCTTTCTGGAACCCTGGGCCTGCGTGTCAGCTTGCCTCCCCCACGCAGGCGCTCTCCACACCATTGAAGTTCTTATCACTTGGGTCTGAGCCTGGGGCATTTGGACGGAGGGTGGCCACCAGTGCACATGGGCACCTTGCCTCAAACCCTGCCACCTCCCCCCACCCAGGATCCCCCCTGCCCCCGAACAAGCTTGTGAGTGCAGTGTCACATCCCATCGGGATGGAAATGGACGGTCGGGTTAAAAGGGACGCATGTGTAGACCCTGCCTCTGTGCATCAGGCCTCTTTTGAGAGTCCCTGCGTGCCAGGCGGTGCACAGAGGTGGAGAAGACTCGGCTGTGCCCCAGAGCACCTCCTCTCATCGAGGAAAGGACAGACAGTGGCTCCCCTGTGGCTGTGGGGACAAGGGCAGAGCTCCCTGGAACACAGGAGGGAGGGAAGGAAGAGAACATCTCAGAATCTCCCTCCTGATGGCAAACGATCCGGGTTAAATTAAGGTCCGGCCTTTTCCTGCTCAGGCATGTGGAGCTTGTAGTGGAAGAGGCTCTCTGGACCCTCATCCACCACAGTGGCCTGGTTAGAGACCTTGGGGAAATAACTCACAGGTGACCCAGGGCCTCTGTCCTGTACCGCAGCTGAGGGAAACTGTCCTGCGCTTCCACTGGGGACAATGCGCTCCCTCGTCTCCAGACTTTCCAGTCCTCATTCGGTTCTCGAAAGTCGCCTCCAGAAGCCCCATCTTGGGACCACCGTGACTTTCATTCTCCAGGGTGCCTGGCCTTGGTGCTGCCCAAGACCCCAGAGGGGCCCTCACTGGCCTTTCCTGCCTTTTCTCCCATTGCCCACCCATGCACCCCCATCCTGCTCCAGCACCCAGACTGCCATCCAGGATCTCCTCAAGTCACATAACAAGCAGCACCCACAAGGTGCTCCCTTCCCCCTAGCCTGAATCTGCTGCTCCCCGTCTGGGGTTCCCCGCCCATGCACCTCTGGGGGCCCCTGGGTTCTGCCATACCCTGCCCTGTGTCCCATGGTGGGGAATGTCCTTCTCTCCTTATCTCTTCCCTTCCCTTAAATCCAAGTTCAGTTGCCATCTCCTCCAGGAAGTCTTCCTGGATTCCCCTCTCTCTTCTTAAAGCCCCTGTAAACTCTGACCACACTGAGCATGTGTCTGCTGCTCCCTAGTCTGGGCCATGAGTGAGGGTGGAGGCCAAGTCTCATGCATTTTTGCAGCCCCCACAAGACTGTGCAGGTGGCCGGCCCTCATTGAATGCGGGGTTAATTTAACTCAGCCTCTGTGTGAGTGGATGATTCAGGTTGCCAGAGACAGAACCCTCAGCTTAGCATGGGAAGTAGCTTCCCTGTTGACCCTGAGTTCATCTGAGGTTGGCTTGGAAGGTGTGGGCACCATTTGGCCCAGTTCTTACAGCTCTGAAGAGAGCAGCAGGAATGGGGCTGAGCAGGGAAGACAACTTTCCATTGAAGGCCCCTTTCAGGGCCAGAACTGTCCCTCCCACCCTGCAGCTGCCCTGCCTCTGCCCATGAGGGGTGAGAGTCAGGCGACCTCATGCCAAGTGTAGAAAGGGGCAGACGGGAGCCCCAGGTTATGACGTCACCATGCTGGGTGGAGGCAGCACGTCCAAATCTACTAAAGGGTTAAAGGAGAAAGGGTGACTTGACTTTTCTTGAGATATTTTGGGGGACGAAGTGTGGAAAAGTGGCAGAGGACACAGTCACAGCCTCCCTTAAATGCCAGGAAAGCCTAGAAAAATTGTCTGAAACTAAACCTCAGCCATAACAAAGACCAACACATGAATCTCCAGGAAAAAAGAAAAAGAAAAATGTCATACAGGGTCCATGCACAAGAGCCTTTAAAATGACCCGCTGAAGGGTGTCAGGCCTCCTCCTCCTGGACTGGCCTGAAGGCTCCACGAGCTTTTGCTGAGACCTTTGGGTCCCTGTGGCCTCATGTAGTACCCAGTATGCAGTAAGTGCTCAATAAATGTTTGGCTACAAAAGAGGCAAAGCTGGCGGAGTCTGAAGAATCCCTCAACCGTGCCGGAACAGATGCTAACACCAAAGGGAAAAGAGCAGGAGCCAAGTCACGTTTGGGAACCTGCAGAGGCTGAAAACTGCCGCAGATTGCTGCAAATCATTGGGGGAAAAACGGAAAACGTCTGTTTTCCCCTTTGTGCTTTTCTCTGTTTTCTTCTTTGTGCTTTTCTCTGTTTTCAGGATTTGCTACAGTGAACATAGATTGCTTTGGGGCCCCAAATGGAATTATTTTGAAAGGAAAATGCAGATAATCAGGTGGCCGCACTGGAGCACCAGCTGGGTAGGGGTAGAGATTGCAGGCAAGGAGGAGGAGCTGGGTGGGGTGCCAGGCAGGAAGAGCCCGTAGGCCCCGCCGATCTTGTGGGAGTCGTGGGTGGCAGTGTTCCCTCCAGACTGTAAAAGGGAGCACCTGGCGGGAAGAGGGAATTCTTTTAAACATCATTCCAGTGCCCGAGCCTCCTGGACCTGTTGTCATCTTGAGGTGGGCCTCCCCTGGGTGACTCTAGTGTGCAGCCTGGCTGAGACTCAGTGGCCCTGGGTTCTTACTGCTGACACCTACCCTCAACCTCAACCACTGCGGCCTCCTGTGCACCCTGATCCAGTGGCTCATTTTCCACTTTCAGTCCCAGCTCTATCCCTATTTGCAGTTTCCAAGTGCCTGGTCCTCAGTCAGCTCAGACCCAGCCAGGCCAGCCCCTGGTTCCCACATCCCCTTTGCCAAGCTCATCCCCGCCCTGTTTGGCCTGCGGGAGTGGGAGTGTGTCCAGACACAGAGACAAAGGACCAGCTTTTAAAACATTTTGTTGGGGCCAGGTGTGGTGGCTCACACCTAATCCCAACACCTGGGGAGGCCAAGGCAGAAGGATCACTTGAGTCCAGGAGTTCAAGACCAGCCTGGGCAACATAGGGAGACCCTGTCTCTACAATTTTTTTTTTAATTAGCTGGGCCTGTTGGCACTCTCCTGTAGTTCCAGCTACTCTAGAGGCTGAGGTGGGAGGACTGCTTGAGCCTGGGAGGTCAGGGCTGCAATGAGCCATGTTCACACCACTGAACGCCAGCCTGGGCGAGACCCTGTATCAAAAAAGTAAAGTAAAATGAATCCTGTACGTTATATTAAGGTGCCCCAAATTGTACTTAGAAGGATTTCATAGTTTTAAATACTTTTGTTATTTAAAAAATTAAATGACTGCAGCATATAAATTAGGTTCTTAATGGAGGGGAAAAAGAGTACAAGAAAAGAAATAAGAATCTAGAAACAAAGATAAGAGCAGAAATAAACCAGAAAACACAACCTTGCACTCCTAACTTAAAAAAAAAAATGAAGAAAACACAACCAGTAAAACAACATATAACAGCATTAAGAGCTGGCTCCTGGCTGGGCGCGGTGGCGCATGCCTGTAATCCCAACACTTTGGGAGGCCGATGCTGGAGGATCACTTGAGACCAGGAGTTCAAGGTTGCAGTGAGCTATGATCATACCACTACACCCTAGCCTGGGCAACACAGTGAGACTGAGACTCTATTAAAAAAAAAATGCTGGTTCCTTCCTTATTTCATTCCTTTATTCATTCATTCAGACAACATTTATGGGGCACTTCTGAGCACCAGGCTCTGTGCTAAGAGCTTTTGCCCCCAGGGTCCAGGCCAGGGGACAGGGGCAGGTGAGCAGAGAAACAGGGCCAGTCACAGCAGCAGGAGGAATGTAGGATGGAGAGCTTGGCCAGGCAAGGACATGCAGGGGGAGCAGCCTGCACAAGTCAGCAAGCCAGAGAAGACAGGCAGACCCTTGTTTGGGACCTGTTCAGTGGCCTTTGAAAGGACAGCCCCCACCCGGAGTGCTGGGTGCAGGAGCTGAAGGAGGATAGTGGAACACTGCAACGTGGAGCTCTTCAGAGCAAAAGCAAAATAAACAACTGGAGGCAGCTGGGGCAGCAGAGGGTGTGTGTTCAGCACTAAGGGGTGTGAAGCTTGAGCGCTAGGAGAGTTCACACTGGCAGAAGAGAGGTTGGGGCAGCTGCAAGCCTCTGGACATCGCCCGACAGGACAGAGGGTGGTGGACGGTGGCCCTGAAGAGAGGCTCAGTTCAGCTGGCAGTGGCCGTGGGAGTGCTGAAGCAGGCAGGCTGTCGGCATCTGCTGGGGACGGTTAAGCAGGGGTGAGGGCCCAGCCTCAGCAGCCCTTCTTGGGGGGTCGCTGGGAAACATAGAGGAGAACTGAAGAAGCAGGGAGTCCCAGGGTCCATGCAGGGCGAGAGAGAAGTTGCTCATGTGGGGCCCAGGCTGCAGGATCAGGAGAACTGGGGACCCTGTGACTGCCAGCGGGGAGAAGGGGGTGTGCAGGATCATGCCCAGGGAAGGGCCCAGGGGCCCAAGCATGGGGGGGCCTGGTTGGCTCTGAGAAGATGGAGCTAAAGTCACTTTCTCGGAGGATGTCCAGGCCAATAGTTGGGATGTGAAGACGTGAAGCAGCACAGAGCCTGGAAGCCCAGGATGGACAGAAACCTACCTGAGCAGTGGGGCTTTGAAAGCCTTGGGGCGGGGGGTGCAATATTCAAGATGGCCACAAGATGGCAATAGAATGCTGTAACTTTCTTGGTTCTGGGCCGCAGCCTGGGTGGCTGCTTCCTTCCCTGTGTGTATTGATTTGTTTCTCTTTTTTGAGACAGAGTCTTGCTGGGTTGCCCAGGCTGGAGTGCAGTGGTGCGATCATAGCTCACTGCAGCCTTGAAGTCCTGAGCTCAAGAGATCCTTCCACCTCAGCCTCCTGAGTAGTTGGGACCACAGGCTTGCACCACAGTGCCCAACTAATTTCTTATATTTTTTGTAGAGATGGGGTTTCACTGTGTCGCCCAGGATGGTCTTGAACTCCTGGGCTCAAGTGATCCTCCTGCCTCAGCCTCGCAAATTGCTGGGATTACAGGTGTGAGCCACCATGCCCGACCTTCTCTTTTTAAGGGCGTGTGTGTGTGTGTGTGTGTGTGGGCGCACTCTCGTCTTCACCTTCCCCCAGCCTTGCTCTGTCTCTACCCAGTCACCTCTGCCCATCTCTCCGATCTGTTTCTCTCTCCTTTTACCCCTCTTTCCTCCCTCCTCATACACCACTGACCATTATAGAGAACTGAGTATTCTAAAAATACATTTTATTTATTTATTTTGAGACAGAGTCTCACTCTGTCACCCAGGCTGGAGTGCAGTGGTGCAATCTCGGCTCACTGCAACCTCCGCCTCCCAGGTTGAAGCAACTCTCCTGCCTCAGCCTCCCTAGTAGCTGGGATTACAAGCACACACCACCATGCCTAGCAAATTTTTATATTTTTAGTAGAGGAGGGGTGTCACCATGTTTGCCAAGCTGGTCTCAAACTCCTGGCCTCAGGTGATCTGCCTACCTTGGTCTCCCAAAGTGCTGGGATTACAGGTGTGAGCCACCACGCCTGCCCTTAAAAATACATTATATTTAATAGCAAAGCCCCAGTTGTCACTTTAAAAAGCATCTATGTAGAACATTTATGTGGAATAAATACAGTGAATTTGTACGTGGAATCGTTTGCCTCTCCTCAATCAGGGCCAGGGATGCAGGTGAGCTTGGGCTGAGATGTCAGACCCCACAGTAAGTGGGGGGCAGAGCCAGGCTGGGACCCTCCTCTAGGACAGCTCTGTAACTCTGAGACCCTCCAGGCATCTTTTCCTGTACCTCAGTGCTTCTGAAAAATCTGTGTGAATCAAATCATTTTAAAGGAGCTTGGGTTCATCACTGTTTAAAGGACAGTGTAAATAATTCTGAAGGTGACTCTACCCTGTTATTTGATCTCTTCTTTGGCCAGCTGACTTAACAGGACATAGACAGGTTTTCCTGTGTCAGTTCCTAAGCTGATCACCTTGGACTTGAAGAGGAGGCTTGTGTGGGCATCCAGTGCCCACCCCGGGTTAAACTCCCAGCAGAGTATTGCACTGGGCTTGCTGAGCCTGGTGAGGCAAAGCACAGCACAGCGAGCACCAGGCAGTGCTGGAGACAGGCCAAGTCTGGGCCAGCCTGGGAGCCAACTGTGAGGCACGGACGGGGCTGTGGGGCTGTGGGGCTGCAGGCTTGGGGCCAGGGAGGGAGGGCTGGGCTCTTTGGAACAGCCTTGAGAGAACTGAACCCAAACAAAACCAGATCAAGGTCTAGTGAGAGCTTAGGGCTGCTTTGGGTGCTCCAGGAAATTGATTAAACCAAGTGGACACACACCCCCAGCCCCACCTCACCACAGCCTCTCCTTCAGGGTCAAACTCTGACCACAGACATTTCTCCCCTGACTAGGAGTTCCCTGGATCAAAATTGGGAGCTTGCAACACATCGTTCTCTCCCTTGATGGTTTTTGTCAGTGTCTATCCAGAGCTGAAGTGTAATATATATGTTACTGTAGCTGAGAAATTAAATTTCAGGATTCTGATTTCATAATGACAACCATTCCTCTTTTCTCTCCCTTCTGTAAATCTAAGATTCTATAAACGGTGTTGACTTAATGTGACAATTGGCAGTAGTTCAGGTCTGCTTTGTAAATACCCTTGTGTCTATTGTAAAATCTCACAAAGGCTTGTTGCCTTTTTTGTGGGGTTAGAACAAGAAAAAGCCACATGGAAAAAAAATTTCTTTTTTGTTTTTTTGTTTGCTTGTTTTTTTGAGACAGAGTTTCACTCTGTCGCCCAGGCTGGAGTGCAGTGGTGCGATCTCCGCCCACTGCAAGCTCCACCTCCCGGGTTCATGCTATTCTCCTGTCTCAGCCTCCCAAGTAGCTGGGACTGCAGGTGCCCGCCACCACACCTGGCTAATTTTTTTGTATTTTTAGTAGAGACGGGGTTTCACCGTGTTAGCCAGGATGGTCTCAATCTCCTGACCTCGTCATCTGCCTGCCTCGGCCTCCCAAAGTGCTGAGATTACAGGCGTGAGCCACCGTGCCCGGCCAGAAAAAAACATTTCTAAGTATGTGGCAGATACTGAATTATTGCTTAATGTCCTTTGATTCATTTGTTTAATTTCTTTAATGGATTAGTACAGAAAACAAAGTTCTCTTCCTTGAAAAACTGGTAAGTTTTCTTTGTCAGATAAGGAGAGTTAAATAACCCATGACATTTCCCTTTTTGCCTCGGCTTCCAGGAAGCTCAAAGTTAAATGTAATGATCACTCTTGTAATTATCAGTGTTGATGCCCTTCCCTTCTTCTAATGTTACTCTTTACATTTTCCTGCTTTATTATTGTGTGTGTTTTCTAATTCTAAGCTGTTCCCACTCCTTTCTGAAAGCAGGCAAATCTTCTAAGCCTTATCCACTGAAAAGTTATGAATAAAAAATGATCGTCAAGCCTACAGGTGCTGAGGCTACTCCAGAGGCTGAGGCCAGAGGACCACTTGAGCCCAGGAATTTGAGACCTGGGCTGGGCAGCATAGCAAGACTCTATCTCCATTAAAACTATTTTTTTTTATTTAAAAAATAATCCGCAAAGAAGGAGTTTATGTGGGATTCCTTAAAATCGGAGGGTGGCATGAATTGATTCAAAGACTTGTGCAGAGGGCGACAGTGACTCCTTGAGAAGCAGTGTGAGAAAGCCTGTCCCACCTCCTTCCGCAGCTCCAGCCTGGGCTGAGGCACTGTCACAGTGTCTCCTTGCTGGCAGGAGAGAATTTCAACATTCACCAAAAAGTAGTATTGTTTTTATTAGGTTTATGAGGCTGTAGCCTTGAGGACAGCCCAGGACAACTTTGTTGTCACATAGATAGCCTGTGGCTACAAACTCTGAGATCTAGATTCTTCTGTGGCTGCTTCTGACCTGAGAAAGTTGCGGAACCTCAGCGAGCCTCACATGGCCTCCTTGTCCTTAACGTGGGGACGGTGGGCAAGAAAGGTGATGTGGCACTAGAGATTTATCCATCTCTAAAGGAGGAGTGGATTGTACATTGAAACACCAGAGAAGGAATTACAAAGGAAGAATTTGAGTATCTAAAAATGTAGGTCAGGCGCTCCTGTGTTGATTGCAGGGCTATTCACAATAGCCAAGATTTGGAAGCAACCCAAGTGTCCATCAACAGACAAATGGATAAAGAAAATGTGGTGCATATACACAATGGAATACTATTCAGCCATGAAAAAGAATGAGAATCTGTCATTTGAAACAACATGGATGGAACTGGAGGACATTATGTTAAGTGAAATAAGCCAGACAGAAGGACAGACTTCACATGTTCTCACACATTTGTGGGAGCTAAAAATTAAACTCATGGAGATAGAGAGTAGAAGGATGGTTACCAGAGGCTGAGGAGGGTGGAGGGGAGCAGGGAGAAAGTAGGGATGGTTAATGGGTACAAAAACGTAGTTAGCATGCATAGATCTAGTATTGGATAGCACAGCAGGGTGACGACAGCCAACAGTAATTTATAGTACATTTAAAAACAACTAAAAGAGTGTAATTGGACTGGCTAACATGGTGAAACCCCGTCTCTACTAAAAATACAAAAATTAGCTGGGCATGGTGGCTCACGCCTGTAATCCCAGCACTTTGGGAGGCCGAGGCGGGCCGATCACGAGGTCAGGAGATCGAGACCATCCTAGCTAACATGGTGAAACCCCGTCTCTACTACAAATACAAAAAAAAGAAAAAATTAGCCGGGCATGGTGGTGGGCGCCTGTAGTCCCAGCTACTCGGGAGGCTGAGGCAGGAGAATGGCGTGAACCCGGGAGGCGGAGCTTGCAGTGAGCCGAGATCGCGCCACTGCACTCCAGCCTGGGCGACAAGGCAAGATTCTATCTCAAAAAAATAAAAATAAAATAAAATAAAATAATAAAATAAAATAAAATAAAATAAAATAAATAAAATAAAATAAAATGTATAATTGGAATGTTTATAACACAAGAAATGATAAATCCTTGAGGTGATAGATACCCCATTCACCGTGATGTGATTATTGCACAATGTATGTCTGTATCTAAATATCTCATGTACCCCACAAGTATATACACCTACTATGTACCCATATAAATTTAAAATTAAAAAATTATAAAACAAAAATAAATAAGTAAATTAAAATGTAGGCTGGACACCGTGGTTCACGCCTGTAATCCCAGTGCTTTGTGAGGCTGAGGTGAGAGAATCACTTGAGCCCAGGAGTTTGAGACCGGCCTGGGTGACATAGCGAGACCCCATCATCACAAAGAATTTTTAAAAATTAGCTGGGCGTGGTAGCACATACCGGTAGTTCCAGCTACTTGGGAGACCGAGGCAGGAGGATTGCTTGAGCCCAGGAGTTTAAGGCTGCAGTGAGCTACGATGGCGCCACTGCATTCCAGCCTGGGTGACAGAGTGAGAGCTTGTCTCTATTTTAAAAATAATAAAAAGAATAAATAAAAATAAATTAAAATGTAAATATGTGCATGTTAGAAAAAATACACCCATCAGCAAAAAGGGGGTAAAGGAGCGATTTCAGTCATAATTGGAGAGATGCAGAATAAGCCAGCAATGCAGTTTCTTTTATTTTGGTCAAAAAAAATAAGCAAAACAATGTTGTAAACACCCAGTGCTGGCAGCAATGTGGTGAGGCTGGCTCTCTCACCAGGGCTCACAGGGAAAACTCATGCAACCCTTTTAGAAAGCCATGTGGAGAGTTGTACCGAGAGGTTTTAGAATATTTATAACTTTGACCCAGAAATTCTATTCTAGGACTCTGTGTTATGAAAATAACCCATCATATGGAAAAAGCTCCTTTCAGAAAGAGGTTCATGGGAGGCTGTTTGTATTTTTTTTTTCTTTGCATCAAATCCAGCTCCTGCAGGACTGTTTGTATTATTGAAGTACAAAGTGGAATCAATACAAATGTTGGATAGCAGGGGAACAATATTCACAAAATGGAATGGGACATAGTATTAAACATAGTGCTTCTGATGACCGTAGACCATAGACAATGCTTAGGATATGATATCACTTCTTTTGTTGTTTTTTGTATTTTGAGACGAAGTCTCATTCTGTCACCCAGGCTGGAGTTCAGTGGCGCCATCTCAGCTCACTGCAACCTCCATCTCCCGGGTTCAAGCTATTCTCCTTCCTCAACCTCCCGAGTAGCTGGGTTGCGCACCACCATGCCTGGCTAACTTTTGTATTTTTAGTACAGACGGGGTTTCACCACGTTGGCCAGGCTGCTCTTGAACTCCTGACGTCAGGTGATCCACCAGCCTTGACCTCCCAAAGTGCTAGGATTACAGGAGCCACTGTACCCAGCCTAGGATATGATATCACTTCTTAGAGCAAGATACAAAATTGCATGTGCACAATAATTCTACCAAGTATAGGTATACAGGGGTAGTTATATATAAATGAGACTTCAAGGAAATACAACAAAATGCAATCGTGATTGTGTTAGGGTGGTAAGAAAACGGTTTTTGCTTTGATGAGCTCTGTTTTTTAAAATCGTTATATTTTCTAATAAAAATACATAGTCTTTTGAAGGAACATAAAAGATTATGAAGAAATGAGTTAGATATTGATTCCTATTGAAGATTCAGACAAGTAAAATTAAGGGGAAAAAAAACGGGATGAACCAGAAGTCAGGCTGGAGTTCCAACCCCAGATCCGACAGCCCAGGCTGATGGGGCCTCCAGGGCAGTGGTTTCCACCCAGCATTCTCAAAAGAGCCACTGAGGTCTCAGTGCCATTTTCAAGATTTCGGAAGCGGCCTGGGCACGGCTGGTCCTTCACTGGGATCACCACTTGGCAATTATTTACACCTGAGACGAATAAAAACCAGAGTGCTGAGATTACAGGCATGGTGGCTTACGCTTGTAATCGGCTTTGGGAAGCCGAGGTGGGCTGATTGCTTGAGCCCAGGAGTTTCAAACTATCCTGGACAACATAGCATGACCTCGTCTCTACAAAAAATACAAAAAATTTGCCAGGTGTGGTGGCATGTGCCTGTGGTCCCAGCTACTTGGGAGGCTGAAGTAGGAGAATCCCCTGAGCCCTGGGAAGTCGAGGCTGCACTGAGCCGTGATGGTGTCACTGCACTCCAGCCTGGGTGACAAAGTGAGACCCTATCTCACAAAGAAAAAAAACAAAACAAAAAACCCAAAGCACACTGTTTCCACTGTTTCCAGAGTTCCTGAGAGGAAAGGTCACCGGGTGAGGAAGACGTTCTCACTGATCTGGCAGAGAAAATGTCCAGTTTTTCCAACTCCCTAAACCATGGTTTTCTATTTCATAGTTCTTAGGCAAATTGGTAAAAATCATTTCTCATCAAAACGCTGATATTTTCACACCTCCCTGGTGTCTGCAGAAAGAACCTTCCAGAAATGCAGTCGTGGGAGACCCATCCAGGCCACCCCTGCTTATGGAAGAGCTGAGAAAAAGCCCCACGGGAGCATTTGCTCAGCTTCCGTTACGCACCTAGTGGCATTGTGGGTGGGAGAGGGCTGGTGGGTGGATGGAAGGAGAAGGCACAGCCCCCCCTTGCAGGGACAGAGCCCTCGTACAGAAGGGACACCCCACATTTGTCTTCCCCACAAAGCGGCCTGTGTCCTGCCTACGGGGTCAGGGCTTCTCAAACCTGGCTGTGTGTCAGAATCACCAGGGGAACTTTTCAAAACTAGAGAGACTGAAGCCAGACTCCTAGATTCTAATTCTAGGTCAGGGCTAGGGGCTGAGATTGTAAAAATCCACAGGTGATTCTGATGCCCGGCAGGCTTGAGAACAGCCGCAGGGAGTTCTCTGGGAATGTGCCGGTGGGTCTAGCCAGGTGTGAGTGGAGATGCCGGGGAACTTCCTATTACTCACTCGTCAGTGTGGCCGAACACATTTTTCACTTGACCTCAGGCTGGTGAACGCTCCCCTCTGGGGTTCAGGCCTCACGATGCCATCCTTTTGTGAAGTGAGGACCTGCAATCCCAGCTTCGTAAAGCCCGCTGGAAATCACTCACACTTCTGGGATGCCTTCAGAGCAGCCCTCTATCCCTTCAGCTCCCCTGGGATGTGACTCAACCTCCCGTCACTCCCCAGACTGCCTCTGCCAAGTCCGAAAGTGGAGGCATCCTTGCGAGCAAGTAGGCGGGTCCAGGGTGGCGCATGTCACTCATCGAAAGTGGAGGCGTCCTTGCGAGCAAGCAGGCGGGTCCAGGGTGGCGTGTCACTCATCCTTTTTTCTGGCTACCAAAGGTGCAGATAATTAATAAGAAGCTGGATCTTAGCAACGTCCAGTCCAAGTGTGGCTCAAAGGATAATATCAAACACGTCCCGGGAGGCGGCAGTGTGAGTACCTTCACACGTCCCATGCGCCGTGCTGTGGCTTGAATTATTAGGAAGTGGTGTGAGTGCGTACACTTGCGAGACACTGCATAGAATAAATCCTTCTTGGGCTCTCAGGATCTGGCTGCGACCTCTGGGTGAATGTAGCCCGGCTCCCCACATTCCCCCACACAGTCCACTGTTCCCAGAAGCCCCTTCCTCATATTCTAGGAGGGGGTGTCCCAGCATTTCTGGGTCCCCCAGCCTGCGCAGGCTGTGTGGACAGAATAGGGCAGATGACGGACCCTCTCTCCGGACCCTGCCTGGGAAGCTGAGAATACCCATCAAAGTCTCCTTCCACTCATGCCCAGCCCTGTCCCCAGGAGCCCCATAGCCCATTGGAAGTTGGGCTGAAGGTGGTGGCACCTGAGACTGGGCTGCCGCCTCCTCCCCCGACACCTGGGCAGGTTGACGTTGAGTGGCTCCACTGTGGACAGGTGACCCGTTTGTTCTGATGAGCGGACACCAAGGTCTTACTGTCCTGCTCAGCTGCTGCTCCTACACGTTCAAGGCAGGAGCCGATTCCTAAGCCTCCAGCTTATGCTTAGCCTGCGCCACCCTCTGGCAGAGACTCCAGATGCAAAGAGCCAAACCAAAGTGCGACAGGTCCCTCTGCCCAGCGTTGAGGTGTGGCAGAGAAATGCTGCTTTTGGCCCTTTTAGATTTGGCTGCCTCTTGCCAGGAGTGGTGGCTCGTGCCTGTAATTCCAGCACTTTGGGAGACTAAGGCGGGAGGTTCGCTTGAGCCCAGGAGTTCAAGACCAGCCTGGGCAACAATGAGACCCCTGTGTCTACAAAAAGAATTAAAATTAGCCAGGTGTGGTGGCACGCACCTGTAGTCCCAGCTACTTGGGAGGCTGAGGTGGGAGGATTGCCTGAGTCCGGGAGGCGGAAGTTGCAAGGAGCCATGATCGCGCCACTGCACTTCAACCTAGGCAACAGAGTGAGACTTTGTCTCAAAAAACAATCATATAATAATTTTAAAATAAATAGATTTGGCTTCCTCTAAATGTCCCCGGGGACTCCGTGCATCTTCTGTGGAGTGTCTCCGTGAGATTCGGGACTCAGATCCTCAAGTGCAACTGACCCACCCGATAAGCTGAGGCTTCATCATCCCCTGGCCGGTCTATGTCGACTGGGCACCCGAGGCTCCTCTCCCACCAGCTCTCTTGGTCAGCTGAAAGCAAACTGTTAACACCCTGGGGAGCTGGACGTATGAGACCCTTGGGGTGGGAGGCGTTGATTTTTGAGAGCAATCACCTGGCCCTGGCTGGCAGTACCGGGACACTGCTGTGGCTCCGGGGTGGGCTGTCTCCAGAAAATGCCTGGCCTGAGGCAGCCACCCGCATCCAGCCCAGAGGGTTTATTCTTGCAATGTGCTGCTGCTTCCTGCCCTGAGCACCTGGATCCCGGCTTCTGCCCTGAGGCCCCTTGAGTCCCACAGGTAGCAAGCGCTTGCCCTGCGGCTGCTGCATGGGGCTAACTAACGCTTCCTCACCAGTGTCTGCTAAGTGTCTCCTCTGTCTCCCACGCCCTGCTCTCCTGTCCCCCCAGTTTGTCTGCTGTGAGGGGACAGAAGAGGTGTGTGCCGCCCCCACCCCTGCCCGGGCCCTTGTTCCTGGGATTGCTGTTTTCAGCTGTTTGAGCTTTGATCCTGGTTCTCTGGCTTCCTCAAAGTGAGCTCGGCCAGAGGAGGAAGGCCATGTGCTTTCTGGTTGAAGTCAAGTCTGGTGCCCTGGTGGAGGCTGTGCTGCTGAGGCGGAGCTGGGGAGAGAGTGCACACGGGCTGCGTGGCCAACCCCTCTGGGTAGCTGATGCCCAAAGACGCTGCAGTGCCCAGGACATCTGGGACCTCCCTGGGGCCCGCCCGTGTGTCCCGCGCTGTGTTCATCTGCGGGCTAGCCTGTGACCCGCGCTGTGCTCGTCTGCGGGCTAGCCTGTGTCCCGCGCTCTGCTTGTCTGCGGTCTAGCCTGTGACCTGGCAGAGAGCCACCAGATGTCCCGGGCTGAGCACTGCCCTCTGAGCACCTTCACAGGAAGCCCTTCTCCTGGTGAGAAGAGATGCCAGCCCCTGGCATCTGGGGGCACTGGATCCCTGGCCTGAGCCCTAGCCTCTCCCCAGCCTGGGGGCCCCTTCCCAGCAGGCTGGCCCTGCTCCTTCTCTACCTGGGACCCTTCTGCCTCCTGGCTGGACCCTGGAAGCTCTGCAGGGCCTGCTGTCCCCCTCCCTGCCCTCCAGGTATCCTGACCACCGGCCCTGGCTCCCACTGCCATCCACTCCTCTCCTTTCTGGCCGTTCCCTGGTCCCTGTCCCAGCCCCCCTCCCCCTCTCACGAGTTACCTCACCCAGGCCAGAGGGAAGAGGGAAGGAGGCCCTGGTCATACCAGCACGTCCTCCCACCTCCCTCAGCCCTGGTCCACCCCCTCAGTGCTGGCCTCAGAGCACAGCTCTCTCCAAGCCAGGCCGCGCGCCATCCATCCTCCCTGTCCCCCAACGTCCTTGCCACAGATCATGTCCGCCCTGACACACATGGGTCTCAGCCATCTCTGCCCCAGTTAACTCCCCATCCATAAAGAGCACATGCCAGCTGACACCAAAATAATTCGGGATGGTTCCAGTTTAGACCTAAGTGGAAGGAGAAACCACCACCTGCCCTGCACCTTGTTTTTTGGTGACCTTGATAAACCATCTTCAGCCATGAAGCCAGCTGTCTCCCAGGAAGCTCCAGGGCGGTGCTTCCTCGGGAGCTGACTGATAGGTGGGAGGTGGCTGCCCCCTTGCACCCTCAGGTGACCCCACACAAGGCCACTGCTGGAGGCCCTGGGGACTCCAGGAATGTCAATCAGTGACCTGCCCCCCAGGCCCCACACAGCCA
Organism: Homo sapiens; assembly: GCF_000001405.40. Lineage (NCBI taxonomy): Eukaryota > Metazoa > Chordata > Mammalia > Primates > Hominidae > Homo > Homo sapiens. The sequence goes on from NT_187663.1 coordinate 715,433, forward strand.
TGGCTGCATAGAGGCCTGCCTCCAAGGGACCTGTCTGTCTGCCACTGTGGAGTCCCTACAGCGTGCCCCCCACAGGGGAGCTGGTTCTTTGACTGAGAAAAGCTGGCAGCTCAGGGTCATCATTCCCAGAGGGAGCGGTGCCCTGGAGGCCACAGGCCTCCTCATGTGTGTCTGCGTCCGCTCGAGCTTACTGAGACACTAAATCTGTTGGTTTCTGCTGTGCCACCTACCCACCCTGTTGGTGTTGCTTTGTTCCTATTGCTAAAGACAGGAATGTCCAGGACACTGAGTGTGCAGGTGCCTGCTGGTTCTCACGTCCGAGCTGCTGAACTCCGCTGGGTCCTGCTTACTGATGGTCTTTGCTCTAGTGCTTTCCAGGGTCCGTGGAAGCTTTTCCTGGAATAAAGCCCACGCATCGACCCTCACAGCGCCTCCCCTCTTTGAGGCCCAGCAGATACCCCACTCCTGCCTTTCCAGCAAGATTTTTCAGATGCTGTGCATACTCATCATATTGATCACTTTTTTCTTCATGCCTGATTGTGATCTGTCAATTTCATGTCAGGAAAGGGAGTGACATTTTTACACTTAAGCGTTTGCTGAGCAAATGTCTGGGTCTTGCACAATGACAATGGGTCCCTGTTTTTCCCAGAGGCTCTTTTGTTCTGCAGGGATTGAAGACACTCCAGTCCCACAGTCCCCAGCTCCCCTGGGGCAGGGTTGGCAGAATTTCGACAACACATTTTTCCACCCTGACTAGGATGTGCTCCTCATGGCAGCTGGGAACCACTGTCCAATAAGGGCCTGGGCTTACACAGCTGCTTCTCATTGAGTTACACCCTTAATAAAATAATCCCATTTTATCCTTTTTGTCTCTCTGTCTTCCTCTCTCTCTGCCTTTCCTCTTCTCTCTCCTCCTCTCTCATCTCCAGGTGCAAATAGTCTACAAACCAGTTGACCTGAGCAAGGTGACCTCCAAGTGTGGCTCATTAGGCAACATCCATCATAAACCAGGTAGCCCTGTGGAAGGTGAGGGTTGGGACGGGAGGGTGCAGGGGGTGGAGGAGTCCTGGTGAGGCTGGAACTGCTCCAGACTTCAGAAGGGGCTGGAAAGGATATTTTAGGTAGACCTACATCAAGGAAAGTGTTGAGTGTGAAACTTGCGGGAGCCCAGGAGGCGTGGTGGCTCCAGCTCGCTCCTGCCCAGGCCATGCTGCCCAAGACAAGGTGAGGCGGGAGTGAAGTGAAATAAGGCAGGCACAGAAAGAAAGCACATATTCTCGGCCAGGCGCTGTGGCTCACGCCTGTAATTCCAGCACTTTGGGAGGCCAAGGTGGGTGGATCATGAGGTCAGGAGATTGAGACCATCCTGGCTAACACAGTGAAACCCCGTCTCTACTAAAAATACAAAAAATTAGCCGGGCGTGGTGGTGGGCGCCTGTAGTCCCAGCTACTCCGGAGGCTGAGGCAGGAAAATGGCGTGAACCCGGAAGGCGGAGCTTGCAGTGAGCGGAGTGAGCAGAGATCGCGCCACTGCACTCCAGCCTGGGCGACAGAGCGAGACTCCGTCTCAAAAAAAAAAAGCACATGTTCTCGCTTCTTTGTGGGATCCAGGAGATAGAGAATAGAAGGATGGTTACCAGAGGCTGGGAAGGGTAGTGAGGGGATGGTGGGGGGATGGTCAATGGGTACAAAAAAAATAGAATAAGACCTAGTATTTGATAGTGCAACAGGGTGACTATAGTCAATAATAATTTAATTGTACATTTAAAAATAACTAAAAGATAGCCGGGTGCAGTGGCTTACGTCTGTAATCCCAGTACTTTGGGAGGCTGAGGTGGGCGTTTGAGACCAGCCTGGCCAACATGGTGAAACCCCATCTCTACTAAAAATACAAAAATTAGCCAGGCATGGTGGCGGGCGCCTGTAATCCCAGCTACTCGGGAGGCTGAGGCAGGAGAATCACTTGAACCTGGGAGGCAGAGGTTGCAGTGAGCCGAGATCTTGCCACTGCACTCCAGCCTGGGTGACAGTGAAACTCCGTCTCAAAAATAAAAATAAAAATACAGCTGGGCACGGTGGCTCACGCCTGTAATCCCAGCACTTTGGGAGGCCGAGGCGAGCGGATCACAAGGTCAGGAGATATAGACCATCCTGGCTAACACGGTGAAACCCGGTCTCTACTAAAAATACAAAAAATTAGCCAGGCGTGGTGGCAGGTGCCTATAGTCCCAGCTACTCACAAGGCTGAGGCAGGAGAATGGCATGAACCTGGGAGGCGGAGCTTGCAGTGAGCCGAGATTGTGCCACTGCACTCCAGCCTGGGCGAGAGAGTGAGACTCCGTCTCAAAACAAAAACAAAAACAAAAACAAAAACAAACACACAACAAAAACCTAAAAGAATATAAATGGATTGTTTGTAACACAAAGGACAAATGTTTGAGGGGATGGATACCCCATTTTCCATGATGTGATTATTATACATTGTGTGTCTGTATCAAAACATCTCATGAGCCCCATAAATATATACACCTAACTATGTACCCACAAAAATTAAAAAAATATATTTTTTAAGGTGAAGAGGGAGGCGAGATGCTGGCCTTAACCCCTAACCCGTTGTTCTCCCTGCAAGCTGTCCACAGGGCCTCTCAGACTCGAGGTTCAGCTATATGGATGCATGAGCTTGGTCCCCAGCCAACATGGGAGACACTTCACCATCGGCAGCAGCTACAGCACAGGAACCCTGGGTCACTGCCATGTCCCCTCTGTGACTTTGTTTAAACAGAAAATGATGCTCTGGGCCGGCTGTGGTGGCCCACACCTATAATCCCAGCACCTTGGGAGGCGGGGGTGGGCAGATTGCCTGAGGTCAGGAGTTGGAGATCAGCCTGGCCGACATGGCGAAACCCCATGTCTACTAAAAATACAAAAACTAGCCAGGCATGGTGGCACATGCCTGTAATCCCAGCTACTTGGGAGGCTGAAGCAGGAGAATCACTTGAACCCAGGAGGCAGAGGCTGAGTGAGCCAAGATCGTGCCAATGCACTCCAGCTTGGGTGAGGGAGTGAGACTCCGTCTCAAAAAAAAAAAAAAAGAAAGAAAAAGAAAAGAAAGTGATCCTACTGGAACCATGCTTACTCCCCTCCCCACCTCACACTGTGTAGAAATTAGTGCTGTCGGCCAGGCGCGGTGGCTCATGCCTGTAATCGCAGCACTTTGGGAGGCCAAGGCAGGCGGATCACGAGGTCAGGAGATCAAGACCATCCTGGCTAACACAGTGAAACCCTGTCTCTACTAAAAATACAAAAAATTAGCCGGGCATGGTGGCAGGCACCTGTAGTCCCAACTACTTGGGAGGCTGAGGCAGGAGAATGGCATGAACCTGGGAGGCGGAGCTTGCAGTGAGCCAAGATCGCGCCACTGCATACCAGCCTAGGTGACAGAGTGAGACTCAGCAAAAAAAGAAAGAAAGAAAGAAAGAAATCAGTGCTGTCTATACTTCTTTCTGCAGTGATGGAAATATTCTGTATCTGTGCTGTCCAGTATAGTAGCCACTAGCTACATGTGGCACTTGAAACATGGCTGGTACAGTTGAGGAAGAGTGGCTGCCATATCGGACGACACAGCTATAGATTCTGTCACCCCACCCCGAGAGTCCAGAGCGGGGACTTCTGCCTTAGGCCCTATTCAGGGCTGATTTTTACTTGAACCCTTACTGTGGGAAGAGAAGGCCATGAGAAGTTCAGTCTAGAATGTGACTCCTTATTTTCTGGCTCCCTTGGACACTTTGTGGGATTTAGTCTCCCTGTGGAAAGTATTCCACAAGTGGTGCCACTACCCCAGCTGTGAGAGCAGCTGGGAGCTGCTTTTGTCATCTTTCCCTGGAAAGTCCTGTGGGCTGTCTCTTCCTCATGCCTTGTCCCATGCTTGGGCATGGTGTCAAGCGTCAGGAGGGAGAAAGGGTCCTTATTTATTTATTTAGAGAGGGACCCTTCTTCTGTTCCCAGGCTGGAGTGCAGTGGTGCGATCTCGGCTCACTGCAACCTCCGCCTCCTGGGTTCAAGTGATTCTCCTGCCTCAGCCTCCTGAGTAGCTGAGATTACAGGCACATGCCAACATGCCCGGCTAATTTTTTTTTTTTTTTTTTTTTTTTTGAGATGGAGTTGTACTCTCATTGCCCAGGCTGGAATGTAATGGCACAATCTCGGCTCACTGCAACCTCCACCTCCTGGATTCAAGCAATTCTCCTGTCTCAGCTTCCCAAGTAGCTGGGATTACAGGTGCCCGCCACCATGCTCAACTAATTTTTGTATTTTTTTTTTAGTAGAGACGAGGTTTCACCATGTTGGTCAGACTGGTCTCAAACTCCTGACCTCAGGTGATCCACCTGCCTCGGCCTCCCAAAGTGCTAGGATTACAGGCATGAGCCACCACGCCCGGCCTGAAAGGGTTCTTATTTAGTGTGCATTTTGACATTCAATTTAATTCCAAGGTCTTGTGGGGTCATGGTTTACAGGATGTTGATATAGAAAAGACTTCACTTAATGGGCCGGGCGCAGTGGCTCATGCCTGTAATCCCAGCACTTTGGGAGGCCGAGGCAGGCAGATCAGGAGGTCAGGAGATTGAGACCATCCTGGCTAACACAGTGAAACCCCATCTCTACTGAAAATACAAAAAATTAGCTGGGCGTGGTGGCAGGCACCTGTAGTCCCAGCCACTCGGTTGGCTGAGGCAGGAGAATGGCATGAACCCGGGAGGCGGAGCTTGCAGTGAGCAGAGACCATGCCACTGCACTCCAGCCTGGGCGACAGAGCAAGACTCTGTCTCAAGAAAAAAAAAAAAAAAACAGACTTTACTTACTGGAAGCCAACCAATGTATATTTAGAGTAATTTTTCCTGGGCTGAGCTGTCATTTACTTTTGCAGTATCTCAAGAAGAAGAGTTTACAGTGTAAATATTTGATGCACACTTTGATTATATAGATGAAGCAAACTATTTTCAAGAGCTTTGCAAGGACTTACTTGTATCCAAACACCATTCTAAAGGAGTCTTACCTACTTCTAAAGGCTGGTCTCTACTTGGAACCACTTGCTTGGCCCTGGTTCAAGTCCTGCTGCAAACCTGGAAGTCCTGTCATTGTCTTCTTCCCTCCAGAGCAGTGGCACCCAATCTAATTTTTGCTGTGCCCCAGCAGCCCCTGGCACTTTGCCCTGTAGACTGCAGACCTCATGTAATGTATGTTAAGTCCACAGAACCACAGAAGATGATGGCAAGATGCTCTTGTGTGTGTTGTGTTCTAGGAGGTGGCCAGGTGGAAGTAAAATCTGAGAAGCTTGACTTCAAGGACAGAGTCCAGTCGAAGATTGGGTCCCTGGACAATATCACCCACGTCCCTGGCGGAGGAAATAAAAAGGTAAAGGGGGTAGGGTGGGTTGGATGCTGCCCTTGGGTATATGGGCATTAATCAAGTTGAGTGGACAAAGGCTGGTCCAGTTCCCAGAGGAGGAAAACAGAGGCTTCTGTGTTGACTGGCTGGATGTGGGCCCTCAGCAGCATCCAGTGGGTCTCCACTGCCTGTCTCAATCACCTGGAGCTTTAGCACGTTTCACACCTGGGCCCCAACCTGGAGAGGCTGACCAATGGGTCTCAGGGGCAGCTCGGTTGCTGGAGTTTTTGTTTTTATTTATTTTTATGTATTTAAGGCAGGGTCTCTGTATTAGTCCATTCTCACACTGCTAATAAAGACATACCCAAGACTGGGTAATTTATAAAGGAAAGAGGTTTAATGGACTCACAGTTCCACATGGCTGGGGAGGCCTCAAAATCATGGCGGAAGGCAAAGGAGAAGCAAAGGCATTTCTTACATGGCGACAGGCAAGAGAGCGTGTGCAGGGGAACTCCCATTTATAAAACCATCAGACCTCATGAGATTTATTCACTATCATGAGAACAGCATGGGAAAGACCCGCCCCCATGATTCAGTTACCTCCCACTGGGTCCCTCCCATGACACATGGAATTATGGGAGCTACAATTCAAGATGAGATTTGGGTGGGGACACAGCCAAACCATATCAGTCTCCCTCTGTCATCCAGGCTGGAGTGCACTGGCATGATCTCGGCTCACTGCAGCCTCTACCTCCCTGGGTCAGGTGATCTTCCCACCTCAGCCTCCCAGGTAGCTGGAACTACAGGTACCTGCCACTATGCCTGGCTAAATATTTTGTATTTCCTGTGGAGACGAGGTTTTGCCACGTTGCCCAGGCTGGTCTTGAACTCCTGAGGTCAAGCAATATGCCCACCTCGGCCTCCCAAGGTGCTGGGATTACAGGTGTGAGCCACAGTGCTCGGCCTAAGTCACTGCAGTTTTTAAAGCTCCCAGGTGATTCTTCAGTGCAGTCAAAAGTGAGAACTGGCTGGGTGCGGTGGCTCATGCCTGTAATCCCAGCACCTTGGGAGGCGAAGGTGGGCAGATGGCTTGAGGTCAGGAGTTCAAGACCAGCCTGGCCAACATGGTAAAACCCCATCTCTACTAAAAATACAAAAGTTAGCTGGGTGTGGTGGTGCGTGCCTGTAATCCCAGCTACTTGGGAGGCTGAGGCATGAGAATTGCTTGAACCCAGGGGACAGAGGTTGTAGTGAGCCGAGATCGTGCCACTGCACTCCAGCCTGGGCAACAGAGTGAGATTCCATCTCACAAAAAAAAAAAAAAGCGAGAACCACTGTCCTAGGCCCTGATGTTTGCAGGCAACTAAAAAAGGAAGTGGACATCCCCAGTCAGCTGTGGCGCACCAAGAACAAGTCATGGGAACATAACCTAATTTTCTAAATGGGTTACTAGGCACTTAGAGCAAAACAATGATGCCGAAATCCTGATTTCAGCAAAGCCTCTGCCTGCCTGTCTTGGAAGTATCCACATGAGGCTGCTGGGGCCTTGGTGTCCCCAGCAGTTTCTAGTCTCTAGGTCTTGCTGTGGGTGTCTGTGCAGTGAGGGTGTGTGTGGCGCTGGGTGAGCTCTGTCTAGGCCTGGCACAGGATGCGGTCTGGTAGCTGCTGCTTCTCTTCTGCAGAAGCGCAGCCAAGCACCCTCTGGGGTTTCAGGCCCACACCCAGCCTGAAGTTCTGGGAGTGGCTCACTTTCCAACCTTCAGGGTCTCCCAGCAGCTGACTGGGGAGTGGTGGAGGGAAAAGGGATTGTATTAGTCCGTTTTCACGCCGCTGATGAAGACATACCCGATACTGGGCAGTCTAAAAGATAGAGGTCTGATGGACTCACAGTTCCACGTGACTGGGGAGGCCTGACAATCATGGTGGAAGGTGAAAGGCTTGTCTCACACGGTGGCAGACAAGAGAAAAGAGCTTGTGCAGGGGAACTCCCCTTTATAAAACCATCAGATCTCGGGAGACTTATTCACTATCATGAGAACAGCACGGGAAAGACCCTCCTCTATGATTCAATTACCTCCCACCAGGTCCCTCCCACAACATGTAGGAATTGTGGGAACTACAATTCAAGATGACATTTGGGTGGGGACACAGCCAAACCATATCAGGGCGTCCCAGAAAGGGTATAGGGTCTGAGACCCAAGTCAGCATGAGAAAGTATGCTTCTCATGGTGGCCCAGTTGGGTGGAAGTGGCAGCCGGGCCGTCTTTCCACCAGGCCACTCAAGTAGCAGCTGAGAGACCCCTGCCCTGGCCAGTCCCCGCCCTCCCCTCTTGCCACTGCCTCTGGTTCTGAACAGATGGGCACCCTCATCTTGTATTTGTGATTAATGTCTAACAATGTAGTTTTGTGAGAAGGGTTTGCTGATACAGCCTTGCTGCAGATGCTGCGAACTGTGGCCTGGGGCAGACCTTACCTCCAGACACGCCCTGAGGCAGGGGAGGGCACTGGCCCGTAGCTGGCCGAGAGCTCTCGGGTTGCGCGACAGGGATACTTTTCAGCGGCTGGGTCGCTATCCAAAGTGAGAAAACGAGGAGGGACCAGGAGGCTGTCCGCCTCAAGAGATGTGGGGGCCAGGTCCAGTTATCTGGGGAAGCAGTAAGCTTCTCTGCTGTTTCTAACCCCAGGCCTCCCCTGGTCTAAGGCAGGGCCTCCCAGCCTCGGGGCATTTTAAAGATATCTGGGCCTGGCCCCATCCCCACAGTCTGACTGAGTGGGTCTGGATAGGGCCTGAGCATTGGTGATTTCCTGGGTGAAAGGAGGCCCCTCACAGTCTCTGGAAGCTTCTCTGTGTTAGGAAAAGCTCTGGGCTTGACTCTGCTTTGAAAGTCAAGATCCGCAAATCCTCTCAGCCTCAGTTTCTCCTTCAGCAAGATGAAATGGAAATGCTGTACCTACGTCCCGGGGTGGTTGTGAGACCCAAAAAAGACAATGTTCTGGAAGGTTCCTGGTGCGTTGCAGTCCTCTAAGAACCTGAGTTAGAGCCACGCTGAGTCTCAGCTTCTTGGCTCCTTCTGTTTCAAACTCGTCCATGTGATAGCTCAGGAAGGGTAGGCAGGGCCCTGCCCCCTACTCAGAAAACACCATCCTGGTCCTGGGGATCCCCGCAGCATTAGTCCCCTGTTTTCCCAGTGTATTGAGAAAAATTGCTAACAAGCAGTGGGGCACACCACCAGCCTCCTGGGTTCCTTTCAGTTTGGGGATTTTTGGACATTCCCAGGAATGTCTTAAAAAACACTTCAAAAAACATTAACATAAATATTTTTATCAAAGCCTGTATTAAATGGTCTTTCAAGAAAATACAGTAACAGGTCAGGCATGGTGGCTCATGCCTGTAACCCCAGCACTTTGGGAGGCCAAGGCAGGCAGATCACCTGAAATCAGGAGTTCAAGACCAACCTGGCCAACACAGCCAAATCCCATCTCTACAAAAAATACAAAAATTAGCTGGGTGTGGTGGCACACACCTGTAGTCCCAGCTACTTGGGAGGCCGAGGCAGGAGAATTGCTTGATCCCGGAGGCGGAGGTTGCAGTGAGCCGAGATCGTGCCACTGCACTCCAGCGTGGGTGACAAGGTGAATCTTTGTCTCAAAAAAAAAAAAAAAAAAAAGATAAAATACAGTATACAGTAATAGAGAACAATCCTTTTTTCAAAGTAGTGACCCCAAATGAACAAAATATGCATCTAGCTTAAATGCGAACCTGGTTTTCTCTACGCCCATTCAAGCCCCTGCAATAGGGGCCCTTCACCCCGCATCCATGGACTCCTAAAATTATATGGAAAATGGCTGTGTGTGAGTGTGGATGGACATGTGCACACATATTTTTGGCTTTACCAGATGCTCAAAGAGCCTAGGACCCAAAAAGGGCTGAGAATGACCGTGTCGGCCACTTCAGGGTCATCAGGAATTGCTGTGCACTGCTCACTTCTCCAGTGAACACTTTCTGCTTCTGTGTTTCCTGGTATCCTTTGGGACTCCTGGCTAGGTCATGTGTTTCTCTACTTTCAAAAGGGCTTCAGCCAGGCACGATGGCATGAGCCTGTAGTCCCAGTTGCTCTGGAGGTTAAGGTGGGAAGATTGCTTGAGCCCAGGAATTTGAGGCCAGCCTGGGCAAGTAGATAGGTAGATGATTGATAGATAGATAGATAGATAAATAGATGGATAGATAAGTCGCTAGACAGTCATCCATCCACCCATCCACACATAAAAAGGCCTTTGTCATGTCATGTTTTGTGGCCCACCTGCCAGTGTTGCCCACAGTTGCTGCCCCTCCAAACTCATCAGTCACTGGCAAACAGGAGGAATGTGTGGCTCATGTCTGGGCATCAGTGGCTGTGGGAGACATCCTTGATCTTCTCCAGCTTCTCCTTCCACATTTTCCTTTGCAATCTGGCAATATCTATTAAAATAAAATGTGCATGCCTTTTGACCTAAGAGCTTCACTTCTAGGACCCACTTACACGTGTGTGACATGATGTTCATACGGGTTTATTTATCTGAGGTTGTTCATACACACCATTGCCTGTAATCACTAAAGGCGGGAGCAGCCTACACATCCATCCACAGAGGAGTAGATGCCTTTTGGTACATCCGTGGCGACGGAATACTAAGCAGCCTGTGTATCTATACACTCACACGTGTTTGTTTATGTGTGGAATATCTCTGGAGGGTACACAAGAAACTTAAAATGATCACTGTCTCTGGGGAGGGTACCTGGGTGCCTGGGAGGCAGGTCAGGGAAGGAGTGGGCACAGGTATTACCAATTGGAAGACAATAAAAACAACAGCTCCTGGCCAGGCGCAGTGGCTCACGCCTGTAATGGCAGCACTCTGAGAGGCTGAGGCGGGCAGATTGCTTGCGTCCAGGAGTTCAAGACCAGCCTGGGCAACATAGCAAAACCCCGTTTCTATTAAAAATACAAAAAATTAGCCAGGTGTGGTGGCATGCACCTGTAATCCCAGCTACTCGGGAGGCTGAGGTGGGAGAATCACCTGAGCCTGGGAGGTCAAGGCTGCAGTGAGGTGAGATTGTGCCACCGCACTCTAGCCTGGGCGATAGAGCAAGACCCTGTCTCAAAAACAAACAAAAAACAGTCCCTGGCACTCTGGGCCAGGCCTGGCAGGGCAGTTGGCAGGGCTGGTCTTTCTCTGGCACTTCATCTCACCCTCCCTCCCTTCCTCTTCTTGCAGATTGAAACCCACAAGCTGACCTTCCGCGAGAACGCCAAAGCCAAGACAGACCACGGGGCGGAGATCGTGTACAAGTCGCCAGTGGTGTCTGGGGACACGTCTCCACGGCATCTCAGCAATGTCTCCTCCACCGGCAGCATCGACATGGTAGACTCGCCCCAGCTCGCCACGCTAGCTGACGAGGTGTCTGCCTCCCTGGCCAAGCAGGGTTTGTGATCAGGCCCCTGGGGCGGTCAATAATTGTGGAGAGGAGAGAATGAGAGAGTGTGGAAAAAAAAAGAATAATGACCCGGCCCCCGCCCTCTGCCCCCAGCTGCTCCTCGCAGTTCGGTTAATTGGTTAATCACTTAACCTGCTTTTGTCACTCGGCTTTGGCTCGGGACTTCAAAATCAGTGATGGGAGTAAGAGCAAATTTCATCTTTCCAAATTGATGGGTGGGCTAGTAATAAAATATTTAAAAAAAAACATTCAAAAACATGGCCACATCCAACATTTCCTCAGGCAATTCCTTTTGATTCTTTTTTCTTCCCCCTCCATGTAGAAGAGGGAGAAGGAGAGGCTCTGAAAGCTGCTTCTGGGGGATTTCAAGGGACTGGGGGTGCCAACCACCTCTGGCCCTGTTGTGGGGGTGTCACAGAGGCAGTGGCAGCAACAAAGGATTTGAAACTTGGTGTGTTCGTGGAGCCACAGGCAGACGATGTCAACCTTGTGTGAGTGTGACGGGGGTTGGGGTGGGGCGGGAGGCCACGGGGGAGGCCGAGGCAGGGGCTGGGCAGAGGGGAGAGGAAGCACAAGAAGTGGGAGTGGGAGAGGAAGCCACGTGCTGGAGAGTAGACATCCCCCTCCTTGCCGCTGGGAGAGCCAAGGCCTATGCCACCTGCAGCGTCTGAGCGGCCGCCTGTCCTTGGTGGCCGGGGGTGGGGGCCTGCTGTGGGTCAGTGTGCCACCCTCTGCAGGGCAGCCTGTGGGAGAAGGGACAGCGGGTAAAAAGAGAAGGCAAGCTGGCAGGAGGGTGGCACTTCGTGGATGACCTCCTTAGAAAAGACTGACCTTGATGTCTTGAGAGCGCTGGCCTCTTCCTCCCTCCCTGCAGGGTAGGGGGCCTGAGTTGAGGGGCTTCCCTCTGCTCCACAGAAACCCTGTTTTATTGAGTTCTGAAGGTTGGAACTGCTGCCATGATTTTGGCCACTTTGCAGACCTGGGACTTTAGGGCTAACCAGTTCTCTTTGTAAGGACTTGTGCCTCTTGGGAGACGTCCACCCGTTTCCAAGCCTGGGCCACTGGCATCTCTGGAGTGTGTGGGGGTCTGGGAGGCAGGTCCCGAGCCCCCTGTCCTTCCCACGGCCACTGCAGTCACCCCGTCTGCGCCGCTGTGCTGTTGTCTGCCGTGAGAGCCCAATCACTGCCTATACCCCTCATCACACGTCACAATGTCCCGAATTCCCAGCCTCACCACCCCTTCTCAGTAATGACCCTGGTTGGTTGCAGGAGGTACCTACTCCATACTGAGGGTGAAATTAAGGGAAGGCAAAGTCCAGGCACAAGAGTGGGACCCCAGCCTCTCACTCTCAGTTCCACTCATCCAACTGGGACCCTCACCACGAATCTCATGATCTGATTCGGTTCCCTGTCTCCTCCTCCCGTCACAGATGTGAGCCAGGGCACTGCTCAGCTGTGACCCTAGGTGTTTCTGCCTTGTTGACATGGAGAGAGCCCTTTCCCCTGAGAAGGCCTGGCCCCTTCCTGTGCTGAGCCCACAGCAGCAGGCTGGGTGTCTTGGTTGTCAGTGGTGGCACCAGGATGGAAGGGCAAGGCACCCAGGGCAGGCCCACAGTCCCGCTGTCCCCCACTTGCACCCTAGCTTGTAGCTGCCAACCTCCCAGACAGCCCAGCCCGCTGCTCAGCTCCACATGCATAGTATCAGCCCTCCACACCCGACAAAGGGGAACACACCCCCTTGGAAATGGTTCTTTTCCCCCAGTCCCAGCTGGAAGCCATGCTGTCTGTTCTGCTGGAGCAGCTGAACATATACATAGATGTTGCCCTGCCCTCCCCATCTGCACCCTGTTGAGTTGTAGTTGGATTTGTCTGTTTATGCTTGGATTCACCAGAGTGACTATGATAGTGAAAAGAAAAAAAAAAAAAAAAAAGGACGCATGTATCTTGAAATGCTTGTAAAGAGGTTTCTAACCCACCCTCACGAGGTGTCTCTCACCCCCACACTGGGACTCGTGTGGCCTGTGTGGTGCCACCCTGCTGGGGCCTCCCAAGTTTTGAAAGGCTTTCCTCAGCACCTGGGACCCAACAGAGACCAGCTTCTAGCAGCTAAGGAGGCCGTTCAGCTGTGACGAAGGCCTGAAGCACAGGATTAGGACTGAAGCGATGATGTCCCCTTCCCTACTTCCCCTTGGGGCTCCCTGTGTCAGGGCACAGACTAGGTCTTGTGGCTGGTCTGGCTTGCGGCGCGAGGATGGTTCTCTCTGGTCATAGCCCGAAGTCTCATGGCAGTCCCAAAGGAGGCTTACAACTCCTGCATCACAAGAAAAAGGAAGCCACTGCCAGCTGGGGGGATCTGCAGCTCCCAGAAGCTCCGTGAGCCTCAGCCACCCCTCAGACTGGGTTCCTCTCCAAGCTCGCCCTCTGGAGGGGCAGCGCAGCCTCCCACCAAGGGCCCTGCGACCACAGCAGGGATTGGGATGAATTGCCTGTCCTGGATCTGCTCTAGAGGCCCAAGCTGCCTGCCTGAGGAAGGATGACTTGACAAGTCAGGAGACACTGTTCCCAAAGCCTTGACCAGAGCACCTCAGCCCGCTGACCTTGCACAAACTCCATCTGCTGCCATGAGAAAAGGGAAGCCGCCTTTGCAAAACATTGCTGCCTAAAGAAACTCAGCAGCCTCAGGCCCAATTCTGCCACTTCTGGTTTGGGTACAGTTAAAGGCAACCCTGAGGGACTTGGCAGTAGAAATCCAGGGCCTCCCCTGGGGCTGGCAGCTTCGTGTGCAGCTAGAGCTTTACCTGAAAGGAAGTCTCTGGGCCCAGAACTCTCCACCAAGAGCCTCCCTGCCGTTCGCTGAGTCCCAGCAATTCTCCTAAGTTGAAGGGATCTGAGAAGGAGAAGGAAATGTGGGGTAGATTTGGTGGTGGTTAGAGATATGCCCCCCTCATTACTGCCAACAGTTTCGGCTGCATTTCTTCACGCACCTCGGTTCCTCTTCCTGAAGTTCTTGTGCCCTGCTCTTCAGCACCATGGGCCTTCTTATACGGAAGGCTCTGGGATCTCCCCCTTGTGGGGCAGGCTCTTGGGGCCAGCCTAAGATCATGGTTTAGGGTGATCAGTGCTGGCAGATAAATTGAAAAGGCACGCTGGCTTGTGATCTTAAATGAGGACAATCCCCCCAGGGCTGGGCACTCCTCCCCTCCCCTCACTTCTCCCACCTGCAGAGCCAGTGTCCTTGGGTGGGCTAGATAGGATATACTGTATGCCGGCTCCTTCAAGCTGCTGACTCACTTTATCAATAGTTCCATTTAAATTGACTTCAGTGGTGAGACTGTATCCTGTTTGCTATTGCTTGTTGTGCTATGGGGGGAGGGGGGAGGAATGTGTAAGATAGTTAACATGGGCAAAGGGAGATCTTGGGGTGCAGCACTTAAACTGCCTCGTAACCCTTTTCATGATTTCAACCACATTTGCTAGAGGGAGGGAGCAGCCACGGAGTTAGAGGCCCTTGGGGTTTCTCTTTTCCACTGACAGGCTTTCCCAGGCAGCTGGCTAGTTCATTCCCTCCCCAGCCAGGTGCAGGCGTAGGAATATGGACATCTGGTTGCTTTGGCCTGCTGCCCTCTTTCAGGGGTCCTAAGCCCACAATCATGCCTCCCTAAGACCTTGGCATCCTTCCCTCTAAGCCGTTGGCACCTCTGTGCCACCTCTCACACTGGCTCCAGACACACAGCCTGTGCTTTTGGAGCTGAGATCACTCGCTTCACCCTCCTCATCTTTGTTCTCCAAGTAAAGCCACGAGGTCGGGGCGAGGGCAGAGGTGATCACCTGCGTGTCCCATCTACAGACCTGCAGCTTCATAAAACTTCTGATTTCTCTTCAGCTTTGAAAAGGGTTACCCTGGGCACTGGCCTAGAGCCTCACCTCCTAATAGACTTAGCCCCATGAGTTTGCCATGTTGAGCAGGACTATTTCTGGCACTTGCAAGTCCCATGATTTCTTCGGTAATTCTGAGGGTGGGGGGAGGGACATGAAATCATCTTAGCTTAGCTTTCTGTCTGTGAATGTCTATATAGTGTATTGTGTGTTTTAACAAATGATTTACACTGACTGTTGCTGTAAAAGTGAATTTGGAAATAAAGTTATTACTCTGATTAAATAAGGTCTCCATTCATGGATTCCAAGGACAAGAAAGTCATATAGAATGTCTATTTTTTAAGTTCTTTCCCACGCACCCTTAGATAATTTAGCTCAGAACAGGAAATGATAGTATTAATAAAAGCTGGACATCAGGATTAACAGCTCTCTCTGGGGCCCTGAAGGTGAGAGTTCTCAGACTTGCTCATTTGCAGTTGCTTCTTTGTGATGCTGGCAAACCATCCTAGTCCCATTCAAAGGGCAATACAAAGCCTTGTGGCTGACCTCACGATGCAGCACTCAGTTTGCAAGACCGGCACCAGTGTATGCAAACCTGAGAAGGTTGGGGATGAGGATATGGGATCTTTCATCCCTGGAAATTTAGTCCAGAGGCCTGGGGCTGGAGCAGAACACCAAGCCAATCAGCTTAATGAATGGCTTAGATTCCTGCTAGGTTTGCAGAGCTGCCTTCTTTCCTTTGGTACCTTATTATAGATTGAGGAGTATTTCTGCTAAACCAAGATAGGGATAACCAGATAGCATCTTCATAGCAATGCCACAAAGGAAAACAAAAACAAAACAGTAATCCATCATATTATTCCTTAGTAACTATGCCAAGGTCATGATACTGAATCCTTAGATTGTTTCAAAATACTACTTTTCTTTGCTCTTCCTGATGTGTTTGCCACCGCAGGCAGATGTTTAAGTAAAACAGATTTTAACTGCAGCTACAAAAGCAGCAACAGGCCAGCAAAAGAGAAGTGCTATCTCAGAGAGCATGGCTTTCAGAGCCACAAGAGACAGCCTCACTGGCTGTTTCAGCTTGACTGCCATGCAAAGAAGAGAGCAGAGGGAGAACCAGCCCCACCCACTTATTCATCTTGTACAAAAAAAAAGCACCTACCAGCCTAGGCTACATAGTGAGACACTATCTCCACAAAAAACCCACGAAAACTAGCTGGGTATGGTGGCACATGCCTACAGTCCCAGCTACTGGTAAGGCTGTGGTGGGAGGATCTCTTGAGGCCAGGAAGGAGATCCAGGCTGCAGTGAGCCAAGATTGCACCACTGCACTCCAGTCTGGACAATCGAGCAAGATCCCATCTCAAACAATAAAAAAAAAAAGCGTGTAACCTCCTCAGAAGAAAGATGTTATAATCTCAGGCAGCAGGCAAGAACCAATCCAGGCTCTAAGCAAATTATGTATCTCACTGACCCCACCAAACCTCAGAAAAATTTAACAGTGAGAAGCAAAATCTCCTTTAAAGAGCAACTTAGAACAGATAGAAAATATCATACAGCTGACTTCACTAGAGAGAAAGTGCATCAACTGCTTTCACTCAACAAAAAGAAAAAAGAGATGATCAATGCAGATCCCCTCTCCTCCTGGCAGCCCTTACCCTCAGTGAAAAGCCACCACCATTCTCTCTCTGGTGGCCATCAGATCAACCTGCGGCGTTCCCACAAGACAGAATGGAGATTTTCCAAGGTATAGAGCAAGTCAGAGTACCCCAAAGAACGGCGGCAGAGAGCCAGCTCCGAAACTGCCAACACTACCATGCATACACAGTTCAGTAAGTCAAGAAAGGCCTGGTACACAGCATTCTGTAACTTTTTTTTTTATTTTTTTCAATTTTTCCTTCTTTTTTTTTTTTAAGCACTAGTCTGTGCTTTGCGAACAGAATCAAGACATTAACAAAGATCAGCTTCTCTGAAGAAAAGCATTTCTATAGAACAAAGACAGCTACATGTTTCGCTGCCATTACACAGCTCCAAAGCAGGAAAAGAAAATATTTACAAAATACAAGGTTTTTTTTTTCCATTTTTTGTTTTTGTTTTTTTTTTCAATGCTAAAAGGGTTATTCAGAATTTTCAACCTTATAAATAGAAGAAGCACTTTATGCATAGGGATATGGTGCATTATTGTATTTTTTTTTAAAGAAACAATGACAAACCCTTTAACTTGCAAACAGAAAAAAAAATCACTAATGTTGAAAATTGTGAAAAAACCCCAACCATTAAGCAGTTGTCTACTATTTTTATACGATTACAAAATGGCCAAAAAAAAAGAGTCTTCTCCCCCCTCCCCCTTTTTGGTGATGTGATCATACAGGAGACAGGCACAAGGTTAACAGAGAAGGGTGAAGGGGGAACAATGGGAACCACAGCTAGGACCAGACAATGTTCCACAGGCAAGGGGAGCGTGAAAGACCAAGAGTGGAACTAACACCGACAGGGATCTGGATGTGAAGGAAACATGGCAAAGTGAATCAGAGGGAAAAAAAAAAAAAATCACACAGGGAGATGGCTGCTCACTTCCCACAACCCCCAGTTTGCAGGGGAGTGGGAATAGAGGTTAAGTAGTCCTAACCCTACCTTCAAAGATCAGGATAGGTGGTAAAAATATTCCAAGTGGAAGGACGGGTTGTGGGTGTGTACATGGCATGGGAGAGCAGACAGGGAAGGGTACCAAGGGGCATGAGGAGGGGAACCTGAGCAGCCACAGCCAGGTTACTGCAGTGAAAGAGTCAAAACAGAGAAGACCAAATGCAGATGAAACAAAAAATCAGTCTCTTAAGTTCTGGGTGAGAAAGGAAAGGTGTTCTGCCAGCTGAGCACTCGGGGAGAGCAGCTGGCAGTTATGGCAGAGAGGCTCTGGTGGGGATGTTCCAGCACGAAAAACCAAGGGGACCCAGCCAGGAGGGCCACAGCAGAGCCAAGCCACAGATGGGAGGGGAGGGGGTAAGAGTCCAGAGCACCCTGCCCCATTCCACCCTAGCTCAAGAAGGCCATGCTAAACTGTAGCCCGCCAGGCTGTTCTGCCCTGCCCACAGGTGTGAGGGAGGGGGTGGTCATCTAAGATCAGTAAGTCCAGTGATTCAACAGTGCAGAGGATGTGCCAGGACCAGGCCAGCAGGGTCTCATCCTGAACTTCTGTTTGCCAACGGGAGGAAGTGCTCAGGTGTGTGACAAGAAAACATGGAAACAAAAACAAAACAAAAATTAAAACAAGAAAAAAAAATACCAAAGTAGGATCTAAATTCCTTAAGTTCACTAAAAACTGTGAAAATTTCCGGCATATGATGTTTGAATATCAAACGCAGAGATTTCTGAAGCTTTAATGCCAATAGTTAGTGAGTCTGTTTAGATGGCTGTCTCCCGCTCATCTGTGAGTCGGGCGCTGAGCTGTGGCTGCTGCCACCAGATGCCGACTCTTGAGGGGGACAATGGGAGGCGAGGTGGGCGCTGCCTCTGTCTCCCGGCCAGTCTTGCTGCCTGAGGTGCGTCGAGTGCAGCGGGCTGCTCGCTCCTGTGCATCCAGCTGGTCCTCACACTCCGCCTGGGGACTGTGCGCCAGGGGGAAGGTCCGCCGCTCCCAGGGCTGGACAGACTGTAGGCAGACAAGTTGCTCTTTGAGGACCCAGTCCCAGCCAGCCTGCTTCCTGCTCCAAGGCCCTGCCACAAACCTTGTGGCCTGGAGCCTAGGACCAGTCTATCTAGTGTTCCTGCGACAGTCTGGGAACACCCCTCCTAGGGTATACCCAGACAACTGTATTGATCATTTAGCAGTGATCAATACAGTTCCACTGAACGTTGAGGAGATCAATTTAAGTGCAGCCCTTTGTCCCTTCAAAAGGGGGAGGGGATGGCTAGGTCCCTCTTCAGCAGATGCTGCCCCTTCCTGGTTCCATCCCCCAACCATGCCAACCCCACCCAAAGGCTGCGTCCCTTACCTGTTCATCCAGCCCCAGCTCTGGTGTGGAACAACGGGTATCCTCACTGGCTAAGTGTCGCAGAGTGTCCCGAGCCACAGGGGTGAGGGGTGCTGAGTGCAGTTCCGGGCTAATGGGGCTCCTAGGGGACTGACCATGGGAGTATTCTGACAAAGAGTGGCTACTGCTGACATCAGGGGAGGCAGGCTGGGGGGTGGAGGGGTTGGCACTGCCCAGCTGGGGGGTTGTCCGGCCGTCTGATGACCTGTAGGACCTGCACACCAAGGAATGCAAATCTGAGTGCCTGGGAAATGTTTACTTATGGGGGTAGAGGGCATGAAAAAAGCATCCCCACTGGAGGAGTTGAGGCAAACAAACACCAACAGATTTTCCTTAGGATCCAGCAACTCCCATTTCTTCCCACTATTCTCTGGAGGGGTAGGTATACAACATTTACCATCCCAAGAAAAAAGCATGGCTGAACAATGCCAGGTGAGTCCATAGCAAAGTGCCTAGTGAATTCAGGAGGTTAGGGAGATTCGTGTAGACTTTGAAAACTGTAGTCAAAGAAAAAAAAGTAAAAGTAAGAGCTCCCAAAACTTTCTACTTGAGAATCCCGAGGGTTTCTGCCACTGTTAACAATAAATGGAGACAGGGTAGTGATGGACGTTAAGGGGGGGCAGTTTCTTCAAGTGGCATCACAAAGCCACTGTCCAAAGGAAGGTTAACTTGTAGCGAGGCCTTCCAAGCTCCCCGGGTTGAATCACCATGACCCCCCAACTGTCTTCCAAATGCCACAGATCATGGGAATTCAGAATTACATAGTGACTTCTCAGCAAGGATCTAGCACTTGGCTCCTTATATCTCCACTAGTTCCATGTATCTCCACTAGTTCCAACAAACACCAAGGAAATTCTGAGCTATTTGCCACTGCCAGTAGATGAGTATGATGAGCAACCAAGAGGCAGTAGCAATTCCATGGACTCAAGTAGGGCCCAAACTCCCTGTCCACCCTCTCTCCACAGGCCCTGGGGACCCAAGCCTGCCCCATCACCTGCTGCCCCGCCGCTGGGGTGGCACACTCGTGGTCCACAGCCACCGTGCCCTCTCCATCTCCTCACATTTGGCATGCAGGGCGGCGAAGGCTGCGTCGGATAGGTCCTCAATCTGCAATAGAGCAGCTTCATCGATCCCCTCTTTTCTCCAGGAGTTAAGAACCAGTCCCACCCCATTCTAGGTTCTTCCCGGTCACGACAGGAATACAAGGAGCTTGCACTTCACACCCACAAGTCTTCAGGCCATTTAGGGTGTGTGCACTCATATGTATGTGTGCATGTGTACACACGTGTTCTTCTAACAGAAGAACCAGGCCATTACCTCTTCATTCTCCTCATCAGGACTCCCCTTCAGAGACTGAAGATCAACCTCCCGCCAGCTGCAAAACCAAGAACAGACAATCATGAGATGGCAAGCAGGCTAAAACTGGGGGCAGGGTCAAAGTGTCCATGCAAGGATGAGAATCCTGCACCTGTGGGTGACACTGCTCTCTGCCGGGTAGGCTCTGCCCTATCACAGCTCAGTCTCCCTACCCTGTCAAGGCCTGTGAAATTGGCCACCTACTCAAATGCCCAAGAAGGCCAGAAATGAGAGAAGCGGCCTAGGGTAAGGCTGAGGCTGAGAGACTGTGACAAACACAAGAAAAGAAACCTGTTTAAAGAGGACCACCACTGTTCAGGACCAGCTGATTGCTCCCATATGGAAATGCATACCCAGGGTTGCCTAATCTTCTGTTTGGCAACAAAAGCTGGAAACAAAGATTTTTATGTGAAATCCTGCTTTGATGTTGACAACAAATTCAGTATTTTAAAACATACTGTATGTGTTGACAAAACCGGTCTCTAGACCAGTAAGTGAATGGCCTACCAGGCTGTGACTGCTGGTTCGTTTGGTGTATTCCTATAATGGAATGAGAGAGAACTATATACAGAAATAATTTCGTTCTTATCAGATAAGAATTTCTCTTAATGAGAAGACAGAACCAAAGACTAGGGCCCAACTCTTGGTCAGAAGAGAAGAGGGAAAAAGGGCAATAGCAGGAAGAATGGGGAGAGGAGCCAACTATTCTGAGCTTCTACCTGGGCGTAAGGATTTCCTTGTATTGCAGTTTCTCTACGCGAGTTGTTGCAGCAACAGACATTGGGATGACAATGTTGTTAATATCAAATGAGCTCTCTCCCCTTCTCCTCCTTACTGGCTGCTGCTGTAAGATAAAAATTAAGTTTAAAAGGAAGGTACAATTTTACAGACATCAAATCATTCATCTAAGAGTTAAAGCAGGATCACCAATAACCAAGCATCTGGGTCCTTGGGTTGAAGCTGAGTAATGACCATAGCAGCTGCTCCCACCTAGGAGTCAGTCTCCAACAGCAAAAAACCTCACGGAGAAATACCAGGTGGTCATGAGGAGTTAGTCCCATTCATAAGTCCCACTGGTCACCCTCTTCCTTCAAGGGCTCATGCGTAAATTTCATAGGGGTGGGTACCTGGGATCTTAACTGTTGGGGTTCCTACTCTATATACACCTCTATTAACCTCCTCTCCTTTTACAATCTTTATTTCCTTCCTTTATCCCCGTTTATGACTTAAGACTCATAGTGGCCCCTCCCCTAAAAGCAATGCTTGAAAGCTTATGCTGAAAGAGGCCCAAAGGATAGGCCCATCTCAATACATCATCTAACCTTGGTTGTCATGAATGCACCTCCTTCTCAAAGATCTGAACTCTTCAGCTAAATCTGCACCCACCATCTGCCCAGTCTTTATGTGATTTCCCCTCTTTTGATGATTCTTGGGGAAAGAGCTGAGAGCTTTCTAGCTGTATCAAAGGAGATGAATGGAGGGAAACTAAAGAGGAGAACCTGACTATACCTCACATTCCTGGTGAAAGGAAATTTGCTTCTATAGGAAATAGTTGAGAAGACCAAACTCTTGGAAAAATAAGACTTCCAAGGATCGAATATCAGAGGCAGAGGTAAGCATCTACAGTAGCTGGGAGACTAGGGAACTAAATGGCTTAGTCTCTTGGATGGAGGAAGAAGTCTACTAGCTGCTGCTGCCCAGATAGTTAATACCCTATCCTGAAACAGAGACTAGCAACTGAGCTGTGAGAGGCCAGAAGGAAACAGTGGCATAACAAACACGCTGCCATGGCAACAAAACAGCTGGAAAACACCTAAGAGGCTGCATTTATACCTAAACCACCAAGTGTGGTCAGTCCACAGGGAAGGGGTTGGAGGAGTAAGAAGTCCCCTATAACTAACCCCTCTATCCTCTGTTCCTGGACGGTGAGATACCCTTTATTCATCCTATCATCTTAGGACATTCTCAGAGAATGTTAAAAGTCAGCACTTCCTGGGCCAGAGTTTCAGTCACTGTCATTTATAACTTCAGATGACCACAATGCCCTTTTCACTTCAATTTCTTTCTCTATCAAATCAGATGACTGCCATTGACCTCAGAAATTTAGGATATCTGGTTAACCAAAATGGTTAAACAGACTTTTGGGGATCTTGCCTGAGTTCTGTAGCTGAGGATTAGTGATCTCATACCCAGAGACCTCTGCCACTGCCAGATCTGTGCTGAAATTATACATCCCACTACAAGAAATGCATCTTAAGAAAGCCTCAAGAGAGACAGCCTTCCCAGTATCTTGGTCAAGAATAAATGTGAAACTGCTGGCAGAAACAGGTATACACTTTCCCTGAAACTTCTTGGGCTTGTTGTTAGTACCTTCGAGAAAAAGATACTGGAGCAGGTTGTGGGATGGTTCAACGGGCTCTTATCTCATCCTCTGCCTAGACACACCCCCTATTATGTTAGCTACTCATTAGGTCTAAATTAACTACTATCTCCTATTTAGAGCCAGAGATAGAGAGCAGGTGATGAGAATAAAACTGGTTCCCAAACTTGGTTGTATATCAGAAGCAACATTAAGGAGTATTTTTAAAAAAAAAAAAAAAGGTTCTAGGACTCCCCCCCGCTCTTTTATAAAATCAGAATTTTGTTTGTTTGTTTGTTTAAGAGATGAGGTCTCACTATGTTGTCCAGGCTGGACTCAATCTCCTGGGCTGAAGAGATCTTCCTGAGTAGCTGGAGCTACAGGCATGCAATATCACAGCCAGCAACAAATCAGATCTTTAGAAGTGTCTGGTTGGTTGGTTTTGTTTTTTAAAGCTGCTGAGGTGATTCTGATGCAGCTACTGGCTTTTGGGAAGCACTGACAAAAACACTCGCTCTCCTCCCTACCTTTCTCCAGTGTCCTCTGGCTTCTTTACTTGATTTCAAGGAGAGCTGGCCCTTTGTATCCATGGGTTCAACCAATTGTGGATTGAAAATATTTGGGGGAAAAAAATTGTGTCTGTACTGAAAAGGTACAGATTTTTCTTTTCATTATTCTCTAAACAATACAGCATACTATTTTTATAGCATTTACATTGCATTAGGTATTATCAGTAATCTGGAGATGATTTAAAGTATATGGGATTTAAAGCATACACATAGGTTATATGCAAATACTATGCCATTTTATATTAGGGACATGAGCAACAATAGCTTTTGCTATCTATGGGAGGTCCTGGAACCAATCCCCACTGCAGATACTGCAGATACTGAGAGCCTGCTGTTATCTGGCCTATCTTCTTTCTTTTTTTTTTTTTGAGACGAAGTCTTGCTGCGACGCCCAGGCTTGAGTGCAATGGCTTGATCTCCGCTCACTGGAACCTCCGCTTCCCAGTTCAAGTGATTCTCCTGCCTCAGAGTAGCTGGAACTATAGGCACATGCCACCACGCCCAGTTAATTTTTGTATTTTTAGTAGGGATAGGGTTTCACCTTATTGGCCAGGATGGTCTCGAACTCCTGACCTCAAGTGATCCACCCGCCTCAGCCGCCTCCCCAAGTGCTGGGATTATAGGTGAGCGCCACTGTGCCTGGCCTATCTTCTTTTACATAAATCCAGAGTCTTTGAAAAAACTTGGCAATGAGAGAGCCTCAGGGGTTAGCATAGTGCTATACACAAAATTTTTACTCAATAAATGGTAAAAATTTCAAGTGATCCAGGCCTAAGTTAACATTCTCCAGACACAGAAATATTGAAGTGCTCACCAAGTCCTGAATCTCTGAGTTCAGATTTTCTATCAGAATTAGTTTAGACTCTTTTTTATAAATACTTTGGTTATCTGAAACCCTTTGCTGCTGGATAACTGAGTATGTGAGGGACACTACACACCTATTTAGATAAAATTTGTGGGTTACGGGGGTAAAGAAAGTCGAAGAGCAAAGAGACCATTTGGAAAAGATTGATTTGTAACAGCAAAGAGAGAACAATGTGAATTCCTACCTGATCACAGGAGCCTAGTGAGTCCATTTTATGAGCTTGGAAGTTTCCTGATCTAGGCTCTGAAGGAACTTCCTAAGTTGCCTCTGCAATACCCTCACCCAGGCTTAGCCTGTGTAGTGTAATGGTAAAAGAGCTGGCTCTACAGTCAGGCTGCCTGAGTTTGAATCATAATTATAACCCTCACAAGTTGCCTTGACAGTTTTCATGCATATAAAATGAAATCCACAGTACCAACCTACATCTCAAAAGGCATTATAACATGTAACACATGTAAATCACTGATCACTGGTATGTAGTAAGTGTTCAATAAACATTACAGTTGCAGACTTTTACATTTACCATTACATTACATTGTAATTATTATACAAAAAGGACCCTTTGAGTAGGTCCATAGCAGCTACAGGTATGTATGTTCCAAGAGGGCACACTTGAGGAATTAAAATATTAGAATGAAATTAAAGGAAATGTGTCTGGAATAGCTGTGCAAACTGCTTCCAGATGGAGTGTGGTATCGTAAAATCTGGTGTGTGCATGCCAAATGTCCTGCCATGGGGGCCTGCTGGATCTGTAATTCTGCTCTGTATACCTAAAAAGCATGGACTCTGCCTTCTCCCTTCCCTTCTCTTCTGGTACCCTCACGCCTAGTGTTTATTCTTAGTACTTCACCTCCACTCACCCAGAGAGTAAAACCAAGGAAATCAAACACTGCTTCCAACGCCCATGGGAATCTCCCCTCTACCCACCCCTCCTCTCTTGTTCACTTCTTGGGCCAACAGGATTAGGGCCACGGAACTGTTGAGTCCTGTGTGAAACTTAGTCCAACAGATCTTGAATAGTCACAGATCACCTTAAGAGTTTGTCCCTGCATCAAGCTTTCTATGGATGGCTCAGCATAAATCCATCTCTGCTATGAAAAACAACTCAAGAAAAACAACAGAAGGTCAAGTACCATGACTTTGACTTAAAAATGGTACAGACATACATACATATGTCATGATGAGCTGAGATCCTATAAATGCCCTGGGCTTTATAACCCACCCTCACACTGTCCTCTGGAGCCACTTGAGTGAGCTGTGACCTGCAGAGGGGGTGTCCGGCCAACCCCACACAGGTACTTACCGATGTGCTGGCTGTAACCTGTGAGCTAGAGCTGGCGGGTGCAGGGGAATCTGAGGAGGTGGAGAGCTGTCGCACCAAGGGACTGTGTGGAGGATGGTGGGTGGCTGCCAAGTAGCTCGAACTGCTCATGTCTGTGTGATGCTTCAACACTGCAGAAGTCAACAGAAAAGAGAGAAATACATGGCTATCTTAACCAGCGTTACTTCTAACACAAGCTTGGAATGGCAGCAATACATACTAAAGGCAAAAATGTTTTCTATGCCTAGAGGATAAAAAGGTGAAGCACACTAGCTGTGGGAAGTAGGGGCAGGGCAGAGGTTGCTGTAGCAGTTAAGAAGTGACCTCCATTTAGAAGCAGTAGCGTCCCTCTACTCTGCTTTCCTAGAAAGTGAAGGACAAAGCTGGGGGTAATTAAGAGAAGCCTAGGCTGCCCCAGAAAGCCCTGAGCAGGTGCAGTTGCAGGTAGAGGTGCCATGGGCCTGGCCCTACCTTCACTTCTCTCAGATGAATGGTCTCGCAATCTCATTTTGCTGTGGTTTGGGTCATGCACGGGTGGTGGTGGGTTGAGCAAGCGCTCTGCTTTTGGCGCTGTCACTCGCTCCACCATGGGCACGGCCCCCACATCGTCTAAGTGCTGCCTGTGGGTCCTGTCAGGCCGGGTTTGGTGATGGGACAGCTCTGAAGAGGGGAACAGAAAAAGAGCTGTGAAATATGTCCTCTCAAATATTTTCTTATTCGAGTTCCAAGCTCTCGAGTTCTCTCTAGGCCAACGCCGTATACCCAGGGCAGCAGGACAGTCCTTCAGGACTGAAGTTTCTAGTAATTTGCACAATGGCTAGGATAGGCACAGGGAGCCCAGAACCAGAGAAACATGTCACCAGGATACAGAAGACACCTGCCCGTAGATGAACTCAATGCCATGCCATTGCTGGCTGTTCAATGAGCATTTTGGGTCTTGCTCCAAGATCCATGGTGTCTAGAATAGCTCCCGAAGTCCATCTGAGAGCATCCAAGACAAGCAGAAGCAGTCACTGTGAGCTGAATTTTTTATCGGTCAACTGCCTCTCCCAACCCCAACATGCATGCAAACTACAAATTTGAGAATATAAAAGGAATGAAAAGTCACTGATACTCTGGGGGACTTCCCGGCTCCCTGACACTTACTGGCTGTTGTTAGGAAGGAGCTGACCAATTTGTGCCTGTCCTTACGAGCTGAATCTGGCAGACTGCCCGGCATGGGTGCTCTGTGCTTAAGCGATAACTTTTTGGGAGGTTTGATTTTGTCAAAAGGCTTGTTCTGCCACTGAGATTTCAGCATGCTCTGGAAATGCAGGCTTGTGGGAACATCTGCAAGAAACATAAAATGCTACAGGTTAGTCCAAACACCTGGCCTCTCTAGTGTTCAAGACCTACACTCCATCCTCCTTTAATTTGCCCAGTGGCCTGACACTTGGCAGGGCAAGTGCTGTCATATGGAAGATCTGTTTACGTGAACATTACTGAAGGTCATTCTTCTATTTGCAAGCAGGTCACTTTAGCTTTTTACTTTCAAGTCCCAAAGGGAAACAAAACAAGACACCTTTTTGGTTTGGTTGATGGAGTTTTTGTTCTTGTATCCTTGTTTGTTGAATTTACTGGTTTGAAAACATCCTGTTTCTATTCTAGAGATTTAAAAACATATTTAAGCCTACTTCTTTTCTATCAATATAAAGTTAATCAGGATGCAATTATTCAACAATATTCATTATCTATGTTATCAGGCACTGTACTGAGTACTACATACTCTCTCCAAATAAGAACTACATACCATTCTCTCTTTCCTTCCTCTGTGGCTCCGCCAATTCCCATCATGAGATTATCGGGGATTTTTAGCTGACTGGTTAATGTTCAATATCACAAATCAACATCTTTTGGACTGAATTTTTTATGCTGTTTCTTATCTTTCCATTTTCTTAGATTTTTCCCAAGAATATATCCTTGAGCAATTCCTTTAGAAAAGGAATTTCTAGATTTAAACCATTTTCCTCTCAAACATTTAAAGCTATTCAATTCTTCCGTGTATTCTAATATCCAGTGCTATATTTAAGAGGGAATCGGATTCTTTCTTACTTGTAGGTGGTCTGGTTTTTGCCTTTTAAGCTTCTGCAAAAAACAACAACAAACTTGTGGTATTACACTGACTCTACAGATCAATTTGGGGACAACTTCCATGTGTTCCACCACCAATACTGAATCTTTCAATCGACTGACGTGGTATCTCTCTCTCCATCTATTTACGTTTGTCTTGATTTTCTCTTGACAGCGTTTAGTTATTGTTGACATACCGGTCTTAAATACAATTTGTTAAGTTTATTCCTAAGAATTAATGTTTTCTGATGGGCAGAAGTTGGAAGAGTTTGCAGGGTTCAGAAGAAGACAGGAAGATGAGGGAAAGTCTGGAACTTCTTAGAGATTTGTTAAATGGTTTTGACCAAAATACTGATAGAAATACGGGCAGTGAAGGCCAGGCTGACAAAAGTCTCAGATGGAAATGATTAAAGATAGTACCTTTTAAAATTTCAACTTCAGTTCTTCATTACTAGTATATAGAAGTACAATAAACTGCTATATAATGACCTTGTAGCCTGTGAAACTACTTCGTTATAGACTTTTTCTTGTTTATTCAGTAGGATTTTCTATAGACATAAGTACATCATCTACAAATGGAGACTGTTTTACCTTTTCTTTCCAATCTGTATTCCTTTTTTACTTCTTGCCTATTACTCTGACTGGAACCTCTGGTGCTGATGTACAACTTTTAGATTTTCCTTTTCATGTTTTCAATATTCTGACATTTCACCACCATGGATAGCGGTGTGAGTCTGTTTTCAAGCTTCTGCAAAGCTTTCCAGGGATATTCAAATCTAAAAGCCAGCACATTTTTCCTCACCTCCCAGTTCCTCCTGGGAATCGGTAACCACTTGGGGCATGCTCAGAAGTTCCCGCCAGAGTCCCTATCCACTGCTTCAGAATAGAATGAAACACCACTACTTCAAGGAAGAAGGCTCTGGTGGGGTGAGAGGACAGGAAAGGAAAATCTAACCTAGCTATTCCAAAATGAGTCCAAATTTATCACCCAGACAAATGCCCAGGTCCTATCACTACTCCCTCTGCCCTTTAATTCTGGGTCAAAAACCTCCTGTAATCAGTTCCCACCTCACAGCAACTTACTCCTGGCATGTGCTTTGGGCTATCTTTCTATTTATTTCTTCACAGTTATCTTGTCTTTATCCATCTTTCAAAAATAATTACAAATTCCAGTCACTGATAGCATGTCTTCTAGAACTATTAGAAATTTATTTTGTGTGTGTGTGTGTGTGTGTGTGTGTGTGTATATTTTTTTTTTTTTGAGACGGAGTCTTGCTGTCGCCCAGGCTGGAGTGCAGTGGTACCATCTCGGCTCACTGCAAGCTCCGCTTCCCAGGTTCATGCCATTCTCCTGCCTCAGCCTCCTGAGTAGGTGGGACTACAGGCACCCGCCACCTCGCCCGGCTAGTTTTCTGTATTTTCAGTAGAGACGGGGTTTCACTGTGTTAGCCAGGATGGTCTCGATCTCGACCTCGTGATCCACCTGCCTCGGCCTCCCAAAGTGCTGGGATTACAGGCGTGAGCCACTGCACCCGGCCTGTTTAATATATTTTCTAAAAGCTTATGGGGTTTTGGGTCCCATAGAGCACAGAGGATATGCTCAATCTGAACTGAGGATAAGAAGGCAGGGAAGAGACGTCTAAATTAACATTACTGAACCCATTATTATCTGCCAGGCACTGTGTGTTTATCATCATGCGTGTGCCACTTAATCTTTGTAACAGTTCCATGAGGCAAACACAATTATGCTTATTTTAAAGATAGGGAACAGGTGCAGAAAGGTACATTAACTATGTCCAAGGTTACACAGTTTAATGAGTAACAACCAACTTTCAAACTCAAGATTATACAACCCTAAAGCCCATACTCTTAGACAATATACCTTGAGGCTACTCACTGATCCAGAGGATGGAGAGGATTCTGTAGTAAAGTCAATTATTTCTCAAATTACTCCGAAGAAATAGACAGTACAAAATATTTTCCAAGCCAGTTCTGCAGAGTAAAAGAAATTTAGCCACTCCTGCCTATGGTATAGATGATGAATTTCATGACACTGAATGTTATGCCTTCGAGGACTGAATGTTAGGCCTTCCAGGACTGGAATAAAAATCTGAGTTGGGGAAAAAAAAAAAAAAAAAAAGCTAACATTCTCAGGGATGATTTTTCCCAGTGGGTAAGCACCCTCAGCTCCATGATTGCTGGGCTTTATGACAGTGAAACAAATTAGGAAAACTATTAAAGTTTTAATGAAAACAAACATTTGCTACCTGTCCAAGTGTAAAAACACAGTCTCTGAGGACAGTGCTGTCTTCTCAAACATTTTTCATAATCACTCTTTTCCACACTTAAAAACTCAGCTATACCAAATCCTAGGAAATAAAGCATTGTCTAGAAGCATTCGGCCCTGTAAAACAATCTGAAAGCTGGGCTGAGCTGGAATGTATAAAAGAGGCTCAAGAAAGGAGACGAGGTCACTTCTGCCCATCCCACAATACCCCTTTGTCAGCAGAAGAGTTACTCCCACTTGGCAAAGGCTGTGTATGTTTTGTATATATATGTAATGGAACTCCAAAAAACATAGATTTTATTTTTTCCTTTTATTTTCCCCCATCGTTCTCCCAAATCTGAAAATGAAGCCAGGAAAAAAAAAAGGGACAGGGATATGAGAGACCTGGTTATAGTGAAAACAGCAATGACTAGAAACAAGTAGGCCTGGATTCAGGTCCTGGTTCTATCTCGAGTAGAAGGAGAAAGCAAGAACAAATCATTCAGCTGGGCTTTAGTTCCACCTGTGAAATGAGGCAGTGGGGCTAGATCAGGGCTGGCAACATTCTAGCATTCATTCTCTAACCCTCCTGTTGTACTGGAGGTACAAACACAGCTGTCTTTCCTGTTGTACTGGAGACCTCAGATTCTTCCCAAACAATACATTAAATAACTCCAGACAGTTACTGTCAATTCATTTGAATAGGCACAAGAAAGGACATCTATTTGTTACTGCTAGATTATATGACTGCTATGAGTCTCTCAACTCTAAAATGTTTAGTCAATGACTCTTCAACTGGAACTCCACTCCTAAACCCTTCCCCTCAACTAAATGCTCTTAAGTGCAAGTTGGCACATTGTAGAACCCAAGTCATGGAACACTACCTTGTACTCTCCAGTTGACGTATTAAGCGGAATCAAGAGCGATTCCTCTTTAAACCCAGTATAAACAGTTTAAGGAACTCCAGCTGCTAGACTTTGTTAGAAGTTTGCTGTGTTGCCTTTTAATTGCTTCCATGTTAAGAGTGAACAGGAACCCAGTTAGATCCCCCAGTCAGTAAAAAAAAAAAAAAAAGATATCTTAGGAATTGCTGGTTGAGTTCATATACTAACTAGTAAGTGATAATACCTAGGTTCTGTGAAGAGTTAAAAATCTAAAATAGACTGGATACGGGACCTGAAAGTAAGCAAAAAAAGGGATATGAAATGGAAGAGAACACACCAGAGATCCATTCAGCTAGAGGTCTCCTACATTCCATACCCACATAGGTAAACTGCTATTTTCAGAGAAGAGGGTGCTGATCCTTATCAGGTAAATAACAGGAAAATAAGACGAATTACTAATGTCATCCTTAAGTTACTGTTTCCTCAAACAAAATGAAAGATGAATGAGAAGACCCTGACTTCAGGATGACTAGGGTCTGACATTCCACGATTCACCTGGCTGTCTGGCTCCTTACTTTCCACCATTTTCTCAGGCGCACTTTTTCCGGGTGTTTTGTAATGCTCACTTCTTCCTCCTGCTGGGAAGTTGCTGTAGCCTCATGTGCAGGGTTTGGCAAGCTCTCTCAAAATACCACAGATCTTCATGGCCAGCAGGTGGTGCTCTTATTAAGCCCCTTTTATAAAGTTAACAAGCTTTTCTCCAAGGTTATATATCCTCTACATTTCCAACTAAGGATTAACTGGATTTGATTACTTGAGGTGATAAAACAAAGCCCCCTTCCTGCTGGAATACTAACAGGTTATTACACCCTAGTCTCTCCACCTTCCACAGCCAGGCGTAGAGTTGGCTATAACACAGTCCCTCAATTTCTATCACCCACACACACTTAATGAGAGGGGCTGAGGTACAGTCAAGGTGCGAGGCACAACTCCAGGATGAAAAGCAGCAGTTGGTTGTTATTCTAACAAACTACACAAACTGGTTAGGAAACAGCACTAAAACTACTTAAAAAAATATCTGTCCTATGGGGCCAGAAAACAGCTAAGTATCACATTCAAACAATTTTCTGCCTTTATGTCTGGTATAAATGTAACTATATGGAATCAATGAATCAAAATCATTTTTAACCTTGTTATGAAAAAAAAAAAAGTTGGAAATCCTGCCACTTTAAAACATCTTCTAGAGAAGAGGTTGTAAGGGTGGCCCAGTAGTAAAATCTACCACACAAATGTTTGACCTACACAGTCGTATGCCAAGCTGCTAGCCTTCACTGTTATTTACTGCTATACAATGATGTACAGGGAATCCCAAGACTTCAGGGGGTGTGTTATTTACACGGGATATTATGTGAATGGTGCCCTTTGGAGTTGGCTATCTCTGCACCCATGGGAATCTTCTGATTTCCAAATGGACTGCATTCTGAATGTGGCAGTTGTTTGGGTCAAAGCAAAATTATTCCAACAGGAATAATATTAGACATGGTAATCAGGTCTTCAGGTCAACCAACTGAGGTGTAATTAATCTACAGGCAAATACAGTAGTTAATAGAGCCTACATGTAAAAATATATATATATCTCCACAGTCTCATAAGGAGAATTTAATGACCAACTTTTTCGTCCAAACCCCAGGGCCATAGCTAGAAGCTCTTCGTGTGTGTGTGAGACATAGACAGAAAAACAAATAGGATTAGATGCAGGAAAATAAAAACCATAAAGACCAGAAAAGGGGGAGTGTTCCCTATCTTTCTTTCCATTCCCCCTCATTGCTGCCTGTAGTTGCTCTGAATGATGGTGTGGGAGGTGTAAGGTATGCGGCAGGGCAGCATTCATGTCAGATCTATAGTGTCCTGCAGTCAGCAGGACAGAAAATGTTCAAGGGAAATGGAACCTCTTAGTAGAGATGCTGAATGATGGAACAGGAGCTGAGAGACACACAGTCTGGGTATATCTGAGGGTGGGGGAGGTTATTTGCAACTGTATGTGGTAATGCTGTTGACAAAGAAATGACTGTTCTGTTTAGCAGGTGATATCCAATGAGTGTGCTTAAGTGTCCGGGCTTCCTGTCCTTCTTCAAGTATGAGACTATACAATTCAACACAGTAATTCAGAGAGTAACCCAACAAACATTCCTAAGTCTTCCTAGTGGCGCTGTCTGTAGCCAGAATCCCAAAAAGGGTAAAAATCTGACTCCTCTTAATAATCTGTCTGGAAAGGAACTTGAAATATAGTAAAAGGAAGGACAGGCATCAGATAATCTGGGTCTGAACTGTGAAGGCATTCAAACCCATTAGCCATTTAGTTTTAGATAAGCCACAACCTTACCAAGCCTGTTCCTTGAGCACTAACACTGAAGTAACACCTTACAAAATTTCTGGGCCGGGCATGGTGGCTCATGCCTATAATCCCAGCACTTTAGGAAGCCAAGATGGGTAGATCGCTTGGGCCCAAGAGTTTGAGACCAGCATGGGCAACACGGGGAAACCTCTTCTCTACTAAAAATGCAAAAAATTAGCCAGGCATGGTGGTGTGCACCTGTAGTCCCAGCTACCCACTGAAGTGGGAGAATCACCTGATCCTGGGAGGCCGATGCTGCAATGAGCCAAAAACCACACCACTGCATTCTAGCCTGAGTGACAGAGTGAGACTCTGTCAAAAAAAAAAAAAAAAAAAAAAAAAAAAGCCAGGTGCGGTGGCTCATGCTTGTAATCCCAGCACTTTGGGAGGCCAAGACGGGTGGATCACGAGGTCAGGAGTTCAAGACCCTCCTGGCCAATATGGTGAAACCCCCATCTCTACTAAAAGTACAAAAATTAGCCGGGCGTGGTGGCGCGTGCCTGTAGTCCCAGCTACTCAGGAGGCTGAGGCAGGAGAATTGCTTGAACTTGGGAGGCGGAGGTTGCAGTGACCCGAGATTGCACGACTGCACTCCAGCCTGGGTGACAGAGCAAAACTGTCTCAAAAGTAAAAAAAAAAAAAAAAAAGAATTTTGAAAGCAGCATATGAGACAAATATGAGAAGAGTACTACAAACTTTAAAATGCTATACAAATAGTAACTGCAGTTACATGGGCTACATAAATCCAATGGCAAGGGAAGGTAAAAGTCAGTGACTCTGGAATCTGAAGCACAGAGGAAAATGTTTTAGTGTTTTCCACTCATTGTGTTCAAGTTTATTTATTGCTCCACCAGCTCCTGACTATCCATGTGTTCCAGGTTTTCTGTTTCCTTTCTCTTACAAGAAATCACATGGCCACAGGAATATTACACCACATCCTTATCACAGCTAGGGGGTTTTGGTAACAAAAGCCAAAAATCCCGGTATCTACTGGATTTAGGTGGCCAGAAATGCAATCATTTGAAGAACAGATGCAGAACAGGGGATTATAGTTATCTAATGTTTGATCAACTGTCAATTAGAAGGATTCTCTCTAGGACAAGGGTTAGCAATGATTGTTTTTATAAATAAACTTTTGT
This sequence comes from Homo sapiens, assembly GCF_000001405.40. Lineage (NCBI taxonomy): Eukaryota > Metazoa > Chordata > Mammalia > Primates > Hominidae > Homo > Homo sapiens. Next base: position 749,461 of record NT_187663.1, read on the forward strand.
TGCAACACAATCAGGTTCATTTGTTCACATATTGTCTATGGCTGCTTTTGTGCTACAATGACAGGGTTGAGCAGTTGTGACATGAACTGACATCAATTATATGGCCTGCAAAGCCTAAGATATTTACCATATGGCCCTTGAAGAAAAAGTTCAGGCCGGGCGTGGTGGTTTACACCTGTAATCCCAGCACTTTGAGAGGCCAAGATGGGTGGATCACTTGAGCTCAGTTCAAAACCAGCCTGGGCAATATAGCAAGACCCCATCTTTGTAGGGGGCGGGAGGCGGGGAAGCAGGTTGTGGTGGTGCACACTTGTAGTCCCAGATACTTAGGAGGCTGAAGTGGGAGGACTGTTTAGAGCCCAGGAAGTCAAGGTTGCAGTGAGCTGTGATCACTCCACTGAACTCCAGCTTAGGGCACCGAGCAAGACCCTGTATCTAAAAAATAAAAATTAAAAAACAAAAAAAAACAAAAAAAAAAACTTACAGACTACCTGGGAGATATTATGAAGAACAGCATGGAGCCCTTATCCTCAGGGAGATTACATCCCATCCCTTCCCCACTCCCCCCGCCACCAAGACAGGGTCTCACTACCGTTCCCCAGGCTGCAGTGCATTGGCTCAATCATGGCTCACTGCGGCCAAGACTTCCTGGGCTCAGCTGATCCTCCCACCTCAGCCTGCTGAGTAGCTGGGACGACAGGCGTGTGCCACCACGCCCAGTTAATTCTTGTGTTTTTAGTAGAGATAGGATTTTGCCATGTTGCCCATGCTGGTCTCAAACTTCTGACCTCAGATGATGAACCCGCCACGGCCTCCAAAAGTGCCAGGATTACAGGTGTGAGCCACTGTGCCTGGTCCCTAAAATTTAAATAACAGAAAGCAAATACACAAACAGCCATAACATAATTCATTAACATATTGATAAAACACAATAGGGTAGGTGCAGTGGCTCCTGACTGTAATCCCAGCACTTTAGGGAGGCCGAGGCGGGTGGATCACCTGAGGTCAGGAGTTGGAGACCAGCCTGGCCAACATGGTAAAACCCCATCTCTACTAAAAATACAAAAAAATTAGCCAGGCGTGGTGGCATACGACTGTAGTCCCAGCTACTTGGGAGGCTGAGACAAAACTGCTTGAACCCAGGAGGTGGGGGCTGCAGTGAGCCAACATCACACCACTGCACTACAGCCTGGGCAACAAAAGCGAGACTCTGTCTCAAAACAAAACAACAACAAAAACAAAAACCCACCAGTGATTTGAGAGGAAATTCCTACCTTCTGTAGGCTGGGCACAGATCATGAGATTACGTGAAAATTCAATGAAACCAATCCAGATTATGAAAGCGCTGGCTTCCATCTAGAATAGTGGTTTCAAAATGTCTTTGCTCATGCACCCCCATTTGATATGTGATTTTTAAAAAATCATAATTTCAGATAGTTGTAAAGATTATATTTGAATACTACATAATGCTTTAAAAACATTTTTATCAAAACTTTGGCATGTAAATATATTTAGCTTCATTAATTGAAAAAAAAAACTTCTTTTAAACTTATTTAGCTAATCAGACTTTAGATATTAACTCAGTATTTATTCTAAGACAGACAAGGAATAGGACCATGTAACTGAGCTCAGACCCATCCCAGCCACTCGAAGAGTTAGAGGGAAATCTCTTAGTTGCAATCTTTTAGTGGTACCCTCTGGTTTGGTAGATCTGTTGCAGTCTTTTTGGAGAATTCTAAGAGAAGACTTGGTTGATAGGAGTTCCTGAGTTATCTCTATTTTATTTTTAAAATTCAAAACTTTTTTGCTTAATACCTGGGAGATTCTCCTTCAGGTGCTGAGAACTCTTAGAAATGATCTCTTTATTTGTTGTCCCCACCATCCAAGACCTTTTTTTTTTTTTTTTTTTTTTTTTGAGACAGTCTTGCTCTGTCGCCCGAGCTGGAGTGCAGTGGCATGATCTTGACTCACTGCGACCTCTGGCCTCCAGGTTCAAGCGATTCTCCTCCCAAATAACTGGGATTACAGACATATGCCACCACGCCCTGCTAATTTTTGTATTTTTAGTAGAGAAGGGGTTTCACCATGTTGGCCAGGCTGGTCTCGAACTCCTGATCTCATGATCCGCCCGTCTTGGCCTCCCAAAGTGCTGGGATTACAAGCGTGAGCCACCACACCTGGTCTCGAACTCCTGACCTCAAGTGATCTGCCTGCCTTGGTCTCCCAAAGTGACGGGATTAAAGACGTGGGCCACGACACCGAGCCTCAAGATTTTTACACTCTGGGGCAAGACCCATAGTGGGACTCAATATGGCCAAAAGGAATGCTCTTCTTTTGTCAAGTGGGAGAGGTACAGGTATGGGAAGGGAGGTGGGAAAGGAGGGCTGTCAGACACAGAGATTTAACAGGGAGGCAAACTTTAGAAAGACAGTACAAGCTAACAACGAAGATTTGTGCTTATCTACACCCTGCAAAGCTGTCGCGTTACCACATAAATGCCAGTATGAAGATATTCTCCTAGAACACTGCCGTCCATCCTACATTATATCATGGCACGCACAGACAAAACTTTTTTTTTTTTTTGAGACAGAGTCTTGCTCTGTTATCCAGGCTAGAGTGCAATGGTGCAATCTTGGCTCACTGCAACCTCTGCCTCCCAGGTTCAAGCAATTCTCCTGCCTTAGCCTCCCAAGTAGCTGGGATTACAGACAGGCACAACCACGACTGGCTAATTTTTTATATTTAGTAGAGACGGTGGTTTCACCATGTTGGTCAGGCTGGTCTAGAACTCCTGACCTCAGGTGATCCGTCCACCTCAGCCTCCCAAAGTGCTGGGATTACAGGCGTGACCCACCACGCCTGGCCCAGACAAAACATTTTTAAAGATATACTAAGCGTATTTTGGACCAGATTACTGTGGCTAGAGGCAACTGAGCCCAGATCCCTCCTAGCTACTTGAAGAGTTAGAAGGAAATCTCATATTAAGTTGCAACCTTTTAGTGGCACCTTCTGGTTTGGTGGATCTGTTACAGTCTTTTTGCAAAATTCTAAGAGAAGACTTGGTTGACGAAAGTTGTACCTTGAAAGTATCTGAGTTGTAACTGCACCTTGGCTGATTTTCTTTCACCTAGAAGTCTCTCAAGTTTCTTTCATTAGACTTTCTAGTCTGTGGTCTTTCTTACCATCTGGAAATGCTAGAACAGGATGAACACAAGAGTCCAACTGGGAAAGACGTTCCAACAGAGGGGCTTCATAGTGAATTTCGGGAGGCATGGTGTTGATGCTGCCTGAACCACACAGTGCGCAGGAGGGATTCACATCACAGCCAGGGCGGATTGTGCTGTTCCGGTGAACCTGTGAAAAAAGCCAAACAAAACTGACAATTCAGCATCTGATAAAAAGCCAGCTACCCATTTGTTATCCCCATTTGTTATTGAGAAGTTAGCTCCCCATTTGTTATTGCGAAGACCTTTCTAGATACTTGTGTGACACTACTAAAAGGATGTTTGATTAGTTTGTTAAAAGATTTCCATTTGTCTAACACACTGACCTTCAAAGTGGGTAAGGAAACTTGCTTCCTTTTCATTGATGAAATCTAACTACTTGAAGCTCTAAGTGCTTACCTAGGTATCAAACTTCTGACAGTTTAAAAAGATACTAAAACTGTGCTTTCTGAGAACACTTTATAAACTCTGCATGCTTTCACGACCTTGATGGTCCGCTAAGACGAACAGTTGGTTCTTGATTCCCAGGTGGGACATTACTTGCTTTCTTCAGCAAATTTATCCACCTAGGAGCCTTCAATTACCAACCACACCTCTTCTCTTCTTTTCACACCTCTTCTTCAAAAGACTTTCAGGTGGTCTCAAGCCAGGTGGCAAGCTTCCCTGAAGCTTGTAACTTAAAAGTAACTTATTAACTACTCTTTAACCTGGCCTAAAATCCACTGTTACAAAGCTCATACCTAAGTAATAAAATAACATTTTGTACAGCAAATGCTCACTTTCATAGTCTTCATGTTAGATTAATTCCAAAGGGTAGAAATTATTTCCACTGAACTTCCTTTGTGCACATGTGGGCAGAATAATTGATAACCTCTCCAGGTAAGTCCAAAGTTAAATATGAACTAATTTAAGTCTTCAAAAGATTGAATTCTGTATAAAAACTGAACATCTACAATTTTATACTTTGAGCAAATTTCAGGTCATGCTGAATGCAGGATCCCTACATTCTAGTGTTAGGATGAACAAGTCTGGCATTTGCCAAAGCCTAACTCATAAAGTCACCTGGACACACAGCCCCAGAAAAAGAAACTTGCATGTTGAATGGCACTATAAGAAGGCATCCTAGGTGCAAGCTCAGTAGTAGAACAAAGACAAAAAGCATCAAAACTCTACTAGCAAAAACTCTAACATTTACTAGAGCTCCATTTATTTTCAGCAGAGACATCTCGAAAGCCTTTTATGGATTTGTGTAAGAGAAAGATATACATAAGAACAATGTGGTCTTTATCAACATTCCCCCGACATTCTATTGTAACCACATAGAGAGGTGGCACGCAAATAAAGTCTTTTAAAGGTTAGACTGGGCAAATCACACAGAACTAGAAGCCACTGAAAGGGAGTGATACCAACTAGGCATGCTACTTTTGTGTAGACAATATTAACTGGTATTGTTTTGGGAAAAAAAAAATCCCTGTATCTATGTAATCAGAGCTGGCTTTCTGGAGAGGATGACATTTTGAGGTAAAGAGAAATGAGTAGGTAGAGATGAAAATGAGATCACACAGTGGGTGAGTGGGAGGATTTAGGAAAATTGGTTAGGATCCAAAAATTACACTGAAACTTTCAATATTCAAAAGAGATTATCTCACTCCAGTAGGTATAGCAAATAAAAAATAAAAAGAGAGAGACTAGAAACCAACCCATGACATCAACTAGCTCTCCATATGGGACATTTAACAACACTACATTTTATGGCTAGAGTGTATCACTTAAGTCAAAGTCAATATTGGGAGGCCAAGGCGGGTGGATCACTTGAGGTCAGGAGTTTGAGACTAGCCTGGCCAACATGGTGAAACCCCGACTCTACTGAAAATAGAAACGTCAGCTGGGTGTGGTGGTGGGAGCCTGTAATCTCAGCTACTCGGGAGGCTGAGGCAGGAGAATCGCTTGAATCTGGGAGGCAGAGGTTGCAGTGAGCTGAGATCACACCACTGCACTCCAGCCTGGGCGACAGAATGAGACTAAGTCCAAAGACAAGCAAACAAACAAAAAAACAAAACAACAACAATAAAAAAATTCAATAGATGTGGCTAGGCGTGGTGGCTCACAACTGTAATCCCAAAACTTTGAGGTGGGAGAGAGGATTGCTTGAAGCCAGGAGTCTGAGACTAGCCTGGGCAACACAGTAAGACTCCATCTCTTAAAATAAAATTTAAAATTAAAAAAAAAAAAAAAAAAAATTTAGCCCAGCATGGTATTGCATGCCTTTAGTCCCAGCTACTCAGGAGGCTGAGGGAGAAGAATCGCTTAAGCCCAGGAGTTCAGGTTATAGTGAGCCATGATTGCACCACTGCACTGCAGCCTGGGAAAAAGAGTAAGATCCTGTCTCCAAAAAAAAAAAAAAAAAAAAAAAAAAAAAAAAAAAGGCTGCGCATGGTGGCTCACGCCTGTAATCCCAGTACTTTGGGAGGCCAAGGTGGGTGGATAACCTGAGGTCAGGAGTTCGAGACCAGCCTGGCCAACATGGTGAAACCCCGTCTCTACTAAAAATACAAAAAACTGGGCATGGTGGTGGGCACCTGTAATCCCAGCTACTGGAGAGGCTGGTAAGAGAATCACTTGAACCTGGGAGGCAGAGGTTGCAGTGAGCTGAGATTGCACCACTGCACTCCAGCCTGGGGAACAAGAGCAAAACTCCGTCTCCAAAAAAATTTAAAAATTTAAAAAAATAAAATAAAGGGTAGAAATTCTACTTATAACTTGACAAAAGGGTAATGTGCACACATGTAACTTAAACAGTAATCTCACTTTTAAATTAAAAACTGTAAAGTACTAATAGAACCCGAGGAGTATATAAAAATATATTTAATACTTATTTTTTTTTTGAGACAGAGTCTTGCTCTGTCACCCAGGCTGGAGTGCAGTGGCGCAAGTCTGCCTTCCAGGTTCACACCATTCTCCTGCCTCAGCCTCTCAAGTAGCTGGGACTACAGGCGCCCACCACCACACCCAGCTAATATTTTTGTATTTTTTTAGTAGAGACAGGGTTTCACCATTGTTAGCCAGGATGGTCTTGATCTCCTGACCTCGTGATCTGCCCGCCTCGGCCTCCCAAATGCTGGGATTATAGGCATGAGCCACCGCACCCAGCCAAAGATATATTTAATACTTATTAAAGGATACATTTTGGAAAATTTTTGAAAGAAAACTTGAATTCATACCCATGTTGCACAAATCCACACCAAGAATCTATCCTGCAGACAAACTTAAGTGTACACACGCACACGCTCTTCCACTGAAACAAGATGCCAAATCATCTGCATGAATTCATTTAAGTTAAAAAACAACAAGAACACATACAATATTGTGTTTTACAATAAGAAAACAAATTTTTAAAAATATCACAACAGATGGTGTGCACGTGTAGCCCTAGCTATTTGGGAGGCTGAGGTGGCTCACTTGAGCCCAGGAGTGAGGAGCTATAGTGATCATGTCCACTGCACTCCAGGCCTGGGAGACAGAGTGAGTCAGTCTCTTAAAAGAAAAAAAAAACAAGGATCTCCTGGGCTCAAGAGATTCTTCTGCCTTAGCCTACCAAGTAGCTGGGATTGCAGGCATGCACCACCACGCCCAGCTAATCTTTTATATTTTTAGTAGAGACGGGGTTTCACCACGTTGGCCAGGCTGGTCTCAAACTCCTGACCTCAGATGATCCACCCGTATCAGCTTCCCAAAGTGCTGGGATTACAGGCGTGAGCCATCGCGACCGGTCCCAGTCATGAAATCCTATTGGCAGAATCCAACCACTTCATACCACCTCAACTACACTCAATCTAGTCCAAGTCACTATCTTTTCTCAAATGGGTTTCTTCAAGCCTCCTAACTGATCCTCCTCCTACTGGTTCTTACTTCCAAATCAATCAACACAGTAATCAGTGTAAATCTTGTTTTAAAATCTCAATCACATCATACCAACCTCATAATCTTCCAAATGACTTCTCATCTCACGAGGAATAGAAACCAAACTTCTTGCATGGTTCCCACAAGGTCCTATAGTATTTGTCGCCTCTATCCCCTCTCTCTGACTTCACCTCATTTTTTTGTTACTCTCCTAGCTGACACTACCAGTTACTCTGATTTCCTTGCTATATTTCTCCAAGATAGCAGGCAACCTTCCAGATCACAGGCCTCTGCACTTGGCTCTTCAACCACTAATTCCATGGTCATTCTCTCACATCGTGTCTTTTTCTTTAAATGTCAGTATTCAAAGTAACTTTTTTTTTTTTTTTGAGATGGAGTCTCGCTGTCGCCCAGGCTGGAGTGCAGTGGTGGGATCTCAGCTCACTGCAAGCTCCGCCTCCTAGCTTCATGCCATTCTCCTATCTCAGCCTCCCGAGTAGCTGGGACTATAGGCGCCCGCCACAACACCTGACTAATGTTTGTATTTTTTGTAGAGACAGGGTTTCACGGTGTTAGCCAGGATGGTCTCGATCTCCTGACCTCGTGATCCGCCTGCCTCAGCTTCCCAAAGTGCTGGGATTACAGACGTGAGCCACCGTGTCCGGCCCAAAGTAAGTTTTATTTAGAAATACAAGTGAAAGGCCAGGCGCGGTGGCTCACGCCTGTATTCCCAGCACTTTGGGAAGCCAAGGCAGGTGGATCACCTGAGGTTAGGAGTTCAAGACCAGCCTGACCAACATGGTGAAACCTCGTCTCTACTAAAAATACAAAAAATTAGCCGGGCATGGTGGCGGGCGCCTGTAATCCCAGCTACTCGGGAGGCTGAGGCAGAAGAATCGCTTGAACCCAGGAGGCAGACGTTACAGTGAGCTGAGATCGCACCACTGCACTCCAGCCTGGGCGACAAGAGCAAAACTCCCTCTCAAAAAAAAAAAAAAGTGAAAAAAGATTATATTCTTGACTGTAACAACAAAAAATGCCCTGGAATAAGTTTAACAAGAAATTTAAGCACAAAGCTTAAAGATATTGATATTCTACAAATTAATGCAGAATCTTAATAGACTTGAGGGGGGAGGGGAGACAAGGCAAAGGGGATTTAAACAAATAATCTAAAAGATACAACTGAAAGAATGTAAGGAACCATTCCCCAAAATTTCTGATAAGCAAAAATACAGGGGAGTGATCTGGCCTATTACATGTTTTATAGTTACAGTAATTAAAATAATCTGCCCTCGGTTAAGAAACAGAAAATTTAAATAAAAACAAAAATTGACCAAAGTATATATGACAGTTTATTGTTTAACTAAAATAATACTTTTAAATCAGTTTAAAAAAACAAAAGGAGGTATTACTTTTTCAACAAATGAATCAGGAAAACCAAGAGGTCATACAGAAGAAAACGGCTGCATTTCTGCCTCACACCAAAATTAATTCTAAATAAAGATTTATTCATTTTCATTTTATTTTATTTTTTTGATACAGAGTCTCGCTCTGTTGCCCAGGCTAGAGTGCAATGGTGCGATCTCGGCTCACTGCAACCTCCATCTCCGGGTTCAAGTGATTCTCCTGCCTTAGCCTCCCAAGTAGGTGGGATTACAGGCACCCACCACCAAGCCTGGCTAATTTCTGTATTTTTAGTAGAGACGGGGGTTTCGCCATGCTGGCAAGGTTGGTCTCAAACTCCTGACCTCAGGTAATCCACCCACCTTGGCCTCCCAAAGTGCTAGAATAACAAGTGTGAGCCACCGTGCCTGGCCCCAAATAAAGATTTAAATATAAAAACAAATATTATACTCAAATCTAAAAAAAAAAAAATTGTGAAGCAATATATAGTGGTTAACAGTATGAGCTGTGGAGCCAGACTGCCTGGGTTTGAACCTTGACTCCGCCACTTACTAGCTGTGTGGCCTTAAGACAAGTTACTGTGTCTTCATCTTTACTAACAGGAGAGTACCTGATAGAGTTGTTTTAAAGATAAATAACTCACAACAGTATCTGGCTCTCGACTCTTAATCACTTTTGTAAAACCGTAAGTATAGCTACTGATAGAACATTTACCATCAAACTTGATAGAACATTTACCATCAAAGATCTTGATTTCAAAATTCTAGCTTCTTAACACTGTATAATATGATCATTGATAAGTCACATGACATCCTTAAATTTTCTCACTTGTTAAAAAGGACTAATAATACCAATTTCATGGGAGTGTAGGAAAGATCAAATGACTCTGTAACTGTTAAAACATTACACAAATGTTAGCTAAATTAGTATACCGCATGATTTCTCAACAGCTGGCACTTCTTTGTTGTGGGGCACAGTCCTGTGCACTGTAGATATCTAGCAGCATCTCTGTCCTCATGGTGCATGTGCCTCCCTACTCCCCCAATTTGTGAAAATGAGTAATTACTACAGATATTGCCAAATGTCTCCTGTGAGGACAAAATCACTGAGAACCATGAGGTTCAAATTACGGTCATCCCGTCTAGAAAAATTCAAAGCACAGGCTCCCATTAAATATTAGTGGTGAGTCACAGTAAACATAAGACTCAGTAAAAAAGGAAAACAAAAAAAATAAAAATTAATAGTAAGAACAAAGCTCTCAAAGACTATTGTCAAGAACAAGCCTGAAGAGAGCTTCCCCTACCAAAGATCAGATAACGTTAGCATCATAAAGAAAAGACTACAATGGCTTGAAATACCTCAAATATGTTTCAATCAATGACTCACAGCCCCTTCATGAAAAACTTCAGTGACTGTCCTTAGAGGATAGTAGAAAACTAATTTGTTATTTTGAAAATTGGTAAATAAAAAAAAACAACAAATCATGCTTTCTTCTGTACAAACTGTACCTCAGGGTAAACAAATAGTTGAAAAGGACAATTTTCCCTTTATAAACATATTCTATCTAGCTAATAAAAGAAAAACAGAAATGATACAAGTAGAATATCACCATTCTTCAGCTTCCAATTTAACAATGGGTCCAGGCAATGATCACCAGTGGTTGATAACAAACAGTTTAGTCATTACGTGTCTTCTGATACAAGCATAAGGCGGCCACCTTGTGTTTTCTCACGAAACTAAAACTGGACTTATTCACGTTTCTACTAGTTTTCAAGAAAAACAAGGGACAGAAAAACATCACTGTTTTTTAAATGCACTAAAAATAAGATGGATTAATAAATGGAAGGATGATTGTATGCTAAAATGTTAGTGGTAGAACCTAGGGAGTAGCTACATAGGTGTTCACTGTAAAATTCATTCAACTTCGTATCTGAATAATTTCATAACAAAATTTGGAAAAGAAAACAGTGACACCACAGGACTTCTGCTTCTAGCAGAGTAATAGTGATCAGATTTACCTTTCAGTCATAAACCAGAAAACTGGACAACAGGCAGTATAACACTGAGAAATAAATGGGGTGGTCTCTAAGACTGCCCTGGTTTTCCGTCTGGAAGTACATTCTAGACTGCAGGGCAGGGAGAGGATCTGAAGCAGAGTATAATAGCTTCACTGAGTTGAGGAAGCAAATTCTCACTAGATCAGAATTCAGAGACTAAGGAAACTGAAAATTGCAAGGCAAAATTCTTGAGAGGAGGAAGCTTTACAGAAAAAGAGCCCCAGAAATCTTCATAAGATCCCCCTGAGTGTTTGCTAAATATTAAAAGGTGCATGTAAAGGGTGAAACTATCAGGCCAGGCAAGAGCAACTAGGCAGCTGTGAGCTGAAATGGTTTCCACAGCTAACACAAGCCTGAGAGGCTTTTAAACTGTGACCAGCCAAAGTTGCATAGAGAATTCAAGACAGAAGATCCTGCTTTAGTTGTGGAGCTAGACTACTAAGGTGGCCAACTCCTCACCTGACCTAACAAATGACAAGGAATTTACCTGCCAGCAAAACAAAGCCTCTTTAAAGGAAGATGGCACAATCCACATGCTACAAGCAGGGAAAATTATTAATTGGATTTTCAGCTTAAAACATAAATAAAACATTGTTAGATATGCCAAGAGGCAAGAAAATACTACTATAGGGATAAAATTTTTAAAAGAAAGTAGGCTGTGGGAAACTAAGGTATCAGATAAATGAAGTTTTCTCAACAAATAAATCACCTATATGGATAGCTTGTATCAAACCAACACTCTCACTAATTGGAAAAGCCAGATTTAAAACACACACACACACACACACACACACACACACTCTCTCTCTCTCTCTCTCTCTCTCTCTCTCTCTCAAAACATAAGAAAAATGCTGACATAATGACAATATTGAAAGCTAAGATTCCAGAGAGGAAAAGAACCTGGCCAACATGGCGAAAACCCATCTCTACTAAAAACACAAAAATTAGCTAGGCATGGTGGCACGTGTCTGTAATCTCAGCTACTTGCTGAGGCAGGAGAATCGCTTGAACCTGGGAGATGGAGGTTTCAGTGAGCCAAGGATGTGCCACTGCACTCCAGCCTGGGCAACAGAGCGAGACTCCATCTCGGAAAAAAAAAAAAAGAAAGAAAGAAAAAAAAAAGAGCAGAGCTTTTGGTACTCTTGTAGGGCTGAATGGATAACACTAGAGACTTGAAATGTCAAATTATCAATAAAAAGAGGACAGGGAACTAAGCATGACACACTTCCAAGTACCACCCTCCCAAAGAAAAAGCTGAAGTTGTGAATGGTAGGAGGCTACAAAGCTAAGTGGAAAGTCTCTGAAAAGGGCAGAGATGTTTCTGGCAGTCTCGTGAGGAGACTAGAATTAGATCTCAGGATATGCTAAGAGGAAAGGAGGCTGGGCACAGTGGCTCACACCTGTAATCCCAGCACTTTGGGAGGCTGAGGCGGGCAGACCACCTAAGGTCAGGAGTTCGAAACCAGCTTGGCCAACATGGTGAAACCCCGTCTCTACTAAAAATACAAAAATTAGCTGGGCATGGTAGCACGCGCCTGTAGTCCCAGCTACTTGGAAGGCTGAGGCAGGAAGGAGAATCATATGAACCCGGGAGGCAGACGTTGCAGTGAGCCAAGATCATGCCATTGCACTTCAGCCTGGGTGACAGAGCGAGGCGAGGCTCTGACTCCAAAAAAAAAAAAAAAAAAAGAGAGAGAGAGAGAGAGAGAGAGAGAGAGAAAAGGAAACTGATCAACACATGTTCTCAGCTGGAACTAAGAGAGAGAAACAGACTGTTATCTTTTTGAGACAGAGTCTAGCTCTGCTGCCCAGACTGGAGTGCAGTAGCTTGATCTTGACTCACTGCAACCTCTGCCTCCCAGCTTCAAACCATTCACCTGCCTCAGCCACCTGTGTAGCTGCCACCACAGCTGGCTTTTTTATTTTTGAGATGAAGAGATTGCACCACTGCACTCCAGCCTGGCGACAGAGCGAGACTCCATCTTGGGGGAGGGGAGGGGGACAAAAAACAAACAACAACAACAAAAAATCAGCCTGTGCAACACAGTGAGACCTGCATCTCAATAAAATAATGAGATAAAATACTTGATACACGAAGAAATTCCCACGTTCCCTTAATTAATACTGCAATGCTATCAATTCTCTTTGAAGGAATTCCCAAGAAATACTCAATTTAATACTTATGAAGGAATTAATACCAAAGTAAAACTCTATTCACCATTTTCTGTTAATCATAGCATATTCGTCCAAAACACTAAAAGAATTCTTTTGGCTCAAGGACAGGTTATAATCATTTGCTTTTGCTTTGCATTTGATATTCGTTATCTAACTCATCCACTGTTAACATGTGGAAAGATTTTCAAAGGTTTGGCAACTCTATCACAATCAAGCATATCCCACAACTGGCTCTTGAAGATCCATCAGAGTGAAGAAACAAAACGTGTAAGCTTCTATTTTATCTCAGTCTTTCAAAATTTATTTTGTATGTGTTTTATAATGTATATATAAAACACCGTCATAACAGTTTAGAGGTAACTGTTCCAAGCACAGAGTGATTTCTGAGTATTCTTTTAGTAGCTTTATGTCCTAAGGTACAATTTTCTACATGGCATGCTTGCTCCTTTCCAAATGTCTAACTAGTATGAAAAAGTTGGTTGGGCCTCCAAGGTCTATTGCACTCTGTCAAGGAAGAACGTATCAAATTATTAACTTTTAATACTGACTCATATTCTAGTTCATTAGTCCTCAACCATGGTGTCATGAAACTGGATTTAAATAGGTGGAATCAAAACTAGGAGGCCTAGAATCATATATTAACACCTTTATTTACCCTGATGTCTACAGGAAACCTGGTCATAGCCATGAGAGAATGCCCTGTACAAAAATGTCACTCTTCAAGTGTGATACAATGGGAAGAAGAGGAGGACTACTCGGAATTCTATGGAAGCCAGCTTTAAAATTTGGCCCAGAGCAATCCCCCCTATGACAACAAGGACTACAAAATTCTAAAATGATGCCAGTACACTGCCAATTTGTTAGGAAATTGCTACTTTTTAAAAAATTGAAAGAAATGCTATTAAGGGCAATAAAAATTTCAAGGGTATGTTAGTAATAAATGTAGCCATTACCTATTCTACTGGTTATTAGTACAAAAAAACCCAGCCTTTTCAACCATTCATTTCCAAACACTGATGGTTTCCACTGCCAGACTATACACAAGTTTCTAATGGTCCACAGTAAATTGAGAATGAGAACAATGCAGTAAATTATTAATAAAACTACATTCTTTTCTTTTTTAAAAAAATACTATTTGTCTTATGGTTTAATTATAAACATAATTTTACTTAAAAAATAAAAAGCAACCTTATTTGAAAATTGGCTGGTACCAATTTTATTTTAATAACTTTATTGATCTGAAATCTTAGTACGTTTAGGTTAAGTTATAAACACCTACTTCACTTAGGCACTGGGCCAGGAAAAGAACATAATGGCATATAAGAACTTTCCACTGGAGTGCTTCTTCATTCACTTAGATAATTACTAACATCCACCATACTAGACCCCTAAAGTGATGAAACACACAATAAATAGCAATATAGGCTATTCAGTAATTACAACTAGTAATTCCGTCATTTTATAATAAAATTATGATTTAGGAAGTACTCCATGTTCTCCATGAGCCTTACTCTGATATTCACTTACCACACCCTAGTGGTTATTCCTTAGATTACATTTAAAATATTCCACATTCAGAGTTGTAGAGGCCTTAGACTATTATCTCCTCCAGGATTACTACTGTTAGTCTGTCTTTCCACCTCCAGTCTCTTGTGCCAATCCATCCCAAACATAATAGTTACAGATTGGCCGGGCGCGGTGGCTCACGCCTGTAATCCCAGCACTTTGGGAGGCCAAGGCGGATGGATCAGCTGAAGTCAGGAGTTCGAGACCAGCCTGGCCAACATGGTGAAACCTTGTCTCTACTAAAAATACAAATATTAGCCAGGCGTCGTCGTGGGTGCCTGTGATCCCAGCTACTCAGGAGGCTGAGGCAGGAAAATTGCTTGAACCCGGGAGGCGGAGGCTGCAGTGAGCTGAGATTGTGCCATTGCACTCCAGCCTGGGTGACAGATCAAGACTCCAACTCAAAAAAAAAAAAAAAAAACAAACAAAAAAAAAAAAAAAAAAAACCATGTTACAGCAGATTTACCTCCCCCAAAATAGCTTACAACACTTCTCTGCTCAAAAATTTAAAACTTATAGACTGAAACCCAAATCATCAGTTTGGGCATTCAAGGCTTCCTATTTATTTACTGATAGATCTCATTTCTCTTTATTCCCAACGAGTTTAACTTACTGAACACTTTGTTTTAGTCATTGATTTTAAGAAGTACAAGTGATATAACAACAGCTTTTTTTTTTTTTTTTTTTTTTTAGATGGACTCTCACTCTCTCACCAGGCTGGAGTGCTGTGGCGAGATCTCAGCTCACTGCAACCTCTGACTTCTTGGTTCAAGCGATTCTCCTGCCCCAGCCTCTCGAGTAGCTGGGATTACAGGCACGTGCCACCACGCCCAGCTAATTTTTGTATTTTTAGTAGAGATGGGGTTTCATCATGTTGGCCAGGGTGGTCTTGATCTCCTGACCTCATGATCTGCCCCACCTTGGCCTCCCAAAGTGCTGGGATTACAGGCATGAGCCACTGTGCCTGGCCAGCCTTTTTAAGGGCAAAAGAGTTACTGCACTAAACGTGCATCTCAATTTTAAGATATATTCCAGCCATAATTCAACTAAGCTGATAGCCCTTTAAAAACACAGTAATTGGGCTGGGTGTGGTGGCTCACGCCTGTAATCCCAGCACTTTGGGAGGCCGAGGCGGGTGGATCACTTGAGGTCAGGAGTTCGAGACCAGTCTGGCCAACACGGTGAAACCTCATCTCTACTAAAAATACAAAAAATAGCTGGGCGTGGTGGCGTATGCCTGTAACCCCAGCTACTCGGGAGAATGAGGCAGGAGAATCGCTTGAACCCGGGAGGAGGAGGTTGCAGTGAGCCGAGATCGCACCATTGCACTCCAGCCTGAGCAACAGAGCAAGACTCCATCTCAAAGAAAAAACAAAACAAAACAAAACCTCAATGAGTTCCCTCAAGTATGTTTTATTTGGTTCTGGAATGCAGTAGAGATCATTTAAGATGCAGGTAAGGAAAAAATATTAATCACTTGCTTTGTGTGTTCTGTACTCTGTACTCACAATAACTGTGAACTCACTGTCATGTAACAATATTAGAACATAATTTACCTGTTAACTTCTTTGCTGTCATTAGAAAGTAAGCTCCATGAAGATAAGGGCTTTGTTTTCCTTACCAATGCAACCTGGCTGCCCTGAATAATACGGTGGGCATTCAAAAATGCTGTTGAATAAATCTGTCTGGAAAACTGAGCAATTCAAGATGACAGAAGACAAGATGCTTGCTCATCAGCAAATACCACTGAGGTCATGTCATGAGTGAGGAGCCATGTGAGACACAGAAAGCAACCTAGACAGAAGGAATGGGGTGTGTCTCTAACTCTGGAAGAACTCCAGCTTTCTGCTAGATCTAGTACATGGTATATTTCCCAAAGTCAACTAATTTCTCTGTCTTATTTTTCATGCAGCTTACTTTTGTGTCAGGATGATTCTGTTTTAGAAAGTGGCATTGGAACAAAAGGATATTTAGTTTTATGCCTATCTCTTGCCTAAGCTACCTTTTATAATTTTATATGTACATTCAAAACTACATTCGTTCTTAGGCATGGATCAGAAGAAGGTTGGCTACTTCACATATTAAAAAACAAAATCCAGGAGGCCACCACATACTTCAGAAAATTTTTATACGACTCCTGATGTCATGCCATAGTGGCTGGTAAACTGCCAAAACAGAGGAAGGGTGCTTTATTTTCATGAGGTGGCGGTTTTTTTTTTTTTTTTTAAATGTAAAAGCATTCTGTGTTAAATTCATCAAGGAATTGACAAAAAGCTATTTTCCTACACTTGACAGTAATATACTGTTTTCTGACATTCCTGTTATCAACTCCTCTGAAAATCTTTTAGAGATATACGACTATTAGTAAAAAAAAAAAAAAAAAACAAAAAAAAACTGAGACTGAAATGTCAATATGAAAACCCTGCCAAATACCTTATTCTTATCTATTTCTGCTATTTTGATATTTCAGGTAGAGTCCGAGGAATAGACAGGAAGAAATGGTATCGCCTGACAGTCAATTCTACAATTCTTTTCTTTAAAGAGAACATGGCAAACTTACACAGTACAACTGCATACTAGAATAAAACAAGGAAAGTACTGAAAATTCACCATGCAAATACTAATTGTTCCAGCAATTCTCTCATCTCCCTTATTTGTCATTAGCAAATATGTTGCTAGTGGCTCTCTTAAGAAAAATTCCCATTCTCTGCTCTCTTTTACAGCAACATTCTTTGAAAATGTTATCTACAATGGTTCCCTCAATTCCTTCTGTGGCCTTGTCTCCTGAAACCACTCCAACCATGCTTTAATTCACCTTTCTCCCTCTACCAAAACTGCTCACCAATGTCTGCAACAACCCCACCCCACTAAATTCAATGGTCTCAATTCT
The DNA here is from genome assembly GCF_000001405.40 of Homo sapiens. Classification (NCBI taxonomy): domain Eukaryota; kingdom Metazoa; phylum Chordata; class Mammalia; order Primates; family Hominidae; genus Homo; species Homo sapiens. Next base: position 766,677 of record NT_187663.1, read on the forward strand.
CAGCCTTCATCTTACTGATCCTGTCTGTAACAACTGACACAGACAATCCCTCCTCCTCCTCCCTCTCCAAAACACTTTCTCCCCTTGCCTTTCACATACCACACTCTCTTGGTTTTTCTTCTACTTTATTCGTCACTCCCTTCCCAATCCTTTCCTCATCTTTCACAGGAATGAGGAGGAATACCTAAGCTCTGGAATACATCAAAGGGCTAATCCATATACCTCTTCTTTATCTGAGCTCTCCAGCACTCTCTATTCCCTCCTCTATTGCATTTCTCTCTCCAGGATTTTTTTTAATTAATTAATTTTTTATTATTATTATACTTTAAGTTTTAGGGTACATGTGCACAACGTGCAGGTTAGTTACATATGTATACGTGTGTTTTTTTTGTTTGTTTTTTTGTTTTTTTAAAAGACAGAGTCTCAATCACTCTGTCATCCAGGCTGGAGTGCAGTGGCACAACCATGGTTCACTGCAGTGTCAACCTGGTGGGCTCAAATGATCCTCCCGCCTCAGCCTCCTGAGCAAATGGACTACACACGCTCGCCCACAGCAGGCTTTTTTTTTTTTTAAAGATATGGGGTCTCACTATGTTGCCCAGACTGGTCTCAAACTCCTGAACGCAAGTGATCCTCCTTCCTCAGCCTCCCAAAGTGCCAGGATTACAGGTATGAGCCACTGTGCCTAGCCTCTCTCCAAGATTTAATGCTATAGGACACACTGCAGAGTTCATTTATTATTTTCTTTCTCTTAACAACTAGAATATTTCATAGGGTAAGCACTTTTGTCTGTTTTGTTTAGTGTTGTATACCCAGTGACTAGACAGATTTAGCTCGTTGCAGGAAGCCAATAAATATTTGTTGAAAGAATGAATGAACAACAACAAAAGTGGTAACAATAACAGCCACTTTGTACGAGGAACTTATCAACCAGACATCCCAATAAGCATGTTACATATATTTCATTGAACCCTCAAACAACCCTATGAGATCTCTGAGGCTTTGGAGAGGAGTGGAAGTCAGGGTGGTTAACATGCACCAAATTACCAAACTACTAAGTGGTAGTACCATGATTCAAACCCAAGGTTATCATCTTCAAAGATAATGCTCTTAATTCCTGCACAGTACCAATTTTACTGGAATATTATTATCTCATTAGTTTTGGAATAAAGGCAACTGCTATTTGAAGAGTCAGCAATCTAAAATTCCCTACAGTTGTGAATTAATCTCCATTTCCTTTGTGAAGACAAACTTTTTTTTAGTAATATCAATTTAAAAACTTTAGTGAAGATTCCTTTTTTTCTCAGGCAGGGTCTCACTCTGTCACCCAAGCTTAAGTACAGTGGCACAAATACAGCTCAAAGCAGCCTCAACCTTATGGGTTCAAGCAATCCTGCCTCGGCCTCCTGAATAGCTGGGACTACAGGTGTGCACCACCATGCTTAATTTTTAAATACTTTGTAGAGATGAAGGTCTCACTATATTTTCCAGGCTGGTATTCAATTCCTAGGCTCAAGCAATCCTCCCGCCTTGGCCTCCCGAAGTGTTGGGATTACAGGCATGAGCCACTGCACATGGCCAAGATTCTTTTTTAGGGCAAAGGATTCTATACTGCCATTTTCAGTGATAACAGTGAAGGTGAGAGGGCACACTATTCTCCTTCAAAGTGTTAAGGGCAGTACTTAAACTTTCAGTCTCTCCCATTTCTATTAAAAAGCTCAAGACAGTGGTTTTCAAAACTAGCTGCAGAGTCACCGAGGAGCTTTGTGTTTTCTGAAAACAAGATTCCAACATCCAACTCCAGAGCAAACAGGGCCCAGGAACCTAGTATTTTATAAAGCTCCCCAGAAGACCTTGGTGGTTAGCCAAGTTTAGAAAACACCAAAGTTGGCAAGAGACTAACTCTATCTGAGCATCTGGCTCACTGCTTGACAATGACCAACTCTCATCTGTACCGACCTTCTTGGAAAGAGGAACGATGCTGTTGGGTCGAACAAGCCTCCGCTTCTTACAGCTCAGTACAGGACGTGTCCGGGCTGCCACACAGGTGCCATCAGATGATGAAGAGACGAGATTCAGTCGTTGCTTCTTATGTAATTGTTCCTCAGCATCAGAGCTGTCACCTGGAATGTGGTCTGCCAAGACAGGCTGAAGACTATACAAGGGGAAGGAAGAGTATTCTCAGAACACACAAAGAAACAAAATAAATAAACAACAAGAAAACACAAAGAAACAAAGCCTCTTATACTAGTTCAACCTCTATTTGCTAATGTTCAGACACAAAGAAGCATTCTAGAGCAGAAGCAGGTCTCCTCTTGATGTCTGTTAATCTACCTGTGTGTGCTTATGTGTAAGGTTCTTGGTGCACATTAACTACATCATGTCTGAAAGATAAAAGTCAATAAATAAACTCAAGTTCTAGTGATTGAGTTCTCCTCTACATCAAACACACGAGTAAATAAAGTCTAGAGAACTACAGTTGGTTAGAAAATGATGAATTTTGCAAATGTTAATGGGCTTCCTTAGAATCAGTTCTATGAAACCCGAATTTTAAGGGTGTTGTACACATCATTCACTTGTACAGAATCTCCCTGAATCTTTTGTTTTCTCCCTTGAATCTTCATAAATACAGATTTACAAACATAGCCCTTGGAGATCTAATCTGTCCTAAGCAGAGGAGGTTAATATAAGCACTTCTGAGGAATTCCTGCAAGATTAAAACAATAATAATTCACAGTAACTGTAGTGTCTTTTATTTTACTCCATGCCCACTCCATTTTAGTAGGTAAAAGGAAAATATACAATTAATTAAAATGCACTGCTTCATTATACAGTGAAGATTAAAAATGTTACTAAGTGATAAGGCTTCCGCTTCTTTAAACCAGGGTCAGTCCTGGCTAAAGAGAACTAAGAGCTCCAAAACACCTTTACAAGTCTACTAAGTGTAGGAAGTAGAAGAGCTAAAACTTACGTGTTAATAACTCCATTGACAGGTCTGAGTGCTCCACATGATTTGGTAGACAGTGACTCTGAAATATGACCAATAATAGGGGCACCATGGTTTTCCAATGGCTGAGAAACAGACTCAATCTGATTAAGAAAAAGGAAAAAAGAAATTAACATGTACCCAAGCGCACCCCTGCCTGAAAAGCACCACCACTTCATTTGCACAAAGCACCTAAAACTTCTGATGATCAATTTGAAAAACACAACTTGAATGACTGAAGAAAAAGAAAATAAGAGAATCAGTGGTCAGGTATGATGGCTCGCAACTATAATTGCAGCACTTTGGGAGGCCAAGGCAGGAGGATCGCTTGAGACCAGGAGTTTTGAGACCAGCCTGGGCAACACAGCGAGACCTCATCTCTAATTAAAAAGAGAGAGAGAGAGGTTGACAGAGAGAAGGAGAATATTATATTAGCTTTTGCTTTGGGGGGAAGAGGGATGAGGAATCCAAATGTACAGACTAAAAGTAAGTACCTATTGACAGGAAAATGACCTCAATAATTCTATGGAACAGAAGCTTAGCAAAACAATTACACAGTAACATAAGCTTTCAACTAATGATCAAGAAGGATATACTAACATCAGTATCAAGATGACTAAGAGGAAATTTAAATGTAGTTAATATCTGCTTAACTCTAACAGAGTATGCTAGAAGCTTGTTTTCTAAAAACTATGCTTTGTTTAAAAATATACACACAGGCCGGGGATGGTGGCTCATGACTGTAACCCCAGTATTTTGAGAGGCAAAGGTAGGAGGATCTCTTGAGCCCAGGGGTTCAAGACCAGCCTGGGCAACATGACAAAACCCCATCTCTACAACAAAAAAATACAAAATTAGCCGGGCATGGTGGTGCGTGCATGTAGTCCCAGCTACTCAGGAGGCTGAGGTGGGAGGAGGATCACCTGAGCCAGGAGGCAGAGGCTGCAGTGAGCCATGATCATGCCACTGCACTCCAGCCTGGGTGACAGAGTGAGACCCTGTCTCAATGAATAAATAAATAAATAAACACACACACACATTTTTCCCTGACAGAAAACAAAGTTAATAAAATCTCAATGAATCTAATTATCTGATGCTATCAGATACTAACTATTGTCTTTAGAGTATTCAAATCAAATATGTTTAGAATATAAAATGAAATAACAGATGAGAAAGAATAGAAAAAGTGTGATTTGCAGTATTCAAAACAAATTATATATTTACTAGGCTCAAAACGGATAGGAACAGTATGAATGCCAGTCATATAGCACCTCTGAGGTATAGGCAATAAAGCAACAGATGCAGCTATCCCTCAGTTCTAGCAATTGTTGAACTATCCCAGAAAGGCTATGGGTCTTTGACTCCTTACTTTATTTTTTTGAGATGAAGTCTCGCTATCCCGCCCAAGCTGGAGTGCAGTGGCATGATAGCAGCTCACCGTAGCCTCCACCTCCCTGGTTCAAGCGATTCTCCTGCTTTGGCCTCCTGAGTAGCTGGGATTACAGGCACACACTACCATGCTCATGTAATTTTTGTATTTTTAGTAGAGATGGGGTTTCACCATGTTGGCCAGGCTGTTCTTGAACTTCTGACCTCAACTGATCTGCCCTCCTCGGCCTCCCAAAATGCTGGGATTATAGGCGTGTGAGCCACCACACCTAACCTGTCTCCTTACACTTGAACTGACTCTGGGGCACGCTGAAGTTCTCTTTCCTATAAAAGCTTTCAAGGTAAATATTCCTATAAATGCTTCCTACAAATGCTTTCAAGGTAAATATTTTGAGGCTGAAATTCTACTTTTCAATACTGATTTCTTTTGTCTTTATACCCCCAAGGATAAAACACCAAAGGACTGAACCTGAAAGTAGTCCTAGACAAGCATCAAAAAGAACAGACTGAGGCTGGGTGTGGTGGCTCATGCCTGTAATCCCAGCACTTTGGGAGGCTGAAGCAGGCAGATCACCTGAGGTCAGGAGTTCGAGACCAACCTAGCCAACATGGTAAAATCCCATTTCTACTAAAAATACAAAATTAGTTGGGCATGGTGGCGCCTGTCTGTAATCCCAGCTCCTCCGGGAGGCTGAGGCACAAGAATCACTTGAACCCAGGAAGTGGAGGTTGCAGTGAGCCAAATCACGCCACTGCACTGCAGCCTGGGAAAGAGAGAGAGAGAGACTGTCTCCAAAACAAAACAAAACAAAAAACAAACAAAAACAAAAAACAGATTGGGAAGATAATCTAAAAGTTTTAATACAAATTATCCTAAAATACAGATCAAACTATATACACAGACAAGTCATATAAGTATGCTACAATGAGTGAACACCGAGAAAAGGCTGTCTTTTTTGTTGGATATCCTGTACATCTACTAAGATATCACAAACATCTTGAACAATTGTCAATGCTATCAAAAATTACAGTAAATCTGGCATAGACACATTGCCTTAAGCTCTATGCAGATTTCCCTTGGAAAGCAACACGGTATTAAGCAGCAAGAGCTATAAGGATATTCCTATCTTCTGACAAAATATTCTAACCAATTTTTAAAAATCTACCCTAAAGGAGTAACTCAACAAACACAGCCCCAAAAATCTTATTCACAAAGGTGGTCACTGCAATGATATCTATCAATAATCTAAATGTTGTAAGCATTATAACTATAGTTATCAGTTGTGGTACACCAAATCAAAATATTAAAAAGAATCATAAAGGATATTTCTTCTCTTATGGAAGAAGAGATTTCAAGAGAAAAAAATAATAGTTTAATATAGTTGTAGTGACTAAAAATATACATACACAGATAACAACAAGACAAAGAGTGTTACAGTTGTAAAACTATTCTGAAATTTTCTTTACATTTTAGGTAATAGTTTTATATTAAAAAGAAACCCCCATAAAACCAAATACCCTCCTGAATGCTAGTAAGGATTTACTACACAGGGGAAACCTCAAAAAGGCTAAACAAATATGGTATGACAAAGAACAAGAAAAATCAAAAGAATTTAAGATTCAGGTTGGTATTAACTAACAGATGTATAACTTCAGGCATGTTATAGGTATTCTAGATTTCAGAAGTTCTGGTTTAGATGAAAAAGTTTCCTTTCAATAGAAAAATGCTGTTTAAAAATGCTGTTTGTTTTTATTTCGGCATTAAATTATGGCAGTGATTTGATTTATATATGGTATATATAATTTATATGGTATATTTGATTTATATATGGTATATATAATTTATATGGTAGTGCCTTCACGTGTTCTAGAAGGTACTACGTTTAAGTAACGGGTTGACTGACTCTCCATTTGATTAAGTTTTTCTGGTAGGGATTATGAGATTTAACTGCAAGAACACTTGTCAAGATAAAATGTTGCCATTCTCTAACAAAGTCTCATTTCAAAACATTTATCTTTCTTATACAAAGTCTAAAGAAGAATATGTCAAGTAAAATCACCAGTAATGTCACGATCCATATAGCTAACTACTACTGCTATAACAGCCTGTCTTGTTTCTCATGTCTGCAGGTGTATATATTTAAATGCTATTCAGCTTTAACATGAATGTTATTGATTTTCTTATAGAAACCTGAATCTTCCTGGAGTAATTCAGCCCCCAAATCAAAATTGAAGTCAACAGGCAACACATTATTAACATGGAAATGTTGTCAAGAACATAGAGGTATACAGAGGTCAAGAGCATAAACATCAGAAAGGGACTGTGGCTGGCCTGCATTCCCAGCCACAAAAAAGAAAGCACTGGATACTCAGGAAGGATCTACTTAAGATCTTGGGAAATTCTGTAATCAAGCTAGTATCCAACAGCAGGCATTTGGACATGTCCTGCAACCCATCATCAATGCAAAGAGCTTAAAATATTAATCCCAATCACAGTGTTCCATTTGGAAAAAGAAAAACATAACACACAAACACATGTAATTTCACCTAGCTCCTTAAATGCAGGCACTCTCCCTTGAGAAAAAATGAACATTTCCTATCCTGCAGTCTAAAAGGCTGCAAATGCAGAGGATAAACATTAACAAACACTTAAGAAATATTAAATCCGCATACTAATTTCAGCTTATTACTACTGCAGTGGTTTACATCATTAGTGTTTTTAGAAAACTAAAGCATGACTGAGATATCTGCTATCCAATAGGCAACTGCAAAAAGGATGAAAGAACTTAAGACTCTCCTACCTAGAAAATAAGGATTATCACTGAAGCTTCCATTTGAATTTTATTTGATGTTGAGATGAACTCAGGGTTTATGCATCCCACAGCCAGAAAGAAAGAGTAGAAAAGCTAAAGTGGTAGACAGAGTGCCTCTGTAATCCCCTCCTCTCCAAAGCAGGGCCCTAGGGGATTATCTTTTGGAGTAATCTTACAGTTAAAGGTAGCAAGGAGGGTTGCTGAATTGCTCCCCCCACCCCTCCCCCCGCCCCGATTGAAAGGGCCAGGTGTACAGCATAAAATTACTAACATAGCAATGAGATTCAAATTTGTTATTCACATAAAGCAGGCATCTCATTCATTACTCCACTCTGGGCCAGATCAAGTAAGCGTGACAAAGAGGCCTTGAATGAAAAGCTAAAACTAAATAGTTTTTACGGGGGTCGTTTTTTCTAGGGTCTAAGAACCAATGTCTACTAGATTTGTTTCACCAAAAAGTAGAGAGGGTTAAGGGGTAAAAACAGAGAGCCACACACTTAAAAGCACACAATAAAATTAAACTCTACCTGCAAATATGTATTTTTACTTTATTCAATTAATGCCATGTCACACCTGCTTGCAATGTCATTTTTTAAATGTATCACATTCGTTTGGCTAGAAAAGTCAACAGTTCAGTTTTGGTTAGTTATTCCCTTTCTGACAAACATTAAAATGGAAAGAAAATGCTAACTGGGTGACAGGAATTTAACTTATTCCTGGGTTAAAATAGTTTTTGACTTTGTATGATTGATTTCATGTCTCAAGCCCACCCCACCCCCATTTCAATGATACTGAGCATAGTTTCGCTTAAATTCACCAAAATATTGCTGGCCTATAAATAGTATACTAGCCATTTCCATTAGCTAGCACCATGGCCATAAAATTGTACTAAACAAGAAGTGGAATGTTCTGAAAATTCCATTTTCACTAAGTTATTGCCTAGGCTTTAATTTCTGCCTATGTGGGGCTATGTGCCTCACTTTCCGGCTTCTGCAGGTTGAGGATAAAAGAAAATCTATAAAATTACATTATAACAATTTTGAACTCATTTTTTTAAAGTTTTGATTAGCATAATGCTGTTACTAATCCAATGGTTCCTAAGCCTAAGATTTATGTTTACCAACACTTGAAAATAACTATCTAGAATTTAAAGAAATATAGCAAATGCAAAAATGCATCTTAAATTCTTATTGTTCAACTTATTTATCCATAGCCCAATTTATTATAAAAGACCTAACTTGTCAGTGTTTTCTAACACTGTGGGTCAAATATTTCTTGGCCAATATCTGTCCCTTTACCTTCTATCCCAAAACCCTTGTCAGGCCAATGAACTACTCACTGTCCCTAGAGACTGCAAAACTTCAAAGAAAGGAAGAGTATTCCTACTTACACCAATGGAATGAAGATGTATCTTGGACTGTGTAAAAAGAAACAGCAATAGCTTACATTTTTAGCATGCCTTTCTTCTGAGAAAGCATTAGCTCTTCACTTAATAGTACACTTGTTTTTCTCATCACTTCTGTAAAGTAGGATGAGCAAGGAAAGGGTAAAGGAGCAGGATCATTTTACAAACAGAAACTAACACACAAATAATGTGTTACTTGTTAATTGCCATAGAAGCAATGTTTTTCGCTAAACAAAACCCTCCTTAACGTCAAATCTAGTATTTTAAAAAATATTTATCCAAGAAGGAGATTTTAAAAAATATATACATGTGTCTGCTCATCGGTGCAAAAAAATACAGGAAAGATAAGCCAAAACGTACTGAAATTGCTAACCTACAGGACGTTGAGTGAGAAAAGGATATAAAGAAGAATGTATAGCTTTTTTAGAACCACAGTAATGTTTCCCATACAAAAATAAAAATTAACAATGCGGGGTGGGGAAAACAGGGAAGGCTAGAATTGAATACTGTAGTAACAAATGAACCTAACTGTATTACAAAACAACATAACCATACTGAAAGATTTGGTGGAAGGAAATAACTAACCTACGTAACTTCAGAAAACTGTATTTTGACTGCATAACAGTTAACATACTGTACAAAAATATTGTACTCTAGTTAGCAAATGTGTTTTTCACAGGGGTACTAGATGACAACTGTGAGACTATACGGGTACTAGGATTAAACGAGTATCAATAAGGAAGGGGGAAGGCTGCTGTGTTGAACTGGTATGAACTTACGGTTTTTTATATATATATACAGGTTAAGTAGATACAGAAATATAGATGTGTGTGTATGCACCTGTGAGCATAGATACATATGTTTCCTTGCTTTGCCTTTTGAGACATCCTAGAAGCAGTGACACTTACGAAGTAACAATGAGCACAACTAGTACTCAGATTTTAGTTCCTAATAAAAGGAACCTGAGCTGAAGTAGGCAAAATACAAGAGGAACCTGGAACATCTAGTATTAGAAAGTATTTCAAAATATAAGCGGTACATGCTAAAAGGACACAGGAGCCAATCTGAAAGAGCGCCCAATACCCAAAGTTGAGATAACTGGAGCAACTGTATAAACAGTAATAGGTTATAATCCATTAAATAAAATAAATATCCATGGGACCATCCTGATATTCACAACTGAGTCAATGAATGAGTAAATAAATGAGGGGGGAAGACACCTCTTCCTAACAGAATTCCATTTAATGCAGGTAGGAAGTAGAACAACCACCCTTTAGTAAACAACACAGCAATAATTGCTGTAGGAAAAAGTCATCAGTGAACAATAAAATTATGAGTAAAAATATAATGAGCAACAGAATATTTACATAGTGTCTCCCTATAAGACAGTCATTTATTCCAGCCAGGGCAAAATGGCAAAACCTTGTCACTACAAAAAACATAAAAATGTGCCAGGCATGGTGGCACATGCCTGTGATCCCAGCTACTTGGGAGGCTGAGAGATGGGAGGATAGCTGAGCCAGGGAGGTGAAGGCTGGAGTGGTGATTGCGACACTGCACTCCAGCCTGGGTGACAAAGTGAGACCCTATCTCTAAATAAATAAATAAATAAATAAATAAATAAATAAATAAATAAATATTGTCAGTTATTACAAAGGGAAAAATGCTAATTTTACAGAGGAGAAAGCTGTCAGGCACCACCTTAACCAAGGGAACAAACCTATCATCACTATTAGAAAGACAAGTCAAAATCATGAACCCCCTGTGGTGTAGAGAAGGGTACAGTATCTTCTGTGGCATTCCTGTAAAACAATGCGTAACCTCTAATAATGAGAAAACACCAATTTGTGGAACGCTATACAAAATAACTGACCAGAAATCTTGTATCCAAGTAATGAAATACAAAAACTGAGAACTCTCACATATTGAAGGACATTTAGAGATGCAAAAACTAAAAGCAATGATAGATTCTGGACAACAGAAAGGACATTAATAAGAAAACTAATAATACAGAAATTCAAATAAAGTATGTCTATTACTTTGTATAAGTTCAATGTTAATTTCAATGTTAATTTCGTGGTTCTGATAATTAACGATTATTGTGACAAGATGTGTTAAGATTAGAGAAAGCTCCGTACGGAGACTCTGTACTACTATTTCAACACACACACACTCTCTCTTTCTTTCTGACACAATCTCGCTGTTGACCAGGCTGGAATGCAGTGGCACAATCTTGGCTCATTGCAACCTCTGCCTCCTGGGTTCAAGTGATTCTTGTGCCTCAGCCTCCCGAGTAGCTGGGATTACAGGCGCACACCACCACACCTGGCTAATTTTTGTATTTTTAGTAGAGACGGGGTTTCACCATGTTGGCCAGGCTGGTCTCAAATTTCTGTCCTCAGGTGATCTGCCCACCTCTGCCTCCCAAAGTGCTGGGATTTTAGGTCACCGTGCCCAGCCTAAAATCATATTTTAAAAGAATGAAGAAAAAATGTATCTAGCATTAATAAAACAAACTTCATTCATACATAAATCTGTACAGTCTACAGGTTCCTATCAGTTACAGTACTCACTTAAGATAAATATAGAATCCATTCTGAATTGGCCAAAATATCCAACACTCCATCACAGAAAAGTATTTGCAGTTACCTGATAATGCCAGGCTCTTTCAAGCCTATGCTGCATTACACATTACTCCCTACACCATGCTTCAGCAAGTCCATAAGACTCAGAAAAAAGTCCATCCTTCCCTAGGAAACTACCTTTACTGACTCCCTCCAGCACTCCCATTTTATGCTTGTTGGAAGAACAAGAAGCACTCAAGAAAAGATAGATACCTGGTTCTACTTAGTCTTTCAGACACAAAGTGCAGTCTGGAACAATGACAATTAGCTTTTACTAACTTTCATTATCTATCAAACATTGTTAAAAGCAAATTATAAATTTTAAATTAACTTTGTAAGAAGGCTAGAAATCAGGTAGTAGGAGGAGAGTGTGACTCCTCCAATTTGGTTCTTGTTTTTAAAAATTGTTTTGGCTACTGGCCAGGTGCAGTGGCTCACGCCTGTAATCCCAGCACTTTGGGAGGCCGAGGCAGGCGGATCACTTGAGGTCAGGAGTTCAAGACTAGCCTGGCCAACATGGTGAAACCCCCGTCTCCACTAAAAATACAAAAACTAGCTGGGTGTGGTGGCACACGCCTGTAATCCCAGCTACTCGGGAGGCTGAGGCAGAAGAATCACTTGAACCCAGGAGGTGGAGGTTGCAGTGAGCCCAGATCACACCACAGAACTCCAGCCCGAGTGACAGGGAGAGACTTCATCTCAAAAAAAAAAAAAAAAAAAATTGTTTTGGCTCTTGAAAATACTTAACATTTCCATACATACTTGAAAATCAATGTTCAATTGTTACCAAAAACAACACAACATAAACCAAAAAATCTTGCTGGGATTTTTCACTGGGTTTGCATTGAATCATTGTGTCTAACATTGACTCTTCTAACACATAAATACAGCATACATCTCCGTTCACTTATGTAATCTTTTTCAGAAGTTTTATGGTTTCAGCAATAAAGTCATTAACGTCTTTTGTTAGATTTATTCCTAAGTATTTTATGTTTCTTGATACTACCGCAAATGGAACTGTTTCTCCGGGTTATTTTTCAGTTGTTTGCTCTAATAAATAAAAATAGAATTGACTTTTATATATTGACCCCGTACCTGGAGACCTTGGCTAAATCTCTAATTCTCACAGGTTTAGGGAATTCCATGGGGTTTCTAAGTATCATATCTTCAAATACAAGCAGTTTTGCCCTACCTTTTCCAATTTCCATGCCTTTAATTGCTTTTTTCTTGCAATATTGCATTAGCCAAGACAGAGTACAATGTTTTTGTTTGTTTGAGGCAGGGTCTCACCCCGTCGCCCAGGCTCAAGTACAGTAGCATGATCTCAGCTCAGTGCAACCTCCACCACCTGGGCTCAAGCAATTCTCCCACCTCAGCTTCCAGAGTAGTGAGGACTACAGGTGCACGCCCCCACACCAGGCTCATTTTTGTATTTTTTTGTAGAGATGGGGTTTCGTCAGGTTGCTGGAGCTGGTCTTGAACTCTGAGGCTCAAGCGACCCGCCCACCTTGGCCTCCCAGAGTGCTGGGATTACAGGCATGAGCCACTGTGCCCAGCTTACAATATTTTTAGGATATATTTTTTTCCTAATTGTAGACCAACAAAACAAGCACTTTCACCAAGTAGTGTGATGTTAGGCGTTAGGTTTTTTTCCTAATTTTTAAACAGCATCACAGCTCAGGAATAAGGTCTTCACCTTTGATTTTCACGATTTTTACTACAATGTTGTGATTCTCATGGTTATTATTCTTGAAGTTTCATGATTTTTTTATTTTATTTTTGAGACGGAGTCTCACTCTGTTGCCCAGGCTGCAGTGCAGTGCCATGATCTCGGCTCACTGCAACCTCTGTCTCCTGAGTTCAAGCGATTCTCCTGCTTCAGCCTCCCGAGTAGCTGGGATTACAGGTGTCTGCCACCACGCTTGGATAATTTTTGTATTTTTAGTAGAGATAGGGTTTCACCATGTTGGCCAGACTGGTCTCAAACTTCTGACCTCAGGTGATCCACCCACCTCGGCCTCCCAAAGTACTGGGATTACAGGCATGAGCCACCGTGCTCGGCCTAAAGTTTCATACATTTGTAAACTGACTGTTTAAATTCAAAAATCCAGTCATTAAGTTCCTCAATTTTTTTCCATCTTTTTTTTTCTTTTTCCTCATGACTAAGAATCATATTCTCATGTTTATTCATATGTATGGTAATTTTCTATTATATACAGACAATGTATGCAATACATTATAGAGACTCTGAATTTAGTTAGCTTTTCCTAAAGAGTGTTGATTTTTGTTCTAGCAGGCATACTACTACTACCTGGTTACCTTCATTTTGTGGAGCTAGTTTTGTTTTTATAAAAGCATAGTGGAGTCTATTTTGGTTCCCTCCTTAATCCTATGGTGAATGCCTTCGTCCTGGGAAACATTCTTTAACTCTTTAAGTGTGAGCCTTTATTGGTTTCAATCAAAGCCCTCAGGTTTTTGCCAAGTCTAGTTGGAATTCGAACTCCAAATTCTGCCTTCCCTGCATTAGGCAATGATGATCTTCTCTGCTCAGCTCTTTCAGCCTTCCAATTACTGCTTTCCACTATGCCCTATAAAATCTTCCCTAAACATGTGCAGGTCAGGGGTGAGCACAAAGATCTGAAAGGGGCTCAAATAGATTGTGGGCCTATGCCCCTCCCCATCTCCCATAGCTCCCTCTTTGCCACTATTCCCCTCCTTCAATTTCTACCTACTTGGCAGCCCTGAACTCCATCCTCTGATAATATACAAACAAGCCCATGAAGCAGTGACTATTGAATTCTAGAAGCTCTGGGGCACATGGACTGAGAATGCTCTCATCTCTTCCTGGCAATACTTTCTGTCTGAAATTTTGCTGACATTGTTGAGTAATTTACCTAGTAATATGCACAGGTTCCAAGCTTGCCCTTCTTTGCTCATTACTTTTTCTTAAGCAGGGGAAAGCAAGCTTCTATTTGAAGAGAGAGAATGAGAAGGTGGGGAAGATAAGAGGCATGTTTCAATACACTAGAGAACAACTCTCAACCGCTTTTTACATGCTCTCTTTCCAAGGGCACACCCTCTTTGTTCAAAAGGAGTCTTAAATTTCACAGAAGCATTTATCTGTACACACGACTTATCGGCAGCTACCAAGCTAGAGGCCCGTTAAGTTTTCTCTCCCTCAGCTAGCCTTACACCTTTAAAACTGCCTTTGAGTCAGAAGTCAGAATGAAGAGGTTAAAATAAAAAAAGAGGCATTTTTCTAGGCATTCCTCCTTAGGTCTTCCCTTTCTCTAACCCACTACTCTGTGGTATAAAAACAGTACCCACTTCCCTAACCCAGAAAATATTCCTTGATTTGCTCCATGACTCAAAAAAGGTTCACCCATGAATTCAGTCTCCAGTTCTTTTGCTCATAGGTTGGGTCCTTTTAGAACAACTTAGTTCAATAATATCTGTACTGTATTCAAGACCCAAGCAGATATATACTGGTTCTGTCAATAAACAATCATCCTGTTTGGAAATAAAGCAAAAAGACTATGTATCCTTGCAGTGTACCACTGGGACATTACCTAACAAGCCCACCCAGGAAACATCTGACTCTCCATAAATTATTTAACTTTGTTTTACCTACTATCTATAATTGATTAGGGCCCAGAAGTCTTACTGGATGTTTATTTTAGAACGCTGACAAGTTAAAGTTGGTTTGCATCTTGTTGAAAACAATGTCCAAAGTTACAGCTTTATTGTTCTATAGGATATTAATAACTTTTGTATGCTACTGAGTAATCATATTCCTGCATTCTTCCTTTTTATCTGGTATTAAAATACTGTTAACAGTTTGGCCACCATCATGATTCCCTTGTTATTCAGTAAATCACTATATATTTAGGAATTATGTCTAGGCTGGTGCAGTGGTTCACACCTGTAATCCCAGCAGTTTTGGAGGCCAAGGCCAGCGGATTGCTTGTGCTGAGGAGTTTGAGACCAGCCTGGGCAACTTGGTAAAACCCCATCTCTACAAACAATACAAAAATTAGACAGACATGGTGGCACATGCCTGTAGTCCCAGCTACTTGGGAAGCTGAGGTGGGAGGATCACTTGAACCTGAGAGGTAGAGGCTGCAGTGAGCCAAGGTCGCACCACTGCACTCCAGCCTGGGTGACAGAATAAGACCCTGTCTAAAAAGATGGAAAGAAAGAGAGAAAAAGAAGAGAGAGGGGAGAGAGAGACAGAGAGAGAGAGAAAGAAAAAGAAAAGAATTATATCTAATGTTTTGAAACTATATTTTGACAATTCTAAAGACGCTGATTTTTTTGTTAATTCCAGCTGAGTTTCAGAAATGAGAATAAAAAAATTAAACATAACAGAAAATACCTCTGACATTATTATTTTTAAACTACAAGTCTTCAAATATATTTTTGGGTAATAAACAAGCACAGTCCAGGAGTTTGAGGCTGAAGTGAGCTATGATTGTGCGATTACACTCCAGCCTGGGTGACAGAGCAAGAGCCTGTCTTAAAAAAAAAAAAAAAAAAAAAAAAAAGGAATAAATACACCTACCTCCATTTGGGGAAAAAATTAACAAAATGGAAAACAGGCTGGTTACATGTGGGTATGAAAACCTACAGTTGCCCTCTGTCCCGGGCAACCTAATTTTTTTTTTTAAGCAAAACTGAGAAAAGTCACTTTCCTAAAATTTAAAACAAAACAAAACAAAAAAACCTGGGGAACAAACAAGCAAAGTTAAATACTGCCTTCTTATACAGAAAAACTTTGCCTGGCAATTGACATACGCACAGCTTTGCAAATATTTGGCATTTTAAAAATTTAAGTCAATAGCTTTTAAGAAACATATGCTCTGCGCCCATTCTACTAATAATAAACAATGGAAATGTATTGTCCCTGCTCCCCCCACCCCACCCCCCAACCCCTGTCTTCTCTTAATACTTTCTGAACGCTTTTCAGAAAGCATGGATATATTCATAAAGGGTAGATAATTCACGAAAACAGGGAAGGGGTAATCTCTCCTTGACAAAATAGTGACAGTGTATACTTAGTTGTTTTCATTATTTATTTTACTCAATCCAAAAAGCATTCTATTGCACAATGTTGAAACTAGTATGGCCAACACAAAGGGAAAGATGGTCTTGACCTTCAAGAATCTTACAATTTAATACACACACAGGAATCTTACAATTTAACACACAAGTAAATGAATGAAGGGTAGGGAAAGGACCAAGCTCCTAAAGAGTGTGTGTGTACAAGTGAATCTGTATAAACTGTCTCACAATCACTGTGGATTTTTTAAGACAATGAGGATTAGTAACACAATGGAGGACTGTTATGCCCTGTCCTTCAGAAGTGCTGAGGTAAGAGAAAACATGACTACAGGGAGATTACTCAAAAAAGTTTGGAATCCCTAAATTCTATATACAAATATATAAGTATCTACATAGAACTTACTCCCCTATCACATATGCCTCATGTTTCATGTTTCCTGTACCCATACCACCAATGTATCTATGTTTCCTTTCTCACTTAACAATTTTTACCCTGATTAGACCATTCACTAAAAGTTTCATTAATAACTTAAAAAAGATCTGTAAACAGCATGCAATGAACTTATATTATAGACTTAAATAGTGGCAAAACTTGGCATTCTGCTCTTTAATTTATTCAAAACTACTTTCCAGTTAAGAACTATCAATCTTCTAGTGTCTTCACATTTATCTCTAGCAACAGTGGCTGGCTTTCAAAATTAGGTGAGAGATCTTTCCAAGATCTAAACATCTCCAATATCTGCCTCAGAGAAAATTTAGTTTCCACCACATCATGCGTTCCTGCTAACAATGATTAAAATAAATAAAAGAACTATAAGGTTGGTTTATTTGCGGATACAAGAACAGCTTGCTTAACTCACCATTTAAAAAGCCATCACTTCACACTAGCTTTATTATCTGAAGCATAATCAAAATAATAAACTACGGTTGTGGGACTTTGGAATTTCTAATTAAGTTATGGAGACTTAAATCAAGAAATATGAATATTCATAAAACCCAGTAACCTTTTAGGCAAAGTAAAAAAGTGAAAAGAACAAGTGCTCTTGGAATTCAGAAAGAAAATTAACTATGGTATTGAGAGAAACCAGGAAAGAGAAGGAATCACAGTAGAGCTAGGATACAGAAGGAAACAGAAAATGACAGTTTAATGCTCATTATAGAATAACAGTGAATCACCCACAGAGACCATTTTCAGTGTTCTTGTGAATTTAACCTCTAGTCTAACCTTTTAATGAAAAGGCTATAATATATTAGAGTGGCCCAGAAAGGTGACCTTATGTCTCAGGTGTCAGAGCCACACCCAGGTCTCCTGATTCCCAATGATACTCCCTAAAGCCTTACTTGCTCTGGCTGTAGTGTTTTGAGAATTGGAGCTGCTTTTAATCCTATGGTCAGCTACACAGCTGCAGGATGGGCCCTAGATTCCCTATTCAGGAATTCAGATCTTAAAACACCAAAAGTGATAAAAGTAGATACAGTTCCCCTTCTTCAGCCAATGCAAGGATCCTAGTTACAGAGAAAAAACGGTGTGCCAAGACAACACCCTTAATTCTCACGCATTTCCCCCTTTCTATCTTTTATACTTACCAATTTATCAGTCCCATGATCTGTCTTCACCTCAGAACTAAGTGGAAGAAATAAGTCTGTTGTATGCTCTGGGGGAGGTACCTCCCCAAGAACTATCAACCCCTGCAGGATAGAGAGGAGAAAAATAGCATAAGTGAGCAGTATAAACTTCAAATTTAATTTAGGAGTTAAGTCTCAAAAGGACTGTTGGTGTACTAGAGGCCCCCTCTTCCTCACCCTATGGTTCAGAAACAAACTACAGCAGCAGCAGCTTTGTTTTCCCAAAGAGCTATTTCAACAAGCAGCAGACCCAGGCTCCCCTCTCTGCCACTTGACTGCTCTGACCTACATGGCTCATCAGCCATTTAGCATCTTTATTCATATCTTTCAGATATGAAATCTTTACCAGATTATGGCATTTATACCATATTACTAGACTCCACTAGATTAACAGCAGCAATGCAGTTTTTGTAGCCAACAAATGCAGTTTATGACTTACTAAGCTGAAAATGCTACTATTCTTAATCATGTACTCCACCAACTATACCTGCACAAACAAAACTGAATGAAACAAATGTGGAACAGTCCCCTACAATTTATGAGAAACCAAGAGCTTCTTAAAAGCTGGCCCAAAGGAACCTGCTTTTTTCATAAGCATAAATATTACTTCAGATTAAGTTCCTGCTTGACAATTTCAAATTCAGACCTTTGGAAATTCATTCCAGGAAACAATTTACATAAAAAGAAATTAAAAATGAACCCACAAGTCCTCCCCATTGTACATATAATGAGCCAGGATGGGTAAAGGCAGAAGGTATCTTATTATTAAAAAAACAAAATACTACATATGAATCCCACCATGTATACCAGAAGAGGTGACAAAAATAAGGCTATGACACTATATAACCGAAAGACTGGGATGCAAGTGATCAGGGTTCCCAATCTCTTTCTCTGGTCTAAAAAATAGAGATCTAACTAGATTAAGAAGCTCTTAATGGAAATTTATTATCAGAATCACCTGGGGAACCTTATCAAACTATACTGGCTTAGGTCCAACATCTACTCAGTACCTCTGGGGGTGGGGCCAGGTAGTCTACCTTTTTATGGGGGAAGGGAGGCAGGACATGGTGGGTACATGGAGGTGGGTGTCTCTCTCCTCCCCCACCCCGCCAACCCCACTATGTTACCGAGGCTGATCTCAAACTCCTGGGCTCCAGCAATCCTCCCACCTCAGCCTCTGGAGTAGCTGGGATGACAGGTGCCTACCACCATGCCCAGAGGTGGATATTCTACTATTCTTTAAAAGCTCCCCTGGTAAGTCCTAAACTTGTAAAGTTGAAAAACACTAGACTTGATTAGTTTGGGCTCAAAGAACATCCTAAAGTATAGATTTGGGGGACTAGGGATTGTGACTATTAGTCTTAGCTCTCTAGGCCATACGACAGACTCTTATGAGCCACTAAACCAGATGATCCATCCCTGGGGTCCTTGTAACTAAAAAACCAATATGAAATACAAGCTGCAGAAAAGGGGAAAACATTAAGAAAGAAAAATGGAATTTTATTTCAGTTTTTAAAAAAGAAGTATGTATCTCTTTTTCTCTTGAAGCAAAAGAAGCACTGCCTCCCTATTCTGGAATATGACTACACTTAGCCCGTATCAAAAATGAATTGGAGGGTCCCGGAATGGCGGCTCACACCTGTAATCCCAGCACTTTGGGAAGCTGAGGCGGGTGGATCACCTGAGGTCGTCAGGAGTTCAAGATCAGCCTGGCCAACATGGTGAAACCCCATCTTTACTAAAAATACAAAAATTGCCCAGGCGTCGTGGCACATGCCCATAGTCCCAGCTACTCGGAAGGCTGAAGAAGGAGAATCGCTTGAACTCAGGAGGCAGAGGTTGCAATGAGCCAAGATCACACCATTGCACACCAGCCTGGGCGACAGACCAAGGCTCTATCTCCAACAACAACAACAATAACAACAAAAATGAATTGGAGGCTGGGTGTGGTAGATCACACCTGTAATCCTAGCACTTGGGGAGGTTGAGGTTAGGAGTGCGAGACCAGCCTGGCCGACACAGTGAAACAACGTCTCCAGTAAAAATACAAAAAATAGCTGGGCGTGGTGGTGAGCCCCTGTAATCCCAGCTACTTGGGAGGCTGAGGCAGGAGAATCGCTTGAACCTGGGAGGTGTAGGTTGCAGTGAGCCAAGACTGTGCCATTGCACTCCAGTCTGGGCAACGAGAGCGAAACTCCACCTCAAAATTTTAAAAATTAAAAAAAAAAAAAAAAAAAAAAAAAAAGAATTGGAGTCTCCTCAGAAACAAGAGAAAGGCCATTAACTAGTAAGCAAGAAACATTAACCCTAGCCTTTAAAATGAGGTTTCTCTGGTTAAAGAACTTCTGCTTCAAAATATTTTCTTCCCTAAATCAAAAGCATAAGATATACCTTACAAACTTTATCACATCCAAATAAAAACTATTTGCAAAAGACAGTTATCTTGTACACCACTGCCTTCTCAAAACGTTGTATTCAACAGATATTCCCTACTTAAGGGCCCAAACTGTCTTCCTGCTTCCTGTACAAAGCATGCCAAAAATCATTTTATTATTCAAATTTTCCCATAACCGGTTCCTAAGAACTTTTTTAAAGATCAATTTCCAACTACTTTCCCCAAATATTTGTTAGTGTTATACCAATCTCATCATCTCCTAGACAAATGTTTCAATGAATGTGAAGCTGTTGCTGCTGCTGGAGGTAAGGGTTATTAGTCAGTAGAAGGTTAAAAAAAACTGAATTAAAGGTTAACACATGAGCTGTTCATCTTTATTTATACTCATTTTTATATTTTATCAGTCCAAATTGCCGTTCGTCCTTCCAAAGAGATTTTCAACAAGTCCCACCTCCTTCCAAGAAAATGTCCCGGGTTAATGAGTTCCTACTTGCTTTATCCACACTGCCAGACCTCCTAAAGCACGGTGATTGTATCTTACTTTCTGTGTATTTAAATCTCATTTCCAGAGCATTCATAATCTTATGCCACATTATTTATTTCACTTATTATTGCCTCAGTTTCTTGTTTGTTGAGACAGGGTCAAGCTCTGTCACCTGTGCTGGAGTGCAGTGGTGTGGTCACGAATCACTGTAACCTCCCCCTCCCGGGCTCAAGTGATCCTCCCACCTCAACCCCATAAATAGCTGGGATAACAGGTGCATGCCACCACATCCAGCTAATTTTTGTATTTTTTTGGTAGAGATGGGGTTTCACCAAGTTGCTCAGGCTGGTCTCGAACTCTTGGACTCAAGTAATGCACTTGCCTCAAACTCCCAAAGTGCTGGGATAACAGGTGCAAGCCACCACACCCAGCTAATTGTTCTATTTTTTGGTAGAGATGGACTTTCACCATGTTGCCAAGGCTCGTCTCAAACTCCTAGACTCAAGCAATCCACCTGCCTCGGCCTCTCAAAGTGCTGGGATTACATGTGCAAGCCGCTGCACCCAGCCTTTAATTGTTAACTAATGTTAGTTTATTGAAGATGTGGACAAAATACAAATATATTTAAATGACCCATGTCCCTTAGCAGAGTCATACACCAAGAAAATAAATGCATAGCAAATATTTGTTGAGTTGTATAATTTTTTTCCTAACAGGAAAATATTAACTTTATAATAATTATAGCCAGAAGATAAATAAATCTAACAATTAGATATAAAATTACTCCTTCAATTTTTCTTTTTCAGTTATATGAAAGTAAGGACGCAGTCAGTATTTTCCAAAGGGAAGAATTTTTCCTTAAACTACAGAATAATTTCTAAATACAACCCTCAGATAGATTATGAAGACATCTCCTAAGAGAGTATAATAAAACTTGGTAGGGACCATCTATTCATCGACATAATTTTATAGACCCACAGAGGATGTAGGTCAAAGCTTATGTCTCTACAGGCCAATACATGGCAGAACTGGGGCAAAAGTCTGCATCTAACTAATATTTCATTCCTCTTTTGTTCAGTTAATTAAATCATTTATCCGCTCATCAGCATTTGTTAGGTACTAAGGATACAAGAAAAAATGAGAGACCTATCCCTCTCCCCTAACCCATCCTTCAAAGTGCTTATTACGTTCTAATACTGCGGCAAAGAAAAACAATGTAAATAGGTAAATGTTATGTACTACATTAGAAGGTATTAAATGCTAGAGAGAACAAAATATAGGATAGTGAGGGGATTAAGAAGTGGAAATGGTGGGGTTGGTCGTGACGGCTCATGCCTGTAATTCCAGCACTTTGGGAAGCCAATGGAGGAGGACTGCTTGAGGCCAGGAGTTCAGGACCAGCCTGGGCGACGTGGCAAAACCCTGTCTCCACAAAAACAATAATAATAAAAATTAGCCTGGTGTAATATCACACCTGTAGTTCCAGATATTCAGGAGGATCACTTAAGCCCAGGAGAGAGAGAGAGATACAAGTGGGAGGGGGTACTACAGGCGCATACCACCACGCCTGGCTAGTTTTTTGTATTTTTAGTAGAGAAGGGGTTTCACCATGTTGCCAAGGCTGGTTGCAAACTCTTGGGGCCAAGAGATCTACCCGCCCTGGCCTCCCAAAGTGCCGGGTTGCAGGCATGAGCCACTGTGCCCCTGCTTGAATGTTTATTTGAAGACAGAATCAACCAGCTATGCCAATGTGCTTACAAGATAGGAGGGAAAAGAGTCAGAGACACTGCCAAGGTTTCTAGCTTCCACAACCAGAAGAATGGAACTCTTCTTCATTTGTTCAGAGGACATTTGAATACACATTAGTTTTAATTAAACCTATTTTTGAAAATATGTGCTCAAGTGTTACACTGAAGCAACCAACAATCATCCATACACTGTCCATTGCCCCCAAGATATGTAAGTTCACTATGGCATTCAAAACCAAACACTGGATCCTCTAATTTAATACTGTACCTCACACCAAAAAGGATGAAAACAGCTAAAAAGAGGCTGAGCAAATAAAAAGCATCCAAGTAGGTAAGAGTCATTCATGCAGGTAGCATCTATTGAGTGGCTACCACGTGCAAGGTAGTGTGAAAACACAGTAATAAAATAAAAACAGATTCTACCATAAGGAGCTTATGTTCATCTAGCCTTGAACAGACAAAGAGACAAAGTATTATGACAGTACTATAACAGAAGTTGAGAGAAGGTGATGTCAGAGCAGAAAAGAGCCTAACTGAAGAGACTGATGAAAGTGAGGCTTTACAGAGGAGGTCTACATAATTACTTAACATTCCCCAAAATATATTTAATATATTTTGAGCTATACTTATTCATTAACTATACACTTAATGACTTTGCCCTTTTCTGTATACAATGTTTCATATGCCACAATAACACTTATTTCGGATAAAGTTTACTCATGTTTAATAACCATGAAAAGAAAGGTTAGCATTAGCTGAGAAAACTTCATAATGTTCTACTCCACACCTGTCATGCTACCCCAACATGGGCTTCCCTAACATTCCAGGTTTAAACTGGGTCAGTGTTGAATAGCTGTGCCATTAGCCTGGTGGCAATAAACTTAGGGCTGCTGTACTATGAAATAGCAACCGGTAGAAGCCGAAGAAAAAGGTCAAGAGTCTCCTTTTCCTTCGCCATGTCCCGAGTCAGAGCCAGGATCATGCTTAGGCTGCACAGGCCTAGAAAACTCCAAGAGTGAAGCAAGCTTCTGCTTTACACAAGGACCAAAGGAACTGGAATGGGTCACAGTTACATGCAGCCTTAATACCTCCTAAGTGACTCCTCTGTGGATGAACCCTCTCTCAACTGTATTTGCAATACAGCTAACAGGCAATTTCACATACTTCCTTACATCACTCTATCAGGTCAATCTTCCCTATGCATCTCAAGACAAACCAGTGACCCCACTGCAGACCAGTTCCACAAGAATCACCCTGGGCTACCTGGAAAAGATAAGTTGTCTAAAGTGCTTTAAAAAACCCTATTAAGATGAGAACTTCAACAGCTTTATGAAAATTTTGAAGAGAAAGGTGTTATAAGCTTCTGCAGTTCCCATTCAACTCCTTCCCTATTCAAAAGTTTCAATGCTCTTCCACCTCCCATCCTCAATAACATTTCCATCCTCAGCTACAGCTGTGTAATCTCAAAGAGTAGTCAGAAGAGGAGATTTTAAAAAACAACGTAAGAGTCAAGCCAGTGCTTCTGGGAGGCCAAGGCAAGGAGGATCACTTGAGGTCAAGAGTTTGAGACCAGCCTGGACAACACAGCGAGACCCCATCCTTTAAAATAAAAAAAACCCTTTAACAATTAGCTAAGCATGGTGGGACTTGCCTATGGTCCCAGCTACTTGTACTTGCAAGGCTAAGGTAGGAGGATAGCTTGAGCCCAGGAGTTTCAGGTTACAAAGAACTATGATCTGGCCATTGCACCTCAGCCTGGGCAACAGAGCAAGACCCTGCCTCTTAAAAACTGCTTAGTCCCTATTCTTTCCCCTCATTTACCAGGTGTGAAATTTCAACAAACATGTTTCAGTGAAATGATGAAAAGGACACAACAGCAAAGTATGTTAGAAAAAAAATGCTTTGGAATCAGATAAAAAGTCCTGAGTTTAAATTTAGCTCTGCCTTTTACAAGCCTCTGAAGATTTATTCTGATCATTAAACGAACATACATGAGTAAACCTTTAATTAGTATACACTCAAGGTACGTATATTGTTTTCGTTTCTCCTTCTAAAGCATGGAAGAGTTTCTTTTTAAAAAACAAGCTGACAAACTATGAAAATTAAAAGAGTACAACAGCATGCAGAAGTAGTACAGAGGAGTTCCTAGAAGTTATATTCTTTCTCCAGAGAGCAATATTATTCCCAAAAGGGACTCTACTCACTTCACAGCTTGGAAGGTAATACCTACCTTCTGACAGAACAGAAACTGGTGTCTGGATCCTAGAATCACCTAGCAGTAGTCACAAATACTTTTTTTTTTTTTGGTAATACGCCACTTAAATAAAATTAATGTTAATAAGCAACAAAGTAAATCCTTAAAAAGAAAAGCCCCACCATCCCTCCAATCTCCCACCCGAAGACAAATTATAACTCAACAGCCTATCACCAAGATTCAGCCTATCACCTAGGTTCATCTCAAAAAAAAAAAAAAGACCTGTGCAACCCAGGAAGTGCTGGGAAATCTTGGTGCAGCATGGAAAATATGAAATATGAACACCAACCCACTTAACCAAAACACATAGGAAAAACTTTCTTCCATTTCAGTAACTAAAAAAAAAACCCAAGCACTTAAAGTGATTACTAACTTGAGCAATAGCTCTGCACTCACTTGGATGTGTAACCATGAACAAACTACTTGACTGCTCTGATCTTCCATTGTTTATCTTGAAAATCGTGAATGAGAGTAAAATGCTTAGCACAGTGCCTGACATATCACAAGTGCTCAAAAACTTCTATTAATTATAGTGTTACATAAAGACTAAATGCATGTGAATATATCATTGGGGGAAAATTCCATGGCTTGTTAGAGCAAGTTGAATATTGTCTCTTCCAAATTTATGTTCACCCAGAACCTGTGAATATGACCTTGTTTAGAAAAAGGGTCTTTGCAGATGTAATCAAGTTATGAAGAGCCATTTAGTGTGGGCTCTAAATTCAATATGACTGGTGTCCTCCTGACATGGAAATCTACACAGATGCAAAGAGAAAGATGGTCATATGAAGATGGAGGCAGCAACTGCAGTGATGTAGCTACAGGCCAAGAACACCAAGGACTAGCACAATATCAGAAGCTGGAAAAAGACAAGGAAGGATTCTTCCCTAGAGCCTCCATAGAGACCATGGCCCTTTTGACACCATAATTTCAGACTTCTGGCCTCCAGAACGGTGAGAGAACACATTTCTGATTTTTTAAGCCATCCCATTTGTGATAGTTTGTTATGACAGTCTAGGAAACTAATCCATTTGTTGAAAAAGAAATGTATAAATACGACACGTAAAGCTGTGAATTTTCTTGATGCATTACTTATTGGAACTATCAACCTAGTTTTATTCTTCCTATCGGAACTCTGAGAAGTAAAAGATTATCTATGATGTTGTATTTTACAGACCAAGAATCTGAAGCTCAGAAATGTTAAGTGACTTTTCTTCTCAAGGTTCATGTAAGCAGCTGGTAGCAAAGCCACGATTAGAAACAAAAATTTACCAAGTCCAAGTATGGTGCTTAATACAATACGCTTTGAATGATGAAACTCTTGGATAAGCAACATACATTCATGTGCCAAATAGCATTATGGTCAATGACAGACCACATATACAATGATGGTCTTATAAGATTTTAATACAGCTGAAGAATACCTGTTTTAGCACAAAGCACTACTCCTGTGTTTGTGGTGATGCTGGTGTAAAGAAACCTACAGTGCTGCTATTAGAAGTATACCACATACAATTATGTACACTAAGAATATAATAGCTGATAATAAAAGCTATGTTACTGTTACACTTATTTCTTATGATAATAAAAAGTGTTATGTATTTACTATACTATACTTTTAATCGTTATTTTAGAGAGTACTTCTACTCATTAAAAGAAGTGAACTGTGAAACAGCCTCCAGCAGGTCCTTCTGTTGGCACTGTCACAGGCAATGAAAGCTCCGTGTGTGTTGTTGGCCCTGAAAACCTAACAGTGTAACAAGATGTGAAGGTGGAAGACAGTAATACCGACAAACCTGACCCCATGTGGGCCTACGTTCATGTGTGTGTTTGTGTCTTAGTTTTTAGCAAAACAGTTTAAAAAATAAAACTTTCATTTTAAAATGGAAAGTTTTAAAGATAGAAAAAAGCTTGTAGAATAAGGTGTGAAGAAAATATTTTTGTACAATTACAATGTATTTGTGTTTTAGGCTAAGTGTTATTACAAAAGAGTCAAAAAGTTTTAAAAACTTAAAAGTTTATAAAGCAAAAAGTTATAGTAAGCTAAGGTTAATTTATTATTGAAAAAAATATTTAAAATAAATGTAGTGTAGCCTCGGTGTACAGTATTTATAAAGTTTATAGTAGTGTACAGTCATGTCCCAGGCTTTTCAATTTCAGTTACCCTTCACCCACCGACTCACCCAGAGCAACTTCCAGTCCTGCAAGCTCCATTCATGGTAAGTGCCCTATACAGGTGTACCATTTTTATCTTTTCTACTACATTTTTACTGTATTTTTTCTATGTTTAGGTATGTTTAAATACATAAATCTTTACCACTAATTGCCTACAGTATTCAGTATAGTAGCATGATGTACTGGTTTATACCCTAGGAGCAATAGGCTATATACCATATTGTCTAAGTGAATAGCAGGCCATACCACCTCAGCTTGTATGTATTAAGTATGTATATATGTAAGTATGTATGTATGTATGTATATGAGACAGAGACTCGCTCTGCTTTGCCCAGGCTGGAGTGCAGTGTCGCGATCTCAGCTCACTGCACCCTGTCTCCCAGGTTCAAGTGATTCTCCTGTCTCAGCCTCCCGAATAGCTGGGATTACAGGCACCCGCCACCACACCTGGCTAATTTTTTTGTATTTTTCATAGAGACAGGGGTTTCACCATGTTGGCCAGGCTAGTCTCGAACTCCTCACCTCAGGTGACCCACCCACCTTGGACTCCCATGCCTCGGCCTCCCAAAGTGCTGAGATTACAGGCGTGAGCCACTGCGCACGGCCCTCAGCTTGAATTTAAGTGCACTTTATGATGTTCACGCACCAATGAAATCACCTAACAACACATTTCTCAGTTTCCCTTTTGTTAAGCAATGTGTGATGGTATATACAAAACTCCAGATTATTTTCCAGATATTTAGAAATACTTTTCAGATATTTTGATATTTTGAAAGTTTCTGAAAATTGCTCTGTCATTACTTCTGAGTGATGAGCTGAAGAATAAAGCATGAACCAAATGAGGTGAGTATCTTCTTATACACAGCTAGTGAGACTATAAACTGACACTGCCAAAATACTTCTCTGAAGAATGCATTAAGAACATAAAAGAGCATTCATACCTTTGACTGAGATAAAGATATTTATCATGGCATATTTAATTTAAATAACAAATGTAACTTAAATAGTCAACAAAGAAAGCCAATAGCATGCAGCCATTAAAAATGTTTTCCAAAAACCAACTGGGAAATATTCAGGGCACATACGTAACATGACTGTATTTGAACAAATTACTTATGTGCTAGGAAAATGTACCATAATGTTGGTAGCGAGATAATTTTGAGCTGTTGGGTTGTTTTTTTTTTTTTGGGGGGGGGGGGAGGGTGGGTGTCTTTTATACTTCTATGTCATTTCAGTTTCCTGAGAATTGATACACAGTATTTCATCAATTCTAAGAGGTACTCTCCCCACATGTCAACAACTTTTAAATCAAGATGCATTTTACAATTTCTGTTATGCCCTGGTTTAACTGAAATAATTTCTTTGTCGTACTTAAAACAATGGTACATCTTACAATCAATAGCATCTTAAGTTCTATGAAATGTAGCAGTTTTATAACAAGGAACTAAGATGATATAACATATACACATATATAAACCCACATATATATTTATGAATGTATATAAAAAGATGAAGCAGCACTTATGACTACTATTATACTAATCTCAGTTGTTACTAAGAGACTCTAGTTCTCAAATATAGAAAATCCCACTTAACTACTGGCTATAAAAACCTAGAAACAGACACTGAAGAGGTGTCTCTGATAGAGAAAGACTGTGTTTTTCTCCTCAGTACAGGCATATCCAGTCACCTCCTAGTTATTCTTAGTCATCATTCCAGTTCAAGTTCTACAAATCTCACTTTAAAATTTCCTTTGTGAAGACTTGGGAAAGCAAAATATGCACCAAATCTAGAATGTTTATTAGTTTTGTTCCAGCTAATTTTTAAATAAGTAAATCAGGATTTAATTTGTATGCTACCCTAAGGGAACAAACTAGTAAGAATAAAAAAGTGAGCCCTCTGGACTGTGTCCTCAATTAAAGTATGCTCTATTGAACTTTTAGGGGGAGGGGGAATATATATATATATATGTATCTCCAATCTGGAAAGAAGCTATAAGTCCGCAGTGACATTTTTAGAATAAAAGTTTAAATGATTAGATAGCCCACAGAACTTTCACTTCAAACCCTGATCATTCTGTTCATTTTATCAGTTGATCAACCTTCAACTTTTGGCCTACTAATTTAATGGATACTGTTCACAGGAAAGCCATTTTCTTAAGGCTTTGACTAGTACTAAGGTCAAAAAGGCATTTTGACCCTTATTTTTAGTAGCAATAGACTTTTTCTAGACATGGGTCTACATAAAGATAGAGCTCAGCCACACCAAGCTAATATAAAAAATACTTTGCAAGAATGTAAGCTTCATGAAGGTAGGATTTTTGAGAACACTGCTGAGACACAGTAAGCACTTAAAATAATGGTACATCTTACCATCAGTAGCATCTTAAGTTCTATGAAATGTGGCAGTTTTATAACAGGGAACTAACAAATATAAATCTAACAAATATGACAGTTAACATCAATGGCTTGCTTGCATTATTCAGTCTGTTTTCCTTGTTTCCTGTTAGCTCAGATACCCACACAGTTTTGTTCTAAATACACGTTCAGTTAAACATTATATTCTAATAGTGTTTTCCTTTTTATGAGACAGGCCTTTCTTAGTTGTCCAGGCTGGAGTGTGGTGGCACAATCTTGGCTCACTGCAACCTCCACTTCGTGGGCTCAAGCGATACTCCCACTTCAGCCTCCTAAGTAGCTGGGACTACAGGCACATGCTATCATGCTCAACTAATTTTTGTAATTTTTGTAAAGACAAGGTCTCACTATGTTGCCCAGGCTGGTCTCGAACTCCTGAGCTCAAATGATCCTCCTGCCTTGGCCTCCCAAAGTGCTGGGATCACAAGAGTGAGCCACCACGCGCAGCCACATCAGGTTCTTAAATTAAACCACTATATCAGGTCATTAAACCATTTACTTTGCAATAGTTAAGAAGAGGGTTATGGGGGTTACGAGGTGGGAGGGGATGTGAGAAAAGCGATATTGATAGTTTTCGGCAGCATTTAAAAACATCAGATACTTATCCCTTACCTTATTAGCACGTATCTGTTTGTAAATGTCTGTTTGCTGACGAATTCGATATTCCAAGTCAGAAACATGAGCCTGAAGCCAGTTCCAGCGGCTGACAATAGCTGCCCGGTCTGCAGCCCATTTCCATTCTGACCTGCGTCTCCTAAAAGGAAATAAACTGAGTGAAATCCAAGAGTAGCAGTAATATCTATACCAGATTGGGGGGTGGGGAGTGGAATTTAACTTTTAAAGGCCCTTGCAGAGACTAACTCTAGTGTCAAGAAAAACCCAAGAGAGAGACAAGACACCTCCCGCTCATCAGGATGCACATGGATATAAACTTCCAAATAGGTATTTCCCAAATTAAGTGGAACTGCGTTCTAGCATCCTGATCCTGTGGCACACAGTTTCTCTGAAATCCCTTTAATTTCTCTGGGACAATAAAATTATTGTCCATGCCAAAATAAAACATACATTAAGAATAATCTATACAGGAAATCCAACTGACACTAAGAATTATTAAAACTAATAAAGAATTCAGCAAAAGTGTTCAGTAAAGAATATTTAAAAACTAATAAAGTAGAAAATATCATTAAGTACCATTCATAACACCAACAAAACTAATGATATATTAAATATCTTTACAGAGAAAATAACGCCTGAAAGCATGAAGATCTATACAAATGGTAGGACACATTTTTTTAGGATGGCGATTCTCATGAACATCTATAAATTCAAAGAAATTCCAATCAAATTGCCTACAGTATTTTTAATGAAAGCTGAGAAACAGATCTAAAAGTTCACATGGAATAAAGGACCAACAGCAAGAAATTTGCAAGAAGGCATGATGCAAATACACATTACCAGACAGCCAGATTTGCTGCAAAACTATAGAGAGCCTCAAAACATAGAACTAGATACATAAAAGATAACGGGAAATTTTTAAAAAATCAGATCAGTGCAGAAACGATCAAACTACTCAATAAATAGTACTAAACTGGCCAGTTCTTTAAAGGAAAAAGTAAAATTAGTTCCCTTCTTCATGATATAATTACAAAATTTTGGCATTTCAAATTGCTAAATATGAACAGCCAAACTTAAAAGAATATCTTCGGGACTTAGAGCAGGGAGCATTTCTTAGATAATACACAAAGATTTCACCTACTTTTCAACATACAATAGAAAATCTAATAAAGTTAAAAGGCCAACTACATTTTGGTGGAAGATATCTAACACATATAACTGACGATTAAACATCAGAATATGTAACAGAACTCTCAGAAATAGGATAAAAGAAAAAAAGACAATCTTAACAGAAATAGGAAATTCACATAAAAGGCAAATAATAAATATATAAAAATGTGTCATCTCGTTAAAATTTGGTTAAAATATAAATATTAGGTAAAACATTAAGATGCTGTTTGAAATCTGGATGGGAAAACGCACAGTCTCATAAAGCCAACAGGTGGTGAGAAATGGAAAAGAGCAATTAATATATTGCTGGTAACAGTTAAAATTGGAACCACCATTTTTGAAAAATAATTTGAAAATACTTAGCGAGGTGTAAAATGTGCATACCCAACCATCATGATACTGTATTTTTTTTTTTTTTTTCCTGAGAGGCAGGGTCTCACACTCTATCATTGAGGCTGGATTGTGGTGGTGCAATCACAGCTCACTGTAACCTAGAGTTCCTTTGCTTAAGCTATCCTCCCACCTCAGTCTCCCAAGCAGCTAGGATCAGGAGCATACTACATACCTGGCTTTTTTTTCTTTTTTTTTTTTTTTTTTTTTGAGATGGAGTTTCTTTCACTCTGGTTGCCCAGGCTGGAGTGCAATGGCGCAATCTTGGCTCACCACCAACCTTCGCCTCCCAGGTTCAAGCGATTCTCCTGCCTCAGCCTCCCGAGCAGCTGGGATTACAGGCATGCGCCACCATGCCCGGCTAATTTTGTATTTTTAGTAGACACGGGGTTTCTCCATGTTGGTCAGGCTGGTCTCAAACTCCCAACCTCAGGGGATCCGCCCACCTCGACCTCCCAAAGTGCTGGGATTACAGGCACGAGCCACTGCACCCAGCCCTGACTAACTTTTTTTTGAGACGGAGTCTTGCTCTGTCGCCCGGGCTGGAGTCCAGTGGCATGATCTCGGCTCACTGCAAGCTCCGCCTCCCGGGTTTACGCCATTCTCCTGCCTCAGCCTCCGGAGTAACTGGGACTACAGGCGCCCACCACCACGCCTGGCTAATTTTTGTATTTTTAGTAGAGACGGGGTTTCACTGTGTTAGCCAGGATGGTCTCGATCTCCTGACCTCATGATCCACCCACCTCAGCCTCCCAAAGTGCTGGGATTACAGGCGTGAGCCACTGAGCCTAGCCCCACTGGCTAATTTTTAATAAAAAATGTTGTGGAGATGGGGTCTTGCTATGGTGTCCAGGTTGTTCTCTAACTCCTGACCTTTAGCCTCCCAAAGACACGAGCCACTATGCCCAGCCATGAAATTCTGTTTCTGAGAACATAAACTACACATTCCTCTGCATAAGGAAACAGGTTCACTGGAGGAGAGTCTGTAATAGATAAAAACTAATTATATTCTAATTCTGCTGAACTTGGTAAATAAACTATAATTTATTCATTTAATAGTTCTATAGTAATAAAAATAAACGACATCTGTATGTATCAACATGATTAAATCTAAGAACACAATGTTGAATGAAACAACTACAAAAAAACTAAACAAGATTAAGTACACACAAGTAGTGAAGGAATTTGATGAAATACTATCTAGCAATTTATTTACTGTATGTATCAACATGACCTAATCTCAACAATGGGGAATGCAAAAGCTGCACAAAAATAAACAAATAAACATTAATAAGGATTGTTACCAATACAGATAACTGATGAATATATTTTAAAATGCCTAAAACTGACATACAACAAATTTACAATCAAGCTCCTCATTATCTCTGGAAAGGGGATGGAGAAGTTGGATTTTAGCTCTACCTATAATGTTTGACTTCTCATGTAAAAAAACAAAGATGGAAATGTGACAACATTAACATTGTTTAAATATTACACTGGGGATACATGGTGTCTACTATATTCTGTAATCTAAATATTTCATAATCTACCACAAAACTATTTTCCCAGAAAGCAGCAGCAGTCACACAGCCCTCAGCCCCACTTCCCATCAGGATACACACACTCACTGCTAAAACTTATGACTATAGGTGAACTTGAACACAGTCTCCCATAGGGGCAAAATACAAAATGTCAAAAATAAAAAAGAACAAATCTGACCACGACAGAGTAAGACATGAATTAATACTTAATCATACCATAATAATTAAGACCAAGGGTAGTAATGGTATTTTAACTTTTGTATGGACCAAACATAAACCATTCAAACCAACCACTGTGATAATTATCAATTATGTCTCTTCTTTTAGAAAGAAAACATTTTACAGTTCCCTAATTTTGATGGAACCACTTCAAGATAAAAAGATACTTTTAAAGTACAGTTATCTGCTTCAATGTTGGCTGCAGGTCTAGCTCTACCCTAAATCCAGGAAATGATCTCAGGAGATCAATAAGAAACTAGGGATCATTCTTGAACAACAAAAATGCCCCCTACCCACAAAGAGACAAAACTAGTTAACCCTCGTATTTTATTCCCACCTTTCCTTACTTTTCAAGGCTTACCACCTTTCTATCCTGCAAAATCTTTTGGATTTATAGATTCCTTTCATTCCTAAAACTACCACCACACCAGGTCCCCATCTATCACCACTGGGCAACCCCAACAGCCTCCTTAGCTGCTCTTCCCAACACCAGTCAATCATACTACTTTTCCTCAATCAACTCCCCTCACACCTTTTTCATCCTGGCATTCTAATGTTTAAGGAACCATGCAGCTCCTTTGAAAATACAAAAGGAAAAGAAAATTACTTAAAACATTTTAGTTCGCAAGAACTTTGATAAATACACTTTTTCTTGGATATTAATGAAGGTCTTATGTCCCCTACACAGGTATTTACCTAAATAACAATACAAAGCGAGCCTCCTGATAATATGTTTTGGATAATATGGTTAATAAACTAATTAAAGAAAGGCAAGACAGCACTAAGGAATACTAACAATTCCCAATTTATGAACAAGTTTCATTTTACAAGTGTATCTGTGATGTGATGGTTTAGAACTCGAAGTGATTTCCAGGAGAAAGTTGTTACAACATTATTCTTCCATAATGCTGCTCAAACTCTCATCATCTCCAATGAAAAATGGAAAACCACAACTCAAGCGTCCAAGAAGTATCTTGTGTTCAAAATACCAGCAATATGAGCAGAAAGCTAAACTGTTATTAAGCATGAGAGGTGTACAGTTAACAAGTCTGGATAAGATATGAAGATGTTACCATACTCCAGTGGCAGAGCAGAGCACCACTAAACAGTAACACAAGAATAAGAGCTTCACATCTTTTGTTCCTTAACAAATACAAGCGGCCGGGCGCGGTGGCTCACGCTTGTAATCCCAGCACTTTGGGAGGCCGAGGCAGGCGGATCACGAGGTCAGGAGATCGAGACCATCCTGGCTAACACGGTGAAACCCCGTCTCTACTAAAAATACAAAAAAATTAGCCGGGCGTGATGGCGGGCGCCTGTAGTCCCAGCTACTCGGGAGGCTGAGGCAGGAGAATGGCGTGAACCCGGAAGGCGGAGCTTGCAGTGAGCCGAGATTGCGCCACTGCACTCTCGCCTGGGCCACAGAGCGAGACTCCGTCTCAAAAAAAAAAAAAACAAAACAAAAAAAAAACAAATACAAGCTATATAAACTCAGCTTATCAGAGGTAAAGATAGACTTCCTCCTCAATATTCGAAGTGTAAATTTATCACTCTGACAATTTACAGCTCAAAACAAGGGACACACATTGAACATTAGGGACATGTTTAATGTTATACCATACAGACTTCAGGAAAGAACACAGGACTAAGGTTGCAGAATAATACTTTAAATACAATGAGGACTTGGTTTCTAATATAGTCATTATCAATAATGAAGAAAATCACGTGGATTCTAACACTGATGAGTCAACTCATTCCTGATGCTTGTTTCTGTGCTATTAGTGAAATAACTGTTTTAACTATGTGCCTGAGTAGGACACTAGAATGCCTTAGAACGTTTGATTTTACCGTGTGCTTTATCCTAGTCCATACAAAAACATGTACTATATATACTGTAGTTATCACCTGAGTGGGAATTCTTTTCAACTCGTATTTTGCTCATTGCTTTTATAAACTTTTTATTGGTAAAAATGGCTTTGTCACCATGTGCTATACAAAAATTCATTAAAATGTTACATGATGAATTACTTTTTGGTTACCTAAATGCAGTATCAATATTTGCTTTTGTGACACCACATGAATAGTACACCTTAATGTTAACCAGCTATGTGCTAGTATTGGTTTACATAAGAAATATTTGTTGTATATAAATATTTCATTAGCTATGAACTTGTACTTTAATCGTTCTTTTTACACAGTTAGACTATTACCACAGAGAATTGAGAATGCTCTGTTGACTCTAAGAACATAGATCTTTCCTGTGTTTGTTTCACACTGCTTTTGAGCTAGGTAGTGAGTACCTGTGAATGGTTTTTTGTTGTTTTCTTCATGTGACTCAACAATTTTAAGACTTCTCATTGGTGAAATCTATGGTGAAACCCCATCTCTACTAAAAATAAAAAAAATTAGCCAGACGTAGTCGCGCACGCCTGTAATCCCAGCTACATAGGAGGCTGAGGCAGGAGAATTGCTTGAATCCAGGAGGTGACGGAGGCTGCCGTGGGCCCAGACCACACGCCACTGCCCTTCAGCCTGTACAACAGAGTGAGACTCCCTCTCCCCAAAAAAAAAAAAAAAAAGCGCCCTCTATAAACACACTTAAACCATACAGTAAAAGTAATTAATTTTTTTCCTTGCAAATTCAGGGTTCAGCTTACATGTTGGCTAAAAATTAATTTTTGTTTTTAGTTCTTTAAAGTTATTAATAGTCAATGGGTTTAAAAGGGATTATCAATAGATCAACTCTTTTGTATTTATTAGATAAGTAGCACCAAAAGCTAGACATTGAACCACATGGAACACCACATGTTGACTACCAGGCCTAGTGCCTCTAATTAAGTCACCTAATTCTATTCTAAGATGGGAAATTTGTATGTCAATCCAGTAGAACAGGGCTGGTGGATTATGCTTCTCTTCCCTGATGTATTAACATAAATTTTTTTAAATCTCATTAAGGCAACAAACATGCCAGAAAAACCCGAATGGTGGTAATTTCAACTTTGATTCTGATTTCAGTCCCATCTCGATTCTTTCCTTTTAATGAAACAAAGGTTCTATTAGCCAACTAAAGTAAAATGACTGTTCACAGTGAGCTACACAGTGCTACATTCACACTGGTAGATAAATTGACAAAGGATTATGTGCTACTTCCAAGTGTGCAGGAAATCCTGAGACATCTAAGTTCTGAAATCTCCAGGTTATTTAGATAACTTTTAAAAACCAAAAGATTCAAATAAAACTGAGATCATCCCAGAGCGTACAATTGCCAGATTAACAGTTTTCAGGGTAAGAGTTAGGGTCACTGTGGGGCAGGAATGAGAAATCTTGAAATTGCTGAGTCACATGAAAAAAACAAAAACAAAAAACCACTCACAAGTACTCACTACCTAGCTCAAAAGCAGTGTGAAACAGAGGGAAGATCAGGAGACAAGTTCTCACTTTTACTTACTTTATGTGATCCTAAACATATAAATTGACCTCTGCAAATAAGAACAACATCTGCTTCACAAAGTTGTGATAGCCATACAATGATGTAATCCTAACTGCAACCTAAAATGTATGTATTAGATAAGAATAACAATTTAGTCAGCTGGGCACGGTGGCTCAGGCCTGTAATCCCAGCACTTTGGGAGGCCGAGGCAGGCAGATCACAAGATAAGGAGTCTGAGATCAGCCTGACTAACATAGTGAAACCCCGTCTCTACTAAAAATACAAAAAAAAATTAGCCGGGCTTAGTAGCACGCGCCTGTAATCCCAGCTACTCAGGAGGCTGAGGCAGGAGAATCGCTTGAACCCGGGAGGCAGAGGTTACAGTGAGTCGAGATCGTGCCACTGCTCTCCAGCCTAGGGGACAGAGCAAGACTCTGTCTACAAAAAAAAAAAAAAAAAAAAAAAAGAAATAACAATTTAGTCATTATAACCATGGATTTAAATTCCGTATCAAAAAGGTACAAAAAAGGAAGAAAAACAGAATAAGATTAAAGAAAAACCTCTCAGATAAATTCAGGAAACAAGTGTTTTCAGTTAGCAACAAGCCATATTCTGAGAGTTTCTTGAGCTTTGAACTTTAGAGTCATCTAAAAGTTCCACTCTAAACAGAAAAATCAAAGTAGTCTATTAGAATAGACATTGCATTATCAGTGACATTACCACCAAATTTAAAAAGATGGAGGGGATAAAGCACAAGGAGAAAAAGAAGAGAACCAAACTGTCCAGAGTTAAATATCCCACATTTTAGTTGTAAAGTAAAACCCAGGAAAAAACTCGGATACATACTTCGTCTTAACCCATTCTCATCTGTCACATGACCTAGGTTGTGTCAGCTTTCTACAGATATCTGTAGTAATGTGGAACAAATGTACCAGAGCCAATACTTTTTTTTTTGAGATGGAATCTCGCTCTGTCACCCAGGCTGGAGTGCAGAGGCACGATCTCAGCTCACTGCAACCTCTGCCTCTCGGGTTCAAGTGATTTTCCTGCCTCAGCCTCCTGAGTAGCTGGGATTACAGGTGCCTGTCACCATGCCTGGCTAATTTTTGTGTTTTTAGTAGAGATGGGGTTTTGCCGTGTTGGCCAGGCTGGTCTCGAACTCCTGACCTCAAATGATCCGTCTGCCTCAGCCTCCCAAAGTGCTGCAGTTACAGGTGTGAGCCACAGCACCCAGCCCCAGAGCCAATTCTACCTAAACTGCCAATTCATCCTGACAGACCCTTGAAATTGAACACAGCACTTTTGTCTTACTACTTCAACTAGATTACCTCTAATATTTAAATGAAATTTGTGTAGTTTTGGTAGTTTATTTCAGCCAAGCATTTAGCCCACCATGAACTCACTCTATCCTTCTTCCTTCCATTTAACAAATATTTAAGCAACTATTAGTTACCAAGAATTAGACTAGGTTAGGGATGCAAAAACAAGAACTGTGGCTAAAGTTTACAATTTAATGGGGCAGATAGATGTTAATAATCAAATAATCATATAAAATATACGATAAGAGATCCTAACTATGTCAGATTTAGACTGGGGGATCTAGAAAGACTTGTGATATAAATATTTAAACAGACCTCCAAAGCATAAAATAGGACTTGGATGCACAAACTGGTAGGGCTTGGGGATGTGGAGCAGAAGACATTAGGTGGAACTGTGGTGTGTCACAAAGAAACGACATGTATACAATGGTTATGTGGTTAGAACTCCAACAGTGAACAACGAAAAGAATTCATTCAACTTGACAATGGATACAGGTAGGCAGGGCCAGGTCACACAGAACCTGGCAATCCATGTTAATCTTATAAAACAATATAAGCAATCCTCATCTTTCCTCATGCTCTTTTATTTATCTCAGACCCTGTTTGAATGAAAATTTACAAATACAAGCTAAAAGATAATAAACTCCCACAAAACCATCAACCAATTTCAACTATCAACTTTTGGCGAATCCTACCTCATCTATAACATCTATCTCCCATCCCTATGAATTATTTTTAAGCCAATTCCCAACATCACATCATCACCTCTAAATATTTCGGTATGTTTCCAAAATGTAAGGTCTTTTAAGAATATATACCAGTATATTTTATAATCTAAAAAACAATAATTCCTTAATGTTAAATATCCAGTTACTGGTTAAATTTCCTGGATTGTCTCAGTTTTCTCCAAATCAGAGTCAAATAAGATCCACACAATTCATTTACTTAATACATCACAAGCTCGTAACACGCTCCTCCTCATTTTCTTTCCTCACAATCTGTGGAAGAGACAGCACTATCTGTCCTTTAGAATTTCCTCCATTGTGGATTTTACTGACTGTGCCTTTAACACAAAGCCCATACTTCTAAACTTGATAATTTGACACCTCTAGGCTGGCCGTGCTGGCTCATGCCTGTAATCTCAGCACTTTGGGAGGCTGAGGTGGGTAGAGCATTTGAGATCAGGAGTTCAAGACCAGCCTGACCAACATGGTGAAACACTGTCTCTACTAAAAATACAAAAAAATTGGCCAGGCGTGGTGGCCTGGGCCTGTAGTTCCAGCTGCACGGGAGGCTGAGGCAGGAGAATTGCTTGAACCCAGGAGGCAGAGGTTGCAGTGAGCCAAGATCACGCCACTGCACTCTAGCCTGGGCGACAGAGTGAGACTCTGTCTCAAAAATAAACAAACAAACAAACAACCTTTAGTAGTTTGATACATTTCATTTTCTGTAGGTCAGCTGATAAATTTTTTTTGTACATTAAATTTTTACATGTTTAAGATTGAGATATGTTTTAAAATACACTCAATCTTTTAAAAATCATTTAAGGTACTTTAAACTCCTTTCAATACCCGTCAGTCAGATTTTTCATCAAACATGGTAAACATATACATATTATATACTCTGCCTAGCACAATAAAAGAAATGTAATTGTTTGTCATACCCTATGCAAATTTCCAACCAGAAAATACCCAGAAGCATCTTCTAACACTAAAACCCACGTCTCTCCAGGAAAGTTTTTCCTTGTGCATCGTACCTCACAATTCACTCTTTGTCCTCTTCAAGCTTAGTTGGATCCTCTTATTTTGTTATTTGTATGTGCTATTATTTCCAAGTCATGTCATATATATAACTGGTCTCCAACTAGATTATCCATGCCTCCTTATGGGAACTACCATGTGTTTTAACTGTAA
The DNA here is from genome assembly GCF_000001405.40 of Homo sapiens. NCBI lineage: Eukaryota > Metazoa > Chordata > Mammalia > Primates > Hominidae > Homo > Homo sapiens. The sequence goes on from NT_187663.1 coordinate 806,651, forward strand.
GACAATTTTTAATGATGTCTGTGCACATGTAGTTTACAAGTAAATTTGCAAAAAATATAAACAATATGAGAGAGTTTTAGCTGATGCCTTATCCTGTTTAATTCTCAAATGTTTATATTTTAAAAACACTTAACTGAAGTATTCTAATGGAGGAAAAAATGGCATGACAAAGAAGTATGGAAATGGCTTACAGTTCTTGACTGGCTGTAGGACTGAACATGGAATTTGAGCATGAAGATTTTGAGCAAAATACTAGGCTACTTACTGTGTCTTTTTTCTTTTTTTTTTAGACAAAGTTTTGTTCTTATCGCCTAGGCTGGAGTGCAATGGTGCGATCTCGGCTCACTGCAACCTCTGCTTCCCAGGTTCAAGCGAATCTCCTGCCTCAGCCTCCCAAGTAGCTGGGATTACAGGTGCCCGTCACCACGCCTCGCTAATTTTTTGTATTTTTAGTAGAAACAAGGTTTCACTTGGACAGGCTGGTCTCAAACTCCTGACCTCAGGTGATCCACCCACCTCGGCTTCCCAAAGTGCTGGAATTACAGGCGTGAGCAACCGCACATGGCCTACTGTGTCTTCTTTAGAGAATAAGACTGTTATGTTTCAAGAATAAAGCAAATGACAAATAGTGAAAGGCTCTCAGTTATTCAAAGTACTGCCATTCCAGAGCAGCTCCTCCAGAGTGAATTAATTTTCTGTCTACTTTTCTTCCTTTCAAAAGTTAAACTGAGGTTAGAATGTTCAAATTCTGTATGTGATACTAATTTCTCTTTCAAAGAGATTGCTTGAGGCCGAGCATGGTGGCTCAGGCCTGTAATCCCAGCACTTTGGGAGGCTGAGGCGGGCAGATGACTTGAGGTCAGGAGTTCAAGACCAGCCTGACCAACATGGTGAAACCCCGTCTCTACTAAAAATACGAAAATTAGTAGGGAATGTGGTGGGTGCCTGTAATTCCAGCTACTTGGGAGGCTGAGGCAGAAGAATTACTTGAACCCTAGAGACAGACGCTGCAGTGAGTGAGATCACGCCATTGCACTCCAGACCAGGTGACAAGAGTGAAACCCTGTCTCAAAAAAACAAAAACAAAAAACCCCAAAATGATCACTCGAGCTCAGGACTTCGAGACCAGCCTGGGCAACAGGTGAAACCCCATGTCTCTACAAAAAAATACAAAAATTAGCCGGGAATGGTGGTGCAAGCCTAAGGTCCCAGCTACTCAGTAGGCTGAGGAGGGAGGATCGCTTGAGCCTGGGAGGTCAAGGCTGCAGTGAGTCGAGACTGCGCCACTGTACTCCAGCCTGGGCAGCACAGCAAGACCTTCACACACACACACACACACACACACACAGAGCAAGGCCTTGACACACACACACACACACACACACACACACACACACACCCCCAGAAGGGTGAAGGAGCAGAAAAGTACAGTGTATTGAGGCAGGGTCCCCCTTTCATCCCTACTACCCCAGTCCCACATATTCCACAGGGAGAACTTGCCTCCGGCTATCTCTAGAAGAATGAGAGAATTTTAATACTAAATCCAACAGAAAAACATCTTCTTTCTCACTTTGAAAATACGGTTTATTGGAAAAGAGTATGGTGTCTGGAGTCAGTGAACACTGAGTTCCAAATCCTGGCCCCACCACTTAGCTAGCTATTATCATTGAGCCCCCAGTCAGCTACTGAGAAATCAAACAAGTTCCAACGCACAATCTCCAGGAATAATGCTCCAACTTTAGTAAGTCTAAGAATTGCCTGAGAGAGTTAAGTCTCACGTACCTTTATGAAGAAAAAGCCTCTTAGTTATTATGTAAGATATCTATGAGACCATACTTTTTTTGTTTTGTTTTGTTTTTGAGATGGAGTCTCGCTCTTTCGCCCAGGCTGGAGTACAGTGGTGCGATCTCGGCTCACTGCAACCTCTGCCTCACGGGTTCAAGCAATTCTCCTGCCTCAGCCTCCCGAGTAGCTGGGATTACAGGCGTCCACCACCACACCTGGCTAATTTTTGTATTTTTAGTAGAGACGGGGTTTCACCATGTTGGCCAGGCTGGTCTCAAACTCCTGACCTCAGGTGATCTACCCACCTCGGTCTCCCAAAGTGCTGGGAATACAGGTGTGAGCCAATGCGCCCAGCTGAGACCATATTTTCAGAAATAGTCCTTAAAGACACTGAGGTTTAGCAACAGAACCCATCTTCAAGAAAATGAGTTGAACCAAAAATTAATTTGTTAATAAACTTACCAGTTCTTAAAAATAAATGTGGTAAAAAGGAACAAAACAAACAAAAAAGTGAATAAATAGAAGAAACCCTGGTACAGGCAAGGTGGTGTAGACTCTATTCTTTCTCCCAGCTCATCCCTGTTCTAAGCACAATTATAAATCCTGCAAATAACACAAGAGGCAATCAAAGGAAAACTCTGAAAGATAGAAAAGGGAAGGCAAACTAGTTAAAGGCCCCAGGACTAAAGGAACAACACAGTGACAAAAGCATCTAATAAACACTATCCAACCGAAAGAAGGTAACCCAAGTTTGGCATTTCCTGGCTTCCAAGAGAGCAACAAAGAGCATCTCAGACAGGCTCATTCCCTGCCTCCATATAAGGGAAGTATTTCCTTCAATACCAGGGAAGCACTGCAGCAACAGCAAGGGGGATGGATCAGGAGGTCTGCTAATAATAGGAAGCCAGAGGAAACGTTATTGCCCCATTTCTCTATTTCTTTTTACGGCAAATACTCATTATTCTAATTTGTCTCTTCTCACTGTTTCTTTAACACAGGGTTTCAACCCACTATTGCACCAAAGCTGCTGGTCAAGGTCACCAATGACCTCCACTGTACTAAATCCAATTTCCACATTTCAGTCCTTACCACCCTTGATCCATCACCAGTATCCAACAAAGGTGAGTACTCCCTCCTTCAAATACTTTCTCCACTTCTCTTTCAAGACATACTAACCTGGCTTTTCTATTGTCTTTTTGAATTCCTTGTAAGACTGCATATGCGAAATCACTAAATCTTCTTTCCTATACTTCCTTTCTAGGTGATCTTACCCAAACTCATGGCTTTAAGTATCCAACTATGTTTCTGACTCCCAAATTCCTACCTCGAGCTGAAATCGCTCCCCTCAACTCCAGATTCCTGTTTCTACCTGCCTACTCAACACTTCTATTTGAATGTCTAAAAAGTGTCTCAAACTTTACATGATCAAAATGAAGTTGATACTTTCCCCTCCCCAACTCCTATATGCCATCCCAAACCTGCTTCAACTAGATGGATCTGTTCAGGTCAAAAACCTCCATGTAATCCTTAATTTCAACCCCCCACCACCTCTATCTCTCTCATAAACACACTCAATTGGCAAATCTTATTGGCACTGTCTTCAAATATATCCAGTATTCAGCCACTTCTTGCCACTTCATTGTTAGTACTTTGGTTGAATCTTTCTAGATGAGTCCAAGAGCCTCTAAATGGGCTTCTAGCTCTCACCCTTGACCACTTTCAGGATATTATCATGAACATAGCAGCCAGCCTAATATTGTATAAAAGGATAAGTTCTATCATGTCACTCCTCTACCCAAAACCTAGCCTAGTTGTTTACCATCTCTAAAAACCCAAGTCCTGACAACGACCCTGTAAGGCCTCAAACAGAGAGCCTCTATCACCCAATCCCTGCTACCTCTCTGGCCTCATCTCCTGTTCTCCTCCTGGCTCATTCCATTCCAGTCACTGCTGTTTGCTGAACATGTTAGGCAAGCTGTCACCCACAGGACCTTTTATTTGCTATTCCTAAAGCAGATATCCTCACTTTCTTCAGGTCATTTCCTTACATGACACTTTATTAAGGCTTTCCCTTAACTGTCCTATAAAATTGCAACCCCTCTCCAAATACCCCCTACACACCTTTCTTTCCCGCTTCCTGGCTTTATTAATAGAACCTTCATGAAAATTATTTTTAATTATCTATCTTTCTTACTGTCTGTTTCCCCCACTAGAATCATATCCGGAAAACAGAGATTTTTGTCTTGTTCACCATAATATCTCTGGGTGCTTGGAACAATGCCTAGCAAATGGCAGGTACTCAAATATTTGTTCAAAGGGAAGGAAGGAAGCAGGAAGAGAGAGGGAATGAGGGTAACAGGCTGGAACTATGATCCTAACTTTTCCTTACAAAAGATTAAAACCAAAGTAATTCCAGACTGAAGCTAACCCCTTTTCTCATCTGGTGCCAACAGACCTCATAAAACTAACTCTGGCCTCCTCATAAAACTAACTCTGGCCTCTAATGCTGAAAGCGAGTCAAGCAATTATAGTCCACACTCTTAGTCCAAGTATACACAAACCAGGGAAAATAAAGCTATATTACAAAGTGAAAACTACTAACAAGATATTTGAGAGCTCTTCTTTTTTTGGAGATAGGATCTTGCACTGTCACCCGGGCTGAAGGGCAGTGATGCAATCATAGCTCACTATAGCCTCAATCACCTGAGCTCAAGCAACCACTCTCACCTCAGTCTCTGCAGTAGCTGGGACCTCAGATGTGCACCACCACGCCCAGCTAATTTTATTTTTTCATAGAAATGGAGCCTCACGATGTTGCCCAGGCTGGTCTCAAACTCCTAGGCTCAGGTGATTCTCCTGCCTCAGCCTTCCAAAATGTTGGGATTACAGGTGTGAGCCACTGCACCCAGTCTAATCCCAACCATACACAACTTGAATGGAAACTTGCTGAGGGTACTATAGATGTTCCAGAGTAAAAACGTTTCCGCTTTTACACATGGTAAAATACAAAATTCTCACATCTCAATTTCTATGCTTTTGCAAACCACTTACTAACAGAATCGTGAATTATATGATACGTGTAAGATAGTTAAGTTTTATTGGCAGATTTCGATTCTGCCACATCAAATTGAAAAATATTCTGTCATGTTCATCATTATATATTATATAAATTTGCCTCCCTCAAAAACCACACCCCCACCAAAAAAAAACCCTTAAGAAATAATTTTTAATGACATAGACCTCAAAGGTTGAGCTAGTTTTCAGTTAAAGAATGACTGAGGGCACAAAGGTGGACATTTTTACCATCCTAAAAATTGGAAGATATCACTCCCAGGGTGGCTGTGTGATTTCAATGACATAACATTTTTAAAGTCTAGCATTCCATTATAAGTGCTCAGTAAATGGGAAGTTGCTGCTGCTCTTACAAGCTTCTGACTACCATACCTGGTTGAACTAACTCAGTTACCACAAGGTACTCTATGCCCTTACATCTAATGACAAATATTTGTTTTGAAAAACGTATACTCCTTAAACACACTTGAGAAACAGGAACCAGAGACCCAAGTACATTTTGTTCTGAATCAAATTCCAGCATGCACAGCAAAGTGCATGTAGAGGGGTGAGAGGGTGACTAGGGAGACTGCTTCAATGGGAGATTATTCTGCAGTAGTGCCTTAACTGTAGAACAGTGATGATGATAAACTCATCCTAAATTTAGGACTACTGACAGGAACAAGTGACCACAGTAACTGTTCATCTTAAGTCGTAAAAAGCTTTCTGGCAATACTCATCTTCAAAAAAACCTAGCATGTAGGAAAAATCTTTTATGTGTTTGAATAAGGGTAATATAGTTAAAGCTAAAGGCTTAGATTTTTAACTGGTCTAATGAGAGAAAGCACAGTAGTCATATAATAAGAAGGTTTATGTTTTACTTCATTTTACTAGTGTTTCCTCATGAGAATTAAGTAACAGAAATTATAGGAATCACAAATGAAGTGCTTACTCCATGCAAAACACTGGTCTGGCACATTACAGATATTAATTCACGAAATCCTCATTAAAACCCTGTCAAGTGGGTATTATGATCATCACTGCCCCATTTTTATAATAAGGAAACTAAGACAATAAGGCTAAGTAACTTGTCTAAGGTCACACCACTAACAAGCAGAGCCAAGACTTGACATAGGTGCTCTGGGCCAGAGTTTTTGTTAACAGTTGGAATATACAAATTTACAAGTATTACTGCCAAATCAATTTTCTCAAAAATAAGTCAAAGTGGAGGAAGGGGGGAGATGACCCTCTGAATTCACTAAGGTTCTGTGAAAAGATGCTGAAACAAATAAAAAGAGTATTTGATTGTCAAATATATGCTATTTAGAAATACTAATGGAAAAGAATACTGTGGGCAAGAAAAGAATCACAAGTATTTGTGCTGAGTTCTGAAAGGAGAGAAATAAGGTTGGGGTGGGAGGTGGGGAAAGCAGGTCAAGCATGGAATAGAGCATGAATAAAAATGCACAGTCAGAAAAGTAAAAAGCTATGTCCTAGATACAAAGCAGTAGTAATAGGTAGAAATAGTATTACAAAAACAGCAGTGTCACTAGGTATCAGGCACTCAATGCATAACTAAAGAGAACATAAAAATAATTAAAACTATAGTGAAACAAATAACAAGAACATGTCATATTCCTGGTTGTGATAACTACCTATCATAATTGTAGTTTTTTTCCCTTAAATTATTAAGTTGGAGCAGTTATTTTACGTCTGATGCATTTCTTAAGCGGTTTTAAAGAAGGGCATAGAATATGTGATGATAAATTTGACACAATAATTTGAGTTCATGTGAATGAGTGTTCAAACATTGCCAAGAAAACACTGAAAGATAATTTTTAAAGATGGAGTTTCGCTCTGTCGTCCAGGCTGGAGTGCGATGGCGTGATCTCGGCTTACTGCAACCTCCGCCTCCCGGGCAAGCCATTCTCCTGCCTCAGCCTCGCAGGTAGCTAGGACTACAGGCATGTGCTGCCAAGCCCAGCTAATTTTTTGTATTTTTAGTAGAGATAGGGTTTCACCATGTTGGCCAGGCTGGTCTCAAACTCCTGACCTCAGATGATCCCCCTGCCTCCACCTCCCAAAGTGCTGGGATTACAGGCATGATCCACCGTGCCCAACCGAAAGAGAATATTAAGGAAGACTCTGCCCAACCAATTATTAAAATTGCCATTATACAACAAGTATAATCAATAGATACGGATGGTATTTGAACTAGACTAGACAAAGAGATCAGCAGACCACAAAATACAACATATACATCCAAGTATACATGGCAACGTAATATGCAAAGATGACATCTCAATTCTCAGAAGAAAGAACATTGTATTTAATTGTTGATATTGATATAACCAACTACACATTTGGGAAGAAAGGAGAGGGAATTCCTATCTTACACTACACACAAAAATAAATCTAAAGTGTGTTAAAGACTTTAGCATAATCACTGCATTGGGAGGCATTCTTAAAGAACAGAAGAAAAGCAGAAACCAGAAAAGTTTATTTTTTGGAAAATTCATTAAAAATTCTCATGCTCTCTGATCCACTTTTCAAGATTCGATCCCACAGAAACGAGAGCACCAATACAATAATGTTTACTATCAAGGTAACTGAAAGCAACTGTATTTCCCAAAGGAGAATGGCTGAGTATATTATTGTACACCTCTATAGGGAGTGTTATATAATCATTAAGAATGAAGACAGGCACGGTGGCTCACACCTATAATCCCAGGGCTTTGGGAGCCCAAGGTGGGTGGATTGCCTGAGGTCAGGAGTTCAAGACCAGCCTGACCAACATGGTGAAACCCCATCTCTACTAAAAAATAAAAAAATTAGCCAGGCATGATGGGGTGCACCTGTAGTCCTAGCTACTCAGGAGGCTGAGGTAAGAAAATCGCTTGAACCCAGGAGGTGAAGGTTGCAGTGAGCCAAGATCAAGTCATTGCACTCCAGCCTGGGTGAAAAGAGTGAAACTCTGTCTCAAAAAAAAAAAAAAAAAAAAAAAAAAGAATCCAGACCGGGAGTGGTGGCTCACGCTTGTAATCTCAGCCCTTTGGGAGGCTGAGGCGAGCGGATCACCTGAGGTCAGGAATTCGAGACCGGCGTGGCCAACATGGTGAAACCCCATCTCTACTAAAAATACAAAAATTAGCCGGACATGGTGGTGTGTGCCTGTAGTATCAGCTACTCAGGAGGCTGAGGTGGGAGAATCGCTTGAACCTGGGAGGCAGAGGTTGTAGTGAGCCAAGATCACACTACTGCATTCCATCCTGGGTGAGAGTGAGACATTGTCTCCAAAAAACAAAACAAAACAAAACAAAAAACTGGGCAGATAAATTTTTTTTTTTTTTGAGATGGAGTGTCACTCTTGTTGCCCAGGCTGGAGTGCAATGGCACAATCTTGGCTCACTACAACCTCCGCCTCCCAAGTTCAAGTGATTCTCCTGCCTTAGCCTCTCGAGTAGGTGGGATTACAGGCATGCGCCATCACGCCGGGCTAATTTTGTATTTTTGGTAGAGACAGGGTTTCTCCATGTTGGTCAGGGTGGTCTTGAACTCCCGACCTCAGGTGACCCGCCCACCTTGGCCTCCCAAAGTGTTGGGATTACAGGCGTGAGCCACCAGGCCCGGCCGGGACAGATAATTTTAGACATCAATTTAAGTGGGAAGAAGACTACAAAGAATACAAAGAAACTAGCAATGCCTGAAGACATTTTTTGTTGTCACAACTGGGGGTGGGGGGATGGTACTTGGTAGAGGCCAGAGATGCCGCTAACCATACTACAACACAGGACAGTTTCCTACAAGAAAATGTCAGTAGAGCTGACACTAAGAAACCTTGCTGTATATGAACCACTGATAAGAATAAAATCTTAGCTTTCCAAGGTCAATCTTGCCTTTTAGCCCCATCATGGCCCCACGTGTTTGCAGGTTCTTTGGCTAAGCCACCAAATAGCTGTTATGGTCTGTTAACAATCAAATGAATGGCAAGGGAGAAGTTTAAGCCATGACCCAGCATTTAAAAAATAATGGAAAAGAATACAACAGAAAACTAAGAGTATGCAGCATGCAGAGTATGTGGGGAAAGTAATTTTTGTTAAAGTTAGGCATATGCAAGCCTTTGTGTCTCTCAAATTTACCTGTAGGTATAAGTGGGGCAAACTGTTTATCGCACGGTAGATCATGCTCAAAGAAAGTCATTCAAGATACTCCTCAGTTCTCTCATCCAAAAAACTCATGAGTTGGACTAAAAAAAAAACAAAAAAACCTACGAGGCACTTTCTTTATAAAATGTTAATGAATTTATGATCATCTGCATGAAGTCTACCCTGTATGTACAGATGTAACCTACATGGGAGGGGGTACAGTCCTTATAGGTAGACACCTGAAAGGCTCAATTCATTTCAGATGTTTCAAGAAAATTCCTTAGTCAATAACATTCACATAGACTTTGTAAGATCTTGATTAAGCCATGAGGCCAAATCTAAATCTAAATCACCCACTCAGAAAGTGCCAAAAACCTTAAAACCAAAAGAAACATTAGAGATTATCTATCTCTAAGCATCTCAATTTTTAAATGAGTAAAATGAGCCCAAAATGGGGCCCAAAGGATTAAATGATTTGCCCAGAGTCATAAGCCAAGTCAGACTGTCAAACCGTTAAAGCAAACTGATAAGAAAAAGATGCTCAGGGCCAGGCATGTTGGCTCACGCCTGTAATCCCAGCACAGTGGGAGGCCGAGTAGGGCAGATCACAAGGTCACGAGTTCTAGACCAGCGTGGCCAATACGGTGAAACCCCGTCTCTACTAAAAATACAAAAATTAGCTGGGCATGGTGGCAGGCGCCTGTTGTCCCAGCTACTCGGGAGGCTGAGGCAGGAGAATCGCTTGAACCCAGGAGGCGGAGGTTGCAGTGAGCCAAGATCGCGCCATTGCACTCCAGCCTGGGCAACAGCGAGACTCCCTCTCAAACAAAAACAAAAACAAAAAAACTAAAACATCTAACTGAATCAGGCTGCTTAAGTATCAAAATAATCTTAAATATCTGAAGAGGAAGAAGGATAAAGATTCCCTAACATGCAGAACTAAAACTAGAAAAACTTTATTCTAATGTTCTTAGACTACTATCAAATTCTCCCTAGGACTTCTACATTGCTGATAACAGCTTACAATATTTTTCCCAGTTTAGTTAAGACCACATGTCAGTATTTTATTACAATCTTTCAAGCAAGAAAGAAGGTCTCTGATATACTAATTTAAAGACATATACACTCTTGATAGAGCTATATTAGGAAATGGCAATGGCTAATTCGTAAACTAGATTTTTAAAAAATGACAATATCTTGTTTAAAGTTATTAGACTATGACAGTCATCTGAGTGGGGAGGTAACTAGTTCCCCAGCAGAAGCCTTAATCCCATTAAGGTTTATCAGACAAGTGTATAACAGAAATGTTCATTTCTTCTCAGAAGGAGGTTATGAATTATATCACACGGATTCTGTTTAGATGAGGTTTAGAACAATTTTTCTTTTTAACAGTTTCTCCTTTTGATTTAGACACTCTCTAAAGATCTGTCCAGATTTAGGTCCATTTCACTGAAATTTTGTACTAAAGTCCACGAATTTTTTTCATTTTTTCTTTGGCAAACAGGTATTTTTGTAAACCCAAGTTTTATTTATTTATTTATTTTGAGATGGAGTTTCGCTCTTGTCATGCAGGCAGGAGTGCAATGCACAATCTTGGCTCACTGCAACCTCCACCTCCTGAGTTCAAGCGATTCTCCTGCCTCAGCCTCCCGTGTAGCTGGGATTACACGCGCCTGCCACCACACCCAGCTAATTTTTTTATTTTTAGTAGAGATGGGATTTTGCCATGTTGGCCAGGCTGGTCTCACACTGCTGACCTCAGGTGATCCACCCATCTCAGCCTCCCATAGTACTGGGACTACAGACGTGAGCCACCGTGTCCAGCCTGTAAAGCAAGAATTTTTAAAGAGCAAAAAGAAAGTGCAGATTTTCTGTCTCCTTACTACAGATGAGAAAATAGTATAAAGCTATCGAGTGTCAACAGTTCTATATTACCCCCGTCCCCACCCCCACTGTACTGCTCCTGAAAGCTAAACAGAAATCCCAAGGAAAGTATACATTCAAGGAACGAAGATAACTTTAGATATGTATTACATGATGCATATACGGGTTTTCAGTGAACTATATGTGATTTCAAACTAAATTAAAAACAAGGCTTTACTATGACATTATGAATGAAAAACAGTTTATTTATAGGATACTTTGACTCTACTCAAAAAGTATGCTTAAACAATCCAACAACTTTAGGAAAGCCAACCGATAAATCTTTGCAATCAGGCAGAAATACTAAGGCATTTAAAAAACATACCCAGACCGCTTTTAACATTTACCCCAGAGATCTCTAGGCTCATCACAGAGGGTAACCACAAAATGCTTAAGCTGCATACAGACATCAGGCAAATGCCACATAACTGCTGGACAGTAAGTTATCACCACAGTAGTTACCAATGTGACAAAGCAGAGGATAAGGAGCATTCAGAGTTGGAAACTACGGTGGAAACGTTTCCATTTATGGCACATTTTCTGATTGGTTTTATAACTCATGTTACTAACTATAGAATCATAGACGAGAAGAATCCCCGGAACCAAGCCTCTTATAAATAAGTCAACTGACCTGAAAAACTTACGACAGAGTGAAAACTAGACCCAACTTCAAACTGAGATAGGATTTTATACTTCACAAAAATTAAAGTTAGTTATTTAGATTTTATTAGAAATAGCTCAGCACGTAAAGTCCTCAAAGGAAACAGACATACAGTCAAAAAAAACCATTACTGCGGGGCGCAGTGGCTCACGCCTGTAATCCCAGCACTTTGGGAGGCCAAGGCAGGCGGATCACGAGGTCAGAGGATCAAGACCATCCTGGCTAACACGGTGAAACCCCGTCTCTACTAAAAACACAAAAAATTAGCCGGGCGTGGTGGTGCGTGCCTGTACTCCCATCTACTAGGCATGCTGAGGCAGGAGAATGGTGTGAACTCGGGACACGGAGCTTGCAGTGAGCCGAGATGGCACCAATGCACTCCAGCCTGGGCAACAGAGCGCGACTCCGTCTCAAAAAACAAAAACCAACAACAACAAAACATTATTAAACTATAATAATGTTTTCTATCAAGACACAAAATATTAAAAGTAGATCAGGAAGGAATAATAAGTCAATTCATTATCAACCTTGTGACTCTTCTGTCCAGCCTCTTCCAGAGGTTCCCTTTACTTTTAAGTGCAATGCAATCTTTAACCTTAACTCTAAAAACTCATTTAGAGTCCTCCAATTTCTTATCAGTTTTCCAATACAGCTCAAGAACTTTTCCATCAGTGAATAAAAGTTGCATTACTTTTCCCTTTCACAGCTTGTTGGCAGGGAATTATTTTAAATGTACAACAAAAATCTATAAATCTGTAGCTTCCAAAAGAGTGTTTGAAAATATATTTTAAATGGCAAAATAATCTCAGTAATCAACAGTAATACTGAAGTAATGTTTGAAAATTACATTTTTAGAAAGTATAAAGTTACATTTATTACAAGTGAAGAAAAAAATTTTTATGAGGGAATGTTTTTAAAAAGGGTTACAAATTCTTTGACACTTCTCCCAATGAGAGGCAGATTTCTGTCAATTCCCCCTCAAATCTGAGGGAGCTTGTGACCACTTTGGTCAACAGAATATGGTGGATGTGGTACTAGATGACTTTCCAGGACAGGTTATAAATGGGTATGCAGCTTCAACTGAGCACAGAGACTTCATGTTAAGAGATATTATAACCCTGAGAATTCCATGCTGAACAGCCATGTGCACACAGTACTTGACGAAGCAACCCAGCCAAGCAAAGCTTTCTAGCCATTCCTTAAAAGCTGCCAGACTTATGGGTGAAGAAACTATCTCACAAATTTGTGTATGGACTCTCCTTCCAGTAACGTAAATTCCAAGAGAGTAGGAATTCGTCTTTGTTTTATTCACTGATGTATCCACACCATTTTAATAGTTTCCTTTTATGTATGCAGTAAGCATTCAATAAAGGTCTGTTAAATAGATATTAGTGATGGTGGCAGTGGCAGGTGGAGAAGGGGATATCCTATTCATGAATAGTTCACAGCAGTAACCATGTGCATGCCTCGCAAAGCAGCCAAAGATTTTCAGAGAGTCTATCTAATTCCAATGAAAAGCCCAGGCTTTTAAAACGGTATTTTACAAAGACTGATGGATCTGACTAAAGAAATTTAAAACTTCTATCATTCAAAAACCATAAAAATTAAAACATAAATAAATAAAAAGCTAGGGAAAACAATTTGCATTTTAATTATGCTTTTAAAATGCAAAAAAACCCTTTCAAATAACTCAAAAAGACACAAAGATTTACAGATTTCTTTATATAAAAAAGTGACAAATAAATACAAAAGAAATACACTACTAAATCAACCAAATAAAATAATCCAAGAATGTCTTTTTTGTTTATTAAATTGGAAATTCTTTAAAAACTACTATCTGTTAGGCTTCAGAACACTGCTGACAAAACAGCAGTTTCATTCTGGAGAACATAACATTTCTCAAAAGCCTTAAAACTGTCATTATCCCATGACCACTCCCCACTACCCCCACCCCAGAAAAAGTCCACATCTAGAAATTTAACCTAAGGTAATAATCTGTGATATGAAGCAAGCTTTACACACAATGTTTTTAAACTCTTAGATAAAAGAGCACTAACTGAGGGTCATGTTCCCGACGTTAGTTTTATTTGCTTGTAGTTGGGTTTTCTTTGGCCTTCACAAGTGTGTCAAAAAAAATTCAGTAAGTTGCCAGCATTTTAAAATCTATTGCACACAAACACAAGATCTGCCAGCACTGGGTCTGCAAGCCTCTTAATGACTATTAGCTAAACAGTAGCCAATCCCTTCAGATGTGGCACATGATACACAGTTCAAAATCATCCCTAATCTGAAAGCTTGGTTCATTTACATTAGATGCTTTATCTTCTAAAGTTATCTCAGTTGGAAGCCCTACACTAGAGATCAAACTTTAAGCATGCAGGGCTTGCTAAACGCTGATTGGTGGGCCCCACCCCCAGAGTTTCCGACTCAGGACATCTGAAATGGGGTCCCAGAATTTACATTTCTAGCAGATTTCTAGGTGATGGTCCAAAGACTACACTTTGATGGTCTAGAGACCACATTTTGATGAACTTTCCTTGCTGAAGCCAGAGAGAGGCCTAGCATCCTTTGAATTACACAATTACAGGATACTTAAACAATATTGGAGATTCCATTAATGGGGGAGGGAGGCAAGGAAGAGTAGAAAAGCCGACGGATAAACAACCAATAGTCAGTGCACTGCTTCCCTCTATCAGAGGTGGAAAACCATTGCCCTACACTAAATTTAAGAATAATCCTAGATTAAGTTGCTAGTCCAAATTTTCTATTCTACATTCTTTCTCATGGGCCTTATCCATTTCTCAAGGTTTAATGACCTCTTCTACACTTCATGGATAAAATAACAGGGGTAAACAAAAATTGTGGTAAAAGATCCCACGTAGCTCCAATATTTTATGACTAACAAATGTGTATCACCAGCCTTAATATTTTCTACTGAATTTGCTTTCTCCAGCTGGATCCTATACATAGCAGCTTTTGCTGAATGCTTCCTTTGTTCCGGGCATTGTGCTACAACATTACATGACTTTTCATCATTTCATCATTATAACAACTCTATGAAACGGTGCCTACTATCCCCATACTACAGATGGAGAAAAAGAGGTCATTTGTCAAGGGGTTAGGTCATTTGTCAGAGAAGCAAGCACAGGTAAAATCTACATCTGTATACGGGTAATCTGGCTCCAGAGTCCTCAATTTTCTTTTTCTTTTTTTTTTTTTGAGATGGGGAGTCTCGCTCAGTTGCCCAGGCGCAATCTTGGTTCACTGCAACCTCCGCTTCCCAGGTTCAACTGATCTCGTACCTCAGCCTCCCGGGTAGCTGGAATTACAGGTGCACGCCACCACGTCCAGCTAATTTTTGTATTTTTAGTAAAGACGAGGTTTCACCATGTTGGCCAGGCTGCTCTCAAACTCCTGACCTCAAGAGAGCTGCCCACCTCGGCCTCCCAAAGCGCTGGGGATACAGGCGTGAGCCACCACACCCGGCCCAGAGTCCTGAATTTTAACCACTACACTTCATCTAAAATTCAACTTGTACAAATTCCAATCTTTCATCTAAAACTAGCTCTTCCTCTAAACTTGCCTACTGTCAATGTTTTCACCTTCCTGCTCAGGCTGCCAGGCTCCAAATCACTAAGTTCCTACCATAATTAAGTCCTTCTACATTTCACATCTGTCTTTTTCTTTTTATTTCAATTGACCTAAATGTCCTTATTCACCCTTCACCTGGCCTCTAAAATGCCTAGTATTTCTGCTTCTAGTCTTACACCCAACGGTGCTCCTCACTCATTGCCTATGGGTCAAAGGCCAGCTTATTTAACATCAAATTCAATTTAAGACCTTACCTACCTCTTGGATCCATTTCTGTGGTTCCACAAACAGATTAAAAATTATACTTAAAACACACCAACACACATGCAGAGCTTTATTTCTGAAGAAGAAGAGAGAGGGGTGGAAAGGAAAAAACTTAAGAAACAATGTTCAATCTGAAAGTATCACTTCTAAGTGGAAGGCTACAAGGGATAATTAATAGCTACCAAAACTGAACACTGAAACATCACATCCCTCTTTCATGGAGCCATGTAAGTTAAAAAAGAATCTTAAACTGTTGAGGTATATCAACATAGACAAAATCTGAATGCCAAAGTGAGTTTCACTCTAGGATCAGGTTATCTGGCAGCTCCTGAAACAGGACAGTTTCAGGAACCCTGTACAAACCTCAGTGAAATGAAATAACTTCAAGCTGTTTGTTACAGGGGACTCTTGTGTCTTTTAGTCTAAGTAAAAGCAGCAATTTTCTACAATATATTTATATAAGCTGTGCATTTCCATGAAAGAAAGGAGGTCTACTGTGGATATATGCTTGGTATGAAATTATGTCAGAAACAAGTGGGAGCGAGGGGCAAGTCAACATGCTGTCACTAAATAAAAGACAGACCCCCAGAAATGACCTCAACAATCAAAGAAAACATGATAGTGTAAGTTAACATGATTAATTTTTTAAATTAATAGACTATATTTTAAAGTAATTTGAGGTTTAATGAACTGAGTAGACAGCAGAGTACCCATATACCCTCCCTTCCATTTCCTTTGCACATTTATTATACTTAATGAGCCAATACTTGCATATTCTTATTAACCAAAGTCCATTTACATCAAGGTTCGCTTTGTTTTGAATTTTGACAAATGTAAAACATGTACTTACCACGAAATTTTACAATATGCAATACCAAAAAATACAGCTAGATTCAAAGAGAGAATGTTTCAGCATCTCATTATCTTTATCACAGTAACATAAACTGAACTCCGATCTTCTCCCCTGCTCCCACCTAGTTTTCCCAGTCTTCCCATCTCAGTAAAGAGCAATACCTTCCATCCACTTGCTCAGACCAAAAATTCCTTCCTCTTTTATAACCCATACATCCAGCCCATCAGCAAATCCTACCTGCTCTAACTTCAAAATATATCCAGAATTGAACCTTAATTCTCACACTTTACCACCACCACTGGAACCCAAGACACCATTCTCTCACTAGGTTATTATAGTAGCCCCCTAACTCTTTTTTTTTTTTTTGCTTCTGTCCACAAACTAATCAGATCATGTCACTCCTCTACTCAAAGCAGGAACTGGCATTCTACCTTAGAGCAAGAGCTACAATCCTCACAACAGGCCTACTAGGTTCCACACAACCTGTCTCCACCTACCTCAGTTCCCTTTTCTGTCTATGACTTCACCTCCTGTGTCCTCTTCACCACTTGCTGTTGAAGCTACACTGGTTTGCTTGCCGGATTACTTCAGGCAGTCTCTGTCCTTAAAGTTTTGGCACTGGCTGTTCTTTTTGTCCAAAATATCTTCCACAAATGCTCACACAGCTGACTTCACATCCTGACACAAATATCACTTTCATAGTTAGGCCTTTTTCCCTGATGACCCTATTTATCACTGCATTGTTTTCCCCTGTACTCCTTATCCCTCTTACCTGCTTTATTTTTTTCTGCATAGCATTTGCTGCAACCAAATATATATTCTACTTTGTTATTTTATTGACCCCCCCACCCCACTAGAAAATAAATGCAGCAACTGAGGTTTCTGGCCTTAAAAAGCACTTAGTAATTATTTGTTGAATGAATAAACTATGGTGTACAGATTCTCCTCAACTTACAATGGGGGTTTTGTCCCAATAAACCCATCATAATTTGAAAATATCATAAGATGAAAATGCATTTAACGCACCTAACCTACTGAACATCAAAGCTTAGCTGGGCCTACCTTAACGTGCTCAGAACACATACATTATCCTACAGTTGGGCAAAATCATCTAACACAAAGCCTATTTTATAACAAAGCATGAATAACTCATTTACTGAAGACTGTACTGAAAGTGAAAACAACGGCTGTGGGTACTCAAAGTACAGTTTCCAGTTTTCACACGATAATAAAGTTGAAAAACCATAATTTGAACTATAGTAAGTTGGGGACCATCTGTCAAGGTTCCTAAAGGTGACATACAGGTGCTAGCAACTACAGTCTAAAAAAATAAAGCCCCAATTCTCAACAAATCAGTAACTGATTCTGGAAACACAGAAGTTCCTTTGACTCTCTTAAAGGCTTCAAGCCCCTCTATCAGAAAAAAATGTCTACAGTTTGAGGAGACTAGCCTGCTGCCTTCGGGATGTCCCCATCTGTTTTCTAGCCACTAACACAGCCACAAAGCATACCACACTTAGGAACAGATCTATGGGTAGGACACAAGCATATTTAGGCTGCTATCATAAAGATAAAGATGCATTCAGCCATAAATACTTAAACAAGTATTCATACTGGAAATATGAAACACTTTTAATCATATTCCTAACAAAAGTACCACGAGATTAACTGGCTGAGAAATAATGGGGGTGATCTCCTATCGACTACAAAAGTGGGTTAGAAACTGAAGTAATCTAACCTCATCAAGCAAGTAAAGCTTCACTTTACTGCACTTTGCAGATGCTGTTTTAAAAAAAAACAAATTCAATGTTTATGGCAACCCTGCATCAAGCAAGTCTATTAGCGTCATTCTTCCAACAGCGTGCACTCACTTCATGTCCATGTGACACATTTGGGTAATTCTCACAATATTTCAAATGTTTTCATTATCTGTTATGATGATCTGTGATCAGTGATCTCTGACACTGCCATTGTAATTTCTGGAGGTACCACGAACCGCACCCATAAAAGATGGAAAACTTAACTGATAAAAATGTGTGTTCTCACTACTCCACTGAATGGCCATTCCCCTGTCTCTCTCCCTCTCCTCTTGTTTCCCTATTCCCTGAAACACAACAATATTGAAATTAGGCCAATTAGTAACTCCTCAATGGCCTTTAAGTGTTCAAGTGGAAGAGTCTACAGCTCTCGCTTTAAATCAAAAGCTAGAAATAGACACTTGCGGATGTTTTCTGGTAAAATAGCTGAAAGAAAAGAATTTTTTTTAGAGACGGGGCGCAGTGGCTCATGCCTGTAATCCCAACACTTTGGGAGGCGGCGGCAGGCGGATCACCTGAGGTCAAGAGTTTGAGACCAGCCTGGCCAACATGGCGAAACCCCCTCTCTACTAAAAATACAAAAATTATGTGGGTGTGGCATTGCGCACTTGTAGTCCCAGCTACTCAGGAGGCTGAGGCAGGAGAATCACTTGAGCCCGGGAGGCAGAGGTTGCAGTGAGCCAAGATCGTGCCACCACACTCCAGCCTGGGCGGCAGAGCGAGACTCCATCTCAAAAAAGAAAAAGAATATATATTTTTTAAAAGCTAGAAGTGATTAAGCTTCTGAGAAAGGTATGTTGAAAGCCAACATAGGCTGAAAGTAAGGCCTCTTGTACCAGTTAGCAAACTTGTAAATGCAAAAGTTCTTGGAGAAAATTTAAAAAGTGCTACTCCAGTGAACACACAAATCGTAAGCAAGAGAAGCAGCTTTATTGCTGATATGGACAAAGTTTTAGTGGTCTGTATAGATCAAACCAGCCACAACATTCCATTAAACTGAAAGCCTAATCCAGAACAAGACCCTAATCCTCTTCAATTCCATGAAGACTGAGAGAGGTGAGGAAGCTGCAGAAGCAAAGTCTGAAGATGACGGAGGCTGCTTTACGAAGTTTAAGGAAATAAGCCATCTCCAATAACCTAAAAGTGCAAGGTGAAGCAACAAGTGCTGATGGAGAAGCTGTGGCAAGTTATCCAGAAGATCTAGCTAAGATCATCGATGAAGATGGCTCCATTAAACAACATGTCAGCAATGTAGAAAAAACAGCATTCTATTGGAAGACACAATCCAAAACTTTTGTGGCTAGAGAGTAGAAAGGAGAAATCCTGTCTTCAAAGAGAGGAGAATGCTTGACTTCAAAGCTTCAAAGGACAGCCTCTCTTGTTAGGAGCTAATGCAGCTGGTGATTTTAAGGTGAAGGCCAATGCTCCTTGACCATTCTGAAAATCTAAGGCCCTTAAGAATTACACTACATCAGCCAGGTGCAGTGGCTCATGCCTGTAATCCCAGCACTCTGGGAGGCCAAGGAGGGAGAACTGCTTGAGCCCAGTAGTTGGAGACCAGCCTGGGCAACACGGCAAGACCCCGTCTCTATAAAATAAAATAAAAACAAATTATGCTACATTTACTCTGCCTATGCTCTATAAATGAAACAACAAAGCCAGGATGTCAGAACATCTGTTGACAGCATGTTTTACTGAATATTTTAAGTCCACCATTGAGACCTCATGCTCAGAAAGATTCCTTTCAAAATACTGCTGCTCACTGACAATGCACCATTGCCGGAGAGGTCTGAAAGAGATGTACAAGGATATAAATCCTGTTATCATGCCTGTTAACACAACATCCATTGTGCAGCCCACAGATCAAGCAATAATTTCCACTTCTAAGCCTTATAATTTAAAAAATACATTCTGTAAGGCTATAGCTGCCATAGATAGTGATTCTTCTGATGAATCTGGGCAAAGTAAATTGAAAATTATTCTGGAAAGGATTCACCATTCTATTGAGTCACTCATGATTCATGGGAGGAGTTCAAAATATCAACCCCAACAGGAGTTTGGAAGAAGTTGACTCCGACTCTCATGGATAATCGAGAGGTTCAAGACATTGCTCGAAAAAGTAACTGCAGATGTGAAAAACACAGCAAGATAACCAGAATTAGAAATAGAGCCTGAAGATGTGACTGAACTGCAATCTCGTGATAAAACTGAAACAGATGCAAAGTTAAGTTGACTCTGACTCTCATGGATAACTGAGAGGTTCAAGACACAGGTCGAAAAAGTAACTGCAGATGAGGAAGAAACAGCAAGATAACTAGAATTAGAAATCGAGAATTAGAAGGAAAGAAAGGGAAGGAAAGAAAGGGAAGGGAAGGGAGGGGAGGTAGGGAGGGAGGGAGGAGGGAGGGAGGAGGGAGGGAGGAGGGAGGGAGGAGGGAGGGAGGGAGAGAGGGAGGGAGGGAGGGAGAGAGGGAGGGAGGGAGGGAGGGAAAGAAATTGCCACAGCTTCCCTAACCTTCAGCAGCCACTACCCTGGCTAGTCAGCAGCCATCAACATGGAGATAGGACCTTCCACCAGCAAAAAAGATTATGACTCACTTCATGAAGGCTCAGGTGATCGCTGGTATTTCTTTTAGCAATAAATATTTTAAAATTAAGGTAGTCCACTATTTATTATGACATAAGCCTACTGCATACTTAACAGACTACAGTATAGTGTAAATGTAACTTTTATATGCAATAGGAAACAGAAAAAGCCCATGTCTCTCACTTTAGTGTGATATTCACTTTATTGCAGTACTGTGGTCATCTGGAAATGAACCTGTGATATCTCTGAGGTATGGCTGTATTTTCATACAAATAAAGGCACTCCCCCTAAATCTAGAGTCTAGATCCCAAATACATCTGTCCATATAGGGGGTACCACTCCCAAGACCAAAGGGGTGTATGGCTCCTATCTCCAGCCGTACCAAATCATATATACAGTGTAATATCTGGTTACTCTTTATTCAGGACAGCTACATTCAAAGGAAACATAAAATGGGCAGAATAAGGACTCCTTGCTCATTAACAAAACAAAGCCAACTCTTATGTCAGAGTACCCTTTTGATCAATTAGTGTGATTATGTTCACTAGTAACAGATTCTACCATCATTGTTGTCCATTTCATTTCCATTCTCAAGCTTTAAAACCCCAAAAGGACAGAAAGAGATACTACAGGCTAGTATTAGTAATACTAAAAATAGTTACCTCTTATTGAAACCTGAAGGGCCTGGTACTTGACATATATCATTTTCTAATCTTTATATGAACTCAATAAAGCAAATATTGTTATTTCAACACTATTACATATTAGAGACTGAGCAATCTGGACAAAGTCACACAGCTTATCAGTACCAGTAGGAATTCAAACTCAGGTCTGACTCAACAGTCTGCATTCTTAAATATACCTCAATAAAGCTGTTGAAAAAGTAAAAGTCGGCCGGGCACAGTGTAATCCCAGCACACCTCAATAAAGCTGCTGAAAAAGTAAAAGTCGGCCGGGCACAGTGTAATCCCAGCACTTTGGGAGGCCGAGTCAGGCGGATCACCTGAGGTCAGGAGTTCGAGACCAGCCTGGCCAACGTGGTGAAATCTGGTCTCTACTAAAAATACAAAAATTAGCTGGGCGTGGTGATGGGCGCCTGTAATCCCAGCTACTCGGGAAGCTGAGACAGGAGAATCACTCGAACCCAGGAGGCGGAGGTTGCAGTGAGTCGAGATCGCGCCATTGCACTCCAGCCTGGGTGACAAGAGTAACTACGTCTCAAAAAAAAAGTAAAAGTCTCCATCTTTCCACTAGACCACACTGCTTTTCTCAATCTTTATGACAAACATGTAAGGCATATTGGGTTCTGGATAATATGTCAAGGAGATATACTATTTTGGAATATTTTGGCAAATAAAGGGGGGCTTTAAAACATGAAATTTTTTTTTCTTAATAAGAACTGTAATCTATTTCCCCAACTTCATTATTAAGTGAGTTTTAGGCCTAGGTCTTCCAGAACAGTTTCCTCCAAAACATACAGTGTAATATCTGGTTACTCTTTATGTGTGCATAAGAAATGTCACTGTGACAAATGTTATAAAGAAAAAATTTGATTACCCTAAAAACAAATACATAAACAGCCCGCAAGTTTAGCTCCTAAAGTAGGAAAGAATAATGTGAAAATGTTTCTGGCTGTACCACTCAACAAAAATTTGCCCGCCAATAAGGAATCCTTTCTTCAAAAATTGGTCATGATCATTAGCCAAACTGTAACCAGTAACATCCAGCTGGATTATGGAGCTAATAAAGAACAACAGAGGGGATCCACAGGAAATTCAACAGGTAATTTACAACTGGCTCTCTCATCAGACTGGCAGACTGGGTCTAATCCGAGGTCAGATGACATGGGGGATTATGGAAGCCAATAACAATCATATTTAAATAAATGTCCTTTACAGAACACCACCACTTTCCTCATAAAAAGTTCAAAGGACTATTTTCACCCCTCACAATTACAGTAAGGATAAGAAGCCCAAGCACAGCTTGAAGCAGCAAAATTTTCTGAAAAGGAATTGAATTCTGTGTTCTCTTCAGGATCTTCCTTTCCCAATAATGGGGGTATTAAATTTCACTTATAAATCAAACTGAAAGGGAAAAAAAGAACAATAAAAAATGAGCTGGAAAACCTACATTCATCATCTTCAAAACAACATCAAGTTAGAAACAGTTTTAAAGCAATGTTACAACTCCTTTAGAATCTGGCAGGTTTTCTGGTTTTTACCAGATCCCGCTCCGGCAACAACAAAAAAAGAAACAGTTTTAAACAGTTTTATGGGCGTGGTGGCTCACACCTGCAATCCCAACACTTTGGGAGGCCAAGGCGGACAGATTGCTTTTCAGCACAAGAGTCTGAGACCAGCCTGGGCAACATGGTAAAATTTTGCCTCTATAAAAAAATACCAAAAAATACCAGGCATGGTGGTGGCACACTCCTGTAGTCCCAGCTACTTGGGAGGCTGAGGTGGGAGGACTGCTTGAGCCCAGGACAGCAAGGGTGCAGTGAGCCGAGATTGCACCAATGCACTCCAGCCTGGGCAACAGAGCCAGACCCTGTCTCAAAAAAAAAAAAAGTTAAATGCTGATGACTGAATAGAACACAATTCTCTGTAAATTCTTCAATGTGATAAAGCATTTCCTACACCAGTTACCAGTGGCAGCACCTAATAAGACTTGAGAGCAACTTAATACTTCACCCTCATGTATGTATGAATTTAAAATAGAACATCACAATAACTACGAAGATACCCAAACACCCCTTCCCTAATTTTTTTTTTTGGTACAAACAAAGTCTCGCTATATTGCCCAGGTGGATCTCAAACTCCTGGGCTCAAGTGATGCTCCTGCCTGGGCTTTCCAAAGTGCTGGGGTTACAAGCGTGAACCACTGTGCCTGGTCGCTTCCCTAATTCTTAACATGTCCCACAAAAGATTCTGCTTGATCTTGGCCCCCACTATATCATCACTATCTCTAGTAAATAGACTCAAAGCCTCTGCTTTCTCTGTGGCTCTAGCCACACTGGCAGAGACCAAAGGAGAGTTCAATGATAGGCCCTCTCACAGAACCTTGTGCCTTACCATACTTGTCAGTTACAATTTTATTCACTCGATTCAAGCATTTTTTGGATGCCTCATATGTTTCAAGGTACCTTTGTTACAGCAGTGAACAAGGCAAAGCCCCTAACAGGAGGAAATTCACATTCCAGAGGTAAGAAGAGAATTAAAAAGCCAAAAAAAAGTGTGTGTATGCATATATATGTGCATAAGAAATGTCACTGTGACAAGTGTTATAAAGAAAAAAAACACAGTAAGAGGACAGAGAGTGAAGTTGTCCTTGTACAGTTGACAGTCAATAACACCTCTTTTAACAGTAGTAGAGACCTGAACAGGGTGAAGAACAGAGCCAAGCTGACAGGAGATCTGGATTAAAGCTTTCCAGGCAGAAGGAATCGAAAATAGGCGGGAATATACTTAGCTTGTTGAGCAAGGCAAACAGCATGGCTGGAGCACAGAGAGCCAAAAGAGAGGTGATAAAGACAACACCAATGAGGTAAATAAAAGCAGACAGAACTTGGATCCTCTAGAGCCTGCAGCTCACGATATGGAGTTTGAATTTTAGTCTACGTGTGACAGGAAGCCTTTGAAGAACTTTGAGGAGGGACACGGATGTGTTATCGACACACTATAAATGACCAGTAACTTCAGAAGCAAGGAGGCCAACTGGGAGGCTGCGAAGGTTGTCCAGGCAAAGGATGATAATAGCTTAGACTAGGGTGATGGTAGCAGTCAAATGAGGAATGTTATTTATTTTCAGAATGTAATCTGAAGGTGGAGCCAAGATTTGCCAATGGAATAGAATGTAGAGATGAAAAGAAAAAAAAATCTATTCATCTCTGCATCCCCTCAGAGAATGTACCTGACCACCATGAAAGCAAGGGCCATGTTTGTCCTATTCAGGTCCTTGAACAAAGGAACAGTGCAGTATGTTCTAGTTGAATTAATAAATGACCTGCTTCTTTCCCTACAGAATCACAATATTGGCATTTATTTTGGCTGGCAAATACTGGTACGATGTCAAGCATGGAAATTAAGCACCTTAGGAGAAGAAAAGGGAGTTAAATAAAAAAGAGATCCATGTTTCACTGAACTTGCAAATTCAACTCAAAGCACCACCTGTCTGAAAATGGAACGTATATATATAAAAAAACTGCTCATTAAGGAAAATAAATCACAGTATCTCAGCAACAGTGCTTTGTCGTGAGTTACAAGATTGGCTACACCATCTGACAGGATTACTTAAATTGACAAAGACCTGCCTCACCAAACACAGCTAGAGGTCCTTGGGTCCTTGTGGTACTGGTATCAGGAATCTGATAAATCAGTCAGAGTGTGGAGTGTTTTTAAAACACAGACAAAATATATTTAGCAAGCAAAGTCTGTTAAAGGGAAGATTGGAGATCACTTTAAAAATAATTCAAAGCCTACTCTAAGTATTTGCAAAATTGTAAGATTATATTTCTGTGCTTTTGAATAAGATTCAGATTGGACAGTCTCAACTCTCCCTTGTGGGAGAGGGTAGGGGTGGGGGTGGACCTGTTTTCTACTAAGAAATTTATAGGACTCTCCAAAAACAGAACTTAGGGCAGTACTCCTTAATAGTGACCATACATTAGAATCATCTAGGGAGGGCTGGGCACAGTGGCTCACACCTGTAATTCTAGCACTTTGGGAGGCCGACACAGGCAGATCATTTGAGCCCAGGACATCAAGACCAGCCCGGGCAACATGGTGAAATCCCATCTCTACTAAAAATACAAAAATTAGCCAGGTATGGTGGCATGTGCCTGTAGTCCCAGATGCTCAGGAGGCTGAGACGGGAGAATCACTTGTGCCCAGAAAGGTAGAGGGTGCAGTGAGCTGAGATGGTGCCACTGAACTCATGCCTGGGCAAAAGAATGAGATCCTGTCTCCAAAAAAAAAAAAAAAAAAAAAGGAATCAACTAGGGAGGCTTTTAAAACATGAATGCTGGAGACCCACACCAGATAAATTAAATCAAAATTTAATCGGGGGTGGGTCCTGGGATTTTCCCTTTAAGTGTTTCCCACGTGATCTGAATGTGCAGCCCAAGTTGAGAATCACCAATTTACAGCAATAAAGTTTAAAGTAGAGGATTTAAATAAAAGTCTTTTAAAGAAACAACACTTTCAGAAGTCAACAAACTTGAGCCTTCATGTTAACACGTGGGGGTCACAGTGGGCATTTTGGAGCACAGATAAAAGGACCTGCTTTGGAATTGTAAAAGGCTGTTTCATACATACAAACAGTTCAGGAAAGGATAGAACGAAAACAAAAACAAGAAACCTTGATTAACCCCACCACATTCCTTCCCAAGGGCTTGAATTTTTTAACCGAACACTACAATAGCAACAAACCTAGAGAGTCAGTTCAAGACGGCTTCTCCCTGTAATGCTGCCTTAGAACTCTACAGAACAGCAGTCACTGCTGCACAGCTAAATACATCTCCAGCCAAGGAAATCTAGACATAGAAGATAGAAAATAACATCCCAGTTTGTCCCTCCTCTTTCCCCTCCCTCATCACATATCAACAGCTAACTTTGAACACATCTGTGGTTCACTGTACCACTTACAGGGGTACAGAGGAATGAAATTACCAGTCCTCACTGTAAAATAAACACATTTCTTTAAGAAATTCTATAAAGCACAAGAGGAAAGCAAAACCTTAGTAAACTGACAAATGTTCCCATTCTCCCAGCACATGAAGAAGACTGCCACAGTCTTTTTCAATTACACTTTGAAACCCTCTGTCCTGGTTTTCAAGCACAAGCTGATCTTCACCTCATTATAGATACTCAAACTGCCACCCGTCTTATTTTTAAATATCAGAGAAGTGACAAAATTCTATCTATGATCAAGGATGTATTATAAAAGAGAAGAAATTTTGCCTGGTTTTTACATTTATTTAAGTCCCTTCTACAATGAATAAAAATGGTTGTTCAAATCAATGGGTGAATGGGAATACAAATAAAATATGGGTAGCATTTTAAGGCATGGTATTAAGGCTAACATGATGTCCATCTAACATCCAGTTTCTGAAAATCTGAAATCAGAACACAGGACCTTTTCATTTCAAATTTACATTAAAGTTCAGCTCACTGATTAAGCATTTCCCTCAATAAAATTACATTTGTCATACCTTAATTGTGCAAAAGCTGCAAACTGGTAAAAAACTTGAATGCCATGGCATGATTATTCAAAAATAACTGGTACACCCTATGCCTGAAACCTGAGTGCCTACTGTGAACCTGCCAAAATGATTACAATGACAACCCATCATCTTCATCACATGAATTACTGCAATGTGAACAGTATTCTGCTGAGCACTATACAGTAATCAAAAGACAAGCTCCACATCCTCAAGAAGCTTATAAATTTGACTGAGGAGATAGGGCTGATAGGCAAGATAGCAATAAAACACATAATAAGGGCCTAAATCATGCAGTACAAACTAAGTTTTGAATACCAGTTCCCAGCTTGCAGTCTCAGACATAGATAGCAACACCACCACCACCACCCTTGCCAAGCCAAGTAAGTAAAAAGTAAAATGAGTAGGCTAGGCACGGCGGCTCATGCCTGTAATCCCAGCACTTTGGGAGGCCGAGGCAGGTGGATCACAAACTCAAGAGATTGAGACCATCCTGGACAACATGGTGAAACTCTGTCTCTACTAAAAATACAAAAATTAACTGGGCATGACGGCGCGTGCCTGTAATCCCAACTACTCGGGAGGCTGAGGTAGGAGAATCACTTGAACCTGGAAGGCAGAGGTTGCAGTGAGTCAAGATCGTGCCATTGCACTCCTGCCTGGGCCAAAACAGCAAAACTCCATCTCAAAAAAAAAAAAGTAAAATGAGTATACAGGAGTCCTAAAAACTTGAGAAACCAAAGGAAGCAATTCATTTGGTCAAGAGAAAGGTCAGGGCAGTTTCAACCTTCCCATTTATTTAGCTGTGTGACTTTCAACAATTTACCCAACCCTTTAAAGGAAGATAGTACCTACTAATTACCATGAGAACCAAATGAGATAGTGTATATAATGCGCTTTGCACAATGCCTGGCACATAGTCTCAAATACTGCCTATTATCATTACTGTTAGAAACAGTAAAATCCTAGTGTTGGCAGGGGCCTTTCAATAATCCAATTTTCCAGTCGAATAGTTCTCAGGGTGTAGTTACCATCAGCATCATTTGGGAAATTGTTAGAAGCCCATACTCTAGGGCTCCACTCCAGACCCACTGAATCATAAATTATCAAATCTGCGCCCAGTAATCTGTGTTTTAACAGCACTCCAGGTAATTGTGATGACCATTAATGTTAGAGAATTGCTGCCCTAATTAAACCCTCTAATTTTACGTATAAAGAACATGGAGGCCAGGTTCAGTGGCTCTTGCCTGCAATCCCGACATTTTGGGAGGCCGAGGTGGGAGAACCACTTGAGTCCAGGAGTTTGAGACCACGTAATATAGTTAGACCCTGTCTCTGAAAAGAATACAAGAATTAGCTAGGCATGGTGGCATGTGCCTATAGTCCTAGCTGCTCGGGAGGCTGAGGCAGAAGGATCACTTGAGCCTGGGAGGTCGAGGCTGCAGTGAGCCATCATCATACCACTGGACTTCCAGCTTGGGCGACACAGCAAGACCGTGTCTCGAAAAAAACAAAAGTAAGCAGATGGAAACCTGAAGAGATAAAATAACCTGCTCAAAACCACAATCATGGAGACTGTTTGTTTAGGGTCCATTATATGCCAAGTACCAGGGTGACCACTTTTTACATTTTTAACATCAGGTCCTCACAACAGCCCAGCTGGGCCCCAATTAACAGAAGAAAAACTGAGGTTCAGGTGTGAGATGGATGGAGTAATTTGTCAAAGGCGGCTCAATTTTTAATGGGCAAAATTAACATTCAAATCCAAGTTGTATGTGATCCCAAACCCTTACTGAAACCAGGACCACTGAGTGTTCTGAGGGAACGATACCAAGCACACGCCCAGACTTCCCCACCCAAGGGCATCGTTCTTTTCATTCTATCATACCACCTTAGCTGCAATGATTTTACCATGAAACATAACCAGAAATTAGCACTTTAAAGCAACTCTCAGAAGACAGGTGGTAAACGATTCTTCACTCCAACTAGAAAGGAAAAAATGACAACATACTATGAAAAAAGCTATGAGGCAGGAAAAAGCACACGTCAAGGCATGGAGATACGGATATAGACTAGGTAATTTTGCAACCACATAAGTGAAAGAAAATTTGCTATCCAATCTTCCTATTCTCTACTCCCAAGAGCCTAGTGCTTTTGTATAGTTTTCAGCTCAGTAAAGTGCCTCCAGATTTATAAAAGCTCAATGACAATAACAAGGTATCTTTATTACAAAATAGTTGTTAAAAGTTTGATTCGAAAAATTTTAAGGAAACCTTTCAGGTAACTGAAAGTGGAGGGTAGGGGCGCGACTCATGAAGGAGTTTTTTAACCAAAGAAATGATATGATACATTTTTAAATGACCACTTCAGTTGCAATATAAAATAACAGATTTTGGAGGAAAATGTCAATACAAGGATATCAATTATCAATTATTAGGTTACTATATTGGTTCAAGGAGAGATGATGGTGGCTGTGGAGATGAGTGAAATCAACAGATCCAAGATATATTTTAGAGAGTATTGTAGAAGACTAGGAATGGGAGTGACCAGACAGGAATGAAGACTTCTAGACTTACTGCACACTGTCATGAGGAAGGATGGGGATGGAAGGGTACAGTGGAATAAGCTGGGTTTTAGCAGAAGGAATCAAGAGCCCCATTACAAACACATTAAATGGCCTGGCGTGGTGGCTCACGCCTGTACTCCCAGCACTTTGGGAGGCTGAGGCAGGCGGATCACCTGAGGTCAGGAGTTTGAGACCAGCCTGACCAACATTGAGAAACCTTGTCTCTACTAAAAATACAAAACTAGCTGAGCGTGGTGGCAGGTGCCTGTAATCCCAGCTACTGGGGAGGCTGAGGTGGGAGAATCGCTTGGACCCTGGAGGTGGAAGTTGCAGTGAGCTGAGGTCGCGCCACTGCACTACAGCCTGGGCAACAAGAACAAAACTCCATCTCAAAAAATAAAAAATAAATAAAAATAAACACATTAAACGTTTATAATGTATTTACAAGACTAACAATCAGATAAAGTCTGAACTTCAGAAAGGAGATAGAGCTGACCTGAAAATATAAATTACGAACTATTGTTATATGAATGTTACTTAAAAGACGAGGAGGCCAGGTGTGGTGGCTCATGCCTGTAATCCCAGCACTTTGGGAGGCCGAGGCAGGTGGATCACTTGAGGTCAGGAGTTCAAGACCAGCCTGGCCAACATGGCGAAACCCCACCTCTACCAAAAAAAAAATACAAAAATTAATCGAGCACGGTGGCATGCACCTGTCAGCCCAGCTACTCAGGAGGCTGAGGCAGGAGAATCACTTCAATCTGGAAGGCGGAAGCTGCAGTGAGCTAAGGTGGTGCCACTGCACTCCAGCCTGGGCAACAGAGTGAGACTCGGTCTCCAAAAAAAAAAGGGCAGAAGATGGGGCGGAAGAATAGAGATAGGAAAGAGGAGGATGTTGAGAACTAAACCCTGAGGTACTTTTAGTATTCAAAGTGTAGGGGGGTCTGGAAATCTTGTAGAGACCAGTAGGGGTTGGAGTATGACATCTTCCAATAATGAATTCTCGTTGCTGTCCCCTTATGGGTCTGGGTCTACCTGATAGTCTCTTCTGGAAGTCGGTATCACTTGTGCTTAATTTCTACTCTTTTGTGCCCTCTATACAGCCTCTACTACAAATCTTTTTTGAAGAAGCACAGGGAGAAATAACTTGGGGAAAAAAAAAAGCCTATCTTTTAGAAATAGATTCTGAAATATTTACAGATGAAATAATATGTTGTACAGAATTGGCTTCAAAATAGTCCAAGTAAGGGGTGGTCTAGATAAAAAAAAAAAGAACAGCTCTGAGTAGATGCCTGTTACAGTTGGGCAATGCACACATGGGAAGGTTCACTGCACTGGTCTCTCTGAATATTTCACAATAAAACATAAAACATAGTATGGAAGGTTGGCAAACACAAGTCCATGAGAAATCTCTCCATCTTACCCAGATTAACGAGAGATACAACCAAGGATCCACAGGTTTGATGCAGACATTCTAAAAGATTCAATTATACCAAGACTTTAAAGGTGACAGATTTTTTTCCCCTCAACTATACATTTTTTTTTTTTTTTTTTGAGACAGAGTCTCAACTCTGTTGCCCAGACTGGAGTACGGAGCCATAATCATGGCTCATTTCAGCCTTGACTTTACTGGCTCAAGCGAGCCTCCCAAGTAGCTGGGACTACAGGCATGCCCCACCATGCCTGGCTTTTTTTTTTTTTTTTTTTTTTTTTTGGTAGCGACAGGGGCCTGCTATGTTGCCCAGGCTGGTCTCAACCTCCTGGGCTCAAGCCTCAGCCTCCCAAAAGTGCTGGATTATAGGTGTGAGCCACTGCACCTGGCCTATATTGCTATCTTAAAATGTCTCAGTGACCCAACAATTTGCCAAAGAGCATGTAGAGCAAACTAGGCTCTATTCAGCATTTCCATTTCTTAATGTATCTATTTGATTTCAATAAAATTTCATCATTTTGAAGATCTCTCCCATTAGCTTGGGAAACTACAGAAACATGCACATAACTACTGAGAAGGTATCAAGTGTTCCTACACTAGTTTAAAAAAATCATTCAACACCCACATAAATTCTGATATGCACTAGGCTGAACAGCTGTTAACCACTGAGAAGCTGGGCACTGCATCCTCTCCCTGGGTCAAAACTCTATATGCTAATCAAACAGGGTCATGTATTTGGGAAAATAATAATCCATGGTAAAAGTCACAAAAAGACCTTAATTTTAAAATGAGAATTCCTAATCTATACATTCTTTAAAAAATCTAGGGTATATAGGTTGATGTACCTTCCTTGATCAAAACTCTTACTTCTCTGAAGCCTGTCAGAGTATTTTCACCACAAGGCTTGGATTAGGTTTCATTTTACATATGCATGCACATGTTCACATACCCATAATCATCCTTCTTAGTAGTATATAGAGACGGACCATATCGTTACCCTCTTCTGCTCAAATAAATGTCTTCCCCTACAAATGCTAAGGAGTAAAATGATCCAGAAAAAGTAGAAATTTGGCATAATCAGCACTGACTTCCTCAACGGTAACATACATGACATAAACACATTAGGTAGACTGGATGCCCAAAGGCCAATCCAACCTCATGTCTTCCTGGCATTTCTCAGGCCTTTCTCGTCACCCACCCCACCTAGGTTCCACGTTTCCAAAAAAGTTCCATGAAGATTCAGGAAAAAACAAAAAGGGAGGAAAACTCATTTTATTAAATTTACATCATATCCTTCTTCCCAGGGTTCAAAATTAAATAAAACCAAAAGAAGAAAACCAGAAAGACAAAAGCACTTTTGTCCAAGGTGGCAAAACACAAGAGCAATTTAACTGCCATTATGAACCAACTTATACTAAAATAGTATTTCCTGGAATGTGTATAAATTAAAAAACAAAACAAAATGTTCATGGTTACTTTTACTTTCAGGGTTGGGAACTGAATCCCACAAACAGCAGCTAAACCTCAAAAAAATTGTAATTCCCTAATTATTTCCAGATTAAAACACTTCTCTTGAACACATGTTTCTGCTGTTCTTTGGGGTGAGTGTAGGGCACAGCTGGAGTACAGTATAACACAGAAACAGCAAGTGCACTAAGAGCATCAAATCCTTCCCCCCAAAATTGTTTATCTCTTCCAGACTCCTATTCACACTTATTCCCCTGACTTAATTTTAATTCTGCCTCTTGGCCCTCTTACCTTGTCCCTTTCTACCCTACTCACTTATTCTCTATTCATCCTCATTCTCTGAAATGATAGTCAAAATAATACTTCATGCTAAAGCATTTTCTTAAATATTTCCAGATATTCCAACTTGTTATGATCTCCCACTTCTTTAAACCAGAAGCTATTACTACTTTTAGAGTGCATACCTATTTCTGCCCCATATTTATCACATACAACTTACGTATGATTTAGTTAGCATCCTCAAACTTAGAAAATGATTCTCGCAGCCCAGCAAAAATCCTTACTATAGCAGCCAATCAATATCTATTGAAAAATACATGTACCCCCTCGATACAATTGTCATAAAAGTTTTCAGTGTGCACTTAATTTGATAATGTCACTTCCATCTTTCTGTTTTGAAAACTGTTTCGCCGGGCGCGGTAGCTCATGCCTGTAATCCCAGCACTTTGGGAGGCCAAGGCAGGCTGATCACAAGGTCAGGAGATCGAGATCATGGTGAAACCCCGTCTCTACTAAAAAAAAATACAAAAAATTGGCCAGGCGTGGTGGCGGGCGCCTGTAGTCCCAGCTACTCAGGAGGCTGAGGCAGGAGAATGGCGTGAACCCAGGAGGTGGAGCTTGCAGTGAGCCAAAATCACGCCACTGCACTCAGGTCTGGGCGACACAGCGAGACTCTGTCTCAAAAAAAAAAAAAAAAGAAAATTGTTTCATAAGAATGACTCATCCTTCAAAGGAAAAATTCAGATGAAAAGGTGTCTGCACTATGTAGTGTGTTAAAATTTGTTCTCAAGCCTCTCCAGCTACCCTCAGGAGTGAACAGTGGCAAACTGCAGCTTAGGCTAGTGAAGTGATCTGCCCTACACCATCAAGTTAGCCAAGAATAGAAGCCACATTTCCTGACTCCTGCCTTGACTCCTGATCTCTTTCCACACATGCAAATACAAGTTCAGCATCCCAAACCCAAGATCCAAAAAGTTCCCAAAATAGGAAACTTTCTGAGTGTCAACATGACACTCAAAGGTAATGTTTATTGAAGCATTTTGGGTTTCCAGATTTGGGATGTTCAACTGGTAAGTACAGCTGACCCTCTGTATTCATGGATTCAATCAATCAAACAGCAAAAATATTTAAAAAACAATGTCTGTACTGAATATGTACAGACTTTTTCTTCTCATTATTCCCTAAGCAATACAGTGTAACAACTATTTACATAGCATTTACACTGTATTAGGTGTTATAAGTAATCTAGAGATGACAAAGCATACAGGAGGATGTGCATAGGTTATACACAAATACTATCCCATCTTATATCAGGGATTTGAGCACTGTCAGATTTGGTATCCACGGAAGTTCGTGGAACAAGTCATCCAAGAATACTGAAGGATAACTGTATAATGCAAAGATTCCAAAATCCAAAACACCTCTGGTCCCAAACATTTCACATCAGAGAGACTCCACCTGTAATGGCTTTCAGTTCTGTAAATCAACAGCACATCTAGTTGTGTGAATACATACGTGGCTAAGGTTCAAAGTACTTTAAAAGTATTAAGTCCAAGACAAAGATGAGATAGTATTCCTCACCTGATCCAAGGGTCACACCTGACAGTAAGAACTGGAGTCAAAGGATCATCACTGTAACCCATCAACATAGGTACAGTTCACAATATTAGGAGAAGTCATGAAGTAACATACATACAGGACACACATAAATTTCACCTCTAACCAGGAATCCTGTGATAGAATTCATTAAACCTATTCTCACTCAACTACCCCCAGTGGCTTATGAATCAATCCTAAAGGCATCAGACACAAGACTATTACCATTACAAATTTCTAATCTGCTAAGAAGTCTTGAGTTTTAAGGAAGAAACTAGTGCCAATTCATTAAAAAGGAAGGCAGAAAAATGGAAAACCAGAAGTCTTTCATTGCTGCTCTATCCCCATAATCTAAAACAATACCTAGGACATCACAGGAAACCAATGTCTATTTACTAATGTCTATTTACCTCTTAGCCTTTATTAAAGTGAACTCATAGTATTGACATTATTTTCTCATCCTCACAGGGCATTTGACCACATTTTGGAACCAAGTTTAAAATCTTTCATAGGCCAAAAAAAAAAAAAAAGTATATAATGACTAACATGCTTTAAATACCATGACAAATATAATTAAATACTTGCTCTCACTGAATTCAAAATTTTTAGTTCCCTCAAGGTGAAGTTACTCATTTTCCATTATTTCTCTCTAACATCAATTTCTCCACCAGATTTCCTCCACCTGTGCCACTACTCACCCATCTAAATGTGCACATGTGTACTCAAGCATTCAATGAATTGCTTATTATGTACTACTCAGCACGAAGAAGCAGAGGAAACCCAGCCTTTGGAGTGATATGAACCTGACTCTACTTCTTGTTTTAACCAATTACTAAGCCTTGTGACCTCGGGAAGTCAATCATTATGTCTAGTACTCCTGTTGCCTAACTGTAAAAATGTGAAGGATTATTACGTACATAAAAGCATAATACCAAAAATAGGCACTAACTGATTGTTAGTTTCCGTCCCTCTCCTACAACAGCACCCTGACTTTGGAAACTAACCCTCCACGAACTGAAAGCATTCTCAGAATATACTGTCCTTAAAAAAAGAGGAAGGAATGAAGGGAAAGAAAAGAAAAGAAAAAGGAGAGAGGGAAGGGAAAAGGCAAAAATTTTTAAAAATACTTTTGGTCCTGGTTTACAGGCCACCACAATAATTCAAGTAAATTAGCATAATCCAGAGAGACAAAAACTTTTTCTATTTTTTACTACACCAAAAAAGCTCATAATAAAATTTCAAAGTATTAAAAAATAAATGAAAGTAATCCCTTCCCTTCCTCCATCCCAACCCATCCCATCCCTCAGAAATAATCACTGTTAGCACTCTGGTGTGCACATATACACATACACATACATACATATATATTTTTGTTGCCAAAATTTTACTGCAGATATCTGGAAAATAAAGAGTAGCATAAAGAAGAAAAATATGTAATCTATACAACCGGAAAAAATTTTAAGCTGCAAATAAGTTTCCACAACTAAATTTACATTGTAAAACACATGATGGGGAAAAAAAGGTCTTTACAATAAATATGGTACAAGGACAACTGAATATCCACTATCCACAGGCAAAATAAAATTGGATTCCTACCTCACACCATACAGAAAACTAACTTAAAGTCGATCAAAGCCCTACTTAAATGTAAGCATTGAAACTCCTGGAAAAAAGCATAGGAGTAAATTCTTCATGAACTTGGGTTAGGCAATGATTTCTTATGCTGTGACACAAAAAGCAAAAGAAACAAAAAAAAAACATAAATTGGACTATATCAAAATTTAAAACTTCTGTAAATAATAATCAAGAAAATGAGAATACAATCCACAGAATGGAAGAAAATATCTGAAAATCATCTATTTGACAAGACACTGGTCTCCAGAATATATACAAAAAACACAATTCAACAATTTTTAAAAACCAAATAACTTTAGAAATGAGCAAAGGATCTCCAAAGAAGATATACAAATGACCAATTAAGCACCTGAAACGATTATCAGCATCATTAGCCATTAGAGAAATTAAAATCAAAACCACAATGAGATACCACTTCACATTGACTAGCATGGCTATAATTAAAAAGACAATTAGAAGCATTGGCAAGAATGTGGAGAGAATGGAACCCACAAATATCGCTCATGGTAATACAAAATGGTAATATAAAATGGAAAACAGGCAGTTCCTCAAAAAGTTATACACAGGGCTACTTTATGTGTTAAATGCTGAGGATGCATAAAGGATCAGAAATTCAGATAAAGCATTCCCAGAACAGTGATTGATCCTGTTTGTTTAAAAAAAAAAAAAGACAATGTACTCAACAATTAACTAAAGTACTTGTATTTCTCTTTACAAAACTAAGTTATGTAAGAACTAAACATTTTAAATTGAAAATTGTTTATCTGGTTCTTTGAACTGAAAATCCTTTTATATTCCCACCTGTGAGTGTACACAACAAGGTGAAGCAAATGCATTAAACCCAGTAGGTCTCAGGACAGGAAGCATTTACACTCAGAGGCTATCCCACAGAGCAAAATCCACACTGAAGACTAAATCATTTCACAGAACCCTAGATTTAGATAAACTTGGAGACAGGAGAGCAGCTGAAGAGCCCTTCTCTTTCCTCAAGGTTGTCTACACATCTAAATCAACTTCACTGGGGGAGCATAGGGGCTGCTTAAGGGTCTAAGACAAATAAATTCTTCTATGCAATACTTTACATTTATTTACAAACGGTCTATCTTACACTAAGCTCAAAATATTCCACTGAGCTACTGCAGAAAATCTGGGTGCGAAATAAGAAAAGACAATCAGAGAGTGTATACTCATAAAAGGAATTAAAAAGAACAAAATGCCCAAGAATACAGTATCCTCACAAAAAATACCCTAAATGAATCTAGTAAAAATTTGGCAACCCATATTCTGGAAAGATATTCTTTACAAGTTAACCTGTATGTCTTATGCAACTTCCAAAGTCCCAAAGAAAGTAATACAAAATTAAGTGGTTTTGAGATACTAGTCAGCTTTTTCGGAAAGAGGGTTAGAGAGGACTTACTTCCTTGTATTATGAAACAAAAAACGCTCTGATGAATTAAAAGGGTAGTTTCTTTCTTTATTTCTCTTTTTTTCAGACAAGTCTCACTCTGCGTGCCCAGGCTGGAGTGCAGTGGCATGACCTTGGCTCACTGCAACCTCCACCTACCAGGTTCAAGCGATTCTCCAGCCTCAGCCTCCCGAGCAGCTGGGATTACAGGTGTGTGCCATCACACCTGGCTAATTTTTTTGTATTTTAGTAGAGCCAAGGTTTCACTATATTGGTAAAAGGGTAGTTTCCAAAAATAAAAACATGTACAAGGAAATTTAAAATTCTCCTATTAGTGTCTGGAAGGATGAAGAATTTCTACTATTTTAGGTTGAGAAAGAAAGCTAAAGGCAAAAGATCAACAGACAAAAATTTAAACAATTTATAATTTCTAACTTATCCAAGTTTGACTCCAATATTTTTACCAAAGGATAAATATCTCTGCTTCAAAGAATCATAAAAACATTACAACAGCCTGGCACAGTGGCTCATGCCTGTAATCACAGCACTTTGGGAGGCCAAGGCAGGAGGACTGCTTGAGTCCAGGAGTTTGAGACCAGCCTGGGCAACAGAGCAAAACCCCATCTCTACAAAGAAAAAAAAATTTTTTAATAAGGGGGGCATAAGGGTGCACTCCTGTGGTCCCAGCTACTTGTGAGGACCACTTGAGTCCTGGAGGTTGAAGCTGCAGCAAGCTACGACTATGCCACTGCACTCTAGCCTGGGCAACAGAGCAAGACTGCAGACTGTATCAAAACAAAACAAAACAAAACATTACAACATATGAGAATGTTCAACTTCACTAATACTTTCCCAATGCAAATTTAAGTAAAGATAGTATTTTTTATTTATCAGTTTAGCAAATATTTTTAAAGGATCCTCCATGCTAATTGGAGTGTGGTTAAACAAAAAACCTGCTTGTTACACTGCTGGTATGACTACAACTGGGAACCTTTTGGAAAGCAACCTAACAAGATATATCTGTAGTCTTCTGAATTGTTCACACTCTCTTTTATTCTTAGATTCATACAATATAAATAAATACAAAAAGCAAAGCCTATGTGCACAAACAGCAAGCATCAGAAAGTCCATGAAAAGAATAGTACAAGTATATAGTAAAGGAATTAACTTATACTTTGCTTTTCAAACTATGTTCAATCCAATAGATTTCTAAATATGGCAAGTTTCTAAAAATCCAACTCCTTAAGTACACTGTAAAGACATTTATGCACACAGCTAAAATATACTCAAACTAAGAAGTCCTCAAAGGCCGTAAGATACACTAAAAATATAATACCTCCCAGTGAAATAAAGGGAAAAGCAGAAGTCAGGTGAGAATATTTACATATATGTACCCATTCAGCAGTTCTGTAGAAGTCATTATCTTCTTTGGGAGGCCGAGGCAGGTGGATCACCTGAAGTCAGGAGTTCAAGACCAGCCTGGCCAACATGGTGAAACCCCGTCTCTACTAAATACACCAAAATTAGCCAGGTGTGGTGGCAGGCGCCTATAATCCCAGCTACTCAGAAAGCTGAGGCAGGAAAATCGCTTGAACCCGCGAGACAGAGGTTGCAGTGAGCTGAGATCACGCCATTGTGCTCCAGCCTGGGCAACAAGAGCAAAACTTCGTCTCAAAAAATAAATAAATAAATAAATAAAAAGGCCGGGCACAGTGGCTCACGCCTGTAATCCCAGCACTTTGGGAGGCCGAGACGGGTAGATCACGAGGTCAGGAGATTGAGGCCATCCTGGTTAACACGGTGAAACCCTGTCTCTAGTAAAAATACAAAAAATTAGCCGGGCGTTGTGGCGGGCGCCTGTAGTCCCAGCTACTCAGGAGGCTGAGGCAGGAGAATGGCGTGAACCCAGGAGGCAGAGCTTGCAGTGAGCCGAGATCACGCCACTGCCCTCCAGCCTGGGCGACAGAGCGAGACTCCATCTCAAAAAAAAAAAAAAAAAAAAAAAAGAAGTTGTTATCTTCCCAGTAGAAGAGATGAGAAAATTTGAGGTCCAGATTGGTTGAGTGATATCCGAGGACCACAGAGCTAGTAAAATTATGGAGCTAGAACTTGAAGTCTGATTCCAAATCACATGTTTCCTATGCTACCCCAAACAAAGGGAGTATTTTCTACAGTGGCATTACAACAGACCAAGTAACAGCAGAGGTAAAACAAGTTTCACATGTCTGTGGCTCTTTGTTTTTTACAAGTTTTTATTACTTTGTCATGGGGGGGAAAACGAAAAATTATAATTAGGTCAAGGAAAGATATAACTATACTACTACTATCATTCTGAAGGAAGGGAAGGTATACCTTCTAAGTCCTGCATAGTTTAAAAATTCCCATTACTTGCGAGACCAGGTGAGACTGCACAGTTCTAGACTTCCTATCGTGTGCCAAAACTCTAGGGATAATCAAAAAATGTTTGTTGAATGAACGCTAATTTAAAATAGAAAAAGAAATTCCAGATTTCCTCCTCAGTACAAGAGGCCTGCAACAACAAACTTCTGAAATACCAGCAGTCTACTAATTGCATATTCAAATTTAAACCACAGAAAGTTGAATCAACTCTGCCAATTTCTGGGACTCTCTAAATGAACTCTTAATACAAAAATGCATACTCAGGCTCAGCATTTTTTCTAATCATTTACAAAAGTAAAAGGACGTCAGGACAAGTTCTGGTGAAATTTTATAAACAGCCATGAATTGCAGCTGTAGACTGCCAGATACATAACCTGTATATGACAGGGGGTACCACGTGGAAATTAGAGACATCCCCCTTCACCAAAAAGATTATATCCAGGGGATACTACATAATAAAAAAAAAAATCTGAAAAATGTAATGGGATTAAGATCCTTTAGAATAGGCTAGTAGTGATGATTTTGCTTTTTCAGTCCCCTCCTCACAAACGAATGATGATGACACTGCCCTTAGCTTTCTATGTGCAAAGACAGTATTAACCTTCCCAGGCCAAACTTACGACTACACCTTTTCCACACGAAATGCAAGGCATTTCTAACTCCCCAGATTACCTCACATTCGTTGGATGCCACACAATAGATTATAAAGTATCAAGATATATATTAATTTTTAAAAGTTCACCAGGAGTTGGATATTCTAAACTGGGTTTCTGATTCTTAACAGTGAGAATGAAGTCAAGCTCCTTATTTGGTGGTTAGAGGAGAGGATTTGGCCAGAAATAATTCTTTTAGGATTGACAGACAAGTACTACTTAAGTTCTATCATCTCATCCAAAAACTTGCTTCTTATATTCTGCTTTTAACCCGATCTACACAATGAAAAGCCACGGAGACTAGTTTTGCATGAAAGCAAAGGACTTTTCTAATATGACTTCAGAGCATGCCATGCTTTAAAGTCCATGTTCAACCACTTACTATCATTTTCCAACTCACTCTCTATGGGCCCATCCCATATTTCAACTACAGGTATACCTCCTGGCCCTTTCTATTTCATAAGCTTCTTTGGAAGACAAATCTACTGATTTATGCAATAAACTTTCTACCTCTACTTAACCAATTTGATAATTTAATAGCTGGAGATAATTCTAAATTCCCCAAACCTTAATCAAGAATTTTGGAAAAAAAGAGCTATCTAGAACAGTTATCTTCCTGAAAACACTGTTGTGCTAAACTGAAACACAGCCTTTTCTCAAGAGCTAAGCAGCTACTTGGGTCTACATTTTAATGCACTAAATAATTTTATAAGATCATGTTTGAAACCAAAAAACCCAAAAAGGATTGTCAAGCTAGGTCAGCTTACAAAACCCCTTCTGTTATGAACTAGGAAATCAAACAACAAAACATAAGCTCTAGGAAATGAGCATGGAGGTGCTCCATCCATACTAGCTTTTCCTTGTTTTTTTCTTGAGAGGAGTGACTCTCTGTCACCCAGGCTGGAGTGTAGTGATGCAATCCTGGTTCACTCCAACCTCCACCTCCTGAGTTCAAGGGATTCTCCTGCCTCAGCCTCCCGAGTAGCTGGGATTACAGGCGTCGACCATGACACTCAGCTATTTTTTGTATTTTTAGTAGAGACAGGGTTTCACCATGTTGGCTAGGCTGGTCTCAAATTCCTGACCTCAAGTGATCCTCCCACCTTGGCCCCCTCAAAGTGCTGGGATTACAGGTGTGAGCCACCGTGCCAGCCCATACTAGCTTTTCTGAAGCCTCTTTACTCATTCTTTTGTTCTCTACTCTAGCAGCTAAAGACATCTCCTAAAGAAACAACTAGTGTGCCTCCATACAACCCCTCAGTAAGCACTCAGTATTGAGACTAAACTGTGAAAAGCACTAAAATAAATGCATCATTCATCTATGACCTTCTGAGAATACCACCACCTCATATTTGAATAGACGTCTAGTTTTCATGAGAACTTTCACGCACTCATTTGATCCTCTTTAAAAACCACAGGAAACAGGGCAAGCCATCTTATCAGCTCTATTTACAGAGAGGGAAATCAATTTGAAAAGGTTACATAGCTTAATCAAGGTCACAAAGTGACTGACTGGCCAAGCTGGTACTCAGTCTTATGATAGTCCAGGGCTCTTTCCTCTACACTGATCCTAAATTGAAAAAAAAAATTT
The DNA here is from genome assembly GCF_000001405.40 of Homo sapiens. Lineage (NCBI taxonomy): Eukaryota > Metazoa > Chordata > Mammalia > Primates > Hominidae > Homo > Homo sapiens. The sequence continues at coordinate 848,572 of NT_187663.1, forward strand.
TTTTTGGACTGCTCCTGCAAGGTAGGGCTACCCCATAGGCAGAGAGTAGCTGAAAAATTCTGTATGTGTCTATCACAAGAAGTTGAGGCCGGGCGCGGTGGCTCACGCCTGTAATCCCAGCACTTTGGGAGGCCGAAGCCGGCGGATCACGAGGTCAGGAGATCGAGACCATCCCAGCTAAAACGGTGAAACCCCGTCTCTACTAAAAATACAAAAAATTAGCCGGGCGTAGTGGCGGGCGCCTGTAGTCCCAGCTACTTGGGAGGCTGAGGCAGGAGAATGGCGTGAACCCGGGAGGCGGAGCTTGCAGTGAGCCGAGATCCCGCCACTGCACTCCAGCCTGGGCGACAGAGCGAGACTCCGTCTCAAAAAAAAAAAAAAAAAAAAAAAAAAGAAGTTGACAGGCCTAAAAGGTTTCACATTTAGATGTTTCTTTTTTTGGAAAAGGTGAAGATCTGGCTGGGCACAGTGGTGCACATCCTTAGGTAGTTCCAGCTACACAGGAGGCTGAGGCAGAAGAACTGCTTGAGCCCAGCCTGAGCAACACAGTGAGACTCCATCACTAAAAATAAGTAAATAAATAAATCACATAAAAAATAAAAAATTTTAAAAGGGGGTAAAGAGCCAATGAATTGACTAAGAAATGTGTTGTTTCAAATCAGAATGACCTTGAAAAGCCATAGTACTTGCATGCAAAAATATGATCCGATTTAAAAAGTCAATATGCTTAAAATACAACAGAAAAATCAACCAATATATGTATTTCGTATTACTGGTTTAAAATTTCTGAATATGCTGTAAAGAGAAGGAGGTGAAAAACGTCAACCAGACTGGGGTGGTGGCTCATGCCTGTAAACCCAGCACTTTGGAAGGCCAAGGTGGGTGGATCACTTGAGTTCAGGAGTTCACGACCAGTGTGGGCAAGGTGGCAAGATCCTGTCTCTACAAAAAATACAAAAATTAGCCAGATGTGGTAGCATGCGCCTGTAGTGCCAGCTACTCGGGAGGCTGAGATAGAAGAATTGCTTGAGACTAGGAGGCAGAGGGTGTAGTGGGCAGAGATCATACCACTAACCCCTCCAGCCTGGGTGACAGAGTGAGACTCTTTAAAAAAAAAAAAAAAAAAAAAAAAGAGAGCGAGAGAGAAAGAGGCAGAGAGAGAGAGAAAGATCTCAACTGATAAGATACTACATAATCACATTATCTCTTGCTTGACCAACTTAACAAATATTTCAAAATGTTTATAAAAATCAAAATGGGTCAGCATTGGAAGAAGTTGTAAGTAAAATTCAGGTGTTCTCCACATGAGGCAACTGCTGTTAATAGAAGACTATATGACGGTATTTTCTCGAAGTTTGGTACAAAGATCAAAAATAGAATCACAGGCAAAACCCTTGAAAGGCTTAGGAATCTGAATTTTTAAGTACTAGGTTGTTGATGAATATAAAATTTAAAGATGTGTATTTAGGGTAGAAATAACCTTGACCTTGGTAGCTGTGGAACTTGTGTGGTTACTCGTTCTGGGCCCTGGTTTTCCCAATGGTAAAACAGAGGAGGTAGGGACACAAACGTCCTACTTCATAGAAAAGTTATAAGACTTTAAAGGCGATGGTTTATAAAAAGTAATTAGCACACAGTTTTGACACACACTAAATAATAATTAGCTACTATGGTGGAAATTTTATTTCTATTTAACACTTCTGACATTAGCAAATAGTGTACCAAACAGACATGCTTTTTACATAGTTACATGATTCTTCTCAACAACCGCTCCCCCGAAAGAAAGCAGTTTTTAAGAGGGTCACTCTCATGATTTGAAGAGAACTGGGAGAGGAGGAACATAAATCAGTTCTGTCACATTTTAAGGATTAGAATTTAAACATTAAAAACAATTTTAATATGTTCACATATATAACTATCACCTGGTTGGACCATGACAAAAACCCACCCCTAACCATAAACAAGGGTAACCTATCATTTATCAAAAACAGGAAACGTTCCTATCTCTCAAGATCAGCGCTCTGAACTAATTATTTAACATAAGGTCATTTTTACGAGTTCACATGCTGAATGGCTTACAATTAAAAGCCTCTTCTAACCCAAATCACCATCCTCCTTCACTTACCTTTTTTTTTTTTTGAGATGGGAGTCTCCCTCTGTCGCCCAGGCTGAAGTATAGTGGCACAATCTCAGATCACTGCAACCTCTACCTCCTGGGTTCAATTGATTCTCCTGCCTCAGCCTCCTGAACAGCTGGGTACAAGCACCCACCATGCCTTGCTAATTTTTTTTTGTATTTTTAGTAGCGACAGGGTTTAACCATGTTGGCCAGGCTGGTCTGGAACGCCTGATCTCAAGTAATCTGCCCACCTCGGTTTCCCAAAGTGCTGGGATTACAAGCATGAACCACCGTACCTGGCCTGTTGCTTACACTTAAAAAAAAAAAAAAAAATTCCTCCCCTCTCCCTAGACTCCTAACCTAATCAAGTTACCAAATTCAAAAAATTATTTTATCTCACCCATTCTTGCCTCTTTTTTTCTTTTTTTTTTTTTTTGAGACGGAGTCTCGCTCTATCGCCCAGGCTGGAGTGCAGTGGCATGATCTTGGCTCACTGCAAGCTCCACCTCCCGGGTTCACGCCATTCTCCTGCCTCAGCCTCCCAAGTAGCTGGGACTACAGGCGCCCACCACTGCGCCCAGCTGATTTTTTGTATTTTTAGTAGAGACGGTGTTTCACGTGTTAGCCAGGATGGTCTCGATCTCCTGACCTTGTGATCCGCCCGTCTCGGCCTCCCAAAGTGCTGGGATTACAGGCGTAAGCCACTGCGCCCAGCCTGCCTCTTTTTTTCTACTAGGGCTATCACAATTCTGGCCTTCATTTCATTTGACAGGAAGGCATGGGTTTATACCCTAACCAGAACAACAATGAACAGGATTTCTGCCTCCACTCCTCTAATCCAGGGGTTGGCAAACTTTTTCTGTAAAGGGCCAGATGGCAAATATTTAGGCTTTGCAGGCCACACAGTCTCCGTCTCAACTACACAACTCTTGCCATTATAGTACTAAAGCAGCCACAGACAATATTCAAGTGAATGAGTATGACTGTGTTCCAATAAAACTTTACTTACAAAAACTTGCCTTAGACTGCATTTGGCATACAGGGCATAGTCTGTTGATTGTGCTAATCCAACCAACTAATATCAACTTTCCTAAATTCCATCACAGATCATGTGATTTCTGATTTAAAAGTCACTTTCCTTGGCTGGGCACGGTGGCTCACGCCTGTAATGCCAGCACTTTGGGAGGCCATGGCGGGTGGATCACGAGGTCAGGAGATCGAGACCATCCTGGCTAGTAGTAGAGATGATGAAACCCCGTCTCTACTAAAAATACAAAAAAAAAAAAAATTAGCCGGGTGTGGTGGCGGGCGCCTGTAATCCCAGCTACTCGGGAGGCTGAGGCAGGAGAATGGTGTGAACCCAGGAGGTGGAGCTTGCAGTGAGCTGAGATCGCACCACTGCACCCCAGCCTGGGCAACAGTGCGAGACTCCATCTCAAAAATAAATAAATAAATAAAAAATAAAAGTCACTTTCCTTACCAAAAAAAAAAAAAAAATAGAACTTAACATTCCTTGGCCTGATACTCAAAGGCTTCCTCCATGAGTATAATCTTCATTAACCTTGGTCATTTCCTTTTTCTCATACTAGATTCCAAATTGTATTCCATGATTGTGGCTGCTTATACTGCTCTAATTCCAAACCTTTGCTCAATTTGTATACAGAATGTCCTTTCTTCTTTCCCTCTAAACACCTACATCTCCCTTGCTTCCCACACTACCACCTAGAACTAAAATCCATCTATCCTCTAAGAAGTCTCCTTCCCTTTACCCAGAAATTCTTCTTCAGCAGAACTTCTATGGCACTTAATCTGTATCTTTTCTGACAATGATTGCTTTGTATCTTTTACCACAGTGAATTATATCTTAGATCCCCTAAGCCTGTGGGCAGAATTTATTTACAAGTCATCTCTGTATTTCCCACAGCACTTTACAATCAAGAGATAAAAAAACAGGTATTATTGTTTCAAAGAAAATATTCCTACAACTAAATTCCTTTACATAACATAGCACTGTTAATAAGACCAAGACACACTTATTCTGTATTAAAATGTTACCTAAAAACTAATGACACTGGCTCAACAAATTAAGCCTTCAAAAATTAGTCTCCATCTTATTACCCAGAGGGCAGCATGGCAAAGTGGGAAAAGGAAAAAAGGACAAGATTGACATCCTGATTCTGCCATTGTTGTTAAATTTCTGCTTCCTTATCTTGTGAAACAGATGTTACCACTGCCTACCTGGGAAAACTAGGAATAACGACTACAGTAAATTATTATGCATTATGGCTTTTATAAACAGAAATTTAAGAACAGCTAAGTTAACTGCAAGATCCCTATTCTGTCAAAAAAAAAAAAAAAACACGAGTATCTTGTGTTCAGCATTATGAATATAAAGAATAAAGACATGAGCAGTCTCATAACATAGACAAGTTCAGTCTACTGTAGATCCTTTCACAGAGAAGTAATACAACATACTGAGTGCTAACCTTCCAGCTATTTCTAAAAAGATGGAAGTCCAAGGTTATTTCTAAATTATTTTAAGCATAAAGCTAAATATTTAAGAATGAGTTATAACTGAGTTTCTACCAAATTAAAACAACGATGCTTACAACAGCTTACAGGGCTCCTGATCTCACCTTCTACCACTCATTCTATACCTGGATCAGCATGCATGCTCCTGCCACCCCGGGCTTACTGATGAAAATCCAACAAACCGGGCTCAGTCCCATCTTAGGGCCTTTGCAAGTGTTCTCTACACCTTGAATGCTCTTCCTCAAGATCTTCACAGGTCTTGCTCACACACTTCATACAGATCTCATTCAAACTGTCACCTCCTCAGAGAGGCTTTCCCTGACCACCCTATTAATATAGACATCTCTCTCCCATAACCATCACTTTCAATCTCCTTAGGCTCTTTCCTTTTTATATCTCTTTATAGCACTTGTTAACTAGCCTTCGGTCATTATTTACTTATCTGTCTTCCCTAGTAGGATAAAACTCCCTGAAAACTGTAATATCTTATTGGCTGCTGTACTCCTTGTAACTAAAATCATGCCTGGAACACACTGAGTACTTGATACATATTAATTTTTAAATTGATGAATAACATTTGTGAGTGACGAGGAATATTCATCATTGCAACTTACATAATTTCTTAAACCAGCTGCTTACAATTAAATCTAGCATGTTGAGGCTACTCCTAGAACAGGGGTTCTTAATTTGGGGCTTTAGGGAATCATTAATACCCATGTTTCTGGAAGGAAAATCTACAGCTTTTCTTTAAATGGTCCCTAATCTGAAAAACATCCTAGACCAGTGATTTATGACTCTGGCTACATCATGGAATCTCCTGGTGAATTTTAAACATACAGATGCTTGGATCCCATCCCAGAGGGTGTATTTTTTCTCATCTGTGGTACAACCACAGGACTTCTAAAAAATTACCCAGGTGATTCTAGTGTATAGCAAAAGTTGAGAACCATGCAATTTGAACACAACAAATGTTAACTGGGTGAGAGTCCTCAAAGGTACTTACAGTGGGAAGAAAACAAAAATTGAAAACTATGAATTTTGAGGGAATTGGCATTGCTGGCAAACAGATCAATACACAAGTTCCTGAATAATTCTGTATCATAAAAACATTTTAAACAAAAACTAGTAGCTCTACCTCCACTTAAATACTAACCTGACATTGAGATTCTAGAGCTTACTCCCAGAACACAAATAACACCTTTCACTTAAAACAACGTATTTCAGACAAACATTCACTTCTTAATAACTTACTTATAAAAACCTAAAACTATCAAGAAAACAACAGAATACTTTTTGAAGACGAATCAGCTATATTACAACTATGAAGCTCTTTGTAGTTTTATTCCTAAAAATGCCTTTGAAGCAACACATTTCCACCAATTAATGTCCTCATTTAGCCTCAACTGTTACACAGGATGACAGGCCCTGAATTTAGGTGAAACTAATACTGACAATAGACACAAAGGGGGGGGGGGGATTTCAGAGATTTATTTAGATCATGTCAAAAGGGTTTGAAAAGAGCAGGTGTCAGACTGACACAGGTGGTAAATTGTTTTCTTTTTGAAGTCAAACAAGCAAACATTGAGTAATAAGCGAATTCACTGATACCAACCGAGGGTTTCATAAGTTACTGGTTTTTATACCTTCATCCAAGTAGCCCTTTTAAAAAAGGGATTAGCAAGATAGAGAGCAAAACAACAAAATGTTAAGTATTTGTAAAATAAATAAATCCAGATGCTTAAATCCACAGTGATAAATAATTTTAAATTATTCCTGGATACTTAGAATCACGATGAAACTCATTCCATCTATCCCTTTCTTTCTTTATTCTTGGCTGTATGGAGATACCTGCTGACACAGAAGCACCAGGTCATGAGCACATCTGACATAAAACATTACAAACTTAAAGCAGTATTTTTTAAAATCTAAAGGGCTTAGGGAAGACAGCCATGCTCCTAGCTATGAAGCCTCTGTGGCTTGACTTCCTGGTCATATCACAAGGATTTTTTTTTAAAGTATTATTCAGTTCCCTTGTTGAGTAAGTTAATTTACTAGGAAAGTGCAAACAAAGACATACATGCAGGTACGCAGCTCATCAACGCATTTTAGTTGTGGGGAAAGATCAGGCTTAGGAGACACGAATAATTATAAAACTATTAGAGCTGGAAGAGCCCTCTTTAAATTTCCCTTCTAGAAAGATGGGCACAAGGAAATCCTTAGCTTTCTATGTCGTTTTACTCGGTAAAATAGTACACTCTTATTAGTAACTTTATCTTTTATCAAAAGCCTGTGGAAATAAATGTTCTGGGATTAACTAGTAAATATATAAATAAAGCCACAGAAACATATTCCCAAAATGTGGGCTGGAAATGAAAACAGAACAGCATGGGATACAAAACCCCACTGGCTGTTTACAAAATGTTTCGTGTACATGACTTTTATGTAATAGGAACAGAACACTAGTATAGGAAATGAAGACTACATGGAAGGGCTGGCTACTTGGAGGTGACGGAGTTAAAGATTTCATGAACCATCAAAAGACCAGGTCATTTATACACTAGATTATCAAACCAGAAAAAGTCTGAGTCCCCTCATTCCATTACATTTGAAGAAATGAGAAGCACCAAAAAAATAAAGTATCAATACAAAGAAGAGAGAGAAACTAAGACAATCTGACCCTGAAGGAATCGCAATGTGGAGGGAAAACCCAGCCCTAGGAGTTAATTGTCTAAGTCAGGTAAGAAAAGAGTGAAAAAGTTGAACAGCACAACAGACTATTTCATGAACACCAGATGCCTCGATATGTAAGGGCTTTAAATAAAGAGAAAACACTCTCCTCATGAGCTGCTGCTTCAGTGCCTAGTTCTTCACTCAACTATACCCCCCTCTAAATCAGATGCAGCATTTTGAAATCGACCTCACTCCCTTAACCACACTTAATTTTTGGAGTAGAGGTTAATGAACACACCAGGATAAAACGATGTCTAGTTTGGCAGGAGTGGGAGTACAAAAGTAAGGGGAAAAAGACAAGAAAGAACAAAGCACTGGTTCGCACACCTCTCTCCACCCCAGTTAAGCTGTGGAAAGCTGACTGGCATATCCACATGCTTAAATTATACGTTACTGGCAATGAGGGAAGTGGGGAAATGCTAACATTCTGATTTGTCCCTTGACAAATGAGGGAGGATATTCCCCCCTCAGGGTTGCACTTTAAGAATTTCTACTTGCAATGCTCACTGCAGCCTCGACCTCCCAGGCTCAAGTGATCCTCCCATCTCAGCTTCCCGAGTAGCTGGGACTACAGGTGTGAACCACAACATCTAGCTCATTTCTTGTGGTTTATTGTACAGATGGGCGTCACCACGTTGCCCAGGCTGGTCTCGAACTCCTTGAGCTCAAGTGATCCCCCTGCCTCAGCATCCCAAAGCACTGGGATTACAGGCCTAAGCCACCGTGCCCGGGCTCTCACCACAATTATAAAAAGAGAGAGAATGAAGGGAAGGGTAGAATTTCCTCTTTAAAAGTGGTCTGACTCACCAAACCATCTTCACTGCAAAGCCTTAAACAGTACCAGAATACAGGAAAAGGATATTGTATGCTTTTCTTAGAGCTGGGACAAAGAAATGAGAGGGTGTGGTGGGGGGAAGGAGTAAACAATCAGAGCATAAGTAACCCATATTATACATGGTTTATATGATGCCATCTCCAGGTTTAATCTTTCCCTTTTATTATTTTATGATTATTTTAATGGAGATGGGGTCTTGCTATGTTGACCACACTGGCCTCAAAGTCCTGGCCTCCTAAAGTACTGGGATTACAAGGTATAAGCCACCACGAGCAGCCTAATCTCTCAATTTTAGTTTCCTTACCATAAAACAGACACAATGCTTACTATACAATTAAAATATGCTATAAAATAGTAAGTGAAATAACTATACTAAAAGGCATTCCTGGCATTCAGAAAAGTTGATGGTAGCATCCTTTCCCCCTCAAAGATAGGTACAGGAGGCCCTAATCCAATAGTTCTCAGCCAGGGATTTTTTTTTTTTTTTTTTTTTTTTTGAGATGGAGTCTTGCTCTATTGCCCAGGCTGTAGTGTTGCCATCTCGGCTCACAGCAACCTCCACCTCCCGGGTTCAAGCGATTCTCCTGCCTCAACTTCCCAAGTAGCTGGGACTACAGGCGTGTGCGACCATGCCCAGCTAATTTTTCTATTTTTAGTAGAGACAGGATTTCGCCATGTTGGCCAGGCTGGTCTCGAACTCCCGGCCTCAAATGATTCGCCCACCTCGGCCTCCCAAAGTGCTGAGATTACAGGTGTGAACCGCTGCTCCCAGCCTTGGGGATTATTTTGACCTTACCCCAACCCCCAAAAGGGCACATATAATAAAGTCTGGAAAAATTTTGTTGTCTCAACTAGGGTGAGGGAAGGTCCTACTGGCATTTAGGGGGTAGAGGCCAGAGACGCCATCAGGCATTCTTACAGTGCACAGAATAGCTTCCCATGACAAATAATTATTAGTCCCAAAAGGTTAATGGTGCCTCTGTTAAGAAAACCTGCCTAAAAAACATTCATTTTTGGAAAAACCACATAAACACAGAAGAGGAGCATAACACTCTAGTTCCTACAGTCTATTAAAAAAAAAAACTATTTAAAAGATATTACAGGCTAAGTGCAGTGGCTCACACCTATAATACCAACACTTTGGGAGGCTGACACAGGAGGATTACTTAAGCCCAGGAGTCTTCGGCTGTAGTAAGCTATGATCACGCCACTGCACCCCAACCTGGGTGATAGAGTGAAACCCTATCTCTCAAAAGAAAACATACTCTAAGAACAATCCTTTCTTGTGATAGCTATTACTCAAATGACAAAAGCTGGGGGAAATACCTTGTAAATATCAGAAAAAAACTTCTCCTCCTAAGTAGTTTAAAAATATGCAGATAGGCGGGCACAGTGGCTCACACTTGTAATCCCAACACTTTTGGGAGGCCAAGGTGGGCGGATCACCTGAGGTCAAAAGTTCAAGACCAGCCTGACCAACATGGTGAAACCCCATCTCTACTAGAAATACAAAATTAGCCGGGCATGGTAGTTCATGCCTGTAATCCCAGCCACTTGGAAGGCTGAGGCAAGAGAATCCCTTGAACCCAGGAGGCAGAGGTTGCAGTGAGCCGAGATGGCACCACTGTACTCCAGCCTGGGCGACAGACCGAGATTCTGTCTCAAAAAAAACATTAACAAAGAATACTCCAGATCATCCAGAAAGTCAGTATCTGATAGTGTTTATATGGAGAACTCCTGCACTGGAATGTAAACTCCTAACCCTAGATCCATCTCTTCTCAGGTCTTCCTATCACCTCAGCCTACAGCAGTCAATCCTTCCCTCTAACCACTCCCTCCTCCTAAGATTTCAGCATTTAATGCCTGTACCATGTATCTAATACTTAGTACACAATGCCTAATTCTTGTTTTTTAATTTTTATTTAAAATACTAAAACGAAACAGAGACGGGGTCTCGCTATGATGCCTATTCTGGTCTAGAACTCCCGGGCTCAAGGGATCCTCCCAAGGAACTCGGCCCACAATGTCTAATTCTAATGCTTCCTCTTTTACTTGAAAGTGGAGGGGAAGGCTGGGAGCAGTGGCTCACACCTGAAATCCCAGCTACTCAGGAGGCTGAGGCAGGAGAATCGCTTGAACCAGGGAGGTGGAGGTTGCACTGAGCTGAGATCACACCACTGTACGCCAGCCTGGGTGACAGAGTGAGACTCTATCTCCAAAAAAAAAAAAAAAAATCAGTCACATAAATTACTCATTGAAGACAGGAACCAAGTTTTCAATTCTTCTTAAGTGTTTTCATCATTCCTGATCTAACCACCAGAGAAGTGTTTCCTTGCCCTTTGGTGGCAAGGTTAATCTTGGTGATAAATGATCCTGAAAGGCTAGTCTCCAAATAATTAGAACCTTGAAAATGTTTATATTTTTCTCTGCTCGGAAAATTCTGGAACCCCTTTTCTAGGACTGCCACAAGGACACTTCTGACTATCCTCAATGATGACACATTTTAGTTTCCATTCAGATTACCAATTATGGTAACTCCCCTGATCACTGTTTAAGTACTACTTATTAAAGGAACAAACATTAAGCTATTGCTCTTGGAAGGCCAGCCTGCTAGGAAACACCCAAGAGCAATTCTGTACCTTATCCTTCCCTAAATTAGTCAGCCAATCTTACCATTCAAGGATGAAATTAAAGGCATTTATCTCATCTAGTAATACCATCAGTAAACCATGGAAGCTTAAATAATCTAACATTGCTTTGGACATTATGGAAATGACAACCTCAGCACCTAATAAAATGTAAAACCAAATATATACATATCATGTCAATGTCTTGAATGTACAATTACCTTGAAAATTTCAAAGTCACCTCACATTTCTCAACTCTTGGACCTGAGACCTGCTTACTATCAAGTTATCATTGAGAACAAATTAAGAATTCTCAATTGAGAGGTCACCTGTTGCACTAAGCAAACCGCCTGCAAATACTAAATTAGCTTTTCTACTTACACTATCAAGTCAAATTACTTCTGGTAATGCTTGAGTGTATTTGCATGAGATCAATTTCATATACAGTTGGGCAGAAGCAAAATGAGTCTTAAGCAAGCTTCATTCTGTTTTCATCTTACAAAGAAAAGACTGGCCTGTCCTCCCAGCCTTTTGAATAAGGATCTTGAAAAATTCACTACGCACAGGGTGTGCCCAAAGAATACTTGCTGGAAAAATATGCTGGGAGAGTGCCAATTTAAAAAGAAAAACATTTTCGCCCAGTTGGAAATCTAGAGAAAGAATAGTTGTAGCAATTCAGCTAAAAACTCTCAAGACCTGAAGAAAATTTTAGAAAAACCCCAGATCTTTTTGTTATTGGAGTAAAATTCTATGAAAGGCAACTAAATGAATCAATGAAGTATTCAACTATGCTAATTTTATGCACCTAAAAAGCAGTAACTGAAATTCTGCCTTTGACATTTGACGGTGCAAAAAGCACTAAGTACCTTATTTGTTCTACATAAATGAACTTTATAATCTGCAATAGTTTTTAAATCAACTGTTTCTGGGAAATAATGAAAGCATTTTATTTTCCTTTTTAAAAAAGCAAGAATAACAAAACTTCTTTATTGTTTTGCTTTTTGGGAGGAGGGGTTGGGGGAATTGGGATAAATTTTTGTTTTCCATTAGAGACTTTTTTTTTTTTTTTTGAGACAGTCTCGCTCAGTCGCCCAGCTGGAGTGCGGTGGCACGATCGATCTCGGCTCACTGCAACATCTGCCTCCCAGGTTAAAGTGATTCTTGCACCTCAGCCTTCCAAGTAGCTGGGATTACGGGCATGTGTCACCATGCCCAGCCAATTTTTGTATTTTTTGTTTTGTTTGTTTTTGAGACTGAGTCTCGCTCTATCGCCCAGGCTGGAGTGCAGTGGAGCAATCTCAGCTCACTGTAACCTCCACCACCTGGGTTTAAGTGATTCTCCTGCCTCAGCGTCCCGAGTAGCTGGGATTACAGGTGCCCGCCACCACACCCGGTTCATTTTTGTATTTTTAGTAGAGACGAGGTTTCACCATGTTGGCAAGGCTGGTCTCAAACTCCTGACCTCAAGCGATCTGCCTGCCTTGGCCTCACAAAGTGCTGGGATTACAGGCATAAGCCACCACACCCGGCCAAGAGACTTATTTCTGAAGCATAACACTCCAGCAATAGCTTGATTAAGCTAAAAAGATACCCATCTGTTACAGGCCTTTGTCTTCAGTCTCTCACTACAACACCCACCCCTTTCCAGGTCCACTCAGAACCTTACGCTCAGATTTTTTTTTCACTGCAATAAGTGAACACAACAAAAAATTACAGTTACTACAGGGACACACTGGTCCCAGGTTGCCTCATGAGAAAAGCAGGTGAGTAGGCCTGCTGGAGCTTTGCACTAACTCTATGGACCCTGTGGAAACTGCATGCAATGCAGGCTACATGGAGGGTCACCGGGCTGCTCACTATACCTCAGCAAAGCAAAAGGCCTGCCTATGCCTATGACAACAGCCTTTCCCATCACAGCCTGGTCCCACCACAAAACAACAAGCAATATTCTTCCAAAAAGTACAGTCCTAATTTTAAAAGTGAGGAACTCGAGCCTAGGTAGACAAAATGTAACAATTCTTAACAGTTGTCCAGAATTCTTTCTACTCTCTTACTCCCCTTTTAGTACTAATACCACAAATGCTAAGAAAAATAACCTCTAGTTCATCCTTCAAGTTTTCTGGTACTTGCCAAATCAATAAAAATAACATGTGAAATGTTAATCACAAACCACCTACTCAGACACTGAAATGACACAAATACAGACTAAGTAGATGAAAACCAATCAGGATAGTCCTCAACTATTCTTTCAATATCCTTTCAAGTTCTATGGTAACTAGATTTACCAGCAAGAGTTTTCTTGAGGAAAATACTAAACACAAAGCACATGCTTACAATTCACCTGTAAGCACAAGTTAAGAATAATGGAGAAAGAACATAAAATACCTTCATAACTCAAAAGAGCTCCTTTTCCAGCAACTGGGGAAATAGTTGTTTGGGGCTTTTCCACATAAGATATAAATCATCCCTTTCGAATGTCAAAAATGTTTAATTTAGCCATTTGATGGGGAAAAACCTTTAATAGTTCACTTCTCTAGAGTGTTTATTACAGTAAAGGAAAACTATTTAAACTTCCCACCATCCCTCCTGGTCAATGCTGGTGTCCACCCACGTACTGTGTGGTCAGAGAGCTGTCTAAAGGAGTTACAGCAAACAGCAAAGCTATGTGCCTTCAGGTTGCTCCATTTCTCAAAATAGAATCTTTTTTCTGCCCTCTCTCTATCAGTTCCAGGAGTTATCTTCTATTCAGAAGATAGAACATGTATGACCACAAGCAAATTATTTAACATATCTATAGTCTTGGGTCTCAACTGTAAAACAGGGTATCATCATCATATGGAAGATTTAAAGACAACAAACCTAAACCACCTAACATACAGAAAGGTGTGATCAATAAATACTAATTCCTTTCTTTTCTTCCTTTTTTAAAAAAAATAACTTCAACCACTTCCTAGATGTTAGTCTGCCCTAGCAAAATGTCCCTCCTCTACCCATCCAACTTTTTTTAAGACAAGGTCTCACTCTGCTGCTCACGCTGGAGTGCGGTGGTGCAATCTCGACTCACTGCAACCTCTACCTCCCAGGCTCAAAGCAATCCTCCTACCTCAGCCTCCCGTGTAAGCTGGGACTATAGGCGCATGCCACCACGCCTGGCTACTTTTTTTTGTAGAGAAGGGGTTTCGCCATGTTACCCAGGCTGCTCTAGAACTCCTGGGCTCAAGAGATCTGCCCGCCTTGGCCTCCCCAAGTGCTGGAATTACAGGAGAGAGGCATCACGCCCATATAACCCATCCAACTTCTACTCCACAAAAGAAAATGAGTAATTTTCTTTTACTCATATTGTAGGCTTAAGGATGTATCTGGTTAAGATACATATGGCCATTATACCTTTCCTCAAAAAATACGTATTACCAAATTAATGTATAATAGTCTTCTGAATATAAACATAAACGCCATTATTTTACATGATGGTTGGTAGACCTCTTTTCATCAACCAAATCTAATGAACAATTTGATTCTGTTTACACTAAAAAAGCTAGTGCTTATGCCCAGGAGATAGGTAAAGAGCCTAGATTATTATCTTGATCTCTTATTAGCTGTTTGACATTAAGTTACTTAAACTTTCCATTCTGCAGTTTGAGTCTGTAAAATTAAAATTATCTATCTCATTGTACTGTTGGAGGATTACATAAATTAATTTGTAAAAAGCTCTTTATAACTAAAGAGCTAAAAACAATTCAACAAATGTGGGCTATTATTTCTCTACCAGAATGTCTCAACTCTGTTGTCTGCTTAGGCAAAGTTGGTTAAAAACGTTGTTCCCAGCAGGGCACAGTGGCTCACACCTGTAATCCCAGCACTTTGGGAGGCCGAGGTGGGCTGATCACGAGGTCAGCAGATCGAGACCATCCTGGCTAACATGATGAAACCCCACCTCTACTAAAAAAAAAAAAAAAAAAAAAAAAAAATACAAAAAATTAGCCGGGTGTGGTGGCAGACGCCTGCAGTCCCAGCTACTTGGGAGGCTGAGGCAGGAGAATGGCGTGAACCTGGAAGTTGGAGCTTGCAGTGAGCCCAGGTCATGCCACTGCACTCCAGCCTGGGCGACAGAGCGAGACTCTGTCTCAAAAAAAAAAAAACCTTGTTTCCTAGCTCACCCAAATCAGTTCGGTCAAAATCCTCCTGGGTTCTCAGGTTTAAGACTAATTCAGTCCCAAAGGCCCTAAACTCTGCCACCCTGTTTCTTCCCAGGATACATCTCTTGTAAGTACCTGAGAAACAAACCGGAAATAGCAATTAAAGGGAGAGCAAGGAAATGGCACTACATATACAAGGGTATTCAATTCCCTGGCACATGCCCTCTATTCTTTTAGGCCTAAGTAAAACAACTTATAAGAACATGATTTTAAATGAACTATGACACCTCTCTCTAGTTGCCATTCCCCAATCTCCCCATTTCCCCCGCCCCCAAAACAATTTTCTCTACAATTCCTCTTACCTGAGTTCTGAATATAATCTACATGATTACTACAATGCTACTAAATAGGCTGCTAGAGCAAACCACAACATTCACAATTTAATAGCAAATTTTCAGTATATTCTGCTTGCAGAGCAGACCCTACAACTTTCATCAGGCTTAAAATAATTTCAAAGCAATTTTGTCTACCATGGTACAAGAAACCTTTCTTCACACTTATAGAAATATAAAATCAAACAGGACACAGTTGCCACAAAGCCTTAACTAATGAGAATCAAAACTGGTAAGATTTATTCTTATGTTTACTATATACTAAACCCCCTTGGTTTCAAATCTATATAAACTCAATGTTTTCTTTACATTGGATATGTAAGCATAATTTTCCCAGATGCACAATAGAAAATTGGAGAAAGATAATTCACTGGTAAACATGAAAGGGCATGACCTTAGGCATGAATTTCTACCCAGCTTGCAAAATAATCTAGTCCACTTTGGTCCATGTTTAGGGAGGTGGGGAAATGAATTAAAGTACCATCCATTTATAACAGAATGTGGACCCATGCTTTCCCTTTTCTAGTTAAAACTATTTGTTTTATCACACTGACAGAGCCTAATCGGGGGCTCTACAAAGGACACTCCAGGTATACCCAACAAAGGAAAATATTTAAATAAAAATTAATGAATGCCTACCTCATCTGCTCCTTCTCCATCTTGACATATCCATCCAATGTAGTTACCCCTGCCAAACAAAAATCTGGGAATCACCCATGGCACCTCTTCCCTTTTGCTCACCACATGCAATCAGCCACAAGCCCTCATCACCCCTACTTCCAATAACCAATTCTCTTAAATCTTTCCTGCCAAAGGCTGAGTCCA
The DNA here is from genome assembly GCF_000001405.40 of Homo sapiens. Lineage (NCBI taxonomy): Eukaryota > Metazoa > Chordata > Mammalia > Primates > Hominidae > Homo > Homo sapiens. The sequence goes on from NT_187663.1 coordinate 864,768, forward strand.
CCATTCAGCTAACTGGTTAGCCTAAATTCACCTCTATTCCCCTTCTCCACACAAGCGGGGTCTGAAAAATACAAATCATGTAAGCCATGTCAATGGCTTCACAATAAAAATTTTAACTTTATATAATCAACAAGGCCATCTGTATGATCTGGCAACTAGCTACCTCTCTGGTCTCATTTCTCACTACTTGTAAAATACACTATACTTTGCTCTGTTCTTTGAGAGTCAAGCACCTTCCATTTCCAGGACCTTAGCATGTCTTGTTTCCTCAATGAGCAGCAAAGCCCCTTCTCACCCACCAATTCCTTCTTATCCTTCAGGTCTCAGCTTACATGTCACTTCCTTCAGAAGACTCACCATCACATCCCCATCACATGCTGCCTAGATATATCCAATATGCACCCTCAGATCACTCTGAACTTTGTTCCTGTAGCACCCACAACAATCATAAATATATCATCTATGTAATTACCTGCTTAAATATTAATCTCTCTCTAATCTATATTCCCCATGAGGGCAAGACAAGGATTGTATCTTTCTTAACCACTGGATCCCTAGCATCCCAGCATGTAGCAGGCATTCAATGTAGAGTTAATGAATGAATTAATCAAATCCAAACTCCTCCAATGAAGGTTTTCAGGTCTCTACAGAGCAACTCCTCCCCCATTTATAGAAGATTATTTGGAAGCTTATTTCCTCACTGTTTTTTATTTTTTCAGACACAGGGTCTCACTTTGTCGCCCATGCTGGAGTTTAGTGGCACAATCATAGCTTACCCAAGCCTTGAACTCCTAGGCTCAACCCATCTTCCTGTCTCAACTTCCTGAGAGCTGGGATTACAGGCTCAAGCTACTGCACCCAGCCATTTCCTCATTTTTAACACTTGCTGGAACTTGTAAGGAATACAGAAACCTTCATTTTTAAGACTCTAGTAAAGAACCTGGACTCTCATGAGCTCTTAAGATTATTTTGCAAACTGAGTACTGAAATGCTTCTGGTAACCATCTATTGCTGTAGTCAGCCAGGCTTAAAACTTCAATCACCTATGATGATCCCTCCCGTCATTGCCCCCACACATCACAGTTATTAAGTCCCATTCAATTTACCTCTACATCATTTCTGGAATTATCTCTTTTTCTTCTCACATTACATTTACCATCTGTACCTATAATACTATGTCTTCAACATATCCCATTCCCATGGTGCCACCAAAGCCCTATACCTTTCAACTTGTCTTCTCTGTGTGCCCTGTGCTTTCTGCCTATACTGACCTCTCAGTAGGTCACAATCAAAAGAAAACTGTCTATCAAAATCTTTGCCAACCTTCAAGGTTCATTTCTAACATCACTAAGTGCCAGGCACTGTTCTAAACATTCATCTTTGTCTTACTAAGTTCTTCACTCCCTTCACTCTTTAAACTTCTTGAGGATACAAACTTAGCTTATTCATCTGTTATCTCTTGTGTCTTACACATTTACTTACTCCATAAGTACTTATTATATGACTTTAACACTACCATAAAAGAGTACGTTCACTTCAGAGAACAAAAACAACAATCACAAGGTGGCAGAAAACACTATAGCAACTATATCTACGGTAAATGGGTAACACCCAAATTCCTGATGCCTAAGTTCCTTTCTTCAGAATCCCACAACAAGCACTAAGAATGATTTTCACTACCTACGTTTCTTCTCAGGAAAAAAATGAGAAGAGAATAGAAGAAAAAAACACAAGTTCCTACTTCTGCCACTTGACGTCATGTGCAGATTAGGAGAAAAGCCAAGGGGCATTAAATCAAAGGTGTTCAACAAATGAAAGTTTACTCAGCTCTGAAGTAAATTCTGTAAGAATACAATGAAATTATTCCCACATTTCTATCCCATACATCAAGAAATAAGATAATCACTTTAATGGACTATGAAAAGTAAATCAACCAAAGAAATGAATGAAGGCATTAGAAGAACCAAAGCTTTAAGTCACAAGTCAAGAAACCTGTTTTGTTTCAACTTATACCAGTGCTTTGCTGGGTTCTTTGCCTCAGCTTCCCCCAATGCAAAAAAATGGTGATGAGAATAGTTTCATTCATGTTATTTAAAGATAAACAGTCACATTTCAAAGTAGTTTGAGACCTAAAGGTCACGTAGGGTCAGCTCCCTCACTTTAATTAGAAAAATGGTTACATTAGTCCTATAGCTAGTTTTTAGCAGAAGAAGGGTTTAGCTGAGAAGACTTGGGTATCCTGGCTGATGTTCCTCCCAACCCACCACTTTATGAAATGATAAAGAGTAGAAAAATGATAGCCGGGTGTTTGGTGCATGCCTGTAGTCCCAGTTACTCCTGAGGCTGAGGCAGGAAGATCACTTGAACCTGGGAAGCAGAGACTGCAATGAGCTGACATCACGCCACTGCACTCCAGCCTGAGTGACAGAACAAGACTCTCTCTCAAATATATACATACATACAAACATACATAAAAAGTAAAAAATGACAAAGCAATTTGATTGCCACTTTGGCAACATCATCTGTGTATTCTTAATAAATTCAAGTAAGAGTTACTTTTTTTTATTTTTATTTTTACTTATTTATTTGAAATGGAGTCTCGCTCTGTCGCCCAGGCTGGAGTGCAGTGGTGCGATCTCGGCTCACTGCAAGCTCCACCTCCTGGGTTCTGGCCATTCTCCTGCCTCAGCCTCCCGAGTAGCTGGGACTACAGGGGACCGCCACCACGCCCGGCTAATTTTTTGAATTTTTAGTAGAGACGGCGTTTCACCGTGTTAGCCAGGATGGTCTCAATCTCCTGAACTCGTGATCCACCCACCTCAGCCTCCCAAAGTGCTGGGATTACAGGTATTTTTATTTTTTTTTTGAGACACAGTTTCACTCTGCCACCCAGGATGGAGTGCAGAGCTGAGATTTCAGCTCACTGCAACTCCTGCCTCCTGGGTTCAAGTGATTCTCGTGCTTCAACCTCCCAAGTAGCTGGGATTAAAGGCGTGCACCACCACGCCTGGCTAATTTTTGAATTTTTGGTAGAGACGGGGTTTCACCATGTTGGCCAGGCTGGTCTCCAACTCCTGACCTCAAGTGATCCACCCACCTTGGCCTCCCAAAGTGCTGGGATTACAGACATGAGCCACCAAGCCAGACCAAAAGCAACAATATAGAACATTCCAAAGTATCTAAAAAGCAAAACCTATAAACACACTAGTAATTCATTTTACCATGAGGTCTTCATAAACTCCAAGAGGATAAAATTCCCCAGGAGGGGCTAGGCACAGTGGCTCTCGCCTGTAATCCCAGCACTTCGGTAGGCCAAGGTGGGTGGATTACCTGAGGTCGGGAGTTCTGAGACCAGCCTGGGCCACATGGTGAAACCCCGTCTCTACTAAAAATACAAAAATTAGCCAGGCATGGTGGTGGGCGCCTGTAATCCCAGCTTACTCAGGAGGCTGAGGCAGAAGAATTGCTTGAGCCTGGGAGGTGGAGATTGCAGTGAGCCGAGATCATGCCACTGTAACTCTAGCCTGGGCGACAGAGTGAGACTCTGTCTCAAAAAAAAAAAAAAAGGGCTGGGCACAGTGACTTACACCTGTAATCCCAGCACTGTGGGAGGCCAAGGCGGGTAGATCACCTGAGGTCAGGAGTTCGAGACCAGCCTGAGCAACATGGCAAAACCCTGCCTCTACTAAAAGTACAAAAATTAGCCGGGCGTGGTGACAGGCACCTGTAATTCCAGCTACTCAGAAGGCTGAGGCAGCAGAATCACTTGAACCCGGGAGCCAGAGGTTGCAGTGAGCCAAGATCGCGCCACTGCACTCCAGCCTGGGCAACAAGAGCAACATTCGGTCTCCAAAAAAAAAAAAAATTCCTGAGGGTGAGAAAACTCACTGCAATCAAGACCATCCAAAATTCAAATAAGCGCTTTAGTGTCACTGAACTGCATCCATAGTCTATTTTTACCCAACCCTGATCTGAAACAGACTTCAGGAGACTATTAGACAAAACACAGGTTAGCATAAATTCAACCAGAAATAAAAACATGAAAATAGGGAAACAAAATGAAGCTATTAAAAAGGTACAAGCTTAGCTCTAAATTTCCAGATGTCAATAGGAAAAAAGAAACCTAGTGAACAATTACAGCACCCAGGTAATAAAAACAGACTAAAAGCTTAGACAAACATACAATTATTCTTGGCTGCACATCTTTCTCCCTGAGGTCTTTATAAAGAAGGCATTGCAGAATACAGAGAATATCCTCAACAATATTTCAGTAATCACAATGAAATGTTTTATGAGGTTATTTTTATACTGAACTTCAAGATAAGCCTAGAGTAACGGTTGGGAGAAAAAAAAGAAAAAAAAAATTTCGGGGACAGAGAGAAAAAAAGAAAGGAAAAAAAAAAAAACTTAGGAGAGAGAGACCTACATAATGTGGTCCAGGTACCCAGAACACTGCTGATTTAAGAGCACAATTAAGAGAATTTCTGGAAAAAAAATATTATTTTAACAAGTAGTTACTATATAGAAGTTTATAAGCACAGGACCCAGAAAATGAAAAGCAAATTTAGCAAAATGTGGAATGGGTCCAGGAATTAAACAAAATTGCAGGGAAAAAAAAACAACTCTAAGAGGGAAAAACAAAGAATATAAAAGAAAGAAGAGCAAGCACAACTCAGCAAGTACATTACATACATATGATAATTAAATGCTTTTATTTCTACATCTACAATTAAGAATTAAACATTAAGATATTTACGGAAGCATGCAGCTTCCTTCTTAATCCCATAATCAAGGAGATAAAATTTAAATTCCTGTACCTTCCACAGTGATGAAATATCATTGTTTAGTGACATCATATCAAACACAACGTACTGCAGAATTTTCAAAGCAGTTATATTTCCACTGTACCAAGAAAGGAAGATATGTGAAATATTTCATGAAAATTTTCCAAGAAGAGTTTAAAACAAAAAGGGTAAGAGTTTTTAAACCAGACATAAAATCAGTCAACCATAAAAATTAATTTAAAAAACTCTCTCTAAAGTCTCATTTAGCAATATAGTTTACTGTCAAGCATAATACAATGATAAACATACAATTTGCTAAACATTCAACAACATAGAAAAATTAATCATTCTATAGCTAGCATGTACCAACGACACAGAATGGATCACTGTTTCTCCTCTGGGAGGTGGGAAAGAAAAAAACAATTGAATTCTTAGTGAAGAAAGGGATTATAATTTCCACAGAACTATCCACTTGTAATTTAAGCAACATCATTTAAAAACAGCTCATTCCAACAGTCTCCTCTACTAAATATTTTCATCAGGGCTGCCTAGACGAAACCTAGCCCACCACTCTATCTTGGGCAAAAGAGTAAAATACAGACCAGCTACTGGAAGGGTGGGGGGAGCCAAAATTCACCAGCTGGGTCAAGTTCCTGAAGAATTAACTAACTACATTCTAGGATTCATTTCTCAGCATCAAAGAACAACTTTTTCTTCTTCTTTTTAAATTAAAGCAATGCCTCCATTCTCATTGTCTGGTCAACTGCTGAAAACCTTTAAAACACTCAGAAGATCAACAAACACTTGGCTAAATAAATACCAGCCTTAAGAGTCAACCCGGTGATCTTGCTCAACAAGAACTTTAAAGTATTTATGCTTTACTGGTGGTTTTAGTTTAAATACAATTTTTTTTTTTTTTTGAGACGGAGTTTCGCTCGTTGCCTAGGCTGGAGGGCAATGGTGCGATCTCAGCTCACCGCAACCTCCGCCTCTCACGTTCAAGCGATTCTCCTGCCTCAGCCTCCAGAGCAGCTGGATGTAGAGGCGTGTGCCACCACGCCCAACTAATTTTGTATTTTTAGTAGAGACGGGGTTTCTCCATGTTGGTCAAACTGGTCTCGAACTCTCAACCTCAAGTGATCCGCCCGCCTCAGCCTCCCAAAGTGCTGGGTGGGATTACAGGAGTGAGCCACCGTGCCCGGCCCTAAATACAATTACAATGTGCAAAAAGAGCATGTACTTCAGAGTACTTTCAGTACCCAAATATGATCTAACGCATGAAAATTCAACTTTTTAAAGTATCAGTTGATTTAATTGCAAGAGGATTCAACTGATCCCAAAATGTTTCCTAAAAGCCATCCTTTGGCTGTTCTTATACACTTCACACCCTTCCAAACCATAAACCATTATGTGAGAAGAATGCTCAGAACTAAGTAGTGAATGAATGGCCTTAAGGTTTTTCCAAGTCATTAAACTATCCTACAGAATAAGAAAAATTCTCAGGTACTTTTATTTCATTGGTTTGTAACGCTTACCTACAACAGTACCAAAACTCAGAAATGTTTTCAATGCAACGTATCCTGAAAACAATACGCTTATAGTGTCTAGGTGCTTTTCTGTTACTCAAAATAAGTGCATGCAATTTAAAATCCTTTAACTACAGTGTTTATTATACCTCTAAGCACAAAATATTTAACGTTAACCAAGATATTTTTAAAGCGGTGATTTAAACAGCAAAGTTAGTGGGGATAATGCCATGAATATTAGCAAGCTGAATTAAGCTACTAATCCATTTAAAGAAAGATGGGTTACGGAAGAAGCAAGCCTCTGAAGCATTTGCTTTAAATCTAAATACAGAAGTGGACTTGAGCACAGTGAACTAACAAATGATAATAGAACTAGGTCTACAAGGAAGAAATTCAGCAAAAATTATCCATTTCTTCCTTCAAAATAGAAAAAAAAAGTTTCATTTCAGATACAATATCCATGCAGATAATATAAACAAAATTGGGAAACCAGAAAATTTACTTTTAAAAATCATAGCTGTCTCAACAACCAAACACTCCAGTGAAAATCTTCATCACCTTTTAATACAGTCAAGGAAACACCAATTCTTCCCACATATTCATCTTTTTCAGCCTTCTCTAGTAAGCCAGCCTCTAGCAAAGAGAAAATGAAAGATCTGCTAGTCAATTATCCTGCCCATCTTTTCCAACTCCTCATGCTCTCTCTCAAATCTGATATTCCTAAGGAGATAAATGCACTTATTTAACATGTATCTTTAAGTATGTTATAATATAGTACTGCTTTATTTAATTAAGTACATAGATGCTGAATTGGGAGTGACAGGAATGAAACGTCTCTGTCTCCACCATGCCAATTTGGAGTGCCACCCATAAAAAGCTTATGTAAAATTTTCTCAAACCAACAGATTTAGAAAAACCAGTAAGATGAGGTGGGCGGATCACGAGGTCAGGAGTTTGAGGCCAGCCTGGTCGACACGGTGAAACTCAGTCTCTACTTAAGAAAAGAAAAAAGAAAAAAATTAGCCTGACTTGGTGGCGGGTGCCTGTAATCCCAGCTACTTAGGGAGGCTGAGGCCCGAGAATCACCTGAACCCAGGAGCCAGAGGCTTCAGTGAGCTGAGATCGCACTACTGCACTCCTGCACTCCAGCCTGGGCGACAGAGCGGAACTGTCTCAAAACAAAACAAAACAAAAAACAACAAAAAAAACAACCCAGTAAGAATTTATTCCAAATACATCAATACATTTAACTCAGCTTAACAAATCTGCTTAAAATGGGCTTTTTTTTTTTTTTAATAGGAAGAGAGTCAGGTTGTGAAACTAGACTGTGCTTGGAGGCGATGTATTAAATATTCTGAAGCATTTTCTAATTGTCAGTCCTTAAAATGTAAGAAAATCTCAAGTGTTAAAATTGAAGACTGGGTGTGCTCTCTGCTGAAAGTTCAATCAAAAGCAACTGTAATTTCCTACAAAGGTAACTAGGTCAACTCAGCATTTGTCCCTGCTTACTGGAAACAACAAAATCTCAACAATCAGGCCATTAACTTATCATGTCCTATATATAGTTTCAAAAGAAATCTAAATTCACTCTTAAAGAGGTACTAGTACAATTTTACACATAAGATGTCTCCTAGTTATTTTTCTTAGACTTCAAAAGGAAATTACCACCATTTAGACTACAACAATACAACCCTACAGCAAAAGTATCTTCCCCTTCTTCACTAGCATGTATATGCACTCATCTACCCAACATCAGGGAAAAAACAAACAGAACCTAGACACCTATGTACAAAGAATCACATTCTCTCCATAATGGCGATTCATTCATTCTTCCTTGTGCCAACATTTCTCAAGAATGCTATCATGCATGAGGTCTACTCACAGGGGTACATGACGCTGCTCGGGATCAGCTCTGGTCAGTTCTTCCTCTTCAATATCAGACTCCCCTCCTGAACTACTGTCAGTGACATCTGAATCAAATGCCTGTTCACTGCACCTCAAGTTGGCTATGCCACTAGCTGTAAATCTCTCCAATTCTTCTGAAATTGAATTGCTTTTCAGAAAGTTGCTAAGTCCCTCTGAAGTGGTGGTCTCACTGGCAGCTTTTCTCAAGGCAGCTTCAGCCTTTCGAGTCAGCATCAACTGGCTCCGTGGTCTCAAGGATTCCAAGTTTGGCAGTTTGCTCAAAGTCTTCTCCAAAAATCCACCCAGCTGATGTTGTATATGCCTCTCAACCTGCTTGGCTTGCACAACCTGTAAGCGCTTTTGTAATCTGCGGGCACGGCTCTCAATGTCAGCCTGTCGCCGCAGTAAAGCTGTTATCCTTGTGTCAGAATCTAAAGCACTGAAAAGAATGGAAGACAGGGGAGACTTTTTACCCTCCAATTTGACACCCCCCAAGTTAGAGCTGGAGTCTGTACCAGGTGATAATCTACTGCTTCCTTGAAGTGCCGGCTGTTCCATGGAATTGACAGAGGATTTGTTTGCAGTGCTATTATTGCTATACAAAGTTGTGTGTTCTACATCAAGGCTTCTATGTGGAAGAGTGCAATTGGTCATACCCCCCTTCAAGTCCCCAGATTCAGATCCTCCCATTTCACCCCCATGAAGAGCAGATGAAGTGAGAGCCCGTTTTCCCCCATTGAGGGAAGTGGAATTGTCATGATCAGAATGTGTTGAACTTTTAGTCAATTTCTTAGCCAACCCATTTACAGGTGCTTGTGGCAGAGCTGTCTGACCACTCGTATTCATGGTTCTAAGATTTTCTAAGGAAAACTCCAAAACTGGCTGTCTCCCCAACAGCTCAGCTCGGAGTTCATAGGACTGAGATAAGAGAGGATGAGATTTAAGGACTGTCTGCTTGCTGAAGACCCCTTGCAACTTCAAAGACTCCTTTGAGGGAACAGATGTTACATCAGAGCAGAGATAAGATGCCACCAGTGGTTGCAGCTTTCCCAAGTCTTCCTTGGTAGGATTATTTCGGAAATCTAGGCTGGGATCCTCTGCAGCAATGGCTTTTCTTTTGGTTCCGTTGGCAGCAATAAGGATGTTGGCGTTGCCGTTATTTTCGGCACTGCCAGGGGACAAGGTAGAGGATGGGGGAGCCAGTTTGAACCGGATATGGTGTGCTTCAGCTGCTGCGTCAGTGAGAGCGGGCGCCATCGCAGCCATTCAGCACAGAGAGACAGGAAGTCCAGCCTCTCCCGATGCCGAGGCCGAGGCCAGCTCCACGGCCCCTTACTGCCTCCCCAGAGAACAGACTAGAAGAGAAAGGAGAAAAGAATATTAGAAATACAAGCACTTTTAAAAACATGTATATTTTTAACAAAAGCACTACTTGAGGCTGTTGTCTAAACTGCCTCCAGAAAGAAAACACTCTGGAGCTAACTGTACCACAGTTATTCTAGAGACCCAAATATCTTTCATCTGGGAGAAAGGGGGAGGCAAAATCCCTGCACAAGGGAAGGAAGAATTGCACCCTTCTTGTCATTTGTTACCACAGATTGAAAGGTGCCAAAACACAAGTTCGATTCAGAGAAAATCACAGATTGTTAAAATTAAATCATCTCCATTAAAAAAAAATCTCTTTAAGCTTGTTGAAATAAATGGATTTAAAGCAAGACACATCAAACTAAGCAATAATTAAACAGAAAAAAATTAGTAAGGAATTCCCGTGTTCACTAAAAAAAGTATGCCAAATATCACAGGTCTGTGCATTTTTCTGGCCAGGGAATCCAGTTTTCATCAGCTTCTCACTTCTCTAGAAGTATAGATTATACTACAAAGCTAACTGTACCACATCTGTAATACCAACTTGTTTCATCAGTTTTCTTTTCTTTCAGATCAAAGTGGTCATCAATATCTTCTCTACTGGCTTCTTCCTCTCAGCCTAGGAATTTACTCAAGTATCTTCTGCCCTCAGTACAGCCTCTCTCTCATACTTAATTGCCCAAATATCTCTCTTTCCCTTTACCCCAAAACTTCTCTAAGAATAGTATAAATAACTGTCTCTGCACTCTTCACTCTTCCATAATCTGGATTTCACCCCCTACTGCTCTGGCAAAGGTGACCAGTAATCTTATTATCAAATCCAATGGTCAAACCTCAGTCCCCATTCTATCTGACTTCTCTGAAGCACTGGACAATACCGACCTTCTTCTAATTCTTTCCTGATGTCCTTGTACTATCATCCTCTTCTCTTCCTCCTGGACCCTTAAATGCTGGTGCTGCACAAGGTCCCTTCTGCCCTCTTCTCTCTCAACAACCACTAGTATGGTGAGGTTTCTTAACCATAAGAAAAACTTCTGAGCTGCACTAATCAAGATTCCTATAACCTCTATGTTCCTCAAGCCCCCTGAAGCTCAGAATTCACTTTCTCCTTCCAGCACACTATTCCGCATCCTGTTTCATTACCTTAAGTAATGACACTGCTTTTATTTAGTAACCAAGCTAAAAATCTCAGTCATTTGCCTCTGTTTGATCCCCCTTGATCTATGTGGTCTGGGAGCCAAAGGAAACATACGTAAAGAACTAAGCCAGTTGTTCTTTAAAGTGTGGTCTCTGGACTTCTGGGGATCTCACAGGCTATTTTGGAGGTTCGTGAAATCAAAGGTATTTTCATAGCAATACTAGAATATTATCTGCCTTTTACACTGTGTTGACATTTGCAATCAGAGTACAAAAACAAAGGTGAACAAAACTGCTGGTACATTATTAGCACAAATCAAGGAAGAGGCACCAAACTATACTAATAGTCATTATACTCTCCACTCAGTTTTTCTTTTTTTAAGGGAGTTCCACTTAAGATGTCCTTGATGAACAGCAAAAATTATGAATTATCTTGAGCCTTTAGTGCATTTTTTAAAAATATTCTTTGTGATGAAAGGGAAAGTATGCATAAAGCACTCTGCTGCTTTATGAATTCTCAGGAAAAAGCACAGTACAACTGAGTTGCAAAATGAACTAGAGCTTTGTTCATGGAACACGATTTTTACTTGGCAGAACTACTGACAAACATTATTTGAAACCTGCTTCACTAGCAGACATTTCCTTGCAAATGAACAAAGTGAACCTGTCACTTCAAGGAAGACCACTGACGATATTTGCTGCCAATAATAAAATCTGAATTTTTTAGGCAAAGATTAGTGTTTTTGAAAACTTGTATCAACAATCATGAACTTAAACATTTTCCCAATATTTTATTTGGTGGGTGTGGATGTGTGTGTGTGTGTTTAACAGAGTCTTGCTCTGTCGCCACGCTGGAGTGCAGTGGTATGATCTCAGCTCACTGTAACCTCTGCCTCCTGGGTTCAAGTGATTCTCCTGCCTCAGCCTCCCGTGTAGCTGGGACTACAGGCACGTGCCACCACGCCTGGCTAATTTTTGTATTTTTAGTAGAGACAGGGTTTCACCATGTTGGCCAGGATGGTCACAATCTCCTGACCTCATGATCCGCCCACCTCGGCCTTCCAAAGTGCTGGGATTACAGGCCTAAGCTGCCACATTCGGACTTTCTGAATATTTTAAAAGCCATTTCTGATTTAACAGACTTGTGACGATATTAATGAACGTGAATTTTTGATTGCATATAATGTAATGTGTAACATTTGGAAGATCTGCATAACCCAGTGAACGATAAAATGTCCAGTGAATGTCAGGAAATCATGCATGGGTAAAAAGTTTAAGTGCAAGACAAATCATTTATTTGTTGCTGTTATTTTGAAACAGGGTCTAGCTCTGTCACCCAAGCTAGAGTGCAGCGGCACAATCATGGCTCACTGAAGCCTCAACCTCCTGGGCTCAAGTGATCCTCCTGCATCAGCCTCCTAGTAGCTGGGACTATAGGTGTGTGCCACCATGCCCGGCTAATTTTTTGAATTTTTGTAGAGATGGAATTTCATTTTGTTGCCCAGGCTGCTATCAAACTCCCAGCTTCAGCCTTCCAAACTCCTGGGATTATAGGCATAAGCCGCCATGCCCAGCCTGAATTACTTATTAAATATTTTTTAAATTTCTCAAAGTTTATAAGAAAAACAATTTATTTGCTGTTCTCAACAAATTTTAAGAGTTAAAAAAGGGTCCTGAGACCAAAATGCTTGTGAAATCACTGGACTAAGCACCCCCCTCCCTGCCCCAAATGAGGGCAATCTCCAATTTAATCAAAAATGCTTATCTTTGGAGCAATACCAACACAGGATGGTAGGCCCTACAGGACCACAGTAAGCTTCTTTATAGTATGACAATTTGAATCATTAACATAAAAATACTCAAATAAATGACTGAGAAAACATTATTCATAAAAGCACCAATATACATATGGGTCGAATCTGTCTTATTGCTGTGTGTGTGTGTGTGTGTGTGTGTGTGTGTGTGTGTGTGTGTGTGTGTGTTTCTGAGATGTAGTCTCGCTCTGTCGCCCAGGCTGGAGTGCAGTGGCGTGATCTCGGCTCACTGCAACCTCCGCCTCCTGTGTTGGAGTGATTCTCCTGCTTCAGCCTCCCGAGTAGCTGGGACTTCAGGCATGTGTCACCATGCCCAGATAATTTTTGTATTTTTAATGGAGATGGAGTTTCACCACGTTGGCCAAGCTGGTCTCAAACTCCTGACCTCAGGTGATCCGCTTGCCTCAGCATCCCAAAGTGCTAGGATTACAGGTGTGATCCACTGTGCCTGGCCTCATATAATTATTAACACCAAAAGTTTCTTGTTCCAGGGTTGTATTTTAACCAACACTCTTTATGAACTAGATTTTCAGGGCTTATGTAGTTTTCTCCTGTGGGCTTTCTGGCATATGGCATTCTGTGTGGCACAAATTATTCTATGTTGTCTTTTCCCATTTCTAACTTTAAATATAATACTAATTACTAATATATTATTAAACATTGTGTTACAGACCAGTTGACAGTACTAATTCCTGTTATTAAACATTGTGTTATAGACCAGTTGACAGCTGGACCAATATAGTTGTTAAAAATATTTTGAGTCACTTTTATAATATGCAAAGGGTTTTTCCCATGGACAAACGAAAATCACTACCAGATAATTCCCATCAATTCAATCTCCTCCCCTTTTGAATGTCAATATGTAGTTGATATGAGCAATGCAAGGAGGCATATTATCAGTGCCAGATGATTAATACAACATGTGAAGAGTAATTGTACCCTACTGCCTGACAGCACTACAGTAAGACTTAGCAAGGGCAGGAAACAGCTTCCCTCTGAGGACCCAAGCAAGGGCACAAATATGCTTTATGACTTACATAAAACTTAGGAAAACCCAGGCTCACTCCAGCACAAATGAAAAAGAGGGTCATAATTAACATCACATCACAGAAGGTGCTTAAGTAGTAAACTTCTCAAAGTTATTCTGAGATTATTCAATTCTTTAAAGCTTACAACTTTAAGAAAAAATGCCGGCTTAAATCCCATCTACTCCAGCTGGGCACAGTGGCTCACGCCTGTAATCCCAGCATTTTGGGAGGCCGAGGCAGGCGTATCACCTGAGGTCAGGAGTTCAAGACCAGCCTGGTCAACATGGTGAAACCCTGTCTCTACTAAAAATACAAAAATCAGCTGAGTGTGGCGGCGAGCGCCTGTAATCCCAGCTACCTGGGAGGCTGAGACATGAGAATCACCTGAACCCAGGCAGCAGAGGTTGCAATTAGCCAAGATTGCACCACTGCACTCCAGCCGGGGCAACAAGAGCAAGACTCCATCTTAAAAAAAAAAAAAAAATCCCATCTACTCCAAGACTTCTCTGAAATGATGTCTATGAACTTGACATTAACATATACACTTCAAAGACAATAGTTTATTTGATTTGCACTTTATCCTTGGTCTCAATATCCCCATAGGATACACAGCATAGTGTAGTTACTAAAACAATCATCTAAGTAAGGGGGTGGGGGAGGAGAGAGAGTGCAGAGAACAGGAAAAAGTGACCACTTTTTCCGAAAAAATTCCCATTCCTAATTCCTAAATCTTGAGATTTCTATACCAAAGAAATACCATTTATTGACTTGACATACCTTTATTGACTCGAAATACTATGCTAAGATTCAACATTACTCCCAAAGATATTCATAAGTAAGAGGAGCACTGACTCAAGTGAGCAAATCTCAGTTCCCATCCTGGCTCCACCTCCTGTAGGTTACTTAACTATTCTGTTCTTTAAGTCTCCTCATCTACAAGTAACAGAGCCTTCCCGACAAGGATGCTATGATGATGAAATAAGATACTTTCAATTACTTGGCCACGTACCTGGAGCAACCACCCAGTATTATTTGCACTTTTATTACACTGGAAACAAAAAGGAAACATAGAAGGAATGAATTTCCATGGCTTTTTAATGCACCTAGTTTGCAATTAGCTACAATTGCCATAAACCACCACCTAAGTTTAGTACTTTAATCTTTTCCCTGTTATGTCTAGACTTACTTTTAATATTTCATGATGTTGTTTATAATAAAAAGAAAACTGAATGCCAAAAACTCGGTTAAATTATTAAATATCCATACAATGGAATACTGTGCAACCCTAAGTGTGGCAGAGCTATATTTACTAACATAGAAAAGTGCTTGCTTCATTATTAAATGAAAAAAAGTTACAAAACAAAACACAGTATCATCTCAATTTTGCTTTAAAAAGTCATTGGTTAAGATTCTTTTGTCTTTTGTTTCTTGGCTTATGTAAAGTCTCCACCATAAACATGTATTACTTCTATAATAAAATGGAGAGAAACAAAAAGAAAACAATGGAAATTCTTAAAGAGCCAATAACTAAGTAAAACAAAATCACAGTAACATTCTTTTTTTTTTTTTAAGAGATGGAGTCTCGCTCTGTCACCCAGGCTGGAGAGCAGTGGCGTGATCTAAGCTCACTGCAAGCTCCACCTCCCGGGTTCACGCCATTCTCCTGCCTCAGCCTCCCCAGTAGCTGGAACTACAGGCGTCCGCCACCACGCCCAGCTAGTTTTTTGTATTTTTAGTAGAGACAGGGTTTCACCATGTTAGCCAGGATGGTCTCCATCTCCTGACCTCGTGATCTGCCCACCTTGGCCTCCCAAAGTGCTGGGATTACAGGCATGAGCCACCACGCCCGGCCCATAGTAACATTCTTAAATTTAATATACAGAGCAAAACAATGATTCCTATCCCACTTGACCCCTACAAAATTCAAAAAGCTTCAATCTTTGACAATGTAAAGCAGGGAAAGACTGTCAAATTTAAGCAGTTCTTAGAGAAGCTCAGGGCTAAAGGAAAAAAAAACGAAAAACAAAAAAAGGAAGCAGTTCTACACAAACAGCACAACAGCCTATCTGATAAATCATCTTTCTCCAAAGAATACAAAGCCTTAAAAGCTATAATTAACTGATTAATCCTCATAACAACCTGGGCAGTAGAATTAGGGCTGAGATTATAATTTCTAATTTACCGGTGGGGATAAAGTCAGACTGTACATTCAGAATAAAAATTCAAGCCCCAAATATCCCAATTTTTAGTTCATTCAGTTAGTAAACTATAATCTGACAAATACAGATGGAGCTGCTACACCTGCTGTCACTCACACAAATTGAGATTCTGCAGTAAGCTTGTACAGATAAAAGAAAAGGCTACCTATTCAAGGTCATTTAGCTATAAAAGGTTGGGCTAGATAATCAATAGTTTCTCTCTCAGTTTCAAAGAAGTATTTTAGGGTCTGGAAGATGTTAAATGCACTCAGCAAGCAAATACATTTCGGAAAAACTTCCCAGATGGAGACTCACAACGTATTGCATCATACTGAATATGCAAATGTTTACCTTTACCAAACTTTTTTAACAAGCACCTTTTTCCATTACATCTATTAATATCAAGCAGAAACATCATTGTGAGAAATACAAGTTGGGATAAAGTTCAAATATGTGACCTCTAGGGTCCCTTCCTATGTTAATTCTATTATTCTAAATTGCACCATCGGTCCAAGGACAAACTTCTACCTAACACAAGTGGCACTTGGGAAGCAAAAATATACTTCTAGGATAGAGTTTCTCAACCTAACCACTAACTGACATCTCACGATGAGTAATCTATCACAGGGGGCTATCCTGGCAGTAGCATGTTTAGCAACATCTCTGTTTTCCACCCACTAGATGCTAGTAGTGCCCTTCTGAAAATTATGACAATCAAAAATGTCTCCAGACATGTCAAATATGGGAGCTGGGGGGTTCAACATCACACCTCCCAACAGAGAACCATATCCTAAAGATTATACACACACATATATATACTCTTTCAAAAGCAAAACGTATCCAGCTGCTTCAAATACTGTAAGTCAGAACTAACTCCACACCCACAAATGAAAACCTCATTTATTCCCAGTCAATTTCCAAGACAAGACTCCAGATACACAAGAATAACCTGGAAGCATCCACCTTGCAAAAATATTTAGCTGCAGAGAACAAAGGGGAAGGAATAGGTCATCCAGGTGGCCAACAAGTATTACAACCACACTTGCACTGAAAGCAAAAGCAAAAATCAGATGGGGAAGAAAAGTTTGCCCATAATGTGGCTTCTACTAACCTCTTCCTTCACCATTACCTCATTTCTCTACACAAAGGACGGAAAGAAACAGCAGGAAGGATGATTAGGGAAGTGTCCATGAAGTTGCCGCAATTTTAGCTGAGACTTGAAAATTAGCTAAAATGTCATTATGCAAAAGGCTAGGACAAGAGAATGGTAATGTGGCATTCTAGTGAGAGGAAATGGCATAAGAAAAGGCAACGCTGTGTGGGAAAAGGCGACATTCTGAAGGTTAAAAGAAATGAACAATTTGGGCCGGGCGCAGTGACTCATGCCTATAATCCCAGGACTTTGGGAGGCTGAGGCGGGTAGATCACCTGAGATCAGGAGACCAGCCTGGCCAACATGGCGAAACCCCATCTCTACTAAAATTACCAAAAATTAGCCGGGTGTGGAGGCGCGCACCTGTACTCCCAGCTACTTGGAAGACTGAGACAGGATAATTGCTTGAACCCAGGAGGCAGAGGTTGCAGTGAGCTGAGATCGGGCCACTGCACTCCAGCTTGGGTAACAAGAGCGAGACTCCATCTTAAAAAAAAAAAAAAATTAACAATTTGCTTAAAACACAAAGCATATTTTAATAGAGGAAATAGTAGAATGAAGGTGGAAAGGCAGTTTGAAGCCAGATCCTTAACGGACAGCCTTTAATAGCCTTAATTCAGACTTAAAGACAGTAGAGGGGCCAGGCACAGTGGCTCACGCCTGCAATCCCCGCACTTTGGGAGGCTGAGGCGGGTGGATCACCTGAGGTCAGGAGTTTGAAACCAGCCTGGCCAACGTGGTGAAAACCCGCCTCTAATAAAAATACAAAAAAATCAGCTGGGTGTGGTGGCGGGCACCTGTAATCCCAGCTGCTCGGGAAGCTGTGGTAGGAGAATCGCTGAAACCTGAGCGGCAGAGGTTGCAGTGAGCCGAGATCGCACCATTGCACTCCAGCCTGGGTGACAAAAGTGAGACTCCATCTCAAAAAAAGAAATAAATAATAAAAATAAAAATAAAAAATTTAGCCGGGCATGATGGCAGGTGCCTGTAGTCCCAGCTACTAGGGAGGCTGAGGCATGAGAATCACTTGAACCCAGGAGGCAGAGGCTGCAATGAGCTAAGATTGAGCCACTGCATTTCAGCCAGGGCGACAAAGAGAGGCTCTGTCTCAAAAACAAAAACAAACAAACAAAGACAGCAGAGGCCAGGTGCAGCGGCTCAGACATGTAATCCCAGCACTCTGGGAGGCCAAGGCAAAAGGATTGCTTGAGGCCAGGAGTTTGAGACCAGCCTGGTCAACATAGCGAGATCGAGTCTCTGAAAAATAAAAAGTATATACATATATATATACACACACATATATATGTATATGTATATATAAAATAATGACAGCAGAGTATCATTAAACACTTTTTAAATGGGAGTGAAACATCAGACTGTGCTTTAGAGAGATCAGTTGGGTAGGATGGATTGAAAGTAAGTAAAAAGGCATCTATAGATGGCAAAGACCAATAAAAAAGCTACCACAATAATCCAGATAGGATGCAATGAGAACTTCAACCAGAAAATAATAGTCAAAGTCTCTACCAAAGCTTAAATCCAGAAATGTGAAGGGGCCAGTCTAACAAAAAGGCCAAATATATGACAAACAAAAACATGATGGCTTATAAAGAATGGAAAGAAAGCTCTCTTTTCCTTCATAATTTCATCTCCTTTGTGACGAAATCCTTCTTTTCTCACGAAGCTTTTCAGGTTTGGTATGTCCTCTCTATACTTCTAACACTATCAGTCTAGCCCAGGTCCTCATCAGCTCCTGTCTAGATTATCACAACAGCTTCCTGACTAGTGCCTCAGTGCCCCAAACTATCCTTTACCTTTTTATCATCTCACTTTCCTACTCTGAACAAGTTCCTCACACTTTTTTTTTTTTTGAGACAAAGTCTCGCTCTTGTCCCCCAGGCTGGAGTGCGATGGCGCGATCTCCGCTCACTGCAACCTCCGCCTCCCAGGTTCAAACGATTCTCCTACCACAACCTCCCGAGCAGCTGGGATTACCGGTGCCTGCCACCACAGCCAGCTAATTTTTTTGTAATTTTAGTAGAGATGGGGTTTCACCACGTTGGCCAGGCTGGTTTCGAACTCCTGACCTCAGGTGATCGACCCGCCTCGGCCTCCCAAAGTGCTGGAATTACAGGCATGAGCCACCACACCCAGCCCCTCACACCTTTTTAATGAGTTCAAATTCTTCAAGATGAAACTTAACGTCAGGGCAAGCACATCAATTGATACGGACCCAGAACTCCCCACAGATTCCCAACTCCGTATCTTTGCCTATGTTGCTACCTCTACCTGGAAGGTCCTTCTTCTACTTTTTTTTTTTGTCCCCAAACTTACTAATTTTTCAATACATAGCATCTCCACAAAAACTTCTTAGACTCTTCCAATTCATATCACTTTCTTCCTGCTTGAATTGTATAATGCACTTAAAGTCACTGTCATTCAGTTCAAATTATCTGAATTTTCCCTAATTGTTAACTAATTCTATTTCCAAGACAAGCAAAATTCCTTAACAGCACCCTTCTTTAGCGTGCTAACTTTATCGAGAGCTTGGTACATAGTAAGTGCTGTAAGCCCTAAATGACTGGACTAGAGAAGTCAAAAAGGCCTCGTGGGGGTTGCCCTCAAGTGTAAGATTTTACTAAGAAGAGAAAAAGGAGGAAACACGAATCAAAAAATTGACACAATCAAAATAATGGGAAAGACGTGGGGCATGATCCACAAAACAACTTGCATGAATCAGGTGGTATATGTACAGCTTCTCAAGAGAAAGAGAGGAAAAGAACAGTGATTTGTGATGAAGTACTGCAAGCTACATTATGGAATGCACTGCAAAGTATTTATTTTACATATGAACAAAAGTAGATTTGTTGTGGAATACAATGGGGAAGGAGAGACAAAATTTTTACTATAAAACAAAGAGATAATGTGTGTCACCCACAAGACCATTATCAATTTCCTTGGCCAACAGGGCTTCTTAACTGAAAAAGCTTTATATTACTAAAGGAATCATTCCTGAGTGCAGGATAGGTTATTACAAATGTTGTTCACTAACATTAATTAGCGTTTTACTATGTCAATCACTATGCTAAGTATCTTACATATATTCTCTTAATCTTCACAATAACAATGTAAGGTAAGTACTACTGTCCTCATTTTATAGATGCTCAAAGAAGTTAAGTAATTTGCCCATGATCACACAACTATGAAGTTGCAGGGGCAGGATCCATAATGCTAAAGCCGATGCTTTTAACTACTACACTAGATAGTTTAAGGCTTAAACTGAAACGGTCTTAACTGCCTGACAGTAAATTCTGAATTTTAGTCTTTAGAGGAAAGTCAGTCAAAGAACACCAACTACCTACTGAGTATCTCCAATAAATATTAAAATGCCTAGAGTATTCAAAGCACCACAGTAAGTACATACAAGGATGACAAGCAGCAGTAAAGAGAGACACTACTGTGTGATTTGGGGGATGGAGGCAATCCTCATACAGGCTGAGAAGTAGGCGGAGTCAGAAAATGCTTTTCAGAAAAAAGAACATCCAGGCTGAAACCTAAAGAATGAGTAGGAGCTGGGTGCAGTGGCAGGCGCCTGTATTTCCAGTTACTCAGGAGGCAGGAGGATGGCTTCAGGCAAGGAGTTCAAGGCCAGCCTAGGCAACATAGCCCCCATCTAAAAAAGCCACCCAAACAAAAACACTAATTTTTTTTTTTTAAATGATGGCCTACCATGGTAGCTCACACTTATAAGCCCAGCACCTTGGGAGGCCAAGGCAGGAGGATCGCCTGAGCCCAGGAGGAGTTTGAGACTAGCCTAGACAACACACTGAGACCCAGTCTCTAAAAAAATAATAATTAGCTGGGCATAGTGGGAGGGTCACTTGAGCCTGGCGGGTGGAGGTCGCAGTGAGCTGTTATCACGCCACTGCACTCCAGCCTGGGTTACAGAGCAAGATTCTGTCTCAAAAGAAGGAAAAGAGGAGAGGGGAGGAGAGAGGAGAGAGGAGAGAGGAGACAGGGGAGAGGGGAGAGGAGGTGAGAGAAGAAAAGGAGGGAAAGAAGGAAGGAGGGAGGGAAGGAAGGGAAGGAGTAGGGCCGGGAGAGGTGGCTCACGCCTGTAATTCCAGCACTTTGGGAGGCCAAGGCAGGAAGATCACTTGAGGTCAGGAGTTTGAGACCAGCCTGGCCAACACAGCGAAACCCCGTCTTTGCCTGTAATCCCAGCTATTCAGAAGGCTGAGGTACAAGAATCACCTGAATCTGGGAGGCAGCGGCTGCAGTGAGCTGAGATGGCACCACTGCACTCCAGCGTAGGCGACAGAATGAGACTGTCTCCAAAAAAACAAAAAGAAAGAAATGAGTAGAATTCAGCATTGCCTATACAACTACTTCAAGCATCCCATATTCAAAACCCATTCCCTGCCCCAACACCAAATCCAAAACTTCCTCCTGCTCCTCAACATTGTCTATTTGAGTTAATCATGACCTCAAATCACCAACTTACTTTTTACCATAAATATTTAATTTAAACATCTACTAAATGCCAGATACAAGATAGT
Source organism: Homo sapiens (assembly GCF_000001405.40). NCBI lineage: Eukaryota > Metazoa > Chordata > Mammalia > Primates > Hominidae > Homo > Homo sapiens. The sequence goes on from NT_187663.1 coordinate 886,237, forward strand.
AAAATATAAATTAGGTGTGAAGGTAGCCTAGCTTGATAAAGTACTGTATTTCACCTGAAGGGGTCAAGGAAGGCTTCTAGAAAAGATGACATACTGACTGAATTTTGAAAGGTGAGGTGGTGCACAGAGGGTGAGGGTTGGCAACACACAGAATGACAGGCACATTCATTCCATCCTTGGTGCCAATGCCCTAGTGCAGAACCTCATTATGTACTATAGTAATTCAGGCAGTAATAATCTCCCAACTATTCTTCCTTCTTCCTGTCTCAGCAAGCCTCTAATCTAGCGTCCACTACCAAAATGATTATTAGAAAGGGAAGAAAAAAGGAAAGGAGGGGGTAAACCTAAATCTAACCATTTAAAATCTTTCACTGACTCTAGAGTAAGGATGAGTCCAAATTCCCCACACACCATTATCTGTCCCCTTTTTACATTAGACCTCATCTCCAGCCTGTCCTCACTGCAGCCACCTGAAACATATGTTTCCTGGCTCTTCTATGCCCCTGCACCTTTACTCATGCTACTCTTTCACGGTTCAGCTCAAGGTTACATGCTCTTTCAAGTATTCCCCATTACTCCCAGGTTGAGGTGGGGTCCCTCCCTCTAGGCTCTTACCTGCACCCCCATGACACCCTGGCTATTGCTCATGGTACAATATAAACTCACAATTTTGTCTTGTCTCTTTCTTCCCCAGAGTATGTACTTTTTTTTTTTTTTTTTTTTGAAACAGAGCCTCTCATTGTCACCCGGGCTGGAGTGCAGCGGCACAATATTGGCTCACTGCAACCTCCACCTCCTGAGTTCAAGCGTTTCTCCTGCCTCAGCCTCCTGAGTAGCTGGGATTACAGGCACCCGCCACCACATCTAGCTAATTTTTTGTCTTTTTTAGTAGAGACAGGGTTCCACCATGTTGGCCTGGCCTGACCTCGTGATTCGCCAGCCTCGGCCTCCCAAAGTGCTGAGATTACAGGCATGAGCCGCCACGCCTGGCCAACCATGTACTTCTTAAAAAAGGAGGGTTATAGCTTGTTTTATCTCTGTCCCCTACAAGCAGCACAATGCCTGGCAGACAGCAGACCAACACACGTTAAGCAACCTGAGCATTCTATGCTAAACCCATCAGATGAAGATCCATTAGGACGTTAATGGGGATGTCTGAAGTGATCAACCACCTAACAAGAAGAGGCATCAACTGAACCTAGGATAGGCTTCACCCACTACAAGTTCCAGTTATTTACTTGACCAAGCACCTGTACCCAGACTAGGAAACTTTTTAACTACACTTTTTAAGCTATTATTAAATGTGGTTACACAGCATTATAAAGGTAATAGCCATCAAAATCACAAATGTAATTGCTCAAACTTTTACCCAGCAACTGCACTTCTAGAAATCTATTCAACAGAAATATTCTCATAGGTACTCAAAGATGTATACACAATGCTTTCACTGAAGAACTGGAATACAAAAAAAAAACCCTAATTAAAAAGATCAAGCCATATAACAAGTATGATCCCATTAAACATATATATATACACATATATATACACACACATATATACACACACACACACACACACACACACACACACACACACACACGGATAGGCTAGGCCCCATGGCTCATGCCTGTAATACCAGCTACTCTAGAAGTCAAGGTGGGAGGACTGCTTGAGCCCAGGAATTCAAGACCAGCCTAGACAACATAGCAAGATACCATCTCAAGAAAACTTTTTTTTCTGAAGGATGTCTATATATCAAACTATTAATGGTGTTAATCCTACTTCTATGCTAGCACTGAATTCAAATTTCCTACCACTCTTTAGCTGACAAAAGACAGAGGAAAAAAAAATCATACTTTTTATCATATCTCTTTCCAACAAGCCCTAATGGTTGGTGTAAGTGCTCCTGAACAATCCTAAAATCAGCGACTTCTGGAAGATTTTAAGAATTCTAAAGGAGGCCGGGCGCGGTGGCTCATGCCTGTAATACCAGCACTTTGGGAGGCCGAGACGGGTGGATCACAAGGTCAGGAGATCGAGACCATCCTGGCTAACACAGTGAAACCCCGTCTCTACTAAAATGCAAAAAAAAAAAAAAATTAGCTGAGCATGATGGCGGGCACCTGTAGTTCCAGCTACTCGGGAGGCTGAGGCAGGAGAATGGCATGAACCCAGGAGGCAGAGCTTGCAGTGAGCTGAGATCCCGCCACTGCACCTCCAGCCTGGGGCACAGAGCGAGACTGTGTCTCAAAAAAAAAAAAAAAGAATTCTAAAGGAAACAGGTTATTCTGGGAGGGTCCATGGCCAAATTCCTGAGTTCCCACTGAAACCTACCTTATACCTTTAGAGAAAAGTCAATTAATGACTTTTAAAAGTACATTTTTCCAATGCCAATAAAATGTTAAGTCAATACTAATATCCATTTTTCATTCTCTTGGGAGGCAAGGGGTAAGGAGTAAATCACTAAGTGCAAAAAAATACAGTCCAATTTTTTGGAGACATGCTTAAGGTCTTCAAAGAGCTTCAGTTCTCCATGGTAACATATGGAGAGTTTAATGAAACTTTCCTGACAGTTCAACTTATCAGACTGGTATTTCTTTTTTCTTTTTTTTGAGACGAAGTCTCTCTCTGTCGCCCAGGCTGGAGTGCAGTGGTGCGATCTCGGCTCACTACAACCTCCGCCTCCAGGTTCAAGCAATTCTCCTGCCTCAGCCTCTTGAGTAGCTGGGACTACAGGCATGCGCCACCATGTCCAGCTAATTTTTGCTGTTTTTTTTTTTAGTAGAGACAGGGTTTCACCATGTTAAGCCAGGCTGGTCTCAAACTCCTGACCTCAGGTGATCCGCCTCGGCCTCCCAAGGTGCTGGGATTACAGGCATGAGCCACCACACCCAGCCCAGGCTGGTATTTCTATGAAGTGTCTCTCCTATACTAGAAACCAGAAACTAGCTACAGTACTTAGCTTTGAGCCTCTTTCCCTTCACACCCTCTGGTGGAGGTGCTAACAAACAGTCACAAAGGCCAAATAACAAGCAGCAAGAGGAAAGTCTAGATATGAGTTCTTAGCAATTTTTGGTTTAACATCCTAACAACAAAATTGTTATTCCTCTTTTTTATTCCCTAATACTTACCTTCCAACTGAATTTAACCAAGTCTAACCTTAAGCTCTCCCCTTTTTAAAAAGGAATTAAAAGGTGAGGGACTCCATTAAGTTTGATGTCACTCAAGCAACTTTTTCCAAATAAGAGCAGAATCTGCTGTAATTAAAATTCAGAGTAAGATCTCATTTTGGATTCCTGGTTCAGGTTACAAGAACCAGAGTTTTTAAAATAACATTTAGATAAAACTGCACTCAATCTACCTCCACTTTGCATTTCCTGACCCTCAAAATCTTGGAAAGAAACTTTAATTCTAAAAAAATTACAGCCAGGAAAAAAAAGGGTAAGTTCACAGTCAGCAACAATAAAATACACAGCTAAATAATTTCCTGGTAGAGGGCTTTCAAATGTTAACACTGTGGAAGCAGCTTAAAATCTTGGAAAAGCAAGGCTTGCAGAAAGTAACATTTATTAAACAACTATTTTGCCGCATTGTGCTACTAAATGGGGAAGGTCTACTCTATTTAAAAGGTCTCTTCCACCTTAAAGGGACTCTTTGCATAAAGGTTTAAAATCTTCATATAAAATGTTTGATTTTTTTCTTTCAGACTGCCCAAACTCATTTGTTTTTGATTCATAAACATGAGCTGTGTTTTCTACTTTGGTCAAGTCAGTTTCCGCACTCTATTTTAGCTTTACCTTTATTCTACCAAAGACAAGAAAATGCTTAATAAAGAAAAATATATATTGCAGCTCTTTTTGGAGTCCAAGTATTTTGGTAAATCACACCTTTTGGCTTATTTTCTCCTATGTATTTTGTTCTACATCCTAAAAGGCACATGGCTTAAAAAAGAAACAAATAATAATAGTTACCCCCTGCCATACTAGTCATCTCCTATGACCCACAATCCTCCCCTCAATCTGCAAGTGACACCCAAGGATATCACTTACCTCCTATATCTTCTGATAGCCTTCAAACGCTGGTGAACTCTAGTACAGTGGATATTTGTCTTTTCTAATTCATACTGTCTTCTACAGCCATAGTGTGGTTCAACTGAGTTTTGATCTCACATTTCAGGGAATGGGAAGTACTGATGAGGGAAACTTATCTTGTCATATAAACTATTGTTCTGCACAACTTTTAGTATGCCCAGAGGTATATACGCAACTTATCAGCATAGAAACTGTAATTTAAACATACATCTTCAGAAGCAACATGAGAACTAAAAAAGTCTTAAAACAGACTTCCAAGAAACAGTTATGAAGTCCAATTTTAGGAAAAAGACATGATCCAAGTGTTCTTTGCACTGACACAGTAGGCAAGCCAGGTGTCTGGGGCCATTTTACTTAAGAACCTGCCCTGTACTCCTTTCTTAAGGTAAGTAAGTAAAGAGGCACTAAGGTAAAATACGCTTCCCAAGACATAGACTAATCAAATCACTCAAGGCAGGAACATTTAAAATGAAGAAAGAGTACAACGAAAGCTGCTTTAAAACTCTAAATAAGACAAGCAAGGGGCCAGGCCCGGTGGCTCACGCTTATAATCCTAGCACTTTGGGAGGCTGAGGTGGGTGGATCACCTGAGGTCCGGAGTTCAACACCAGCCTGGCCAACATGGCAAAACCCCATCTATACTAAAAATAGAAAAAAATTAGCCAGGCGTGGTGGTGGGCACCTGTAATGCCAGCTACGCAGGAGGCTGAGGTAGGAGAATCGCTAGAACCCTAGGGGTGGAGGTTGCAGTGAGCCAAGATCGCGCCACTGCACTCCAGCCTGGGCAACAGAGCAAAGATTGTCTCAAAAAAAAAAAAAAAAAAAAAAAAAAAAAAAAAAAAAGACAAGCAAGGTTATATGCTCCCGTTGCTCAACCTACTCAGGAGGCTAAGGCAGGAAGATCACTTGAGCCCCGGAGTTCAGGCACTCTAAACTGTAGCGCACAATGATTACATCTGTGCACGCCAACCTGGGAATCACAGCGAGACCCCGAGACCTCGTCTCTAAAATGAAAAAGAAACAAAATCTCTAAACCACTCAATAAGATTTACTCTGGGGCAATCAACAGACAACCACTTATTCAGTTTACCCTAGTCCCTCCCCTCTAAACTCAAGGAATGGAACGGAGAGGTCCTTTGTTGGGGGGTGGAGAGGGACAATAAAACTATATACATCTATCTAGCAAGAAAGTCGCTTATTTCTGTGTCTTAATGGACTCACCAAGAAGAAAAAAATAGCCCCTACCCATCTCCCCACAAGCTGAAAAAACATAAAAGGAATACGCATTACTCTTTAAACATGGCGTTTACTATGTTTAGAAAATCCAGTGTGGATTAGTTTGGTGTTTTATAGCACATTTTAAAAATTGCTTGTCTAGGCTAAGCGTAGTGGTTCATGCCTGTAATTCCGGCACTTCTGGGAGGCCGAGGCAGGTGGATCACTTGAGGTCAGGAGTTCGAGACCAGCCTGGCCAACATGGTGAAACCCCCGTCTCTACTAAAAATACAAAACTTAGCTGGGCATGGTGGCACACGCCTGTAGTCCCAATGGCACATGCCTGTAGTCCCTGCTACCCAGGCGGCTGAGGCACGAGAATCGCTTGAACCTGGGAGGCGGAGACTGCAATGAGCTGAGATAGCACCACTGCACTCCAGCATGGGCGACAGAACGAGACCCTGCCTCAAAAAAAAAAAAAAAAAAAATTGCTTGCCTGATATAACAAGGTAACTAAGCTTTACTCGCAAAGGGGCCTAATCAGAACCTCTCAATACTAAAATACCTTCTCAAACAACCACAACACCCCTATGTTTACAGAGTACACAAATCAGGTCATAACGAACAGAACAAACCTAAAACTTCTTATTCACTTTAAAATGCAATTAAAACCTGTGGTCAACTCAATCCTCTACAGAAGACGCAGAGACACTGGTTACAATGTAGCATTACTAGAGATGGAAGAGTAGCCTTAGTGACAGTGAAGAAAAAAGTTTAGTATAGTTACTTCACTTTCTTCTCACCTTGATATGAGTTCACAAGTGAACTAAGGCCTACTCATTTTCTAACTTCCAGAATTTTCCTCAACAGGAAACACTCACGTAACAAAGAGTGCTCTGCAGGTTTAACCAGAGAAATAACATGTGTAGGCAGGAAGAAAGAAAATCAGACAAAAATTTAACATCTCACGTTGGTAAAGCACCAAAGTCAAATACGAATGTTCTGAACGTGGCTTTCAGAAAAGATGCAAGAAAACTTCTAAAATACTTCACTTCAGTGGACTCATATAGATGGAAAGACCGAAAATCCCACCCTACCATAAAGGCTCTAATAATTCTTAACTGATCATTCTTTTAACTGGTCACAATCACAGACACTGGTATATACTCAAATGAGGTGGCCATCAGTGACAACCATCTTCACCATAATATAGACATTAAGAACCTTTGTAACATTTAATGTTTCCCTCCAAGTAGTTCAAAAAATAAAAAGTCAATCACCTCAAATTATGAGGTACTAACAAATACACCAAATATGCTAAAGGTCGAAGGAACGGCACACTTTGTTGCATAAACCTAGTGGAAATCCAATTCAGAATTTCATGACTGAAGGTAGTTATTCCACATTTATAATACATTTTTTAAATTCCCAAGGGATGAGCATTTTTACCTTGCCTTATTTTTAGAACTACACATCACACTGCACATATCACATGACATGATGTAACTGTTAGCAAAGAAAATGGTCCAAACCATTGACAATGTACATGGTAAATCAGGATCAATGCATACTCAAGAACCACATTTCGTATTTACTTTAAAAAAAAAGTTTCTTAATTCAAAATGTTTTTTCAAATTGAAAAAATGTCTAGTAACCTATGTAGAAAAAACCAGAAATGTACTTCGTATTTTATAAAATAGGAGTTTACCCAATTATGGGAAAAACTGATATAAAGAAACAGATAAAGGAATAACATACTTCTAAAACTACAGGATTAAAAGTAAAAATTTTCTAGATCAACACCGAAATGCTAATAAATACACTTAGCATTAGGCACAAAACAATTACTACTCAAAAGTATTCACTGTTGATAGGTTAAAAAAATAGTTTTAACTGACAACGCCTGTAGACAATTGAAATTTTCTAAATTGGTCAGACAGCATGCTAGAAAAGGAACCAAGTAGAGCCTATAGGAAAGGGGAAAGGGAAAACACACCCACTTAAGCCTTTGTAAATAGTGGTCCTTTAACTGACCCAAAAAGCAGAGAAAACAGAAATTACAGACCATCCTGACAAATGGAAAACATATTCTAACGTACTAGTTTCCATACTTGAAAGGACTTTCAAAATGAAGTTCAGTAGCAATCTATAACTATATCATGATTATGCAAGGCAAAGATTATGTAATTTTATCGTTTATTTTAAAATGTTCTCCGACTCTAAAACTAAAACAAGTAAAACGTTTTGATCTCTCCAAAGCGAAAAGGAAAGGTTCCTCTGAGCTGCAATTTAAAAATATAAACACACACCCCAAAACAAACAAAAAAACACAATGATTGCTAGCCACGTGACAAAGGAGATGGCAACACCAGGATTGTGAATGGAGGGGAGGGAGGCGAGGCTGGAGGAAGAGAGATTTCTCGGAACTTTGGGGACCGCGGCAGTCGGTCTGCCGACCCTAGGAGCACTAAACTCCAGCCCCTACGAGTTGTGCTTCTAACACCCTCAAGTACAGTTTTATTAATAAGTCACAGAAAATGCTCCAGTGACCTCCAGGATAAAGGGGGGTGGGGGGGACCGAGGAAAAGGAAAGAGAGCAATTTAAAGTGGCGCCATCATGTCACCCCTTCTCCCCTAAAGCAATCAGTAAGCAATAGTTAAGTAGCACGTTTCTCTATAAATCCACATTGGGATTCCAACATTGGAAAACGAGGATTTTTAAGTAAGACACGGGAGTAGCGCTGTTTATCGTATGGAAAACAAACTATTTGCTAAGAATCAAAAGACCGTCAGCCGGAAAACAGGCCCCCAAAAAGGCAGTTAAGATTCCAACTCACTTAAAAGCAAATAAATCCCTCTTCCTCTTTAGTTTAAAAAAAAAAAAAGTCCGCCTGAGGGAGACTACATCTGAAAACGTAAGTGACCTGAATTTACAGGCAACAAAAATAATAAATGAAACAATCAGAGTTGTGATACAAACCGTGCAACGCGCCAAGATGTGTGTTTCGAGCAGAGAAAGGCCTTTTGCAGTCAAGAGAAGTTCAAGGCGAGAGCCAGAGTTTGTTTGGGGGGTTCTTTTACGGGAATAAATCATGTTCTTCAGGCCGCCTTTTTAAATAGAACGCCAAAGGAAAAGCTGGCGAACGAGGCGGCAGCTCCTGGGGAAGGGCCCCCGCACACCCCCGCCCTTGGGGCGACTCCCAGCCCGGACCCGCAGCAGGGAAGCCCGGAGAGGCCATTTAAAGTTCCGGGGGATTTTTCTACCCTGCCCTGCCTTTCTAGTTACAACTAACAAAGAGAGAGAGAAATGGGAGCCACAGGGAGAGCGAGGAGAAGGAGAAAGGGCAGCAGGAGGAGGAGGAGAGGAGCAGCAGCAACACCTACCACGTGATGGAGGAGCGTAGCCCGGGCGGATTCAGCCCCACAAAATGGGCGCAGTTTGCAAACAGCCCCCCGGCCTGGGCGCCGAGGGCCAGCGGCGGGCGGGGGCGCGCGACGGCGGCTCCGGCCCGGGCCCGCCGCTCTCCTCCCCCCGACGCCCGGAGCCGCCCTGACTTTCCGGGCGGGGGGGCGAGGCAGAGGGGGAGGGGAAGGCGGCGGCGGGGAGCGGCTGCTTTTTCTTCTCTTTCGGGCCCTTTCCCGGCCTTGCTCCGCACCGACGGGGCCCGAGCACGGCTGGAGACCGCAGCCCGGCCGGGAGGGCGGGCGGGCGGGGGCAGAGAGTGAAACCGCCCCCCCGCCCCGCACAAACAAGCACCGCCGTCTGCAGCCCGAACCCGCACCCAGGCCGCCACCCCCGGCCGCCTCTTTCCAGCCGGGGAGCGCGCTTCAGCCGCCCCCCGCGCCGCCGCGGCAAGACGAGTCGGCTTCGCTACGGTGCTCGGTTCTCCCGCCGGCTCGGCGAGCGGTGGCGGCGGTGGCGGCGGCACTGGGAAAATGGCGGCCGAGCTCCTTTTCCCTCCCCCCCTTTAATCTGAAGCGGAGGGAGAATGGAGCGAGCGAGCAAGCGGGCGAGCGCCGGGGACACGGGGAGGAGGGACAGCAGCGCCTCCGCCGGCTGCGGCTGCGGCGGCGAAGGGCCGCTCCACCCCGGCGCGCCGCCAGGGGGCGCCCGCCGCGCCGCCCCCGCGGGCCGCCAGGAGGCGCGGCCGCCGCCGCCTCAGTCATGGCTCCTCGCCGTGGCCGATGTTTTTGTACCTCCATCTGCGGAGGCCGCGGCGCCCGGCCCCAGCTGCCCCGGACGTGCGGCGACGGCACGCAGCACTGCGGCAGGGGGAAGCCAGCCCTCGCTGCGGCCGAGGTGAGTCTAACCTGAGGCACTGACGCCGTCACATGCCCTCCGTGCTGGGGCCGGCGGTGCGGCTCGCCAGTTGAGGGGCAGGGCGGGCCGGCGCCGCGGAGCGAGAGGACGTGAGCGAGGAACTGTTTGCACTGTGTAGTAAAGAGGGTAAGGCCGTCGGCACCACACTATTCCAAGGCTAACCCTGCAGAAAGCTCCCTGACCAGTGAAGCGGCTTCCGCCGCCCGCCCTTTGTCCCTAGCAGCCAGCCTCCGTATACTGCAGCACGGCTGGGCACTAGCCCCAGCACCGCGCTCCGCAGCCACCAGAGTTGGGCGGGGTGGGGAGGGTGCACGTAGTCACTGCGCAGGCCCCAGCCAGGGCCCGCGCCGGGCCAGCCCGGGAAGGGACAGCCGGGAGCCAGAGGGGAAGTGATGGCCCCGCCGGCGCCGGGCCCGCTGGGAACTGTAGTTTTCGTGAAGAAACACGCGTCTTGTTTTGGGTGTCATGGCTTGGCAGATCCGCCAAAACAGGCAAATGGCATTACACAATGAGTATTTATGCTTCCTGCCGCCACCAAAAGGAAGTTCACTGCCATGCTAAAAGTTTAACAAAGAACTCCATAAAGAAACACAAGTCTCACAACAAAAAGCCAACTTCCCACCTCGTTACCAGAGTTGGTTTAAAGTGGTGGCACCTTATCATTTCTCATGACCAGTTTATCAGTACAGAACTTTATATTGTCCCCAAAATAGGACCTTTAAAATAATGGAACCTTTCCTAGACTTAAAGAATTCATAAACATAATGTAATACAAAGTGTCACACAAAGTGTAATTCTACCACCCTTTAAAGTTGCCAAAAGATGAGTGGAGTATCTTGAGATTTAAAAGACTAATCTAGGATTCATCAAAACTGGCTTAAATGACTGAAGAAAAAATCGTTCAAATCATTAAATCATCAAATTCGGCAGATAAGAAGGGTATGTATGCTCTACTACCAAAAAGGAAGACGCAAAATGCTTCACACTTTTTTGTGGCTTACCAGAACCAATATCCGGCATTATACGTCACTTCTGCTTATCAAAAAACACCCTCACAGTCGTTACAGAACGGTTTTAGTCTTCCCACAAAGTTACACTAACTCACCTGCCCCTGCAACATCTGCACCTAGGTTTCTGCGAATTTCCATTTGTACTCCTAAAATCACACTCTCAAGCATAGTCATAGTTCTCAAATACCAAAGGCAGGCAGTTTGGAGTCATAGGGTCAAATTACACAAAGAATAAACTAATATTTGTATACACATCCAAAAGAGGTCTTTAGTCTTGGATTTTTAATTTACAACCCTGGGGAAAAACTTTGACTTTTTTATTGTACACACATACACACATAAATAGTAATTCCACAAAATACAGTAGAAGGGTATTGGACCAACAGATGGCGAACTAGAGCCCCAATCTGAGGCTCCTGAAATCTAAATTAGCAGAATGAAAAATACCAAATAAGGCAAAGCCCTTTGCAGCGTATACTTAAATATTAAATTCAGACACACCATAACAAAATAATCTTACTGCTGCTCCAAATTTTTAAGACTGAACTGTCAGATTTAATTAGGCAACCAAATAAGCAAGATTATATGAAATATATTTTTCTAATGGATTAGGAGAAAACTGGAAAATGCTCATTTTTAAAACCATGTATTTGGGGGAACTATAAATTCCAGTTTCCCCTTTCTCTCATTGCTTAGTGCAAGAGTCAAGAGTTCACAGGGTTTATGGCACTTAAATCAGTCAACCTGTTGTATATTCTTATCTAAAATCAGACATCTTTCTTATTAGGCATCCACTTGTACTTTTATTTTTTTGACAGGGTCCTGCTCGGTTGCCCAGGCTAGAGTGCAGTGGTGCAATCAAACTCACTGCAGCCTCCCAGGCTCAGGCGATCCTACCTCAGCCTCTTGAGTAGCTGGCACTACAGGCATATGCCACCATGCCCAGCTGTTATTTTTTTCACTCCTTTTTGTTTTGGTAGATACAGAGTCTCCCTATGTTGCCCAGGCTGGTCTCGAACTCCTGGACTCGAGTGCTGGCATTACAGGCATGAGCCACCACACAAAAATCTTATGAAGAGAAACAAATTTTCTTAAATTTCCCCCCAAAAAATAGTGGATGTCCAAAAGGCTGATTGAAAACACCTACATACAAAATAAAACAAACAAACAAAAAAAGATTTAAAGAAAAAGGCCTGGTGCAGCAGCTCACTCCTGTAATCCCAGCACTTTGGGAGGGTGAGGTGGGAGGATCACTTGAGCTCCGGAGTTAGAGACCAGCCTGGGCAACAGAGTGAGACCCTATCTCTACAAACAAAATTTTAAATTAGCCAAGTGTGGTAGCATGTGCTTACAGTCCCAGCTACTCCAGAAGCTGAGGGGATTGCTTGAGCCTGGGAGGTCAAGGCTGCAGTGAGTCATGATCATGCCATTGTAGTCCAACCTGGGCAACAGAGCGAGACCATCTCAAAATGAAAAGTGATAAAAAAATAAAAACACCAACATATTTCAAATCACTCTTGGAATAGTCATGTTGACTCTCCAATATCCACTCTATTCTGATTAGTTTTAACCCATTCTCTTTGCCAATGATTGGTTAGGAATGGCCATGAGATGTGAGTAGAAGCCCCCTGGACAGCCTCCAAAAGAGAACTGTGAGAAAAGGTTCTTCAATCCTAAAAATGATGGAGGAAAAAACAGTCCCTCTTCCTCAGACAGTGACACCTCAAACTGCTACAGTCACCTTTGCAGCAAGCCTGAAGATGCCACCAACATCAAAGGGAATAGAGAGTTGGTCCTTGGTGATAGCATTAAGCCACTGTATCAACCAATCCTGACAATTTGTATGACTTCTGGATTTCCAGCCACATTACAACAATGTAACAATAAACATTTATTAATTGCTTAAGCCAATTTGAGTTAGGTTCCTTATATAATAAATGAAGTCAAAAAACAATGATTGAGTTCTAATGTTTTTTAGTATTTGTATCTTACTTTATGATTACAGTATTTTATATAACTAATCTTATTATTTCTTCCTCAGAAAAGACATTCCATGGCCAGGCATGGTGGCTCACACCTATAATCCCAGCACTTTGAGAGGCCAATGTGAGAGTATTGCTTGAGCCCAGGAGTTTGAGAACAGCCCAGGGAAAACAGCAAAACTTCATCTCTTCAAAAAATAAATAATAAAAAAATTTAGCCGGGGGTGGTGGCATACACCTGTAGTCCAAGCTACTCAGAGGCTCAGGCAGGAGGATCACTTGAGCCCAGGAGGTCAAGGCTGCAGTGAACCATGATCACGCCACTGCAAACCAGCCTGGGCAACAGAGCAACACCCCGTCTCCAAAAAAAGAAAAAGAAAGGAAGGGAGGAAGGAAAGAAAGAAAAAAGGAAAAGGTGTTCCCTCTTACACACAGCTCTGTATCCATCCATCTTTGTCTGTGTTCTCTCTACCTAGAAAAAGAGGACCATCCCTCATTACCACCATTCCTTGTTAATTCCTCTCTCCAATCCACCTACAACTCATGTTATCCTCTTATATTCCACCACACCACTGTTATCGTCTACTCACTTCACTTGACAATAATGTAGGCTGGGCGTGGTGGCTCATGCCTGTAATCCCAGCACTCTGGAAGGCCAAGGCAGGCAGATCACCTGAGGCCAGGAATTCGAGACCAGCCTGGCCAACATGGTGAAACCCCGCCTCTACTAAAAATACAAAAAGTAGCCAAGCATGGTGGTGCACGCCTGTAGTTCCAGCTACTCGGGAGGCTGAGGCATGAGAATCACTTGAGCCCGGAAGGCAGAGGTTGCAGTGAGCCAAGATCACACCACTGCACTCCAGCCTACGCGACAGAAGGAGACTGTGTCTCAAAAAAAGAACCAATAATGTACAGAGTTGGCACTACATTACCCTTGGTTAAATGCTGTCTGTAATTCCTCTGAGTTTGTTTTCATATACCAGTCTTGCCACCTCAAGCCAGCCTGAAAGCCCTTGCAGGCAGGAACTGTGGTTGTTCTAATTTAAGATCTGTAACTCATCTATAGATAATAAACGTATTCCAAAAAGGCACTCTCTACCTTCCCTGCCACAGACCTTCTAAACAAGCCAGAAATTCCTAAACAGAATAATCTCACAAATTCAGTACCTCGTATGTCCAAACTAATCTCAAAAGGACAATGAATAACTTTTTTTGCACTTAAGAAAAAGCAATTATTATATATTAACTCAGGACAAGTTCTAAAGCCTAGGCCATTTAGTTTCAAAAGCACAGGGGCCCATTTTTTTGGTTACTTACCTAGGACCTAGCCCAGGGCCTGGCACAAAAGAGACACATCATAAGAACTGACTGAATAAATGAAAAAGGTAGAGTGTAGTACTTAAGCACACAGGACCTAGGTAGCCCGATTCTAATCCTGCCTCCCTCACTTATTCTTTGTGTTACTTTGGGCAAAGTACGTATTCTGCTCTGTAAAATGGAGATAGTAATACCACCTACCTCTTAAGTTTAACTATTATTATTAGTGAATGAAGCTATTTTCCACAGTTCTAAACTTTAAAGGTTAAAATCTGAGTGAAGCAAAAATCAGCACCTCTTTCCTAATTCAAACTTCAAACACCTATCTACTTAGGACTTGGACCTACTTTAATTAAAAAAAAAAAAAAAAAAAAAAAAAAAGCCTGGATGTGGTGACTCACACCTGTAATTCTAGCACTTTGGGAGACCGAAGCAAGTGGATCACCTGAGGCCTGGAGTCTGAGACCAGCCTGGGCAACATGGTGAAACCCTGTCTCAACTAAAAATACAAAAATTAGCCTGGCATTGTGGCACATGCCTATAGTCCTAGCTACTTGGGAGGCTGAGGCAGGAGAATCGCTTGAACCCACAAGGTGGAGGATGCAGTGAGCCAAGATCGCACCACTGCACTCCAACCTGAGTGACAGAGCGGGACTCTGTTTCAAAAACAAAATCCCTGTCTAGACTCTAGCAAACAATGTTTTCATTCATGAACTTAGATAACACTATATATAAAAATACTTTTAGCTCCCTAAAAACATATTCTGAGAATGATTATTTACAATCATAAATCTAATGCCACATTAAATACTTCAAATACATTTAATTCAACAAAAATCTAGTGAGTACCTATTAAGCTCAAGAATTTATTCTAGATATCACAGAAATGAACACATAAACCTATGTAAAAACCCATATTAAAATTATAAAAGAAACATCTTTAAGCTGAAACTGAGGCATGTTCTCACATTAATATTTAACCAGCTAAATATTAAATAGCCAGAGTCAACTAAACCAAAGTTAAGAAATTTAAGTCAAAAAATTTAGGATGTAGAAGGAATATGTTCAGCCGCCACATTTTATTAGTGTGAAAATGAGGCCAACAGAAAGAAGCCAGTTAAGAGATTGCCAAAGCGTCAAAGCTGGAATCAGGGTCTCTCAGTCTTCAATTCTCACTTTTCCCACTTCTAATTCACCAGTGCTACTCAATTGGTGAACTGGATGTGCAAACATGCTAAAGGCATTAAACCTAAACCATACTACCTATTTCACAGTGTCACAAGTATAAAGATTTAGCCAAATGCAAGTAGAAGAAAATCCTCATACTGATTACAATGACTACAAAGCTCAGAAATCAAGATTTTTTTTCATTAAATGGAGGCCTTAGCTGATTCAAAATATCATACAGTATTTTTATGTACTGACTGAATCCAGTAGAAACAAACTTTCAGTAAGATTAAACAAAAGCATTTCATAAATGGCAAAGTATTACAAGAATGCATAGCATTCCTTCATTTCAATCCAACCTAACAAGATATTTTCCTCCTCATACTACTGATACAAACTGCAGGATTTACATAAAGATATTATTTTGCCATCTCACCACAGAACTGACCCAATAATTCATACAAAAGAAAAACTAATTATTAGGCAGCCTCCTAATTTAACTGTGTTAGTAATGAGAACAATACTGTTGTAGGTTAAACCTAAATGTACTAGTAAGTCTAGAAATAATTTACTTTAGGATAATTCAGAAGACAACATTAAAGCTCAGCTGAATACAATTATATCACTGAAAGAAACAAGTCAGGTTCTCTCAGGCCATCAGCTATTGTTAAAATCTAACACCCAAGATTGTTGGTCTTCTCCACAGTGGTGGATTTAATAGCAGCTACCAGCACTCATTTCTAGTGCAAGCAGTTTAAGCAGGATTTTATACGAACATTTTAATAAAGTTCCTCAATGAGTTTACACACACACACACACACACACACACCCTGATTATTTTGGTGAATTTTAGTTAATTCTAATGTTTTTAACTTTAGAATATTTTAAAATTCTCAAATAACTAGAATGTGTGAACGTTCAATGACCAAACATAGAAGGAGTATTCTAATATACTGATTTTGCAGATTAAGCAATCTACGCAGGACCCAAACTTTTTATCAGATAATAAAGCTGAGTGTCAGAATTTGGCCAAAATGTACCAAGAAACTACCTGAGTTCTTTTCCAAAGGAAACATAAAGGTAAATATGCAGAACTTCAAGGCAGCTGTGAGCAGCCAAGTTGTGGAGGGCCTGACAAAAGTGAGTCAGAAGGGAAAATGTTCAAAGAGAAAAGGAGGCAGCAGGTGTACAAGGCAAAACACACCTTAAAAAATATCTTTACAGGCTGGGTGCGGTAGCTCATGCCTGTAATCCCAGCACTTTGGGAGGCCAAGGTGGGCAGATCACGAGATCCGGAGATCGAGACCATCCTGGCCAACGTGGTGAAACTCCGTCTCTACTAAAAATACAAAAAATTAGCTGGGCATGGTGGGGGGCACCCGTAGTCCCAGCTACTCGGGAGGCTGAGGCAGCAGAATGGCATGAACCTGGGAGGCGGAGCTTGCAGCGAGCGGAGATCACGCCAGTGCACTCCAGCCTGGGCGACAGAGCGAAACTCTGTCTCAAAATATATATATATATATATTTTTCTTTTTACGTCAGTTGCTGATTCTAAGTTATGATGCAACTTGTAAAATCTTGTTCTGATGGCATGGCAAACCTAGGGACTTTGGAAGATGGCAGACCTGTTTCCTCCAATGAAGCAGCATACCATTCTTGGAAAGGGAATTACTTTTTTTTTTTTTGAGACACAGTCTCACTCTGCTGCCCAGGCTGCCAGGCTGGAGTGCATGGCAAAATCTGGGCTCACCGCAACCTCCACCTCCTGGGTTCAAGCGATTCTCCTACCTCAGCTGCCCAAGTAGGTGGGACTACAGGCGCGTACCACCATGCCCGGCTAATCTTTGTATTTTTAGTAGAGACGGAGTTTCGCCATGTTGGTCAGGCTGGTCTCAAAATCCTGACCTCAGGTGATCCGCCCATCTCAGCCTCCCAAAGTACTGGGATTACAGGCGTGAGCCACCACGCCCAGCCTAGAACATTATTTTTAACCCACTAATTCTTGGATTCTTGAACTTGTTTCTATGTACACTCAGGAACATACAGCTACAAACGGGGAGTAACCAAAGCCACTGAATATATGCAGGAGCAACTTTTTTGGAGTATCAATTTAATCAAGGATTATAGTAAAATCAGATATACTTTTGTTAAAATAAACACAAATATATTACAGGTTGACCATCCCTAATCTGAAAATTCAAAACCCTCCAAAATCTGAAACTTTTTGAGTGCCAACATGACACCTCAAATGGAAAATTCCACACGTGACACCTTTGCTTCTGATGGTTCTCTGAACCATCAGAAACACTGTTTATTTCAAGAACAAAATTATTTTAAATTTTGTATAAAACTGGTCGGTTGTGGTAGCTCATGCCTGTAATCCTAACACTTTGGGAGACCAAGATGGGAGGATCATTTGAGCCCTGGAGTTCAAAACCAGCCTGGGCAACATAGTGAGACCCTATCTCTGAAAAAAAAAAAAAAATTAAGTCCAGGTACAGTGGCTCAGGCCTGTAATCCCAACACTGGAAAGCCATGGCAGGTGAATCACTTGAGCTCTGGAGTTCAAGACCGGCCTGGGCAATGTAGCAAAACCTATCTCTACCAAAAACACAAAAAATTAGCCAGGCATGGTGGCATGCACCTGTAGTCCCAGCTACACAGGAAGCCAAGGTGGGAGAATCACTTGAGCCTGGAAGGTGGAGGCTACAGTGAGCAGAGATGGCGCTACTGCACTCCAACCTGAGTAACAGAATCAGACCCCATCTCAAACAAACAAAAAAATTAGCTGGGCTTGGCACCGTGCATCTGTACCAGTTAGTACCAGCTACCTGGGAGGCTGAGGCAGGAGAATGACTTGAGCCCAGGAGTTCTAGGCTGCTGTGAGCTAGGATCACATTACTGCACTCCAGCCTGGGCAACAGTATGAGACATCATCTCTTAAAGAAAAAGGTAAAAAAAAGAAATTATCTTCAGGCTATGTGCATAATGTGTACATGAAACATAGAATTTCATGTTTAGATTTGGATCCCATCTCCAAGATAGTACATTATGTACATGCAAACATCCCAAAATCTGAAAAATCTGAAATCCAAAAAACTTCTGGTCCCAAGCATTTCGGATAAGGGATATTCAATGTATACAGAGCAAAAGGCAGAATTCTCACTGTTTCAAGATAGAAAAGGAGTCCTCAGAGAGATATGTCCTGCTTGTAACAAACAGCTCCAAACAGCCCTAGACCCTGAAAAGTACTTTAAGGAAAGATAAAGAGGTACTGGTTTAGACCATTTATAGATAAATATGCATGGCTAAAACCCCTGAATGTAATCCTTCCAGGCAGAAGATAAAACCTGAAATCTAACGTATAAATTGTCATGGGTACAATATTATAAAAGAGACCATAAGTTACCGAGAACATGACTGGAATTCAGGAAATGCTAAAGGTCCTGTCTTATCTCTGTAACTCATTTACAAAGAAATCATGTATGATTTTCTCAACTGCAATCTTTTTTGTTTCTGAATTAGACTGACAAAAATTATAGAATATAATATTCAATATTTTCCACCATATTCCAAATTCTCACTATCACATTTAAACACAATTTTATCTAATGAAATGTGTCCCAAATGAACCAACTTTAACCAGCATCAGAAAAAATAAAATAAAATAGTTAAATGAAACTGTATCTTCTTTGGTATAAGAAGTCCTTCAGGCCAGACGTGGTGGCTCACATCTCTAATACTAGCACTTTGGGAGGCCGAGGCCAGTGGTTTGCTAGAACTCAGGAGTTCGAGACCAGCCTGGGCAACATGGTGAAAACCCGTCTCTACTAAAATACAAAAAATTAGCCAGGCGTGGTGGCATGCGCCTGTAGTCCCAGCTACTCGGGAGGCTGAAGCAGGAGAATTGCTTGAACCCAGCGGGAGGTAGAGGTTGCAGTGTCAGTGAGCTGAGATCGCGCCACTGCACTCCAGCCTGAACGACAGAGCAGACTCCGTCTCAAAAAAAAAGAAAGAAATCCTTCAGCACAGAGGGTAGGAAAAAACAACTACTCACACTTCCCAGAATACCTACCGTGGCAATACCAAAATATGACCATGCTTGTTAATATTTGGGCTACGGCATTAAATGTTTATAACATAACACAAACACTTGTAATCCAAATGTGAATGATTATCTTCAATTTTCAGTAAAATAAGACCCTATAAAAGCCCTACCATTAATACATATTCATTCATAAACATACTGAGTACCAGTGGATGTTAAACACTGTAGAATCTCTAAGGAAAGAATACTCGGTCACTTTATAAGCTATGTGGTAGTCAAGAAAAATCCTTTCTACTCATTGATACGTTAAATGATCAAAAAATCCAAAGCTAAAAAATGATCAGAGAACAATGAAAAAATTTTAGTGGCTTTATGCTTCCAATTCCATTTTCTTCTGGACTCTTTTCTGAAGCTTGCCTAAATCATCCCAGGAATGCTAAAATTGGGTGTTATTTATGGCATAACCAAAATGAAATAACAAAGTAAGTACCCCAAATAAAACTAGGAGAAAAAATCCAGGGAACCAAGCAGGCAGTAAGGATCTAAAGTTCTATACTTGGAACCTCTACCCTGAATGTTAAATAATAGATGTTTTTTAAATAGTTGACTACCAAGTGTGGTGGCATGTGCCTGTAATCCTAGCTACTTGGGAGGCTGAGGTGGAGAGACTACTTGAGCCTAGGAGTTCTAGACTAGTCTGGACAAATAGCAAGACCCTGTCTCACGGGTAGGGGAGCAGGGGAAGGCAACCAAGCTGGGTGTGCCATGTGCCTCTAGTCCCAGCTACTTGGGAGGCTGAGACAGGAGGAGTGCTTGAAACCATAGGCCACTGTACTCCAGCCTAGGCAACATAGGAAGACCCTATCTCTAAAACAAACATAAACAAAAAGGCCGGGTGTGGTGGCTCACACCTGTAATCCCAGCACTTGAGGAGGCTGAGTTGGGAGGATCACTTGAGGTCAGGAGTTCGAGACCAGCCTGGCCAACATGATAAAATTTTTGTATCTTTAGTCTCTACTAAAAACAAAAATTAGCTGAGTGTGGTGGCAGGGGCCTGTAATCCTAGCTACTTGGGAGGCTGAGGCATAAGAATCATTTGAACCTGGGAAGTGGAGGTTGCAGTGAGCGGAGATCACACCACTGCACTCCAGCCTGGGTAACAGAGCAAGACTCTATCTCAAAAAAACAAACAGTTATATCTTTAATTATTATCTTCATTCAGTAATTAGGCAATTAGAATTTACAATTGCTAAATGAATGTTCAAAGTTCAACCAAAATTAGTCCAAGATGAAGCCAAGAACACATCTCAACTCATTCAATAAAGCCATTATTACTCTGATGCCAAAACCAGACATAGATATCACAAGACAACTACAGACCAATATATCTTATGAATACAGATGTAAAAGTCCTCAACAAAGCAAAATGAATCCAGCAACATATTAAAAGGCTTATACACCATTGCTAAGTATGACTTAATCCCAGGGATTCAAGGTTGGCTTAACTTCTGAAAATCAATTAATGTAATACACCATATTAATAAAGGATACAAACCACATGATCATTTGAATAGATGCAGAAAAAGCACTTAACAAAATCCAACATGCTTTCATGATAAAAACACTCAACAAAGTAGAAATTGAAGAAAACATCTTCAATCTAATAAAAAATACCTATGGGGGAAAAAAAGAATACCTACAAAAACCCCATAGCTAAAATCATACTTAATGGAGAAAGCCTGAATGCTTTCTCCCTCAGGTCAAGAACAAAACAAGGATATCCACTCTTACCACTCTGTTTAACACTGCACTGAAGGTTATGGCCAGGGCAAATAGGCAAGAAAAAGAAATAAAAATCACTCAGGCTTAAAAAAAAGAAGGAAAACTACCTTTATTTGCAGATGATATAATCTTGTATATAGAAAATCCTAAGAAAATCCCACAAATAAACTATTAGAGCCAATAAACACATCCAACACAGTTACAGGATACAAGCTCAATATACAAGTAGTAATCGTATTTCTATACACAAGCAATAAGCAATCTGAACATGAAAAGTTTTTAAAAATTCCACTTACAATAGCATCCCCCCGCCAAAAAAAAAAGACTTAGAAAGCCAAGCACGATGGCTCACACCTGTAATCTCAGCACTTTGGGAGGCCGAGGCAGGCGGATCACTTGAGGTCAGGAGTTCAAGACTAGCCTAGCCAACGTGGTGAAACCCCGTCTCTACTAAAATATAAAAATTAGTTGGGTGTGGTGGCAGGTGCCTGTAATCCCAGCTACTCAGGAGGCTGAGGCAGTGGAATCACTTGAACCCAGGAGGCGGAGGTTGCAATGAGCCGAGATCACACCACTGTACTTTAGCCTAGGTGACAGAATGAGACACTGTCTCAAAAAAAAAAAAAAAAAAGACTTAGAAATAAATTTAACAAAAGCAGTGACAATCTTATACTCTGAGATATATAAAAATTACAAAAGAAGTTACAGAAATCCTAACTAAATGGAAAGGCCAGGTGTGATGGCTCACACCTGTAATCCCAGCACTTTGGTAGACTGAAGTGGGTGGGCTGCTTGAGCGCAGAAGTTCAGGATCAGACTAGGCAACATGGCAAGAACTCATCTCTACAAAAATACAAAAATGAGCTAGATGTGGTGGCATGCACCTGTAATCCTAGCTGCTTGGGGGGCTGAGGAGGGAAGATCACTTGAGCCTAGTAGGTTACAGCTGCAGTGAGCCATGATTGCATTACTGTACTTCACTGCAGCCTGGATGACAGAACAAGACTGTGTCCCCCAAAAAAAAAAAAAAAAAAAAAAGGAAAGATATCCCATGTTCATGGATGAGAATGGATCAGAAGATACAACTCTGTTAAAATGGCAATATTCCCTAAATTGATCTACAGAATCAATGTGATCCCAGCATACCCAAAAGAAATTTGAATAGGAAAAACAAAGTTGGGGGACTCACACTTCCTGATTTGAAAACATAATTCAAAGCTATGGAAATCAAGACAGTGTGGTAGTGGCATAAGGATAAACATACAGATCAATGGAATATAAGTGTGGGTTCAGAAATAAACCTTTACACTGACAGTCAATTGATTTTATGACAAAAATGCCAAGACAATTCAGTGGAGGAAAGAATGGTCTTTTTAAGCCAAGTGCTGTAGCTGACACCTATAATCCCAGCATTTGGGGAGGCTGAGACAGGAGGATTGCTTGAGGCCAGGAGTTTGAGACTAGCCAGGGCAACAAAGCAAGACCCCCATCTCTACAAGAAACAAACAATGGTCTTTTCAACAAACCATGCTGGGACAACTGAATATTCACATGCAGTAGAATGAAGCTGGACCACTATATCTCACACCATACACAAAAATTAATTCTAATTAAATTTAAACACGGATTATAGACCTAAATGTAACAGCTAAAACAATAAAATTCCTAGAAGAAAACAAAGCTAATCTTCATTTCATTTGGTGGCCTGACATCAAAACCACATGCAACAAAGGAAAAAACAAGTAAATTTGGCTTCATCAGAATTATAACATTTTGTACATTAAAGGACACCATCAAGAAATTGAAAACACAACCCATAGATGGGAGAAAATATTTGCAAATCATGTATCTCACAAGGGATTTGTATCTAGTATATTTAAAGAACTCTTACAACTCAACAATAAAAAGAGAATCCAATTTTAAAATGGGCAAAGGCTGAGCATGGTGGCTCACACCAGAAGGAGAGGATCCCTTGAGGCAAGGATTCTGAGACCTGCCAGAGCAATATAGCAAGACCCTGTCTCTACAAAATAAATTAATAATAATAAAAAAAAACAATTAGCCAGGCATGGTGGCACACACCTGTAGTCCTAGCTACTCAGGAGCTTGAGGCAGAAGGAACCCTTGAGTCCAGGAGTTTGAAGTTCCAGAAACTATGATTGGGCCAGGTGCGGTGGCTCACGCCTGTAATCCTAGCACTTTGGGAGTCCAAGGCGGGTGGATCATGAGGTCAGGAGTTCAAGACCAACCTGGCCAAGATGGTGAAACCCCATCTCTACTAAAAATACAAAAATTAGCTGGGCGTGGTGGTGGGTGCCTCTAATCCCAGCTACTTGGGAGGCTGAGGCAGAGAATCACTTGAACCCAGGAGGCAGAGATTGCAGTGAGCCAAGATAGTGCCACTGAACTCCAGCCTGGGTGACAGAGCAAGACTCCATCTCCAAAAAAAAAAAAAAAGAAAAGAAAACTGCGATTGGCCACTGCACTCTAGCCAGAGTGACAGAGCAAGACCTAGCCTAAAAAACAATAGTGTATAAAAATAAAATTAAAATGTGCAGAGAATTTAAATAGACATTTCTCCAAAGAAGATATATGAATGGCCAATAAGCACATGAAAAGATCTCATCAGGTTGAGCACAGGGGATCAGGCCTGTAATCCCAACACTTTGGGAGGCCAAGGTGCGGGGACTGCTTGAGCTCAGGAGTTTGAGACCAGCCTGGGCAACATGGTAAAACCCCATCTCTACAAAAAATACAAAAAGGCCAGGTACAGTGGCTCATGCCTTTAATCCCAGCACTTTGGGAGGCTGAGGCGGGTGGATCACCTGATGTCAAGAGTTTGAGACCAGCCTGGCCAACATGGTGAAACCCCGTCTCTACTAAAAAGACAAAAATTAGCCAGGTGTGATGGTAGGCGCCTGTAATACCAGCTACTGGGGAAGCTGAGGCAGGAGAATCACTTGAACCTAGGAGGCGGAGGTTACAGTGAGCCAAGATCACACCACTGCACTCCAACCTGGGTGAAAGGCAAAAATCCGTCTCAAAAAAAAAAAAAGTTTCAAAGATAAAACAAAAATCTTGTTAAAGATAAATACACGAGATGCTAAAGAAATAATCTACTTCTTCAAGTCATGCTATCAATTTGCACCAAAATTTTCATTTCCTATGTGTAGGTGTTGAGGGTCTTGTACCCATGATAAATGACATACACCTGTTCTGGGCTGACTTTTGTTCCCCAAAAGAGATATATAGTACTCCAAGGGGCTGGGCACAGTGGCACATGCCTGTAATCCCAGCACTTTGGAAGGTCAAGGCCACAGCATCGCTTGAGCTCAGGAATTCAATATCAGCCTGGGCAACATGGCAAGACCCCGGCTCTACTAAAAATATAAAAAAATAGCCAGGTGTGGCAGTGCACACCTGTAGTCCCAGCTACCCGGGAAGCTGAGATGGGAGGATTGCTTGAGCCTGGGGTTTAGGGGGCTGGAGGTTGCAGTGATCCAAGTGCCACTGCACTCTAGCCTGGATGACAGAGGGAGACCCTGTCTCAAAAAAAAAAAAAAAAAAAAAGATATGTAGTACTCCTAACATTCAGCACCTCAGAACCTGATCTTAGAGACAGGATCTTCAGGCCAGGTGGCTTCCCTTCCTCTCCGCGTCAGTCTGTCCCACCTCAGCTCAGCCCACCGGAGACAGAGGGTGCAGGAACCTGGAGGCGGAGGTTGCAGGAAGCCGAGATCCTGCAACTGCACTCCAGCCTGGGCGACACAGCAAGACTCCGTCTCAAAAAAAAAAAAAAAACCTTACAACAAAATGATGCAGCCCGGGCGCAGTGGCTCACGCCTGTAATCCCAGCACTTTGGGAGGCCGAGTGGGGCGGATCATTTGAGGTCAGGAGTTCGAGACCAGCCTGGCCAACATGGTGAAATCCTATCTCAACTAAAAAAAAAACAAAAACTACAGAAATTAGCCAGGCGTGATGGCGCATGCCTGCAGTCTCAGCTGCTTGGGAGGCTGAGGCAGGAGAATTGCTTGAACCCGGGAGTCGGAGGTTGCAGTGAGCCAAGATTGCGCCGATTGCACTCCAGCCTGAGTGACAAGAGCAAAACTCCATCTCAAAAAAAAAAGAAAATGCAAAGTCACCTAAGAGACAGTTTAAATACATAAAAAGCTCGATGCCAAATAAAACTGGATGGGTCACTTGATAAGTGGGATTGATAAAAAGCAAGACAGCTGATATTATATAATTCTTATTTGCTTCGATATTTACTGGGGAAGGTAGAGGGGAAAAGCTATCTAAATTACTCTTAATAAGCATACAAATCTCTAATAGTGAATCAAATGCATCATTAAATATACTAAATTCCTCAAACTGATATGTCAGATGTCAGGTAGTCATGAAGACCCAAAATAGTCTCCATGGGTTTTTTGTTGTTGTTTTTTTGAGACAGAGTCTCACTCTGTTGCCCAGGCTGGAGTGCAGTGGCACCATCTCGACTCACTGCAACCTCTGTCTCCCGGGTTCAAGCCATTCTCCCACCTCAGCCTCCCAAGTAGCTGGGATTACAGGCATGTGCCACCACATTTGGCTGATTTTTGTATTTTTAGTAGAGACAGGGTTTCACTATGTTACCCAGGCTGTTCTCAAACTCCTGACCTCAAGTGATTCACCCAACTCGGCCTCCCAAAGTGCTGGGATTTCAGGTGTGAGCCACCACGACCAGCCCCTTCTCTGTGTTTTAAAGGCATTTAAGTATAAATTATTAAACTGCAGGACAGAACATATTAGCTGACGGTCATATGAGTGACCTTCTCTAAATGCCAGGAGGATAGAATCCACTTTTCCTTTATCAATATTTTCCTTGCTCAACTTCTGACATATTAGGTACTCAATAAGTATGTGCTGAACCAAAACGAACAAAAAAATGCTGTCATCAAAGTAACTTCCATCTACTCAAGTAGGCTGCAACTTCAAACTGCCCAAACTAGCAAATCTCTAATAAAGATGGGCTCAGAAGACATATCAGCATGAATAACCTTCTGAGGAAAAGACAACATGGATTCTAAAAGTGGACATCACACCACACCAGTTCACCCAAATTCTCTGAGAAAATAAATATGTGTGGCTGGGTGACGGTGGCTCATGCCTGTAATCCCAGCACTTTGGGAGGCTGAGGCGGGTGGATCATGAGGTCAGGAGATCGAGACCATCCTAGCCAACATGGTGAAACCCCAACTCTACTAAAAATACAAAAATTAGCTGGGTGTGGTGGTGAGCACCTGTAGTCATAGCTACTCGGGAGGCTGAGGCAGGAGAAACGCTTGAACCCGGGAGGCGGAGGTTGTAGTGAGCCGAGATCGCACCACTGCACTCCAGCCTGGGCAACAGAGTGAGACTCTGTCTCAAAAAAAAAAAAAAAAAGAAAAGAAAATAAATATGTGAATATAATTTATGTGAGCTTTCACAAAACTCTTGATAAGATTCTAAATTAAAGTTTTTTTTTAAAGACCTGAGTGGCCACAGGATGAGAACATTTACTGTAGACTGGACATAACTGAGACACAGAAAATTATAGGTAGATGCTGAGGTACTTCCCCAAATGAAGAAGTAAAAACAGAAGATTGAAAATTTTTTTAGAAATGCTATATTTAACATTTTAATATATTGTACAAAAAATATACAGAGAATTCCCCATTTTGCAGATGGGATGATGAGATTCCTAATAATGAAATACCACACGAGTTGGAAAAATAAGGGAACGGAGTGATGGAAAGGGTTTCTAAATATATTAAATGAGAAACATTTGCAAAAACTAAGATTTATATTCAGCTTAGAGAATGCTTTGGCAAGTATAAAAGCTGTCTAAATATGTGAAGGGTTATCTAGCAGAAGACAAACCAGACTTGCTCTAAGCAGTTCCCGTGTAGACAAAATTGGGCCCAAAGTGGCAATTCCAGAAGGGCACGCTTCAACTCAAGCTTTCTAACCATCAGACCTAACTAAAAAGGTGGTTCTTACCTTGGATTACCTCTAAGAGCCCACTGAGATATGAGTGTTAAAAAATTACATGCGAGGAAATGGCAGGTATGTTACAGCATGGACAAATGAAAAGTAAGGCATTTACAGGAAAAAAAATCTAAGCTATACTTAAAAGACTCATGCCTTCAAGTCAAAAAAGGAATTTTTGAATAATTATAGAATATTCCCTAAAGACAATGTGATGTTCTATGCAAAAAAAAAAAAAAAAAAGGGAGGGAGGGAGGACCAAATCCTATTAGGAAAAAACTGTAAATCAAGGGTACCCAATCGTTTGGCTTCCCTGAGCCACACTGGAAGAAGAGCTGTCTTGGGCCACACATAAAATACACTAAAGTAACAATAGCTGATGAGCTAAAAAAGAAAATCTTAAAAAAAATCTCATAATGTTTTAAGAAAGTTTACAGATTTGTGTTGGGCCACATTCAAAGCTGTCCTGGGCCGCATGCAGCCTGTGGGCCATGGGTCGGACAAGCTTGCTGTAAATAGAACATATTTTCTTATCCTTCTACCAAATCACAGTGTAGTTATAACTAAAATGCAGTTCTGAGTAGTTATCATAAATCCAGAAAGGGAAAGCAATGCTGACAAAGATCCTGGAAGGAGGTTTCACTGGAGATTAAATTAAAAAGTCAAGCATCTTCAGTTGAGAAACATGAAAGCAAAGGGGCAATGTGATCAAAATCAGAAAACGTATCAATATGGTAAATACTAATTTATTCACCTTTTATGCTTGAAAAGTATTTCTTTATATAACAGATAAAAGAAACTTGTGGATTGTGTTACCACAATCTACAAGTTAAAAATAGATTCAAGTGCTCGGATAAATGTAGGTATATTAGGTCCATTCAGGTCCTACAGGATAGAAGTGCTATCAGACGTGAGGCCCTAAATTTCTGAGGTTAACATCTTAACAGATAACAATGTTTCACCTGAAAACATCACTTGGTGCCAATTTAGACAGAACAATTGGTTGGACAGACCCCGGACAGACAGACTCAAGGAGGCTGGTTGGTATAGACTTCCTTCCATTCTTTTACCTCAGTATGTATGTGTGTGTAATATATACATACATATTATACTAGAACATATATACATTCCTTATCTTTATACACTTAGAATGCTCCTTATATAGCTCTGCACCCTGAATTTTTCATTTATCATTTACTCAACATCCTAAGACATTAAAAATTCTTTTTTTTTTTTTAGACAGAGACTTGCTCTGTCAACAGGCTGGAGTGCAGTGGCACCATCTCAGCTCACTGCAACCTCCAACTCCCTGGTCCAAGCAATTCTCCTGCCTCAGCCTCCTGAGTAGCTGGGATTTCAGGCACGTGCCACCACGCCCAGCTAATTTTTGTATTTTTAGTAGAGATGGGGTTTCACCATGTTGGCCAGGATGGTCTCGATCTCCTGACCTCATAATCCGCCCACCTCGGCCTCCTGAAGTGCTGGAATTACGGGCATGAGCCACCGCACCCGGCCAGAAAAATTCTTTCAAATACTATTCCATGGTTGTAAATGTCCATCCTTAAATATACCATGATTTATTTTCCTATAAATCTTGCTGCTCATTTAGGTTTATTCTCAATTCTCACTAATATGAATAATGTTACAATGAACATCTTTGTTCACAAATCTTTCTATGTATCTTAATTTTTCCCCTTTAGGATAAATTCCTAGATGTGCAATTACTGAATTAAAGAACGTTTTTAATTTTGCCAATATATGTTGCCAAAATATCTTTCAAAAAAACTAGGCCCAATGCACACTCCACTAGCAGTTTCAGAGATTGTCCCCTCACCACCTTCGACAGCACAGTCAACTGTAAATCTGATAGGTTAAAAAAAGAGTATGTCATTTAATCTGCATTCCTTTGATTACTTATCAGGATAAAAATGTTTCTCATATGCTTCTTGGTCATTTGTATTTCTTCCTTATGAACTCTGATCATGTTCTTTGCCAGCAAAACTTTTCTTTCTCTTGGCCGACAAACTTTCTGTGGAAAACCAGCTGAGATGGAATCATTTAAATATCAGCAACTGCAGCTCCCCCTGCTGACAGATAAATTACCACCACCATCAAGTGCCCAGTAAAAAAAAGTGAGCTAGAACCATACGCTTGCCTGTCTTCTGGGCTGCTGCTACAAATACAAATTATACACGGTAATAAAAAAGAAAATACTGTGTATCTAAACTCATACTTAACAGAGCTGTGATGGAGAAGGCAAGGGGGACAAGCGTTTTATTTGTTTTTTGTTGTTGTTGTTGTTGTTGTTGTTTTTTGAGACGGAGTCTCGCTCTGTGGCCCAGGCTGGAGAGTAGTGGCGTGATCTCAGCTCACTGCAAGCTCCGCCTGCTGGGTTCACACCATTCTCCTGCCACAGCCTCCCGAGTAGCTGGGACTACAGGCACCCAACACCACGCCCGGCTAATTTTTTTTTTTTTTTTTTTTTTAGTAGAGACGGGGTTTCACCATGTTAGCCAGGATGGTCTTGATCTCCTGACCTCATGATGGGCCCGCCTCGGCCTCCCAAAGTGCTGGGATTACAGGCGTGAGCCACCGTGCCCGGCCCAAACGTTTTCTAATGTGCAGGAACTAGGCGGGGTGCAGTGGCTCACACCTGTAATCCCAGTACTTTGTGGAGGCCGAGGTGGGTGGATCACCTGAGGTCAGGAGTTCAAGACCAGCCTGGCCAACATGGTGAAACCCTGTCTCTACTAAAAATATAACAATCAGCCGGGTGTGGTGGCACGTGCCTGTAGTCCGAGATACTCAGGAGGCTGAGGAACGAGGATTGCTTGAACCCAGGAGGTGGAGGTTGCAGTGAGCCGAGACTGCGCCACTGCACTCCAGCCTGGGCAACAGAGTGAGACTCCATTTAAAAAAAAAAAAACTAATATGCAAGAACTAATGTCACAAACAATTCTAAAAATCAATTCCCTGCCAAATATACTACCTGGCACATATAAACATCACAGACCTAAATATTCATTTCCCTATACTTTAACTATGTGAAAACACTCTAAATTACCAAATGACACTGGGTGGTCAGCAAACTAGTTCTCTTTTTCCAAAAGCAAAAACAACAAAAACACTTTTGCCCTTTAGCATTCAAAGAAAGAGTATTAAAAATCTTAATTCTTGGCAATCCTTATTCCAAAGTTGCTTGCACTTATCAGACTGGGACCAATAGATCCAAAGAGTAAGGCCAAGACTGGCAAATGCATGTGACTCTCAGCTTTTCCACTGATACCCTCCTAAAGATGCATGTCCCAAGTCCAGCAATACAGTCTTTAACACTCATTTACTAAGTGCCATCAAGAGCAAGCAGTGATGGCCGGGTATGGTGGCTCACGCCTGTAATGCCAGCACTTTGGGAGGCTGAGGGGGGTGGATCACCTGAGGTCAGGAGTTCGCAACCAGCCTGACCAACATGGTGACACCCTGTCTCTACTAAAAATACAAAAATTAGCTGGGCGTGGTGGCAGGCACCTGTAATCCCAGCTATTTGGGAGGCTGAGGCAGGAGAATCACTTCAACCTGGGAGGCAGAGGTTGCAGTGAGCCGAGATCGCGCCGTTGCGCTCCAGCCTGGGCAACAAAGAGCGAAATTCCGTCTCAAAAAAAAAAGAAACAAAAACAGCAAGCAGTGAGGATAAAAGACAAGAGCAAGTCCTCACTCTCAAAGAACCTAGACACTAGCTGGGTTCAAAGTGGAGCAAACTAGCAATCAGTACAATAGAAGTGCTAGGTCTGCATATGCACACTCACATGCACACACACTAACAGTTTCAGAGATTGTCCCCTTACCACCTTTGACAGCACAGTCAACTGCAAATCTGATAGGTAAAAAATAGTATGTCATTTAATCTGCATTCCTTTGATTATTTATCAGAATAAAAATGTTTCTCATATGCTTCTTGGTCATTTGTATTTCTTTATGAACTCTGATCATAAAGTGATAATACCTGGGTCCAGAGGAAGCACTCAGTGTCAGCTACTGTTATTACTATTATCACTACTGTTATTTTGTTTTAAGGCTAATCAAGTGAAGCAGTGGGAGTGGAGAAGGAACAAAGAAATCTGTAACTGGCTGTGATCAATTAATAGTAAACACCAATATACTTGGACCAGCCACTACTGTTATTAAAGACTAGGGGGAGTAAGTTTCCAGAACAGGGTAGAGTCCATCTTAAGCAGAGGTAACTGCTTGTGTGAAGACCCAGAGGCAAAGAACAACAGGGTTCACAGAAGGAACTGGGCACAAGCTATCTGTACTACTGCGTACAGGATGCTCAGGAAGAAGTGGAGAGATGATCTGGCAAAACATTTCAACTCTACCTTCAAAGCTAGTTGAGCCATGGTGGAAGAGGGAGGGATATGATCATACGCTTGAACATGCATTTTACAAGGATCATGTTGGCAGCGACTTGGAAGAGAGAAAGCAGTCAAGGAGAATGATTACAAGACAACAGAAGGTCATGCAGCCAAAAGGGCGATGAAGGTCTGGACTCAAAAAGGAGAAGTAGGATGACTAGGAAAATATTATGAGCTAGGATCTCAAGAATGTGGTGACTAGAATGGCACAAGAAGGAACCCAGAGGCCTCTCAAATCCCTGATTTGAGTGACTGGCTGGGTGACACTACCGCTCACTAAGATACGAAGATAGGAAGAGGTTGGACTGGGGAAGTGGATAAGATCATTTTAAAATGCCCATAAGATGGCCAGATGCAGTGGCTCACGCCTGTAATCCCAGCACTTTGGGAGGCTGAGGCAGGTGGATCACCTGAGGTCAGGAGTTCAAGCCCAGCCTGGCCAACATGGTGAAACCCCATCTCTACTAAAAATACAAAAACTGGCCGGACGTGGTGGCGCACACCTGTAATCCCAGCTACCCGGAGGCTGAGGCAAGAGAGTCGCTGGAACCTGGGAGGCAGAGGCTGCCGTGAGCCGAGACCGTGCCACTGCACTCCAGCCTGGGGGATAGAGCGAGACTCCGTCTCAATAGTAATAATAATAATAAAAAAATAAAATAAAATGCCCATAGGACATCCAAGTAGAGATGTCCAGGAAGCAACTGTGTATATGGGATTGGAGATCAGAAAACTAGTCAGAGCTGGAAAAACACACATTTGCAAATCATCGGCATATAGACGGCAAGTGAGGCACAAGTTTATCTAAGGCATTCCTCATAAACTGCACAGGGTGAGAGGAAGAAGGGTCAAGGGAAGGCAAATACTAATGTTTTTAGGAGCAAAAGAGGAAAAAAGTCTGCAAAGAAAACCAAGAGTATGGGCCAGACTTGGTGACTCACACACTTTGGGAGGCCGAGGCAGGTGGATCACCTGAGATCAGGAGTTCGAGACCAGCCTGGCCAACATGGTGAAACCCATCTCTACTAAAACTACAAAAATTAGCCAGATGTGGTGGCGGGCACCTGTAATCCCAGCTACTGGGGAAACTGAGGCAGGAGAATTGCTTGAACCCAGGAGACGGAGGTTGCAGTGAGCCGAGATCACGCCACTGCACTCCAGCCTGGGCAAAAGAGCAAGACTCCGTCTCAAAAAAAAAAAAAAAAAAGTTTCAAAGATAAAACAAAAATCTTGTTAAAGATAAATACATGAGAAGCTAAATAAATAATCTACTTCTTTAAGTCATGCTATCAATTTGCACCAAAATTTTCATTTCCTATGTGTAGGTGTCGAGGGTCTAGTACCCATGATAAATGATATACACCTGTTCTGGGCTGAATTGTGTTCCCCAAAAGAGATATGTAGTACTCCAGGGGCCTGGGCACAGTGGCGCATTCCTGTAATCCTAGCACTTTGGGAGGCCAAGGCCACAGGATCGCTTGAGCTCAGGAGTTCAATATCAGCCTGGGCAACATGGCAAGACCCCATCTCTACTAAAAATATTTAAAAATAGCCAGATGTGGTAGTGTGCACCTGTAGTCCCAGCTACTCAGGAAGCTGAGGTGGGAGGATTACTTGAGTCCAGGGGTTAGGGGGCTGGAGGTTGCAGTGATCCAAGTGCCACTGCACTCCAGCCTGAATGACAAAGGGAGACCCTGTCTCAAAAAAAAAAAAAAAAAAAGAGATATGTAGTACTCCTAACATTCAGTACCTCAGAATGTGATCTTAGAGACGGGATCTTCAGACCAGGTGCAGTGGCTCACGCCTGCAATCTCAGCACTTTAAGAGGCCGAGGTGGGTGGACCACTTGAGGTCAGGAGTTCGAGACCAGCCTGGCCAATGTGGTGAAACCCCATCTCTACCAAAAATGTAAAAATTAGCTAGGCACGGTGGCGAGCACCTGTAACTCCAGCTACTTGGAAGGCTAAGGCAGAAGAATCACTTGAACCTAGGAGGAGGAGGTTGCAGTAAGCTGAGATCACCCCACTGTACTCCAGCCTGGGCAACAAAGAGAGACTCTAAAAAAAAAAAAAGAGATAGGATCTTCAAAGAGGTCATAAAGTTAAAATGAGGTCATCAGAGAGGACTCTAATCCCAATATGACTTGTCCTTATAAAAAAGGGGAAATTGTGGACACAAAGAAATACACACAGGGAGGCTGGGCGCCGTGGCTCACGCCTGTAATCCCAGCACTTTGGGAGGCTGAGGTGGGCAGATCACTTAAGGTCAGGAGTTTGAGACCAGCCTGGGCAACAAGGTGCAGCCCTGTCTCTACAAAAAATACAAAATTTAGGCTGGGTGCTGTGGCTCATGCCTGTAATCCCAGCACTTTGGGAGGCCAAGGCAGGCAGATCACCTGAGGTCAGGAGTTCAAGACCGGCCTGGGCAACATGGTGAAACCCTGTTTCTACAAAAAATACAAAAAATTACCTGGGCATGGTGACACGTGACTGTAATCCCAGCTACTTAGGAGGCTAAGGAAGGAGAATCACCTGAACCTGAGAGGCAGAGGTTGCAGTGAACCGATATTATGCCACTGCACTCCAGCCTGGGCAACAGAGCAAGACTCTGTCTAAAAAAACAAAAGAAATACACACAGGGAGAACTCTACATAAGGACTGGAGTTATGCTGCCACCAGAAGCTAGAAGAGAGGCTTGAAACAGATCCTGTCCCAGTTGCTTCAGAGAAAGCATGCCTCTGCCCTTAGATTTCTAGCCTCCAGAACAGGGAGACAATAAATTTCTGTTATTTAAGCCACTCAGCATATGTCACTCTGTGGCAGCAGCCTTAGCAAACAGATGTCATAAGAAAATTCGCAGCTCAGGTTTACTAAGTACCTACCAGGTGCTGTTCTAAACACTCTGCGTGAATAAACTCATTTAATCCTTATAAAGTCCACTCTAGGATCTAGGTACTATCATTATACCCTTTTTACAGTGTGGACACCAAGGTTCTAAGAGGTTAATGAGCTTACCCAGTATCACATAGCCAGAGCCCTCTCTCTCACCACTAGTGTATGAGGAGCTATTATTAACAGTAATTACAATAAGAGCTGGCGTGGTGGCTCACGCCTGTAATCCCAGCACTTTGGGAGGCCAAGGCGGGTGGATCACTTGAGGCCAGGAGTTTGAGACCAGCCTGGCCAACATAGTGAAACCCCGTCTCTACTAAAAATAGAAAAATAAGCCGGGCATGCTGGCATGCGCCTGTAATCCCAGCTACTTGAGAGGCTGAGGCAGGAGAATTGCTTGAACTCAGGAGACACAGGTTGCAGTGAGCCGAGATCGTGCCACTGAACTCCAGCCTGGGCGACACAGCAAGACTCCATCTCAAAAAAAAAAAAAATTAGTAATTACAATAAGAACAGTAGTAGTCCACTGAACCAAACACTGCCCTATGTCCTTTACAGATATAATACAAAAGTCCTCTGAAGTAAGTGTTATTATTTCCAGTATGAAGGAGGAACCTGAATCTCAGAGAGATTAAGAAAATCGCCCAAAGTCACACGGTTAAGAGTGCTGAGATTAGGCCGGGCACGGTGGCTCATGCCTGTAATCCCAGCACTTTGGGAGGCCGAGGCGGGTGGATCACCTGAGGTCAGGAGTTTAAGACCAGCCTGGCCAAGCTGGTGAAACCCCATCTCTACTAAAAATAAAAAAAAAATTAGCTGGCCATGGTGACAGGTGCCTGTAATCCCAGCTACTTGGGAGGCTGAGGCAGGAGAATCACTTGAACCCAGGAAGTGGAGGTTGCAGTGAGCCAAGATCACCTGGACAACAAAGCGAGACTCTTGTCTCATAAAAAAAAAAAAAGGAAGAAGAATGCTGAGATTATATCTAATTGCTAACTTAAGGGGATATACAATGAAAACCTGTTTTTACTAAAACTTTAAGAACAAGTTAATTTTTTTTTTTTCTTTAATGAGACAAGAGACAAGGTCTGGCTCTATCACCCAGGCTGGACTGCAGGGGCGCAATCACAGTTCACTGCAACCTCCACCTCCCAGGCTCGAGCCATCCTCCCACCTAGGCCTCTCAAGTAGCTGCAACTACAGGTGCACACCACCATGCCTGGCTAATTTTCTTTTGTATTTTTAGTAGAGATGGGGTTTTGCCATGTTGCCCAGGCTGTTCTCAAACTCGTGTGCTCCAGCGATCTGCCTGTTCAGCCTCCTAAAGTGCTAGGATTACAGGCGTGAGCCATCGCGTCTGGCCAAGTTAAATTTTTTAATGCCTGACTTTGCAGTTCAATACTAGAAATATACATCTATAAATTCAAAATTCTTGAAGATCCCAAGAGAACACATGTCCTAGATTATGGGCCCTTTTGCGTGTGTATCCCCTCAACCACTGTTCAAGAACTATTCTCTCGGCTGGGCACGGTGGCCCACGCCTGTAATCCCAGCACTTTGGGAGGCCGAGTTGGGCGGATCATGAGGTCAGGAGATCGAGACCATCCTGGCTAACACGGTGAAACTCCGTCTCTACTAAAAATACAAAAAATTAGCCGGGCGTGGTGGCGGGCGCCTGTGGTCCCAGCTACTCGGGAGGCTGAGGCAGGAGAATGACATGAACCCAGGAGGCACAGTTTGCAGTGAGCCGAGATTGCGCCACTGCACTCTAGCCTAGGTGACAGAGTGAGGCTCCGTCTCAAAAAAACAAAAACAAAAACAAAAAAACTATTCTCTCAGTTAGAACCCTTGCCATTTCTCTGACTTCCAGACACAGAAAGAGAAGAAAAGGAAGGATTGAGATGCTGTTCTTTAAAATTTTTTTTTTTTTTTGAGACGGAGTCTCCCTCTGTCGCCCAGACTGGAGTGCAGTGGCACGATCTCGGCTCACTGTAAACTCCGCCTCCCGGGTTCACGCCATTCTCCTGCCTCAGCCTCCCAAGTAGCTGCAACTACAGGCGCCTGCCACCACGCCCAGCTATTTTTTTGTATTTTTAGTAGAGACGGGGTTTCACCGTGTTAGCCAGGATGGTCTCGATCTCCTGACCTCATGATCCGCCCGCCTCGGCCTCCCAAAGTGCTGGGATTACAGGCGTGAGCCACTGCGCCCAGCTAAAATTTTCAATTTTCTATTTAATTTTTAAAATCTGATACAAACATCAGAAAGTGTAAAAAGATATAATGCAATGAGAAGTCTCCTTCCTACTCTGTCCTCTACCTGAACAATTCCTAGACCTAACAGGTAACCAGTGCCACCATTTTCTTATTTATTCTTCTAAAGGTTTGTGTTGTTGCTGTTGTTTGAGACAGAGTCTCGCTTGGTCAGCCAGGCTGGAGGACAGCGGCGTGATCTCAGCTCACTGCAAGCTCCGTCTCCCGGGCTCAAGCAATTCTCCTGCCTCAGCCTCCCAAGTAGCTGGGATTACAGGTGTGTGCCACCATGCCCCAGCTAGTTTTTATATTTTCAGTAGAGACGGGGTTTCACCATATTGGCCAGGCTGGTCTCAGACTCCTGACCTCAGGTAATCCACCCACCTTGGACTCCCAAAGTGCTGGGATTACACGTGTGAGCCACCATGCCCAGCCCTAAAGATCTTTTTTTTTTTTTTTTGCATACATACACCAATGCAAATTATCTTTTTCTCCTGTTTTTTTTTTTCCAAAAAACACAAAGGGTATCAAATCATACATACTGTTCTGCATCTTGCTTTCATCACTTAACTGTCTGCCTTGCAGATCTTTCTATATCATATTAAATTATGTTTTAATTCTCTCGTTTTGCTTGTCAAGAACAGTTTTTACTTCATTTCACCATAGTTCAGTCTAGCACACAAGGCATCCAGCAGCCCTAAGAACTACCTGAAACAACTGATGATGGCTCCATGCTACACACTAAAGACCCTGTATCTTTTCTCTCCTCCTCATCTTCATTTCACTCTTTTCTCCGACTCACTCAATTCTCCTTCCTTTCCCTATTCCTCTCCCATCTCACCCACTCCTTAGCCCTAACCCTGACAACTAGACCCTAGTAACATCACTGACATTGCTTAGTCGTGGCTAGAAATATTCAGGCTTTAAAAAGGTACAGACCCCTAACACAGAGAAAAAGGGATAAATAATAATTTCCATGAGAACTTCTAATTAACGAGAGTGCCTTAAATTGAGGAGTTTTGGCTTGGAGTTATTCTTCCTTGTTACTTGCCTCCTCTGGCATTTTCATTTGTGAAGACTGAGTGAGTGTGACGCTATTTTCTATACGCATGGAAACAAGCACATACTCAGTCTAACATTTACGCAATGCCTGACAGAACGACAGAGTTCATTCTACAATAAGATAATTGGAAACAAAATATAAGATCTATATAAAATAAACATTTGGGCTCCAAAATATGCACTTTAATTAACCTATCATTTCTTTTTACTTAAATTAAGTAGCTCCAATCTGAAACTACATCTTAGAAATGTTTTAAGGATATTCACCAATGAAAAAGAGAATAAAGTTCCCTCTCCCCACTTTTATTTTCCAGCCCACAAACTCAATGCTATCCTCCCCGCAAAAAGGACCTTTTTTTCTGACCAGACGAACACTGTAATTTTTAAGGTTTCTAAGTAATAAAAATAGGAAGAAAACATTACCCCCCAAAATTGGTTTACACTTAGAAGATGTTTCCCACTGAGCAAAGGATTGGTAAGGAACATAATATTAAGGCAACCACCTAACTGCATTCTTAAGTAGTAACAGGTGGTAACTCACGATATGGAGCTGATTTCCTTTCTCTATTCCTGCCATGCCAGAGACCTCTAGTAGAACTTCTGAGGTTACTGTATTACAACCCAGGTTCAGAGAGATTTAGAGGTAAAACCTTAAACACTGGAAATATCTTTAAAAGTAGGGCTTTGTGTACCAAATACATTCGTTAAAACCTAGGAAACTATAAAATGAAATCCAATGTATTGATCTCAATCCCCTTGCCTGCTTCCTAAAGAGGACAGAGGCCACCAACACTGGTGCTCAACACTTGCTAAGTCGAAACACTCTTACACAGGTCCTCTGATTCTTAACGGGTTCAGAACTTCTGGTTGCATTCCCCATGCAACCCTCCAACTCTACAGGGAGAATGCTGGAAAAACTGTGTCACTTTGGCTTCCTGTATATTAATATAAGCACTCTTATCCAGCAATAGCAGCTGAAACATAAATGAAGATGAGAACTCAGCCTACATGACCTAAGATTTCCCACAAGTCCAGATATTTAGGTTACACACACTGCACTATTGTCTGATTTCTCCTCTGCATCAATCTGGAAGTCCACAGAGCAGATTAGCACCCAACAATCTTAACTAAGCTAGTATCCTACTCTGAAGAAAGGCGAAGCTGGTGGAGGGTTTCCAAGACTCCTTATCCTTCTCTGTCCTTCCTCCCATCCCCTCCTTACGTCTTTTCTGTTTGTTTTTATTTAATTTTTTTTTTAATGTATTTTTAGTCACAAGAAAATCAAAGAAGCCACCTACTTAAGTCTTAAGCTCTGCCCTTTGCTTAGTCCTAATGGAGAGTTCTTTGGCCATCTATGTACAAGAGATTAGAGGAGCCAAAGAGACTGGAGAACCACATCAATGGGAGCTTTTTCATCTAAAGGTCATCTGTCCACACTGTCCAAATGAGGTTTACCCTGTGAAATAAAACTTGGTGTAAGTGCTACCTGCTGAGAAAAATAGTATGAAATGTCACACAAAGGACTGGGGTGCAGCAGGAGGACTCTGAAAGAGTCATACGTGTAAACCAGCAGGTCTTAGAATGCCCTAATATACTATATGAAGTTTCAGAGTAAACAAATGGTTAATGACACATCTTTTGTAACACATGAATCAGCTACTGATTTGCAAGAGTGGGACACACCCTAGTACCTATGACTCTAAAGTACCTGTTTGAAAAGTGGACCTAGATGTTTGAATTGCCAACCCATCCTAAGACCGGAACATAATTTTACAACTATGTAAGTTGCCATAATTTAAAGTTAAAAAGATCACTGCCTTTCATTATAATGGAAGTTAATTTGAGAACTTCATTAAAACATTCACACCGATAATCAAAGAACAGTAGAGATACAAAGTAAAATATAGCCAATCAATCCTAGGAAGCAAACACAAGAGGCAAGAGAAATGGCAGGTAAAGGAAGTGAAGAATAGCAAATTCAAAAACTACAATATTCCCAATTCTAAAGAAAAATGAATAAAATGAGGCTGGTAATGAAAAAATAACACATCTTACCTTAAGAGGCATCCAAGTAGCATTCATAGTGTCAGGATATAAAGACAATACTCAGAAATGAGCAAGAAGTCTTAGTAATTCCCTCGGTTACCAAGTATAAGCAGGTAGGAAAATCTTTTGTTTCGAGAAGGTATCTGAAAGAGAGGATTTTCATTTAGACTAAAAAATAATCAAGACAATGCAAATAGTTTAAGCTACCTGGGCAGGGATTTTGAAGTACTATTTGCCTCATCGCACTAAAAAAGTATAGAAAATACAGTCCCCTTTAGAAAAGGGCAAATGTGTGTCTCCATATATATGTGTGTAGAAACATACTTTACATAAAAAGAGAAATAAATATGTAACACGTATTTTAGATAATGTAAAATTGCTTATCAAACAATTAGCCAAAATCCCAGAGAGAATAAAGTAATTTTCCAGGGTACTTCATAAACACTAAACGTGATTTGTTAACTAACCGTCTAAAGAAAGACCCTTGCCACATTTAATTATATTTAGTAAAGTAAAACTTCTCTAATCATCCCGACTGTCCCAAGATTATGCTTAAGTTTCAGAGTCAATTCCACATGAAAAGTAAAACCTATTCTTGACTGAAGTACTAGAAACAAATAAAAGACCCTTCTTCCCCAGAGATCGTTAAAAGCAGACCGAGCAACTTAATTTTGAGGGTGGGAGGAAGGTAAATTTGCCTGGAGGCAGGAGGATGGACTAAATGACCTCTGGTAGGATCCTCGTTCAAGTCCTGGGCCTGTATACAATTCCAGCTTAACCAGTTACTGCTTCGCTTAAAATGGAGGCTTGCCTGCGTAGGGACAAAAATAACAGCACCCACTTCTTAAAAATAAATGTCGAAAAGTACCCCTTTTTAAATAAAAATAAAAAATAAACACCTCTGGAGTGGATGTGTTCTTGCTATGCGTTTGTCACTGAGGCTTCGAAGACTTGGCATCACTTTCCTTACCGCTCACCGGATTTTGGGGGAGGAGCGGGGGGCGACAGTTTGACTCTTGACCCAAGTCTCAGGCGGACTTCAGAGCCCCACAGGGGCCCCCAACTCCAGAGCCAGAGGGAGCGGAGAGGCGAGAGCCCGAGATCGCACCTCCCCCCACCGCGGACCCCAGTCCCAAACCCACCCCTCACCTCCCCGCAGTGGGGCGCCTCCTTCTGCCCCATTCCCATTGTTAGGGAGGGCAGAGCGCGGGGTGGGCTCAGGGCAGGGGCGCCCGCGGCCGTTGCCCGGCTCGCTTCAGGAGGGGCGCCCCGCGGGATGCGGCTTCCCTTCCTCTCCGCGTCGGTCCGTCCCACCTCGGCTCGGCCTGGCGCCCCGAGGTCCGCTCCGCGCCCCCGGCCGCGGCCCCGGCCCGCCCCCCGGGCAGCCAGGCCCTCAGGCCAGTCGGCCGGCAGCCGGCGTCCCAGGCCTACGAGTGGGCGCTGGGCGGGGGTCCCCGTGCCCCACACACGCGTCCCCTCTCCCCCAGCCCCGCCGCTTCCAGGGCCCTCGGCGGCGCCCGCTCCCCGGGCCCCGCGGCCCCCCGCCTCCCAGCCGGGCCGCTCCCTCGAGCTCGTCGGGTCAGGGACACCTCCTCTACCTCACCATCACCCTGGCCCACTCGTGCCCCCACCCCCAGGGGCACCAGTGCCAAAGGCAGCTCCCCCAGCCCCGGACCTACCTGCACGGTTCAACCAAGCCTAGAAGTGGGGGCGGGGAATCTTCCGCCCTCCTCTGGCGCCCATTGGCCCTTCAGGGGCACATCGTGAGCGCCATTGGCTGAGCAATGGTGTCCGTCAGAGCGATGGGGCGGGACAGAAGGGGGAGAGGGATGCTGGTGCCTTGGCGTCTCTGTCTCTGTGTATCTCGTTGTCTCTGTCTCTGTCTCGGCCCTTGGAAACGAGAGGCTTTTGGCTGAGAGGACTAGAAGGGGGCCTGAGGTGGGAGGAATAGGAATAGGAATCCTGACAGAGCGTCACGCCAGTTGGCCACTCTGAACGCCCTACCTAAGTCCCCTTTAGGTTCTCTTCTCCATCACCCCCAACCCCTGCCCCTCACCCCTCGAGGTTCTTTCATCCAGGAAGCGACGTGATGAAAACTCCAGGCCGGAAGGCCATAGGGAGAGATGTTATATATGTATATAAAATATACACATAAAAATGTTTATATATAAACTCAACCAGATATCAGTTCACTAGGGCCTGGAAAGGAAAGGGCACACATCTCACAGACAGGGAAGGACTTGAGATAGAGCCGGTAGAAGAAGGAATCAAAAATCACTCTAAGAGCTGGCAACAGTGGTTACCTCCTGGGAGAGGAACTGAGTGCCTAGGGAACCAGTGGGCGGAAGACTTACATATCTCGGCATATCATTTGTATCCATTGATTTTTGCACCATTCATCAAGATTCCAATTTAAAGAAAAGGATTTAAATGTTTAAATAAGGTCGCAAAACCAGGGGACAGACAAGATAATTGGGCAGGAAAATTGGCGCAACATGCAGATTTGGGGAGGAATCTTAGCTTTTAATATGTTCAGCTCCCGGTAACAGGGTTTTGTAAAACCCAGTGAAGGTGTCCCAGAGGCAACTGAAGTTATGGAACTTGAGAGAGGGTAGACAATCAGGACTAGAGAAGATGCAGGGTCCTCTGCCTAAAGATAGTGATCTATGACATGCTAAAGGATAAACTCCCAAAGAAGGGTAATAAGACACCCACAGTAAAAGGTAGGAGGACGAAAAAGAAGGTCAGTGAGGTAAAAGAAACAATATTAAAGAGGCATGAAAATTAAGGGAGGAAGGGTCTGTGGAAAATAGAATAATAAAACTATGAGAGAGGCCGGGCACGGTGGCTCACACCTGTAATCCCAGCACTTTGGGAGGCCAAGGCGGGTGGATCACCTGAGGTCAGGAGTTCGAGACCAGCCTGCGCAGCATGGTGAAACCCGATCTCTAATAGAAATGCAAAAAAAAAATTAGCCAAGCGTGGTGGCGCGCCTCTGTAATCCCAGCTACTGGAAAGGCTGAGGTGGGAGAATTGCTTGAACCGGGAGGCGGAGGCTGCAGTGAGCCAAGATCGCGCCACTGCACTCCAGCCTGGGCGACACAGTGAGACCCTGTTTCAAAAAAAAAAAAAAAAAAAAAAAAACAACAAACAAACTGTGAGAGCCTCATAGGTCTTACCTCTTTACCTCTTTAGGCTCTGGTAACCATGGGACAATAAGAATGAAAGCCAAGGCCGGGCACGGTGGCTCACGCCTGTAATCCCAGCATTTTGGGAGGCCAAGGTGGGCGGATCACAAGGTCAGGAGATCAAGACCATCCTGGCCAACATGGTGAAACCACGGGCATGGTGGCGCATGCCTGTAATCCCAGCTACTCGGGAGGCTGAGGCAGGAGAATTGCTTGAACCAGGGAGTCAGAGGTTCCAGTGAGCCGATATCACGCCACTGCACTCCAGCCTGGATGACAGAGTGAGACTCCGACTCAAAAAAAAAAAAAAAAAAAAAAAAAAACAACACCTTTATCGATTAAGAATCTTTTTTCTGAGTTTATTAATTCTATTTAAATCAACCCCAGAAAACACCTTCAACACAGCCTCTCATTTCATATCTGTAAAATGGGGCAAAAAAAAAAATAGTTCCTACCCTTTAGAGTTGTTGTGAAGATTAAATTAGTGAATACATATGATGGATTTTTTTTTCTTTTTTCTTTTTTATGAGACACAGTCTCGCTCTGTCTCCCAGGCTGGAGTGCAGTGGCACTATCTCAGCTCACTGCAAGCTCCGCCTTCCGGGTTCACGCCATTCTCCTGCCTCAGCCTCCTGAGTAGCTGGGACTACAGGCGTCCGCCAGCATGCCCGACTAATTTTTTGTTATTTTTAGTAGATACGGGGTTTCACCGTGTTAGCCAGGATGGTCTCAATCTCCTGACCTCGTGATCCGCCCGACTTGGCCTCCCAAGTGCTGGGATTACAGGCATGAGCCATGGCGCCCGGCCTGTGTGATGGATTTTTTAAGAGCCTGACTGGCGGGGTGAGGTGGCTCATGACTGTAATCGCAGCACTTTGAGAGGCTGAGGCAGGT
This sequence comes from Homo sapiens, assembly GCF_000001405.40. Lineage (NCBI taxonomy): Eukaryota > Metazoa > Chordata > Mammalia > Primates > Hominidae > Homo > Homo sapiens. The sequence continues at coordinate 929,914 of NT_187663.1, forward strand.
GAATCACTTGAAGCCAGGAGTTCGAGACCAGCCTGGGCAACATGGCGAGACCTCGTCTCTACAAAAACACACACACAAAAATTAGCTGGGTATGATGGTGCATGCCTGTAGTCCCAGCTACTCAGGAGACTGAGGTGAGGGTCGCTTGAGCCTGGGAGGCAGAGGTTGCAGTCAGCCGAGATCTCACCACTGCATTTCAGCCTGGGTGACAGTGTAAGAACCTGTCAAAACAACAACAACAAAAAAAACAAAACAACAACAACAAAAAAACGCACGAAAAAAACCACATAAGCTCCTTGAGGGCAGAAACTGTCCCCTAGTCTTCTATATTTTATTTCACACAATGTACAGAAGACTAAATGAATAATTGTTAGCTGGTTTTTTTTTTTAAAGGGGATAAGATCAGTTACAATGTCTTTTTCCTCAGTCAATCACATAAGTATCTAAAATGACATTCCAAAGTAAGGACAGGAGTTTAAATCCTGAACTATGGTATCTAAAGTAAACTTGAACTTTCCTTATTTTTAAAAAATTTTGGCCGGGCGCGGTGGCTCACGCCTGTAATCCCAGCACTTTGGGAAGCTGAGGCGGGCAGATCACAAGGTCAAGAGATCTAGACCATCCTTGCCAACATGGTGAAACCCCATCTCCACTAAAAATACAAAAATTAGCTGGGCGTGGTGGCACGGACCTGTAGTCCTAGCTACTTGGGAGGCTGAGGCAGGAGAACCGCTTGAACCCGGGAGGAGGAGACTGCAGTGAGCCGAGATCACGCCACTGCACTCCAGACTGGCGACAGACTGTCTCAAAAAAAAAAAAAAAAGAAAAAGAAAAAAGAAAAGAAAAAAATTCCATACATAGAATTCTGTGTGGCATTTTAGAGAAAATCATGGTGACTAGAGACACCAGGTGAAATTTTTTTTTTTTTTTTTTGGTGACACAACCCCAGGAGATCCTGTGAACATGTGTCCCTTGACCAGGTGAATTTCAGGAGCTTGCACTAGTCCCAGGTTAGCTGGCACCAGGTTGGCCCTAGTTTGAGTGCCTTCCACATACCAGGTACTGTGCTGGAGAAGTAACATCAAAAAGGAAAATCAAATTTCATCTTCAATAAGCAATCACAATACACTGTGATGAGAGTTAGGGTGAAGGAGGTTCAGGTTACCATGGGCTTATATTAGGAGGGCAAATTCTGTCTTCAAGTCTTTTTGCTTCAACAGTAGCGTTTAGATCTTGTGGGCTGGGCATGGTGGCTCTAGCCTGAAATCCCAGCACTTTGGGAGGGTGAAGTGGGCAGACTGCTTGAGCCCAGGAGTTGCAGATTAGCCTGGCAACATGGCGAAACCCCGTCTCTACAAAAAATACAAAAGTCAGCCAGGCATAGTGGTGCCTGCCTGTAGTTTCAGCTACTTGGGAGGCTGAGGTAGGAGGATCGCTTGACCCCAGGAGTTCAAGGCTGCAGTGAGCTACCATCGAGCCACTTCACTTCAGCCTGGGCCGCAGAATAAGACCCTGTCTGAAAAAAAAAATCTTGTGATATAATAACAGCTTGTGCACTCTTCGATAGCTCAGCTGGTAGAGCAGAGGGCTGTAGACTGCATAGATAATAATAACAGTTTGCGTTTTTGAGTCAAAGATGATACCCCAGAATCATTATCGAAAATAATGGTTGATCCATTCACCTGTGCCTATGACTGTGAGCCACATTGTGACCAATCTGTGAGCAACATGGGTGGGAATGCAGTTTGGGGCCATGGAACTCACTTAACAGGAAGTTCCAATAGCAGTGGATTTACCATGTTGCGGCTGTAGGATCTTGGACAAATATTTAATGACCTCTGTCTCTCAGTTCTCTCAATAATAAAACATCCCTCCGAGAGTTGCTGTAAAGGTTAACATAGGGGGAGTCTTGCAAATAGTAGGTGCTAAAATCCTGTCTTGAAAAAAAAAAAAAATATATATATATATATATATATATATATATATATATATATATGAAGAGATGAGATCTTCAATTGTACAGACTGTCCCTGTACCCATTCATTTGCATTTCTTTTCCTTTACAATAATACATATCTATGATTTCCTTTCATTCCCACTGTCATCAATTTAGTTAGATTACTGGGCAGAGATCACCAGTGGGGCTAGAGTAAAATGAAAATAAATGTACATTGACTCTAGGTATTCCTAAGTAATAGCACAGTTTACTGTGTTCTCCCTCATAAATCCTGGTAGCTGAATGTTGCCTGCTTTTAGCAGTTACGTTTCTGCTCATCTCACCCTCAATGTTCATTAAGAAAATAGTTATTGAATGGCCAGGCTCACTGGCTCACGCCTGTAATCTATTACAGGCGTGAGCCACCGTACCCAGCCTTGGTTATCATATTTCTAATTTATAATAGTTTTTCTTGTTTTCTTATTGTTCATTTTTTATAGCATCCTGTTCTTATATTATGGATATATATCTTCAGGTCTCGCTGAAGAAATAAAGAGGTGTATGTGTATATATGTGTGTGTGTATTATCTTTATTTTTATTTTTTGAGATGGAATCTTACTCTGTCGCCCAGGCTGTAGTGCAGTGGCGCTTTTGGGAGGCTGAGGTGGAAGGATCACTTAAGGCCAATATTTGGAGACCAGCCAGGGCAACATAACAAGACCCCCATCTCTACAAAAAAATTAAAAATTAGCTGGCCATGGTGGTGAGTGCCTGTAGTCTCAGCTACTTGGGAGGCTGAGGCAGGAGGATTGCTTGAGCCCAGGAGGTTGAGGGGGGAGGTGAGCCATGATTGAGCCACTGCACTCCAGCCTAGGTGACAGAGTGAGACCCCATCTCTAAAAAAAAAGAGAGAGAGAAATAAAATAGTTATTGAGCACCTACTGTATGTCAGGTCCAAGACCCTAAAGATGTAAAGATGAATAAGGTGGTGACCCTGCCTTCCAGTTTCCACAAAGGTGGGGAATATGGATAAAAGCAGACAAAGCCATTGCCATGGGATAAGGGCAGAGAATAGCATGTGCAAATTATAGAAGGTGAGGGATAATATACCACTTTCCAGAAACTGATGGTTCAATGAGGCTAAAGCATGGAGTTCAAGAAAGGAAACCAGATGAGATTAACTGCAATGTGGTTCTCAAACTTAAATGTGCATAAAAACTGGCCTTGTTGACTGGGCACAGTGACTCACACCGGTAATCCAAGCACTTTGGGAGGTCGAGGCGGGCGGATCGCTTGAGGTCAGGAGTTCGAAACTAGCCTGGCCAATGTGGTGAAACCCCATTTCTTTTTTTTTCTTTTTCTTTCTTTTTTTTTTTTTTTTTTGAGACAGAGTCTCGCTGTCGTCCAGGCTGGAGTGCAGTGGCGTGATCTCGGCTCACCGCAAGCTCCGCCTCCTGGGTTCACGCCATTCTCCTACCTCAGCCTCCCGAGTAGCTGGGACTACAGGCACCCGCTACCATGCCCGGCTAATTTTTTTGTATTTTTAGTAGAGACGGGGTTTCACCATGTTAGCCAGGATGGTCTCGATCTCCTGACCTCGTGATCCGTCCGCCTTGGCCTCCCAAAGTGCTGGGATTACAGGCGTGAGCCACCGCGCCCGGCCTGAAACCCCATTTCTACTAAAAATGCAAAAATTAGCTGGGTGTGGTGGTGCACACCTATAGTCCCAGCTGCTCAGGAGGTTGAGGCGGGAGAATCACTTCAACCTGGGAGGTGGAGATGGAGTAAGCCAAGATCAAGCCACTGCACTCCAGCCTGAGTGACACAGCGAGACTCTGTCTCCAAAAAACAAACAAACGAACAAAAAACTGGCCTTGTTTACATAGTCTCGCAAGCTCCAAGCCTAGAGATCTTGATGGAGCGGGTCAGAGTGCTGCTGCTCGGAGGGCTACACTCTGAGAACCACCGATGGAGAAGAAGGGCGGGGTCAACTTGCAGAGCTGTGCTGGGAGGTGTGTGCTGCAGCCTTGAGGGGGTGAAGAACCTTTGAGAGGTTTTAAGCCTGCAAGAGATGTGGTCACATTTATATTTTAGAAAAATCACCCTGTGTGCAATATGAAAAATGAAACAGAGAGGGCAAGACTGGAGTCAGGGAGAGCAGTTAGGAGGCTGCTGCAGAAACCCAGGCAAGAAATCATAAAGACCTGAAATAAAACAATGCCAGTGGGGAACGGGGAAGAGAGGCCAAATCCAAGGGGTATTTAGGAGCCAGAATTGAGAGGGTGTGATGAGTGTTGATGGGATACAGGACAGGATCCTGAGATGGCTTGCAGGTCTTCAGCTTTGAGTGACCCATGGAAGCGAAGGAAGATGGGAAGGAGGGTGCCTATCACACAGAGAGAATGAAGGTTTGAGAGGCAAGTGTAGCTTTTGACATTTTGCTTTTGAAATGTCTATGGGACATCAGAAATAATCTCAAAAGACCACAAGTCAGGCAGGGCGCGGTGGCTCACGCTTGTAATTCCAGCACTTTGGGAGGCCGAGGTGGGCAGATCACGAAGTCAGGAGCTCAAGACCAGCCTGGCCAACATGGTGAAACCCCGTCTCTACTAAAAATTCAAAAATTAGCTGGGCATGGTGGCGGGCACCTGTAATCCCAGCTACTTGGGAGGCTGAGGCAGGAGAATCACTTGAACCTGGGAGGCGGAGGTTGCAATGAGCTGGGATCGAGCCATCGCACTCCAGCCTGGGCAACAAGAGTAAAACTCTGCCTAAAAAAAAAAAAAAACCATGAGTCACTGGTTAACAGCCTGAGCGGCAGAAATCTCACAGTTCTGAGTCTGAATCCTATCTAGCCTGGCTCTGAAACTCACAATCTGGAGCTGGGGCTTGGTGCAGTGGCTCAGGCCTGTAATCCCAGCACTGTGGGAGGCTGAGGCAGGTGGATTGCTTGAGGCCAGGAGTTTGAGAGCAGCCTGGCCAACATGGTGAAACCCCATCTCTACTAAAAATACAGTTAGCCAGGCATGATGGTGTGCACCTGTAATCCCAGCTACTTGGGAGGCTGAGGCACGACAATCGCTGGAGCCCAGGAGGCAGACGTTGCAGTGAGCCGAGATTGTGCTACTGCACTCCAGCCTGGGCAACACAGCAACACTGTCTAAAAAAAAAAAAAAAAATGCTGGGCGCGGTGGTTTACGTCTGTAATCCCACTTTTAGAGGCTGAGGTGGGAGGATCACCTGAAGCCAGGAGCTCAAGACCAGCCTGGCCAACATGGTAAAACCCGCCATCCCCTCCCTGCCATGCCCCATCTCCCCCAACACTCTCCCACCCTGTCTCTACTAAAAATACAAAAATTAGCCGGGTGTGGTGGCACACACCTATAATCTCAGCTACATGGGAGGCTGAGGCATAAGAATTGCTTGAGCCCGGAAGGTGGAGGTTGCAGTGAGCCAAGATCGCACCACTGCACTCCAGCCTGGGTGACAGAGCAAGACTCTCTCTTAAAAAAAAAAAAAAAAAGAATTTTTTTTTTAAATATAGAGATGGGCTTTCTGTGTTTCCCAGGCTATACTCAAGCTCCTGGGCTCAAGCTATTCTCCTGCCTCTGCCTTCAACCAGCCTCAATCCTCCAATTTTCTTATTTTTTATATTTTTCAACACCTTTTAAATTCTACATTCTGGCCAGCTGCAGTGGCTCATGCCTATAATCCAGCACTTTGAGAGGTTGAGATATGAGACTTGCTTGAGGCCAGGAGTTTGAGGCTTGCAGTAAGCTAGAATGGCGCCACGGCACAGCAGCTTGGGAGACAGAGCAAGACCTTGTCTCAAAAGAAAAAGAATTTAAATACTACATTCTAGGAGATTTCTTCAACCTTCAAATTTTGTATTGAATTTTTAATTTTGGCTTTTATTTATTTATTTTTTTTTTGAGACAGGTTCTCACTCTGTCACCCAGGTTGGAATGCGGTGGCTTGATCTCAGCTCACTGCAACCTCTGCCTCCTGGGTTCAAGTGATTCTCCTGCCTCAGCCTCCTGAGTAGCTGGGATTGCAGGCGTGGTCCAGCATGCCCAGCTTATTTTTGTATTTTCAGTAGAGACGGGGTTTCACCATATTGGCCAGGTTGGTCTCAAACTCCTGGCCTCAAGTGATCCACATGCCTCAGCCTCCCAAGGTGCTGAGATTACAGGTGTGAGCCACTGCACCCAGCCTTGGCTATCATATTTCTAATTTATGATAGTTTTTCTTGCTTTCTTATTGTTCATTTTTTATAGCATCCTGTTCTTATGTTATGGATATATATCTTCAGGTCTCGCTGAAGAAATAAAGAGGTGTATGTGTATATGTGTGTGTGTATTATTTTTATTTTTATTTTTTGAGACGGAGTCTCACTCTGTTGCCCAGGCTGGAGTGCAGTGGCACAATCCCAGCTGGCTGCAACCTCTGCTTCCCAGGTTCAACTGATCCTCCCACCTCAATCTCCCAAGTAGCTGGGATTACAGGCACCTGTCACCATGCCCGGCTAATTTTTCTTTCTTTGTTTCTTTTTTTTTTTTTTTTTTTTTTTTTGAGATAGAGTCTCTGTTGCCCAGGACGGAGTGCAGTGGTGTGATCTCGGCTCACTGCAAGCTCCACCTCCTGGGTTCAAGAGATTCTCCTGCCTCAGCCTCCCAAGTAGCTGGGATTACAAGCGTGTGCCACCACACCCAGCTAATTTTTGTATTTTTAGTAGAGATGGGGTTTCACCATGTTGTCCAGGCTGATCTCAAACTCCTGACCTCAAATGATCCACCTTCTTCAGCCCGCCAAAGTGCTGGGATTACATGCATGAGCCACCACACCAGCAAAATTTTTGTATTTTTAGTAGAGATAGGGTTTCGCCATATGTGTGTGTGTTTTAAGTTTTTCTGTTTTCATTTCTCTTGGCATATATACCTCGGAATGGAATTACTGGGTCATATGGGAGCTCTGTGTTAAACACTTGTGTCATATCTAAGAAAACTTGCTAATCCAAAGGTCATAAAGATGTATGTCTATGTTTTCCTCTAAGGCCAACATGGTGAAACACTGTCTCTATTAAAAAAATAAAAACTGGGCCGGGCATGGTTGCTCATGCCTGTAATCCCAGCACTTTGGGAGGCCAAGGTGGGTGGATCACCTGTGGTCGGGAGTTCGAGGCCAGCCTGATCAACATGCAGAAACCCCGTCTCTACTAAAAATACAAAAAAATTAGCAGGGCATGGTGGCGCATGCCTGTAATCTCAGCTACTTGGGAGCTGAGGCAGGAGAATCGCTTGAACGCAGGAGGCAGAGGTTGCGGTGAGCCAAGATCGTGCCATTGCACTCCAGCCTGGGCAACAAGAGCAAAACTCGGTCTCAAAAAAAAAAAAAAAAATTAGTTGGGCGTGGTGGCGCGCACCTGTAGTCCCAGCTACTCCAGAGGCTGAGGCAGGAGAATGGCTTGAACCCAGGAGGTGGAGGTTGCAGTGAGCTGAGATCATGCCACTGCACTCCAGCCTGGCAACAGAGCAACAGAGCAAGACTCCATCTAAAAACAAAAAAAAGAGTTTTCTACTTTTCAGTCTAACAAATGTTTTATAAACAAAGGCTTTGTTATATTTTGAGTTAATTTTTATAGATAATATGAGGTGAGGTTTCAACTTCATTCTATTGTGTGTGGGTATCCAGTTGTCCCAGGACCATTGTTTGAAAAGACTTTTTTTTCTACACTTTCTCTCATTGAATTGTCTTGGCATATTTGTTAAAAATCAGTTGACCTTGGCTGGGCACCATGGTTCACACCTGTAATCCCAGTATTTTGGGAGGCCAAGGCAAGAAGACCATTTGAGCCCAGAAGTTCAAAACCCGCCTGGGCAATATAGGCACACTCCATTTCTAAAAATAATTATTAAAAAGATTAGCTGGGCAGGCCAGACATGGTGGCTCACGCCTGTAATCCCAGCACTTTGGGAGGCCAATGCAGGTGGATCACCTGAGGTCAGAAGTTCAAGACCAGCCTGACCAACATGGAGAAACCCCATTTCTGCTAAAAATACAAAATTAGTCTGGAGTGGTGACTCATGCCTGTAAATCCCAGCTACTAGGGAGGCTGAGGCAGAAGAATTGCTTGAACCCAGAAGGCGGAGGTTGTGGTGAGCCGAGATTGCGCCATTGCACTCCAGCCTGGGCAACAAGAATGAAACTCTGTCTCAAAAAAAAAAAGATTAGCTGGGCGTGGTGGCACATGCCTGTGGTCCCAGTGACTTAGGAGGCTGAGGCAGGGGGATCGGGAGACGGAGGCTGCAGTGAGCCTTGATCACTGCACTCCAGCCTGGGTGACAGAGTGAGACCCTGTCTCAAAAAAGAAAAAAAATCAGTTGACCGTAATGTGAGCACTCATTTCTGGACTTTCAATTCTATTCCATTGATCTATATGTCAGTCCTTATGCCAGTGCCCAGGGGCTCAACTACTGGTACTGTGAATTAGATTTTGAATCAAGAAGCGTGAGTCTTCCAATTTTGTTCTTATTTTTCAAGATTGTTTTGTCTATTTGAAGTTCCTTACAATTTAATGTGAATTTTAGAATCAGCTTGTCCATTTTTGCAAAAAAGGTAGTTGGGATTTTGATAGAGATTGTGTTGAGTCTGTAGATCAATTTGGGAGGCATTGCTATGTGAAGAGTAGTAAGTGTTTCAATCCATGAACACACAATGTCTTTTCATGTATTTAAGTTTAATTTCTTTCAATAATGTTTTGTAGTTTGCACTTCCTTGGTTAAATTCATTCCTAAGTTTTTTTTGGTGCCATTACAAATGGAATTGTTTTATTAATTTCATTTTTGGATTGTTCATTTCTAGTGTATAGAAATTCAACTGAGCCAGGTGTAGTGGTGCACCACCTGTAGTCCCAGCTACTTGGGAGGCTGAGTCAGGAGGATTGCTTGTGGCCATGTTTGAGGCTATAGTGCATTATAATTGTGCCTGTAAATGATCACTGCATTCTAGCCTCGGCAACATAGTGCAGTCTTGTCTCTTAAAAAATAAATAAATAAACAACTGATTTTTGTACGTTGATCTTGTATCCTCCAACTTTGCAAAATTAATTTATTACTATTAAGACTTTGTGGCTGGGCACGGTGGCTCATGCCTGTAATCCCAGCACTTTGGGAGGCCAAGGCGGGCAGATCACGAGGTCAGGAGATCGAGACCATCCTGGCCAACACGGTGAAACCCCGTCTCTACTAAAAATACAAAAAATTAGCCAGGCGCGGTGGCAGGCACCTGTAGTCCCAGCTACTTGGGAGGCTGAGGCAGGAGAATGGTGTGAACCCGGGTGGCAGAGCTTGCAGTGAGCCAAGATAGCGCCACTGCAGTCCGGCCTGGGCAAAAGAGTGAGACTCCGTCTCAAAAAAAAAAAAAAAAAAAAGATTTTGCTTTATTTTGTGTTTGGTGTGGATACTTTAGGAACCAAAAGATAAATAAATAAGAACAAGGTCTAGCACTTTGGTCAAATTTATTCCTAAGTGTGTGTTTGTAAACGATATTGTAAATGAATTTTCTTAGTTTCATTTTCAGCTTGCTAATTGTTACTGTATAGAAATACAATTTATTTATTTATTTACTTTTTTTTTTTTTTTTTGAGACAGTCTCGCTCTGTTACCCAGGCTGGAGTGCAGTGGTGTGATCTCGGCTCACTGCAACCTCTGCCTCCTGGGTTCAAGCAATTCTCTTGCCTCAGTCTCCCGAACAGCTGTGATTACAGGTGCGTGCCGCAACCCCCAGCTAATTTTTGTATTTTTAGTAGAGATGGGTTTTCACCATGTTGGTCAGGTTAGTCTCAAGATGTTCTTTTTTTTTTTTTTTTTTTATCATTTTATTTATTTATTTTTTAATTTTTATTTTTTTTTAAATTTATTTTTTTATTGATAATTCTTGGGTGTTTCTCACAGAGGGGGATTTGGCAGGGTCATGGGACAATAGTGGAGGGAAGGTCAGCAGATAAACAAGTGAACAAAGGTCTCTGGTTTTCCTAGGCAGAGGACCCTGCGGCCTTCCGCAGTGTTTGTGTCCCTGATTACTTGAGATTAGGGATTGGTGATGACTCTTAACGAGCATGCTGCCTTCAAGCATCTGTTTAACAAAGCACATCTTGCACTGCCCTTAATCCATTTAACCCTGAGTGGACACAGCACATGTTTCAGAGAGCACAGGGTTGGGGGTAAGGTCACAGATCAACAGGATCCCAAGGCAGAGGAATTTTTCTTAGTGCAGAACAAAATGAAAAGTCTCCCATGTCTACTTCTTTCTACACAGACACGGCAACCATCCGATTTCTCAATCTTTTCCCCACCTTTCCTGCCTTTCTATTCCACAAAGCCGCCATTGTCATCCTGGCCCATTCTCAATGAGCTGTTGGGCACACCTCCCAGACGGGGTGGTGGCCGGGCAGAGGGGCTCCTCACTTCCCAGTAGGGGCGGCCGGGCAGAGGCGCCCCTCACCTCCCGGACGGGGCGGCTGGCCGGGCGGGGGGGCTGACCCCCCCCACCTCCCTCCCGGACGGGGCGGCTGGCCGGGCGGGGGGGCTGACCCCCCCCCACCTCCCTCCCGGACGGGGCGGCTGGCCGGGCGGGGGGCTGACACCCCCACCTCCCTCCCGGACGGGGCGGCTGGCCGGGCAGAGGGGCTCCTCACTTCCCAGTAGGGGCGGCCGGGCAGAGGCGCCCCTCACCTCCCGGACGGGGCGGCTGGCCGGGCGGGGGGGCTGACCCCCCCCCCACCGGTCAGGTTAGTCTCGAACTCCTGACCTCATGATCTGCTCACCTAGGCCTCCCAAAGTGCTGGGATTATAGGCATGAGCCACTGCGCCAGGCCAATTTTTTTTATATCACTCTTACACCTGCAACTTTGCTGAATTTGTTTACTTGTTCTGACGGTTTTGTGGATTCCTTAGAATTTCCTACATACAAGATCATGTCATATGCAAATACATATGGTTTTATTTCTTCCTTTCTAATTTGTGTGGCTTTTATTTCTTTTTCTTGCTAATTTCCTGGCTAGAAATTTAAGTATAATGTTGAATAGAGGTGGCAAGAGTGAATATCCTTGTCTTCTTCCTGATCTTAGGAGAAAAACTTATAGTCTTTCATCATTAAGTATTACCTGTGGGGCTGGATGCGATGGCTCAAGCCTATAATCACAGCACTTTGGGAGGCCAAGGCGGGTGGATCATTTGAGGTCAGGTGTTCAAGACCAGCCTGGCCAAGATGGTGAAACCCCCATCTCTACTAAAAACATCTCTACTAAAAATATAAAAACTTGGCGGGGTGCAGTGGCTCACACCTGTAATCTCACCACTTTAGGAGGCCGAGGCGGGCAGATCACGAGGTCAGGAGATCAAGACCATCCTGGCTAACACAGTGAAACCCATCTCTACTAAAAATACAAAAAAAAAAAAAAGAAAATTAGCTAGGTGTCGTGGCACACGCCTGTAGTCCCAGCTACTTGGGAGGCTGAGGCAGGAGAATCGCTTGAACCCGGGAGACAGAGGTTGCAGTGAGCCGAGATCACACCACTGCGCTCCAGCCTGGGCGACAGAGCAAGACTCCATCTCAAAAAAAAAAATAAACGTAAATTAGACAGGCATGGTGGTGCGCACCTGTAGTCCTAGCTACTCAGGAGGCTGAGGAAGGAGAATTGCTTGAACCTGGGAGGCAGAGGTTGCAGTGAGTCGAGAGCATGCCACTGCACTCCAGCCAGGGTGACAGAGTAAGACTCTGTCTCAAAAAAAAAAAAAAGGATTTATGGGAAGTAATTAAGGTCAAATGAGGTCATAAAGCTGGGCACTGATCTAATAGAATTAGTGTCTTTATGAGACGAGAACCCAGAGAGCTCCCTAGCTTTCTCTCTGCCACATGAGGCCACTTCAAGAAGGCAAGCCAGGTAATAAAGCCCACGCTGAGGTAGGAGGTGGAACTGGACTCCAGAGATGGGGCTTGGACACCAGACCAAATTGATGACTAGCTGAAACAGGGACAGGGTGAAAGCAGCTTTCCATAAGACACGCTCAACCAGTGCACCATGTCAGCTTACCATTTCCATGGCAGAACCCAGAGTTACCACCCCACCGCCTTTTTTTTGAGACGGAGTCTCACTCTGTCGCCCAGGCTGGAGTGCAGTGGCACAGTCTTGGCTCACTGCAAGCTCCACCTCCCGGGTTCAAGCGATTCTCCTGCCTTAGCCTCCCGAGTAGCTGGGATTACAGGCGCCTGCCACCGCGCCAAACTGATTTTTGTATTTTTAGTAGAGACAGTGTTTCACCATCTTGGCCAGGCTGGTCTTGAACTTTTGACCTCATGATCCACCTGCCTTGGCCTCCCAAAGTGCTGGAATTACAGGCCTGAGCCACTGTGCTCAGCCTACCACCCCTTTCAATGGCAACAACTTGACAACCCAGAAGTTATCAGCCTTTTTCTAGAAACGTCTGTATAGTCTGCCCCTTAATTTGCATGTAATTAAAGGTCAATGTAAATATGACTGCAGAACTGCCCTGAGCTGCTACTCTGGTCACACTACCTACAGGGTAGCCCTGCTCTGCAAGGAGCAGTCCCTCTGCTGTTGCTATAGGCCACTGCTTCAATAAAAGTTGGCATCTAGGCCAGGTGCAGTGGGTAATGCCTGTAATCCCAGCACTCTAGGAGGCTGAGGCGGGTGGATCATTTGAGGCCAGGAGTTTGAGACCAGCCTGGTCAACATGGTGAAACCCCATCTCTACTAAAAATACAAAAAAATTAGTTGGGTGTTTTGGCGCACACCTGCACTCCCAGCTACTCAGGAGGTTGAGGCGGGAGAATCACTTGAACCCAGGAGGCAGAGTCTGCAGTGAGCCACTGCACTCCAGCCTGGGTGACAGAGTGAGACCCTGTCCCGAAAAAAAAAAAAGTTGGCCTCTAACACCTTCGGTTTGCCCTTGAATTATTTCCTGGGTGAAGCCAAGAACCCTCTCAGTCTAAGCCCCAGTTTTGTGGCTTACCTGCCCTGCATCAACACCAGAAACTTAACCCTTTGGGAATCTCGATCTTGGACTTTCTAGCCTCTAGAACCATGAGAAAATGATCTGTATTATTAGGCTACCCAGTCTATGATATTCTGTTGTAGCCTGGGGTGACTAAGACATTGAGCCTGTATGACTTGAATTTTGTTACCTGCTTGGCCCCTTGATGGCATTTCAGTTTGTGACTCTTGGTTTACGTGATCACGAAGCCAAAACTGTTTAGGAAGGAAGCAAAATCAAGACAGATTAAAAATAAAAATAAAAAATAAAAGGCTGGGCACCGTGGCTCACGCCCTCCCAGCACGTTGGGAGGCAAAGGTAGGCAGATAACTTGAGGTCAGCAGTTCAAGACCAGCCTGGCCAACATGATGAAACCACATCTCTACTAAAACTACAAAAATTAGCCAGGCGTGGTGGTGGGCACCTGTAATCCCAGGTATTTGAGAGGGAGGCAGGAGAATCACTTGAACCTGGGAGGTGGAGGTTGCAGTGAGCCGAGATCACACCACTGCACTCCAGCCTGGGTGACAGAGCAAGACTCTCTCTCAAAAAATAAAATAAAATAAAATAAAATAAAATAAAATAAAATAAAATAAAATAAAATAAAATAAAGAGCCGAGCACGCTGGCTCACACCTGTAATCCCACACTTCGGGAGAAAGAGGTGGCAGGATTGCTTGAGCCCAGGAGTTTGATACCAGCCTAGGTAACATGGCAAAATCCCATCTCAATTTTAAAAAAATTTTAAAAAAGAATAATAGGGCTGGGCACGATGGCTCATGCCTGTAATCCCAGCACTTTGGGAGGCCAAGATGGATGGATCACCTGAGGTTGGGAGTTTGCGACCAGCCTGACCAACATGGAGAAACCCCATCTCCACTAAAAATACAATATTAGCAGGTCGTGGTGGCACATACCTGTAATCCCAGCTACTCGGAAGGCTGAGGCAGGAGAATCGCTTGAACCTGGGAGGTGGAGGTTGTGGTGAGCCAAGATCGTGCCATTGCACTCCAGCTTGGGCAACAAGAGTGAAATTCCATCTAAAAAAAAAAAAAGAAAGAAAGAAATAAGGTATTTTACATAAAGATTAAAAAGAAATTAAAACCATTATTTGAAGATAATGGCTTAAACAGAAACTCTGCAAATCCTTAGAATAAGAAAGTTCAGGCCAGGTGTAGTGGCTTGTGCCTGTAATCCCAATGCATTGGGAGGCTAAGGTCGGAGGATTGCTTGAGCCCAGGAGTTTGAGACAAGCCGGGTCAACATAATGAGATCGCATCTCTACAAAAAATTGAAAAATGAGCCAGGTGTGGCAGTGCGTGCCTGTAGTCCTGGCTACTCAGGAGGCTGAGGTGGGAAGGTCACTTGAGCCTGAAGAGTTCAAGGCTACAGTGTTATGATCATGCCACTGCACTGCACTCCAGCCTGGGAGACAGAGCAAGACCCTGAGACCCTGTCTCAAAAAACAAAATAAAAAACCCTCACTATATTGAACACAACATCAATGTTCAATAGCCACTCTCCTTCTCCTTTTCTAATAAAATTCCACTTTTTTGTGTTCCATCCCAGGACCACGATTTATCTAAACTGGTCATTCTGGATCAATAAGTTTGGCTAAAAATAAATAATATCGAAATTGGTCACAGGAAATCTATTCTTTTTTTTTTTTTTTTTTTTTTTTTTTTCAGACAAAGTCTCACTCTGTCGCCCAGGCTGGAGTGCAGCAGCATGATCTTGGCTCACTGCAACCTCTGCCTCCCGGGTTCAAGCAATTCTCTGCCTCAGCCTCCCAAGTAGCTGGGATTACAGGTGCCTGCCACCACGCCTGGCTAGTTTTTGTATTTTTAGTAGAGATGGGGTTTCACCATCTTGGCCAGGCTGGTCTTGAAGTCCTGACCTTGCGTTCTACCTGCCTTGGCTTCCCAAAGTGCTGGGTCTGTCACCCAGGCTGGAGTGCAATGGTGCAATCATGGCTCACTGCAGCCTCAACCTCCCTGGGCTCAGATGATTCTCCCACCTTAGCCTCTCAAGTAGCTGGGATTAAAGGCATATGCCACCATGCCCAGCTAATTTTTCTATTTTTTTTGTAGAGACAGGGCATCCCTACCTTGCCCAGGCTGGTCTTCAACTCCTGGTTTCAAAGGATCCTCCTGCTTCAGCCTCCCAAAGCACTGGGTCTATTATTCCCTTTCATATTCAAACTTAATTCTGCATTTTCAAGGCCTTGAATTTTCAAGGGCAGCTTTTTCTGTCCCTGAACTTAATCTTCAGCTCCTCTCACCTCCTGGGAGGTTGGGGGGTGGGGAAGAAAAGTCCCAACCCTCTAATCCTGCTTTGGTCTTTTGCCGCCAGCCCCCATCCTGAAGCTACCAGTCAATTTGTTTGCATACAAGAAGATATCACTTTGGAGATTCTAAGTGTATACGAGGAAATGAGGTCAAAGACCAAATATATATATTTCACTATATCACACTTCAAACTTTTGTTTACTGTTTCCCTTCTCCTACTCTATTATAAACCTTTGAGGGTGGGGACTGTGAGTTATTTATCTTTATATTCCCAGTGTCAAGAGTGTTTAGCTATAATGGGAATGAATCTCAAAGTTTCTTGAATAAATGACAAGAAGAATCATAGTTGCATGAACTAAATTCATTATTCTCAGTCCTTGAGGTAAATGAATATATTGATATTATGTCTGCTTACTCTTTTTTTGCGAGAGAGAGAAAGAGGAGGGAGGGAGGGAAGGAAGGAAAAAAGGAAGGAAGGCGAAAAGAGTGAAAGAAAAGAGAGAGAAAAAGAGAGAGAAAGAAGGAAGGGGAGGGAAGGAAGGAAAAGAAGGAGGGAAGAAGGGAAAGGGAGGGAGAGGAAGAAAAGAAAGAAGAAGGAAGGAAAGAAAGAAAGAAGAAAAGGAGGGAGGAAGGAACGAAGAAAGGGAAAGAAGGAGGGAGGGAGGGAAATGAAGGAAAGAAAAAAGAAAGAAAGAAAAAAGAAAGAAGAAAAGGAGGGAGGAAGGAAGGAGGGAGGGAAGGATGGAAGAAAGGGAAAGAAGGAGGGAGGAAGGGACATGAAGAGAATAAAGAAAGAAAGAAGAAAAGAAAAGAAAAAAGAAAAGAAAAGGGAGGGCTCTGCGGGCGGCGGCGGCGCGGGGAGCCGGTTGCAGGCCGAGATGCTGCAGATGGACCTGATCGACGCGACGGGGGACACTCCCGGGGCCGAGGAGGACGACGACGAGGAGCGCGCGGCCCGGCGGCCGGGAGCGGGGCCGCCCAAGGCCGAGTCCGGCCAGGAGCCGGCGTCCCGCGGCCAGGGCCAGAGCCAAGGCCAGAGCCAGGGCCCGGGCAGCGGGGACACGTACCGGCCCAAGCGGCCCACCACGCTCAACCTCTTTCCGCAGGTGCAGTTGTCTCAGGACACACTGAATAATAATTCTCTGGGCAAAAAGTACAGTTGGCAGGATCGGGTGTCTCGATCATCCTCACCCCTGAAGACAGGGGAGCAGACACCACCGCATGAACCCATTTGCCTGAGCGATGAGCTGCCCCCCCAGAGCAGCCCCGCCCCCACCACAGATCGAGGCACCTCCACCAACAGCCCACGCTGCTGGAGCTGGTGAGCCTGCGGCCGTGCTTCAGAGACTACAGTGACGAGAGTGACTCGGCCATCGTCTACGACAACTGTGCCTCCGTCTCCTCGCCCTATGAGTCAGCCATCGGAGAGGAATATGAGGAGGCCTCCCGGCCCCAGCCTCCTGCCTGCCTCTCCAAGGACTCCACGCCTGACGAACCCGACGTCCATTTCTCCAAGAAGTTCCTGAACATCTTCATGAGTGGCCGCTCCCGCTCCTCCAGTGCCGAGTCCTTCGGGCTGTTCTCCTGCATCATCAACCGGGAGGAGCAGGAGCAGACCCACCGGACCATATTCAGGTTTGTGCCTCGACACGAAGACGAACCTGAGCTGGAAGTGGATGACCCTCTGCTAGTGGAGCTCCAGGCTGAAGACTACTGGTACGAGGCCTACAACATGCGCACTGGTGCCCGGGGCATCTTTACTGCCTATTACGCCATCGAGGTCACCAAGGAGCCCGAGCACATGGCAGCCCTGGCTAAAAACAGTGACTGGGTGGACCAGTTCCGGGTGAAGTTCCTGGGCTCAGTCCAGGTTCCCTATCACAAGGGCGATGTCGTCCTCTCTGCCGCTATGCAAAAGATTGCCACCACCCGCCGGCTAACCGTGCACTTTAACCCGCCCTCCAGCTGTGTCCTGGAGATCAGCGTGCGGGGTGTGAAGATAGGTATCAAGGCCGATGACTCCCAGGAGGCCAAGGGGAATAAATGTAGCCACTTTTTCCAGTTAAAAAACATCTCTTTCCGCGGATATCATCCAAAGAACAACAAGTACTTTGGGTTCATCACCAAGCACCTCGCCGACCACCGGTTTGCCTGCCACGTCTTTGTGTCTGAAGACTCCACCAAAGCCCTGGCAGAGTCCGTGGGGAGAGCATTCCAGCAGTTTCACAAGCAGTTTGTGGAGTACACCTGCCCCACAGAAGATATCTACCTGGAGTAGCCGCGCAGCCCCGCCCTCTGCGTCCCCCGGCCCTCAGGCCAGTGCCAGGACAGCTGGCTGCTGACAGGATGTGGCACTGCTTGAGGAGGGGCACCTGCCACCGCCAGGGGATGAGGAAGTGGGGGCCGCTGGCTCAGGGTAGGGGAGGGTGGGGCAATGGGGAGAGGCAAATGCAGTTTATTGTAATATATGGGATTAGATTCATCTATGGAGGGCAGAGTGGGCTGCCTGGGGATTGGGAGGGACAGGGCTTGGGGAGCAGGTCTCTGGCAGAGAAGGATGTCCGTTCCAGGAGCACACGGCCCTGCCCCATCCTGGGCCATACCTCCCCTGCCAGGGCTCGGGTGCTCTGGCTCCTGCCTTGATGAAGCCCATGTCCTGCCTTGATGAAGCCTGTGCCACCTGCAAGTGCCCGCCCTGCCCCTGTCCCAACACCCACCGAAGAGCCCTGAGCTCAGGCTGAGCCCAGCCACCTCCCAAGGACTTTCCAGTGAGGAAATGGCAACACATGGAAGTGAAGTCCCTGTTCTCAGCTCTGTCATCTGCAGGGCTTCTGGGTGGCTCCTGCCACTGACCTCACTGGCATGCTAGCCTGTGGCAGGCCTAGGACCTCAGCGGGGAGGAGGAGCTGCTGCAAGGCCCTATCCCAGCAGGAGAGGGAGGCTTCCTGACTGACACAGGCTAGCCCCATCTTGGTCCTGTCACCCTGGCCCCAACTATTAAAGTGCCATTTCCTGTCAAAAAAAAAAAAAAAGAAAAGAAAAGAAAAGGGAGGGAGGGAGGGAGGCAGGAAGGAAGGAAGAGAGGGAGGGAGGGAAGGGAGGAAGAAAGGGAAAGAAGGAGGGAGGGAGGGAAATAGAAAGAAAGAAGGAAAGAAAAAGAAAGAAAGAGAAATAAAATAAAAATTAAAAAACCATAAGGTTAAAGTAAACCCTTTTTCTTCATACAGATTAAAACACATGACTTCAAATTACAGCTTTGCTTCTTAATAGCTTGGTGATGTAGGACGTTATGTAACCTCTCTGTGCCTCAGTTTCCTCATTTATAAAATAGGGCAATAATAATATCTAGCCCATAAGGCATTGTGAGGATTAAATGTGAAATGCTGATCACAAATACCTAGCAGCCCAATAGATACTCACTGTAATAATTATTATTTTTATAATTTCTGCAAAAGTATGGTGATGATTCTTGGGTTAACCTAAAGGCAGATTTTCTTTTATTTCTTCCTGTTTCTTTTCTTTTCCTTGTTCACTTTAAAGAATTAAAAAGAAAATTGATTCCAGCATTTTGGAATAAAAATTTGCATCAAAAAGAATTTATTCATTTTATTGACATACAAATAAAATGTCATTTGTTTATTCAATAAACATTTATTAAATGTCTGGTAAATTTCAGACATCATGCCAGGCACAGGGATGACAATGACAATAAGATGTGGTCTCTGCCCTCAGGGAGCTGATAGTCCAGGAGACTGACAAGTAGACAGGTGATTACATGCAATGTAACAAAGGCTATGATGTCATACAAGAAGACAAGTGGGAGTATGTGATGGGAGTATGGTTTTGACCAGTTCCTCCTCTTAGATTTATCCCTTTTTCTTTGGCTATAAAGCAAAAGAATTGGTCCTATTTTTTTTTCTTAACTTTGCAAATTAAACCATAAATTTTAATAACTTTATAAAGATAAAAGGCAAGCGGTCAGATTCAGTGGCTCACACCTATAATCCCAACACTTTGGGAGGCCGAGGCAGGTGGATAACCTGAGATCAGGAGTTCGAGACCAGCCTGGCCAACATCGCGAAACCCTGTCTCTACTAAAAATACAAAAATTAGCTAGGTGTGGTGGCAGGCACCTGTAATCCCAGCTACTCAGGAGGCTGAGGCAGGAGAATCGCTTGAACCTGGGAGGCGGAGTTTGCAGTGAGATGAGATGGAGCCATTGCTCTCCAGCCTGGGCTACAGAGCAAGACTCTGTCTCAAAACAAAACAAAACAAAACAAAACAAAAAGATGAGCAACTTGAATTATGGAGGACACTAGAAATAGTGTTTCCTACAGAATCAGGGCTTCCTACCAACATAGTCACTTCTAGGGTTTTCGACCTGAAAAGTTCTGTGGCACATTGTTTCTTTGCTATCCACTTTTTTTTCCCTATTTTTCCCCCTCTTTCTCTCCTCTACTTTATCTCCTAGAGATCTAGGTAGTTCCCAAAGGAATAATGCTTTACGGAGTCTAATGTTGATTTATTAGGTAAAAACAGAAAATGACTTTTTTTTTTACCCACAAGTTCCATACCAAAAAATGAATGTAAACTTCTTATGCAGTTTCACACATTGAAAATGCAGGTTATTTTAATTCCATTGCATTTTTCAGAATTCTCAATCGCAATCCTCTGACAACTGTTGAAGATCCGTATCTCTTTAAATTACTGGCATTAAAATATCTGTAAGTACTATAGTACTCTTGGGAGTCATGAGATGATTTATACTCTTTTTAAATTTTTCATCAAAGATTAAGTATTTTGCATTTAGGCTAAAATGTCATAATTTAAATTTTAACTGAGTTATTGAAAAACATTATTGGCAAAGGAAAGGATGTGTAATGGTCAAGATAGCCAGCAGGGGAAAGAGAACAGTGTTGAAGAACCCATATAGATTTGGAACATGTAGACACATGGAGGAATATTACTTAACCAAGAAAGCAAAGGGGAAAAGGTGTTCATTATTCTAAAAAGGAAGAAAAGAGTAAATAATCAAGATGGGTGAATGCAATATGAAAATGAGAAGTAAGATAATGGTAAAAAAAAAAAAAACAGTGTAAGACCTACTCTTGAATATCATTAATTTGATGATGCAAATCAACTTTAATTTCTTTAATAAGAGCTCTCTGGAATTTTGCGGCAAATAAACTGTTGAACTGGCTTGTTTTATAGGGAAGCCAAAATTGAAGTAATCACATGTCCTTGAATTATCTTTTTAAGTACAGAATTTTTTACTGGGGTTCATATCATGAATGTTTCGGCTTTCTTCTTCAGAGACGTGGGAACAACGCAAGTCCCACTTACAACACTTAAGAACATTCTCATGATGACCGTTGAACTGGAAAAACTGTAAGTTATTTTTTTCTTAGACTTATTTTCACCCTGTTGCGTTTTTAGGTTTGTTTTATTATTTTCTTAAGTCAGGTTTATTGAGATATAATTTTCATATACTAACATTGACCCTTTTTAAGTGTACAATTTGATGAGTTTTGACAAATGTATAGTTACATAACCACCACCACATTCCCAATATAAAGCATTTCTGTCGCCTCAAAAAGGTCCCTCGTGTCCCTTTGTAGTCAATCACCTCCTCCCACCGTCAGCCCCTGTTAGCTACTAATCTGATTTCCTATAGTTTTGCCTTTTCCAGAATATCTTATAAATGAAATCATATAGCATGTAGCCTCTTGTATTTGACTTCTTTCACTTAGCATAATTTTTTCTTTTTTGAGATGGAGTCTCACTGTTGCCCAGGCTGCAGTGCAGCGGCATGACCTAGACTCACTGCAACCTCCACCTCCCAGGTTCAAGTGATTCTCCTGCCTCAGCCTCCTGAGTAGCTGGGATTACAGGCACATGCCACCACGCCTGGCTAATTTTTGTATTTTTAGTAGAGACGAGGTTTCACCATGTTGGCCAGGCTGGTTTGGAAGTCCTGACCTCAAGTGATCCGCCCGCCTTGGCTTCCCAAAGTGCTAGGATTACACGTGTGAGCCACCTCACCTGGCCTCACTTATCATATTATTTTTTGAAATTATGCTGCCATCCATGTTGCTGCACCCATCACTACAGCTGGCCCTCCATATCTGCAGGTTCCTCATCCATGGATTCAACTGAACATGGATGGAGAATACTTGAAAAAAATGAAATATATAAAATAACTATAAGACAATAAAAACAGTAGAAAATTTAAAATACAGTATAATTATTTACATACCATTTACACTGTATTAGGTATTTAAAGTATACCTGAGGCTATATACAAACATTATGTCATTTCATAGAAAAGACTTCAGCATCTGTGGACTTTGGTGTCGGCAGGGGGTCCTGGAGCCAATCCCCTGCAGACACCGAGGGACAACTGTTCACTCCTTTTTATTGCTCAGTAGTATTCCAGTTGTGTGGAAACCCCATCTCTACTAAAAATACACAAATTAGCCAGATGTGGTGGCACACACCTGTAATCTCAGCTACTCAGGAGGCTGAGGCACAAGAAGTGCTTGAAGCTGGGAGGTGGAGGTTGCAGAGTCTCCTTTACACTTGCTGTCCTCCCTCCACTGCCGCCTGACACACTCCTCCCCAGCAGTGGCCTCTTCATAGGCAAATTTAAGGAGCACCTTTTAGTCCTTGTCCTGCTTGACTTGGCCCTGATGTTTGAAATTCTTGATAAATCTTTCTTCCGGAAACACACTCTTTCTATGCTTCCAGGAAATCTTTTTCTTGGTTCTCCAGACAACTTCTTAGACTCCTTGACCAATTCCTTCTTGTTGCCAACAATGGAAACAAACCAGCCCTACCTAAGCAAAGCACATTAAAACTCACTAGAAAGATACAGGGGAGGGGGCGCCCACTAAACCACTAAAGAGACAGGAGGTGGGGAGCTGTAGGACCAGGTTTGGGAACCTGCAAGAATCAAGACCAGAGCCCCTGAAATAGCAAGAAGCTGGAAGCACAGGAACTGTCAGAGCCAGATGGCTGTCACTGCAGTCAGCGCCTCTGATTGTTTGTTTTTGAGATGGAGTCTCGCTCTGTTGCCCAGGCTGGAGTGCAGTGGCATGATCTCGGCTCACTGCAACCTCCACCTCCCGGGTTCAAGCAATTCTCCTGCCTCAGCCTCCCGAGTAACTGGGACTACAGGAGCCTGCCACCATGCCCGACTAGTTCTTTATATTTTTAATAGAGATGGGGTTTCACCATGTTCGTCTCAAACTCCTGACCCCAGGCGATCCACTTGCCTCGGCCTCCCAAAGTGCTGGGATTACAGGCGTGAGCCACCATGCCTGGCCAGTTTTTGTATATTTAGTAGAGACTGGTTTTGCCATGTTGGCCAGGTTGGTCTCAAACTCCTGACCTCAAGTGATCCATCCACCTCCGCCTCCCAAAGTGCTGGGATTATAGGCATGAACCACTGTGCCCAGCCACCTCTGATAGTTTTCATCGTCCTCGGGCCACTGGCTCCCAAATCACGGTTCCAGACAAAAGCTTACAAGTAGTCCAGCTTTGGCCAGGCTCAGTGTGATGGTTAATACTGAGTGCCAACTTGATTGGATTGAAGGATACAAAATATTGATCTTGGGTGTGTCCGTGAGGGTGTTCCCAAAGGAGATTAACATTTGAGTCAGCGGGCTGAGAAAGGCAGACCCACCCTTAATCTGGGTGGGCACAAGCTAATCAGCTGCCAGCAAGGCTAGAATATAAGCAGGCAGAAAAATGTGAGAGACTGGCTTAGCCTCCCAGCCAACATCTTCCTCCCGTGCTGGATGCTTCTTACCCTCCAACATCGGACTCCAAGTTCTTCAGTTTTGGAACTCAGACTGGCTCTCCTTGCTCCTCAGCCTGCAGACGGCCTATTGTGGGACCTTGTGATCCTGTGAGTTAATACTTAATAAACTCCTGTATATATTCCATTAATTCTGTCCCTCTAGAGAACCCTGACTAATACGCTCAGTGACTCACACCTGTAATCCCAGTACTTTGGGAGGCTCAGGCAGGAGGATGGCTTGAGCCCCAGAGTCTTCTTCTTCTCCTTCTCCTTGTCCTTCTCTTCCCTTCCCCTTTCTCCTCTTCCTCTTCCTTCTCTTCCTCTTCCTCTTCCTCTCCTTCCTCTTCCTCTTCTTCCTCTTGTTTGTTTGAGAAAGGTTCTCCCTCTGTTGCCAAGGCTGGATTGTAGTGGCACAATTGTGACTCACTGCTTCTCAGCCTCCTGAGAGCCCAGGAGTTTGAGGCTGCAGTGAGCTATGATCACACTACCACACTCCTGCCTGGGTGACAGAGCAAGACCCTGTCTCAAAAAACAAACAAAAAACTCTGGTATGATAGAGGTGAATTGTCTGTTTTATCCTGATAATTCTGCTTACCTTAGTCCCGTGGTTCTCAACTGGGCCAATTTTGCTCCCCAAGTGACATTTGGCAATATCTGGGCAGAGGTCAAGGACGCTGCTTAACATCTTTTTTTTTTTTTTTTTGAGACACAGTTTTGCTCTTGTTGCCCAGGCTGGAGTGAAATGGCACGATCTCGCCTCACTGCAACCTCTGTCTCCCGGGTTCAAGCGATTCTCCTGCCTCAGCCTCCCGAGTAGCTGGGATTATGGGCATGCACCATCACGCCTGGCTAATTTTGTATTTTTAGTAGAGATGGGGTTTCTCCATGTTGGTCAGGCTGGTCTCAAACTCCCAACCTTAGGTGATCAGCCCACCTCAGCCTCCCAAAGTGCTGGGATTACAGGTGTGAGCCACCTCACCTGTCCTGCTTAACGTCTTAAAACACACAGGACAATTCCCCCATAAAAAATGATGACCAGCCGAAAATGTCAACAGTATCAAGGTGAAGAAATTGCCATAAAGGCTTGGTAAACAGGGATGGTATGACGACACTATTGATAGGCCACATTAAAATACTTAGGGCCATATCCATTATCCCTGTTTTTATGATTTCTTCTTTGTCCCCATGCAGTTTCAGGGGCAAAATAAGGGAGTAAGTCAGAGGTGGTTCCAAATAGACATCTGGGAATCTTAGGGTGTAATATGGCCCTCATGGAGGCCCTTGCTGAGCTTAGGGCCTGATTCTGGAATCCTAGCATTGCCAAGAGAGGCAGGCTGGCAGGTGAGAAGACAAATAATGGGAGAGCCCACATATGTTGGAATTCATTTGATGGTATCTAAGCTGGGGTGATTGTCCCCACTAGCATTACATGACTATGGATCCAGTTATTTGGAGAAATCCATTTCCTCCACAGGGAATATATACTACATTAGAACCAAAGATGGAATCCTTAGTAAATGGAATCATTTGGCAAAATTCAGTTGTCTGAAATTTTTGCATAAAATTCTCTTTTTTATTTTCATTGAGCCAAATAAATAAAGTATCAGGTATTTACTGGGGTCACCATTCTTTGATTCATTGATTTTTTTTTCAGACAGGATCTCGCTGTCACCCACGTTGGAGTGCAGTGGCATAATCTCAGTTCACTGCAACCTCCACTTCCTGGGCTTAAGTGATTCTCCCACCTCAGCCTCCCAAGTAGCTGGAAATACAGGCGCGTGCCACCATGCCTCCATTTTCTTTCTTTTTTTTTTTTTTTAATTGATCATTCTTGGGTGTTTCTCGCAGAGGGGGATTTGGCAGGGTCATAGGACAATAGTGGAGGGAAGGTCGGCAGATAAACAAGTGAACAAAGGTCTCTGGTTTTCCTAGGCAGAGGACCCTGCGCCTTCCGCAGTCTTTGTGTCCCTGGGTACTTGAGATTAGGGAGTGGTGATGACTCTTAAGGAGCATGCTGCCTTCAAGCATCTGTTTAACAAAGCACATCTTGCACCGCCCTTAATCCATTTAACCCTGAGTGGACACAGCACATGTTTCAGAGAGCACAGGGTTGGGGGTAAGGTCACAGATCAACAGGATCCCAAGGCAGAAGAATTTTTCTTAGTATAGAACAAAATGAAAAGTCTCCCATGTCTACCCGCCTCTACACAGACACGGCAACCATCCGACTTCTCAGTCCTTTCCCCACCTTTCCCCCCTTTCTACTCCACAAAACCGCCATTGTCATCATGGCCCGTTCTCAATGAGCTGTTGGGTACACCTCCCGGACGGGGCGGCTGGCCGGGCGGGGGGCTGACCCCCCCACCTCCCTCCCGGACGGGGTGGCTGCCGGGCGGAGACGCTCCTCAATTCCCAGACGGGGCGACTGCCGGGCGGAGGGGCTCCTCACTTCTCAGACAGGGCGGTTGCCGGGCGGAGGGGCTCCTCACTTCTCAGACAGGGCGGTTGCCGGGCGGAGGGTCTCCTCACTTCTCAGATGGGGCGGCCGGGCAGAGACGCTCCTCACCTCCCAGATGGGGTCACGGCCGGGCAGAGGCGCTCCTCACATCCCAGACGGGGCGGCGGGGCAGAGGCGCTCCCCACATCTCAGACGATGGGCGGCCGGGCAGAGACGCTCCTCACTTCCTAGATGGGATGGCGGCCGGGCAGAGACGCTCCTCCCTTTCCAGACTGGGCAGCCAGGCAGAGACGCTCCTCACTTCCCAGACGGGGTGGCGGCCGGGCAGAGGCTGCAATCTCGGCACTTTGGGAGGCCAAGGCAGGCGGCTGGGAGGTGGAGGTTGTAGCCAGCCGAGATCACGCCACTGCACTCCAGCCTGGGCACCACTGAGCACTGAGTGAACGAGACTCCGTCTGCAATCCCGGCACCTCGGGAGGCCGAGGCTGGCGGATCACTCGCGGTTAGGAGCTGGAGACCAGCCCGGCCAACGCAGCGAAACCCCGTCTCCACCAAAAAAATACGAAAACCAGTCAGGCGTGGCGGCGCGTGCCTGCAATCGCAGGCACTTGGTAGGCTGAGGCAGGAGAATCAGGCAGGGAGGTTGCAGTGAGCCGAGATGGCGGCAGTACAGTCCAGCATCAGAGGGAGACCGTGGAAAGAGAGGGAGAGGGAGACCGTGGGGAGAGGGAGAGGGAGGGGGAGGGGAGGGGGAGAGGGAGAGGGAGAGGTGCATTTTCTTATAAACCCAATTTCCTCTTTAGTGCAACTCTACCATTTGAAAGGAACCTTTCTATTGTAATTTACAAGCTGTGAATAACCGCTATGTAATTCTTTCCAAGGATTAATAAACTGAGAGAGGATTTGAACCAACAGAGGTAGGGGAAGATTAGAAGGGGGATGCAAGTGGCCACAGATCTTAGAGGCGGCCAGCAGAGGGCGCTGCTCCAAGGTGAAGGTCGCACCCTGAGAGGCCATCCTTTTTTGTAGGACCAGACTGGGGTGTAAGGACAGTGCCTCATCCTCACAACGACAGACCCGTGTTCTGGGTGTGGATTTGCCTCCCTTGCCTGCGGGACTTCTGCTAGCACTGCCGTTCCTAGACTTAGACCATGCTAGAATGAGTCCAGGAACCGAGGAGAGGAGATGGGAGTGGCTCCTCCCACTGTGGCCCCTAATAATTCACATGAAGAATTTTTGCTTTCCTTGCCAGGGACCCGGGACTCAGTGGGTCCAGAGGTCCTAGTGCCAAAGGAAGAAATGTGTAGATCAGGAAATACTATTATGGTTTTATTCAACTGGAAGCCGAGGCTGGCCATTTATTGTATTTATTTATTTATTTATCTATCTATTTATTTATTTATTTAGAGACAGAATCTCACTCTTGTTTCCCAGGCTCCCAGGCTCAAGAGATCCTCCTACCTTAGCCTCCTGAGTAGCTGGTACTACAGTCGCATGCCACCTTGCCCAGCTAATTTTTTTTTTTTTTGAGACGCAGTCTCATTTTGTTGCCCAGGCTAGAGTGCAGTGGCGCGGTCTTGGCTCACTGCAACCTCCACCTCCTGGGTTGAAGCGATTCTCCTGTCTCAGCCTCCGGAGTAGCTGGGATTACAGGCATGTGCCACCGCGCCTGGCAATTTTTTTTTTTTTAGTAGAAGCGGGGTTTCACCATGTTGGCCAGGCTGGTCTCAACTCCTGACCTTGTGATCCGCCTGCCTCAGCCTCCCAAAGCACTGGGATTGCAGACATAAGCCACCGCGCCTGTTTTTTTTGTTTTGTTTTGTTTTCTGACAGAGTCTCTGTCACCCAGGCTGGAGTGCAGTGGTGTGATCTCAGCTCACTGCAACCTCTGCCTCCTGGGTTCAAGCGATTCTCCTGCCTTAGCCTCCCAAGTAGCTGGGATTATAGGCGCACACCACTATGCCCAGCTAATTTTTGTATTTTTAGTAGAGGTGGGGTTTCACCATGTTGGCCAGGCTGGTCTCAAACTCCCGACTTCAGGTGATCCACCCACCTCGGCCTCCCAAAGTGCTGGGATTATAGGTGTGAGCCATCAAGCCCAGCCCTGCCCAGCTAATTTTTACACTATGGGCAAGTATGCTGCCCAAGAGTGCTCTGGAACTCCTGGGCTCAAGTGATCTTCCTTCCTCGGCCTCTCAATGTGCTTGGATTACAAGCATGAGCCACCTTGCCCAGCCGAAGCTGGCCATTTAAAGTTCCTCATGCTGCTGAATCAATAAGGATGGAAGGCGGCTACTATTATGGGCTAAGTGTTTGCATCCTCCCCAAATTCTTTTTTTTTTTTTTTTTTTGAGATGGAGTTTTGCTCTTGTTGCCCAGGCTAGAGTGCAGTGGCGCGATCTCTGCTCACTGCAACCTCCACCTTTCAGGTTCAAGTGATTCTCCTGCCTCAGCCTACCGAGTTAGCTGGGATTACAGGCATACGCCACCACACCCGGCTAATTTTGTATTTTTAGTAGAGATGGGGTTTCTCCATGTTGGTCAGGCTGGTCTCAAACTCCCGACCTCAGGTAATCTGCTGACTTCAGCCTCCCAAAGTGCTGGGATTACCAGCATGAGCCACCGCGCCCGGCCCCCAAATTGTTTTTTGTTTTTTTTTTTTGAGACGGAGTCTCGCTCTGTCACCCAGGCTGGAGTGCAGTGGCATGATCTTGGCTCACTGCGAGCTCTGCTTCCTGGGTTCACGCCATTCTCCTGCCTCAGCCTCCCGAATAGCTGGGACTACAGGCGCCCGCCACCACGCCTGGCTAATTTTTTGTATTTTTAGTGGACACGGGGTTTCACCGTGTTAGCCAGGATGGTCTCGATCTCCTGACCTCGTGATCTGCCTGCCTCAGCCTCCCAAAGTGCTGGGATTACAGGGGTGAGCCACCACGCCCGGCCTCGGCCCCCAAATTCTTATGTTGAAGCCCTCACCTCCATGTGATGGTATTAGAAGGTGGGGCCTTTGGGACGTAATTAGGCTGACAGTGCCCCATGATGGGATGAGTGTCTTAAAAGAAAAGACCAGGTGGTCTGGCTAGTGGCTCACCCCTGAAATCGCAGCACTTTGGGAGGCCAAGGTGGGTGGATCACTTGAGATCAGGCGTTTGAGACCAGCCTGGGCAATATGGTGAAAAGCCATCTCTACTAAAAATACAAAAATTAGCTGGGCGTGGTGGCGCAAGTCTGTAATCCCAGCTACTTGGGAGGCTGAGGTGGGAGAATCGCTTGAACCCAGGAGGTGGAGGTTGCAGTGAGCCCAGATCATGTCATTGCACTCCAGCCTCCAACCTGGACAGAGAGAGCATCTGGAGAGTCTCTGTCTCAAAACAAAAAGAAAAAAAAAAGAAGAGACCAGAGAGCCTTTCTTCTCTTTGTCCACCAAGTGAAGATATGGCAAGAAGGCAGCCATCTGCAAGCTAGGAAAAGAGCCCTTGCCAGCACCCAATTGTGCTATCACCCTGATATGGGACTTCCCAGCCTCCAGAACTGTGAGTAATCAATGTCTATTGTTTAAGCCACCCAGTATGTAATACTGAGCTGACTAAAACCATCACCGAACTAGCCTCTTTACATATGATTAGCAAGAGGAAAATGGCTCTGTTACTTAATGGAGGAAGGAGGCTATGTCTGAAAGCCAAAAATTCACTGGGGACACATCTTAGCAGGCTCTTGACCCTAAGACCTGGTTAATGGAAAAGTAGAGCAACCCAATAAAAACAAGACCACCAAGAAGTCAGGTCTTATGGAATAAAGTATTGAGTGTCCCTATGAGGCACAGAACCCTTCGAAAGGGGATTGGAAGAAGTGGTGAAGAAGGCGGCTATGATTATCAACTTAGACTTCATCGCCATTTGTAGAAGGAGGCTTCTAACAGCTATGTTTTATGTTAATTGGCTCTTTTCTCTTCTTTTTTCTTTCAACCTTATATTAAGAGCACTGGCAGAAGCTAGCGGTTTTGGCATCCTGTAATTATTAGCTGTATAACCTTGGCCAAGTAACTCAACCTTTCTGTGCCTCAGTTACTCATCTGTAAAACAGGGTAATAAGTCTCAACCTCGTACTTATGTTGTTATAAAGATTTAACACTAGGCTGGGCATGGTGGCTCACACCTGTAATCCCAGCACTTTGGGAGGCCGAGGAGGGTGGATCACCTGAGGTCAGGAGTTCAAGACCAGACTGGCCAACATGGCAAAACCCTGTCTCTACTAAAAATACAAAAAATTAGCTGGGTGTGGTGGCACGTGATTGTAATCCCAGTTACTCGGGAGGCTGAGGCAGGAGAATTGCTTGAACTAAACCTGGGAGGCGGAGGTTGCAGTGAGCCAAGATCGTGCCACTGCACTCTAGCCCAGGCAACAGAGTTAGACTCTGTCTCAAAAAAAAAAAAAAAAAAAATTAACACTTTGAACAAAAAAGAAAAAAATAATAAAATTTAAAAAAGATTTAACAATTGGGCCAGGCATAGTGGCTCATGCCTGTAATACCAGCACTTTGGGAGCCTGAAGAGGGAGGATTACTTGAACCCAGGAGTTCCAGACCAGCCTGGACAACAAAGCAAGACTTTGTTTCTACTTAAAAAAAAAAAAAAAACACCAAAGTCAGGTGTGGTGGTACACACCTGTGATCCCAGCTACTTGGGAGGCTGAGATGGGAGGATCCCTTGAGCCTTGGAGGTTGAGGCTGCAATGAGCCATGATCATACCACTGCACTCCAGCCTAGGCGACAGAGTGAGGCCCATGTCAAAAAAAAAAAAATGATCCCCAACATTTAGCAGCTTAAAACAAAAAACATTTATTATATCACACTTTCTGTGGGCCAGGAATCTGGGAGGGACTTAGCTGGGTGGTTCTGCTCAGTTCTCTTGGGATGTTTCAGTCAAGCAGTGGCCTGGGGCTGCACTCTTATCTGAAGACTCAATTGGGAGAAAATATGCATTCAAGGTCACTCATTGGTTGTTGGCAGGCTGTAGTTCCTTACTGAATATTGGTTGAAGACTTCATTGGCTTACTACCTGGACTTCTCCATAGACTGCTTGAATGTCCTCCCCACATAGCTAGAGTGAATGACTAAAAAAGAGAGAGAACACACACAGCCCAGGTAAGAGTTCAGTCTTTCTAAGTCATTATATGAAAGAGATTCTTTTTTTTTTGAGATGGAGTCTCGCTCTGTCGCCAGGCTGGAGTGCAGCGGCACGATCCCAGCTCACTGCAACCTCTGCCTCCTGGGTTCAAGTGATTCTCCTGCCTCAGCCTCCCAAGTAGCTGGGATTACAGGCGTGTGCCACTATGCCCAGCTACTTTCTGTATTTTTAATAGAGATGGGGTTTTACCATGTTGGCCAGGATGGTCTTGATCTCTTGACCTTGTGATCCACCTGCCTTGGCCTCCCAAAGTGCTGGGATTACAGGCGTGAGCCACCACGCCTGGCCGAAAAAGATTCTTGCACACACATGTTTATAGTAGCACTATTCACAATTGTAAAAATGTGGAACCAGTCCAAATGCCCATCAATCAATGAGTGGCTAAAGAAACTGTGGTATAGATATACAGTGGAATACTACTCAGTCATAAAAAGGAATGAATTAATGGCATTTGCAGCAACC
Source organism: Homo sapiens (assembly GCF_000001405.40). Taxonomy (NCBI): domain Eukaryota; kingdom Metazoa; phylum Chordata; class Mammalia; order Primates; family Hominidae; genus Homo; species Homo sapiens. Next base: position 961,100 of record NT_187663.1, read on the forward strand.
TGGACGGGATTGGAGACTATTATTCTTTTTTTTTTTTTTTTTTTTTTTTTGAGATAGAGTCTCACTTGGTCACCCAGGCTGGAGTGCAGTTGCGCAATCTTGGCTCACTGCAAGCTCTGCCTCCTGGGTTCACACCATTCTCCTGCCTCAGCCTCCCAAGTAGCTGAGACTACAGGCGCCTGCCACCACGCCCGGCTAATTTTTTTTTTGTATTTTTAGTAGAGACCGGGTTTCACCATGTTAGCCTGGATGGTCTCGATCTCCTGACCTCGTGATCCGCCCACCTCAGCCTCCCAAAGTGCTGGGATTACAGGCATGAGCCACCGCACCCGGCCTATTTTTTTTTTTTTTTTTTTTTTTTTTTTTTTTTTTTTACTAACCAGGGGTTTAACATAAATACAACCAGCATAGAAAGACCCAAAACTATACAGAAACCAAAACCAGAATGCCATGTGGTGGAGGCAAAGGGCAGAATTTCTGACCCCTTTGGCTCAGCTGCCCTTCCCCACAAATAAAAACCAACAAAGAGGACAAATCAGGACAATAAAAAAGATTCATGCTAAGCTGTGGCAGAGGGAAGGTATGATCGGGTGGGGGTGGGATAAGGAATGGCCATGGAAGATAACTGGGTCAGGTTGGACCCTGGGCTGGGAGGGGGAGGGCAAGGCCCCTCACCACAACTTAAGCCAAACCTAAGCTGCCCCCAGGTGCCATAGGTCCCTGTCCCAGCAGGGAGGCTGATGGGCCTGGGCCCATGCCCCTCCCCACCTTTGGGGGTCAGATAGTGGCCACCCAGGTTTGCTGGGTTGGGGCCTGACACAGGCTCTGCATGCCCATTCGGGCTGCCTGTGGAGAGAGAATGGAGTCACTGTTTAACCATGCTACCTGCCTCAGCCCCAGCAGACCACAGGAGGTTGGCCCCAGACTTACTGAGTGCCTGCAGCAGCCCTACAGACACAGCATCCTTGGCCACCTCATGCCCATCCCGGCCATCTAGGGTCAGCACAACCCAGATGAGGCCGCTGAAGGGCACCGGATGCCCAGGAATCACCACCTGGTACCAGAAGCGGTGCCAGCCAGCAGGTCCTATGCCCAAACACTTGGTGAGGAACACAGGGCTGCCCAGCTTCATTCGTTGGCACAGCAACTGCAGGGTAGCCCGAGCCCCTTGGGACCCTAACTTGTCCCTTGCCAAGGCCAACTGGCTGCCCTCTGGCTGTGGGGACCGCAAGGAGGGACCCACAAGCTGCTGGCGAAGTCGCTGCTTCAGTTCTGGCTTGAGCCACTCCACAGCCACCTGCTCTCCACAGAGGTGTGGCTGCCCTTCCTCCAGGGCCTTTTTGGCCATGGCAGCGGTCCAGTGCGAGCTGAATTTGAGCAGAGCGATCTGCCCGGGCGCAGGTCCGGGGCTGGGCAGCAGCCGCGCCTCCTGCAGGCCGGGACCCAGCGGCTGCAGCGCGGGCTGCAGCGCGGTGCGGGTCAGATTCGGCGGCAGGCAGTCAACGCTCAGCTCACACTTCCCGGTGCTGCGGCACACGAGCAGCGGGCAGGACGGCCGCAGCGGGTGGTTGTGCAGCGGGCGATGGCGGCCTGCGCGCCGCGCCGCGAGCTGCAGCGGGCATATGCGAAGCCGCGGTTCAGGCCGCTGAAGGTCATCATCAGGCGGAACTCGTAGAGGCGGCCCACGCGCTGGAACAGCAGGATAAGCTGGTGCTCATACACTTCCTGAGGCAGCCGCCCGATGAACACCTCTGACCCAGCCGGCGGCGGGCTGCCCACCCAGCCTGGGGGTGGCCCGCCATACTTCCTCTGCCCGTTCACCTGCACCAGGCGATGCCTGTCTCCCTGACCCACGCCTCCAGCGCCGCCTTCACCCTCTCACACCACAGCTCACAATCCCGCTTGGACTGCATGGCTCTCTATTCTCTTTTTTTTTTTTTTTTTTTTTGAGACGTAGTTTCACTCTTGTTCTCCAGGCTGGAGTGCAATGGCGGGATCTTGGCTCACCGCAACCTCCGCCTCCCGGGTTCAAGCGATTCTCCTGCCTCAGCCTCCCAAGTAGCTGGGATTACAGGCATGCGCCACCATGCCTGGCTAATTTTGTATTTTTAGTAGAGACGGGGTTTCTCCCTGTTGGTCAGGCTGGTCTCAAACTCCCGACCTCAGGTGATCCACCCACCTCGGCCTCGCATAGTGCTGGGATTACAGGCATGAGCCACCGTGCCCCGTCTATGGAGACTATTATTCTCAGCGAAGTAACTCAGGAATGGAAAACCAAACATCGTACGTTCTCACTCATAAATGGGAGCTAAGCTAGGAGGATGCAAAGGCATAAGAATGACACAGTGGACTTTGGGGAATCAGGGGGAAAGGATGGGAAGGGGGTGAGGGATAAAAGACTATTAATTGGGTGCAGTCTATATTGCTTGGGTGATGGGTGCACACAAATTTCACAAATCACCACTAAAGAACTTACTTACGTAACCAAACACCAGCTGTTCCCCAATATCCTATGGAAATAAAAATTTTTTTTTAGAAAAAGAGTTCGGTCTTTCTGTAACCTAATCTTGGAAGTGTATATTATCACTTCTTCCATAGGCTATCAGTCTCCCAGACCAACCCTGCTACAGGGTAGGGGAGACTACATGGTATGTGAATACCAGAAAGTGGGGGCCACTGGGGACTGGCTATTTGGAGGATGGTTACTACAAACTATATTTGTAATTTTTTTTTTCTTGAGATGGAGTCTTGCTCTGTTGCCCAGGCTGGAGTGCAATGGCACGATCTCAGCTCGCTGCAACATCCACCTCCTGCGTTCAAGTGATTCTCCTGCCTCAGCCTCCCGAGTAGCTGGGATTACAGGCACGCACCACCACACCCAGCTAATTTTTTGTATTTTTAGTAGAGATGGGGTTTCTCCATGTTGGTCAGGCTGGTCTCAAACGCCTGACCTCAGGTGATCTGCCCGCCTCGGCCTCCCAGAGTGCTGGGATTACAGGCCCGAGCCATGGTGCCTGGCTATATTTGTAATATTTTAACCACTAAAAAAAAAAAAAAGAAGAAGAAGAAGAAGAAAAAGAAACAAGTATGGGAAAATATTAAGATCTGATAAAACCGGGTTATACTTATGCAGGTATTCATTACATTATTCTCCATAACTTTTTAAATGTTTAATAATAAAAGTAAAAATATTTTCCCCTTAAAAATGTGCAGAGCATACCTCAAATAATGTTGACAAAGAATCCTAAAGACAATTATTATTATTATTATTTTTTGAGACAGGTTCTTGCTCTGTTGCCCAGGCTGGAGTGCAGTGATGCCACCTGAGCTCACTGTAAACTCCGTCTCCCGAGTTTAAGCAATTCTCCTGTCTCAGCCTCCTGAGCAGCTGGGACTACAGGCGAGCACCATCATACCTGGTTAATTTTTATATTTTCAGTAGAGACGGGGTTTCATCATATTGCACAGGCTGGTCTTGAACTCCTGGCCTCAAGTGATCCACCCACCTTGGCCTCCCAAAGTGCTAGCATTACAGGCATGAGCCACTGCACCGGGCCTCTCAAACTCCTGACCTCAGGTGATCCACCTGCCTTGGCCTCCCAAAGTCCTGGCATTATAGGCGTGAGCCACTGCGCCCGGCCGATCTTCCTTCCTTTCTCCCTTCCCCTCTTCTTCTTCTTCTTCTTCTTCTTTTTTAATTAATAGAGATGGGATTTTGCCATGTTGCTTAGGCTGGTTTCAAACTCCTGGGCTCAAGCTATCTGCTCGCTTCAGCTTCCCAAAGTCCTGGGATTAAGGGCGTGAGCCACTGCGCCTGGCCCCAGTAAGGATTTAAAAGCTCAGGAATTATTAGTCAGCTTCCTTTTTTGTTCATCCTGTTGTTTGTTCATTTCAGTCTATTCCCTTTTTATAATTTCCTTCTTCATAAGGACTATTTCTCCTTGTACTTTTGTGAGAATTCCCGTAACTTGTAATCCCAGCTACTTGGGAGGCTGAGGCAGGAGAATCACTTGAACCGGGAGGCGGAGGTTGCGGTGAGCCGAGATCAAGCCATTGCACTCCAGCCTGGGCAACAAGAGCAAAACTCGGTCTTGGAAAAAAAAAAAAAAGAAAAGAAAAGAAAAAAGAAAGGAAGGAAGATCCTCATTGGACAGAGCAAAAAGCAGAATTGATGGCACTGAAAATGAAATCAGCAGCTGATGTACAAGTTCCAGAATGTCTCCTAGAGTAACAAGGAAATCCGGGTGTGGTAGTTTATGCCTGTCATCCAAGCACTTTGTGAGGCCAAGGAGGTTAGTTAGCTTGAGCCCAGGAGTTGGAGACCAGCCTGGCCAACATGGTGAAACCCCATCTCTACAGAAAATATAAAAGTTAGCTGGGTTTGGTGGTGGGTACCTGTAGTCCCAGCTACTCTGGAGGCGAAGGAGGGAGGATCACCTGAGTCCCGCGAGGTCAAGGCCACAGTGAGCCTTGATAGAGTTTTGCCACTGCACTCCAGCCTAAGCAACAGTGAGACCCTGTCTCAATAAACAAACAAACAAACAAATAAATAATTGTAGAGACAGAAGATAAAATGGAGCCCGGTGCAGTGGCTCACGCCTGTAATCCCAGAACTTTGGGAGGCTGAGGTGGGCAGATTACTTGGCCCAGGAGTTTGAGACCAGTCTGCCCAACATGGTGAAACCCCGTCTCTACTAAAAATACAAAAATTAGCCAGGCATGGTGGTGTGTGCCTATAATCCCAGCTACTTGAGAGGCTGAGACAGGAGAATCGATTGAACCCAGGAGGTGGAGGTTGCAGTGAGCTGAGATCACACCACTGCACTCCAGCCTGGGTGACAAAGCCAGACTCTGTCTCAAAAAAAAAAAAAAAAAAAAAAGGCTGAGCACGGTGGCTCATGCCTGTAATCCCAGCACTTTGAGAGGCTGAGCCGGGCAGATCACCTAAGGTCGGGAGTTTGAGACCAGCCTGACCAACATGGAGAAACCCCGTCTCTGCCAAAAATACAGTATTAGCAGGTCGTGGTGGCACATGCCTGTAATCCCAGCTACCTGGGAGGCTGAGGCAGGAGAATCGCTTGAACCTGGGAGGTGGAGGTTGCAGTGAGCCGAGATTGTGCCACTGCACTCCAGACTGGGCAACAAGAGTGAGACTCTGTCTCAAAAAAAAAAAAAAAAAAAAGAGAGAGAGACAGGGTTTCACCAGGTTGGCCAGGCTGGTCTTGGACTCCTGACCTCAAGTGATCTGCCCGCCTCAGCCTCCCAAAGTGCTGGGATTACTGGTGTGGGCCACTGCATCTGGCTCCCACCATCTCTATTAAAATAAGATAAAATAAACATAAAATAATGAACCGACAAAATAATAATACAATTCATTGTAAGTAAAATGCTATCCTGAGTTCTGTGAGTCATTCTGGATAATTCAAATTCTCTAGAATTACCACCTCAGCTGACTTTTTTTTTTTTTTTTTGTAGAGACCAGGCTGGTCTTGAATTCTTGAGCTCAAGTGATCCGCTTCCCTCAGTCTCCCAAAGTGCTGGAATTACATGTGTGAGCCACTGAGCCTGGCCTACAAATTCTTTATTATACAACACACAGTAGATGCTCAATAAATATTTGCTAAGCAGAAACATACACTCAAAATACCAGAAATTATCAAGGAAGTTGCCAGTTGGTCTCTTGGGTTCTTCCTCCCGACAGGTATACACACCTATTGTAAAGATGAACACATTAGGCTGTGAGAAACCAATACTGTTAAACATTCCAATCAGGTGACAAACTCCCTGGGCTCTGGTTTATATTACCAAGCAACCTGATGATAACTTGGCTTCCTGTGTGGCTTGTTTATAGAAAGAGAATGCTACCCAGGCTGACGTGAGTTGCATTTCTGAGTTGATTTCTCACTGTAAATTAATAAACTGGCATTCTGGCTACATAGATCAGTCTCTTTGAACTCTTTGTACCTTCCACCATTAGTGTGATTTCTAAGGCTGCAAGCCAGACACTGCCCAAGACCCAGCACTGGACTCTGGTGAGTTCTTCCAGCTGTTGCCACCCCAGGAGGCTCTGGGAGCCCCTGGGAACCATCCAGCTTGCTCTCTGTCTCTACATTTCAGGGTGTGGGTTTCAGGGCATTCACAACATTCCTGCAACAGAAGAGTTTTGGGAACACCCCCAGCAGGATGTGGGTGATTTGAATGTATGTCAGAGATGTGGTTGTAACTGAGAAATCTTAAGCCTAGTGAATTTTATTCCACTTGACTTAAATAAAGAGCACGTGAAAGAAGGGGATCTGAGGACATCTATGAACAGGGCCCCAAGGGCATGAACTTACTAGTGTTTATATGACTAGTGTTTATCTGGGCCTGTCTAGTCTGGAGAACCTGACTCTGGTGTACCCAAGCTTTGCAGTGGCTGTAGAGGTTTGCTCTTTTGGAGGGAGAAGATAATTCATTCCTCCAACACCTGAATGAGGGTAGATTAACCCACCTCCTTCAGCTGCAATTTGGCAAATTTCTCTTCTTTGATTTAATGCTCAACGGACAAATTTCCTTTCTTCTTCTTCTTCTTCTTCTTCTTCTTCTTCTTCTTCTTCTTCTTCTTCCTCTTCTTCTTTTTTTCTCCTCTTCTTCTTCTTCTTCTCCTCCTTCTCCTTCTTCTCCTTCTTCTTTTCTCTTCCTTCTCCTCCTCCTTCCTCCTCCTCCTCTTCCTACTCTTCTTCCTCTTCCTCTCCTCCTCCTCTTCCTCCTCCTCTTCCTTCTTCTTCTTCTTTCTTTTTTTTTCGGTTTTGAGACAGGGTCTCCGTCACCCAGGCTGGAGTGCAGTGGCACGATCTCGGCTCACTGCAACCTCCACCTCCTAGGCTCAAGCGATCCTCCCACCTCAGCTTCCCATGTGGCTGGGACCACAGGCGTGAGCTACCATGCCCGGCTAATTTTTGTATTTTTTGTAGAGACAGGGTCTCTCCATGTTGCTCAGGCTGGTCTTGAACTCCTGAGCTCAAGAGATCCTCCTGTCTCAGGCTCCCAAAGTCCTGGGATTACAAGCACGAGCCACCATGCCCGGCCTCAACAGGCAACCTTCTGATTAATAATTAGACCTCTGTGCCGGCCGTCGTGGCTGATGCCTGTAATTCCAGCACTTTGGAAGGCCAAGGCGGGTGGATGGCTTGAGGTCGGGCGTTTGAGACCAGCCTGGCCAACACGGTGAAACCCCGTCTCTGCTAAATATACAAAAATTAGCCTGGCATGGTGGCGTATGCCTGTAATCCCAGCTACTTGGGAGGCTGAGGCAGGAGAATCGCTTGAACCCGGGAGGCAGAGGTTACAGTGAGCTGTCATATATAATGAAACAGTTTTACTAAACTTAGGAAGCAGTGACTTGGTGTCTCTAGAAATTGCCTAACATACACATTCCAGGATACATTCTCTGTCATCTGGAATCTCCTCCCTTCCACAAACCCACGCTGTCTTAAGCACTATTTTCCTATTTGTTGTTGACCTAATCTAGAAAAAAGCGGCCATCACTCTTTCTCCCCCACTCAGTCCCTCAGTCCCGAAACACCCTTATTCTCCGCACTTGTCACCCCACCCTCTGCTGCCCCCACCGCAGCGCGCAAACGCACACGAGTTTAAAGTTTAGGCTGTGATGCTATCCTCGCCCGCAGATCACAGGACAGACATTCTCGGGGACAACTTTGCGAGGCCATGTGCTCGTCCCCCTTAGGAAGGAAGAGGGAGAAATCCCTGCGGCTCGGTTTTGTTCCAATGGTCTGCTCAGCGAGTGATTCCCGTTTCCCCAAAGGCTGCCCCTCATTAGCATGAACGGGGACGCGGGTGTGGAGAAGGGGTTAGAGGAGAGAAAGCAAGCAAAAGCCCAGGCTCACTTTTAGAGCCTGGGAACCCTGTCTGCAAAAATGACAGCTAGAGCTTTCTGGCTCCTCTGTTTAATCGTCGGATCATCCCCCGAAGCTCCGGTGGAGAGAAAAAGTAAGATCGGTGTAGTGCGGAGCCCTGGGAGCGGAGCGGGGATCTGGGGAGGGGGCGCCCAGGCCTCAGCCGCCGGCCGACAACCGGGCCACCTTCCGTGAGGCCGCACACGCTCCCACAGGCCCGCGCCTGGCGCAAGCCGAGAACCGCGCGTCGCCGCGCCGCGGGCCCGCGACGGAGGAAGCCCCGAGACGCGCGCGCTCACGGGCCCTACGCTTCCCCGCCGCCCGGCCGCGCGCGCGCGCCGCCGAGGGCCCCGCCGGCCCTGCCCACCCCAACCGGCCGCGCGCCGTTGTGCCGGCCCCCGGCTCGCCGCCCGCGCCGCCGCCGCGCCTCAGCTTCAGATTCGGCCTCAGTCAGCCGCGCAGGGACGCGGAGCCCGGCGCCGAGCTCTGCGCTTGCGCTTGCCGGGCGGGCATGGACGGGCGAGAGGCGTTCTGCAAGCGCGAAATCGGTGAGCCCGGCCGCCGCGCCGCCGCCCCGCGAGCCTTTCCGAGTCCCGGAGAATCCTGCACGCGAGATCCCAGGGCGCCCGACCCATGCGGGCCGTTTCGCTGTTGCTAAAAACCAACGCCCAGGGACTGGGAGAGGAACTGGGGTTCCCAAACTGTTTTTTGGAAGCAGCGATGAACGGGATAGTGCATGACGTGGACGTGCTGGGCGCGGGCATCTGGCTGGTGACCCTGCTGGTGGATCGGGACGGGCTGTACAAGATGAACCGCCTGTACCTCACTCACCCCCGACGTCTTCTTCTTCCGAGTCCACATGTTAGTCCTGGACTCCTCCAGCTGCAATAAACCGTGTCCAGAGTTTAAACCTGGTATTGAAACTGAGCTGAATGACGCTGCATATGTACTTTATACCACCGTTTGTAACGTGGGTGCCACAGCCCGGGCTGTGGGTCGTCCAGTCTTTTTTTGGGACGGATGGGGGACAGTATTGTAACATGATTAGGATTTAGACGACAGGTATTATTTCCGCCACTGTGATTTAAGCACCGTCAGCCCCACCCCCACGGGTGAGAACGGCAGCTGTTGGCACAAAGCGGGCTATCAATAAATAGATGTTGACAAATGGAGTGAGCGACCACCAAACACCATTGCCAGAAGGGACTGTACAGAACTGAGTTTAGAAAAGCTGCTTTTTTGGGGGAGTGTGTGGAGGGTTGGTAGCGGGGAATACCCACTCCCACATCTTTTTTTTTTTTTTTTTTTTTTTTAGACAGAGTCTCGCTCTGTTGCCCAGGCTGGAGTGCAATGGCGCCATCTCAGCTCACTGCAACCTCCGTCCCCCAGGTTCAAGCCATTCTCCTGCCCTCAGCCTCCCAAGTAGCTGGGATTACAGGCTGAGCCACTGCGCCCGGCCCCACTCCCACATCTTTCTAGGCATGTGCTCTGGGAAATCCTGATACAATGTGATAAGGACCTTTGTTCTGTAATGTGGGCTGGTTACGTATTGCTTTCCCTTCCCCACACCCCGTGCTACTTTTTGTATTTTTAGTACAGATGGGGTTTCACCATGTTGGCTAGGCTGGTCTCAAACTCCTGACCTCAAGTAATCTGCCCGCCTCGGCCTCCCAAAGTGCTAGGATTAAAGGCGTGAGCCACTGCACTGGCCTGGTTGGGTTGGTTATCTTCTAAAGGTCGCTAGACTGTTTCCACCTTGCCTGTAGACTAAATATCAGTTTCAACTTGTGCAGCAAGATAGTAGATTGCAGCTTAGGTATTTCTTAAAGGCCTTATATTTTCTGTTTCATGGCATTTAAAAGACGCTATGAATTAATGTTCTGGTTATTTTGTCCAGGCAGCAGGTATATTGTGATGGGCCACATCTACCATAAGAGAGGGCAGCTTCCTACAGCTCTGCTCCAGGTCCTGAGAGGCCATCTCTGTCCAGGGGATGGACTGCTGAGGAGCAGCAGCAGCTATGTGAAAAGGTTTAACCCAAAAAGGGAAGGGCAAATTCAAGGTGCAATTCATACCCAATGCATTTGAAACAACCATCCTGGCATTTCTGGATCACAAGAGACATCGGCAACAAGACATGAAAGGTCTATCTTCATGTAATGGGTCCTCCTTTAGAAGAGAGCCCAAAGCTACTCTATGAATGACCTGCATAGTTACAACTGTAATCTCGAAGGTGTCACTTTGTTATTTACAAGATGCTTCTTAAATGGGCTGCTCCTGAGCTCAGTGTCAAGGTGATTCAACTGTTGTGCCAGACAGTGATTTACACAGCTCAGATAACTGACCTGTCTAGTTAACAGATCACTGCTTCATGTTTTTAAATATTTTAATTTAATACATTCTTTAGTAGAAATAGTCCACAAAACATTTTCCTGAATTTAAATACACAACTTTTATATCATGTATCAAACCTGATTTTATATTCAAACCTGATTTATATTCAAAACTTATATGTGAAGATTAAATTCTTCACATAACAGTAAGCGCACTAGTCAAAAGACATTTACCTATGAAACGTCATTTAGATCAAACACAAGGGTCAAAGCCCAGGACAAGGATTAAAATTTTACACTTAAAAAGTACCAAGCCGGGCGCGGTGGCTCACACCTGTAATCCCAGCACTTTGAGAGGCCGAGGCGGGTGGATCACCTGAGGTCCGGAGTTCGAGACCAGGCTGACCAACATGGAAAAACCCTGTCTCTACTAAAAATACAAAAATTAGCCGGGTGTGGTGGCACATGCCTGTAATCCCAGCTGAGGGAGGCTGAGGCAGGAGAATCACTTGAACCCAGGAGGCAGAGGTTGTGGTGAGCCGAGATCGCGCCAGCCTGGGCAACAAGAGCAAAACTCCGTCTCAAAAACAAACAAAGTGTACAAAAGGGCCAGTGTGCGGATGGGTGGATTAAAAAAATAAATTTTAAAAAAGTGCCAAAGGGCTTACTTCAGGCAAAAGTGTTCCTGATGTACCAAAGAGTAAGATATAGTTTATTTTCATGCCTCCCTGCTCCTAATAATGTATGTTTTGTGCTGAACTGGCAGCTATCCCAATGTGAACTGTATTCTGAGTGTATCTGATATCATTTTTCTATTAAGACCAAGTATAATGTTTGCTTGTAAAGCAATAAATCTTGCTTTGAAATTAGACCTTGGATGCACCTGTTTATTTTTGTTTTGTTTTGTTTTAGCCTTTGAGCCCTAAAGGTTTGAGAAAAAGCCTTTCTCAAATTCATTCCCCAAACCTTGGAACCAATATTAACCAATGACAGCTCACAAGCAAGTGAATTCTAAACATTTTTCAGTTGGTTTTAAAAAGGTTTAATCACTAGCTAAATTAAATATTGATTTTATACCTGAGTCCACAAAGACATGAGAGTATTTTTTCAGAAGATAAGGCTGTACTTCAGTTTATAAGAAGTACGGTGAACAGAGACACCACTAATGCATAGATGAAGATGACTGCCTAAAGAGAGACAGGGGAAGGAATTTCACTGGAGAGAGAGCAGCCTATTTGGCCTCACGGTGATGCACTCAGGAAGGTCAGAATGTGTCCTGACGCTGTCCATGGCACCCAGTAGTAGCACTGTACACATAAAGGACATCCAGGACGGGACGCTAGGGAATCACAGGAGCCAAGAGGCAACAGCCTAACATTACAATACCTGATACTATTATTTGTTCCAATTATGGGGCAGACAGGTAATAAAGAGTTGAGAGGTTCTGAGTGTTCTATGGTAAAGCACTACTGAGAGATTTCTAGAGTATTTTCCAAAAATGAGTTTTGTCCAAATTTATTATAAATTTTACTAGAATTGCTTTTTGGGAGTCAGATGCATTATTGCATGATAGAATTATAGCTAATGAAGAGCTTCTGAGCTAGTTTTCTTTAAGATAAAAAAAATTAACTCAGGCATAACTCAGGCCAGTCAAATCAAAGTTGAATTTTTAAATGTCAAAAGGCTAGGCCGGGAGCTGTGACTCACACCTGTAATCCCAGCACTTTGGGAGACCAAGGCGGGTGGATCACAAGGTCAGGAGTTTGAGACCAGCCTGGCCAACATAGCGAAACTCTGTCTCTACTAAAAATACAAAAATTAGCTGGGCATGGTGGTGCATGCCTGTAATCCCAGCTATTGGGGGGCAGGAGGATCGCTTGAACCTAGTAGGCAGAGGTTGCAGTGAGCCGAGATCATGCCACTGCCCTCCAGCCTGGGCAACAGAGCGAGACTCTGTCTGAAACAACAACAAAAAGTATATCTATATGGCTAATTTCTTTAGTTGAATTTGGTTCAAATTGGATCAAGTGGTATAATCTTCTAAGAAAAGTCTTTTAGTATCTCACTCCAAGTATCTAGAAATACCTTAGAATGTTTCAAATTATTAAAAATACTTCTCGGTTGGCTCTTCCCTCCACCTCCTCAAGTACTTCATTATTTTATCCATGGAATATCCCCATTCTCACATTAAGGGCAAGAAATCTGAGACCTATGGTAATAGTTTCTTTTTTTTTTTTTTTTTTTGAGAAGGAGTTTCGCTCTTGTTGCCTAGGCTGGAGTGTAATGGCATGATGTCAGCTCACCGCAACCTCTCCCTCCTGGGTTCAAGTGATTCTCCTGCTCTAGCCTCCCAAGTAGCTGGGATTACAGGCATGCGCCACTTTACCTAGCTAATTTTTTTTTTTTTTTTTTTTTGTATTTTTAGTAGAGATGGGGTTTCTCCATGTTTGTCAGGCTGGTTTCAAACTCCCAACCTCAGGTGATCCACCTGCCTTGGCCTCCCAAAGTGCTGGGATTATACGTGTGAGCCACCACGCCCAGCCGTATCATGATAGTTTCAATCAGGAAGAGTGAAAGCTGTAATAACCATGTAACTTTGTCTAACTAAGTGTGCAGAGATCTGAAAGTCCACCAGGTTGGCTCTTTAACATAAAGAAGTAGAGAGTTTGCCTAAAGGAATTAGCAGAAATAGGGAAATAACTTTTATTTGCAGATCCCAGGAAGGTAGATTACAAACAACAGCAAATCTTAGTGTCTCTAAATAACACTCTAGGCCATTTGGAATATAAAAAGGTAATTATTTTACTTCAGAAAATATCTCCAAAAGTTCACTTTTTTTTTGAGACAGAGTCTTGCTGTGTCGCTCAGGCTGGAGTGCAGTGGCACAATCTCAGCTCACTACAACCTCTGCCTCCCCAGTTCAAGCCATCCTCCCACCTCAGCCTCCTGAGTAGCTGGGACTACAGGTGTGTGCCACTTGTCCAGCTAAATTGTTGTATTTTTAGTAGAAACAGGGTTTCACCATGTTGGTCAGGCAGGTCTCTAACTCCTGACCTTGTGATCTGCCCGCTTCAGCCTCCCAGAGTGCTGGGATTATAGGCGTGAGCCACCATGCCCAGCCACAATTTTATTTAAACCTCCTGTAGAATTTGGATAGGAGAATAAAAGCTTTACCAATAGGAAAATACTTTTCATGAAATGGTTTCAAGGATTGTGAACTTGGCAGGTGAAGCATAACAGTTATTGAAAATACTTTTAGCCAAGGAAATCTACTGATGCAAATTAAATATATTTACAAGCCCAAGGCCTGTGGTAGAAACATCCTAAGAGTATCACAAATGTACAGTTTACTGCCTGGATTATTGAAAGCAAAATAGCTGTGTTATATAGATCTTAATAGCAGAAGCTTTCAAAGATTACTCACAGAAAAGCAGCTTTCAGAACTCATTATGTTCTAAAAAATGTATGTTTTTCTTTCTTTTTTATTTTTTTTGAGATGAAGTCTCACTCTTGTCCCCCAGGCTGGAGTGCAATGGCGTGATCACGGCTCACTGCAACCTCCGCCTCCCAGGTTCAAGTGATTCTCCTGCCTCAGCCTCCCTAGTAGCTGGGATTTCAGGTGCCTGCCACCATGCCTGGCTAATTTTTGTACTTTTAGTAGAGATGGGGTTTCACCATGTTGGCCAGGTTGGTCTCAAATTCCTGACCTCAGGTGATCCCCCCTGCCTCGGCCTCCCAAAGTGCTGGGGTTACAGGCGTGGGCCACCACACCTGGCCAGGAATGTGTGTTTTTCAAAAATTACTTTTGAAAGACTAAAGCCCTATAGTTGATAAAACTATAAAATGTCTTTATGTATTTGTATGGTGATAGAAACTGTAAAACACTTTATACCATTAAATACACATGAAATTAATATCTTCCTGGTCTCAGGATTTCCATAAAATTTACCCTTTTTAATTTGGCAATGCTAACAGCTACAGAAGACATATTACCACCAACCAACCGTTGCTTCATTAGAAACTGCACCAAATCCAATGTCAAAAACATTACTTTATTTTTCTAGTATGAAATGTCCTATTACATACAAAAGAATTGCTGTTTAGAATTTGCCACAATTTGTTGAAAACATAGCAATCTATTGCCTACAGGTAGGAAAGTTCTTGCTGCAACAAATTTTAAATGATTAAGCCCATATATATTTCTATATATATGAATAAATAGTGCAGAAATACTGTGACGTGATGAGATGCAGAATAATTTTATAATTCATTAAAATGTAGAATTCTTGCATCAGCACAGTGCATACAATATGTAACTTTTTTTAAAAAGTAAAAGGACAAAATAATCCATATTTAAGTATTTCCATCTTAATATTTTAAGCAAAAATGTTTTCATGTTTTCATATTGAGTGATTAGTCTCTTTAGTTTGTAAACATAGGTTTAAGTGACATCTTCATGTACAAAAAGGAATGGGCTTCATTAGATAAAATTAAGCCAGAATAACCTGTACACCTGAGCCTGTAATAAGAAAGAATTGGGAACTGTAGCAACATCTTTCTTTTAAGAAACCAAGGTCTGGGAAAGGTTTTGCATAGCAGGGAAACGTTGAAAGGAAGGAAACTTTTAAAAGCAATAATTAGATAAATTCCAGAAGTTGATAGGACAAAGCTAATATGAGTTAGAATAAAATCTAGTAGAATTTTTGCAAAGCTGCATAATCCAGCTATGGCAGATTTTATAGAAGCTATTACCACAATGCAGTAATACAATGTGTAAGAACATTGAAAGGAAGAACATGCAAAATACATCTTCCTCATTTTCTTCCTACTGCTTACACTACTTTTCCTTACATGGAAGAAACAAACAAACCAACAAGCAAAAAACAAACCCAATCAACAAATAACACAGAGGATGAGATCATCTAACAAAAAATGTCCTTCATACAATATAAGTAGCTGTCTGTAATTGGTAATTTGCCCAGTATCACAGAATGTACAGATGAAGGCAATGTGTATCTTGTCGCATTACCTTTTTCGTTAGTATGATCAACTGATGCGACAGGATTAGCACCCCTGAAGATTCTTCTCTGACGTGATGACAATTGACTGGGAATGATAAAACGAGGGGCCACTGCTGTCCAGGAGAATTCCAGGTACAATTAGATTCTTTTGCCTTTCATGACCTTGCAGCCCTCCCTCCCCACAGAGGCTTACAGATAATCATTAGCACACATTCAAAGACACCTCTGTCTGTGGGAGAAAAACTATCTCCATTTATTTTGTTTCACATACATCCATAGTTGAATTTTAATACAAAAAGAAAAATTAGAATCTGACAAATGTTTACAAAGAAGATACCTTCAAATAGATTTTACTCATTTCAACCTGGTGTGGAGTAATTGACAAATTGTACTGTTATATTCAAGTCACCAGAGTCTGTAGTCCAGGACCACTTAGCCCAACCTTTATGCAAGCTTGATTTTAATCTACCATGAACAATAAACTCATTGTTGATTCGCAGTTGTGTGTGTGTGCACATGTGTACATAGCAGCTCCTTTCATAGAAAGAAAAGACATCTAGAGGTTGTCTTGTACTTTTACGTACAGGAATCATTGATAAGATATGGATGGATTATATGTAACCGTGGCTGGATTTTATAAGAAAAAATAATTAGTTGACAAATGAGGGCAGCAATAAAAAAGCATCTTTTTTGCAACAATAAATAAATACAGTCAAAAGTTTTCTTTGAGACTCTAAACCAGCTTCTTCACTGAAGAGCAGACGTGGCATTTCCATGGAGTTATACTTGACCCCACAGTATCATTGTTTCTTGCTTTCTTTTTCTTTTTTTTTTTTAATAAACAAAATTTTCTCGCTTCTGCCACAATAATAAAACCATTTGATCTTGACAAGATAATGGTGTCGTTGACTTTTCTTTTTTCTTTTTCTTTTCTTCCTTTTTTTGTTTTTGAAACGGAGTTTTGTTCTTGTCACCCAGGCTGGAGTGCAATGGCTCAATCTCGGCTCAATACAACCTCTGCCTCCCGGGTTCCAGCGATTCTCCTGCCTCAGCCTCCCAAGTAGCTGGGATTACAGGCATAGGCCACCATGCACAGCTAATTTTGTATTTTTGGTAGAGACGGGGTTTCTCCATATTGGTCAGGCTGGTCTCGAACTCCCGACCTCAGATGATCCGCCCGCCTTGGCCTCCCAAAGTGCTGGGATTACAGGCGTGAGCCACCGCACCTGGCAACTTTGCTTTTTTCTTGTCCATTGGACAAAATTGGCCAATAATATAATTGGACTGTTATGACCAATAAAAACAAAGTTTAGGTCAAGTCTTGTCAGGATAGCCTCACTAAAAAGATCTGGCTCCTTAATTTAAAATAGTTCAGGCAACAAGATTCTTGCTGTGTTTTATGTTAGGTTAACATGCTGAACTTTAGGAAGCTGTAGACTGCAGTTTGTTGTTGTGAGACCTACAGAGTATAGAAAAAGGGAACAATTGAGCACCTTTCATTTTTGAAAATGATGCTTTATGCGGATGCCAAAGTAAATAAATCTGGAAGAAGCAGCCATGTTCTTTCATTCACCCTTGGCAAGCGAATAGAAAAGAACGATTAAGAAATTTTTAACCTATAATAATAAAACTTTTCACTGTACACTAAGCATAATAGCTCACTGGAAAAAGCCAATATTTAAAATATGTATGTATATATATTTGTCTAATAAAGATTACAACATTTTCAGGCAACTGGACAAATAGAGACATTTACAGAAGCATTACCATTGTGGTGAAAGGTGCGTGTGTGTGTGTATGTGTGTGTTTATTTACACGGATGAGGGGAATATAAAGGGAAAAATTATGCTAAAACAAAAGAAAAAGCAATTTTAAAATCATATTTTTCTATTAAAGTCCAGAAAGTCTCCCAGTTTCACACAGTTTTATTCACAATTTTTTTTTTTTTTGAGACGAAGTCTCGCTTTTGTCCCCAGGCTGTAGTGCAAAGGCGCGATCTTGGCTCACTGCAACCTCTGCCTCCCAGATTCAAGCGATTCTCCTGCCTCAGCCTCCCGAGTAGCTGGGATTACAGGTGCCTGCCACCACACCCGGCTAATTTTTGTACTTTTTGTAGAGACGAGGTTTCACCATGTTGGCCAGGCTGGTCGCAAACTCCTGACCTCAGGTGATCCGCCCGCCTCGGCCTCCCAAAGTGCTGGGATTACAAGTGTGAGCCACCAAGGCTGGCCTCACAACTTTTGTCAGTAAACCAAATTACTGTACAGTTACCAGGACTAAGTCAAAGGACTTTATATTGCAATAGCAGATAAATTTATATTGCAATAGCAGATAAATACAGTATTCCAATAGTTTACAATTTTTAAATACATTGTTTCACGTGGCTGCTAGAATAAATTTTTTACCACTATACATCGTTAACATTAAAAAATTATATTAGCTAACCTGACTTTTTGGGGGGCAATTTTGGATTACGTAATCACAAGGTACAATAAAACAGTGACCCCAACATCCAGTTCTGATTCCAGTTAAAAATTTAGACTAAAGATATCACAATCCGTAAGAAAAGAAAGAATATGGATGGTATAAATGATGAATTATAACAAAGTGCAGTAATGAAAACAATGTGCAAACAATGCTGGAGATCATAAATTACAATGGGAAAATATGGCAAAGGAAATTCTGGAAACCCATAATAAAATCAAGTTTCAATAACTGGCTAGTTATGTTTCATTCTACCTTAAATCTGGAAAGCAATAGAAATTCCCTAAAAATGCAACAGCAAGTTGTCTTTATACAATTCTTTGCATTGTAATTTTTTTCTTTTTTTCTTTTTTTTTTTTTTTTTGATTTGTTTGTTTTGAGACAGGGTCTCACTCTGTAGCCCAGTCTGGAGTGCAGTGGCACAATCATGGCTCACTGCAGCCTCAACCTCCAGGGCTCAGGTGATCCTCCTACCTCAGCCTCCTGGGTAGCTGGGACTACAGGCACGTGCCACCATGCTCAGCTAATTTTTTGTATTTTTTGTAGAGATGGGGTTTCCCCATGTTGCCCAGGCTGGTCTCAAACTCCTGGGCTCAAGTGAGCTGCCTGCCTTGGCTTCTCAAAGTGTTGAGATCACAGGTGTGAGCCACTGCACACAGCCTAATTTGTTTATTTAAGCAGAATTGAGCAAACGTCTCCATTCAGCTCCCATGTGCTTTATTGAAAATTATGTCAACTTCAGTATATTAAAAAGCTACATAAAATAACCAGGTGGCAAGAAGACATCCTAAGTGGCCCCTACACTATGCGGGCCCAGCCTAGGTCTCCTTTGCTCCTTTACCAAATTCCCTTTGTCTTGCCACAGGCCCCAGGACCTCCAAGCAACTTCCTCTCCTTCATCAGCAGTTGCCAGCAGTCATCCTCTGGGCTCTGCCAGCAAGTTGGCAGCAGGGTAGGATTCACACCCCTTGGCTTCTACCTCACAGTTACCACCAAAGGCCTTTCCAATTTAAAAAAGCAATTTTAGAAATTGAACCAGAGGAATAACCACCATGTACAAATCAAAAAGCATAGAGGGGCTTATAATGAGAAGTCGTGCTCCTCTGTCCTACCTTAACTCCCTCTGAAATCCAGGCTCCCTATGATCAATCCCCTTGACCTTTCAGTTCTCTGGGTAGATTTCTTTTCTTTTCTTTTCTTTCTTTCTTTCTTTTTTTTTTTTTGAGACAGAGTCTTGCTGTTGCCCAGGTTGGAGTGCAGTGGTGGGATCTCAGCTCACTGCAACCTCCTCCTCCTGGGTTCAAATGATTTTCCTGCCTCAGCCTCCCGAGTAGCTGGGATTACAGGTGCCCACCCTTACGCCTAGCTAATTTTTGTATTTTTAGTAGAGACAAGGTTTTACCATATTGGCCAGGCTGGTCTGGAACTCCTGACCTAACCGCCCACCTCAGCCTCCCAAAAGTGCTAGGATTACGGACATGAGCCACCATGCCTGGTCTGGGTAGATTTTTTTTCTTTTGAGATGGAGTCTCGTTCTTGTCGCCCAGGCTGAAGTGTAGTGGTGTGGTCTCCACTCACTGCAACCTCCGCCTCCCACGTTCAAGTGATTCTTCTGCCTCAGCCTCCAGAGTAGCTGGGACTTACAGGCGTGCACCACCATGCCTGGCTAATTTTTGTATTATTAGTGGAGATGGGGTTTCACCATGTTGGCCAGCTGGTCTCGAACTCCTGACCTCAGATGATCCACCCGCCTTGGCCTTCCCAAGTGCTGGGATTACAGGCATAAGCCACCATGCCCAGCCTGGGTAGCTTTCTTATACTGCTCTTTCTTGTTTTATCAACTTTCATTTAAGCCCTGTGATGGCAAATGAGAGCCAAGCTCACTTAACCATTTTCCCACCTCCATTTTTGAGTCCTAGTCTTTTTTGTTTTGTTTTGTTCTGTTTTGTTTTATTTTGTTTTTTTTTTTTTGTTGTTTTAAGATGGAGTCTTGCTCTGTCACCCAGGCTAGAGTGCAGTGGTGTGATCTCAGCTCACTGCAACCTCCACCTCCTGGGTTCAAGCGATTTTCCACCTCAGCCTCCTGAGTAGCTGGGATTACAGGCGCTCACCACTGCGACCGGCTAATTTTTGTATTTTTAGTAGAGATGAGGTTTCACCATCTTGGCCAGGCTGGTCTCAAACTCCTGACCTCGTGATACACCCGCCTCGGCCTCCCAAAGTGCTGAGATTACAGGTGTGGGCCACCACACCTGGCTGAGTCCAAGTTTTATTTCCCTATAATTTAAAAATTATATCATTCCATGCTTTGTCTGTAGGCTGATTCTAAAAGTTGAAAACCAATGTCATTATTTTTATTTTTATTTTTTTTGACACGGAATTTTGCTCTTGTGGCCCAGGCTGGAGTGCAATGGCATGGTTTTGGCTCACTGCAACCTCTGCCTCCTGGGTTCAAGTGATTCTCCTGCCTCAGCCTCCTGAGTAGCTGGGATTACAGGTGCCTGCCACCACGCCTAGCTAATTTTTGTATTTTTAGTACAGATGGGCTTTCACCATGTTGGTCAGGCTGGTCTCGAACTCCTGATCTCAGGTGA
Organism: Homo sapiens; assembly: GCF_000001405.40. Taxonomy (NCBI): domain Eukaryota; kingdom Metazoa; phylum Chordata; class Mammalia; order Primates; family Hominidae; genus Homo; species Homo sapiens. Next base: position 981,427 of record NT_187663.1, read on the forward strand.
TCCACATGCCTTGGCCTCCCAAAGTGTTGGGATTATAGGCATAAGCCACTGTTCCTGGCCCAATGTCATTATTTACATTATTACGACAATGTAAATATTTTTCTCTATACCACCTAGTCCTTTGCTAATAAGGCATTCTTTTTTTTCTTTTTTTTTTTTTTTTTGAGACAGAGTCTCGCTCTGTCGCCTAGGCTGGAGTGCAGTGGCACAATCTTGGCTCACTGCAACCTCCACGTCTCAGGTTTGAGCAATTCACTTGCCTCAGCCTCCCAAGTAGCGAGGATTACAGGTGCCTACCACAATGCCTGGCTAATTTTTGTATTTTTAATAGAGACGAGGTTTTGCCATGTTGTCCAGGCTGGTCTTGAACTCCCGACCTCAGGTGATCCATCCACCTTGGCCCTCCAAAGTGCTGGGATTACAGGCATGAGCCACCGCACCTGGCCTTTTTTTTCTTTCTTTCTTTTTTTTTTTTTTTTTTTTGAGATAGGGTCTTGTTGTGTCGTCCAGGCTGGAGTGTAGTTGCATGAACATGGCTCACTGCAGTATCTGTCTCCTGGGCTTAATCCTCCCACCTCAGCCTCTGGAGTAGCTGGGATCATGGGTGCACATCACCATGCCTGGCTAATTTTTGTATTTTGTAAAGATGGGGTTTCCTCATGTTGCCCGGGCTGGTCTAGAATTCCTGGGCTCAAGCATCCTCCTGCCTCAGCCTCTCAATGTGTTGGGATTACAGGCATGAACCACCATTCCCAGCCAACAGGCCCTCCTACACAACTTTTTGTTTTTAGTGGCGTTTCTAATTGCCTTTCATTTTTATCCCTGACATTCTTTGGCTTAATCATAGCCTTATGTTTTTCTGTCTTAAACAAATTATCTAATGCATGAGTCATTGTCTTGCCCTACTGACCCTCTGGGGAGTGCTCCATTCTCCTGCTAGGATTTGGATTGCTTACCGCACAGCCTGCTGTACAAATGTCACCTTGAGTCAGAGTAATTCTCATTGCTTTCCCTGAACCTCTTGTTTTCTGAACCCAAATAAATAAAAATGTCTGGCCAGGCGCGGTGGCTCACATCTGTAATCCCAGCACTTTGGGAGGCCAGGGCAGGTGGATCACTTGCCTTGAGACCAGCTTGGCCAACATGGCAAAACCCCATCCCTACTAAAAACACAAAAATTAGCCAGGTGTGGTGGCAGGCGCCTGTAATCCCAGCTACTTGGGAGGCTGAGGCAGGAGAATCGCTTGAACGCGGGAAGCGGAGGTTGCAGTGAGGTGAGATTGCACCACTGCACTCCAGCCTGGGCAACAGAGTGAGACTCTGTCTCAAAAACACAAAACAACAGAAAAATTTCTAGCCCAGTGCAGTGGCTCACGGCTGTAATCCCAGCACTCTGGGAGGCCAAGGTTGGCGGGAGGATCGCTTGAGCTCAGTTCAAGACTAGCTTGGGTCATATAGCAAGACCCTGTCCCTAATTAAAAATATATATTATTAAAAAGAAAAAAATTTGTTTCCTTATTTTTGATAGCACACTTTTTTTTTTTTTTTTTTTTTTCCTGAGCAGAGTCTCACTCTGACACCCAGGCTGGAGTGCAGTGGTGTGATCTTGGCTCATTGCAGCCTCTGCCTCCCTGTTTCAAGTGATTCTCATGCCTCAGCCTCCTGTGTGGCTGGGACTACAGGCATGCGCCACTATGCCCGCCTAAGTATTGTATTTTTAGTAGGGACGAGGTTTTGCCATGTTGGCCAGGATGGTCTCGAAATGCTGACCTCAAATGTTCCATCCGTCTTTGCCTTCCAAAGTGCTAGGATTACAGGCATAAGCCATTTCGTGTCTGGCCAATAGCACACGCTTTTAAAAAATACCTGCCAAGAAAGGGTACCCTGAGTCCTTACATGACTGAAAATGTATTTATTCTGACTTTACTTGACTGTTTGGCTGCACATAGACTTCTAGGTTGAAAATCATTTTTTCTTAAACTTTTAGATTTATTCTTCCATAATCTTCTAGCACTAAATGTTGTAGCGGAAAAATCTGACACCAATCTAATTCTTGTTTTATAGATTGTCTGTTTTATCTAAAAGTTTCTTTTATTCTTAATGTTTGGAAATTTTATAGTGATGTATGTAGGAGTGAGTCTTTTTCCATTTGTCCACCTGGCTTATAATGTTTATCAACTGACCCCTTGCTCCCCCCACCCCTCATAGAGTGCAGGGGCTTTAATTTATTCACTGCTAAATTCCCTGTATCTGGCACACATCAGGTTCTCAATAGTCATTTGCTGAGTGAATGAATTTATTCTGCTAGAATTTAAAGTCCCGTGACTCGCATCAGCTCAGAAAATTTTTCTTTTATTCTTGTCTTTTTTTTTTGAGACAGGGTCTCAATCTGTGATTCAGGCTGGAGAGCGGTGGTGTAATCACAGCTCACTGCAGCCTTGAACTCCTGGGCACAAGTGATCACAGCTCACTGCAGCCTTGAACTCCTGGGCACAAGTGATCTTCCTGTCATAGCCTCCTGAGTAGCTAGGACTACAGGTGCACGCCACTATGCCTGGTTAATTTTTAAAATTTTTGTAGAGACATGGTCTTGTTATGTTGGTAAGGTTGGGAATTTTTTCTTCTTCTTTTGTGAGAGTCTCACTGTCACCCAGGCTGGAGTGCAGTGGTGTGATCTTGGCACACTGCAACCTCTGCCTCCTGAGTTCAAGCAATTCTCGTGCCTCAGCCACCTGAGTAGCTGGGATTACAGGTGTGCATCACCACACCTGGCTAATTTTTGTATTTTTAGTAGAGATGGGGTTTTGCCATGTTGGCCAGGCTGGTCTCAAACTCCTGACCTCAGGTGATCCACCCGCCTCGGCCTCCCAAAGTGCTGGGATTACAGGCATGAGCCATCACGCCTAGCCTAGTTTTACAGATTTTGTAGTTTCTTGTTTTTGGTCTATAACCTGCTGCCTACTTTTCTTGCTTCCTTGCCTATATATATATTCATTTATTTTTTAATTCCTTTGCTGAGAATAAAAATTGGATACTTTAGCTGGGCTTGTCCTTCAGTTTTTTTGTTTTTGTTTTTGTTTTTTTTTGAGACGGAGTCTCGCTCTGTCTCCCAGGCTGGAGTGCAGTGGCGCAATCTCGGCTCACTGCAAGCTCTGTCTCCCGGGTTCATGCCATTCTCCTGCCTCAGCCTCCCGAGTAGCTGGGACTACAGGCGTCTGCCACCACGCCCGCCTAATTTTTTGTTATTTTTAGTAGAGACGGGGTTTCACCGTGTTAGCCAGGATGGTCTCGATCTCCTGACTTCGTGATCCGCCCCACTCGGCCTCCCAAAGTGCTGGGATTACAGGCGTGATCCACCGCACCTGGCCTCAGTTTTTTGTTTGTTTTTTTTTTTTAAACAGGCAAGTTCTTGCTGTGTCACCCAGGCTGGGGTGGAGTGGCTCGATCATAGTTCACTGCAGCCTCAAACTCCTGTACTCAAGTGATTCTCCTGCCTCAGCCTCCCAAGTAGCTGGGACTATAGGCACTCATCACCAAGCCTGGTTAATTTTTTTTTTTTTTTTTGGTAGTAGAGACAAGGTCTCATACTGTGGCCCAGGCTGGTCTTGAACTCCTGGCTTCAAGCTATTCTCCCCACTCGGCTTCCCAAAGTACTGGGATTACAGGCATAAGTCACCTTGCCTGGCCTTTCACTTTTATTTTAGGTAAACTGCTTTTAAAATACCCTCTTAGAAACCATCTTCCTTGCTACAGAAGAGAGAAAGCACCCCGTGGCTTTTCCTCAAAGGAAGATCACTGTGGGGGCTGGGCGCGGTGGCTCATGCCTGTTATCCCAGCATTTTGGGAGGCCGAAGCGAGCGGATCACCTGAGGTCAGGAGTTTGAGACCATCCTGGCCAACACAGTGAAACCTCATCTCTACTAAAACTACCAAAATTAGTCGGGTGTGATGGCACGTGCCTGTAGTCCCAACTACGCGGGAGGCTGAGGCAGGAGAATCGCTTGAACCTGGGAGGCAGAGGTTGTATTGAGGTGAGATCACACCACTGCACTCCAGCCTGGCAACAGGGTGAGACTCCATCTCAAAAAAATAAAATAAAATAACCGAGTATGCACAATTCAACTGTAATAGATACTATCAATTTACCCTCCAAAGTGACCATACCAATTTATACCCCCACCAGCCTTGCTAAAAGTATTCTAAGATATTAATTTTATGGTTAATAAAATATACACTGAGACTTCTGAAAAAACTTCAAATTCAACTCATGTGTACCCACAGGTTCCTTAATAACACCATAATAATCTGGTGCATCATTAGGGTCTACTGGTTCAAGGAAAGGCTGGGCCATCTTATGGGCCTATAATGAAAAAGTAGGCATTCTTATTGTCAGTGAAAACACTAATTCCATTTAAGATTCCCAGTTGAGTCACTACATCAATGAACCCAAAAGTCAGTTTTAAATGCGATACATGAAATACTTTATATTAGGTGATTTCTGCTCTAGTAATAAGTTACCTAAGATGAGCTTCCTCTGCAATAATGGTACTCAAAGCTTGGTCGGAAGACCTTGGTGTGGTGAAGGGGTGGGTTGCCCCTCCACACCTGTGGGTGTTTCTCGTTAAGTGGAACGAGAGACTTGGAAAAGAAAAAGACACAGAGACAAAGTACAGACAAAGAAATAAGGGGGCCCAGGGTACCTGCGTTCAGCATATGGAGGATGCTGCCGGCCTCTGAGTTCCCTTCATATTTATTGATCATTCTTGGGTGTTTCTCGGAGAGGGGGATGTGTCAGGGTCATAGGATAATAGTGGAGAGAAGGTCAGCAGATAAACACATGAACAAAGGTCTCTGCATCATAGACAAGGTAAAGAATTAAGTGCTGTGCTTTAGATACACATACACATAAACATCTCAATGCCTTACAAAGCAGTATGGCTGCCCGCGTGTCCCACCTCCAGCCCTAAGGCGGTTTTTCCCTATCTCAGTAGATGGAACATACAATCGGGTTTTATACCGAGACATTCCATTGCCCAGGGACGGGCAGGAGACAGATGCCTTCCTCTTGTCTCAACTGCAAAGAGGCATTCCTTCCTCTTATACTAATCCTCCTCAGCACAGACCCTTTAAGGGTGTCAGGCTGGGGGACGGTCAGGTCTTTCCCTTCCCACGAGGCCATATTTCAGACTATCACATGGGGAGAAACCTTGGACAATACCTGGCTTTCCTAGGCAGAGGTCCCTGCGGCCTTCCGCAGTGTTTGTGTCCCTGGGCACTTGACATTAGGGAGTGGTGATGACTCTTAAGGAGCATGCTGCCTTCAAGCATCTGTTTAACAAAGCACATCTTGCACAGCCCTTAATTCATTTAACCCTGAGTTGACACAGCACATGTCTCAGAGAGCACGGGGTTGGGGGTAAGGTTATAAATTAACAGCATCTCAAGGCAGAAGAACTTTTCTTAGTACAGAACAAAATGGAGTCTCCTATGTCTACTTCTTTCTACACAGACACAGCAACAATCTGATCTCTCTTTCTTTTCCCCACAGTGTGGGGGGTGGAACACAAGCTTAGAAGTCACAAAATCAGTATTCTGGGCCCTACATGATGAGCTGTCACTGAGTGATGCTGGCATTGCAACTGCTTCTGTAACAGGTGGGATGGGTTCAAAGTGTGGAATCATTACCACAGCTGATTAATGATGAGGTGGCAGAGATGTGATGTTAGATAACATTCAACCACACATTGAGACTACGATTCCCTTTTTAGTTTCTTCAATTCTTGTGATTATGATAAAAATAGAAGAAAGTTTCAATCCAATGCACTATATCCTTTTATTTCCCCCCATTGTTTTGAGACAGGGTCTCGCTCTGTCATCCAGGCTGGAGTGGAGTGGCACGATCATAGCTCACTGTAGCCTCCTGTGCTCAAGTGATCCTCTCACCTCAGCCTCCCAAGTAGCTGGATAAACAAGTGTGTGCCAACATGCCCAGCTAATTTTTTATTTTTATTTTTTGTAGAGATGGGGTCTCACTTTGTTGCCCAGATTGGTCTCTAACTAATTGACTCAAGTGATCCTCCTGCCTTGGCCTCCCAAAGTGCTGGGATTATAGGTGTGAGCAACCACACTGGCCTTCTGTGTCTTCAATACACCTGTATCACTTGCTAATCCTGCAAACCATACCTATCCTGGTTTTCTTTTCTTTCCTTTTTTTTTTTTTTTTTGAGACAGAGTCTCACACTGTCACCCGAGCTGGAGTGCCATGGCTCGATCTTGGCTCACTGCAACCTCTGCTTCCTGTGTTCAAGCGATTCTCCTGCCTCAGCCTCCCTAGTAGCTGGGATTACAGGCTCACGCCACCACACCCGACTAGTTTTTTGTATTTTTAGTAGAGACGGGGTTTCACCATGTTGGCCAGTCTGGTCTCAAACTCCTGACCTCATGATTTGCCCACCTCAGCCCCCACAAAGTGCTGGGATTACAGGTGTGAGCCCCCGTACCCAGCCACCTTTCTGTCTTTCATAAGGAAAATAATAACTATAATCTAATCATACTGTTTCTCAATCCATGGGAGTGAGAGGAAGTTTCTTTAAAAATAAAATGTATAAAGAAGTGAGTCACGTTAGATTATCTGAGTGTTAGATAAGCTGAGGTGGTGTGGGGATATGGTAAAGCTCATGACACTGGTATGTGAAGGACTGAAGTTTGTCAAGCCCTTCACTAGACTAGCTGAGACTCAGTAAATAATCACTCTAAGATTGGAAACTTGAAATCCTAACATTGGAAACTTGAAATCCTAGAAATGCTTCCAAAATTATGCCAGCTGATTTCATTTTCAAATGCTGCACACAGAGGGGCTCTCATCTGTAAGGAACGGAGCACCCTCTTCAACTCCTCATCATCCTTCTCTGTTAGTGGTGTGAGCACTGTCATGACATCCTCTGTTGACTGGCACTGTGGACAGACATACTCATCAATGAGCTCTGCCTCACTCTGCAAGATGCCAATGCAGCACCCATGGTACCAATTCTGACACCGATCATGGCCAATAAAAAATCTGCAAGATCCGAAATGGAAATGTGAGTTCAAAACAGATGGGATGATGTTACTTATAATAAAGCATGCACCTGAAAATTTGCTAAACCCTGGGATATAAAATAGTTTTAGTATTGTGGTTTTAATACTTTCAAGATCGACATTCCAGTACATTAATTTAGTATTTTTGATGTTAAGAACAAGCAGTAAAAAAATTTATAAGAACACTGTAATTTTGGAGAACCAATTTAAAGATAAATATGAAACATTCAATTGATTTTAAAGCTGAAAACAAGTCACAAATATTTCAACTAGTACTGTACCATGTGGGAGTTCAAAATCCTATAAGGTAATAACAGAGTCTCAAAGCTTATACCCAAATTAGTGTTTTTCTAACCTATAATAAAGCACCATTTCAAACACTGATAAAGTCCAAACAAGTCAAGCTAGTTTAATCTCATTAATTTCTATGTTACATATTGAAGAATCAAATCTACCATTAAACCACATTTTCCCCAATGTGTCTCAAACATTCACTATGAAGCAAGATAAATTTTGAAGGGTAGGTAAAAAGGGAAAAAGAGAAAAAAAAATGAAAAGGAATTTGTAATGTAAGTGTATAACAAATGTAGAAAAAATCTGCTTTTTATTTTAAAGTAAATAAGTAACCAGTCAGAGCAATTTGGCTTCCTAAATTATTAAATGTGATGCTCTTATTAGAACTCACTGTGACTGCAGGTGTTCTGCAGATACAGTACAATTCCTCACTGCTGCCCTCTTGTGCCCATTTACAATCATTACAGATGTACACATCCATTTTCTTAGCCTCCTTTTCTGCGATGCCAACACATTCTCCATAATAGCAGTTAGTACAAAGATCACAGCCAATATAGAACCTAGAAGTATTCACAACGAAAATGACAATGTAATTGTCGTTTTGAGCTGCATGGTACTTAAATCTGTCTTCCCTGCCTTGCTTCATTTTTTTACAGGATAACTTCCTGCTATGAGTCAGCTAAACATTCCTGAATCCAACCATTCTACCCCTGGCAAACTCCAGTATCTGATGCTCTATCACATGTGCAAACAAAGTCACTCACATGGGTTTCAACAAGTACACTGCTTAGTGAAATATGGGTCTTTAAAAACATACTGGAATTTGAAAAAATAAACCACACACTGATGGTAATGTCTTCCTCTGAATGAATGTGTGCAAAACTGTAACAGGCACAAAAACCAAAGCCAAAGAATCAAAGACTTACACCTGTCAAACCTATTCCACAGAAGCCATTTCAATATCAGGGCTATTTCTTAGATAGGTTTAAAAATGTATCTCACAATTTAAATTTGAAAACAAAGCAAAGCGCAAACACCAAGTAGAAGTTACACTACAAGGACCATGCAGGTCAGCCAGGTGTAGAAGATAAACGGTCAAAATATGCTAAGAAGAAGAAAACTAAGAAAGGTACATAGAGCAATTCAATCTCTACCAGGTTTTCTGAATAAACATTGGAATTTAATCGAATTAAAAATAATTTCTCATAATGGAATATGGCATGGGCCACTTTTTCAGTTAATATAATGTTTGTGACAATGTGGGCAGTGGCCTGGCTAGTTAACGGGTAGGGAACGTGGAAGGAGCTGCTTCAGTTCAACATCGGGGACATGGTATGGGGAAGGATGCAAAGATAGTTATCCAGAATCTGTCTACACTGCTTGGCAGGGTCTACACTGCTTGGCAAGGCGGAGCTGTGTAAGTGTGTGATTGTGGAGTGCACAGTGGCCTCTGTAATAAAAGACGTAATGACAAAAGAAAAAGTAAATGTAACAAACGCTTATACAGTGTGTCTACAAGTGTTGATAGGCACAGTGTAGGAACATCATGTCAAAGTCATAGTGAGAATTACCATGAATCACAGGGAAGCAGGCTGGCTTTGCCGATACCATTGGCACTCCTAGCTCTACCAAGGCATTTCTTGGTAGATTCACCTAGAGGAATGGAAGTCGTCCTCAAGCTTCAAATTGACCTGCTTCATGAATGTGAAGGAATAATACATGGCTATGTAGTTTATCCTGTTACCACTAACTTTTTTCTTTTGTCTCGCTGTATAACCCAGGCTGCAGGGCAGGGGCAGGATCACGGCCCCCTGCAGCCTGGACCTCCCAGGCTCACATGATCCTCCCACCTCAGCCTCCCGAGTAGCTGGGACTACAGATGTGCACCACCAGGCCCGGCTTTTTTTTTTTTTTTTTTTTTTTGACGGAGCCTTGCTCTGTCTCCCAGGCTGGAGTACAGTGGCATGATCTCGGCTCACTGCAACCTCTGTCTCCTGGCTTCAAGCAATTCTCTTGCCTCAGCTTCCCAAGTAGCTGGGATTACAGGTGTGTGCCACCACATCTGGCTAATTTTTGCATTTTTGGTTGTGCCACGTTGGCCAGGCTGGTCTCAAACTCCTGACTTCAGGCGATCCACCTGCCTTGGCCTCCCAAAGTCCTGAGATTACAGGTGTGAGCCACAGGGCCCAGCCTCTTTTCATATTTTTTAAAAAAAGTTTTAATGAGCAGTGAGGACGACCAGAGGTCACTTTCGTCACCATCTTGGTTTTGGTCGGCTTCTTTACTGCATCTTGTTTTTTCTTTTTTTTTTTTTTTGAGACTGGGTCTCACTCTGTCACCCAGGTTAGAGTGCAGTGGCACAATCTCGGCTCAGTGTACCCTGCACCTCCCAGGCTCAAGTGATCCTCCCACCTCAGCCTCCCAAGTACCTAGGACCACAGGCACGTGCCACCAAGCTCAGCTAATTTTTTGTATTTTTGTTAGAGACAGGGTTTCACCATGTTGGCCAGGCTAGCCTTGAACTCCTGACCTCAGGTGACCCATCTCAGCCTCCCAAAGTGCTGGGATTACAAGCGTGAGTCTCTGTGTCTGGCCAACATACTATTGTCTCAATATGCATTTTGCCATACTTTTTAAGTGCATCTCTTCTGCTATCCTGTAGTACAACTTACTCTTGGAAATGATCAAAGCAAACTATATTACCCTAGGGACAAACCCATTGTGATTGGCATCCACGAACAAATTTGGTGTAAAGAAATCATATCTATGACCAAGAGGGTTTCTTTCTTATTTGGAGATAAGAGTCTCACTTTGTCACCCTGCCTGGACTGCAGTGACATAAACACGGCTTGCTATAGCCTTGACCTGCCAGGCTCAAGTGATCCTCCTGCCTCAACCCCTTCAAATAGCTACAGGTGCTCACCACCATGCCCAGCTACTTTTTTTTTTGTAGAGATGGAGTCTTGCTGTGTTGCCCAGGTAACTTACCTCCTGAGCTCAAGTGATCTGCCTGCCTTTGCCTCCCAAAGTGCTGGGATGACAGTTATGAGCCACTTGTACCCAGCCATAAGAATATTTCTTAAAATCTGACTTAAAATTTTTTTAAAAAATTCTTTTAGAGATAGGGTTTCACCATGTTGGCTAGGCTGGTCTCGAACTCCTGACCTCAGGTGGTCTGCCCACCTTGGCCTCCCAAAGTGCTTGGATTACAAGTGTGAGCCACTGTGCCCAGCCAAAATCTGACACATTTATAAATTTCTACAATAATTTTAAATACCAAAAATATTCCCAAAACGTTTCATCATGATTATTTTTCTTCCTAAATCTTATAGTCTCTCAGAAAAATAACTTAGCCCACGTTTCCTTTAAAGAGTTTTTAATTTTTTTAATGAAGGGCCGAATTAATTTTATTTTTCCTTCTTTGAAAAAATTCATCCAGCACACTGGCTCACACCTGTAATCCCAGCAGTTTGGGAGGCCGAGGGCGGAAGATCACTTGCGTCCAGGAGCTCAAGAGCAGCCTGGCCACATGGTGAAACCCCATCTCTACTAAAAATACAAAAATGAGCCAGGTGTGGTGGCGCATGCCTGTAGTGCCAACTACTTGGAAGGCTGAGGTTGGAGGCTCCTTTAAGCCTGAGAGGTGAAGACTTCAGTGAGCTGTGATGGCACCACTGTGCTGCAATGTAGATGACAAAGTGAGACCCTGTCTTAAAACAAAACAAAACAAAACTTTTTTTTGGAGACAGGGCCTCACTTGATCGCCCCGGCTAGAGTACAGTGGTGCTATCATGGCTCACTGCAGGGTCGACCTCCTGGGGTCAAGCAGTCCCCTGGCCTCAGCCTCGCCAAGTAGCTGAGACTACAGGTGTGCATCACAACACCCAGCAAATTCCTTTTTGTAGAAACAGGGTTTTGCCATGTTGCCCAGGCTGGTCTCAAAATCCTGGCCTCAAGTGATCCACCCACCTCAGCCTTTTAGAATGCTGGGATTACAGGCTGTGAGCCACAACTCTCTTGGCCTATAAATGATAATTTAAGTGAATCTCTGAAGCTACAGTTTTTTGTTTCGAGATGGAGTCTCGCTCTGTCGTGCAGTGGCATGATCTCGGCTCACTGCAACCTCCGCCTTCTGGGTTCAAGTGATTCTCCTCCCTCAGCCTCCCAGGCAGCTGGGATTACAGGTGCCTGCCACCATGCCTGGCTAATTTTTGCATTTTTAGTACAGACGGGGTTTCGCCCTGTTAGCCAGGCTGGTCTCGAACTCCTGACCTCAAGTGATCGTTTCACCTCAGCCTCCCAAAGTGCTGGGATTATAGGCATGAGCCATTGCGCCCAGCCTCTGAAGCTATAGTTTTATAGATTCTAAAGCAGAGACTTCATATAGATGTCTATGAAAAGCCAAAAACAAACAAAAAACCCACAGGAAAACCTGATTCCCCACGCCAAAATTTCAAGGATTTGCCTAAAGGTAAGGTCCATCTGTACCTGAAATAAGTTTGCTGTGCCTCTTTTTCTGCAGGGTAACCCAGCCCTATGCACCAATCATTACATGACTACCTCAGGAAGCTTTTAAATATATCACAAATATTTTACCAAATAAACCTGAATGGCCCTGGTTTAATGAATCTGCTTCTCTGTCTATAGACTATCTAGTCTCATAAAGTCAAAAGAGAAGCAATGTGACAAATTATTCAACAGCCCTTCTCTATTTATAGAGAGAGACTGAACTTCTTCTTTGGTTAGAAAGAAAACCTTGAGTTTCATTTCCTAGTTCATATATTTTTATAACATCGTGGGACGGATTTTGGGAGAACCAAGATGGTATAGCGGGTGCACACTTTGATCCTCCCTCTCCCTTCAAGAACATACAAGTGAGAGTAAAATATAAAAAAGAGAAATTGAAAAGACATAGTCATGCTTAAATAAGTTACAACAATCTCAATGGAACAGACACAAAACTGTGAGCAGGACTAAAACTGCAGGCCTTCTAGACTCCAGATGCAGAAGGAGGAAGTGGTGGCTGAACACTAACAGTAAGAGTTTCTCGGGGGTAAGGGAGGCTAACATGCTGTGTGTGAGGCAGTGATAGGCTCCCTGCTGGAAGTTAAGGGTTGACTGGGCTACACTGGGCTTCAGGAGAGAAGAAAACAACACTCCTCTCACTCAAAATAAGCTTGCAAAATTCAAATGTTTGAAAATGAAAATGTGTAATATGAAAAAAAGACAACCAGGGCCCATACGGTGGCTCATGCCTATAATCCCAGCACTTTGGGAAGTCGAGGAAGGAGGATCACTTGCTTGAGCCCGGGAGTTTGAGACCAGCCTGGGCAACATGGCAAAACCTTGTCTCTACAAAAAAACAATGACAACAACAATAACAACAAAAAACACCCCAAAATTAGCCAGAGATGGTGGCATGGCACGCGCCTGTAGTCCCAGATACTTGGGAACCTGAGGCGGAAGGACTTACTGATCTGGGTAGGGGGAGGCTGCGATGGGGTGTGATTGCACCGCTGCACTCCAGCCTAGGAAAAAGAATAAGGCCCTGCTTCTCAAAAAGCAAAAAAAAAAAAAAAAAAAAAAAAACAAGCCAATAAAATCAATGGTCTAATCTGAATTCACTCCAAATGAAATTATAGAGCAATTTGACAGGCCGGGCCCGGTGGCTCACACCTGCAATCCCAGCACTTTGAGAGGCTGAGGAGGGAGGATCACTTGAGGTCAGGAGTTCAAGACCAGCTTGGCTAACATGGTGAAACCCCGTCTCTACTAAAAATACAAAAAAAGCTGGGCATGGTGGCAGGTGCCTGTAATCCCAGATACTCAGGAGGCTGAGGCAGGAGAATTGCTCCAACCCGGGAAGCGGAGATTGCAGTGAGCAGAGGCAGCCCTACGCCCTCCAGCCTGGGCAACAGAGCAAGACTCCATTTAAAAAAAAAAATTAACCCTATTTAAAAAAAGAGGCAGAAATAAAAATAGGTAGATGTAAAGAAGGAATCACATATCTTATAAACTAAAAAGAAAATAAAATGTATAATGTATTTTTAAAATATGCCAGTACTTATACATATTTGAAACTTCAGCAGAGACAGAGTTTCCTCATGTTGGTCAGGCTGGTCTCGAACTCAAAAGCAAATTACCTTAGCAATAATGTGTGTTTTTTTTTTTTTTTGAGACAGAGTCTTGCTCTGTCGCCCAGGCTGGAATGTGGTGGCGCGATCTCGCCTCACTGCAACCTCTGCCTTTTCGGTTCAAGCGATTCTCTTGCCTGAGTCTCCGGAGTAGCCGGGACTACAGGTGTGCGCCACCACGCCCAGCTAATTTTTGTATTTTTGTAGAGATGGGGTTTTACTATGTCAGCCAGGCTGGTCTTGAACTCCTCCCTTGGCCTCCCAAAGTGCTGGGATTACAGGCGTGAACCATTGCACCCGGCTCCTTCTTTCCCAAAGTATAATTTTTCTTCCTCATTAGATTATTTTAGTATAAAATGTGTTTATATACGAACACATGCATTAAAACAATATATACAAGATATATTCTAAAGTTTAAAAATGATTGTCTTTGGGGTTTAGATTTAGAGATCACTTTTATTTGTTGGCTTTGAAGTGCAACTGACCTATTTATTTCCATATAAAGGATATAAACTACAAATATTTTCCCACTCTGTACAGAATGTGGAATGGAAACAGTGCATGGCACACCTTAAGTGTCAAATAAACATTTGCTGAGTGAATTGAATGGATACATCATACTATATATACACTAGTCTGTAATTTGGATTTTTTGTTCAAGCACTTGTCATTGGCAATTTCCTCCAAATAATTAAAAAACGAAAAACACCAATCCCACATTATTTTCTTAAAATGGAAGTACATTTTTTGGATATTCCAAAATGTATTCCAGTGGTTCTCAGCCGGAAGTGGTTCTGACACCTCCTAGAGAGTGTTTGGGAATGTATGGGGAGCGGGCAAGGTTATCTTTTTGGTTGTAAAAATGATGAGGCTGGTACTAGCCTTTGGTATCCGGGCCCAGAGATGCTAAACTTCTTCCTACAGTGTGTAAACTGGCTTGTCCAAAAGGCCAAAGCGCTTCTGTTGAGAAACACTGATGACCAATCTCCTCTATGTGGTCCTGTGAGACTGTGAGACTGTGAAACACGTATTTGATCTTCCTCCCTGGATCCTGGCGTACAATTCCTAAAACCCTCAGAATCTGCAAAATAAGTCTTTTTTTTATGCTAATGATTGACTGATTAGGCTTTCCTAGAGAGCCTCAGGATTGGGGCTGGTGGTCAAGGCTTTCAGTGCCACTCTCAACCTCTGAGAAATAGAGAGAGGCTGAAGGTTAAGCTGACCACCAACGGCCAACGGTGTAATCATTAATGACTCTGTAATGAAGCTTCCATAAAAACCCAAATTGAGGCCGGGCACAGTGGCTCACGCTTGTAATCCCAGCACTTTGGAAGACTGAGGTGGGTGGATTACTTGAGGTCAGGAGTTGGAGGCCAGCCTGACCAACATGGTGAAACACCGTCTGCACTAAAAGTACAAAAAATTATCCAGGCATGGTGGCACACGCCTGTAATCTCAGCAACTCGGGAGGCTGAGTCATGAGAATCGCTTGAACCTAGGAGGCAGGTTCAATGTTTATCTTGTAACTGACTATGTTACTGAATTATAATTTTTTTTTGAGACCTAGTCTCATTCTGTCACCCAGGCTGGAGTGCAGTGGCGTGATCTTAGTTCATTGCAACCTCTGCCTCCCAGGTTCAAGCGATTCTCGGGCCTCAGCATCCCGAGTAGCTGGGATTACAGGCATGCACCACCACGTCCGGCTAATTTGTTTGCAATTGCAGAAAAGACAGGGTTTCACCATGTTGCCCAGACTGGTTTGAACTCCTGGCCTCAAGTGATCTGCCCGCCTCGGCCTCCAAAGTACTGGGATTAGAGGTGTGAGCCACTCAGTCCAGACAACATTTATTTCTTTATTCATTTCACCAGTTGGCATGGTTTCCAGACTTTTCTTGATTTATTTTATTTTATTTTTTGAGGAGTCTCACTCTTGCCGCCCAGGCTGGAGTACAATGGCACAATCTTGGCTCACTGCAACCTCCACCTCAGGGATTCAAGCGATTCTTCTGCTTCAGCCTCCTCAGTAGCTAGGATTACAGGCACCCGCCACCATGCCCAGGTAATTTTTGTATTTTTAGTAGAATTTAGGAGTTTCCTAAATTCTGGGGGCGTGTCTCCCTGTTCCCCCACCCCGACTAATTTCCCTCGGTCGCTGCCGCTGCCCCGTCCCTTAGGTCGCTCGGGCCGCCCCACTCCGAGAGTTTTTTTTCTTTTGCTGGCTCTTTCAGCTTCAGTTTCCCTAGGGGGCGGGAGGGGAATATTTGGGGGCTCTCCTGCCTTCCTCTCCGAGCCGCGGAAGGGGAGACGCAGGGAGGAGGTCCGGCCGGCTTTGGGCTCCAGCCAGGGGTCCGCGGAGACTATGGTCTCCGAAGGCCTTAGACGCGGGGCATTTCACGAGCTGCGCGTCTCTCTCAACCGCGCCACCAAGCCCGGAGTCCAGCCGCGCCGCGCTGCGCCCAGCCCCGGCGCCCCAGGATCTCCGCCCCCGACTCAATGCTCCCGCGCTCCCCCTAGCGGCCGCCGCGCCACCTCGCCCCGTCCCAGGCTCGTAGGCAGCTCAGCTCACGTGACCGCGCTCCGTTAACGGAAGAAACAAAATGGCGGCTGAAGGCGATCCGCAGTGGGGCCCCAGCCATTCGGATTGAGCCTTCTCCCTCCAACCGCTTCCGCAGGCCAGCCCCCTCCTGCCCTGCCCCTCTGGCCTCCCCACCTGGCCCCGGCCGCCCCCACTGCGCCCGCCCCTTCCCAGCCGCTTTCCCTTCTCCCTCTGCCTCGGCTCCAACATGAGGGGCCGGCGGGGCAGGCCGACGAAGCAGTCCGCGGCTCCCTCTGCGGAGCGCTGCGCCCCGGCCCTGCCGCCGCCGCTGCTGCCCACGTCCGGACCCATCCGGGGTTCCGCTCGCGGCAACGCGGTAGCAGCCGGGGCAGGTGGGCCACCGCCAGGCTGAGGCGCCCAAGACACGGCTGAGCTCGCCCAGGATGGGCAGCAGTAGCCGGAGAAAGCCGCCGCCGCCGGCCCCACCCCAGCACCAGCGCCCCGGCCGGGGGGAGGCGGGGGCAGCCACCTGGCCCGGACGGCTGCGGTCCGGAGGGCTGTCAACAAAGTGGTGTAGGAGGACGCCAGTTACTGCACGGAAAGCAGCGTCAGGAGCCATAGTACCTACAGCAGCACTCCAGGTACCCACTCAGCCCAGTTGCTGCAGACTCCTTCCCCACCTTCTCTGCCCTCCCCCTTTGCTCACTCGTGTGCTGTGCATCCTGCTCCGATCTCCCCCCAACCCCGCCGACCCCCAGAGGGGAAATGCGAGGGCACATCAGGTGGCAAAAAACCAGATTTATAGGAGGAAAGAGGCGCATTGTTCAAAATGGAGATTGCATTGTTGCAGTTGGCAGGCCACACTCGCTCTCTCTTCCCGCCTCCCGCCAACCTCCTCTTTTTCCTCCTCAGAATTTGTACCAGTGTAGTGTCTCCACCGGGCAAGATTGAAACTTGGGCAAACACATATCCATTGCTTTCATTTTTTCCCCTTGTTTTGGTATAGTTTTCTGGAATGAAAGAAGCCTCTTGTTTTGCAAACCTCTTTTCATTTCTAATGTGGTTCCTTTCGGATTTTTATTATATATCTGTTCCTTAAAAGGGAATTAAGGATTTGGACAGATTGTGTGCCACAATCTGTTTTCACACCCCTAGCTGTGGTTTTAAAAATATGTTAAGGAAACGGATCATTTGGGTTAGTAGGGGAACCTTATCTGGTCTTGTGTGTTTGTTTTTATTCTTCGAGTGCTAACGGGCCCGTGCAACAGTTTCTGGTAAATGGCTGATTAAAAAGCAAAGCAGAAAGCCAAACAAGACCCAACCAAATTTGGTAATTCATCTGATTCAAAATTGTTTTGGTTAAATCAAAAATTTACAAGACCGCAGGAACGCGCGTCTTAACTCATTTGATCGCTTTGCCTTGCTTGGGAAATGCAGGTTCGTGTCACCTGTTGCAGAAGATGTGTAGTTGATCATCTAGGCATAATTGCCTAAGATGAACTTTTGGACAAACTTCTAAGTCACACAGTGTCAGTATCAGATTTATTACACAACAACTTATTCTTTTCACTCTATTTCTGAGGAAAAAGCCCTCCCGAAATCCGTAATGAATTTCTCCATGGTAACCCCTCTTCTGTTTACACACAGAAAAGTTTCTCTAGGCCGGTGCTGAGATGCATTTTGTTAACCACCCCGTGGCACCGCCCCGCCCCGCCCCGCCCAAAGGCTGCTTTGTATTAAATACGTAGTTGCAGTGTACTAAATTGTGAAATTAACATAACCGAAGCAACAACCGGCAAGACTTGTCCTTTATAATTTTGCAAATCTAGATTAATTAAATTAGAATCTGGTTTTAAAATCATTTTTAAAATAAAGTTTATGAGGAAGTATTTGTGAGGAAAAAGGACCCTTTTTTCCTTGAAGTGAGGTGTGTCATGTCTTTCTCAGAGAGACTAGGGTAGTAGAAGTGGTTAAATTGAAAAGTTTCTGTTTTTTAATAAATGCTTAAATACTTATTGGAGAAGTAGGGTAGTATTATATTAAGCCAAATGTAAACCCACGTAGGTTGTCCTAACATAAACTGAAAAAAGGTAATTTCTTTTGCCCGATGGTCAGAATCCTCGCCAGACTTGCCCTGGGAGGCTGGCTGGAGAATGAAGGGAATGAATCAAATGTCAGATATTTATGTCTTATATGTAAAAAGGAGTACATGTAAATTCTTGCCAACTTAATTTTAGTGCTTTTTTTTTTTTTTTTAAAGGAGTCTTGCTCTGTCGCCTAGGCTGGAGTGCAATGGCGCAGTCTTGGCTCACTGCAACCTTCACCTCCCGGACTCAAGTGATTCTCCTGCCTCAGGCTCCCCAGCAGCTGGGATTACAGGCGCCCACCAGCGTGCCTGGCTAACGTTTGTATTTTTAGTAGAGATGGGGTTTCACCATGTTGGCCAGGCTGGTCTCGAACTCCTGACCTCATGATCCGCCCACCTCAGCTTCCCAAAGTGCTGGGACTAAAGGCGTGAGCCACCGTGCCTGGCCTAGTACATCTTTTATAGTAATAATTTTTACCTTAAGAAATCACATGTTGGTCTTTGTACCCAGAGCCGGTAATTGAAACATGGAGACTGGATTGCATACACCCCTGGAGGAAGTTTTTTCTGGTTAGACAGAGCTGAGACATTTTGGCAGGGCAGTTCAGCTAACTTTAAGTCATATTTGAAGGCCTAGCAAATAATATTTAGGATTGATGGCTGTGCATATGCTGACTTAAATTACAATTTGTAGCTAGGTGTTCTTTAAAAAAATGTGTTTACTTTTGATACTTTTGTGACATTTTTTCTTTTTTTGAGAAGGAGTTTTGCTTTTGGTGCCCAGGCTGGAGTGCAATGGTAGAATCTCGATCTTGGCTCACTGCAACCTCTGCCTCCCAAGTTCAAGCAATTCTCCTGCCTCAGCCTCCCAAGTAGCTGAGATTACAGGCATGCACCACCACGCCTGGCTAATTTTGTATTTTTAGTAGAGACGGGGTTTCTCCACGTTGGTCAGGGCTGGTCTCAAACTCCCGACCTCAGGCGATCCGTCTGCCTCAGCCTCCCAAGGTGCTGGGCCTACAAGCGTGAGCCACCATGCCTGGCCTGAGATTTTGTTTTTCTTAATGACACCTGTAGCCTACTGTGTCTACTTGTCCTATCCTTATATGAAATTATTAACTCTGTAGAGATAGGTATTGAGCTTATTCCCTCTGCAGCTCGTGTAAGTGTTTTGCACATAGCAAGTGCTCATCAAAGATTGGTTGGATAAATTATTGTTAGTAGATGAGAACTTGTAGTACATGAAGTTTCGATAATTCTACAGTGGGTGTCATAACCCCTAAATATTTTGGATTTAGGAAACTAAAAATCGTCCTAATTGGTTTTTTGTTGTTGTTGTTCTTTTCTAATTGGATTTTGATGGACAATTTGATCAGTGAATGTCTCGCTCTGTTGCCCAGGGAGGAGTGCAATGGCACGCACGATCTTGGCTCACCGCAACCTCCACCTCCCGGGTTCAAGCAATTCTCCTGCCTCAGCCTCCTGAGTAGTTGGGACTACAGGTGCACGCTACCACGCCCAGCTAATTTTTTGTATTTTAGTAGAGATGGGGTTTCACCATGTTGCCCACGCTGTTCTTGAACTCCTGAACTCAGGCAATCCACCCGCCTCAGCCTCCCAAAGTGCTAGGATTACAGGCATGTGCCACCTGGCCTGGCCCAGTGAATGTTTTTCATTGCAAGAGTTACTTTGTTTTTGAGTTGCTATTTCATATTGCTTGCCAGGCATTTTTCTTTATTGGCTGTGATGTTAATTTGGATGTTTTACCTTTTGCAACGCATTATTTCTTAAGATTATGGTAAAATGGATGTGACTTTTTTTTTCCTTATTTCTTCTAAAAACAAAATGGAGTACATGTGCAGAACGTGCAGGTTTGTTGCATAGGTATACGTGTGCCATGGTGGATTGCTACACCTATTGACCCACCCTTTAAGTTCCCTCCCCTCGCCCCCCACCCCCTGGATGTGAGTGACATTTTGAGTTCCAAACTTTTAGAACATGCCCACTTGCCTCGAATGAGTAACAACGCGTGACAGTGAGTTGTTTAGGCTAAGTACTAGTTTCATTGGTTTTATAGTCTGTACTTCCTGGGTGGAAGGCTGTCAGGTAAATGTGTAGATGGAAGAAAAAAATTTTAGAACTGGTTTAAGATATCTGAATAACACATAAAGAAGTATGATTGATGAATTTGAATCCTGTTGTACTGCGAAGGCTGAAAGAGGAATTTACTTTATTGGTAATTTAGAGTAATTTGATTAATTTTTATAGTTTACAGCGTTGGCTTAATTACTGACATGTGACATTCCTAACATAAGAAATAACTCCTAATATAAGAAATAACTCAGTATTTTGTAGGTAATATAACAATGCAGCAGCATTAATTGATATTACTAAAGTCATGAAAGGTTTATTTATTGAAGATTGTTTTCCTTTTATGGAAAAAATGTAAGGATGACATTGCAACCACCTAGTTTTGCTTTAGCCGAAAGCATATGGCTGAATAATGCTTTAATTTATTTTTACTTTTTAAATTTAGAATTACTTCAGCCTATAGATTTTATGACATTGCCGATATAATGAGAAGGACTGTATAGGAAGTGTTTTCAATAGGCATTTGGTAAAGTTCTGACAGCACTTTGAAATTAAGCATTTGCTAATTTTAAGAAATTGTATGTAAAACAGAATGGTTCTTGTGTTTCAGTCTCAGTCTTATGTGAGACTTCTGAGAATACTTACCTGGAATTTTAAAACTTGGAACCTCTGATGACTTCATAAAACAAAAGCCCTGGTGTTATCCTGGGACAGTTAGTGATTTATGTCCTCTAAGGATTGTGACAGTGGAGATCAGTGGCAGAGATGCCATCAATGAACCATAGATTTACCTCAAACAGAATTTGTCACTGGTTTGACAATATTATTCCCACCAGTGTCAACTTAATATCTTTTCAGTATAATTTCTGATCGTTACAAGTGAGGTACAAAGTGCAGTGGGCATTTAAAGGAGGGCGAGATTATATACCCTGTTTAAGGGGATTGGTGTGGGCGTAGGCTTCCTGGATGGGCATGTGGAGAGTAAGGACAGGCAGATTGAGGGAGGGAGGGGGAGAGAGCGGGAGGGAGCGGCAGGCACTGATAGTAAAGTGTGGGCAGTCTCAAGTAACTCGGTGTAACAAGAGCCTGAGTGTGTGAATAGGAAATTAATCAAAACTCCCTTGTATGTTGTGTTGGGCAGTACTTAGAGGATCAGGCTATAGCAACTGTACTTTCCCCCTCTTCTGTAGAATAGGGATTGGGCTGGATCGTGATCCTCAGGCCTTTTTCACTCCTGACACCCCGAGAAGATATGCTGTATTCCCAGCAGCACCATGCATGAACATGAAACAGAACCACATCAAATCACAGAGATGATGTTGAACCACTGGTGTAGCCCTCTCTCTCAAATCTGTTTCGAATCTGTTTAATTTTGGGTATTGGGATGATCAGAAGATCTTGAAGCATAGCTTCTGTTCTGCAGGATGGATTGACAAGGACAAGATAGCTGGTGGGTTTTGTAGTCCTAAATGGAAGATCAGTCCAGGAGGTACTCTAGAGTTCTTCTGGCCTTGACACATAGAATGTAGAGAGAGGAATGCATCACCTACGCCTCCCTAAGAATGGTAGTACTTTCAGTAACAATAGGGAGGTCAAGATTATAAGGGAAATTAATGACATCTGTTTTCAGGTATCAGTACCTCAAGAGATTAAACATGAGAATTAAAGTGAGAGCCAAAAGGGTTTTGAAAAAGTTGGGCAACATGATTTGTGAGTAGTGGAGAGGCATGTCCTAGTTACGCAGTGATAAATAGTCTTGCATACAGTTCGTGCTGTTCTATTCTGCTCACCCATGGGCGTGTTTGGAAGTTTGTGTTGAAACATGCATATAACAGGACTGGGGATGTTAAGACCAGGAGCTCTGGTCTCTTCTGTTAG
Organism: Homo sapiens; assembly: GCF_000001405.40. Classification (NCBI taxonomy): domain Eukaryota; kingdom Metazoa; phylum Chordata; class Mammalia; order Primates; family Hominidae; genus Homo; species Homo sapiens. The sequence continues at coordinate 1,003,523 of NT_187663.1, forward strand.
GTCCTCCTTTCCTCAGTCCTCAAGACCCTGTGTCTTCCCTTTGACTAAAGACCCTTAATGATGGAGACATGGGGGTGAGAGAGTGGTAGTCATGGTGAGCAAGTGGTAATCTGGGTGACACAGGAACAAATCCTAGCTGATGCCCTTTTCCCTTCCTGCTCCTTAGCCAGGCTCGAATCCCTCTTCCTGGGAGATCTTCCTTGAGTCCTGTTGCGCACCTTGTTCTTCCTTCTCTTTGAGTGCCTGTTGACAGTGGTTATGATCTCAGCACTAGCTTAACACTGACACTAATTATTCTATTTTTTTTTTCTTTTGAGACGGAGTCTCACTCTGTCGCCCAGGCTAGAGTGCAGTGACACAATCTCAGCTCACTGCAACCTCCACCTCCTGGGTTCAAGCTATTCTCCTGCCTCAGCCTTCTGAGTGGCTGGGACTACAGGCGCCCACCACCACACCCGGCTAATGTTTGTACTTTTTAATAGAGACAGGGTTTTACTGTGTTGGCCAGGCTGGTCTTGAACTCCTGACCTCGTGATCCACCTGCCTCGGCTTCCCAAAGTGCTGGGATTACAGGCCTGAGCCAACACGCCCGGCCTCTAATTTTTTTCATGCTTTTGGTTCTTTAACATAAGCATCAGGAGGCAGCATGTTTCTTAACTTAAAAAAAAATTATACATTAAAATACACTTTAAAAGATCGAAAGTGACCATATAGAAAGAATTAAAATGCGTGTAAATATAATGTTTCAATTGTTTTGTCTGCTGGTATATATCTACAATTTTTATGTTTTTCTTGATAGTTATATTCAAATATTATTTTGAGATTGTCACATTTTAAAAATAGCGACAGTAATAGTTAACATTTATTGAACATCTTTTAAATTGCAGAATGATTTTCAAGCAATATTTATGAAAATTCAGTTTTTAAAAGGTAACAGCTTTATGGAGATATAATTTACATACTGTAAAATGTACCCTTGTAAAGTATGCAATTTAGTGGTTTTTTTTAGTGTATTGACAGAGTTGTGCAACCATTAACACTACCTAATTCCAGCTTGTTTTTACGCCCCTGCAAAAGAAGCCCATGCCTATGGCGTCACTCCCTGTTCTTCACCTCCCTCCTGCTCTCCCCTGGCAGCCAGTAATTACGTTCATTTGCTGTTGATTTGCCTCTTACGGACATTTCTTATTAAGTGCAATCATATAATGTATGGCTTCTGTCATTTAGCCTAATGTTTTCAAGGTTTATGCGTATCATAGCATGTATCAGTACTATATTTGAATAACACTTCATTGTATGGCTATACCACTTTTTTTTTTTAAATGGAGACAGGGTCTTGCAATGTTGCCCAGGCTGACCTGAAACTCCTGGGCTCAGGCTTCCTGCCTCAGCCTTCCAGCCTCCAGAGTAGCTAGAGTTACAGGCACACACCTCTGTGCCCAGAGACCATGTTTTGCTTATCCATTTCGTAAGTTCATGGACATTTGAACTGTTTCCACTTTTTGGCTATTACGAATAATGCTGCTGAGCACATTCGTGTACATGTTTTTATCTATACATATATTTTCATTTCTCTTAGGTATATAAATAGGATTATTTGCTGGATTATTGCAAATTCAATTTTAATTTCTTTTCTTTTCTTTTTTTTTTTTGACACAGAGTCTCACTCTGTCGCCCAGGCTGGAGTACAGTGGCATGACCTTGGCTCACTGCAGCCTCTTCCTCGGTTCAAATGGCCAGGCTGGTCTTGAACTTCTGACCTCAAGTGATCCACCCGCCTTGGCCTCCCAAAGTGCTGGGATTACAGGTGTGAGCCACAGCACCTGGCAGAAAATAATTCAGGCATTAGAATGAATCCTTAATGAGATAGATTGGTTAGGCTGGGATGTGGTGAGCGGGAGAAAAGGAGTCAAGGATGAACTGACTTCTAAATCTCCTGTTTGAAATGCTTGTTCCCCGGTGCCGTGAAGAAACAGCACTTGAACATAAATTTAGTTTACTTAGTAAGGCCATTTTTACTTCCTGCAGAAAGGGTACACTCACGGGCAGTTTTGCCATGAGAGTACACCCAACAAAGGAGATAGGGTCATTTATAACCTGACGCATCTACCTTACTGCTGTTTCCGGTTTCCTTTGGCTGGAACGGGACCTCACATTCTGTATTTGTCCCGATTGGTTAGTAACTTAGAACTTTTTAAAAGAGGCAAAGGTAGAGGGGAACAAAGGAAGGAGGAAGTAACTTGTGGAATGTTGAGAAAGGTAAAAACACTTTTAAATAAGGAAGAGGAACAGGCTATGACCTAATGCTTGCTTGGACCAGCCTAAGCGTGCCAGGGCAAATATTTAGGCTAAATTGTGGGAGCTAAGAACATAAAGTACATTGATTTCTTTATTATGGCTAGCGGATATTTAAGAATGTTAGCACAGGTCTTTGAATAAATTTTGCTTCTAAGAGAAGTTACTATTTATTCTTAATTAGAGAGGAAAGTCTTGAAGAGGAACCTCTACTTTACTTTTTACATCCCCCTTATTTCTCTTTTCCTTGTTCACTCCTTATTTCTTCTCTTCATCTCAAATTGATCTAGTAATACTTATTTCTTTGTAGTTCTCACAGACCCACCTCCTAGTCACCCATCCATCACCCTCTCCAGCCTGCCTTCTCTGATCACCATTCCCTTTACCCCCAGGTGGGGCTAAGTTCCTTTGTTTTCCACCCCCTTAACCTCCAGGACCTTGTGCATTAATTGTTTTAGCCAAATATTTGGGGATTTTTTTTTAGGTATCTTTCAGTTACTGGTTTCTAATTTAATTTCATTTTGTTCAGAGAGCATACTTTGTATGACTTTAATTTTGTAAAACATTTTTAGAGGTTTTGCACCCCAAAATTTTGTCAGTCTAAGTGAATATTCCATATGTACTTGAAAAGAATTTTGTATTCTGCTCTTGTCGGGTGGAGTATTGCATAAATATCAATTACGTCAAGTTTGTTGATAGTGTTATTAAGATCTGTCTGACTTTCTACTTGTTTTGTTGATTACTGAGGGAAGTGTTGAAGTCTACAGCTATTGTGAAGGATTTGTCTGTTTCTCCTTGAAGTTCTAGCAATCTTCATGTATTTTGAGGCTCTGCATCTATGTATTTTGAGGCTCCTTCCTAAAGTCCATAAACCTTTAGGAAGGATTGTTTTATCCTCTTAATTATTTAACCCCTTTATCTATATCTATATCTGTTAAGAGGTGGAACTGAAATGGCCTTTTAATGATCTGGCCCTTCCTTCATTACAACCTACTTTGGGCAGGGAAAGTCCCATTCAGTCTCTGGAGTGCCTGGTTAAATCTCTTGAACGCAGTAGGCAGCACAGGTAATTGTGGAACTGAACGTTGAGTCAGATAAAGCCTGTGGGTTGTTTTCATCCTCTGTACTGTCCAGTATGGTAGCTACTAGCCACATGTGGAGAGTTAAATTAATTAAAACTAAGTAGGCCAGGTGTGGTGGCTCACACCTGTAGTCTCAATACTTTGGGAGGCTGAGGTGGGAAATCACTTGAGGCATCAGTTAAAGACCAGCCTGAGCAACAGGGTTTTGTAAAAACCCTGTCTTCACAAAAGAATTAAAATAGTTGGGCATAGGATGGCATGCCTGTAGTTCTACCTGCTTGGGAGGCTGAGGTGGGAGGATTGCTTGAGCCCAGGAGTTTGAGGCTCTAGTCAGCTATGGACTGTGCCACCACACTCCAGACTGGGTGACAGAGTGAGAACCCATCTCTTAAAAAAGAAAATTAAGTAAAATGAAAACTTCAGTTTCTCCAGTGGCACTAGCTGTTATACATTCATTTCAAGTGCTCTGTAGCCACGTGTATTGCACCACACAAAGGTAGAGCATTTGGGGCATTTCATATCATTACAGAAAGTTCTCCTGGACTCACTGTAGTCAGTCTGCCTCTGTTAGACCAGTGAGAATTTACCTAACATCTCCTTTTCTAGCCTTTTATTTGCCCTAAATCCTGCACAGCTTGGGTAGCCCCAGCGGTCTGGCTGAGTGAGGTCCTCCTTTGTGGAGACTCTGGGCCCAGCATTATTTGTGTATGTGATGGTATTGCATTTCTGCAGTAAGATTTGGGGTCATGTGTGAGATGACTTTCCATTATTTGTTGTTCTTGGTGGTAGGGTGAAGAGGCAGTCAGTTAACACATAGTTAGAAAATCTGCCACAGTCCTGGTAAAAGTAAGCTGAGAGTCATATATGTAGGCCAGAAGGGAAGGAAGGATTAGGATTCAGAGACTTTTGGTTGAGAAATTAAATTTGATAACTCAGAGAATTTCAGTGTTATAAAAGTGTAAATGTTGATATGCAAACTGAATTGTGAGATTTTAGTATGTCCTAGTGTTTCTGGGTTCTCCTATATAAAACCTCTTACGCAGGAGTCACTGGCCAAATTATTTGTCTATGGAACCCCCCTGAGATTTGCTAAGAAAGTTATGCTTAGACTCCTCTCTACTCATGGATATGTTCTGTAATTCCCACACTTGGGAAACGGCTTGGCCATGTGATTCATACCAAATGGCAACATTCAGTAGGTGCAGTTTATATGTTTTACTAGAAATATGGCTTCTTGCTCGATTTCACTATGTTCATAGTGCCTCTTTTGAGGTCTGTGTGTATATTCTATTTATGGAAGTTAAAAAGTATTTCAGAAATGCATATATTAATCTGTGTGGAATTTCTCTTATCCTTTTTCCTTTCCAATTCTTGCTTGGATATTTGTCTCAAGAGATGGTCCAACATTTAAAATAGCGAATAATATCTTAGCCCATCCAAAAACAATCCTTCTTAAAGGTTTATGAACTTAATAACAGAGCCTCAAAATACATGAGGAACTCATAGAACTCCAAGGAGAAACAGACACATCCTTAACAATATTGTAGACTTCAACACTCTTCTCACAGTAATCAAGACAACAAGTAGAAAGAAAGTGCAGTTTTCCCTGTTTTTGTAGACATCAAAACTATTTCACACACTTCTGAAAGTCTCATTCAGTAAGTTACTCATTTCTCCACCTTATGACTGTACTGTGCTTTCAAAGTGCTGCGCAAAGAATAAAAAGTTTTAAAGTGGCTTTACTGTAATTTCAGATAAATATTTGAACTTTTGAGTCTGAATTATCCAGGTGAAATGCATTGGATTTCTGATCCTCTGTAACTTGGAAGATTACCGTCTTCCAGGTATATTGGTTGTCCTTAACTGCCTTAATGGCATGAGTTGTGAATCTTCTCTGTCTTGGAAGAAACCTAACAGTGGAAATTGTTTATGGCAAGGGTCACAAATTTACATGCGCAGAAGGTCAGGACCCTCTGTAAGGTAAAGGCATGAAGTGCCCCCTTCTTTATTAACACATAACTGCATTTGCTGATAATATTTATTTGCCTAGAATTCAGGCCCTTTTTGCTTTTACAGACAGTGCTGTCTTAAATGTGCTAGAGATGTATCTTTAGTCACTTAAGCTGGTGTTTCTGTAGGGTAGGTTCCTAGGAGTGGGATTGGATTGTTGGGTTACAGTATGTGCTATTTAAAAGACTGAACCAGATTATACTCTCAGAATCTGTTTGTTTTTAAACCTTCCCTAGTCTGTGCTTATGTGTTTTGTTTGCTTGTTTGTTTTTTGTTTGTTTGTTTGTTTGTTTGTTTTTTGAGATGGAGTCTCCCTCTGTCACCCAGGCGGGAATACAGTGGTGTGATCTCGGCTCACTGCAACTTCCACCTCCCTGGTTCAAGCAGTTCTCCTGCCTCAGCCTTTCAGGTAGCTGGGATTACAGTCACATGCCACCATACCCGGCTTATTTTTTTGTATTTTTAGTAGAGACAGGGTTTCACCATGTTGGCCAGACTGGTCTCAAACTCCTGACCTCAGGCAATCCGCCCGCCTGGGCCTCCCAAAGTGCTGGGATTACAGGCGTGAGCCACTGCGCCTGGCCTGTGTGGTTTTTAAATTAACTTTTTCTAGTCTACTAAGGTTTACTCAGACCTTTAGCAGTTGTTCTTGGATACTGACTAGGCCCAAAGTCCTCTTCTCATCAATGTATTGGCAAATACACTCACTTGCGATGTGATATGAGACCCTGAGGTTTACCTCCCAAACAGCAGGATGTCTGTTTTGAGAGTTTCCTGGCCAAGTGGTGGAAAGTACCATGGAAATGGAGTCTTCCTTGCTTCTTACTTAACTTGAGTTTGGACCATAGAGAAGTCATTCTTGTGTGGACCTCAGTTTACTCACCTGTACAGTATAGGATGGACTAGATGATCTAATGATCAGGGGATTGGCAAACTTGTTCTTAGGGCACCAATTAGTAAATATTTTAGGTTTTGCAGGCCACCTGGCTATGTCACAGCTGCTCAGCTCGGCCCTGGTAGGATGAAAGCAGCCATAGACAATAAGTAAACAAATGAGTGTGGCTGTGTTCCAATAAAACTTTATTTACAAAAACAGGCTGTGGCCGGCCATAGTTTGTTCACCCCATTTTTGAGCTCTTGACATTCTTTAGTCTGTGATTTCGATAATTAGTTTAGGAAAAAAGCTTTGACTTTCATAAATAATGCTTCTGGAAATCTAGTAAAACCTTTAAATTTTGGCCAGGCATGGTGGCTCACACCTGTAATCCCAGCACTTTGGGAGGCCGAGGCGGGTGGATTGCCTGAGCTCGAGAGTTGGAGACCAGCCTGGCCAACATGGCGAAACCTCGTCTCTACTAAAAATACAAAAAATTAGCCGGGCGTGGTGGTAGGCGCCTGTAGTCCCAGCTACTTGGGAGGCTGAGGCAGGAGAATCGCTTAAACTCAGGAGGCGGAGGTTGCAGTGAGCCGATATCATGCCACTGCACTTCAGCCTGGGTGACAGAGTGAGACTTCATCTCAAAAAAAAAAAAAAAACCTTTACATTTTATTTTTGCTTTTTCCCTTTATCAGGAAAGTAATGTAGAAAATTTAGAAAACCCAGAACATTAATATTTTGGTTCCTCTCATTAGGTAACCATCTTTGGGTGGACATGTGTACATACATACATACTTTTTTTTTTTTCTTTTGAGCAAAAAAGTACATACTTTTTCTTTTTTTCTCTTCTGTCACCCAGGCTGGAGTGCAGTGGCGCGATCTCGGCTCACTGCAACCTCCACCTCCCGGGTTCAAGCGATTCTCCTGCCTCAGCCTCCTGAGTAGCTGGGACTACAGGTGCTCGCTGCCACACCCAGCTAATTTTTTGTATTTTTTAGTAGAGATGGAGTTTCACCGTGTTGCCCAGGCTGGTGTCGAACTCCTGAGCTCAGGCGATCCGCCCGCCTCAGCTTCCCAAAGTGTTGGGATTATAGGCGTGAGCCACTGCACCTGGCACATGTATATGTATGTATTTTTTACAAAATTGGATGAAGTATAATTTATTTGCTAAATATTTTCACTTATGCCATGATATCTTATTTAATCTTTAATTTGTCTATGAAAATACCTGCTCTGCTAGGGGACTTCTAGTTGAAAACTCATTAATTTAAAAAATTAATTTTGAATTCAGCCACCTATTCTTTTTTCTAATTGTTTCTTGTAGCTTTTGCTTTGATTGGAATAACTTTATTCTAGGAATAAAGTTGTGTCATCTGCAAACATGAATCATGTACACATCTGATTTTCTTATATTTATGTCTCCTTTTTCTCTTCAAATTACATTGCCTTTACCATTGATGGGAACCTGGGTAATAAAGAAAAAAGAAAAAAATTGCATTCCCTACCACCTCCTCCAAAACAATGTCAAATGTTAGTTATAATGATAGGCATCTTAGTATGCTATCCCAATTTAATGGAACTGTTGCAGATATTTAATGGTTAACTGTTGGTTTGAGACCTTTAATGTGTTGAGTATATTCACCTATTTCAATTTTTTTTCTGTTTAAGTTTTTTTTTTTAAAATCAGATATGGCTATTATATTTTGTTAAATGACATCTTAGCATCTTTTAAGATGATCATATAGTTTTCCTCCTGCATGCTACATATTAATTACAGTAGTGTATATTCACAGAATTATATTAGTAGATCTTATATTGATTCACCCTTACATTCTTGCAGTGAACCTCTCTTGATCATATTATTTTTTCATGTACTGTTTGACTTTATTTATTTAGTTTTGAGACAGAGTTTCGCTCTTGTTGCCCAGGGTGGAGTGCAGTGGCGCGATCTCAGCTCACCACAACCTCCGCTTCCCAGGTTCAAGCGATTCTCCTGTCTCAGCCTCCTGAGTGGCTGGGATTACAGGCGCCCGCCACTACGCCTGGCTAATTTTTGGTATTTTCAGTAGAGACAGGGTTTCACCATGTTGGCCAGGCTGGTCTTGAACTCCTGACCTCAGGTAATCCGCCGGCCTCGGCCTCCCATGGTGCCGGGATTACAGGTGTGAGCCATCGCGCCCGGCCCGTTTGACTTTTAAATAGGTATTTTAATTTTTTAGTTTATACGTGTACAGTGCATAATGTATTTAAGATTCATCTGTGTTGTTGTATCAGTAGTTTCTTTATTGCTGAGTAGCAGTCCTTTATATGAGTGTATCACAGTGCATTTATCTGTTCAATAGTTGAATATTTCAATTATTTCTAGTTTGTGGCAGCTATGAATAAAGCTGCCGTAAACATTTCCATAATGTTTTTTGTCTGAACACAATTCTTGTTTCTCTTGAGTAAATACCTAGGAGTATGATTTCTGGGTTGTATGTTTATAAGAAACTGCCAAAACTGTTTTCCAAAGTAGCTGTACCATTTTGCATTCTTACCTGCAAATGTATGAAGAGTTCCGGTTGCTCTGTATCCTCCCTAGCACTTGATATTTTCAGGGTTTTGTTTTGTTTTTTTTTTTTTTTTTTGAGATGGAGTCTGGCTCTGTCACCCAGGCTGGAGTGCAGTGGCGCGATCTCGGCTCACTGCAAGCTCCGCCTCCCGGGTTCATGCCATTCTCCTGCCTCAGCCTCCCGTGTAGCTGGGACTACAGGCGTCTACCACCACGCCCGGCTAATTTTTTTGTATATTTAGTAGAGACGGGGTTTCACCATGTTAGCGAGGATGGTCTCGATATCCTGACCTCGTGATCCGCCCGCCTCGGCCTCCCAAAGTGCTGGGATTACAGACGTGAGCCACTGCGCCCGGCCTCAAGTTTTTTTTTTTTTTTTTTGGCCACCTTAATAAGTATATGGTGGTAGCTTCTTCTGGTTTTAATTTCCTTGTCCCTAATGACTAATGGTTCTGAGCCTCTTTTTATGTGCATCTTTTGATTTGCCATCTGTATATCATTGTTTATGGAAAAATACTAAAATCTTTTTTTTTTTTTTTGAGACAGAGTCTTGCTCTGTTGCCCAGGCTGGAGAGCAGTGGCACAGTCACCACTCACTGCAGCCGCCACCTTCTGGGTTCAAGCCATCCTCCCACCTCTCGGCCTCCCAAGTAACTGGGATTGCAAGTGCGCACCACCACACCTGGCTAGTTTTTTTTTTTTTTTTTTAATAGAGATGGGGTTTTGATATGTTGCCCAGACTGATTTCGAATCCTGGGCTCAAGCGATCTGCCTGCCTCGGCCTCCCAAAGTGCTGAGATTACAGGCATGAGCCACCATGCCTGGCCAAGATACCAAAATCTTTATTTAAGATGTTTAATTGGGTTGCTTTCTTTATTGTTATTCTTCTTTTATTTTATTTTATTTATTTATTTATTTGAGACGGAGTCTCGCTGTGTCGCCAGGCTGGAGTGCAGTGGCGCGATCTTGACTCACTGCAAGCTCCCCCTCCCGGGTTCACACCATTCTCCTGCCTCAGCCTCCCAAGTAGCTGGGACTACAGGCACCCGCCCCCACGCCCAGCTAATTTTTTGTATTTTTAGTAGAGACGGGGTTTCACCATGTTAGCCAGGATGGTCTTGATCTCCTGACCTTGTGATCCTCCTGCCTCGGCCTCCCAAAGTGCTGGGATTACAGGCGTGAGCCACCACACCAGGCCTCTTTTATTTTTTTAGACAGAGTCTCGTTCTTTCACCCACGCTGGAGTGCAGTGGCATGATCTTGGCTCACTGCAGCCTGTCATTCCCCTCGACTCCAGGTTCAAGGTGATCCTCCCACCACCTCAGCCTCCGAAGTAGTTAGGACCACAGATGCATGCCACCATGTGTGGCTAATTTTTGTATTTTTAATAGAGATGGGGTTTCGCTATGTTGCCCAGGCTGGTCTTGAACTCCTGAGCTCAAGCAATCTGCCTACCTTGGCCTCCCAAAGTGCTGGGATTACAGGCATGAGCCACCATGCCTGGCCAATTTCTTACTGTTGGGTAGTAAGAGTTCTTTGTATATTTTGGATATAAGTGCTTTGTTAGGCTGTGTGATGTTCATACATTTTCCCCATCTGTGCCTTGTGTTTCATTGTCTTAGCGGTGTCTTTTTCCCAGAGCATAAGTTTTAAATTTTGATGAAGTCTGATTTACCACATTTTTTCTTTTACACATTTGGTGTTCATCTAACAGCTCTACCTAACCCAGACCTTGCCAGACTTTTTCTGTAAAAGGTCAGATAGTAAATATTTCAGCCTTGCTGTCCCTGTTGCAGCTCTGCCATTGTAGCAATGAAAGCAGTCATAGACAATATGTAAATGAATGATAATAGCTGTTCCAATAAAACTTTATGAACACTGCAGTTTGAATTTCACATAATTTACAAATTATCAATTATATTGTTTCGATTATTAGAAAAACAGGTAGTGGATTGGCCATGGTTTGCTGATTCCTGGCCTGACAAACCCAAGTTCACAAAGATTTTCCTCTTTGATTTTGTTGTGGTCGTTGTTCCACACCTTCTTTTTTCACTGTTTCCTTAGGGTAAAGTGTACATATTTATAAGGGTACATGTAATATTTTGATAGATTGATACAGTGTGTAATGATCAAATCAGGTTAATTAGGGTATCCATCATCTCAGATGTTTATCCTTTTTTTTGTATTGGGAAGATAACAAATGTTCTAGCTATTTTAAAATATACACTAAGTTATTGTTGACTCTAGTCACCCTACTGTGCAAATAAAAACTGAAACGTATTCCTTCTATCTTGCTGAGTTTTTATGCCCATGAATCAACTTGTCTTCATCCCTACCTGCTTCCCAGCCCCCGGTAACCATCATTCTACTGCCTATCTCCATGAAATCAACTTCTTAATCTCTCATATATGAATGAGAATATGTGATACTTGTCTTTCTGCCCTTGGCCTATTTCACTTAACATAATGTCCTCCAGTTCTATCCATGTTGCTGCAAACAGATTTTATTTTCCAAACCTTAAGCTTTATAGATGACTTCACTTTTTAAATGGCTGAATAATATCCTCTTGTGCATGTATACCTCATTTTCTTTGATTTTTCTTTCTTTCTTTTTAAATAGAGATGAGTTCTCACTATACTGCCCAGGCTGGTCTTGAATTTTTTTGCTCAAGCAATCCTCCTGCCTTGGCCTCCCAAAGTGCTGGGATTCCAGGCTAAACCACTGTGCTCCTTTATGCGTTTTTTTGTTTTTGTTTTTGTTTTTAGAGACAAAATCTTGCTCTGTTGCCCAGGCTGGAGTGCAGTGGTGCGATCTTGGCTCACTGAAGCCTCCACCTCCCAGGTTGAAATTATTCTCGTGCCTCAGCCTCCCAAGTAGCTGGGATTACAGGCACCCACCACCACGCCCAGCTAATTTTTGTATTTTTAGTAGAGATGAGGTTTCACCATGTTGGCCAGGCTGGTCTCGAACTCCTGACCTCAGGTGATTCGTCTGCCTTGGCCTCCCAAAGTGATGGGACTACAGGCATGAGCCACTGCGCCCAGCCCCTTTGTGCACTTTTAAAAACATATCTTAGAATTTGTGATACATGTTTTATTTTCATTTTCATTTGGTTCACAATATTGTAAAATTTCTACTATGACTTACTCTTTGACCCATGATTTGTTTTAAAACGTATTGTTTAATTTTCAAACATTTAGGGATTTCCCAGACATCTTTGTTGTTGGTTTCTAATTTAATTCCATTATGGTTAGGGAACATACTCGTTATGATGAATTAAAAAAAAATGTAGAGGTTTGTATATGGCCTGAAACATTGTTTGTTTAGGTCAATGTTCAGTTTGTAATAGGAAAGATGTGTTCTGCTGCCTTTAGGTAAAGTGTTTCATAAATAATAATTAGGTCAAGTTGGTTGATCGTGTTAAGGTCTTCCCTATCCTTGCTGATTTCCTGTCTGCTTGTTCTAGTGATTACTGAGAAAGGAGTGTTGAAGTCTGCAATGATTGTTATGGGTTTGTTCTCTTTCTCCTTAAAATTCTGTCTGTTTATGCTTCCTGTATTTTGAGGCACTGTTATTAGATGCAGAAACATTTACAGTTTTGTCCTCTTGATTATTTGACCCCTTTATCATTCTGAAATAACCTTTATTTCTGGTAATAATCATTATATTAAAAACCATTATTTGGCCAGACATGGTGGCTCATGCCTGTAATCCCAGCACTTTGGGAGGCCGAGGCGGGTGGATCACCTGAGGTCAGGAGTTCGAGTCCAGACTGGACAACATGGCGAAACCCCATCTCTACTAAAAAGAGAAAAATAGCCTAGTGTGGTGGCACACGTCTGTAGTCCCAGCTACTCAGAAGGTTAAGGGAAGATAATCACTTGAATCCGGGAGTTGGATATTGCAGTGAGCCGAGATCACGCCACTGCACCCCAGCCTGGGAAGCAGAGCAAGACTCCATCTCAAAAGAAAAAAAAAAAAAAAAAACCAAAACAGGCCAGGTGCCGTGGCTCATGCCTGTAAACCCAGCACTTTGGAAGGCCGAGGCAGGTGAATCACCTGAGGTCGGGAGTTCGAGACCAGCCTGGCTAAGATGGTGAAACCCCGTCTCTACTAAAAATACAAAAATTAGCCAGGCACGGTGGCAGCTGCCTGTAATCCCAAGTACTTGGGAGGCTGAGGCCAGAGAATTGCTTGAAGCCGGGAGGCAGAGGCTGCAGTAAGCCAAGATCATGCCATTGCACTCTAGCCTGGGTAACAGAGCAAGACTCCATCTCGGGGAAAAAAAAAAAAATTACTTAATATTAATATAAAATTAGTGTTTTATATTAGTAGTATAATACTGTTTTTGACTAGTGTTAAAATGACATATCTTTCTCTACCCTTTTGCTTTTAATCTAGATATCATGATATTCATTTATTTTTTAATTTGTAAAAATAGAGATGGGGTTTTGCCATGTTGCCCAGGCTGGTCTTGAATTCCTGGGCTCAAGCCACCTGCCCACCTCAACCTCCCAAAACGCTGGGATTATAGGCGTGATACTTGGCCATATCATTATATTTTCAAATGGTTTCTTGTTTTTTCGTTTTTCTTTTAAATGTAATCTGACAGCGTCTTTTAATTAATGTGTTTTGGACCATTTACATTTAATATGATTGATGATGATTGGATTTAGGTTTCCTTTTTATTATTTGTTTTCTGGTTATTTCTTTTTTGGGGGGTTTCTTCTGTTTCTTTTTTCTGCCTATTTTTGGATTAACTGAATATTTTTTAGTGTTATGTTTTATTAATTGGCTTTTGGTTATATCTGTGCTATGTTTTTGCTGTAGGAATTACAAAATATATACCTAACCTACCTACTTAGAGTTAGCATTTTACCTCTAAATAAAATGTAAAAGTATTGCAAACATATAGGTTTCTTTATTCTAGCCCCCCCTTATAATTGTATATATGTGTGTGTGTATGTGTGTATATATCTATATACACTTTCAATGTATGTAGATATGTATCTATACTTTCAGTGTATATTATATCTACATGCATACATTGTGTATGTATGTAGATGTATATCTACATACATTGAAAGATATATATCTACATACTATACAATGCATGTATGATACCTTTGGCTACTACATCCTTCTTAAATTTCCTGTTGCCACTTATGACCTGATTTCCTTGACCAGTTATTCCTCCTTCAAACATCCCTCTTACATGTGATAGTCCTCAGCATTTAGTTTCCCCAACTTTCCCCTAATTATCAGTTGACTCAATTACCACCAAAATATCAATGACTTTTTTGAGACAGAGTCTCACTCTGTCACCAGGCTGGAGTGCAGTGGCACGATCTTGGCTCAGTGCAACCTCTGCCTCCTGAGTCCAAGTGATTCTCCTCCCTCAGCCTCCCGAGTAGCTGGGAATACAGGTGTGTGCCAACACACCCAGCTAATTTTTGTATTTTTAGTAGAGACGGGGTTTCACCATGTTGGCCAGGATGGTTTCAATCTCTTGACCTTGTGATCAGCCTGCCTCAACCTCCCAAAGTGCTGGGATTACAGGCATGAGCCACCGCGCCCGGCCAAAATATCAATGACTTCTAGATCCATTTTCCTACCTAGACCTCTTTTCTAAACTCCAGATATATATTTCCAACTGCCTGTGCTGTCCGCCATAAACTCCACATTGTAGGAAATAGAAAGGAGTTATAAAAGTTTAGGTTCAAAGCAAAATTTAAAAACTCATAAATGAGACCAAATTTTGTGATGATAAAGGCTATGGTCCACAATGAAGATATGAAAGTAATGAACCTTTCTATAAAATGTATAGGTGATAGAGCTGGTCCCCAACTTTAAGCCTTTCAGCGATTCAAGTAACTACAGAACATCGTTAAAGTACTGAGAGAAATGTCAATCCAGAATTCTATATCCAGCAAAAATACCCTTCAACAATTAAGGCAAAAAGAAAAAGAAGAAAGACATTTTGGATGAAGAAAATCTAAGAGAATGTGTTGGCGGAAGTTCTGCTCTAAAATAAAAGTAAAAGAAGGTCTTTAGGCCAAAGGAAAATTATACCAGTGGTAATACTAGAACTTCAGAGATAAAGAGCAGCAGAAATGGTATCTGGGAAAATTTAAAAATGCAAACGGTTGTTTCTCCTCTTAAGCTCTTTAAAATATGTATAGTGGTTGAAAGCAAAAGTTAAAACACTGCTGAGACTTTCAATGTATGTAGATATACGTATATATATCTACATATATATACATATATATGTATATACATGTAGAGGTAATAATGGTAGCTATTTTATGGAGCTGATCTGAGGATAAAATGAAAGAATGCATTTTAAAGTGCTTAGCACAATGTCTGGCAAATAGAAAGCACTCTATAGGCCAGGCATGGTGGCTCACGCCTGTAATCCCAGCACTTTGGGAGGCCTAGGCAGGTGGATCACTTGAGGTCAGGTATTTGAGACCAGCCTGGCCAACATGGTGAGACCCCGTCTCTACTAAAAATATAAAAATTAGCCGGGTGTGGTGGTGGGCTCCTGTAATCCCAGCTACTTGAAGTGAGGCAGGCGAGTGGCTTGAACCTGGGAGGTGGAGGTTGCAGGGAGCCAAGATTGCACCACTGCACTCCAGCCTGGTCGACAGAGCAAGACTCCAGCTCAAAAAAAAAAAAAAAAAAAAAAGGGGGGGGGGGACAATGTTACTCTTCTTCCTTCTAGAAACATACATTTTATAGAAGTTGTTTTTTGAAGTCTAGAAGTCTGAAAACGCAGGAGTCAACTCTGAAAAATCTACAGTGGTTTCTGGGGTTCAATCTTGGCATGACTTTACCCCTGCATCTCTGCCCTCAGCAGGTAGTTTTGTTTATGGGTGTCATTGGTTGAACAAATAATTGTTTTAGTTGCTACAATAAATAAAACATGATCTGTGCTCTAAAGGAGTCAACAGATGAGCCAGGGGGGCATGAGTAATTGCCTGTAATTTAATTGTGCTCACGCTGTCATGGAGGACCGTACAAAGTGTCAGAAGCACAGTGCCAGGAGGCACAGCAAAGGGTAGTAGAGGTGACATTTGAGCCCAGCCTTGAAAACTGTCTAGGATTTCTCAGCATTTCAGCAAAGTAAGGCAATTTCTGTCTAAAATATATAGGCAAAGTTTTTATTAAAAATACGAGAAATTAATTAAATAACAGATTATGACCACAATGCAGATTTAAAAACTAAGGTATGATGAGTGCCGTTGACCGGTTCATCCAGACAGTTCAGAGAACAGAACATCCATGTAGATCCTTCTTGTATTACAGAATACAAAGGAGCGGAAAATTTTGCCTCAGTAACTGCCAGGTCATTCTAATTAAAGTACCTATACATTGTAATATAATTCCTCCATTAAGGTAACAGCCAATCAGGTGGTACAGAGTCTGTGCCATTCAGTCAAGAAATTCACTCCCTTAACCTAGACTGTGCTGGAAGTTCATTGACAAATTTTGTTCTTTGGTTCTCCATTTTTCTTCAGAATTCATGCAGACCACTTGACTTCCTTAGCATTTTCTTTTGTGGGCGTATATTAATGTCTTTGGTTAAGCTTCAGCTTCCGTTTGCATCAATCCTGTTGTAATCGTGCCTCCTGAGGCATCTTTTTTGCTTCCCTTGCATCAGTTTCCAAAATCCTACTTTCTGCTTGGTAAGGGGAGTATCCATTTTCTTTAAAGCAGTGGTTTTCAAACTTGCCTGCACATCAGAATTATTTGGGGAGAAGGATAAAAATACAGATTACTGAGCTTCACCTGGGATTCTGTAGATTTGAGTTGCATTTGGGATTACTTTAAACAATTTACCAGATGATTTTTGTGGCACCTCCACTTCAGTTTTAGGAAGGACTGTTTCGAGGCAGCTTTTCAAACTTTAATGACCATAGAAATCACCTGAAGATTGTGAGAAACTGCAGATCCTGATTTAGTAGGCCTGGGTTTAGGCCTGAGGTTCTGAATTTCTCTGAAATGTGATAATAGCAAATCCCTTGTTGAGTAGCAAGGTTGTTTTTTGTTTTTTTCTTTTTTTTCCAATATCTTCATGACATTCAATGAGTAGCAAAGTTTGAAGATAACTTCTGGAATTTCATCTAATGTGTATTAATTTTTACTCATCTGGATCTTAGGGGAAATAACCTATCAGATTATAGGGAAGTGTTTCTCAAAGTATGGTTCCCCAAACAGCACAACCTGGGAATTGTTAGAAATGCAAGTTCTGGGCCGGGCACTGTGGCTCATGCCTGTAATCCCAGCACTTTGGGAGGCTGAAGCGGGTGGATCACCTGAGGTGAGGAGTTTGAGACCAGCCTGGCTAACATGGTGAGACCCCGTCTCTACTAAAAATACAAAAAAAATTAGCTGGGCATGGTGGTGGTACTTTTTAAAATTTTTTTAGAGACAGAATATCCCTGTGTTGCCCAGGCTGGTCTGTAAATCCTGACCTCAAGCAATCCTCCTGCCTCAGCCTCTTAAGTAGCTAGGTACAAGCCACCATGCCCAGCTATATTGACTTGTTTTTGAGACGGAGTCTCTGTTGCCTAGGCTGGAGGGCAGTGGTGCGATCTTGGCTCACTGCGACCTCCGCCTCCCGGGTTCACGCGATTCTCCTGCCTCAGCCTCCTGAGTAGCTGGGACCACAGGCATGCACCACCATGCCTGGCTAATTTTTGTATTTTAGTAGAGATAGAGTTTCACCATGTTGGCCAGACTGGTCTTGAACTCCTGACCTCAAATGATCCACCCGCCTTCGCCTCCCAAAGTGCTGAGACTACAGGTGTGGGCCACCACGCCTGACCATATATTTACCTTTATGTGAATTTAAAATGTGTGGGCGTGACCAAGTCGTCTGCCGGCTGTTATATAAAGGAGACTTTATCATCAACATGCTCATCATCAGTCACAAACTGCCTATTTGGAACTCCCTTCAGTTCTCAGAGGATGGAAACATTCTTTAAGCGGCCTTGTAGAAATCCTATTCCATGTTAACATGCCAACCAATTTTACTTTCCCAGAGCCACAGAATGATATCTCATTGTATGCCTCAATTCAATCACCTTTCCATTTTCAAGGACCGATTTCAATTCCTGATTGGCTACTTGATCTGACTGCTTCCTGCTAATCTTGTTGCCTATTGTCTATATTCCATTTCTCATTGAATTAACCTTGATCAAATCTGAGAACTCTGCTTAGTAATGACTCCAGGTATACTATACCCACTTTTGTAGCTTATTCAACACCCTCTTCAATCCTGGTTCCACTTCCTGTGACTGAAATGATTACCTGTGAAATATTATTTAACTTTTGGACGATGATGTGTTTCTAACCTGTGACCATTTCACATAGCCACTCAAATATGGTAAAGGTATGGTAAAGATGATGAAACAGTTACTTGGCATCATTTTGTAAGTAATGAGTTTTTAGTGCGCTTTGGACCTTGAGACCACTTCATAAGCTTTAGATTTTGAGAATTTCACAGCATAAAGCTCATCGCTGATGCAGTAATGAAGGAAATGTTCTACAAGTTAATAGATGAGTGAGAGGAGAGGGCATTCATATTAGATTTATTTACTTACTGAACTCAGAGCCTTGGGTTACTACTTGACCCCCACTGTTATCTAGTTTAAGGGTCCTTTTATTTTTTGTTTTTTCGAGGTGGAGTTTCACTCTTGTTCCCCAGGCTAGAGTGCAATGGCCCGGTCTCTGCTCACTGCAATCTCTGCCTCCCAGATTCTCCTGTCTCAGCCTCCCAAGTAGCTGGGATTATAGGTACCCACCACCACGCCCTGCTAGTTTTTGTATTTTTAGTAGAGACAGGGTTTCACCATATTGGTCAGGCTGGTCTCGAACTCCTGACCTCAGGCAGTCTGCCCACCTCAGCCTCCCAAAGTGCTGGGATTACAGGCATGAGCCACTGCTCCTGGCCTTAAGTGTTCTTTTCTACTTTAGCACATACACCTAGTTGCTGTCTTTTTTGCTTTTTTATAAATACAGAAAAGAGAATAATGTTTTAAAATCAAGGAAAGGCCTAAGGCACCTGTGAGGGTTTTTTGTTTTTGTTTTTGTTTCAGTGAAATGAAGGGAAATGGTCACCAGCAAGAACTGTGGCAATGTTATCCAAGGTGACAACTGTCTGTACCACCCAGGGGCTCAGAGCCCTTCTGAAGTTTCCTAGATGTTCCGAAAGTCTCCACTGTGACTCATGTTACAGGCTGGTCTCCGTGGTAGCACTCAACGTTTAAAAATTAGTCTTCATTGCCAGGCGTGGTGGCTCACGCCTGTAATCCCAGCACTTTGGGAGGCTGAGGTGGGTGGATCCCGATGTCAGGAGATGGAGATCATCCTGGCTAACACGGTGAAACCCCATCTCTACTAAAAATACAGAAAATTAGCCGGCAGTGGTGGGGGGCGCCTGTAGTCCCAGCTACTCTGGAGGCTGAGGCAGGAGAATGGCGTGAACCCGGGAGGCGGAGCTTGCAGTGAGCCGAGATCGTGCCACTGCACTCCAGCCTGGGCGACAGAGGGAGACTCCGTCTCAAAAAAAAAAAAAAAAAAGTCTTCATTTCTCCTTCCCAACAAGCGTTTCTCTTTCTCTTCAGTGGGAAAAAGTAATTTCATTTTTTACTTGCTCATTGTTTTATTCATTCACTCAATCAACAGACCATCTATCCTGTATTGTATGCCAAGAACTGTGCTTTGTTCTGGGAATGAAAAAAGAATAAGATATGTTTTCCTCTGGCACTTATGGAGCTTATAAACCAGTGACAGAGGAAGGTGCATAAACAAATCAACAAAGAATTAACTTTACTATTCTTATTAATTTCTAATACAATAAATTTGACTATTTGTATCATTTGAGTTTCATGAATATAATCATATTCTACACTTACAAAATGAAATAGACATAAGAAAGAACTGGTGATGTAAGAAATTCACAGAAATGTGTAAAATATTTCAAGAATTAACACTCAGTAGATATTTGCATTGTCAAAGAAGCTTATAAATGCAGATGAACCTCTAGTTGTTTTAGTTGCTTGTAAAATGTATAGAGGTATGTGTATTTCCTCTTTAAGCAGGGGTAACTTGGGGTGGGGGATGGGTGGGTTCATCATCTATTCTTCAGGTCATGTTCTCAAGAAGGAGCTACTGAATGGGAAGACTGAAACAATTTCTTTTCTTTGCACAGTTGGTATTGATAAATCTCAGGTGTATCCAAAATAAAATCTCTGGCAGGCTGTGATATTTGTGGGTCTGTCTCTTGTGACTTTAGGTTCCTCTTGGCAGCAGACATAAGGCAGTTGCACATCAGGCCCTTGCCTGAAACAGCTCCTGATGCCAAGAACTGGTGAATTACTACTTTGGTTTCAATGGATGGTCAGAAAGGATCATCAGGATAAACTTTGTGGATTTTCTCTCACTAACCACGCTCTCCTTTCAACATTGAAATTCTAGACTTTAGACAGAAGTATTGAACTGGGTTACAGGGAGGGGATGTGAGAGGCCCCCTGCCATTGAGGATAAGTGGACATGTCTGAATTGGCCTGCTACCTAAAATTAATAATCTCAATCACTTGGATGGTGGTGTCCATAATTTTCTCCACTGTTTGTGTGGCATATAATAAGTAATGGTTGCACCTAGCAATTCATTTACAAATCTTACTTGATTTTGAAGCCATAGAACACCTCAACTGTTAGCTTGAATGACTGGAGTTTAGTTTTTATTTCTCAGAACAAAACAGTTTGAAGCCTAATTAACATCCTCGGAAGGAACTTAACACTAAAACTCCTAACAGCTTCAGTTTTCTGACCTTGAAGAAAGGGAAAATGAAGAGACCATGGTGCCACTTCCGAAGCAAAGCCTGAAGTTCTGTGCTTTAGAGGTGGTGTTGCCATCCTATGATTGCAGGAGTCTGGCCTTGGCTTGGTGGAGGAGCCTGTGGATAAGGCGAAGGAAGGTCTGTTTTCATTGGGGGTAGAGGAGGGTAAGGAGTTGAAATGGGAAGGATCTCTTTTTTCTTGCTGTCTAAAACTTGTCTTTTCAGACACATATCAAGCCTTTCCCTCTCTGAGCTACTGAAGTCCTGGGCAGAGGTTTTCTGTCTTACAATACAGACTTTTACCTTAGGCAATACCTGACAGAGCCTTTAAATAAGTAAATAAATTGCTTTAATAAATTGATTTAATACATTGATTTATTAATTAATAAATTTATTTAATACATTGATTTATTAATTAATAAATTTATTTAATACATTGATTTATTAATTAACTAATTTTGAGAGAGAGTCTTGCTCTGTCACCAGGCTGGAGTGCAGTGGCGTGATCTCGGCTCACTGCAACCTCCGCCTCCCGGGTTCAAGGCATTCTCCTGCCTCAGCCTCCTGAGTAGCTGGGATTACAGGCGCCCACCACCACACCCAGCTAATTTTTGTATTTTTAGTAGAGATGGGGTTTCACCATGTTGGCCAGGATGGTCTCGATCTCCTGACCTCGTGATCTGCCTGCCTTGGCCTCCCAAAGTGCTGGGATTACAAGTGTGAGCCACCCCACCCGGCCAGAACCTTTAAATTTAAAATTGTACAGTGTACTTCCTGCCAAGAAGCGTAGGAGGAAGAAGGAAGTAATGTTTTTCCAGTTTTCGGTTAAGAACTTGCTTTGTATTAAAATAGTCCTTCAAGTCTACAGCCATACCACCCTGAACGCGCCCAATCTCGTCTAAAATAGTCCTTCAAATATGTATCTCTTATAGCCTTCAGTTATCCCAACAAAATTATCTAAAGATTTGTTTATCTATTTATTATTATTTTTTAGAGACAGGGTCTTGCTCTGTTGCCCAGGCTAGAGTGCAGTAGCATGCTCATAGCTCATTGCAACCTCAAACTGCTGGGCTCAAGGGATCCTCCCACCTTAGCCTCCTGACTAGCCAGGACTACAGGCGTGCGCCACCACATGTGGCTAATTATTTTTTCTGGAGATGGGGTCTTGCTGTGTTGTCCTGCCTGGTCTCAAACTCCTGGCCTCAAGTGATCCTCTTGCCCCAGGATCCCAAGGTGCTGGAGTTATAGGCATGAGCCACCCACCATGCCAAGTCATCATGTAAAGATTTACAGAAAGTTTTGTGTAAACATTGTCTTTTTTTTTTTTTTGAAGCAGAGTCTTGCCCTGTCGCGCAGGCTGGAGTGCAGTGGTGTGATCTCGGCTCACTGCAACCTCCACCTCCCAGGTTCAAGTGATTCTCCTGCCTGACACTCCTGGGTAGCTGGGATTACAGGCATGCACCACCATGCCTGGCTAATCTTTGTATTTTTAGTAGAGATGGGGTTTCACTGTGTTGGTCAGGCCGGTCTCAAACTCCTGACCTCGTGATCCATCTGCCTTGGCCTCTGAAAGTGCTAGGATTACAGGCATGAGCAACCGCGCCCGGCCCATTCAGCCTTTTTTTTACTCGTAGAAGGGCTTCAGTGGAACAAGAGTCTACTAGAGATACTAGAAAGGGTACTCAATTGATAACTGACGTTGAGATTTTTTTCTAGTACTCATGGCCCTCAGGCTTAGGGTTTGAAGTCAGAGGCAGGGCTGTAGGCTAATGGAGGGGAGTAGGCTTTCATGGATGATGCCCAGGGAGGAGCCAGATTATCTGTACCAAACCTTTTTTGTTTTTTTGAGACAGAGTCTTGCTCTGTCGCCCAGGCTGGAGTGCACCGGTGTGATCTCGGCTCACTGCAACCTCCACCTCCCAGGTTCAAGCAGTTCACCTCCCTCCTGCCCACCACCACACTCAGCCAATTTTTAATTTTTAAAAAATTTTTTAGTAGAGACAGGGTTTCATCATGTTGCTCAGGCTGGTCTCAAACTCCTGACCTCAAGTGATCTGCCCATCTTGGCCTCTCAAAGTACTGGGATTACAGATATGAGCCACTGTGCCTGGCCTCTTTTTGAAAATAGTCTTACTCTGTCACCCAGGCTGGAGTGCAGTGGAATGATCTCGGCTCACTGCAACCTCCGCCTCCCGGTTCAAGCTATTCTTGTGCCTCAGACTCCCAGGTAGCTGGGATTACAGGTGTGTGCCACCACACTCGGCTAATTTTTGTATTTTTAGGAGAGATGGGGTTTCACCACGTTGGCTAGGCTGTTCTTGAACTCCTGGCCTCAACCCGCCTTGGCATCCTAAAGTGCTGGGATTACAGGCATGGGCCACCGTGTCCAGCCAACAAAGCTTTTTTTCAGTGAGTGATTCCAGCCCTTGATGCATAGGAGGGTGGGGTCCATAGGAGTGTAGCCTTAACTGATGAATTAAATCTCTGGGTGATGTGAGATATGTGCCAGGTTCTTGGCTTGTGTCTCCCTCTAGTACTTTAGGAACTTCCCAACTAGATGGAGGCAGTAAAAATGGGCCCTGCCAGGATGTACCTATAACAGAGACGTTCAACCATACCCTTGTGCTGTCTGCCTTTAATCACGAAGATTATGAGCTAAGATTCGTGGATGCATTTTTATTTTTTAACCAACATGTAGCAATGATCACTCAGATAGGCATCTTAAATCCATTAGTTTGGGTTGGATTTAAGACCGTTGTCATTCCTATGAAAGGGAAGATAGCCCAGATTGCTATTGAGAAGGCTTTGTCAGATGCATTCCAGAAACTGTTGATTGTGGTTCTAGGTAAAACTTTCTTAATCGTCGTTGAAGTACTTCAGTTTCAGTGAGCAAATAAACTCATTTTGAAAAGTTAATTGGATAAAAATATCGATATCTAAAACACTCCCTAGGATGCTTTCATTTGCTAAGTTCTTTCACAGCGACAGGCTCAAATTTGTTCTTTGTGACATTTGTAGAAAAAATGACAGCAAATATTGTCCCTAGTTTATAGCTATAAAAGGACTTGCCTCAGGTCACACAGAAAATGTTTGAGGCAGGTCTTCTTTAATTGCATGCCTATCGTACAGAATAGTGATTATAAGCCCTGGACACATGGATTTGAGTCCTAACTCTGTCTCTTAGATTTTTGTATGCAGTTTTAGGTCTTATGGCCAGAGAGATTTGAAGATATTTAATATCTCTAAGCTGCAATCTTTATCTGCAAACTGGGGTTAGTAATCCAATCAACCTTATTGCGGATATTGTAAGAAAAAATGAGATGACAAGTGTAAAAACTCAGAACTATACTTACAAGGTAAGCAGACAAAATATGCTATTGTTGTGATTGTTTTCTCTCTGAATAAATAAACTCTGCTGAAGAATTTATTAGATTATGTTTCTCGAATCGAGAATTCAGTTCCAGCTCTCATTTCTGGCACTGACATATTGGCCAAATATGATTCTTATACAATAATCAGCTGCTTTGCTGTGAGCCTTGGAAGTGGTCATGCTGTTGAATGGCACTGCTTGTATTTCCTATTCAGTTCTACAGTGGCACAAATGTCATAGCCTGTGCCCAAAGGAAACCTGGTGTTTAACGAGTCCCTGAACAGAGTTGCCTTTCTGCTTCACAACCCTGAAGGCTTAGAGACTGAGATTGTAATTAAGTTACTACAGACCTTTATTTGCTTGTAAGAGGTGGCCATGATTGCTCTCAGCTTTCCAACCTGGGCAGCCCTTCTAGTGAAAGTCTTACTTCCTTGGTCATCAACTGTCAAGTCTGAGTAATGACATTTAATAACCAAGCTAAATGTGTGGGTTGTCTACCCCTCCCTAGTATGCAAAGGTATCCCTTGCACACACTCACTTCTTAGACCAAAAGCCTTATAGTTCTAGTTTGCCTTGAAGGAAATTGTATTGTCTATAGAGTATGTGGGCCATTTTCTGCCCGTAAAATGTTCAAATGTTTTCTCTCTCTAAAGCTTTGTTCATTGTATCTGGTGGAATTTTGGTTCTCAGGGAGTAGACACCTAGCCATGCTTCTAATGTGAAGTGTCTACTAGCCCAGTGGTCTCTATTTTGGATTTGAACTTACTTCGACCCCCCACCTGGTGCCTTACCTTTTAATCATATTATGATTGAACGTTTTTATTTCCACATTTTTTATTTCTTATGTTATTATTCCTTAGTTCCTATCTGTAAGATCATAAAGTCCTTTGAACCAAACACAGTTGATATTTCATACATATGTTAAAAACTGAGCTGTGAGACCAGACATGATGACTCACGCTTGAAATCTCAGCATTTCGGGAGGCCAAGACAGAAGGATCACTTCAAGCCAGGAGTTCGAGACCAGCCTGGAAAACAAAGCGGGACCATGTCTCTAAAAAAGAGAATTAGATGGGCACAGTGATATAGTGCCTGCTACTCTGGAGGCTGAAGCAGGAGGATGACTTGAGCCCAGGAATTCCAGGCTACAGTGAGCTATGATAGTGCCACTGTACTCCAGCCTGGGTGACAGAGTGAGACCCTGTCTAAAAGAAAAAAGAAAAACAAAAATCGAAGTGTATGATGAAGAGATGAGGAAACTTTCAGGAAAATGCTTATTTCCTGCTTTTAGAAACTAAAAGAATGTCTCATTGTGGGTTGCTACCATTATATGCAGGAAGTTTTGGAATGAAAAAGATTCTGAATTCATCCTTGCTAACTTTATTTCAGAAAGTGGTAAAATAGCTATGGAGTACAGACCCAGTGAAGAGATTGTAGATGTCAGATGGGAAGAAGAACTACACGGTTTAATATAAGTATGTGGAGATAAAAACTCAAAGGTAACAGGGCCGGGCACAGTGGCTCACACCTGTAATGCCAGTGCTTTGGGAGGCTGAGGCGGGTGGATCACCTGAGGTCAGGAGTTCAAGATCAGACTGACCAACATGGAGAAATGGTGGCACATGCCTGTAATCCCAGCTACTCGGGAGGCTGAGGCAGGAGAATCGCTTGGACCCGGGAAGCGGAGGTTCCGGTAAGCCAAGATCACACCATTGCACTCCAGCCTGGGCAACAAGAGTGAAACTCTATCTCAAAAAACAAACAGGCCAGGCGCTGTGGCTCACACCTGTAATCCCAGCACTTTGGGAGGCCGAGGTGGGTGGATCATGAGGTCAGGAGTTCAAGACCAGCCTGGCCAATATGGTGAAACCCTGTCTCTACTAAAAATACAAAAATTGGCTGGGTGTGGTGGTGGGCACCTGTAATCCCAGCTACTTGGGAAACTGAGGCATGAAAACCACTTGAACCCAGGAGGCGGAGGTTGCAGTGAGCCGAGATCATGCCACTGCATTCCAGCCTGGGTGACAGAGCAAGACACTCTCTCGAGGAAAAAAAAAAAAGAAAAGAAAAACAACTCAAGGGTTGGATAACATTGCCAGTATAACCATAATTCAAAACAAGCAGCAGAATTTGGAGGATAATTTGTTTAATTCTCAGGAAAATGTGAAACTCTGAAACTGCTTTTTGAGTGCAGGGTATTTCCGGGGCTTTTCCTAAAGTCTTGACCCTTGGCTCTGACCCCTTATTTGAAGTTTGGAGAGCAGAACCGAGGATTGTGTTACTACAGTTGTGGACACAGGAGAGGGGTTAGTCTCCCCCCGCTCCAGGAGTAAGGGATGCTGGGCTGCTCGAACACAGGCCTTGTTAGAACTCCCTTCAAACAGGATCCCAGAGATGTGGGGAGAAGGTAACTGGCCTTAAGAATGATTGCGCTACAGCTTTTGAAAACTATAATGCCTTTCAAATATGGCTTATTGCTTGGATCTCAATATCTCCCACGTATCTTGGGTGGAATATTTTGCTGAAGATCTTTCTGTCAATCATTTACAATCATGTGCTGCAAAATGAAGTTTGCGTCAACAGTAGACCACATATATGATGGTGGTTCCGTAAGCGTATAATGGAGCTATCCCTATATAGGTATACCATTTTTATCTTTTTTTTTTTTTTTTTTTTTGAGATGGAGTCTCACTCTGTTGTCCAGGCTGGAGTGCAGTGGTATGATCCCAGCTCATTGCAACCTCCACCTCCCAGGTTCAAGTGATTCTCCTACCTCAGCCTCCTGAGTAGCTGGGATTATAGACACGCGTCACCACACTCAGCTAATTTTTGTATTTTTAGTAGAGATGGGGTTTCATCATGTTGGCCAGGCTGGTCTTGAACTCCTGAGCTCAAGTGATCCACCCACCTTGGCGTCCCAAAGTGCTGGGATTACAGGCATGAGCCACTGTGCCCAGGCCCCATTTTTATCTTTTACACAGTATTTTAACTATATATTTTCCATGTTTACATACACAAATACCTGCCATTCTGTGACAGTTGCCTTTAGTATTCAGTACAGTAACATACAGTACAGGTTTGTAGCCTAGGAGTCCTAAGCCATACCGTGTACCCTAGGTATGGTGGCTACACCACCTAGGTTTGTGTAAGTATACGCTATGATATTAGCACAATGGTGAAATAACCTAGTGACCCATTTCTCAAGCTCCTCACGTGGCAAGCAATGCATGACTGCATATGAAAGCTCTTAAATAGGGATTGTTTCTAAATTAATCTCAAAACAGTCATTATTTACTATTTATGGAATTTTTTTTAAAAAAAGGAGCAAAAGTATCATTTCAGTGGGAACTTAACTTGGGGCTACAGTGTTTTATTTAACTTTTACCCCAAAGTTGCAAAGTGTTTTGAAATTTTTCCCTGTAAAATAATTATTTTAATTCAATTTAAATAAAACCCACCAAGGAGACTTCAAGCTTTAAGAAGTCTAGCTTCCTGTGAAATGTGAGAGGAAGTCAGCACTCATTTCAGAAATCTGATTATAATAATAGCTCCATCCCTAAATGAGGTGAATCTTGGAATCTCTTCCATTTTATTTTATTTTATTTTTTTGAGATGGAGTTTCTCTCTTGTTGCCCAGGCTGAAGTGCAATGTTGTGATCTCGGCTCACTGCAACCTCTGCCTCCCAGGTTCAAGCGATTCTCCTGCTTTGGCCTCCTGAGTAGCTGGGATTGCAGGTATGCACCACCACACCTGGCTAATTTTGTATTTTTAGTAGAGACGGAGTTTCACCATGTTGGTCAGGCTGGTCTCGAACTTCTGACCTCAGTGATCCCCCCACCTCGGCCTCCCAAAGTTCTGGGATTATGGGTGTGAGCCACCACACCCGGCCCCCCTTCAATTTTAAAGCCATCACTATGCACCCTATGTCTATGCCAGGCACTAAAATAAGATGAAGCACCTTCTTGGAGTTTACATGCTGGTAATTATGCCAGACAGTAATAAAATAGGTAAGAACGGCTGTGGGGGAAGTCAGCTGGGTTCTAGTTACAGTCGCATTTCAGGAAATGATTTAACATGCTGACTTTAACAACCTAAGCCTCTTCTCCATGTGTGCACACAGGGTAGATCTCTGAACACAGGTGACCCTAGAAGTGCTGTAACTTCTAGGGGAATGGCTGTGTTGAGTCAAGGCAGGATGACAGTTCAGCCTCCTCCCAGGCTAGTGCAAAGGGCTCTTCACTCGGATTAAAACCTTCTCTCCCAGACCGAATTGCCAACTCCCAACACCCCTCCTACAGAAAATTTGGAGTCCTCGCTTATTCCCTGGCAGCCCCTACCTAATAGGGTGGTGAATTAATTATCAAACATGCGACAGTTTAGCGAAAATGGCAACACTTTGGAATAAATGACTGTAATGTACATCCTGGCGCCCATTTTGCAGGTCAGTTGCTCTCCCTGGAAGGAAGAGTGTTCTCGGATTTCACCTTAAAGGAGGAAGGCTGCCAGAACTGAACTAGCACTTCTGAATATCCTGAGGCGAGGTCCGGTGACTTCCTTGGGAAGCTCTGCCGCGCCCCCATCCCACCCTACCCCACCCTACCCCACCACAGCAGGCGCTGGAGTCCTGGGACCACCAGGATCTGAGGCCCAAATCCTTCCTCACTAAGGGGAGGAGAGGGGTGCTCCGGCAGGGCAGGATGGGAAGGCGTGCTTGGGCGGGATTGTGACATGAGTGCCCTGGTGACATGGAGCAGTTCTGTGGCATAAATAAAGGTGTCATAAAGACAGGGCGGGACTCATGCTTACAAGGGGCACGAGCGTCTCGGAGCTGCCAGAATGACTTCCGCTCAGTGCCCGGCACTAGCGTGTGTCATGTCCCCGCTGCGTTTCTGGGGCCCATGGCCCCTCCTTATGTGGCAACTATTGTGGCTACTAGTCAAGGAGGCTCAGCCTCTGGAGTGGGTCAAGGACCCGCTCCAGCTGACCTCTAACCCCCTGGGGCCGCCTGAGCCCTGGTCTTCCCACTCCTCCCATTTCCCACGGGAATCTCCCCATGCGCCTACTCTCCCAGCAGACCCGTGGGACTTTGATCACCTGGGGCCCTCTGCTTCCTCAGAGATGCCAGCCCCACCCCAGGAATCGACTGAAAATTTGGTTCCATTCCTGGACACCTGGGATTCAGCTGGAGAGCTGCCCCTGGAGCCAGAGCAGTTCTTGGCTTCACAGCAGGATTTAAAGGACAAGCTGAGTCCACAGGAAAGGCTCCCTGTTTCGCCCAAGAAGCTGAAGAAAGATCCAGCTCAGCGTTGGAGCCTTGCTGAGATTATTGGAATTATACGCCAATTATCCACACCTCAGAGTCAGAAACAGACTTTGCAGAATGAATATTCCAGTACAGATACACCGTATCCCGGTAGCCTGCCTCCAGAACTCCGGGTGAAGTCAGATGAGCCTCCAGGGCCCTCTGAGCAAGTTGGACCTTCTCAATTCCATCTAGAGCCCGAAACTCAAAATCCAGAGACCCTTGAAGACATCCAGTCCTCTTCACTCCAGCAAGAAGCCCCAGCACAGCTTCCACAGCTCCTTGAGGAAGAACCTTCTTCAATGCAGCAGGAGGCCCCAGCTCTGCCTCCAGAGTCCTCTATGGAGAGTCTAACTCTACCGAATCATGAGGTGTCAGTTCAACCTCCAGGTGAGGATCAAGCTTATTATCACTTGCCCAACATTACAGTTAAACCTGCAGATGTGGAGGTTACCATAACTTCAGAGGCTACCAATGAGACAGAATCTTCCCAAGCTCAGCAGGAGACCCCAATTCAGTTTCCAGAGGAGGTGGAACCTTCTGCAACCCAACAGGAGGCCCCAATTGAGCCTCCAGTTCCTCCTATGGAGCATGAACTTTCCATCAGTGAGCAGCAGCAGCCAGTTCAGCCTTCTGAGACTTCTAGGGAGGTCGAATCTTCTCCGACCCAGCAGGAGACCCCAGGTCAGCCTCCAGAACATCATGAAGTCACAGTTTCACCTCCAGGTGACCATCAAACTCATCATTTAGATTCACCCAGTGTCTCTGTGAAGCCTCCAGACGTGCAGCTCACCATAGCAGCAGAGCCTAGTGCAGAGGTGGGAACTTCTCTAGTCCAGCAGGAGGCTACAACTCGGCTCTCAGGGTCAGGTAATGATATAGAACCTCCCGCCATCCAGCACGGGGGCCCACCTCTGCTTTCAGAGTCATCAGAAGAAGCTGGACCTTTAGCAGTTCAACAGGAGACTTCATTTCAATCTCCGGAACCTATTAATAATGAGAACCCCTCTCCAACC
Source organism: Homo sapiens (assembly GCF_000001405.40). Classification (NCBI taxonomy): domain Eukaryota; kingdom Metazoa; phylum Chordata; class Mammalia; order Primates; family Hominidae; genus Homo; species Homo sapiens. The sequence continues at coordinate 1,033,876 of NT_187663.1, forward strand.
CAGCAGGAGGCTGCAGCTGAGCATCCACAGACCGCTGAGGAGGGTGAGTCTTCCCTAACCCATCAGGAGGCCCCAGCTCAGACTCCAGAGTTCCCTAATGTAGTTGTAGCTCAACCTCCAGAGCATTCACACCTGACTCAAGCCACAGTTCAACCTTTGGATCTGGGGTTTACCATCACTCCAGAATCCATGACAGAGGTTGAACTTTCTCCAACCATGAAGGAGACCCCAACTCAGCCTCCTAAGAAAGTTGTACCCCAACTTCGAGTATATCAAGGGGTAACAAATCCAACACCAGGTCAGGATCAAGCTCAGCATCCAGTGTCACCCAGCGTTACAGTTCAACTTTTGGACCTGGGACTTACCATCACTCCAGAACCCACTACGGAGGTTGGACATTCTACACCCCCGAAGAGGACTATAGTTTCTCCAAAGCATCCTGAGGTGACACTTCCACATCCAGACCAGGTTCAGACTCAGCATTCACACCTGACTCGAGCCACAGTTCAACCTTTGGACCTGGGGTTTACCATCACTCCAAAATCCATGACAGAGGTTGAACCTTCTACAGCCCTGATGACTACAGCTCCTCCTCCAGGACACCCTGAGGTGACACTTCCACCTTCAGACAAGGGTCAGGCTCAGCATTCACACCTGACTCAAGCCACCGTTCAACCTCTGGACCTGGAGCTTACCATAACTACAAAACCTACTACAGAGGTTAAACCGTCTCCAACCACGGAGGAGACCTCAACTCAGCCTCCAGACCTGGGACTTGCCATCATTCCAGAACCCACTACAGAGACTGGACATTCTACAGCCCTGGAGAAGACTACAGCTCCTCGTCCAGACCGGGTTCAGACTCTGCATCGAAGCCTGACTGAAGTCACAGGTCCACCTACTGAACTAGAACCTGCTCAGGATTCACTGGTGCAGTCTGAAAGTTACACCCAAAATAAGGCTTTAACTGCACCAGAGGAACACAAGGCCTCCACAAGCACCAACATATGTGAGCTCTGTACCTGCGGAGATGAGATGTTGTCATGTATTGATCTCAACCCAGAGCAGAGGCTCCGCCAAGTGCCTGTGCCAGAGCCCAACACCCACAATGGCACCTTCACCATCTTGTAAGAATCACTTTTCCTCAATTGTCCTCTGTGTCCTGCCTGACATGGCAGCCTTTTCCTGGAGGCCTTCCTGGGCCTTCTTTATCTCCCCAAGCCATATGGACAACTGACTTTCTGCTTTCACCTTTGCTTGTCAACTCTCCCTTCTCCTCATTCTCTTTTAATGTTAGGCCCCTTCTCCAGTCTTTTCCTTTTACTCTGGTCTTTTACTCGTTTTTGTATCCATTTTTATTTAGCCCCATCACATCATTGCTTAACCGCTGCTCTCCTCCCATTTTCGCTTCACCCTCTTTACAGCAGCCTGTCCCTCTCCCGATCTCAGTGATGATGCTCTAAGTGGTTAAGAGTTGATTCCGGAGCCAGGCTGCCTGGGTTTGAACCCAGATCTATTTATTAGCTTGGTGACCCAGAGCAAGTTATTCTGCCTGTGACTCAATTTCCTCACCTTTAAACTGGGGATCATGCTAGTTAGCATTTCATAGGATTGTTGTGAAATTTAGGTGAGTGAATATATGAAACACTTCATCAGTGCTTAGCATATGTAGGAGAGTTGGCTGTTCACATGATTATTCAGTCCTTTAGTTTTGTCCAGAACTCATTTTTGTCCCTAGCTTTCTATATGTAGAACTAGTTTTATGTCAAACCCAGGGCCAAGTATGCTACTGTCTCCAGAACACGAAAATGATAGGAGGGAAGAGGCTGGGTGTGGTGGCTCACGCCTGTAATCCCAGCACTTTGGGAGGCCGAGGCGGGCGGATCATGAGGTCAGGAGATCAAGACCATCCTGGCTAACATGGTGAAACCCCATCTCTACTAAAAATACAGAAAAAAATTAGCCAGGCATGGTGGTGGGTGCCTGGAGTCCCAGCTACTCGGGAGGCTGAGGCAGGAGAATGGCATGAACCTGGGAGGCAGAGCTTGCAGTGAGCCGAGATTGCACCACTGCACTCCAGCCTGGGCGACAGAGCAAGACTCCATCTCAAAAAAAAAAAAAAAAAAAAAATGATAGGAGGGAAGAAAGAGAATAGGCATAAAAAGGGAGGTATATATAATTAAGTACTAAAAGATAATGCAGACCATTGGTGCTAGAATTTGCCAGAATCTGTGATCCTTGAGGTGTGGAGATGCTACATGGGTAAGCTAAAACTTTACTTGGGTCTTAAAGAGTAGCCATAATTTGTTAAATAGGAGAAAAATGGGAGTACAGTCTAGGCAAACGCATGGCTACAGGTATGGTTGGAATTTAGTAGACCAATGTGGCTACAAAGAATTAGGTGAGGGAGCAATGAAGATACGATTCTGTAAAACCTTGATTATCAGCTACAGGAGTTTGAAAGTTACACAATGAGGTATGGAAAGCCATTGAAAGTTTCCAAGCAAGAGAGATTACATGATCAAAACAGGAAGATTATTTTATTTTGTTTTTTGCATTATGTGCAAGTGTAGACATGCAGAGGATTGTTTTAGAATCCATATGTAAAGTGTCCAAAAGGAAAAGCTTAATTCAGGGAGACAAAATAGAAAGGTCTAGCAAAATCTAGGAGTGAGGTGTGAAGGGGCCAAATCAGATCAGTTGTAATAGGAGTGGAAAGAAAAAGCCTAGGATGTTTCAACAGAGGGCACTGGGCCAAAGCTTTGGTGTTACCTGGCATAGGGTTTCTTTCTTCTCATTTGTTGATAATGATAAGCTTTTGCCCATATTTCTGTGGAATTATTTACCATTTTGGTACTGATTTGTAGAAGTCTGTTTAGACACATAAGTGCTTTTAGATAAAATACTTACATTCAAAGTAATTAACTGGCATCATCTGTCCAAGAGATGGGATGGATAAGAAGTTAAGCTTCCAGGAGATGCCTCATCATTTGTGCCAGTGACCCCGCATAATTTCTTGATGAATTGTGCAAACTGGGAAGCTGATAGCTCTGGAAATGAGAAAGCAGGTGTTATTTTCTGTTTCTGAATATCCCCAACAAGGTTGCAATGATTCTTTTACTTATCGTGTTCATTGTTTTCCTACCTATTCAAGGATATAAACTGTGTTTCTTCACAGAAATTTCCAAGGAAACTATATTTCTTACATTGATGGAAATGTATGGAAAGCATACAGTTGGACCGAGAAACTGTGAGTATATTCTCTCCAAATATGACAAAAAGCTAACTGCATTGTAAGATCCTTCTTGGTCCAGAATTTTGAGGTCGGTACCTCTGAGGAAAGATATTTCTCCTCCACGCCCCAAATCAACCACTGTTGATTGCAATTGTATGGTTATTTTAAAATTAAATTTGGTAGGCTCTCTTTAAAATAAGAGGCAATTTAAATTTATTTTTTATCATACAAATAGTACATGGTTATATTCCTTTTTGTTCTCTTTTTTTTTTTTTTTTTTTTTTTTTTCAGAGACAGGGTCTTACTTTGTCCTCTGGGCTGCAGTGCAGTGGCACAATCACAGCTCACTGCAGCCTTCACCTCCCAGGCCCAAGTGATCCTCTCACCTCAGCCTCCCCAGTAGCTGGGACCACAGGTGCATGCCACCACACCCACCTAATTTTGTATTTTTTGTAGAGACAGGGTCTTCCTATGCTGCTTAGGCTGGTCTTGAACTCCTGGGCTCAAGTGATCCTCCCACCTTGGCCTCTTAAAGTGTTCATATTACAGGCATGAGCCACCACCCGCAGCCCATGATTCCATTTTTAATATATAAAAATGCAATAACAGATATAACAAAAACTCTCCTTGTGCCCTACTCCCTCATCCCTGAAGTAATGCTACTCTGCATTTAGTATACATGCTTCCAGACTTTTCCTCATTTACCTACATACATATTTACATAAAGCAAAATAGATTTGTTTTGTGGTTTTAAAATTTTTTCTTCGCATAAAGGGTAACATCTTGCAACTTGATTCTTTCACTTCATGATATGCCTTAGATTTCTTTCCTTCCCAGTACTGAGAGGGTCACCCCATTCATTTAAACTCCTGCATAATCCATAGTATGGATGCATCATGGTTTATTTAATAATTCCCCCATTGATGAATGTTTAGATTATGCTTAGTTTTCTTGTTACATGCATTGCTGCAATGAAATCCCTGTACATGCTTCTTTGTGAACATGTGCAAGTATTCCTGTAGCATAGATATCTGGAAATGGAATTCTTGGGGTGAAGACTATGTAGATATAAAATTTTAATTGCCTTCAAAAATTTTGTGCCAACTTACTCTATTGTCAGCAGAATATGACAGCATTCATTTCCCAACACCTTTTCACCGCTGGGTATTCTCCAACTTTTTGCTGAAGTTATGGATGAATAAAAGGGATTCCATCTAAATGTGAATTTTTCTGATTACTCATGAATTTAATTTAGTATCTTTATATGTTTATTGAACATTTGTGTTTCTTCTCTGAGTTTTCTGGCCTTTGTTCATTTTCCTGTTGAATTGTTTTATCATTTTCTTACTGATTTATAGAAGGAATTGGTTTAGACACATAAGTGATTTTGGAAAAAATGCTTACATTCAAAGTAACTGACATTTTTCACAACAGTTTGTGTGTCACATCATTATTTCAATGTATATAGACAAGCCACGATGAGTTCTAAATTAAAAATAAACATATGCTAGGCGCGGTGGCTCACGCCTTTAATCCCAGCACCTTGGGAGGTAGGCGGATCACCTGAGGTCAGGAGTTTGAGACCAGCCTGGCCGATAGGGCGAAACCCCATCTCTACTAAAAATACAAAAAGTAGCCAGGCGTGGTGGTGGGTGCCTGTAATCCCATCTACTTGGGAAGCTGAGGCAGGAGAATTGCTTTATTTATTTTTTCAGATGGAATTTTGTTCTTGTTGCCCAGGCTGGAGTGCAATGGTGCGATCTTGGCTCACTGCAACCTCCACCTCCCGGGTTCAAGGGATTCTCCTGCCTCAGCCTCCTGGGTAGCTGGAATTACAGGTGCCCTCCATCACACCCAGCTAATTTTTATATTTTTAGTAGAGACAGGGTTTCACCATGTTGGCCAGGCTGGTCTCAAACTCATGACCGTGGGTGATTCACCCACCTTGGCTTTCCAGAGTGCTGGGATTACAGGCATGAGCCACCACGCCAGGCCAGAACTACATTTTAAAAACAAGAAAATTATTACAAAGGTCAGGATAGTGGTTACCTATTAGGGTTAGAGAGAGGGATATGATTGGAAAGGGGCACACTGGGGCTTCTGGCATGCTAGCAATGATCTTTTGTAACGATGTTTACATGGGTATCTGCTTCATAATTATTAAACTGAATATTTTGGCCAGGTGAGGTGGCTCATGTCTGCAGTCACAGCACTTTGGGAAGCAGACACAGGAGGATCACTTGAGCCAGGAGTTTGAGACCAGTCTGGGAACAGAGTGAGACCCTGTCTCAAAAATTAAATTAAATTAAATATAAACAACATTTATGTTATGTGCACTTTATGCACATTATAGTTCTCCAGTTTTTTTGATGGGGGGAAAAAGGTTGAATGGCTTCACTTGCAGCCCTGACATGGTTCCATGTGGGGCTTTCATAATAAGGTTTGGGAAAAGAGAGGAGGAAATGGAGGTTCTGCTGATCTTGGTGCCACCCAGAGTTGGATTCTAAAAGGGATTTTGTGATCTAGAGAGGAGGCATGAAATAATAGAATTTGGTGGGAAGAAACCCACTCTTCAAGGGGTGTGCTTGAGTGTGTGTGTGTGTGTTTGTGGTGGTGGTGGAGAGAGATGGAAACAAAAAGGAAAATATAAGAAAAGGTTTGAATGAAAGCAGAGCAGATCCCACCATCTTGAAGTGACCATGACCCAGCTTTCCTCCACATGCAGGAGATGGTTCTGTGTAGCAAATAGTTGTAGTTTGCATTTTAATCTAGAAATAACTTCTTCATTTTCCAGAATTCTCAGAGAAAATAACTTGACTGAATTACACAAGGATTCATTTGAAGGCCTGCTATCCCTCCAGTATTTGTAAGTTAGTTAATTATATTTATGAGTTTTTAGTCATATTATCTGTAAAATGAATAAGGGGTTCAAATTAGATAATCTCTCAGATTTCTTTGAGCAATAAAATTCTGCAATTCTGTAAGTTTGTATAGGGTCTCAGCCCATCTCTAGCACTAGCTACCTCCTGTGCATTTTCAGTTTTTAAGTTGTATAGACAAAATACAGACAAAAACATTTCACATGGTAAGAAAATCTGAGCAGTGACTGACACCCATATGAACCTTGTTTTATAAGGGTTCACATATCATTATTTTTCTATTCAGTCTACAACCAATAGATCCAATCTAATTTATGGTCTATTTTTAAATAGCCCATTAAGTTAAGAATGGGTTTTGCATTTTTAAAGGGACTGTGAAAGAAAAAGAAAAGAAACAAAGAAATATGCGAGAGATCATATGTGGCCCATAAAACCTAAAATATTTACTGTCTGACCTTCACCAAAAAAAATTTCAAAAAGTTGGTTTAGTAGGATGAAAGGAACTAAAGTTAACTTCAGATGGTTGCCTAAAGGAGAAGAAAATGGAGACCACCTGCATTCATTTGAACATCATTAATCCAGAATTTTTTGGTAATTTAATCGGAATTAAATTAACATTTAAATATTAAAAATAGCTGAATTATATCAATAATATTATCAAGAATATTAAGCTACCAAGAGAATAGACTGGTATTAAGGATTTCATTTCAGGAATTGTTATATTAAAACAGATGTTTAAAATGATGGTTAACTGGTAGAGCTAGAAATGTTTACACTAAGAAGCACATCAGAAATGCCCCTAACTCTTCACTAATTACAAAATAACGATCGCCCCAGCCCTGTTACCAGAAAGGGATCCCTGTATTTCTGTCTGTTTAGAGACAAGAAGATACTATGTTCATTGCTATGAAAGCTTGATTCTTACCCTTTGTCCATAGAGGTCTGTATGTCATTAATCCTTATTAAGCTCATTAGTGATGCTCTTTTGCAAACAGATTCTTTCAAATATAGAAGGCTTAAGGAAAGTGGGTGTAAAGACCCTCAGGTGGATGCCAAAGTGCTACAGAGACCATGAAATAATAAAACTACATTTCCTTTAAAATAGTTATTTTCCTTCTACTCACTCCCCCAGCTATTCATTTATTTTACAAATATTTGAGTTTGCTTTATTTCCATGTGTCAGTTTTAAACATGGTGGGCAATGCAGATGAGCAAGACCTAGTCCATGCTTTCAGGGAGTTTATGCTCAGAAGAAATGGGATAAAAAATAACTACATTAAGAAGAAGAAATGGATGTGGGCACTAGGAGGGATAAATTGTTTCTCGAACATAGAAGAGGAAAAAATGCCTTCAATTTGGACCCAGGAGGATGTTACTAGAACAATGCCATTTGAATAGGACTTTGAAGGGCCATTGTGTAACATCAGACAGACATCTTGGGGAAAATACTCTAAACTTGCAAAAGGAAAATGGGAGGGCAAAACACAGGAAAGTATTCAAGGAATGCCATGAGTACCCGTAGAGTACAAGAAGGGAGAGTAGGAAAATGGAGCCAGATCTTCTAGAGCTTTGAATGCCAAGCTGAGGAGCCAACATGGGGAACCGTGTTACCACAGCAGCGCTGTAAGGTAGATCTGCATCACAGTCATTGAGAGGGCACGTTAGAACTCAGTTCTGGACTCCACCCTCGTAGTTACTGATTCAGTTGGTCTAGAGTGGGACCAAGAATTTGCATCTTCAGTAATTTCCCAGGAGATGCTGGTCTTTGCAAGCCACTTCTGGAGAGTTTATATGATGACTGTGTGCAGGATAGTTTAGGTAGGGAGAGACTAGAGATGGAGATATCAGCCAGACAACGTTACACCATCCAGGTAAAGAGGGAGGGACAAACTCCATCACTGTATAACTGAAGAAATTTTTTTTTTATGAAATATTAAAGCAATACAAAACCAAAAATGAATTTCTATTAATATGATAGAAATTAATTCTATTAATATGATTTGAATTAGTTCAAAGTTATGTATTAGGTAAAGGGGTAGCTTCCTTTCAAATGATGTGAAAGGATGTCTTTTATTTCTTCTGATATTGAAGTGGCTTAGGAAAACAGACCTAAACTAAGAAGGTGTAGAAATGTGAGACTTGTTTGTTTGTTTGTTTGTTTGTTTGAGACGGAATCTCGCTCTGTCGCCCAGGCTGGAGTGCAGTGGTGCAATCTTGGCTCACTGCAAGGTCCGCCTCCTGGGTTCATGCCATTCTCCTGCCTCAGCCTCCTGAGCAGCTAGGACTACAGGCACGTGCCACTAGGCCCGGCTAATTTTTTTTTTTTTTTTGTAGAGACAGGGTTTCACCGTGTTAGCCAGGATGGTCTCGATATCCTGACCTCAGGATCTGCCAGCCTCGGCCTCCGAAAGTGCTGGATTACAGGCCTGAGCCACCGCACCCGGCCCGACTATTTTTTTTAATATTAGAAATTGTGTATATAGAGATAAAATCTTTGAGCTCATAATCTAAGATTTGATGACACTACAAAAGGGCATCTAATCAAGTCTACTGCTCTCAGGAAAAATTAATTCCAAAGTCTATTATGTTGTATATTTATTAAAACCATGAAGGTGAGACTCTAGGAGAGGTATGGGCAGGGTTAGGGGCTCTGGAATGTTCAAATACAAGTCCAAACGTTTAGAGTTGAGATGAAAAATAGGTATTCAGTATTATTCTAAACTCTTGCTGTTATTCATACCAATTGACATTTAATAACTAATCAAGGCAATATTTTTGTTTTCCTAGAGATTTATCCTGCAATAAAATACAGTCTATTGAAAGACATACATTTGAACCACTACCATTTTTGAAGTTTATGTAAGTTACAAATATAACTTGATTACATTTGGAATTTTTATAAAACTTAATTATAAACCTTTTTGCTATTCTTGAAATATGATTAAAATTTTACCAGTAGAAAGCTACTAAAATTATACAGCAAATCCTTTTTGTCTCTAGCAAGGATTATTGTGAGAATTATTACACAGATCTTAGTGAATCATCAGAGAGCAGTGGTTCTCAGGTGGTGTGATTTTGCACTCAGGTGGCATTTGGTAATGTCCGGAGACAGTTTTGGTTGACAAAACTGTGGGTGTGCTCCTGGCATCTGGTGGGCAAAGGCCAGAGATGCTGCTAAACATCCTTCAAGGTATAAGACAAACCCCCATGGCAAAGAGTTATATAGTCCAAAATGTTGATGGCACTGAAGTTGTGAAATCCTGTTCTAGAGAAATAAAGATCACTTAACACAGGTATTTACTGAGCATTCACTGTTTTGTATCTAATGCACCACATGTGCAGTGTTAAAGTATAAATCATAAGCCAGTATCTTCCACAGTCAGATTTCCTTAGTGCATAGAGAAAGGATTGAGGTTATGTTCCATCCTATATAAATTAGAATCATGGCAAATGATAAATGTTCTGAAATAATTTTTTTTTTCTTTGGCTTGTGTCTTTTTTTTTTAGAAATCTTAGTTGCAATGTAATTACAGAACTCAGCTTTGGAACATTTCAGGCCTGGCACGGAATGCAGTTTTTACATAAGTTGTAAGTGAAATAGAAGATGAATACATGTAAACAACTATTTATGTACAAAAACTCATACAATTATTGGGTAGCTGGGTATAAGCCCATTATCAACTCTGAAAAGCGTGTCTTAAGATCCATTCATTTTTCTCAAATGGGGAAGCTAAGGTACAAAGAGGCCAAGAGACTTACGTAGCTTATATATGACCTCCTCTGCTTGTCCTAGTTCTGACCTATAGCATGGGCAAGAAAAGGCATCAAAGAAGTGACCCTCAAATTAGCCTTGTTGCTGGGCGGGGTGGCTCAGACCTGTAATCCCAGAACTTTGGGAGCCGAGGTGGGTGGATCACCCGAGGTCAGGAATTCAACACCAGCCTGGCCAACATAGTGAAACCCTGTCCCTACTATAAATACAAAAAAATTAGCTGGGCGTGGTGGTGCAGTTTTTTGCTCCCTGGAGGACTTTGTGTTAAGCTTCCTTCCTTGCAGCTAAATGTTGCAGACATTTAAGCAGTTAGAAACTCTGCATATGAGCAGGAATCAAATCCAAAGTTGTAGGGCCAGAATGGTGGCTCATGCCTGTAATCCCAGCACCTTGGGAGGCCAAGGTGGGAGGATCACTGGAGGTCAGGAGTTTGAGACCAGCCTGGCCAACATGGCAAAACCTCATCTCTACTAAAAATACAAAAATTAGCAGGTCATGGTGGCGGGCACCTGTGATCCTAGCTATCGGGAGGCTGAGGCACGAGAATGGCTTGAACCCGGGAGGTGGAAGTTGCAGTGAGCCGAGATTGTGCCACTACCCTCCAACCTCCCCTCCAGGCTGGTCTCAAACTCCTCTGACCTCAGGTGATCCGCCCACCTCAGCCTCCCAAAGTGCTGGGGTTACAGGTGTGAGCCACCATGCCTGGCCAAGATGGTGTTTATGTTAAGCTATTGTGCAAAAAAAAACTTTTGTAAAGAAAATATATCGCTGTATCTTAATTCCATATACTTTCCTGACTACTCTTCTACCATAATTGCAAAAATTCTATGATTTCTCTGTATAACATACCCATCAAATCAGAGTGGGTATATTCAGTGGCCTGAAGGGGACTCAAGGTGAAGATTCTCTTCTACATCTGACTTTAGAAAAGACTTTCCACCTGCCTTGTGGTTCAGAAATCTAGTTTCACACAGTTCATTTCAAGTTAGAGGGAGGCATTCAGGATGTGTCTGGACTAGAGCAGCAGTTTCTGCACATGCTCCCCTCTGTCCTCATTAATTTGCTGATGCATAACTTAGGAAAAGTACACTAAAGGTCTGTTTTTCTTTTGCCCTCACACCAGAGAACAGGCTCATTAGGTCCCTCCACCAAGAGGTTTAGGTAGCATCAATACAAATGTTTTAAACTCACCATCTTTACTAAGCACTTTATACCACTGGGAGTCCCTCATAAAAATCTGGTGGCCGGGAGCAGTGGCTCATGCCTGTAATTCCAGCACTTTGCTCAGGTGGGTGGATCACCTGAGGTCAGGAGTTCAAGACCAGCCTGACCAACATGGTGAAACCTGTCTCTACTAAAAATACAAAAATTAGCTGGGCATGGTGGCAGGCAACTGTAATCCTAGGTACTCAGGAGGCTGAGGCAGAAGAATCACTTGAAACCAGGAGGCGGAGGTTGCAGTGAGCCGAGATGGCACCATTGCACTCCAGCCTGAGGGACAGAGTGAGACTCTGTCTCAAATAATAATAATAATAATAATAATCATCATCATCATCATCATCATCATCTAGCCAGCTTCACTACAATTACGTAGGCAACACCAGGAAAACACTGGAATCACAGTTGATAAAAATTAATGAATTCATTCAAAAACATTCAGAGTGCCATGTCCATTTGTGCCACGTACTGTACTAAGTGCTGGGGCTACAAAATCCATCTCAAAGACACACCAAGATGAGGACTTTGTCCCCAGGGGACTTTCATTCCTCAAGGAGGAAGCGGATGCTGATGGGAAAACATATGAGAGCCATGTGGGGATCTGTACGGCAGGGTGACAAGGAGAAGACAAAGCAGGAATGGGGGCTGGGTTAAGAAAGACTTGAGAGACACTAACTTGCTTATCTTGAGTTTCTGTGTTCATCTTAAAGAACAGAAAAAGGCATTTGCTTCATGGTGATGAAAAAATCAGAGCTAGCTGATATTGGAAACTAGCACTCATTTCATATAAACAGAATAGAGCTGTACCCTTCAAACTAAGTCACAGTTACTTTCAAAGATTGGCACAAGGGTCTCAACACATCAAGTGTATGTTAGGGGCTGGGCTCCGTTGGAGTCAAATCTTCCTGGTAAACAAAGCTACACTGCAGTCATATTTGGCATATGTGACATATAGGCCCACTGCATTTCCTTCCAAAGGCAAGATGCCAAGGGAAGGTGCCAGTAATTTTATGACCAATATGACACCATTTTGTGGTGTTTGTAAGTTGAAACAATATATTTCCCTGCATTACACAAGTTTATAAAAAACAAACAAAAAAAGAGGCCCCAGCTGTGGTTGATCGATGATGAATTGAATAGAGCCTAACCTTCCAGGCTTCTCACTTGCACAGGCCCTTCCAAGGTCCTGGGAGGGCCCCTGGAAATTTTTGTAGTCATAATTTTTTTAATGTTTTTACTAGATAAGGCTCAGGCCCCACAAAATCCTGAAATCATCCCTGGGTTCCAATAGTTACAACCCAGTAAATCTCTTGAATGAAGCCTCTATGTTATTGACAAATACTGACTGGCCAAGTTAGCAGGGTGATAGGGTCAGTCTATTTTGAATCTGAAATCCATCTCAAAGACAGGCCAAGAGCTTATTAGTGGACTTAACTGGATTCTGCTGGCCCAAGCGCAGTAAAGTCAAACAACCATATCGAGGTTTTGCACTGGGGAAAGGAGGACATTTATTTGCAGGGCATCCAAGCAAGAAGGACCAGGCGGCTAACTATCAAAGTCCCTCACTGAATGGGGGCAATAATCATATCTCTTACAGATGAAATCATGAATGAAATGGTTTATGGAAAAGCAGCAATGGTTGATAATCCTAAATGTTAAGTATGTTTATATTTTTTCCCTGACTTTAAAGTGCTTCTCCTTCATTCCTATACACAGGTCCAGACTGATGGCTTATTTTTTAAAATTCTCTTAGTCACTTCATTGGTTCTAACAATAATTTTAGAAACTGGATGACTTTGCAATGTAGAAAGGCTATACTTTATTCAGATAGAGTACACTCACATATTGGCTTGTCTATGGCACATCGATATCATGCCAAGAATGTAAGCACTAAGAGAGAATAAGAGGAAAATCCAGGCTTTATCCCTATTGAATTATTTATCCCACTATTAGAATATTAGTGAGGTAGGTGTGGCCACACTGTGATGGCAAATTGAGCTTCGGTCACAAACATGCCTTACTGTTCCCCCCAGTCTACTGACATCAGCTTCCTTTACATAGCGGTAGATGCACAAAAGTTTGCACAGTTGAGGGTATTGTCATCATGTTTTGGTATGTACTGGAATCCTGGCAGCTTCTTCTCTGATTCGGAGAGGCGCAAACATTAAAGACAAAAAGAACAACTCGAGTCTGTCCTTTGGGGTGATTTAGGGTGGCTGTTTAAATTTGTAGTGGTTGAAAAGTCTTGAGATTGTCACACCTAGCAACTCTTATACTTTTCTTCTCTCAGCTGCAGCTTGTTCTTTTCACCTGTGTAACAAGCTGTCTTCTCTTCTCACAGAAGCTTAGCATTTCTTCCTCTGCCCCATAGCATTTTTTCAATACTTAATTTACCAGGTGCTGTTTATGTTGTAGGCACCTAAGTACTTATACAAGTGAGATAACATGTCCGAAGTTCTTAGAACAGTGCTTGGCCTATGGTAAATGCTCCATACATGTTACCTCCTATGATACCTCATTTTCATTTTTCCAACAACTCTTGCGATGCGGTTATTATTATCATTTCTATTTTGTAGATGAGGAAGTTGAAACTCAGAGATGCTAGGTAATTTGCTAAGGTTCACATGGCTAATAAGTGGCAGAACCACTTACAAGCTTTGCAAATAATTTTCAATGCAGCTCTTAGTTCCCCTGTAATAGGAGCTGAATGATGACAATTTGGCTTTGTGTGCATTGTATCTTACTTTCTAACTTGAAGAGGACCTGTAGAGCAGTGAGCTCCACTTCCCTCTGAGAATCCCACGCTTCTGGAGCTCCTGGCTGTACCAGCTCTGGGCATCCCCAGGGTTTATGCTCACCGGTCAGTGCTGGTGTGACATGATGGCTGAGCACCGGCACTGTGTCCAGCGCATTGCTAGGCACTAGACACGTGCTCTTTCATTTATTCCTCAAATTGCTTTGTGCTGTAAACGCTACCCAGAAAGGCTCATGTTCATTACTCAAGTCACTTCACCAGAAAGTGACAGAGCCAGAATTCAAACCCAGGTCTGCCAGATTCCAGGTCCCTTGCTTCTTCTGTTGTTGCTCATTGCAAGGGAGTCTTCTTCAAGGTTATTCTCAGGACTTTGATTAAGATACAGGCTCACAGCTGGGCATGGTGTCTCATGCTGTAATCTCAGCACTTTGGGAGGCCAAGGTGGGTGGATCACTTGAGCTCAGAAGTTCGAGACCAGCCTGGCCAACATGGTGAAACCCTGTCTCTACTAAAAATACAAAAATTAACCAGGCATGGGGACGGGCATCTATGATCCCAGCTACTCTGAAGGCTGAGGCAGGAGAATCACTTGACTCCAGGAGGTGGAGTTTGCAGTGAGCCAAGATCACACCACTGCACTGCACTCCAGCCTGGGCAACAGAGTGAGACTTCATCTCAAAAAAAAAAAAAAAAAGGAAAAAGGCTCACCATTTCAGATTCTCTAGATTTTGCCCCTGAAAAAGCATTTACGTGATGCAGTCCGAGGTCTTGTATGGAGGAGCTTGGTGTGGGGAGATGTGTGGCTCACGAACCTATGTAGGTGAATAAAGGAAAGAGGTTACTTTCTCCCCAAGTACATCGCGCATATTGGGTGAGGGTCTAGGTCATCTGCTTATTTCTTTGACTACCTTCTTCCATGGAACCAGTTTTCCCTGACAGCCTTGGGATTCTAGCATAGATCATTTTGGAGTCTGTCATTTAAATTTATTTTCACGGCCTGCTTTGGACATTTTTTCAGCTAGAGCTGTTAGGATTTCAGTACATTTAAGACAGTGATGACATGCTCCAGTCCTTTCATCTCTCTCTCCTCAGTTAATAGAAAGGAAACATAGCTCATCTATCTGGACCTGTACAGAAGAATTTGGAGGGAAAAAAAAGAACAGGCAAGAAATGTTCCCTTATTTTGTGAGCTACCTTTATTCTGTCCCATTGTTCTACAGCAAAAGGCTTGTATAAAAATATTTCAGTTTTCCTCATCTAATAAGGCATATTTAATAAAATTATTTAGAGCAGTACTTCTTAAACTTTTACTCTGAGACAGTCTTTGAGGCTGAAAAAAAGCTTGCCACATTTTACTTCCATAAAGATACCAAAAAGGCGATGGACTGGGAGTCAGTGCACCTTAGTTTAATGTATAAAATGAAGGACTTGAACCAGAAATGGAAATGGTCATCTACTGTGAATCTAAAAACACTCAAGGCTGGGCGCGCTGGCTCATGCCTGTAATCCCAGCACTTTAGGAGGCCAAGACAGGCAGATCGCTTGAGCCCCTGGAGTTCAAGTTCAGCCTGGGCAACAAAGTGAGACCCCAATCTCTACAAAAAGACTTTTAAAAAGTGGAAACATAAATATAAATAAATAAAAACATTCATATCATTTGGTTTGTGGAAAAGAGTTGCTGTAGAGTCCTCAAACTTGAGCCGTTGAGCCAGTTCCCACTCAGTCTCTCCATGGCCCAGGCACAACCTTAGTCAAGAAAAGAATGCCTTAGAACAGGAGGAAAAGAGGATAATATCGAATGGCCCTATATTTTGATTTCATTAGGGACAAATGCAAAGATCCTAATGTCAGCTGGAGAAGAGCTTCCTAGTTCAGAGGTAATGCTGAGCTCAAGGCTATGGATGAGCTATCAAGAAAGAGGGAAGGTTGGAGAGTGAGAGAATTTTGGAGGAAAGATAACAAACTTTGCCAAGTTGTTTGGCTACATACTGCCTTACAGTCATTATTTTTGGTGTTTAGAAAAAAATAGAAACAGGGTCTCACTTTGTTACCCAGGCTGGTCTCAAACTCCTGGGCTCAAGCTTTCCTTCTGCTTTGGCCTCCCAAAGTGCTGAGATTACAGGCTTGAGATGCTGTGCCCAGCCTACATTCATTTTTAATAGCTGGGAGGAAAGTGGGCAGAGGAAGATATAGAATGAGGGGGTAGCCGACTTTGTACAGAGCCCACCAGTGGTCTTACAAGTTTTCATGCCAAAAAAAAATCACGAAGGATATTTAAAGCCCTAGTTTGAGAATCCATACTTAACCAGTCATGTGGCACTCACATTCTTTCTCTTTGTAACATCATCTTATTGAATATTAGTGTTACAAAACAAGTTAATGGCACTGAAAAACCATCTGGAATAGGAAAGAGGAGGGGGATCACAAGGCAGGACAAGCTGTGTGGCTCCCAGCCTCGCCACTGACTCACTCTGATCTTGGTCAAGGGAGAGTGAATCTTCACTCCTCTTTTTTCCATCTGCCAGCATGTTTGGTCTTCTGGCACCTGGTGTTCTATACAGTACAACATGCTTCTTTGTGTTACATTGAGACTTGATCCACGTACCATCAACGCAGTATTATAAAGTGTACAATTCAGTGGTGGTTAGTATATTCTCAAGGTTGTATAGCAAACAATCACCATTATCTAACCCCAGAACATTTTCATCATCCCAAAAAGAAACATGGTACCCATTAGCCATCACTCCCCAGTGCTGTCTTCCCGCAGGCCCAGGTAACTACTAATCTACTTTGAGTCCCTATGGATTTGCCTATTCTAGATCTTTCATATAAACGAATCATACAGTATGTGGCCTTTTGTGTCTAGTTTCTTTTCACGAAGCATGTTGTTTCTAAGGTCCTCCCATGCTGCAGCATGGATCATTCCTTTGCAAGGCTGAGTGATATTCCATTGTATGGAGCCATCACTATATCCGTTCATCCATTCATCACTTAGTGGACATGTGGTTGTTTCTACTTTATTTTGGCTTTTATGAATAATGCTGCTATGGACATGCATGTACTACTTTTTGCGTGGACATGTTTTTAATTCTAGGGTGCATCCCTAGCAGAATTGCTAGATCGTATGGCAACTCTTATGTTTAACTTTTTGAGGACCTGTCAGGCTGATTTCCACAGTGGCTGCTCCATTTTACACTTCCATCTGCAATGTTTGAGGGTTTCAATTTCTCCGGGTCTTTGTCAACACTGTCGTTGTCTGTCTCTTCTCATAGCCATCCCAGTGAGTGTAAAGTAGTATCTCGCTGCAGTTTTTGATGGACATTTCCCTAATGATTTAAGACATTCAACATTTTTATGTGTATATGAGCCATTTATATATCTTCTTTGAAGAAATATTTATTCACATCCTCTGCCCATTTAAAAAATTGATTTGTCTTTTTATTGAATTATAGGAATTTCTCTATATCTTCTGGATACTCTGGATATTAGACCTTAACAGATAATTTGCCAATATTTTCTCTCATCCTGTGAGTTCTGTGACTTTCTTGCCAGTGTCCTTTGATGCACAAAAGTTTTTAATTTTGATAAAATCTAATGTATCTATTTTTCCTTTGGTTGTTTGTGCTTTTGGTGTCATGTGTGTGTATAAAATGTCTTATTCTTCTTTAAAAAGGTTCAGTGTTTGGTTTTAAATCAGGCTGTGTCCCTTTCATCTGTCTGACATTCTTGTCACCATGTCAGGCTGCCTTCAGCTAGTAATACTTCATTAAATTCAAAAGACAAAATTGTTTTAAAAGAAAAAAAATCCAGTTTGGAGAAGAAAAAACTGTTGTCTAATTTAAGGTCATGAAATTTACTCCCATGTTTTTGTGTAAGAGTCTTATCGTTTTGGCTCTTACATTTAGGTATTTGACATATTTTGCATCAATTCTTATAATCGTGTGAGATGTAGGGGGTCCACCTTCATTATTTTGCACATAGATGTTCAGGTGACGCCATTACACTCAAGCCTGGGCAACAGAGTGAGACTCCAATGGAGACGGGGTTTCAGCACGTTTATCAGGCTGCTCTCGAACTCCTAACCTGAGATGATCCACCTGCTTCAGCCTCCCAAAATGCTGGGATTACAGGCATGAGCTACCATGCCCAGCCAATAAATGAAAACTTTTTCACTCAAAAAAACAACAATTGTAGTGAAACCATAGATCAGTTTGGAGAATCATGCTATTATTATCTGCTTCATGTTTACAGAATACTCCGTTGAATTTGGTTTGCCAGATTTTGTCAAGCATTTTTCCATCTACATTCATAAGAAATACTGGTCTGTAATTTTTTGTGTGTGATGTCTTTAGTTTGGATACCAGGTTAATATCACCCTCATAGAATAAGTTAGGAAATGTTCTTTCCTCATCTGTATTTTGAAAGACTTTATGAAGGATTGGTGTTAATTCTTCTTTAAGTATTTGGTAGATTCACCAGTGAGGCTGCCTGCTGGTCTTCAGCTTTTCTTAGTGGAAAGTTTTTTGATTACTACCTCAATCTCTTTACTTGACATAGGTCTGTCTATTCAGATTTTCTGTTTTTTTCTCAAGTCAGATTCAGTAGTTCATATCTTTCTGGTAATGTGTCTTTCATCCAGCTTATCCAATTATTAGCATATATTGTTTATATGTATAATCCTTTTTATTCATATTATAATCCTTTTTATGTCTCTAAGAACAATAGTAATGTCCCCTCTCATTTCTAGTTTTAATAATTTGGTCTTCTGTATTTTTGCAGTGCAGTGGCTCACACCTGTCATCCTAGCACTTTGGGAGGCTGCGGTGGGAGGATTGCTTGACCCCAGGAGTTCGAGGCCAGCCAGGGCAACATACTGAGAGCTTATCTCTACAAAAAAAATTTAAAAGTTAGCTGAACGTGGTGGCACATGCCTGTAGTCACAGCTACTCAGGTGGCTAAGGCAGGAGGATCACTTGAGCCCGGGAGATCGGTGCTGCAGTGAGCCATGATTGTTCCACTGCACTCCAGCCTGGGAAACAGAGTGAAAACCTGTCTTGAAAAATGAACAGTAAGAAAACAAAATGTTTGTGGCCAGATGCAGTGGTGCATACCTATAATCCCTGTACTTTGGGAGGCCAAGGAAGGAGGATTGCTTGAGGCCAGGAGTTTGAGACCAGCCTGGGCAACATAGTGAGACCCTATCTCTAAAAATTTTTTTTAGTTAGCCGAGTGTGGTGGTGCGCACCTGTAGTCTCAGCTACATCTTAATTTTATAACGTTGTAGTTCAGATTAATTCCAACTTTGTTTCAATGGTATACAAAAACTTTGCTTCTCTAAAGCTCCACTCTCACCCCCTCCTTTATACTGTTATTGTCACACATTACATCTTTATATACCTTATGTTCATCAACTAGATTTATAATTATTGCATTATGTAAGTATCTTTTTCTTTTTTTTTTTTTTCTTTATTTTGGGACAGAGTCTCACTCTGTTGCCCAGGCTAGAGTGCAGTGGCACAATCTTTACTCGCCGCAACCTCTGCCTCCCAGGTTCAAGCGATTCTAGTGCCTCAGCCTCCTGAGTAGCTGGGACTGCAGGCACGTAACACCACACCCAGCTAATTTTTGTATTTTTAGTAGAGACAGGGTTTCACCATGTTTGCCAGGCTGGTCTCAACCTCTTGACCTCAAGTGATCCTCCAGCCTCAGCCTCCCAAAGTGCTGGGATTACAGGCCTGAGCCACTGCGCCCAGCCAGTGCTTTTTATTTCTTTGTGCAGATTCACGTTAGTACTCCTTATAGGGCAGGTCTTCTAGCAACAAAGTCTCTCAGTTTTTATTTATCTAGAATATCTTAATTTCTCTTCAATTTCAAAGGTAGTTTTGCCAGGTATAGAATTATTGGTTGACAGTTTCTTCAGCACTTTGAATATGCCATTTCATTGCCTTTTGTCCTCCAGTGTTGTGTGTGGTTGCTTTGTTTTTAGACAGGGTCTTGCTCTGTTACCCAGGCTGGAGTGCAGTGGTGCAACCACTCACAACGTTGCAGCCTCCACCTCCCAGGCTTAAGCAATGCTGTCACCTCAGCCTCCTGGGTAGCTGAGACTACAGGCATGCACCACCATGCCCAGTTTTTTTTGTTTTTGTTTTTGTTTTTTTTAATTTTTTTTTATTGATCATTCTTGGGTGTTTCTCGCAGAGGGGGATTTGGCAGGGTCATAGGACAATAGTGGAGGGAAGGTCAGCAGATAAACAAGTGAACAAAGGTCTCTGGTTTTCCTAGGCAGAGGACCCTGCGGCCTTCCACAGTGTTTGTGTCCCTGGGTACTTGAGATTAGGGAGTGGTGATGACTCTTAACGAGCATGTTGCTTTCAAGCATCTGTTTAACAAAGCACATCTTGCACCGCCCTTAATCCATTCAAC
Source organism: Homo sapiens (assembly GCF_000001405.40). Lineage (NCBI taxonomy): Eukaryota > Metazoa > Chordata > Mammalia > Primates > Hominidae > Homo > Homo sapiens. The sequence goes on from NT_187663.1 coordinate 1,054,158, forward strand.
CCTGAGTGGACACAGCACATGTTTCAGAGAGCACTGGGTTGGGGGTAAGGTCATAGATCAACAGCATCCCAAGGCAGAAGAATTTTTCTTAGTACAGAACAAAATGGAGTCTTCTATGTCTACTTCTTTCTACACAGACACAGCAACAATCTGATTTCTGTATCTTTTCCCCACATTTCCCCCTTTTCTATTCAACAAAACCGCCATCGTCATCATGGCCCGTTCTCAATGAGCTGTTGGGTACACCTCCCAGACGGGGTGGCGGCCGGGCAGAGGGGCTCCTCACTTCCCAGAAGGGGCAGCCGGGCAGAGGCGCCCCCCCACCTCCCGGAGGGGGCGGCTGGCCAGGCGGGGGCTGGCCCCCACCTCCCTCCCAGACAGGGCGGCTGCCGGGCAGAGGGGCTCCTCACTTCTCAGACGGGGCGGCTGCTGGGCGGAGGGGCTCCTCACTTCTCAGATGGGGCGGCTGCCAGGCGTAGGGGCTCCTCACTTCTCAGACGGGGTGGCCAGGCAGAGATGCTCCTCACCTCCCAGACAGGGTCGCGGCCGGGCAGAGGCGCTCCTCACATCCCAGACGGGCATGCCCAGTTATTTTTAAATTTTTTGTAGAGACAGGGTTTTACTCTATTGCCAGTGCTGGTATCCAACTCCTGGCTTCAAGCAATTCTTGAGCCTCAAGCCTCCCAAGGTACTGGGAGTACAGGTGTGAGCAACCATGTCCAGCACCTGCATTGTTTTTGAAGAGAAATTAGCTATTAATCTTATTGAGGATCCCTTGTATGTGATGAGTTGCTTTTCTCTTGCTGCTTTCAAGATATTCTGTCTTTGGCTTCTGTCAGTTTGATTACAGTATGTTTAGATGTGGATCCCTCAGTTTTTCCTACTTGTAGTTCCTTGAGCTTCTTGAATATGCAGATTGTTTTTCATCATGTTTGGGAAGTTTGGGGCCATCATTTCTTCAAATATTCTTTCTCCTTTTTTCTGTTTTTCTTCTCCTGGGACGCTCATTATGTGTATGTTAGTAAGCTTGATGATGTGTTCCACAAACAGGTCTCTGAGATTCCATTCACTTTCATTCATTTTTATTTCTGTTCCTCAGAGTCAACAATCTCAATTAACCTTCAAGTTCCCCATTCTATCTTCAGCCTGCTGTAATGTGCCATTGAGAACCTCTAATAATTTTTCCATTTCAGTTACCATACTTTTCAACTCTAGAATTTCTATTTGACTCCTTTTTATGGTTTCTATCTCTTTATTGATATTCTCTATTTGATGAGACATTGCTTTCATACTTTCCTTTAGTTCTCTAGTCTACAGAACTGAATCGTTTCTCTTATCTCTTTGAACATATTTTAAATAGCTGAATTAAATCCTTCTCTAGGCCAGGCATGGTCGCTCGTGCCTATAATCCCAGCACTTTGGGAGGCTGAGACTGAGGTTGAGGCTGAGGCCAGGAGTTCAAGACCACCCTGGGTAACTTCGCAAGACCCCACCTATAAAAAATAAAAAAATCTTTGTCTAGTAAGTCTAACATCTGGTCCTTCTCAGGGACAATTTCTGCTTATTTCTCCCCCAACCACGTGTTTGGGCCATACTTTGTTTCCTTGCATCTTTCATAAATGTTTGTTAAAAATTGAATATTTTAAATAATATAATGTAGCAATTCTGAAAATCAGATCCATGCTGCCAGGGTTTGGTGTTACTCCTGCTTGTGTTAGTAGTTGCTATTTATTTAGTGACTTTTCTGAACTTCTTCTGTAAAGTCTCGCATTATATGTCATGTGTTCCCACTAAAGTCCCTCCTCGGTTAGCTTACCGATCAGGTAATGATTAAATGAAGATTTACTTAAATTCTTGGAACTGATAAGTCTCCTAGTTTTTGCCAAGGGGCTCTGTGTACATGTTGGGGCATACCTTCAGCACTCAGCTAGACAATTTACAGCCATGCCTTAGCTTTCACTTCTTGCTTGTGCAGAACCTCAAGGTGTCAGCCAGGGGTGAGAGTTTATGAACTTAGTAGGTCTTTCCTGACCATGCTGACAGTCTGCCCTATGCATGCGCGTGACATTCCAAATTGCCAGGAATATGTCTTATGGACTTCTAGTTTCCCAAGCATATATCAGAGTGTTTCAAATTCCTGTGGACATCTTATTCCTCAGCTTTTCCTATTAAGCTTTTTGATTAGGCTTTTTTCCCCCAAACTGTTATTCATTGCCGAATACAGTTGCCATGTTAAAACACTTGTCTGTAATTGTTTTCCAAAAACACCCTCTGTGGAGAGGCTTTAGCACTAGACAGCTTTCATTCTGGTCAAATAAAGACAAACCTTTCAAATGAGGTCTTCCAGGGAACCACCAGACAGATGACATCATGACAGTTAACTGAGAATAAGGCTTTGAAGGAGCTCCAGCTCCATTCTGCTCCCTCTGTTTGGGGATGTGGGCTGTTTTCCAAGGCGACTACTGAGCTAGAGGGTGAGGAATGGTCTAAGGCAAGTTAACACAAATCTCACTGTTCTTACAGAAATTTTTCTTGAATAAATGCTCCTTGGGTTGCTGCAAGACTTTGGTTACATTTCTAGAGTTCTGAAAAAGTTTATTGTGGTCAATTTTTTTTTTTTTTTTTTTGCTATTTTTTTTGGTATTTGTTGCTTTTATGAAGGGATGAATTTTTGGATGTCTCTTTTTTTTTTTTTTTTTTTTTTTTTTGAGACAGAGTCTCACTCTGTTGTCCAGGCTGGAGTGTAGTGGCATAATCTCATCTCACTGCAAGCTCCACCTCCCGGGTTCACACAATTCTCCTGCCTCAGCCTCCCGAGTAGCTGGGACTACAGGCGCCTGCCACCACGCCCAGCTAATTTTTGTATATTTAGTACAGACGGGGTTTCACTTTGTTAGCCAGGATGGTCTCGATCCCCTGACCTCGTGATCCGCCTGCCTCAGCCTCCCAAAGTGCTGGGATTACAGGTGTGAGCCACTGCGCCCAGCCTGCATGTCTTTATTCCACCATTTTCACTGATGTCACTTACGACATGATTTTAAATCTCTGAAGGCTCACTGGGCACATGCCTGTAGTCCCAGATACTCGGGAGGCAAAGGAAGAAGGATCCTTTGAGTCCAGGAATTCTGGGCTGTAGCATGCTATGCTGATTGGGTGTCCGCACTAAGTTCAGCATCAGTATGGTGACCTCCCGGGAAAAGGAGACCACCAGGTTGCCTAAAAAGGGGTGTACCAGCCCAGTTCAGGAATAGAGCAGGTCAAAACTCCCATGCTGATCACTAGTGGGATCATGGCTGTGAATAGCCACTGCTCTCCAGCCTGGGCAACACAGTGAGTGAGAATGTGTCTCTTAAAAAAAAAAAAAAAGTCTCATTGACCATAGACTAATAAACTATTTAATCATGGGAAATGATTAGGGGAAAGACATAAAAAGAGAAACTGTAATCCACTTTTTTTTGCTCTGTCGCCCAGGCTGGAGTAGAGTGGCTTGATCTTGGCTCACTGCAACCTCCGCCTCCTGGGTTCAAGCAATTCTCCTGCCTCAGCCTCTGAAACAGCTGGAATTACAGGCAAGCACTGCCGTGCCCTGCTAATGAGAAATTGTAATTCTCATAGAGGTCCTCCCAGAGGAGTAGAAGAAGGTTGAAAGGCACTTCTGTATTTAGTCTTCTCACAATTAAGGCTGGGCCCAGTGGCTCACACCAGCACTTTGGGAGGCCAAGGCAGGCGGATCACTTGAGATCAGGAGTTCAAGACCAGCCTGGCAAACATGGTGAAACTCCCATCTCTACTAAAAACACAAAAAATAGCCAGGCGTGGTGGTGCGTGCCTATAGTCCCAGCTATTTGGGAGACTGAGGAAGGAGGATTACCTGAGCTTGGGAAGAGGACGTTGCAGTGAGCCAAGATCACGCCACTGCACTCCAGCCTGGTCAATGGAGCAAGACCCTGTTTGGGTGGGGAGGGGAGGGGAGTGGAGGGGAGAGGAGAAAGGAAAGAAAGGAAAGGAAAGAAAATAGAAAGAAGGAAGGGGGAGGGAAGGAAGGAAGGAAAAAGAGAGAGAAAAAGAATGAAGAACAAAAATGAAAATTTTTTAAAAACCTAAGGTTAAAATAAACCCTTTTTCTTCATACAGATTAAACACGAGTTCAAATTACAGCTTTGCTGCTTAATAGCTTGGTGACCTAGGACAAGTTATCTAACCTCTCTGTGCCTCAGTTTCCTCATTTAAAAATAGGGCAATAATAATATCTACCACATAAGGTATTTGCTGATCACAAATACCTGGCAACCCAGTAGATACTCACTGTAATAATTATTATTTTTATAATTTCTGCCTAAGTACAAAGATGATTCTTGGGTTAACCTAAAGGTAGATTTTCTTTTATTTCTTCCTGTTTCTTTTATTTTTCTTGTTCACCTTAAAGAATTAAAAAGAAAATCGATTCCAGCATTTTGGAATAAAAATTTGCATCAAAATCAATTTATTCATTTTATTGACATATGAACAAAATGTCATTTGTTTATTCAATAAACATTTGTTAAATGCCTAATACATTTCAGACATCATGCCAGGCACGGGGATGACAGGGCATGGTGGCAGGCACCTGTAATCCCAGCTACTTGGGAGGCTAAGGCAGGAGAATTGCTTGAACCTGGGAGGCGGAGATTGCAGTGAGCCAAGATTGCACCACTGCACTCCAGCCTGGGTGACAGAGTGAGACTCCGTCTCAGAAAAAAAAAAAAAAAAAAAAAAAAATGTGGTCTCTGCCCTCAAAGCGCTCATAGTCCAGGAGCCTGACAAGTGGACAGGTGATTACATGCAATGTAAGAAAGGCTGTGATGTCATACAAGAAGACAAGTGGGAGTATGGTTTTGACCAGTTCCTCCTCTTAGATTTATTCCTTCTTCTTTGGCTATAAAGCAAAAGAATTGGTCCTATTTTTTTTTAACTGTGCAAATTAAACCATAAATTTTAAAAACTTTATAAAGATAAAAGACAAGCAGCCAGCCGCAGTGGCTCATGCCAGTAATCCTATCAGTTTGGGAGGCTGAGGCAGGTAGATCACCAGAGGTCAAGAGTTCAAAACCAGCCTGACCAACATGGTAAAACCCCGACTCTACTAAAAATACAAAAATTAGCTGGGCGTGGTGGTGGGTGCCTGTAATCCCAGCTACTCGGAAGGCTGAGGCAGAACAGGAGAATCACTTGAACCTGGGAGGCGGAGGTTGCAGTGAGCCAAGATCGAGCCATTGCACTCCAGCCTGGGCAACAAGAGCGAGACTCCATCTCAAAAAAAAAAAAAAAAAAAAAAAAAAAAAATAGATGAACAACTTGAATTATGATGAGCAACTTGAATTATGGAGGATGCTAGAAATACTGTTTCCTCCACAGTCAGGGCTTCCTACCAACATAGTCACTTTTAGGGTTTTTGACCTGAAAAGTTCTGTGGCATATTTTTTCTTTGCTATCCACTTTTTTTTTCCTTGTAGTTCTTCCCCGCGTTCTATCCTTTATCTTCTAGAGACCTTGGTAGTTCCCATAGGAATAGTGCTTTACGGAGTCTAATGGTGATTTCTTAGGTAAAGACAGGAAACATTTTTTTCTTTTTTACCTACAAGTTCCATATCAAAAAATGAATGTAAACTTTTCATGCAGTTTTACACATTGAAAATGCAGGTTATTTTAATTCCATTCCATTTTTCAGAATTCTCAATCACAATCCTCTGACAACTGTTGAAGATCCGTATCTCTTTAAATTGCCAGCATTAAAATATCTGTAAGTACTATAGTACTCTCATGAGTCAAGAGATGATTTATGCTTTTTAAATTTTTCATCAAAGCTTAAGTATTTTGCATTTAGGCTAAAATGTCATAATTTAAATTTTAACTGGGTTATTGAAAAAAAGTTATTGGCGAAGAAAAAAATTAAGAGGATGTATAATGGTCAAGACAGCCAGCAGGGGAAGAGAACAGCATTGAAGAACCCATATAGATTTGGAACATGTAGACACATGGAGGAATATTATTTAACCAAGAAAGCAAAGGGGAAAAGGTGTTCATTATTCTAAAAATAAAGAAAAGAGTAAATAAGATGGTGAGTGCAATATGAAAATGAGAAGATAATGGTAAAAAAAAAAAGTGTCAGTTCTGCTCTTGAGTATCATTAATTTGATGATGCAAATCAACTTTTAATTTCTTTAATAAGAGCTCCCTGGAATTCTACAGCAAATAAAGTCTTGAGCTGGCTTGTTTAATAGAGAAGCCAAAATTGAATTGTTAAGTACAGAATTTTTTATTGGGGCTCATATCATGAATGTTTCGGCTTTCTTCTTCAGAGACATGGGAACAACGCTAGTCCCACTTACAACACTTAAGAACATTCTCATGATGACTGTTGAACTGGAAAAACTGTAAGTTATTTTTTTCTGAGATTTATTTTTACTTAGTTGGTTCTTTAGGTTTGTTTTATTATTTTCTTAAGTCAGGTTCATTGAGGTATAATTTTCATATAGTAACATTCACGCTTTTTAAGTGTACAGTTTGATGAGTCTGACAAATGTATAGTTACATAACCACCACCACATTCCCAATATAAAGCATTTCTGATGCCTCAAAAAGGCCCCTACTGTCCCTTTGTAGGCAATCCCATCCTCCCACCATCAGCCCCTGTTAGCTACTAATCTGATTTCTGTTCCTATACTTTTGCCTTTTCCAGAATGTCTTATAAATGAAATCATATAGCACATAGCCTCTTGTGTTTGGCTCCTTTCACAAAGCCTAATTTTTTTTTTTGTTTTTGAAATGGAATCTCACTCTGTCGCCCAGGCTGCAGTGCAGCGGCATGACCTAGGCTCACTGCAACCTCCACCTCCCAGGTTCAAGTGGTTCTCCTGCCTCAGCCTTCCGAGTAGCTGGGATTACAGGCGCATGCCACCACACCTGGCTAATTTTTGTATTTTTAGTAGAGACAAGGTTTCGCCATGTTGGCCAGGGTGGTTTCGAACTCCTGACCTCAAGTGATCCGCCTGCCTCAGCCTCCCAAAGTGCTAGGATTACAGATAAGATCCACCTTGCCTGGCCTCACTCAGCAGAATTTTTTTTGAGATTATGCTACCATCCATGTTGTTGCACCTATCACTACAGCTGGCCCTCCATATCTGCAGGTTCCTCATCCATAGATTCAACGAACCATGGATGGGGAATATTTGGAAAAAATAAAATATATAAAACAACAATACAACAATAAAAGCAGTAGAAAATTTAAAATACAGTATAATTATATACATACCATTTACACTGTATTAGGTACTTAGAGTATACCTGAGGCTGTATACAAACATTATGTCATTTCATAAAAAAGAACTCAGCATCTGTGGACTTTGGTATCTGCAGGGGGTCCTGGAGCCAATCCCCTGCAGACACCGAGGGACAACTGTTCACTCCTTTTTATTGCTGAGTAGTATTCCGGTTGTGTGGAAATGCCATCTCTACTAAAAATGCACAAATTAGGCAGGTGTGGTGGCACATGCCTGTAATCCCAGCTACTCAGGAGGCTGAGGCACGAGAAGTGCTTGAACTTGAGAGGTGGAGGTTGCAATGAGCCGAGATTGCACCACTGCACTCTAACCTGGGCGACAGAGTGGGACTCTGTCTAAAAAAAAAAGTAAGAAATAAAAATGTTTTCTGAAGAGCAGAAGTTTTTAATTTTGACCAGCTTTAAGTTAGCATTTTTTTCTTAAATGGCTTGTGATTTTTTGTTTCTTACCTAAGAAATCTTTAAGAACCTGTTGTCTAATCCAGCGTCTAAAAGATTTTCTCCTATGTCTTCTCCCAGAAATGATACACATTTAGGTCTATGATCCATTTTGAGTTAATTTGCATATGTGATGTATCTTTTTTATTTTTTATTTTTTTGTAGAAATGAGGTCTCAGTATGTTCCCCAGGCTGGTCTCGGACTCCTGGTCTCAAGTGATCCTCCTGCCTCACCTCCCAGAGTGCTGAGATTACAGGCATGAGACACCGTGCCTGGCCTTCTTTGCAGGATATATATATAGATATAGATATATATATAAATCAGCCAGGTGTGGTGGCACACGCCTGTAGTCCCAGCTACTAGGGAACCTGAGTCAGGAGGATCACTTGAACCCAGGAGGTGGAGGTTGCAGTGAGCCAAGATGGCACCACTGCACTCCAGCTTGGGTGACAGAGCAAGACCCTGTCTAAAATATATATATATTTATATATATGTACGTGTATATATGTATATGTATGCCTGCGGGGCCCTATTGTGAGTTTGTTACACAATTTACTGCAACTTCAATTGTGCCACCAGCCCCCACAATATGGCAAGCTAAATAGAGACTCAGTTATGCTAGGGCTGGTTGAGGGCATTTTGCAAGATTAGCATGGAAAGGGCCCTTCATTTAGCACTCTGCTCCGTTCATTTTTGTCAGGTCACTTTCTTATCTTGACCAGGTTGTCAGATCTCTTTTACTGCTCTAGCCTCACTTTCCTCAGCCTCCTGCAGCATCTTCCCCATCAGCTGGATCCCTTCCTCTCTGGATGAAGTCCCCTTCATCGACCAGCTTTCTCACTTAGTTCTCTAAGATAGTGAGGATCTGTCTGCTTTTTTCTTGACCATTATTGGATAGGAAAAATGCTCTCATCCTCTGTAATGATTTGTCACCAAGGCCATAAAGACATTGAACTAAATGTCTTATGGGAGTTCATTATTGGAAGTCTTCAGGAGTTTACACATTTATGTACAAAGTAAGTAGGCCAGCTCATTTGAGTCTTGGCTCATGTGTAATGATCTTTCATGTGTATTGAAAAATTATTCTCAAGTATACCTCAGGTCATTTACAGTCTCAAAGATTTGTCAGTATACTTTAAAACAATCCTGGGAACAGTTCTAGATTGAAGGAGACTAAAGAATCATGTACTAAGTGTAATGTCTGATGTTTGATTGGATTGTGAATTTTTTAAGCCATGTTATGATTGGGACAATTGTGAAAATGTGTATACGGACCGCATAGTAGACAATGATAATATGAAGTTCCATTGAGTGATGATAGTCCTCTGGTTATGTCAGAGAATGCCTTGGTTCTTAGGGGCTGCACACTGAAGTCTTCAATGGTGAAGGGTCATTATGTCTGCAACTGACTCTCAAATGGTTTTGTCCAGAAAATGTATAGACATACACACACGGAAAGCTAATGTGGCAAAGTATTAGCAACTACTGATTCCAGATGAAAGTTATACAGGTGTTCATTATACCATTTGAAAATGTTTCCCAGCCATCCTAAGGCTTAAAGGAAAAAAAGAAAATGTTTAAAATAAAAACTTGGGGGCAGAAAAAGAATACCAAAAATTTTGGGCTCATGCCTGTAATCCCAGCACTTTGGGAGGCCAAAGAGAGAGGGTTGCTTGTGCCCAGGAGTTCGAGACCAGCCTGGACAACATGGTGAAACCCCATTTCTACAAAATATACAAAAATTAGCCAGGTGTGGTGGCACACACCTGTAGTTCTAGGTACTCAGGAGGCTGAGGTGGGAGGATCACTTGAGCACAGGAGACAGAGGCTGCAGTGAGCCAAGATTGCACCACTGCACTCAGCCTGTGTAACAGAGCGAGACCCGGCCTCAAAATAAACAAAAGAAACACCTTTGTGGCAGAGGTAAGGTTGCTATACAACAAAATGCTGGGTTACGGTTCCGGGTCCATTCCATATGAAGATCAGAGGCTTCCACTGGACCCAAAGGAATACTACTAGTCACTTGTGATTGTTCCTTTATAGGTTTGAAAGATGTCTCAGGCCAACTTATTGGATGCAGTTTTAATCTAAAACTCTATACATTGTACCCCCAACTCACAGACTTCTTGTATCCATGAAACCCTCTTCTGTTTTCATAGTCTTAATATGGCCCCAATAAAGCCATCCTTTTGGAGGACTCAGAAAAGGCCCCCCACAACCTCTGCAACACAATAATTATAGTTAACTCTTATTGAGCACTGACTGTGCACCAGGCATTTTTCAGGTATTGATTCATTTGATCCTCAAAATTCATTAGAGGTAGGTACTATTATAATGACAAGGCCAAGGAACAGAGATTAAACAATTTGCCCAAATTCACATTATTAGCAGAGCTGAGATTGAAGCATAGTCTGGCTATGGAATCTGTATTCTTAATGACCATGCTATACTGCCTAAGATTAACCTTTTACTTCAGTTACAGGGATTGTTTTTATCTCTCTGAAAGTGCCCCCAATAAGCCACAACAATAAATTAATCAATTGTCTCGGTTACCTCTTTTGCCCAAATTTACGTATTGGAAAAAATTCAAACAAGCCAGAAAGATGAAAGAATAGTACAGAATCCAATCAAAGATCAGGCACTGCATGTCATGTCTTCATTTCCTTTAATCTAAAACATGCCTCTACTTTCTTTGATCTTTCATGACACTGGCATTTTTTAAGAGTCAAAGATAGTTGTCTTGTAAATTGTCCCACAATCCAGATTTGTCTGTTTCCTCATGATGAAATTCAAGTTAAGCATTTTTGGGAAAAATACTGCATAGGTGATGTATCCTTCCTGCCTCGTAACCGCAGATGGCCTGTAATACTAAGTTTGATCACTTGACTAAGGTGATCTTCCAGGTCTCTCCATTGTAATTATTTTGCTGGCTACAGTGGCTCCCACTTGTAATCCCAGCACTTTGGAAGGCCGAGGTGGGAGGATTGCTTGAGCCCAGGAGTTCTACACCAGCCTGAGCAACATGGGGAAACTCTGTCACTACTGAAAATACAAAAGTACAAAAAAAAAAAAAAAATTAGCTGGGCATGGTGGTGCAAGCCTATACTCCCAGCTACTCAGGAGGCTGAATTTGGAGGATCCCTTGAGCCCAGGGGGGTTGAGGCTGCATTGAGGTATAATTTTGCCACTGTATTTCAGCCTGGGTGACAAAATAAAAATAAAAATAAAAAATAATAATTTTCCCCTTGGTAATTAATAAATAATCTGTGGGTTGTTACTTTGAGTTCAGTGAAGATCCTGTTCTCAAATGTTTTTTCACCCAAATGTGCATCAATGATAATCCTTGTCTGAATGAATTTGTATTACACTGACGGTTGCAAAGTGACACTTTTAAAAATTCTGTCATTCCTTCTACATTTACTAGCTGGCATTATTTCATTGAAGAAGAACTCCTCCTCTTTCTTTTTCAATATCACTCTTCGTGGATTCTTCTTTATATTAAATATGTTGTAACTTATTGTTGTTATTCTTTTGAATGCTCAAATTGTCCAGATTTGACCAATGCAGTCTTTGTTATTTTTTAACTCCGCAATCCAGGTTAAACTAAGCTATTTTTAATGCCCAGAGTAATTTATAATATTTCCCACTCCCAACAGGAATTGAGAAAGGGACTCCAGAAGTTGGGGGCTTATTCAGACTTCTTAAAAGTCTACCTTCTTCCTCTGTACTTTCAGCCCAAAGTGAGACTTTTGAATTGGGAAGAGATACTTCTGAAACTACTAATCACTGTCACCCAATTCTAATCCCAACCATCTTTATTCTAGGCATACCATACTCACTGCCATGCTTACCCTTCAGTTGGGCACTTTTGTCCTCCTTCCTATTGGCCTTCTGGTTCCTACCCAACTGTCCAGTCCATAGGCTTCAATGACACCTTTTTCCCACACCTGTGGTAGCGTTGGCTGCCTCCTTTACCTACTCAAGTAACCGCTTTACCGCTAATTTATTGCTCTCTGTTTTCATCTATAGGATCTTACCTAGCCATATGGCCTGCTGCCTCTGCCAATTTAAAAACAGCATTGAGGCTGTCTGCAAGACAGTCAAGCTGCATTGCAACAGTGCATGTCTGACAAACACCACACATTGTCGTGAGTCCAAATTGCGCGGTGATAAATTGTTACATTAAGTATTTGTTTTCAAACTTTTTATTTTTAATGATGATAAAATTTTAAGCTAATGACATAATTGCTTTATTTTTATTTACTCATTCAGAGTTAAACTCCCTCAATTTCCGAACTACTCCCTTGCTGAAAGTCAGGTTCTCAGTTACTATTACAAAATTTAATAATAGAACTGTTCCATATGCAGAAAGGACCAAGACAAAGGAATGGGAAGGCTAGGGAATAACATTAACATCCACACACTGTATACTGTGCTCTCTGCTTGATGCTTTGCCCACAGTGATAATTTCTTCATATAGTGCAATGTAGTTTGTAAGCTGGTTTTAAATCCATGAGATCTCAAGTACTCTCTGCCTTATAGGACAGATGTAGATACGGTTTTGGTCTTTCTGTTTTTACAGTTTTATAAGAGTACAAGTGATGCTGTTTTATTTGAAGCCTGAGAGCTTCTGGTTCCATAACCAGAAATTGCTACCTGGCTCTTCTAATGGAATGGAGGGCTTTTCCATTCTTAGACCATCCAACTCTGAACTTGCTCCGAATCTCAAACCTTTCTATTCACAGAACAAACGCTCAAGGGCTTTCAAGAGTGTTTCTGTAGATTAGGCTTATTAGCATCAACTTCATGACTTCTAAAATGTGACTGCTTTCATGTCCAGATAGCTTGAATACAGGTATCTACCAGTGATATGGGGTGGAGAATTAATAATGCTTGGTTACATAAAGTCAGTGTTGCTTATTTTTCAAAACTTTTTTTTTTTTTTTTTTTTTTTTTTTTTTTTTTACCAATTATGTTATTCCCTTCTCCCCAAGAAGTGGGCAGAAAAGCTTTGTTAACCTCCTTTTACAGATGAGGAAAAACAAGATCAGAGGTGCTAAGTGCTGTAGCCTAGTGCCAGGTCTTCTGGCCCCAATTCTGGGTTCTCCCCAAGCCCATGTTTCTTCCCCTTTCTCACAATCTTTACTTCTTCCTCTGACCCTCACCACCACCCAAAGTACTTTTAATTCTAGAAAAGAAACCCAGCTGCACACTGGCACACCTGACCTTCATGCAGTCAGAAGCTTTGGATGATTCCCCATCCAAAATATTAGAGATGAAATGAAAGCAAAGTAGGCATCTGACAAAAGTTGCTTTTTCCCTTCTGCATTTTAGGACCTCAAGTAATGTTTATCCAGAAACTGCTATCATACCAGGGATTCATTGTGTATTTAACAACATAGGCATGCAATCTGGCAAATTTGAAAAACTCTTAACATACACCCCAAATCCCTGCCCAAATTTAAGAACTAGGGTGGACACAGTGCGTTTTTCCATGTCGCATCTTCTGTGATGGGGCTACGATACGTGGGAGCAGAGAATGGGGAGGGTGGAGCGCATGCCAGATGAGGATCTATCAGCAATGGGACGGGGCCTCCACTTTAGCATCTCCACCCTGCTCCTCTCAGAGGACCGCCTTTCATTGCATTCAGCTGTGATGGTAGCACGAACACAGGTGCACCGAGGACGAGGAGAGCAGGAGCCTTGTGCTCTCTCTGCATCTGAGGCAGGACAGCACAGGGTACGGAGCAGTCTGCAGAGAGGCCAGCTCATCAGGGAAGCACTTGTCTTCCACCTTGGGCTTTGACTGAGCACTGGGCAATTGGCCTCTGGGGATCAACGAAATAATCCTAAACAGAGTTACTCTATGTCACACTATGGAATGTTCCAAGTAGGTGGCCGTGTTTTCAAAAGATGTATTTTCTCCTTTTGTTGTTGCCATTTCATAGGTTTAGGATTGGGTGTGTGTTTCTCCTCTCTGAATGGCACTCGAATGTTTGCTGACTCCTACTCTGTGTGACTGGGGTGTACAGCTATGGACTGATGCATCCCATCCCATCATCTTTCATGATCAAAGCAGTCTCTTCTTTTTTGACAGCTGAAGAAGCATCGGTAGGGAATCCAGAAGGAGCGTTCATGAAGGTGTTACAAGCCCGGAAGAACTACACAAGCACTGAGCTGATTGTTGAGCCAGAGGAGCCCTCAGACAGCAGTGGCATCAACTTGTCAGGCTTTGGGAGTGAGCAGCTAGACACCAATGACGAGAGTGATTTTATCAGTACACTAAGTTACATCTTGCCTTATTTCTCAGCGGTAAACCTAGATGTGAAATCACTGTTACTACCGTTAATTAAACTGCCAACCACAGGAAACAGCCTGGCAAAGATTCAAACTGTAGGCCAAAACCGGCAGAGAGTGAAGAGAGTCCTCATGGGCCCAAGGAGCATCCAGAAAAGGCACTTCAAAGAGGTAGGAAGGCAGAGCATCAGGAGGGAACAGGGTGCCCAGGCATCTGTGGAGAACGCTGCCGAAGAAAAAAGGCTCGGGAGTCCAGCCCCAAGGGAGGTGGAACAGCCCCACACACAGCAGGGGCCTGAGAAGTTAGCGGGAAACGCCGTCTACACCAAGCCTTCCTTCACCCAAGAGCATAAGGCAGCAGTCTCTGTGCTGAAACCCTTCTCCAAGGGCGCGCCTTCTACCTCCAGCCCTGCAAAAGCCCTACCACAGGTGAGAGACAGATGGAAAGACTTAACCCACGCTATTTCCATTTTAGAAAGTGCAAAGGCTAGAGTTACAAATACGAAGACGTCTAAACCAATCGTACATGCCAGAAAAAAATACCGCTTTCACAAAACTCGCTCCCACGTGACCCACAGAACACCCAAAGTCAAAAAGAGTCCAAAGGTCAGAAAGAAAAGTTATCTGAGTAGACTGATGCTCGCAAACAGGCTTCCATTCTCTGCAGCGAAGAGCCTCATAAATTCCCCTTCACAAGGGGCTTTTTCATCCTTAGGAGACCTGAGTCCTCAAGAAAACCCTTTTCTGGAAGTATCTGCTCCTTCAGAACATTTTATAGAAAAGAATAATACAAAACACACAACTGCAAGAAATGCCTTTGAAGAAAATGATTTTATGGAAAACACTAACATGCCAGAAGGAACCATCTCTGAAAACACAAACTACAATCATCCTCCTGAGGCAGATTCCGCTGGGACTGCATTCAACTTAGGGCCAACTGTTAAACAAACTGAGACAAAATGGGAATACAACAACGTGGGCACTGACCTGTCCCCCGAGCCCAAAAGCTTCAATTACCCATTGCTCTCGTCCCCAGGTGATCAGTTTGAAATTCAGCTAACCCAGCAGCTACAGTCCCTTATCCCCAACAACAATGTGAGAAGGCTCATTGCTCATGTTATCCGGACCTTGAAGATGGACTGCTCTGGGGCCCATGTGCAAGTGACCTGTGCCAAGCTCATCTCCAGGACAGGCCACCTGATGAAGCTTCTCAGTGGGCAGCAGGAAGTAAAGGCATCCGAGATAGAATGGGATACGGACCAATGGAAGATTGAGAACTACATTAATGAGAGCACAGAAGCCCAGAGTGAACAGAAAGAGAAGTCGCTTGAGGTGAGGACCACACAGAAACATGAGACCCAGATTTCCCATCATTTAGCATATCCCAGGAAAGTGCCCACACAGAAGAGTCTGGGACTCCCAGGCCATAGCTTATCTTGGCCATGTAACTTTGGTCATGACAGTGATCTCCCACTTTGCTCATGTAGAGAGAGAAATAGATTAGGGCACAAGATGAACTGTAGGCCGGGGGTGGTAGCTCACGCCTGTAATCTCAGCACTTTGGGAGGCGAAGGTGGGTGGATTACTTGAAGTCAGGAGTTTGAGACCAGCTTGGCCAACATAGTGAAAGCCTGTCTCCACAAAAAATAAGAAAATTAGCTGGGTTGATGACACGTGCCTGTAGTCCCAGCTACTTGGAAGGCTGAGGTGGGAGGATCACCTGAGCCCAGGGAGGTCGAGTCTAGTGAACGGTGATTGCACCACGGTACCCCAGCCTGGGTGACAGAGTGAGACCCTCTTTCAAAAAAATAAAAAAGAACCTGTCAGCTACTCACCTGGAATACTGGGGTTTTGAATAGTTAGCTCTCATTCTGGTTTTTTTTTGTGTGTTTTTTTTTTTAGCTCAAAAAAGAAGTTCCAGGATATGGCTATACTGACAAACTCATCTTGGCATTAATTGTTACTGGAATACTAACGATTTTGATTATACTTTTCTGCCTCATTGTGGTAAGGACAATAATTAATTCAGGTTTTCAGAATGCAGTCCTGTCTTTGTGTGGATTCAGAGCTCACAAACTGAAAACCAAAGCCACTTTCCCACCTGCTGCTACTTGACATACTTCTTCAGTCATTTAAGGCTGAGGTGTATGCTTTGTTCTTTTACTGCAGTGTATATTTCAGGATTTTTAAAGGATCCTCGCTTTCAGATCTCTGTGAATTGAAACCATGTGAATCCCACTAGACTATTTTAAGAAGTCGATATAATAGCAAAATTTCTCCCACCCAAAACTATGTCAACAATTGGATGTACTCATCAAGTCACCCTTACTCTGCCACTAATTTATTTCCTTGGTGCTGAAATGATGAGAGAGGTATAATCTCCACCCTCACGGAGTTGTCATCACCCTGGAGAGGAAGGAGAGAGCCAAAAGACATACGTATTGTCTTGTAGACTTATTAGATTTACACAGTATCGTCCTCCAGTGTGTAAGGCATTGTCTAAATAGGTCCAGTTAAAGCACTACAGAGTAGCCATCTTTTACAAAAATTTTTGGCCACATTTTTAAGTTCACTGGTGAGGGGGAACGTCTCATACTCTAGCCCTCCTGAGCCTAGACCCTCTGTGAGATGTGTCACCATTTCTTGGACACCATGTGAGACATTCCCCCTCAGATTAGAGATGCTCAGCTTGCATCAACTTACCTAAAGCCTACATCTGGCTACTCTGGGACAAGTCCTGTTTACAGTGCCCATTCCTGGAGCTTGCCTCTGTCTTTTGTTCGATTACATGATGTATTACTTTTCCCAACAGGCCAGTGCTAGCATATTGGAAGAGTGATTTAATAAAGCTGGCAACCTTGACGCTATGCCACCAGTCCAACCTTACTTGCCTCATTTACCATTTCCATTATTGTGGCAGCCCTCCATTCCAGCCACAGCAGCCCCTCACCAAACCCCAGTCACACCACCCACATTTCTGCTTTTGTCTGTGTGTCTGTCCATCTAAAATGCCCTTATTTCACTCTGCCTGTGGGAGTCCTATGCATCTCTCAAAAGCCAACTCAAGTTCATCTTTCTTCTTGACACCTTCCCTGAATATTCCAGCCCTGCTGAGCCTAGTCCCTTTGTGAGATTTGTCACCATTTCTTGGACACCATATGAGAGACTTCAGAGGCTGAAGTGGGAGGATCGCTTGAGCCTGGGAGGTCGAGGATGCAGTGAGCTGTGGTCGTACCACTGCACTCTAGCCTGGGCAACACAGCTAGGCCCTGTCTTAAAAACAGCCACCACCAAAAACTATCTTGGGATTTGAATAGGATTACGTTAAATTTGTAGATTAATTTGAGAATTTACATCTGTATGACATTCTAGGAACGTGCTATCTCATGTCATGTATTCATTTCTTGTTAATGTCTTTCAGAAGAGCTTTAGTGTTTCCATATATAGATCTTATACATCTTTTGTTAGATAAAAGATCTTTGTATTTTTGTTCCTAAATTCTTCATACATTTGTATTGCCATTGTAAATGGGATCTTCCATTTTCTAATTAGTTATTGGTGGTACATGGGAAAAGTATTTGAGGTTTGTGTGCTGATTTCTTGATTTTGTAGATAGCCACTGTATTGAATTCTCATTACTTCCAGTAAAATCTTAGTTGATTCTCTTAGGCTTCTTTGGCTAACATTTATCATTTAATATGCAAATAATGATAGTTTTGTCTCTTCCTTTCCAATACTTCTACTCTTTCCTTCCTTTCCCTTTTCCTTTTTCCTTTCCTTTCCTTTCCTTTTTTTTCCCTTCTCAGGGCCTTGTTGTCACCCAGGCTGGAGAGCAATGGTGTGACCTAGCTCACTGTAACATCAAACTCCTGGGCTTAAGGGATCCTCCTGCCTCAGCTTCCTGAGTGGCTGGGACTACAGGCAGGCAGCTAATTTAAAAAATGTGTTCGTAGAGACAAGGTCTTGCTATGTTGCCCAGGCTGGTTTTCCTGCCACTTCAGAGGAAGGACTCAGGTTTCCTTTTTCTCCTACTTTTAAGAGTTTTTATTAGGAATTATCTGTTGAATGTTATCTAAAACAGTCAATAAAATGTATTAAGTGCCAGCTGCATGCAAGACCCTAAGTTAGATACAGTCAGCCCTCTTCATCAGCAGGTCCACATCTTCAGATTCAACTAGATCAGGCTGAATATTTGAAGAAAAAAAAACCAATAAAAATACAAACAGAAAGTATAATATAACAACTGTCAACAATGTACAATATGTATACATTTTATTAGTGATGACTTAAATTACATGGGGCCAGGCATGGTGGCTCACACTTGTAATCCCAACACATTGGGAGGCCAACCTGGGCAGCATAGTGAGACCTTGTCTTTATTAAAAATTAAAAAAAAAAATAGCCAGGTGTGGTAGTATGCACCTGTAGTCTCAGCTACTCAAGAGGCTGAGGTGGGCGGATCACTGGAGCCCAGGAGGTTGAGGCTACAGTGAGCTGTGATCGTGACACCGCACTCCATCCTGAGTAACAGAGGATGACACTGCACTCCAGCGTAAGCAACAGAGGGCAATCCTGTCGCTAAGTAAATAAAGTATAGGGGGGATGCGTGTTGGTTATAAGCAAATATTACACCATTATATGTAAGGGATTGAGCATCCACAGATTCTGGTATGGTGTGGGGGCGGTATCCTAGAACCAATCCCCCGCAAGATAGCAAGGATGACTGAACTATGGAAGAATCAAAGCAGTGTTACACAGTATGCAATTCCTGTCTTCAAAAAAGTTACCTCATCAGGTAGATGAGACTTATAATGAATAAAAGGAATCAATACAGATTTGGAGACGGTGGTTGTTGTCATAGATAATCTTAATTGCGTTTTCTTCTAAAACAGATATGTTGTCACCGAAGGTCATTACAAGAAGATGAAGAAGGATTCTCAAGGTAAATATTAGTCTGGTGATTTTTTTTTTCTTCTCTTTTGAGACGGAGTTTCCCTCTTGTTGCCAGGCTGGAGTGCAATGACACGATCTCGGCTCACGGCAACCTCCACTTCCCAGGTTCAAGCGATTCTCCTGCCTCAGCCTCCCGAGTAGCTGGGATTACAGGCATGCACCACTAGTCTCGCGACGTTTTAATTAGAATTTTAGAATTAGAGGAGGGCTTAGAACTCTGCCCTCATTTTTCAGTGAGGAAACTGCCCAAGACAGGACAAATACTTACCCTAATGCTTAGCCTGGCTCCAGTGAAATTAGCTCCCCAGCCAAAGCTGAGCTGGATGGAACTAACAAGGACACACCTGCTGTCCCCAGCCCTTTCGGGAGGTGGGGAGGGATAGGAAGGAGAAAGGTTTTGGTGCCTATTGCTGCTGATGGTGGGCATCAGGCCAGGCCAGGGGCCTTCTTGGAGGCTCTGGGAAAGGGGAAGGGAAGGCCACCGGGTGTGAGAGAGAGGGCACTTGTCTCCTTCAAGGCTGATGGAAGGTAGGATATGTGAGTCCTTCCTCTTAAGTGGCAGGAAACAGTATTTTCTCTTTTATTTCTTTTTTTTTTCCCCTGGATCCTAGAACTGAGGAAACACTATTTTCTCATCTTACTGGTTTTTGGGCCCCTACTCTATTCCTTTTATGCAAACCTCACAGAATTTTAACCAGAAAGGCCAGGCAGGATGGCTCACGCCTGTAATCACAGCACTTTGGGATCACTTGAGGTTAGGAGCTCGTGACCAGCCTGACCAACATGGTGAAACCCCATCTCTACTAAAAATACTAAATTAGCTGGGTGTGGTGGCGCAGGCGTGTAATCCCAGCTACTTGGGAGGCTGAGGCAGGAGAACTGCTTGAGCCCAGGAGGCGCAGGTTGCAGGGAGCCAAGATAGCACCATTGCACTCCAGCCTGGGGAATGAGCCAAACTGTCTCAAATAAAAAAAAAAACAACAAAAAAGAATTTTAACTACGGAGACCTTAGATAGTAGTTTGTCCTTTTATGACAGGAAAACTGAGAAGGAGAAAGGGAGAGTGTCTTACTTACCCCATGGTCACACAATGCACTCTGCCTTTTCCTATTTTATTCAAATTCAAAAATAACATGTTGTGCTTTAAGCTGATTTCGTAGCTCACTCACTCATCAGCGACAGCCAGCCATATGAAGACTGTGAGATAGAGAACTTGGCTAGCTGCACTCACGCATTTGCTTGAGGTGATCCAACTTATAGAATAAAGTATCTAGAAAACGAAGAACCACTTCATCTCCCATCCCCCATCAAATGATGCCTGTGAGACTAAGTCCGAAGGGGACTGATATAAAATGCTTCTGCCCAGCATGGTTGTGCAGTTTGTTCACTGCACAAGGGCACTTGGCCAAGGGAGTGAGTGGGACTGAAAATCCTGCCCCTGCTCCATGCTGAGCCACATACAAAGTCCCCCCAGTATATTGTGGGGCCCTTCTGGGCAGACATGGAGAGCTTCTGAAAGTCCCACATGCATGGAATTATTTTCAAGACCCCGGGTATGTGGTCTGTGGTGGTGGTTCTCCCTGTGATTATGGACTGAGATACTCATTTAGTCCTAATAAGACCAGAGAAGTACATTGTGAGATACGTGGGAAACGGCTGCATCACTCACTGTCTTGTGCATGTGTCTCCCCAGGGGCATTTTCAGATTTCTGCCACGGAGGGGATGCTCTTCGCGAAGGGAGAGTCAGGTACATTGGAGGATTCATTGCTGTGGCCAGGGAAAGCAGAGGACATGCAAAATTAATATTTCCCTTTCTATCTTCTAGGATGGACTTTCCTCATTTGGACAGCCGCTCTGGTTTAAAGATATGTACAAACCTCTCAGTGCCACAAGAATAAATAATCATGCATGGAAGCTGCACAAGAAGTCATCTAATGAGGACAAGATCCTCAACAGGGACCCTGGGTAAATGATGGGGCCCTCACAGTTCCCATCTAAAATGAGGAGGGGGTGAGAAGCTTAATTGCTCCTTTCAAGAATGAAAACCTTGGCATTGTTATTCTTATCCCAGGGACAGCGAAGCCCCAACGGAGGAGGAGGAGAGTGAAGCCCTGCCATAGGAGGAGAACACAGCCCACCTCAGGCCTCCTGCAAAAATACATAGAATAAACAACAACAGTTACTAAATGAATGAAAATTGTGATTCCGATGAAGCCTGCCAGAGAAAAAAAGCATTTTTTAAAAGAGGAAATAAGGTGATATCTGATTAGGGCAAACATGATGCAGACAAGAAATGCACCGGTTCAGAGGAGGGAAGGTCAGGCCGCCTGGGGAGAGTCCATGAAAAAGATGGAACGTGCCAGATGCTGTACCTGGTGCTGGGAAAGAGTTGACTAGGCCAGCATCCCTTTCCTCAAAGGGGGGGCTCCTAGACTGGGGGGAGGGCTGGACATCTGAATACATCCTGAGGAGACAGTGTGGGACAGCATGGTGGCAGTGGAACCAGCCGTGGTTCTGCTCTTGGTCGGCTGGAAAGGAGTAGATGTAAGGGATGGTTTAGAAGAAGGGAAGTGGAAGAAAAGTTTTCTGAGCTGACAAGAGGAAGGAAAGGCCGCCTAGAAGGACACTAAAAAGGCAAGAGAAGCCCTAAGCAGAGTGAGCACCAGACTCCACAGGTTAAGGGCTCAGTCACACAGGACCATCCCCATGTCAGACCCCAGGTGCAAGGCCAAGCATCACCTATGCATCTGACCAACTGGCTGTAAATTGGAGGTCCCCACAACTCCCTCCTCAGGTTTGAACATTTGCTAGAACAGCTCATGGAACCCAGGAAAACAGTTTTCTTACTAGTGCTGATTTATTACAAAGGATATTTTAAAGGACACAAATGATGAAGCCAGTTGAAGAGATACACAGGGTGAGGTTTGGAAGGGTCCTTGTGGAGTTGGGGTGCACCACTCTCCTGGAACATGGATGTGTTCGCCAACCCGGAAGCTCTCCAAGTCCTGTCTTTTAAGGAGTTTTCTGGAGGCTTTATCACATAGGCATGATTGAGCTCCAGCTCTACTCCCCACGCCAGAGGATGGGGAATGGGGCTGACAGCACAACGCTTCCAACCATAGGTCTTTTTGGTGACCAGTCCCCAAATAAGGAGCCCACCAAGAGTCACCTCATGAGAACAAAGGACGCTTCTATCACCCAGAAAATTCCAAGGGATTTAGGAGCTCTGTGTCAGGAACCAGGTTTAAGGACCAAATGTTAGAACAAAAGATGTGCAACCATAAAAAACAGCGAGATCATGTCTTTTGCAGGAACACAGATGGAGCTAGAGGCCATTATCCTCAGCAAACTAAGACAGGAACAGAAAACCAAATACTGTATGTTCTTTTAAGTGGGAGCAAAATGATGAGAACTCATAAACAACAGACACTGGGCCCTACCTGAGGGTGGAGGGTGGGAGGAGGGAGAGGAGCAGAAAAAACTATTGGGTACTAGGCTTGGTACCTGGGTGATGAAATAATCTGTACAACAAACCCCCATGACACAAGTTTAGCTATATAACGAACGTGCATATGTACCCCCTAACCTAAAAGAAAAGTTTAAAAAGGAAAAAACACCTAGGAGAAAAGAAAAATGATAAATTAACAAAGGACAATGCTCTTAGCACCGCCATCATTCAGGAATTTCCAAGGGTTTTAGGAGCTTTGTGTTAGGAACTGGGGGCAGAGACCAAATATATATTTCTTCTTATGTTACACTACCCCAGATAGGAAAACAGAAATTACTCTAGATATTTCAAACAAAAAAGGGTTGTATATAGGCAATTAGTGCTTATCACTGGAGGGGCTAGAGGTGGTGAAGGTTGTGGGGATGGGGTTGCACCACTGGCTTTCAGGCTACTTTACCACAGCTGATTTCCAGAGGATGGAAGAAGTCAGGAAACTTGGGAAACCGCTGCTGAGGTCCTTGCAGCCCCACGGTCCCCAGGCTGGTGACTGGTGGGGGAGTATGGAGTCCAGCTGACCACCAGAGCCTGCACACCTGCTGCTATGGGGGAGGAAAGGATGACTTCTACCTCCTTTCCACATTCCAAATTCCACGTGACTACATTTTATTGGCAGCACCCCGCTGGCAAGTGAGCCTTGATGTGTGCTTCCTGGGCTTCTGGCACCTGCACAGAAAGGGGTGAAATGAGTGTCACGAGCAGCCACCACTCTGCATCACACCTCCACATCCAGGTGTGCTGGAGAGCCCCACTTACACTTGGAGTGTCCTGGTGCCCTACCCACTTTTGGTAGGTGTTTGGGTGTCTGAGGCTTTGCAAAAGAAGAAGGTGGGGAGTCTATGGTGGAGTCACATGGTGGAGACCTAGCTAAGTCAGAGGCCTGGAGAGGTGTCACTGGCTGGGCAGCAGGTAACACACAATCATCCTGAGCTGATTGGAGAAACACCTGGGATTGATTCAGAGTTTTTTCTGGAATGTTTTCACTGGAATGAAAGCTGAGCGGTCTGCAGGCCATATAGTATTGGAGAAAACTTAGCCCTCATTGAAAAAGGCTGCCAGAGAAAAGATATCCACAGGGAAATTCAGGAGTTTTGTTTGTTTTTTTTTCTTTTAAGGTGGAGTTTTGCTCTTGTTGCTCAGTCTGGAATGCAATGGCACGATCTCAGCTCACTGCATCCTCCGCCTCCTGGGTTCAAGCAAGTCTCCTGCCTCAGCCTCCCTAGTAGCTGGGGTTACAGGCATGCACCACCATGCCCGGCTAATTTTTGTATTTTTAGTAGAGATGGGGTTTCACCATGTTGGTCAGGCTGGTCTCGAACTCCTGACCTCAGGTAATCCACCCGCCCTGGCCTCCCAAAGGGCTGAGATTACAGGTGCGAGCTACCGCGCCTGGCTTGTTTTGGGTTTTGGGGTTTTTTTTGTGTTTTGTTTGTTTGTTTGTTTTTGGAGACAGTCTCTGTCACCCAGGCTGGAGTGCAGCAGCGTGATCTCGGTTGACTGCAACCTCTGCCTTCCAGGTTCAAGTGATTCTCCTGCCTCAGCCTCCCGAATAGCTGGGATTACAGGCACCCACCACCATGCCCGGCCAATTTTTTTTTTTTTTTTTTTTCTAAAAACAGTTTCACCATGTTGGCCAGGCTAGTCTTGAACTCCTGACCTCAAGTGATCCGCTCACCTTGGCCTCCCAAAGTGCTGGGATTACAGGCATGAGTCACTGTGCCCCGCCAGGAAATTCAGTTTCTGAAAATACACCTGTGGATCTCTAGCCTTGAACACCCTTGGATGCTGCTTTAAATGACTGATCCTCGATGCCTCCCTTCTAACTCACACTCCCCTATATCAATCTCCCAGAAAAAGGGACCTCTTTTATTCTTTTTTTTTTTTTTTTTTTTTCAGAGACGGGCCTCACTTTGTTGCCCAGGCTGGTTTTGAACTCCTGGCCTCAAGTGATCCTCCCGCCTTGGTCTCTCAACGTACTGGGATTACAGGTGGGAGTCCCCGCGCCCGGCAAAGCCTATATTAAACCCTTTTATGCACACTCGGCGGTACTGCAGAGAGGGCAGGGAGGAAGCAGAGGTGCCCTGGCATCTTCAGCTGGAGGTGAGCAGGGCGCTGAGGGTGGGAGAGGCCCGGCGCCTGGGGATGGGAGGCAGGACTGCACCTTCACAGGGACGCTTCCACCCTACCCCGGAGGTCAGGGCCTCTCGCCCAGCTCTGGCTCTGAGGTCCTGGAGGGAGGGAGATGCTGTTGCGACTCAGAAGATTGGGGGAGGGCCACCCCCATTCGAGAAGAGTGAAAATCCTGAGCCTGAAGAAGTGGAACCGGTTGGAGCCGAGGCTTTAGAGGATGGCGTTCGAAAGAGGGTCTGGCGCCGCCCTGTGGACTGTTCGGGCTCGCAGGGCCGAAGGCTCCGAAGACTGAGACCTGTGAACCATGGGGAGGCTCCATGCGGATGGGGGCCACAGCCCCCGCCGGAGCCCCCACACTAGCCCTGGACTTCTCCACTGGCTTACGACATGAGAGCTCAATATGCTCCTTATTTAACGCACTGTTGTATCAGGTCCCTGTGGGAGCCACTGGCTCTATAGCCTAATAAAGGAGCGGGTGCACGCACTGGATTGGTGAGCTACCGCCACTGCAACGCGTCCTAATCAACCATCCTAAACGGCGGCTGGAACAAGGTTCTCGCAGGCCTGTGCTTGGGCTTGAACGCTGGTCCAGCCGCTGCGCTCTGTGGCTCCCTGTAGGCCTGCGGATCGGCCAGGGGGCTCCGTTCCTTTTGGGCGGAGGCTGAAGAAGCAGCGGCTGCACCAGAGAAGGCCCTCTGGGTGAAGGTGGGAGCGCACGGGGCCCGCGGAACCACCTAAGGCGACTTCAGACGTGGGCTCGGAACTGGCAGCCTTTCGTTTCTGCTTCATTCCAAGGCCAGAGCAAGCCACGTGGGCAAACCCAAAGCCAGGGGACAGGAAAGTATCCTCCACCCACAACGAAACCATGGCAAGCGGTGGATGCAGGTACGGCCAATAGTCTATCTATCCCGGTGAGTGAGGAGACCTGCTTTGAGGGTTGCACAACCTGGATCTGCTTTTACAGTGGTGTCTGTCACTATGAAGACTCCACCATGGGTCGCCATCAGGTCAGGGACCCTGACAAGGCAAGAACTGCATCTTCCTCTGCACACAGCTCTGCTCCCTTCCCCGCCATGCCTAACACCAAGCCTAGCCCTGAGGGATGACTCAGGAATATTACTGAGAGCATTTTAGGCCATTCCTTCATTATCCCCATGTGACTTGTTATGAAATATAGACTGACTTCCTGAAGATCAGCACATAGTGCTAAGTATTTGGCTTGTAATCTGTAGAGACTCTGCCATTTGGAGCTGGGATCTGTCCCCAGAGCTGTCAGACACCAAATCCCGTATCTACTGCCACCCAAAGGGACCTCCAGAAGAAAGGGGTTATACAGGGTCAAACACCAAGGCAGGTTAGTGAAATTTCTCTAGAGGCCATTTAAAGCTGGAGTCTCACCACCTGAACTGCCCTCAGAGGAAGGCTGTCTAGGGCACAAACCTAGTCAGGGGTCCACATGGACTTAAGGACAATTTTTTTTTTTTTTTTTTTTTTTTTGAGACAGTCTCATTCTGTCATCAAGGCTCGAGTGCAGTGGTGTGAACTCAGCTCACTGCAAGTCTCAACCTCCTGGGCTCAGGTGATCCTCCCACCTCAGCCTCCCGAGTAGCGGGAACCACAGGCTCGTGCCATGATGCCCAATTAATTTTCTTTTAAATTTTTTGTAGAGATGAGGTCTCCCCGTGTTGCTCAGTCTAATCTTGAACTCCTGGACTCAAATGATCCTCCTGCCTCTGCTCCTCAAAGTCCTGGGACTACAGGTGTGAGCCAATGCACCTGGCCTCTTATGAATAATTTTAAAAACAATGAGGTTCACCGTCAGAGCCCCTGCTGCTCTACCAAGTCCCTTGGCCCCTCTCAACAGGGCAAAAGCAAGATGAGCCCCAGATGTTCTGCTTAATGACCACCTTTCCCAGGAGACTTTGCTCTTTAAAGGAGAACCACTTAGAGATATGAGCAACCTTAAAGAATGCCACCAGCACTAGTGAATGCCAGGCACGGGCCACGTGGGTGGAGAGTATACTTTAGGGCAGTCACTCATGGTAAATTATTTCCACCAGCCCCCAGAAGTGACTATTCAATGTCCAACTATGTCAGGCCCAGGCTAATAAAAGTAGAGGCATGAGGAACCTAGGGTTGTTCTGAAGTGCCTTGATTATGGTACATGTGGAAGATTTTAGAGCTTGTTGTAAAAAGTGATGACCCATGGCCCCCCAGGCTGGGTCTGGGATTCCCTTTGTGGATTACAAGAGGATATTATGCAGCAGTTTTTAAAAATGAGGCAGACTGGGACAATCTATCTCCAAGATGCATAGGTGCTGTTAAGGGAACAAAGCAAGATTTAGTAGGGCGTGTATAGTATGCTACTGTGCGCTGTGCGTTATCTGTACAGAACTGTGAGGTCTGATACAGTAGCCACTAGCCACATATGGCTATTTACATATAAATTTAGGTTGGCCACAGTGGCTCATGCCTGTAATCCTAGCACTTTGGGAGGCCAAGTGGGAGGATAGCTTGAGGCCAATAGTTCAAGAACACCCTGGGCAACATAGTGAAGCCCCTTTTCTACAAAAAATTTATTTATTTATTTATTTTTATTTTTTTTGAGACGGGTCTCACTCTGTCACCCAGGCTGGAGTGCAGTGGCGCAGTCTCAGCTTATTACAACATCTGCCTCCTGGGTTCAAGCGATTATCGTGCCTCAGCCTCCAAGTAGCTGGGACTACAGGCACGCACCACCATACCCAGCAAATTTTTGTATTTTTGGTAGAGACAAGGTTTTGCCATGTTGGCCAGGCTGGTCTTGAACTCCTGACCTCAGGTGATCTGCCCGCCTCAGCCTCCCAAAGTGCTGAGATTACAGGCATGAGCCACTGCGCCCAGGCAAAAAATTTAAAATTGTAAAAATCAGCCAAACATGGTGGCATTCATCTGTAGTCCCAGCAACTTAGGAGGCTGAGGTGGGAGGATTTCTTGAGCCCAGGAGGTCAAGGTTGCAGTGACCTATGACTGCACCACTGCACTCCAGCCTGGACAACAGAGTGAGGCCCTGTCTCAAAAAATAAATAAATAGGAGTTTGAGGCCATGTTCACACATCACTGCAGTCCAGTCTGGTAAACAGAGCAAGACGCTGAGTCTTTAACAAAAAAAAAAAAATTTTTAAAGTCAGCTGCTAAGACACACTAGCCACATATCAAGTGCTCAACTGCCCCGTGTGGCTAATGGCTTCCAAACTGGCAGCACAGGCAACTGTTTTCATCACTGAAGTTCTGTTGGACAAGAATACCTCTGGAAGCACACACGAGAAACTGGTAATGGCGGTTGCCTTCCGGGAGGGAAACTGGGAGAGTGCAGGGCTGTATGCCCTTTTGTACCTCTTGAATTTCATATCATGCATTTGTACTAGGTGTTTACAAATTATTTTAAAAACATACTGGGAATTAGGAATCCCCATATGGAATCACTGCAGTGGGACACTGATTCCCAAAAAATTACTTTGCAATTTGCCTAAAACAAATTAAGCTAATAGCTATCATGATTTCATATTTAATATTTTTTCACAGCTTAGAGTTTTTTTAGCTCCTGTTGCTATCTCTCTGCTCTTATGAGCTCACAGGGTGACAAAGTGAATTAGTAAGTAGCAGGAGAACATTAAAGGAAAAACTCCTGGGCAACAGGGCAAAACGCCGGCTCTACAGAAAATACAAAACATTAGCCAGGCATGGTGGCATGCACCTATGGTCTTAGCGACTTGGGAGGCTGAGGTGGGAGGATCGCTTGAGCCCGGAAGGCGGTAACTCAATCCCAGCAGAATCCCAGGGAGCGAAGGTGGCTCATCCCAAAAGAAAAACAAGAAGGAAATTCTATTACCAGAAGACAAAGGGATGAAATGAGGGATGGAGAATCAAAGACTGAAGCTACTAGGGTTTGTTTTTATTAATATTTAATTTTTTCAGAGGCGAGGGTCTCAGTATGTTGCCCAGGCTGGCCTTGAACTCCTGGCCTCAAGCAATCCTCCTGCCTGAGCCTTCCGAGTTGTTGGGATTACAGATATGAGCCACTGCATCCAACTTTGGTTCTTGTTTGTCTGTTTTGTTTTGTTTTGGTTTGTTTTTTTGACAGAGTTTTGCTGTGACTCCCAGGCAGTGACTCAGCCTCGGCTCACTGCAGCCTTGACCTTCTGGCCTCGAGTGATCCTCCCACCTCAGCGCCACCCCCCACTGCCCTCCAATATCTGGGACTACAGGTGCGCGTGACCGCACACAGCTAATTTTTAAATTTTTTGTAGAGATAGGGTTTCACTATGTGGCTCAGGCTGGTCTCCAACTCCTGGACTAAGCGATCTGCCTGCCTTGGCCACCTCCCAAAGTGTGAGCCACCATGCCCACCCATTGAACATTGAAGCTAGACTGGGCAAACCCTTAAGCCTAAACCAGTAACAGTTTTTCACAAGTTCATAGATGTTACTGTGGTTAATAACACACAAATTCATTTAAAAGCATGTGTGTCCACATAGTAATTTTTGGTCCTTATTTTTATTTTTATTTTTCAGTTAATGGATATTAAAGATACAACTTTATTTTGTTTTTTTTGAGACAGGGTCTCACTCTGTCACCCAGGCTGGAGTGCAGTGGCATGATCAGAGCTCATTGCAACCTCCACCTCCTGGGTTCAAGAGATTCTCCTCCCTCAGCTTCCTGAGTAGCTGGGATTGCAGGTACATGCAATCACACCTGGCTAATTTTTGTACTTTTTGTAGAGATAGGGTTTTACCATGTTGCTCAGGCTGGTTTTGAACTCCTGAGCTCAAGTGATCCACCTGCCTCGGCCTCCCAAACTGCTGGGATTACACAAGTGAGCCACCACACCCGGCCTAAAGATATAATTTCTATCATGAGGAGGTCCAAGAACTATTCTCTTTTTCTTTTTTTAATGTTAGAAAGGGATTAACTGGGTATGTGCTGCAGCAAAGGGAGGGGAAATTAAGCAAGAAGAGAAGGGAGCCAGGAAATAAAGGCCCCAACCCAGGAAGCAGTTAAGCAAAGTTCCAGGATGACCCATGTGACAAGTTTAGGGGATAACTTGAGCACATGGAGGACAGAACTTGGAGAGGGCACTGTGGGCCTGGGCGCCACCTGCTCCGCCAGAGCACTGGAAGAGAACGAGGGCACGATAATGGCAGATGGCACTGAAAGAAAAGGAGAGAGCTTGAGGCACCCTTGGGGGAAGCAGCCATCATCAGAGTGTATTTTATTTTTATTTTATTATATTTTGAGATAGAGTCTCACTCTGTTGCCCAGGCTGGAGTGCAGTGGCATGATCTCGGCTCACTGCAACCTCCACCTCCCAGGTTCAAGTGATTCTCTGCCTCAGCCTCCCAAGTAGCTGAGACTACAGGGGGGCACCACCACACCCGGCTAATTTTTGTATTTTTAGTAGAGATGGGGTTTCTCCATGTTGGCCAGGTTGGTCTTGAACTCCCGACCTCAGGTGATCCGCCCACCTTGGCCTCCCGAAGTGCTGGGATTACAGGCATGAGCCACCATGCCTGACCTCACAGCACATTATTAAGCTCTGTGGTGAATAATATTTATATAGTCACAATTCTGTAAACACTGTTCATTTTCTACAAATTGTGGCAAACCCAAACCTCAAGAATGGACAGGGCTAGGGTGTAAAAGAGCTAAGTCCTTGCCAGGTTTACCAGGAAGGCAACAGACAGTGTCTAAAACTATGAGACAGCTGGGCGCGGTGGCTCACGCCTGTAATCCCAGCACTTTGGGAGGCCGAGGCGGGTGGATCACGTGAGGTCAGGAGTTTGAGATCAGCCTTGACAACATGGTGAAACCCCGCGTCTACTAAAAATATCAAATTAGCTGGGCATGGTGGCAGGTGCCTGTAATCCCAGCTATTAGGGAGGCTGAGGCAGGAGCATTGCTTGAACCCAGGAGGCGGAGGTTGCAGTGAGCCAAGATGGCACCATGCATAGGTTTTATGCCAATACTACACCATTTTATATCAAAGCCTTGAATATCCAAGGATTTTGGTATCTATGGGAGGTCCTGGAACTAATCCCCCACAGATACCAAAGGATGAGTATACACCTTTTCTTACTTTCGAATTTTGAACCAGACAGATACGCTGCAATTCAACAAATTAAAATAACTGAACCTACAATCAAGGAGAAAAATATTTATCCCTAATAACTAATGGACCATCTTACGCCGTCTATAAAAATATCAATTAAGAAATCACGGCCGGGCACAGTGGCTCACGTCTGTAATCCCAGCACTTTGGGAGGCCGAGGCGGGCAAATCACTTGAGGTCAGGAGTTTAAGACTAGCCTGGCAAACGTGGTGAAACCCCATCTCTACTGAAAATATAAACAAATTAGCCAGGCATGGTGACGGGCACCTGTAATCCCAGCTACTCGGGAGGCTGAGGCAGGAGAATTGCTTGACCCAGGAGGTGGAGGTTGCAGTGAGCCGAGATCACACCACTTCACTCCAGCCTGGGTGACAGCAAGACTCCGCCTCAAAAAACAACAACAACAACAAAAAACGCGGTGATACACGCCTATAATCCCAGCACTTTGGGAGGCCAAGGCGGGCGGATCACAAGGTCAAGAGATCCAAGACCATCCTGGCCAACATGGTAAAACCCCATCTCTACTAAAAATACAAAAATTAGCTGGGCATGGCGCGCACCTGTAGTCCCAGCTACTTGGGCGGCTGAAGCAGGAGAATCGCTTGAACCTGGGAGGTGGAGGTTGCAGCGAGCCGAGATTGCGCCACTGCACTCCAGCCTGGCGACAAAGCGAGACTCCGTCTCAAAAAAATAAAAAAGAAATCAGAAACTGTTCAAATTCCAATCTATACAAGTGAAACCTACACAGTTAAATGTCTTAATAGAGAGCTAAAAGCATTAAGTTCTGTCATACTCAACATACTGATGAAAAAAATTTGAACTAAAAGACAGCCTGATCTTTAGAAACTGGCAGAAAAAATAGGGGCTGCATCCAAGACCACTCACGGCACGTCCATTCTTCCAGCAGCTCCCAACTGCTATTTTATGAAAAGTCCAAATTTCCCACCCCAAGGTCCTAGAGTACAGCCAGCTCCCTACCATCAAAAACAATAGCTACCAAAACTCAGTAAAATTAGGCTTGTTATGAAGAGAAGATTGAAGAAATAAAGGTATTTATTTCATCTTGGTATTTGAATGTGGAAACTCCCAGTAGGGTAAGAAAAAAGAATTCTGCCAGAGAAATGATGAAGTGAAACCTCAAACAATTTGGGCTTTTGAGTGCCTACTGTCATCCAGCCACGAAATGAAGCATTTTACATAAGTAATTTAAGCCCAGTGATGCAGGCAGTAAGTATTATCTCCATTTTAAGATGAGGAAATTGAGACAGACGAGATTACCTAACTCTCTCAAGGTTTCACCACAGAGCTGTGGTTCAAACCCATGTGTTCTAGTTTTATTACAGTTAAGAAACTGCAAGAGTTTGCCAATTTGTCAAGTGCCAGTCCAAGATAAATGGACACTCTGAGTATCAAAAAAATACATAATCTGCAGATCAAAACACGAAGATACAAACATCTAAGAGTCACCATGGAAGTTGCGGGGCATCCAGTGGTTTTTCTGAAAATCCATGAAGGAAAAGAATAAAGCATTTTTCCAGCCTTTCTTCTACAAACTATATTTCAGGGAAACCAAATATTTGATGAGGGAATTCTTTGTTTAGAAGGATTTTAGCTAATAAATGCAGAGGAATAACAAGATTTAGGAGGGGGGAGAAATCACCATTTTGTGACTTCTAATAAAATAATGGGTCTAGGCAACAGTTTTCAATGGATGCTAAAACGATTAGGTGAAAAGTTGATGGAGAATTTTAATTCAGGGGAATTAGGCTGATACCATCTGAAACCATTTGGCATCATTAAAAATGTGACAACCTGGTGGCTGCCAGGGAGGAAGGGGAGAGGGTGGGGGAAGAACAGAAGTTATAGTTTATGGGCACAAAGTTTTGGTTTTACAAGATGAAAATAGTTACAGAAATGAATGGTGGTGATGGTTGCAGAATATTATGACTGACTATACACTTAAAAATGTTTAAGATAGAGCTGGGTGCAGTGTTGCACACCTGTAGTCCCAGTTATGCAGGAGGCTGAGGTAGGAGAACCACTTGAGCCCATGAGTTCGAGACCAGTCTGAGTAACATATAGAGACCTCATCTCACAAAAACATCACTACCACAAAACAAAACAAAACAAATTGTTAAGATGCTAAATTTTAAGTTATGTGTATTTTACCACAATAAAAAAAAATGAGGCCGGGTGCAGTGGCTCATGCCTGTAATCCCAGCACCTTGGGAGGCCGAGGCGGGTGGACCACAAGGTCAGGAGTTCGAGACTGGCCTGGTCAATATGGTGAAACCCTGTCTCTACTAAAAATACAAAAAAACTAGCCGGACGTGGTGGCTCACGCCTATAGTCCCAGCTACTCGGGAGGCTAAGGCAGGAGAATCACTTGAACCCAGGAGGCTGGGGTTGCAGTGAGCCGAGACTGCACCACTGCACTCCAGCCTGGCCAATAGAGGGAGACTCCGTCTCAAAAAAAAAAAAAAAAGAAAAGAAAACATAGTTACCCAGCAATTCCACTTCTAGGCATATACCCAAAGAACTCAAAGCAGGGACTCAAACAGATACTTGGACATGAATCTTCATAGCAACACTATTCATAATAGACAAAAAGCAGAAGCAACTCAAGAGTCCATCGATAGATGAATGGATAAACAAAATGTGGTATATCCATAAAATAGAATATCATTCAGCCATAAAAGGAATTAAGTTCTGATACATACTACAGCATAGATGAACCTTGAAAACATTGTACTAAGTGAAAGAGGCCAGGCAGCTAAACTTCCAAAGACTAATATACAATTCCACTGAATAGGCAAATTCATAGACAGAGGATAGAATAAAGGCTAATGAGGGGTGGGGGAGAAGAGAATGGGCAGTTATTGCTAATGGATACAAAGTTTCTGTTGGGGATGATGAAAAAATTGTGGAACTGGACAGTGGTGATGGTTGTAAAACACGGTGAATGTACTTAATGCCACTGAATTGTACACTTAAGAATAAACTTGTAAATTTTATATTATATATACTTTGC
Organism: Homo sapiens; assembly: GCF_000001405.40. NCBI lineage: Eukaryota > Metazoa > Chordata > Mammalia > Primates > Hominidae > Homo > Homo sapiens. Next base: position 1,087,979 of record NT_187663.1, read on the forward strand.
CACAATAAAAATTTTTTTAAAAATGTCTAAGTGTGACAACCGAACTTCTGTGTTAGGATAGGAAGAATACTTATGAAGTATTCTTGCCCCTGAAATGAACCAAAATCTAATCAAGTCTCTAGAATAAACAACCAGTTCACAGGAAATCCACAGATAGCCAAGCAAGTTAGATGGCACTATAATAAAGTAATCAACCAAATCCAGAATGTGGAATAAGCAGTTAAAAAAAAAAAAAAAAAGGGGGGGGGAGGCCAGGCGAGGTGGCTCACACTATGGTCTCAGCACTTTGGGAGGCCAAGGTGGGCAGATGCTTGAGCCCAGGAGTTTGAGACCAGATTGGGCAACATGGTGAAAATCCATCTCTATAAAAAGTACAAAAAAATTTGCTAGGTGTGATGGTATGCACCTGTGGTCCCAGCTACCTGGGAGGCTGAAGTCAGACAATCGCTTGACTCCAGGAGGCAGAGGTTACAGTGAGCCAAGATTGTGCCACTGCACGAGACCCTGTCTCAAAAAAAAAAAAGGAAAAAAAAAGGCATAGAAAAAGAACAACTGCTGTAGAATAAAAGACTAAAGAGGCAAAACAACAAAATGCACTGTGCGAACTCTGATCCAGATGCAAACAAAGCAGATGTAGAAAAGATGTAGAAAGGATACTTTTTTTTTCTCTTTTTTTTTTTTTTTTTGAGATGGAGTCTCGCCCTGTCGCCCAGGCTGGGGTGCAATGGCGCAATCTCGGCTCACTGCAACCTCCGCCTCCTGGGTTCAAGAGAATCTCCTGTCTCAGCCTCCCGAGTAGCTGGGATTACAGGCATGCACCACCAAGCCTGGCTAATTTTTTTTGCATATTTTTAGTAGAGACAGGGTTTCACCATGTTGGCCAGGCTGGTCTCCAACTCCTGACCTCAGGTGATCCACCAGCCTTGGCTTCCCAAAGTGCTGGGATTACAGGTGTAAGCCACCACACTCAGCCAGGATACATTTGATACAACTGGAGAAATTAGAATAAGGACTAGGTGCTAGATATTAAAGAATTATTATTAATTTTGGAGATGTTATAATAGCATGAAGATTTTATATATATATATATGCCTTATCAGTTGGAAATGAACACTAAAGGACATGTGAATAAAAGGCATCATGTCTGGGATGGGCAAAATGCTTATAACTGTTGAGGCTTGGTGATGGGTACATGGGGGTTCGTTATGTTATCCTCTCTGTCTTTGTATTTGTTTTAGATTTTCCACTAAAAAAGTTAAAAAAATAAATGCACTACTTTGAGAAAAAACATTCTAAAATCTATAGCCTGGAAAAGATAACTGCAAATAGAGTTAATTGCCAAAGGTAACAGCTAAAACAATGATATAAAATATAAAGGGACAGTCGACTTGGGTATTTCATCTGGAAAGACTGACGAATATGTAAGTCTTTACTATCAAGTACATGCAGGAGAATCTTCAAAACAAACAGACTCCAAATAAATTCTAAAATGAGAAATTTGTAGATTCCATATGGTTAATATTTTACATGAAAATCGGGGTGTAAAAACTATAGTCAGCCCTCTGTATCCACAGATTCAACCCACCTTGAACCAAAAATATTAAAAAGTAATAACGCAGGCCGGACACGGTGGCTCACGCCTATAATCCCAGAACTTTGGGAGGCCGAGGCGGGTGGATCACCTGAGGTCGGGAGTTCGAGACCAGCCTGACCAACATGGAGAAACCCCGTCTCTACTAAAAATACAAAATTAGCCGGGCGTGGTGGTGCATGCCTGTAATCCCAGCTACTCAGGAGGCTGAGGCAGGAGAACCACTTGAACCCGGGAGGCGGAGGTTGTGGTTAGCCGAGATCGCGCCATTGCACTCCAGCCTAGGCAACAAGAGTGAAACTCCGTCTCAAAAAATAAATAAATAAGTAAATAAATAAAAATAATAACGCAACAGTAAAAAAAAAAATACAAATAATACAGTCTAACTATATAGCATTTACATGCTAGTAGACATAAGAAGTAATCTAGTAGTGATTTAAAGTAGACAGGGGGGCTGGGCACAGTGGCTCACGCCTATAAGCCCAGCACTTTGGGAGGCCAAGGTGAGCGAATCACCTGAGATCAGAAGTTCGAGACCAGCCTGACCAACATGGTGAAACCCCATCTCTACTAAAAATACAAAAATTGGCCAGGCGTGGTGGTGCATGCCTGTAACCCCAGCTACTTGGGAGGCTGAGGCAGAAGAACCACTTGAACCTGGGAGGCGGAGGTTGCAGGGAGGCAAGATCACACCACTGCACTCCAGCCTGGGCAACAGGGCAAGACTCTGTCTCACAAAAGAAACCTCCCCAGTAAGTATAAAGAGACCCTAAGAGAGGAAATGGCTGACAGTGTAAATAGAGCAGAGCACCAGAAGGTATCACTTCAAGCATCCGTCTTTAGAGACATTTCACAGAAACAGTATCGAGGCTACAAACCGAATAATCTTTACCTTTTGTGTTCTGGAAAAAATGCTGCCACAGAGGTCTGATTTTGAAGTGGCTGCCAACATCCCAGACAGCGAAGGTGTTATTTTTATATTCTACTGTCTCCACACAGAAACCTAAATGAAACATGGGGAAAACATTTAATTATGATTTGTGCTGGTTGAACAATTCAAAATAATTTCAACATGCGGACAGTACTTTTAATTTACAAAGCAGCCTGCTAGTCAAAGATCTATAGCCTTCAAAGAGAATGTGCTGGCCCCCTCGCCCATTCATCAGGACAGGTGTCTCAAACCTTCTCTACTCTCCAATCTCTAGCCACGCACCTGCCCTTTCTCTCAGCAGGAGACTATCACAGTGTACTTCAGAGCAGAGAAGCCGCCGATGGGAATGACTTCCACTTCCACCATACAGTGTAAAAGCCAGTCTACATCTTTACCCATGCTTTTCTTCCTCCCTCTTGGAACAACAGAAGAAGGTAACTCTCTTCCACCAACTCCCTCCCTCTATGAGCCAGATCCACCCTACCCAGACTGTCTGGAACTTTTTACTATTCCTATTCTCTCCCATATCTGAATATCTCCAATCTGTTCACCTTGGCATGCTTAAGCCTTTTACATCTTTAAAAACAACAAAACAAACCTTTCCTTGATCCCCACATCTTCATCGCACTCTCTTCCTTCACATCTTCACCCTCTATTTGCTTTTTTTTTTTTTAAGAGACAGGGCCTTGCTGTGTTGGCCAGGCTGGAGCACAGAGGTACAATCATAGCTCACTGCAGCCTCAAACTCCTGTGCTCAAGGGATCCTCCTGCTTCAGCCTCCCAAGCAGCTAGAACTATAAGCATGAGCCACCATACCTAGCTAAATTTAAAAAGTTTTTTGTAGACACAGGGTCTCACTATGTTGCTCAGATTGGTCTAAAACTCCTGAGGTCAAGCAACCTGTCCACTAAGCTTTCTTTGGTCCTCTCACGCAACAGCACCTTAGCTCTGCTCCACCATTGGGTAGCTGGTTTTCAGTAAGGTCAGCAGTGATCACCAGGTCAATAAATCTAACACAGGCCTTCTCAGTTCTTCCATAATTTGATCTTCTATCTGACGCTACTGCTCACTCCCTCCTTGACACCCTTCCCCAGCTTCCCTTTTCCTTCTATCTCTATGGCTGTACTGTCTCAGTCTCCTTAGTGAACTCAGCCACGTTTAACTGATCCTGCAATGATGGGAGTCGCCCTGGCTCTCACTGGCCCCATCCACTCTCCTCTTTCTGCACCCCTCCCTAGGCAATCTCACTCACTCCCACGACTTCATTCCTATCTCTGTACTAACTCTGAGATTTATATCCCCCAACCTAGCCCTCTCTCCTGAGCTTCAGGCTCATAATCTAACAGCTTTGGCAAATGTCTTCAAGGCCCCAAAACAAGGTGATCAGTCAAAAAATGGAATTTAAGGTCCCTACCCCCAACCTCCTCCTCTGCTAGTTATCCCATCATTGACTTCGTTCCACAAGCTGATAGCCTGAGAGGTGCCCTGGTAACATCCGATGCTCGCACCCCTAGAACCCTACTACCACACCTTATCAATTCAACCCCTTCAACAACTAATAGTCACCCTAACCCAACAGACCATCATTTCTAGCCTCAATTCCTGAAACCATATAACTAATTTCACCTCAGCCACTCTCCCTCTCTCCATCCGGTCACCATCTTCTAAACAAAGCAATAGCTTAAAAACACATAGTGTGGTCACGTCATTTCTCTACACATTTATGTTTGATTGGAATATTTTCAAACTTAAAAAAGAAAGAATAATCGCCCCAAAAAATAAAATTAAAAATTAAAAAAAAAAGAAAGAATAGGCCGAGCACAGTAGCTCACACCTGTAACCCCAGCACTTTGGGAGGCTGAGGTGGGCAGATTGCTTTGAGCTCAGGAGTTTGAGACCAGCCTGGGCAACATGGTGAAACCCTGTCTCTACAAAAAAACACAAAGATTAGCCAGGCATTGGTGCCGTGTGCCTATAGTCCCAGCTACTTGGGAGGCTGAGACAGGAGAACTGCTTGAAGCAAACATTGCAGTGAGCTGAGATCACACCACCGCACCCCAGCCTGGATGACAGAATAACATCCAAGAAAGAAAAGAGGAAGAGAGAGACAGAGAGAGAGAGACAGAGATGGGAGGGGAGGGGAGGGGAGGAAGGAAAGGACAGAAAAGGGAGGAAGGGAGGGAGGAAGGAAAGGAAAAGAAGGAAAGATGTCCCCTTAGCGGCTTCCCACACCCAAATCCCAAACATGACTGTCAAGACCCAAGCAAGCTGGGTCTGCTCACCTTCCAAACCTCAATTCTAGTCATGCCTTATTTTAGTGAGAGACACTCGTTACATTGCAACAATCTAAATTCTTGCTAAATAAATAAATACAATGCCATTCCAATCCTATAATGATGGTAGGGGCAGGGGCAGGAAACTTAGCAAAATTATCTAAAATTTAACCTGGAGAAATAAACAAGTAAGCATAACCAGGAAATCTCTGAAAATGAGTAATGAATTATTTTTAAGGATATGCCAAGCCCTAGTAACACTTGAATAGAGTTCAAATATAAATGCAACAGGTACTTGCCCAAAAAAAGACACACATACCAGTGAGAATTTAGTATGTAACGAAGGCATTTCAAATCAGCATGGAAAAATTATTCAATAAATGACATTGAACAACTGTCTACCCCAGCACCGTCCAATACATAGTCACTAGCCATTTGTGACTATTTGTTTATGTTTTTGTTTTATTTTGTTTTTTTTTTGAGACAGAGTCTCGCTCTTGTCACCCAGGCTGGAGTGTATGGTGCGATCTCGGCTCACTGAAACCTCCGCCTCCCGGATTCAAGTGATTCTGCTGCCTCAGCCTCCCAAGTAGCTGGGATTACAGGCGCCTGCCACCACGCCCATTTTGCAATTTTAGTAGAGACGGGGTTTCACCATGTTGGCCAGGCTGGTCTCGAACTCCTGACCTCAGGTAACCCGCCTGCCTCAGCCTCCCAAAGTGCTGAGATTACAGGCGTGAGCCACCATGCCCGGCCTATTTATTTATTTTTTGAGACACAGTCTTGCTCTGTAACCTAGGTTGAAGTGCAATGGTGCGATATCAGCTCACTGCAACCTGTGCCTCCCGGGCTGAAGTGATTCTCCTGCCTTAACCTCCCGAGTAGCTGGGATTACAGGTGCATGCCACTACTAATTTTTGTATTTTTAGTAGATATGGGGTTTCACCACGTTGGCCAGGCTGATCTCGAACTCCTGGTCTCAAGTGATCTTCCCACCTCAACCTCCCAAAGTGCTGGGATTATAGGCATAAGCCACTGCGCCTGGCAACGTGGCTATTTAAACTTAAAGTTAAAATCAAAAATCAATCAATAAATAAAAATAAATAAAAAATAAACTTAAAGTTAAATACAATTAAAAGTTCAGTTCCCGGCTGGACACAGTGGCTCATGCCTGTAATCCCAACACTCTGGGGGGCCAAGGTGGACGGATCACCCGAGGTCAGGAGTTCGAGACCAGCCTGGCCAACAGGGTAAAACTCCGTCTCCACTAATAATACAAAAATTAGCCGGGTGTGGTGGCGTGCACCTGTAATCCCAGCTTCTCAGGATGCTGAGGCAGAAGAATGACTTGAACCCAGGGGGCGGATGTTGCAGTGATCTGAGATCGCGCCACTGCACTCCAGCCTGGGTGACAGAGCAAGATTCCATCTCAAAAAACAAAAAAGTTCAGTTCCTCAGTTGCATTAGCCACATTTCAAGCACATGAACAGTCACATGGCTATTGGCTACGACACTAAACAGCACAGACACAGAACATTTTAATCACTGCAGAAAGTGCCTCCTGGGCAGCACTGGCTTATCCATTTGAAAAATTTAACCAAATTACTACCTTACACACAACCATCTCATAACTCGAACATTCTCCTCGGTTTCCCACTCCTCAATCGATGCAATCTCTGCAGCTACTGCCCAAGTTGAAAGTTGATCATTTGGAGACCAGGTGCGGTGGCTCACGCCTGTAATCCCAGCACTTAGCCGGGCAGATCATTTGAGGTCAGGAGTTCCAGACCAGCCTGCCCAACATGGTGAAACCCTGTCTCTACCACAAATACAAAAATTAGCCTTGCATGGTGGTGAACGTCTGTAATTCCAGCTACTCAGGAGGCTGAGGCATGAGAATCGCCTGAACCCAGGAGGCGGAGGTTGTAGTGAGCCGAGATCGCGCCACTGTACTTCAGCCTGGGGTGACAGAGCGAGACTCTATCTCAAAAAAAAAAAAAAAAGAAAGTTGATCATTTGAGTCCTGTGCCTAATTCAATATTCAGAACAGAACAGTAGTAATGTTCACATGCCACCTGTGGGGTGTGTCCTCAGTCAGAAGTTTGGATCTAGAGGCAGTTCACAAGGCAAAGATTCAGTTCTGTCAAAACTCGCTTTGTAAATCTCTTAACAAGCCCGTAAAACACAGTGCTGGTTCACAGTAAGAGCAGTGCAGCCAGCTTGTCTATTTCTCTAGTTGGACATCATCTCAAGCAGTTGGTTTGAGCCAGAGTGAAGAAAAGAAATCACACTCCATCTCTAAGCACTGGGAGCGTACTTGGTGTAGAGATGAGATGCTGCCACTAAGGAAGGCCAGCTGGAACAGAGGCTGACTGAGGAGGCACCAGCAGATTCCCAGCTCCCACCTCAGCCTTCTGCTGGGACACTAGCTGCGAGGAATGAGGGGCAGAACTACCCTCCCTGTTTTGCCCATTATCTTTTTCTTTTTTGCCAAGCAAATGGGGTTAAATTTGCTTAGCCTCCATGTGTTCACATGTCTCCCTTGTGAACCTAAGAATGTGCAAGCCACTAGAAAAGGATACATAACCTGGCCAGGCGCGGAGGCTCATGCCTGTAATCCCAGCACTTTGGGAAACCATGGCGGGAGGATCGCTTGAGCCCAGGAGTTCAAGACCAGCCTAGGCAACATGGCAAAACCCCGTCTCTACTAAAAATACAAAAATTAGCTGGGCATGCTGGTGCACGCCTGTAGTTCCAGCTACTCAGGAGGGAGATGGAAGGATCACTTGAGCCCAGGAAGTTGAGACTGCAGTGAGCAGAGATGTACCACTGCACTCCAGCCTGGGTGACAGAGTCAAAAAAAAAGAAAAGGATATATAATATAACCTGGTTTTTGGCCTCTAAAAATGTATGCTCATGGAGTAGACAAGATTTTTAAAAAGAATTATTCAATAACATAAGAAGCATGTAAAAATAAAACATATTTCTCTGGTGAAACAGAACCTAAAAAATATATATAACATACTAAATTGTAAACTGGAATTGCCACAGGTCTTTCATTAACTTACCTACTGTAGGGACGGCAGGCACAGTCTCCCCCAGCTTCAATTTATACAAGATGGTGGTTTTTCCAGCTGTATCCAAACTCAATATAAGAATCCGCATCTTTTTTTTCCCAAGTAGACTTTTAAAGAGCTTTTCAAAAATGTTTCCCATTGTAATTTAATCGAATTCTGTAACATGACAAGAAAAGCAAGCCAAATAATTGTTCTCTGCAGAGATATAGAAGCAACACGCAGAAAATACAAGTGTCAATTAGAAATGGCTCCCAGGAAAAATTCAACAATTTTAGGTACACTTTGGCCAATGAGTAGTGAGTCTTGTCTTCAAAGGGAAACTCAACTAAACCTTTCCATGCCTTACCAGAAAATTCTATTTTCCACTGCAGCATCCAAGTGGGATATGCAACATAGCCTCAGCACTGCTATGACAGTGGCAGCCTTTAGTCATTTAGTACAGAAGTACAAGGCCAGGCGCGGTAGCTCACGCCTGTAATCCCAGCACTTTGGGAGGCCAAGGTGGGTGGATCACCTGAGGTCATGGGTTCAAGACCAGCCTGGCCAACATGGTGAAACCCCGTCTCTACTAAAAACACAAAAATTAGCTGGGCACGGTGGTGCACGCCTGTAGTACCAGCTACTCAGGATGCTAAGGCATAGGAATCACTTGAACCTGGGGAGGCAGAGGTTGCAGTAAGCCAGGACCACGCCACTGCACTCTAGTCTGGGCAACAGAGCAAGACTGTCTCAAAAAATTAATTAATTAATTAATTTTTTTTAAAAAACAAGTACAGAAGCAATGATACAACAAATACAACTATACCTCATTCTAAACTCTACTGAAATGAGAATTTATGAAACAGAGAAGCTTTTTATTTTATGCACTATAAAACAAAGTCTTTAAGACAGGTTAAACAACAATATCCCTTGGAAACGTAGTAGTTCCTTATGGCTAGCAGACACCTTGGAAATAACCTAAGAAATTTCAGAGGCAAAGAAATTCAGCGTTGGGAAGCTTCACTGCCAAGAGAGATAACTTGGCAGAGTTGAGGAGGCACCACAGCATCCAGTTTTCGTTTGAGTTTTTTGTTTTGTTTTGAGACAGGGTCTCGCTCTGTCACCCAGGCTGGAGTGCAGTGGCACAATCACGGCTCACTGCAACCTCAACCTCCCCATCTCAAACAATCCTCCCACCTCAGCCTCTGGAGCAGCTGCGACCACAGGCATACGCCACCTCGCTCAGCTAATTTTTGTATTTTTTGTGGAAATGAGGTCTCACTATATTTCCCAGGCTAATCTCGAACCCCTGGGCTCAAGTGATCTTCCCACCTCAGCCTCCCAAAGTGCTGGGATTACAGGCGTGAGCTACCAGGCCCAGCCAGTATCCAGTGTTCTATTGCTGTAACTATCACCTTACTCTCAACCAGTTCTTAGAACTTTTTATTTAAGTATAATTTACATACAGATATAAACATACATGATAACTGTAAAGTTCAATACATTTTCATGAACCAAACACACCTATGTAACCAAATCAAGAAAAGATGATTTATCAGGCTGGGCACAGTGGCTCATGCCTGTAATCCCAACACTTTGGGAGACCAAGGTGGGTGGATCACCTGAGGTCAAGAGTTCGAGACCAGCCTGGCCAAAATGGTGAAACCCCGTCTCTACTAAAAATACAAAAATTAGCTAGGTGTAGTGGCACACACATGCAGTCCCAGCTACTCAGAAGGCTAAGGCACAAGAATCACTTGAACCTGGGAGGTGGAGGTTGAAGTGAGCCAAGATTGGGCCACTGAACTCCAGCCCAGGGCAACAGAGTGAGACTCCATCTCAAAAAAAAAAAAAAAAAAAATGATTATCAGACCAATTCTCCTTGTGCCTCCTCCCAGTCATTACTCCATAAAAGGTAATCACTATATTGACTTCTAACAGCATAAATGTTCAATATTTTATTTTTCAGTAGAAATCATGGTAGGTTATATAAAGTAAGTCAATAGTAAAGTCAGACTAACTTACAGAAATTTACAGTCTCTTTGAGATCAGCCTACTTGAAATGTGAGCTTGACATTCTAAGTAAAGACTTACAAGCAGTGCTGGGTCTACACCTCTAACTAAGCTCTTGGAAGTCTGTAAAGATCTTCAGACCAGGCAGGGTGGCTTACCCCTGTAATTCCAGCACTTTGGGAGGCTGAGGCAAGAGGGTCACTTTAGTTTTTGCTTACTGAGATAACAGAAGACAAGGGAGGATTGCTTTAGGCCAGGAGTACAAGACCAGCCTGGGCAACATAGCGAGACCCTGCCTCTATTTTTAAAAATAATAAAACAAAAAAAAATTCAAAAAGAAAAAGACATACATCCTTGTTCCAGAGACTGTGATTTATTTTCTTTTTAAATTGCTAACCAAAGAAAGCTTTACTCCTGGGCAGGGGAGGAGGAAGACACAAGGAGGATAGCCAATCTCCCATTCATTCGGACTCTGGTAACCACAGAGCGGAGGTAACCAAATTCCACAGGCCTCACCGCTGAAATTCAACAGTGGCCAGCAGTAGCTTAATATCATGGATTACGCCCAAGTACACAACATTCCTTTCTAGGATGAGAGAAAGCGAGCACAGAATTTATCCTGTTCACAAATGTGGCGTAAGTGACCAAAGAATGATAAATGTTTTAATCATTCAAAGAAAGTCCATTATAGGTCTATAAAAGTCCAGTGCATTGCAGCACTCAAAATCTTGCCGGGCGACAAAACTAGAGATTCCTTTTCTTTGTTTCGAAAAACAAATCTCACAGATGAGGAGACTTTTCAGGAACATGCTGGGGGAGGGAAGGTACTTCCCGCTCAGATGCCCCTTGAGGCAGCTAGTCCCAATTCCCCCTGCCAACCGCACAGACACACCACCTTGACCTCCCTCTCCCTTCTCTTTCCTCTTATTGCTACTCATGTGCCCCAGGCGCCCGTGGTCCTGACACCCCTGCGCCGCTGGAGACCCCTCTAAGGTAAGATGGCTCCGACTACAGGGCCTTTTTGGCACGCTCAGTCTCCCAGCCCCAAGCGCCAAAAGTGCATTAGGGAGAAACGTCGGCACGACGTCAAGGGCGCGAACAAGCGTGGTGGCCCAGGTGAGCGTGCGCGGCAGCCAGGCACGCCCGGCTCCCGGGGAAGGACGCCCCTTTTTTGCCCCGGCTGCCAGGCCGCTCCTTCTCAACTTGTGCGCCCCTGGAAGAGCAAAGAGAGGGCCCTGCGTGGAACCTATGAAGCCTCCTTCGGTTCCTCGCTGCTCCGGCCCTACAGAGGGCGAAGAAGGAACAGCGGAGCCCAATCCCTTTCCGAAAGCCACCGCCGCCCTCCAGTTTCTGGCCCGCAGACGAAGTGGAGATCCAGCCAGGTCTTGAGTGCTGCCGCCCCATCCCTGCAGCCGGAGACTCACCTGTTGCCACTCAAGGTACCGCTACCTACAACACCGCCGACTCCGCGGCCTTTAGGAATTCAGCTCAGTTCAGCTAAACCACGACAGGCGTGGGGGCAGGAACAGCAACCAACCAATCACCCACCGCCTCCTGGAGCTTTTGCACCAATGAGCTCGAAGTTTTGTGAGTGACGACATATCTGGCCAATGCAAAGAAGAGTAAGGGCCTGGGAGGGAGGGAGCGCCGTAGGCGACGCCATGAAGCTCTGGCAATACCATGTTCATCTTCAAATCACAGTTAAACGAATTCTGGCGAGACACGCCCACGTCCCCCACCCCCGATGCCATGTGCGACCAATCAGAAAAGCAAAAGGATTGTCTATTTGCACGGCCAATCAGCTGGGAAAATCGCCGAGGTTTGAGCTAACCTCGGAGCGTTCACACCAACCGGGAGGGGACATGTGGGCCGGGCCAAGTTAATAGTGCCATGGAAGGAAATTTACCGCGGTTGAGTTAAACGTAGACATTAGTTTGGGGCGGTGTTCCGCGTAGGAAATACCACACACTGACACTGAAATTAGGCATAAGGAAGTTTTCCTATTCCGCCTGAGGCTAGACTGCCCTCCCACCTCTACACAGATTTTCAAGTTGGGGAAAATACTGGCCACCCGCACCTCGTTAAGACGTCGCAGAACCAGTCCTCGTTTCCGAGAAATGCTTTCTATAGTCAGTTCCCTAAATGCCCAACTTGTTAGCTAAAAAGGTTACAAACGCCTGTAAATGGTACATAACTGAAATCATCAGAACAACAAACATCTATTAAACATATACTATGTGCCAGAAACTATATCAAGAACTTCAGCAGGCCCGGCGCGGTAGCTCACGCCTGGAAGGCCAAGGCTTTGAGCTAGGAGTTCGAGACCAGCCTGAGCAACATGGCAAAACCCCATCTCTGCAAAAAAAAAACAAATTTAAAATTAGCCGGGCATGGTAGCGGCTGTAGTCCCAGCTACTCGGGAGGCTGAGGCAGGAGGATCACTTGAGCCCAGGAGGTAGAGGCTGCAGAGAGCCGTGATCATGCCACTGCACTCCAGCCTGGGTGACAAAGCGAGACCCTGTCTCAAAAAACACGAACAAAAAAAGTTAGAAGATACTGCTAGAATTGACTAAATAAATAAATAAATAAATAAGAAAAACAATGTTACCTGCAGGACCGTAACGCCCAGTGAATTACAAACTATTATCCCTGGCCAGACGTGGTGGCTCACACCTGTAATTCCAGCACACTGGGAGGCCGAGGCGAGCAGATCACCTGAGGTTGGGAGTTCGAGACCAGCCTGACCAACATGGAGAAACCCCATCTCTACTAAAAATATAAAATTAGCCGGGCGTGGTGGCACACGCCTGTAATCCCAGCTACTTGGGAGGCTGAGACAGGAGAATTGCCTGAACCTGAGAGGCAGAGGTTGCAGTGAGCCAACATCGTGCCACTGCACTCCAGCCTAGACGATAAAGCAAGACCCTGTCTCAAAAAAAAAGAAAGAAAAGAAACTATTATCCCTGCTGTTTTACAGAAAAATATTAAGTAGCCTGGGTCTGTCCCACTCCCACACCTTAATCTTTTTCTTTCTTTTTCCTTTTTTTTTTTTTTTTGAGACAGGGTCTCACTGTCGCCCAGGCTGGAGTGCAGTGGTGCGATCTCGGCTCGCTGCAACCTCTGCTTCCCAGGTTCAAGTGATCCTCCTGCCTCAGCCTCACAAGTAGCTGGCATTACAGGCATGTGCCACTGCGCCTGCCTAATTTTTGTATTTTTAGTAGAGACAGGGTTTCACCATGTTGGCCAGGCTGGTCTTGAACTCCTGGCTTCAAGTGATCCACCCACCTCAGCCTCGCAAAGTGCTGGGATTACAGGCATGAGCCACCGCGCCTGGCCACCTTAATCTTTTTAAGCAAATACAGAATGGAAACTGCCCTCACAGGATTAAGGAGAGTTACAAGCCAGGCTTTAGGCAGCATTATATATAGTTAGCTGTTATCCAGGGTGCACAAGTGTACTTTGACCCACTTCCCTGCAGCTGCTAACTCACTGAACATCACTCCACGTGCTAGACCACCTCCTACCTGTTTCTCCATGGTTCTTACCATGAGTAAGAATTTCTGACGCTAGACTCATAAGATCGTTTTGCCCAAGAACGGGTTGTTTTTCAGATCCTGAATTCTGACGTCCCCAACCAAGGAACCCACTCAGCACAAGAATGAGGTTTCTTGGTCTCCCTGTCTCATGACTTCGCCCTTCACTTCTTGACCAATCATCGATCCCCACACTGCAGCCCCTGTCCAGAGGACTTAAAAACCCTGCCCCCCAAACCTCTCAGGGAGGTGGATTTGAGGCTTCTTCCCATCTCCTCATTCAGATGCCCTGTGATTATTAAACTCTTTCTTTGCTGCAGCCAGGTGTCTCTGTATGCTGACTCACTGTGCATTGAGCAAACAAAACTATTAAATTACAGTACTACTTACTCTTCTAATTACAGTGCTTATATGTATGAGGGTTAATATAAATACATATGACTCCTTAAAAATTAAAGTATGTTTTTTCTGACTATAAAAATTATACATAACCGGGTGCAGTGGCTCACACCTGTAATCCCAGCACTTTGGGAGGCCGAGGCGGGCAGATCATGAGGTTAGATCAAGACCATCATGGCCAACATGCTGAAACCCCGTCTCTACTAAAAATACAAAAATTAGCTGGGCGTGGTGGTGCATTCCTGTAATCCCAGCTACTTGGGAGGCTGAGGCAGGAGAATTGCTTGAACCCGGGAGGCGGAGGTTGCAGTGAGCCGAGATAGAGCCACTGCACTGGGTGCAGAGCCTGGGTGACAGAGTGAGACTCTGTCTCAAACAACAACAACAACAACAAAAAACTCATGCTAGTTTAATTTTCATTTATTTGATGACTTGCTATTTTTCCAAATGTTTACTAGTATTTTTATTTCATCTATTAGAAATGATATATTCATGTCCTACTGACTTCCAAGGGAAAGATAGAAAGTTGTTTTGCCAGGAACTATGAAGGTTGTTTGAATGGAGTCATCATAACCTAAAAAAAAGGTGAAATAACGAAGGTGAGATTTTTACTTACCATTGTTTGTTCCTACAGAAGGAATGCTGGAGCTGATAATTATGAGAATTTATCCTTCCATCCCTCATAGCCTAAGAATATTCATTATTTTCCCAATATCTGCACTGAGCCTGTAAACCAAAATGTATCTGAGACATGTCTCAATCAATTTACAAGTTTATTTTGCCAAAATTAAGGATGCTTACCTGGGAGACAGGCCTGTGCCTTTTTCCAAAGGTGATTTTGAGGGATTTAGTTTTGTTTGTTTGTTTGTTTTTGAGCCAGAGTCTCACTCTGTTGCCCAGGGTGGAGTGCAGTGGTACAATCTTGGCTCGCTGCAACCTCCACCTCCCAGGTTCAAATGATTCTCATGCCTCAGCCTCCCAAGTAGCTGGGATTAACAGGCGCGTGCCACCACTTCTGGCTAATTTTTGTGTTTTTAGTAGAGACGGGGTTTCACCATGTTAGCTAGGTTGGTCTCCAACTCCTGACCTCAGGCGATCCGCCCACCTCAGCCTCCCAAAGTGCTGAGATTACAGGTGTGAGTCACCGCGCCCGGCCAGAAGGATTTAATATTTTATTTATTTATTTATTTATTTATATTTTTTTATTTTTGAGACAGAGTCTTGCTCTGTCACCCAGGCTGGAGTGCGGTGGCACAATCTCGGCTCACTGCAACCTCCGCCTCCTGGGTTCAAGCCATTCTCCTGGCTCAGCCGCCCCAGTAGCTGGGATTACAGGCGCACACCACCATGCCCAGCTAATTTTTGTTGTTTTTAGTAGAGACGGGGTTTCACCATGTTGGCCAGGCTCGTCTCGAACTCCTGACCTTATGATCCACCTGCCTCGGCCTCCCAAAGTGCTGGGATTACAGGCGTGAGCCACGGTGCCCGGCAAGGATTTAATATTTAAAATGGAAAAGCAGGCTGGAAGGGAAAGAAGGAGAGTATGGTCACATTACTGAATTCACATGTTGCAAGAGACAAGGAGCAAGTAGGGGAATAGTCAATTATGTATTACTCTCGTGCTTACCATAAGATAAGGTGGACATAGAGTAGTTAGCTGCAGTCAGTCCTGCTTAGGAATGAAAGGAAAGGCAACTTCTTGCATGACTCAGCTTTCAGCTTAATTTTTTTTCTTTTGGCAGAATGAATTGGGTTCCCAAGTTTTTATTTTCCTTTCACAAGCCTCTGAATAAACAAAGTTCCTGCCCACATGGCATTCAATTGCTAAACAATTATAATCACATAAATACATACACATATACGTATATGTTTTATATATATATATATATATATATATAATATATATTTAATACATACGTCCGGGTGCAGTGGCTCACACCTGTAATCCTAGCACTTTGGGAGGCTGAGTTGGGTAGACTGCTTGAGCCAAGGAGTTCAAGCCCAGCCTGGTCAACATGGTGAGACCCCATCTCTACAAAAAATACAAAATACAAAAATTAGCTGGTCATGGTGGTGTGCACCTGTAGCCCCAGCTACTCAGAAGACTGAGATGAGAGGACTGCTTGAGCCTGGAAGGCAGAGGTTGCAGTGAGCCAAGATAGTGCCACTGCACTCCAGCCTAGGAGACAAAGTGAGACTCTGTCTCAAAAAACAAACAAACAAAATACATTCATATAGAGAGAGAAAAAGAGGGAGAATTTTATAATGATATGCATGAGGAATGTATAGGGGAAGAGGCTAAAAATAGGCCGAACTTACTAGTGAATATATTCAGGAGGTAGGACTGTGATTGTTTTTAAGTGATCGAGGGAAAATAGTGTACTGATTTTAAAATGGAAAACTCAACTTATTTTTTAAAAATTAAAACTCTGACAAGAGGGAGGTTTAATTGAAATCACAGTGGCTGCTCAGGGAAGTTTATAAATCTCGAACTGCAACGACTCAATAAGCATGAATTGCTTGTGATGATATTGACTTAATAGAGTTATTTTTTCCTTAATAGAAAACACATCTTATCAATATAATGTTATTTGTAAAGCATGGAAAGGACAAAGTGCTCTTGGGAGAAGTAGAAAGAGAATTTCACTCTGAGAAACCTATTTGGAGAAAGCTCCTCATCTCTGGCTTAGACTTTAAAATTAGTTAATAGTGTAATTAGGGATAGTTGTAGTAATAGTGGTATTGGTATGGTAGTTACAGTTTAAATGTCACACAGAATACCCAGACCACCTTCCCCCAAGTGCCACTAAACTTATTCTTCTAATCAAACCTCTGCTCAAGGGATGTCTTCTTCCTCTCTTGGAAAGCTGTGTTCCTTACCTCAGAAACAGCCCTCCATAAACCTGCCCTTAAGAGAATCCTTGGCCAGGCACAGTGATTCACGCTTGTAATCCCAGCACTTTGGGAGGCCAAGGCGGGTGGATCTCTTGAGGTCAGGAGTTCGAGAGCTGTCTGGCCATCATGGTGAAACCCTGTCTCTACCAAAAAATAAACATTAAAAATAAAAAAATTAGCCAGGTATGGTGGTGCGTGCCTGTAAATCTCAACTACTTGAGAGGCTGAAGCAGGAGAATTGCTTGAACCTGGGAGGCAGAGGTTGCAGTGAGCTGAGATCGTTCCACTGCACTCCAGCCTGGGCAACAGAGCAAGACTCCATCTCGAAAAAAAAAAAAAAGAGAGAGAGAGAGAGAATCCTTAAGACACACCTTCTTGGATGCCCTCTGGAGAAATGTCAAGAGTAGCCAATATAGTCACCCCAGTCGGCTGTGGTGTGTGGGCCTCTAGTGTTTTAAGGTTCTAGGCAACTTAGCCCCTCCCAGGAGATGCTGATTTACTTTTCTCAAGGTGCATAAAGTCTCATCACACCAATATCTGAAAAATCTCTTTTCAAAGAGATGCAGGCAGCCTTCCAGCCCCATGATGTTAATACACAGGGTTAGGCAGCCTGGCAAGTGCACTGGGGCCCCCACTGAAGGATCATCTGGTTTCCATAGCAACAGTCCTTCCTTTCCACGGAGGATTCTATCATCTCTCCTGCTCACTCAGGCTTTCCAGAATGAATTGTTTTTTGTGACTATAGGTGTTTGTCCTTGATCCTGCAAAGAGAAAAGACATATTCATTTAAAACAAACACCCCCCGCCCCGCCCCGCAACTGACTGCAGCTAGAATACTGCATTGCATCAGCTGGTCTTCCTTTCATTTAAAAATTCCATGTCCTTTCTCCATTTTGCTCCGTTCTCTAGCTTTATCCATCATTTTGGAAAACAGGTTTCTCTGACAGAAAACAAACAGATGGCAACTCCATCATCCTAAAACTGGCTGTGACGGGGCTCTAAAATTAAGTGTTCATGGGGCTCCCAGAAAGCCTAGGCTTGCATGGTATGTGTGGCTGACCTGTGAGTTACGATTGGAGGGGCAAGAGAAGGCTTTCTATACACAGATGGCTCCCCATACAGTGTCACAGTCTCTGAAGTGTTGCCTTTTGAGGTTTGTTTTCTTAGGTCAGGCACTGCTGTCCTGTCAGTATTTTCCTAAATTGCCAATACTCCTGGGAAGAGTAATACGTTAGGTTACTAATACTGAAAGAACTTGGGAAAGAGAGGAGGGGGTGCAGCGGGAAGGGAATAAAAGGGGCTCTGAAGACCACCTTTGTGTGCTTCACAGTGACATCTTCTGCAAGAGGGGAAGTGCAGGTCTTCATCTCTCTCTTTGTCTCTCTCTGTCACACACACACACACACACACACACACACACTGCAGGACGCCTTCTGACAATTACAATACAGTAGTGAATTCACCGAACAGGACTGTTCCCTGAAACACCTACATACAATCCCGCTGGAAGACCTTTGAAACAGCCCTGCAGTGACTAAAAACTCTGTCCCCAGTGCCACTTGTTTAACCCTACAGTTTCCACAGACTAAAGGTAGTTTTCTTTTGGTTAATATGAAAACACCAAATAGTCAGATTGCTTTGTTAAATAAAGTGGATTACGGTGAATCTGTTCACTTCTATGTTTTATATTGCCCTCACTCCACAAATCACAGAAGATATTTATTTTTCCCCCAGTTAAATTCTGTTACCACAACCATTACAAACAAATGTCTATATAACCAAAATGTTAGTCAGCCCCATTCCAATAGAGCACATTTTAAGTGATGTTTAATGGGACATAATTTGAACATAAAATTCTATCTGTGCACTGTTTTCAAGTCTTTGAATCAGGCCTCCACCTATAGATGTTGGTTACCTATCAGGGAGCAACAGGTGATGCTAAGGATCACTTTGTAAAAACCAGGAATCACATCCCTGTAACTGACAGGAAACTGACTATATTCATCAGGGTTCTCCAGAAAAATAGAACTAACAGAATGTGTATATACATAGGAGGAAATTTTGTTTAAGGAATTGACTCGTGTGATCGTGGAGGCTTTGGGAGCCCAAAATCTGATGGGAGAAGCTGGCATGCAGGAGGCCCAGGGAAGAGTTACAGTTCTAGTCCACAGGTAACCTGCTAGAGAATTCCTTCTTGTTCTGGATGAGTTTGGCCTTTTGTCTATTCAGGCTTTCAAGTGATTGGATGAGGCCCACCTACATTATGGAGGGCAACCTTCTTTACTCAAAGTCTACAGATTTAAATGTAAATCTCATCCAAAAACACCCTCACAGAAACATCCAGAATAATATTTGATCAAGTATCTGGGCAACATGGCCAAGCCAAGTTGACACAGAATTAACCGTCACACTGGATCACAAGGGCTGTGTTCAGCAAGAACTGACCTTGGTCAAACCCTGCCCCTGCCCTTATGCCCCACTCTTCTTCATTCTGGGTCCTGCTATTTCCATTTTATCATGTCTTCATCTTCTTTCCCCACCTTTCAGGTACCTTTCCTCTCTGACCCTATCCCTAGACTCACCTCCTACCCCCCACTCAAAGCCCTTCCTTCCTTAAAAAATGATGTTAGTCATTACACTTTAGGATTTAAATTAATCATTCTGTTAGCCGTCTTACTAACTTTCTCACTGTGAAAGGAAAGCATATTAAAAGAATTTCAGGGATCGACGAAGAGCTGAGGGAGGTATTTTTCTAGGAAGAGAAAGTGACTAACAGAAATCAAGACAAAGGGGGACAATCAGATTTTTCAGATGACAGAAAGCAGGTAAACTCTAGAGATCTAGAGAACTAGCAAATGGTCTCTTCAGGGTGTCATCATTGCAGTAAATGAGCTCTAGCTATTTCTGTCTTTATTCTTCAGGGTATTCAAGATTGCAGTTACTTAGGAGAGACAGAGCATCTGACTGATTGAACTTGGGTTCTGTATTCACTCCTGGGCCAGGGGGAGGCAGGGTACCTGGTCTGACAGTCCTTCCAAGGCTGCATGAACCAGAGGAGCTGTTACCAGAAAAGGGCAGAGTGAATTTGGGGCAGCAAAAACATTTATTGCTTATCGACTATCACTGCAAGGATTACTCAGAGGGTGATGCAGAATCAGCACCCCTCTATTTCTAAGATGACCTTGAATGTCAGAGCAAGGCACAAACAGGTTGCAGAGACATGTGGAGTATCTGGAGCACTGTCTCAGGATCCTTCCTCTCCTGCTGGATGCTAAGGACCTTAAGGACAAGAGCTATCTTTGCTTGCAATTTATTTGGCAGGCCCTGCAGGGCTGTGCAAATGATTCTATTTAATTTTTACTACTTGTGAGAAGGCACAGAGGGCTTTGAGAGGGCACAGAGGGCCTCTTATAATGGGTAGATATGCACATTAGCTGATACACTGGAAACTTTCCAGCAGGCATATCCTTCCAAGATGATAAATATTCCTCCTTGTTGGAGAAATTGAAGACATTTGTACTTGCAATCTAGCTTATCTAGTAAAACAAGACAAACTAACCAGTGATAGGGAGAAACATGTTTGCATTATTTTCCAACCTTGAAAATAATGTCAGATTATTGGACTGAGAACCAATGTCATCTTCTGGATCTGGTAATTATTTGGACAAAATCTCTTTGATTCTAGGTTCAAAGTCAAGGTGTCAAAAAAAAAAAAAGGATACAACTGTTAAGCTTATTTAATTATACCTCTCACTGTACAAATAAGGAAACTAGGCCAGGCGTGGTGGCTCACTTCTGTAATCCCAGCACTTTGGGAGGACAAGGCCAGTGGATCACCTGAGGTCAAGAGTTCGAGACCAGCCTGGACAACATGGCAAAACCCTGTCTCTACTAAAAATACAAAAATTAGCTGGGTGTGGTGGCAGGCGCCTGTAATACCAGCGACTTGGGAGGCTGAGACAGGAGAATAGCTAGAACCCGGGAGGCGGAGGTTGCAGTGAGCCGAGATCATGCCACTGTGCTCCAGCCTGGGTGACAGAGTAAGACTGCGTCTCAAAAACAAACAAACAAAAACAAATAAGGAAACTGGGCTCAGAGAGATGAAGGTACACAGGTGATGGGTAGATAGGGACAAAGAAAAGAACCTAACCCTTTGGACTCCCCAAGCCATTCTAATATTTGTTTTTGTAAGTTAGTAGCTTCTGCACGTTAGTATGTCAGAACTCAACTAGTTTCCTATCTTTCCTGATAACCTCTCCGACCCACCCATGATTTAGCTAACATCTGATTTGGTCAACCAAGCACCCTGGTCCTCAGGTTCAGTGTGAGACTTAATGAAATAGGCGTGAATTTTTTTTTTTTTTTTTTTTTTTAGACGGAGTCTCGCTCTGTTGCCCAGCCTCGCAATCTCAACTCACTTCAACCTCTGCCTCCGGGGTTCAAGCGATTCTCCCACCTCAGCCTCCTGAGTAGCTGAGATCACAGGCGCCCGCCACCACGCCCGGCTAATTTTTGTATTTTTAGTAGAGACGGGGTTTCACTATATTGGCCAGGCCGGTCTGGAACTCCTGACCTTAGGTGATCCACCCAAAGTGCTTGGATTACAGGCATGAGCCACCGCGCCTGGCTGGCATGAATTTTTTCTTCTGTCCCTAGTTCATCTTCAGGTCACTGTCTGATTTTATTAGTTCTCAAATTTAAATCACTATGCATGCTCAGCTCTTCTAGTTATTTCCCTTCTTTCCTCATGTTGGGAAAAAAACCCCGATTTATTCTAATTGTGAGAAATGAAAGCGAACAAATCCTATCATTCCCTATTGTCTTGTGCAAATATGAAGAGAGATATGATAGTGGGGTAAATAAAAGCATCAGGGAATCCATTCGGCAGAATCTTTCTCCTCTCAGCGTGCTTGCAGTTAGATATTCTGAGATTCCAGTGGAGAAATGGTATGGTGGAAACATTGAGGTTCAACAAGGCTCAATTTAGGGCATATTTTATTCAGATTCTACCATATATATTGTCTAAAATGAAACAACACTGGGGAATGAAAAGGTTGGTCGAAGATGCAAGTTGCCTTTATTAAATAAAGACAAATATTTAATAAAAATAATGTATAAAAATAATCACAATTCACTTTCAAATCTGAAAATACTGAGTTTTCCAGGCTACACATAAATAAAACTGCCAACGATGACAATTCCAGCAACTAGGAAAACAAGTACGCCTACAAAGAAAAGTGAGAAAATTCATGGAGAATTTGAACTCAGAACCAACTCCTCGGAGCTGATCTTTTTTGGGGGAAGCCAGGGAACGCGCCGGGCGCTCTCATCAGCAAGACCATGTTTAAAGAGAGTGTGGAAGCACAGACCAAAATGGACATTCGAGGGCGAACAGCAGCTGGCAAAGGGATAAGTGATCCGAAGCATTAAAGCCCTTGAGACAAATTCCGGCGCGAACCGCCAGTGGGGGATGAGACTCGCAGGCGCAGCCCTCCAGGCCCCGGCGGACTGACACGCACGTTGGAAACGGAGTCACCCACCACAGCCCCGCAGCTCCAGCCAAAATGGCGCCGCCGCTCTGCCCACCCCGCGCACCCCAGGCGGCCGCCGAGCCCGCGCGCGCGCCCTGTGGAGCGAGGACGCCGGGGACGCGGCCAGGGACGCGCGCGTCCTCACGGCGGTTGCACGCCTGCGCGAGGGCGGGCGGCGGGGGCGCGCGCGCGGCGGGGGCGGGCTTTGCCGAGCGCAGAGCTGCAGCCGCCGAGCCGGACGTGTCCGCGAAGATGGCGGGCCGGGTGAGTGCCGGTCTGGGAGCCCAGGCTTGAGGCAGGGGCGCCGGGCTCGCGGGCACTCTGGGGTCCAGGCGGCCCCAGAGGAGTGGGAGTGAATCCGAGCAATGGGGCGCGAGGCCAGAGCGGGACTTGAGGGTAGCAGGGGAGCGGTGGCAGGGGATTAGCCCTCCTCAACAACTCCACCCCCCTCGAGGGGAGATGACCCCTCGTTACACGCGTCTGCTGCGCCTCCCGTCATCCTCCCTTCCCATCCCTTGGGGCTTGTTCCCTCGTCCTCCACACAGCCGCAGGGTCGCGGTCGCCGAAGCCCCCTCTGACGGGCTCTGGGGGTCTTTCCGCACCCCCTTGCGAGGGCTTATTAGGGGGCGCCGGAGTAACTGCCGGGAGCACCTCTGCTGCATTCGGGGCAAGGGGTGTAGGAAGGATCTTCAGGAACCCATGTCTGGCTCTTCACAAATTAAAGGTCGTTGGGAAAGAGGAGGGGGTGCCAATGACTTTTAGTGTTAAAGCCCGGCCATCTGGGGGACCTGTCAACTGTCGGGTCAGGCAGGAATTGGCTTTAGCTTGGAGTGAGGATGGATTTGGGGTGTCACGTTTTGTTTTTATGGATGACACTCGCTTCGAATGCAGCAGGATATGCTGTAGTTTCAGGGTTTTAAATTTACTTCCTCCTTTAGCCTTTAGGATCGTTGGGTAGGATGGGTTTGGCGAGGAGAGAGAGCTGGTTGAGTGCTGTATTGCAGTCTGCCTTGAGCTAAAAGCTCTCAAGGGATGAGTCCTGCCCGGAGATTACACTGGTCATAAACCTGAGGACATTAACTGCGTCATTGGGGGTGAAAGATGTGATTGACTGATCTATTTATAACAGAATTTTTGAATAAGTTTGCATAGATTTATGCATATATGCAAATGCCCTATCTGAAGGGACTTGTAGGTCATGAGATTCTAGAGTAAGAAGGGATCTTAAAGGTCATTTAGTTTGGCTTCTTTCTCTTCCTTTTCCCCATGGCCTCTCCTTTTAAGGCTAGTCCTTCTGCCAGTACTTCAGACCCTATCTGTATATTCACCTGCTCCTTCTTAACATAATCAAGCTTCTCTATCTTAAACCCTTCCCCCACCCCCACAGCTGTCACCTTTTCCCGTCCCAGTTTACAGCAGGAAATTTGATAGAGTTGTCTATATTTATTGTCTTCCATTTGCTTACCACCTACTCACCCTTCAACCTACTGCAGTCTGATTTCTGCCCCATCATCCCACTGAAACCTGTCCCTCAACTTAATTGATACCTTTCAATCCTTATCTTATTTGATATCTCAGCAGCGTTTGACGTTGTTGACCATGGCTTCCTTGACGGAAAGCACTCTTCACATGTGTTCTGGAATGCCTCGCTCCTGGTTTGACTCAGACCTCTCTTTTGCGGCCTCACCCTCCTCTACTTTGTTATTCATTGCTGGTATTCCTCAAAGGCCGTCTTCTCACTCTCAATTTCCCGCTCAGGCAATTTCTTCTAAGCCCATAGCTACAACTGTCTATATGCCAGTGATTCTCAATATTTTACCCCCAGTCCAGACCTGCCCTTTAAGTTTCAGGTTAATATGTCCAACTGCTTATTTAAAATCAAGGTCCCGAAACGCAGCTTTTTCAACTCCGAACCCAGGATCTTAGCCCACCTAACTTGTGTAGATACTCCTCGACTTAACGATGGGGCTACCTTCCGATAAACCCATTGTAAGCTGAAAGTATCAGAAGTTGAAAATGCATTTAATACACCCGATCTACCGAATATCATAGCTTAGCCTAGCCTGCCTTCCTTACACATGCACAGAACACTTACATTAGCCTACAGTTGGGCAAAATCATCTAACATAAACCTATATTATAAAATGTTGAATACCTCATGTCATTTATTACTGTGCTGATAGTGAAAAACAGAATGGTTGTGTAGGTCTTCAAAGTACAGTTTCTGCTGAATGCCTATCACCTTTGCACTATTGTAAAGTTGAAAAATGTTAAGTCAAACCATTGTAAGTCAGGGACCATCTGTACCTATCCAGTGAGATAGGAATATCTCACTGAATGATACCATCATCCACCCAGTTATATAGGCTGGGAATCTGAGGGAGGGAGAGGGTGGGTAACCCTTTATGTCTCTCTTTTGCTGTACCCATGTCCTCTGCCCTATCCCCCGGTAAAATTTGTCAGAGTTCTGCTCCTGCCCCCCATAAAGGTATTTAATTAGGGCCAAAGACTCTGGTTTGGGGGAATGGTTGCTTTAGACTAGTTCCAAGTCACCCACTGGACTATCTGGATTGGTCACATGGGTTCTGTCATTTTAACCTAAAAATCTCCAGTCTGTCCACCTTTCCACATCTTCATTTTTACCTCCTTTTCCCAAACTACCATCATTTCTGGTCTGGACTACTGCAGGAAGCTTCCAAGTATTTTTTTGTTCGTTTGTTTGAGATGGAGTTTCGCTCTTGTTACCCAGGCTAGAGTGCAATGGCGTGATCCCTGCTCACTGCAACTTCCGCCTCCTGGGTTCAAGCCATTTTCCTGCCTCAGCCTCCTGAGTAACTGGGATTACAGGCGCCCACCACCACACCCGGCTAATTTTTGTATTTCTAGTAGAGACGGGGTTTTACCATGTTGGCCAGGCTGGTCTCGAACTCCTGACCTCAGGTCATCCACCTGCCTTGGCCTCCCAAAGTGCTGAGATTCGTGCCCGGCCTCCCAAGTAGTCTTCTTAGAGCATGTGGCCCACCTCCAATTCATTCTTGACCTTCATTGTTCCTTCCCGTGCCTATTACTACTTAAACCCCTCCTCAGCAGCATCCCATTACTTTTGGGAGAAAACCAAATCCTTAATGAGGCCTTCAGGACTCTTTGTGGTTCTGCTCCTGCTTCTTTCCACTCATTCTCTTACTCTGTGTGCTCAGGTTATATGGTAAACGAGCCTTTCAATTCCTTGAACCTGTAGTTTCTCTTACCACAAGGTCTTTGCGAGTGGTGTTTCCTTTCTTTGTAACGTTCTTCCCCCCAACCATTTACCTCCTACTCAGACATCACTTAGCTACTCAAGGGAGGCCTACTCTGACCCCACATTATAAGTCAGGATCCTTTGTTATATACTCTTGAAGAACTGTATTCCTCTCCTTAGAGATTTATCTTTTTGTTACTTTGAGTGTGTGTTATTATTTGCTTCTACCACTTCACCTCAGTGAAAAGCAGAGAACATACAAGTTATTTAGTCATTATCAACTGCGCTTTGTGTACCTTGTGGGACTTAGGTACTCAATACATTTTTGTTGAAAATGAATCAGTCTCTGAACACTCTGGTGATAGATGGTATATTACCCTAAAGCTTGCCTGTAATGTCATACAGCTATGTTAGGTCTTTGTTATCTGGAGTTCCATGTAACTTTTATACGTAGTTACTATTTCTGCTGTTTCAAGCCATACGGAACTAAACACAATTCTTTTTCCATGTAATAGCTACTCAAGCTACTCATTTACTTGAATACAGGTTACATATCTCCTCAGATTTTCGATTTTGCAAGTTAAACATCCCCCAATTCCTAGCATATTTCATATTCCAAACCCTTCATCATTTAGGCTACCTTCCTCTGGAAGTAACCTAATGTTACTGTTTTGTCAACCTTTCTTCTAAAATGTGCCCAGAGTGGAACACAGTGATCAGAGAAGAATGTACTTAAGCTATTATTGTCTTGAGATGGACACTACCATTATTCATACCAGATAAAATTGTATTAGCGTTTTTTCTATAGTAAATCACATTCTTGGCTCATACTGAGCTTGTAGTCAGTGAAAACTCATGTTCTTTTAAAATCAGCTCCCTAGCTCCATTCTAGGTTTAGAGCAGTTTTATTGAACCTAAATCAAGACCTTATCCTTTTACAATTCATTTTTTTAGGTCAGTGCATGTCTGCTGTTTGTTGAGGTAATCTGGATTCTTAGTTCTTTCATGTTAGGAAACATAATAGCTGTCTCTTCCAGTTTGGTTAGATCTGTAGGTTTAATCATGACTTCTGTTTCTACGTTTGAGTTATTGGTAAAGGATAGAATAAGACAGGGTCAGAAATAACCCTTGGACATGCTGCCAGTGACATGCCTCTAGACTGATACCCATTAATACACTTGGGCACTGTTGCTTAAATACAGATGTGTCTCATTTAATTCCAACAAAACAACCTGCAAAGTAGGTAGTATTATCTTTGTTTTTTTGCAGAGAGAAAGAGAGAGAGATTTAGTAACTTGAGAAGTTCACATAGCCAGCAAGAAGCAGGGTCAAGATTTGAACTCAGATCAGCCTGGTACTGTTACCTAGTTCACCAGCTTAGTTGCAAGAGTGTAGTAAAGACTAGGTTTACCTCACCTAGAACTTTTTGGACATAATAATGTTCAGAAACTATCTTCTACCTTTTGGAAAATCTGAAAAACTTTGGCCCATCTGATTGTCTATCATTTCTTCTGATAGCCTTTATTTTCTAGTAACTACTGAGTGATTTTTAGCAAAAATAGTTCACCTTGTTGCAATACTTTTATTTGTGCATATTTATGGAGTACATGAAAATTTTTTTACATGTGTATAATGTGTAGTGATCAAGTCAGGGTACATGAGTCCAATGTATTAAGTATAGTCATCTACTCAGCTATCAAACATTGAATTTATTCCTCCTATCACTGGATCTTTTTTTTTTTTTTTTGAGACGGAGTCTTGCTCCGTCACCCAGGCTGGAGTGCAGTGGTGTTATCTTGGCCTCACTGCAACCTCTGCCTCCCGGGTTCAAGCGATTCTCCCGCCTCAGCCTCCTGAGTAGCTAGGATTACAGGCATGTGCCACCACGCCCAGCTAATTTTTGTATTTTTAGTAGAGACAGGGTTTTACCACATTGGTCAGGATGGTCTTGGACTCCTGACCTGGTGATCCACCCGCCTTGGCCTCCCAAAGTGCTGAGATTACAAGTATGAGCCACCGCGACTGACCTCATTGGATCTTTTTACCTTTTAACCCACTTCTCTTCAGCCTTTCTCTCCCTTACTCCGCCTTCCCAGTCTCTGTTATCTATTTTTCCACTCCCTGCCTCCTTGTGTTCAAATTTTGTAGCTCCTACATATATGTGAAAGCATGCAATATTTGTCTTTTTGTGCCTGGCTTATTTCACTTAAGAGAATAACCTCCAGTTCCATCCACATTGCTGCAAATGGTATGATTTCATTCTTTTTATGGCTGAATAGTATTCCATTGTGTACATGTATGACATCTTCTTTATCCATTCATCTGTAGATGGACACTTAGGTGGTTGATTCCATATTTTTGCTATTGTGATAGTACTGCAATAAACATGCAAGTGCAGCTATCCCTTTGATACATTGATTTCTTTTCCTTTGTGTAGATACCCAGTAGTGGGATTGCTGGATGGAAGGTAATTCTATTTTTAGCTTTGAGAAATCTCCATACAGTGTTCCTTAGTGGTTGTACTAGTTTACATTCCCACCGACAGTGTATGTGAGAGTTCCCTTTTCTCTGCATCCTTACTAACATCTGTTACTTTTTGTCTTTTTAATAATAGCCATTCTGACTGGGGTAAGATGATATCTCATTGTGGTTTTGATGTGCATTTCTCTGATAGTGGTGTGGAACATTTTTCCATGTCTTCTTTTGGCCATTGTATGTCTTCTTTTTTAATGGGATTATTTGTTATTTTCCTTTTGAGTTGTTCGAGTTCCTTGTATGTTCTGGATATCAGTCCTCTGCTTGATGAATACTTTGCAAATATTTTCTCCCATTCAACAGGTTGTCTCTTCATTCTGTTGATTATTCTTTTGCTGTGCAGAAGCTTTTTAGTTTGCTTAAGTCCCATTTGTTTAGTTTTCTTTATGTTACCTGGGCTTTTGATGTCTTAATCATAAATTCTTTGCTTACACCAATGTCCAGGAGTGTTTTCCCTAGACTTTCTTGTAGTATTTTTATAGTTTTGGGTCTTAAAATCTTCAATCCATTTTGAGTTGATTTTTGTATATGGTGAGAGATAGGGGTCTAGTTTCACACTTCTGCATGAAGTTATGCAATTTTCCCAGCATCATTTATTGAAGACAGTGTCCTTTCCTTAGTGTGAGTTCTTGTCAGTGTTGTTGAAGATCATTTGTCTATAATTATGTGGTTTTATTTCTGGATTCTCTATTCTGTTCCATTGGTCTACATGTCTATTTTTATACCAATACCATGCTGTTTTGGTTACTATAGCTTTATAATATATTTTGAAGTCAGATAATGTGATGTCTGCAGCTTTGTTCTTTTTGCCCAGGTTTGGTTTGGTTGTTTGGGCTTTTTTCTTTTTCCTTTTTTGGTCCCATATGAATCACATTGGTATTTTGATAGGGATTTCATTGAATCTGTAGATTGCTTTGGCAATATGGTCATTTTAGTGATATTAATTCTTTCCACAAGCATAGGATGTTTTTTGATTTATTTTCTTTCATTGGTGTTTTGTAGTTTTCTTTGTAGAGATCTTTCACCTCCTTAGTTAAATGTATTCCTAGGTTTTTGTTTGTTTTCGGTAGCTATTGTAAATGGGATTGCCTTCTTAATTTCTTTCTTGGCTAGATCCTTATTGATGTATAGAAATGCTACTGATTTAAAGGTTTTCTAAACCTACAGATATATAATCAGCAAAGAGACAATTTGACTTTCTCTTGTCCAGTTTGGATGCCTTTCATTTCTTTCTCTTGTCTGATTGTTCTGGCTAGGATTTCCAGTACTGTGGTGAATAGGAGTGGTGAAAATGGGCATCCCTGCCTCATTCCAGCTTTTAGAAGAAAGATCTCACCTCTCCTCATTCAGTATGATGTTAGCTCTGGGTTTGTTGTGTATAGACTTTATTATTTTGAGATATATTCCTTCTATGCCTAATTTGTTGAGAGTTTTTTTAATCATGAAGGGATGTTGAATTTTATCAAATGTTTTTGTTGTTGTTGCAATACTCTTTTTTTTTTTTTTTTTTTTTTTTTTTGAGACAGAGTCTTGTTCTGTTGCCCAGGCTGTAGTGCAGTGGCGCGATCTTGGCTCACTGCAACCTCCACTCACTGGGTTCAAGCAATTCTCCTGCCTCAGCATCCCTAGTAGCTGGGATTACAGGCCTGTGCTACCACACCCAGCTAATTTTTCTATTTTTAGTAGAGACAGGGTTTTGCTATGTTGGCCAGGCTGGTCTCGAACTCCTGACCTCAAGTGATTTGCCTGCCTTGGCCTACCAAAGTGCTGGGATTACAGGCGTGAGGCACTGAGCCCGGCTGTTGTGATACTCTTAATGGGTTTTATATTTCCTTTTTGTGGGGGACAGTTTATTTTGCATTCTTACTACTTTTGATATTCTGACATCATCTTATAAGTGGGATTTATATTCACTATGTAATTGAAGTTTTTTCCAATGAAGCACCGTATATAGTTTATCTGGGAAATTGGCTGAAGAATAAAATGTGTGATGTTATTCAGTGTACAGTTTCTAGGTCATCAGAAGATACCACTACCTTCCCACTACTGGAAAAGAAAAAAGAAAAGTTTTCCACAGTGCCTGAACTGTTTTGTATGCTTATCTTTTAAAATTGCCAGAAATCTCACTTACTGGAGATTCAGCAGTCCCTTTCTGAAAATACACATACTTTAGTGCAAATAAAGCCAGTGGATCTCTTTCTTCATAAGTCCTTAAACCTAGTCGAGGTCATCTGTTTGGCAGAGATAGGAGTAAGATAATGTGAAATAGGAACCAACGAGAGAGAACTTGCTTAGGAGTTGAAAGGGGTATGGAAAGATGTTAGAGGTAAAATTTGTCGAATCTAGTGTTTTGACTAGGGCAGGCCAGAATATTCAGTATCAGTATCAATATCAGAAGCTTTTGTAGCCTTTGTTTAGAAACCTAGTCATTTATAACATTTTGTGGGTGAATGACATCATTACCAAACAAACTTTCAGATGAAACTTTGGAACTCAAGCTGTAAATTGTGGATAGCTCATGTGCAGTACTACAAATCAAAACAAATACTATAAAGTGTTTGGTAGTCCATTTCCTGAATGAAAGTTTGTCCAAAGTATATCAACTTTCTGCAGTCTTACATGCAGTAGTTATTAGTTTTGTGTATCGCTTTAGTGGATATTTTTAAAAGTATCTTCAAATGCAATGAATTTTAGGAAACAAAACAATTCTTTAAAGCATCATTAGATAGCTTCTTCTTTCTGAAACCCAGAGGAATTTATGTATAGGATGACTCTTTTTTTCAAGTAGTTAAGTTAAGGTGCAAAAGTATAAGGTAAAGTATATTATCTTACCATTGAAAATTTTGGCAGTGGCAGAAGAGCGAACCCTTACAAATACCTTCATTGGGCAATACACTAAGCACTTGCTGTAATGCTTTTTAAAACATCTATACTCTGGCTGTGGTATTTTAAGTGAAAATCTCTCAGTGAGATACTCTTTCGTATTTTAGTACTGATATCCTTAATATTGCTCTGAGAGCTACCTTATACTGACTTCAGTTTCCTAGTGATTTAAACTACTAATTTCCAACTTATTTTTTTTTATAGTGAAAACTAAATATTCCTTTTGTAGATGTAACCATTTCTGGAAGCCCTAAGTATTTTTGAATGAGTATAATTCATGCACACTTTAAGAGATTTCAAGCATGACAAGCACAGTGAATAACATATATCCATGTGATTACCACTGAGGTTTAAGAAATGTTAACATATGATATCTGCTTCAGATATTTATCTTTTTAAAAATAGAACATTACAGCTGGGCATGGTGGCTCACACTTGTAATCCCAGCACTTTGGGAGGCTGAGGCTGGTGGATCACCTGAGGTCGGGAGTTCGAGACCAGCCTGGCTGACATGGAGAAACCCCGTCTCTACTAAAAATACAAAATTAGCCGGGCGTGGTGGCACATGCCTGTAATCCCAGCTACTCGAGAGGCTGAGGCAGGAGAATCGCTTGAACCTGGGAGGCAGAGGTTGCGGTGAGCGAGATCACAACTCCAGCCTGGGCCACAAGAGTGAAACTCAGTCTCAAAAATAATAATAATAAATAAAAAATAGAACATTACAGATCCAATTGACTCTTCTTTGTATTGCTCCTTTTTTTTTTTTTTTTTAGTTTTATTTAAAAATTTTTTTTAGAGGCTGAGTCTCACTTGGTGGCCTGGGCTGGAGTGCAGTGGCGCAGTCATAGCTCACTGCAGCTTCACACTCCTGAGCTCGAGCAATCTTCCTGCTTCAGCTTCCTGAGTAGCTTGGACTAGCAGAGGTGTGCCACCACATCTGGCTAATTAAAAAAAAGTTTTTAGAGATAGGATCTCTCTGTGTTGCTCAGGTTAGTCTCAACACCTGGCCTCAAGTGATCCTCCCACCTCAGCCTCCTGAGTAGCTGTGGTTGTAGGTGGCAGCCACCACACCTGGCAGTATCCCTTCTTGAGACCACTGACCTTTCCCAGAAGTAATCACTGTCCTGAAGTTGGTATAGATTCTTTCTGTCTACATCTATGCATGTTTATGCTCAAAAACAATATATTGCTTTGTGTGTCTTTAAAATGTATATAATGGTTTTATGCTATATCTTTCTTTCTGCAACCTGCATTTTTCACTTAAAATAATTTTGAAATTTAGTCCTGTGGATATATAGTGAGCCAATTAATTCTGCTTAGCTACTCTGTAGTCTGTTTTGTGAATATACCACAATCATCTACTTTCTTATTAGAGGACAATTTAGGCAGTTCCAATTTTATTTTTCCCGGAATGTACATTATTTTAGTCGAGTGCCATTGCCACATTAGCGATATTTTGGTTAGTGAGGGACTGCAGATAGGAAGGTGATCCCAAAAGATTATAATGCCATATATTTACTCTACCTTTCTATATTTACATATGTTTAGTTACACAATTACCCATTATGTTACAGTTGCTTACAGCATTTGGTGCTGTAACATGCTGTACAGGTTTGTAGCCTAGGAGCAATAGGCTATACCGTATAGGTTTGTGTAAGTACGCTCTATGATATTCATATAACGATGAAATCACCTAGTGACACATTTCTCAGAATGTATCCCTATTGTTAAGCAACACATGAGTGTGTGTCTCCATGCATATATGTGTAAGAGTTAGCATGTGTGTCCAGAGGTAGAATTGCTGGGCGATAAGTCATACTCATCTTTACCTAGTTATGCCAGTTTATACTGTCACTAGCAGTATATGAGTACCTGTTATTTATATCCTCTCCAACACTTAATATTGCTGACATTTTAACTTTTACAATATAATAGGTGTAAAACTATTGTTTAAATTTGCATGTTGTCCTCATTACTAGTGAGATTAAGCATTTTTCATATTGGTCATTGGGATTTCCCCTTCTGTGAATTACTTTTGTATATTTGCTCATTTTTTCTGTTGGGCTGTGTATTTTTTTAGTGATTTGTATAATTTTTCGTTTTTTGGGGGGTAGGGTATGCTTTGGATTCTAATCCTTTGTTGTAAATAGCTTCTCTCAGACAGTGATGGTCTTTTCATGATGTTTATAGAGTGTTGGATTTAAATTTTATAGTTATAATTACCCTTTTTTTTTTTTTACCTTGGTGATTTGTGCTTTTATGTGTTTTTCAGGAAATCTTTCTCCACCCTGAAGTCATTTTCTTATAAAAGTTTTAAAATTTTGCCTTGCACATTTTGGTGATTGATCAGGAATTTATTTTTGTGTTTGGTGTGAATTATGAACTAATTTTATCTTTTCCATATGTATAACCAGTTGTCTCAATATCATTTATTGAGTCCATTTTTTTCCTTTACTGATTTGCAATGCTATCTCTGTATTATATCCAGTTCCCATATATGTGTGGGTCTAAGTGTCGACTCTATTCCGTTTCATAATTCTTTTTGTCCATATTTGCATCAATAACACTGTTTTAATTGCTGTAGCTTTAAAATTATTCTTGTTATTTCATAGGGCGTACTTTCATTACCTTTCTTAATTTGGCATTTCTTGGCTCTTTTCCGTATGAATTCTGGGAACAACTTAATCCCCACTCCTTTAAAAAAAAAAAAAAAGACACTTTGGCCTGGCATGGTGGCTCACACCTGTAATCCTAGCACTTTGGGAGGCTGAGGCGGGTGGATCACTTGAAGCCAGGAGTTCAAGGCCAGCCTGGACAACATGGCAAAACCCTGTCTCTACCAAAAATTAGCGGGCATGGTGGCACACTCCTGTAATTCCAGCTACTTGGGAGGCTGAGGCATGAGAATCAGCTTGAACCCAAGAGGTGGAGGTTGCAGTGAGTTGAGATCGTGCCACTGCACTCCAGCCTGGGCAACAGAACGAGACAGTTTTTTGTTTGTTTGTTTTAAAGACACTTTTAACCTTCCGCTATGGATTTTTGACCTACATTTTTCCTCTTGTATTTTATAAGAGTAGACACAGAGAGCACTTCAATAAAATTCAGCTCAATAACTTTATTAACCTGATCTCCTTTTCTTTGACTTTAAGCTGAAAGTGTTAATTTCTCACAACTTGTGCTCTATAGATTTGAAACCAAATCAATTAGCATCAGCTGTTTATGAGTAATGCAGGGTATTTTGGTCTTTTGCTAAATTCAGAAAGAAATGTTAAAGTGCTGATGGATTTGCACTAGCTGTATAGATCTTTGGTGGAGGAGGAAATGGGAAAATTATTAATTTCAGGTAAGAAGTCATTTTTGAAATGCAAGATTCATTTCTTTTTAAAATCACCACATAATAAAAACTTTAAGGGCTGCATTGGTGGGTTTTTAAAAAAAATTGTGAAGTGTTTTTAGTGTTATGTGCTGACAAATATTTTTGTAGTTGCTTTGACAAGCAATGAAACTACCAATTATCACTAATTCTGAGTCTTCCAATGAACCTCTGTGTCAAATTTTTAAATTTAATTATCCTGACTATTTTTCTCCTAGAGAATAATATTGATATAATTTTGTGAACCATAGCAGACAGTTCCCATTGCTGAGAATAGAGCCTGGTGTGGGGATATTATGATTCTTGAATGGTTGAACAAGACATTTGCTTCTGAACATCTTAGTAAATTATCACTTCTGACAATGTCTGTAGTTTGAATTTTGATATTCTCTGCCAAGGTATTGAATACTCTAAATAATGTTGTTTATTCTATTATTTAAATCATTAGTATTATAGATCTAGCTTTAAACAGCTGCTGCACTCCAGTCCTTTTTCTTCACCTGCAGATATTGAGTCTGATAACTGTTTTGTATACATAGCCTTTCAGTAAATCTACTTATCAGTCATCAAATTAACTTAATTATAAGTTAAATGATGAGATGGACCAAGAGTGTTATTGAAATCTCATTTCCACACATTTCTTCTCTTCTTTTGTAGAAGGTAATGAAATGAACCTGTCAGTGTTCCTGTTTTTATGAAGTTTATTTCTCTTAGTACAGTGATTCTGATAGTGGGTTCTGCAGACCAGCAAATTAGCATTATCTGAGAACTTGTTAGAAAAGCAAATTCTCAGTTCCCACTTCAGGCTGACTAATTTAGAAACCCTGGGGTAGGGCTTAGCATTCTCTTTCAATAAATTCTCCAGGTGATTCTGATGTATGTTAAAGTTGAGAAGCATTCACTTAGTGTTTTGAGCTCTCCAATTTAGTTCCTTATAAATTGTTGAAGATATTTTTTCCAGATTTCTTTCCAAATATGTGCTCAACCTTGTTACTGATAGGTTTCAAGGTTATCGTCTTCTTCCCATTAATACCTTCATCTATATCCAATTTTCAAACTTTTAAGAAAGCATGGCTATTTTGCTGCAGTATGGTGAATTAGGTACTCTGACTGACCTTCCCAGATAAACAATTTAAAATTCTAGATAATTTTTTTTTGGAGGGAGGACAGGGTCTTGCTCCGTCACACAGGCCGGAGTGCAGTAGTGTGAACATGGCTGACTGCAGCCTCGACCTGTTGGGCTCAAGCGATCCTCCCACCTCAACCTCCCGAGTAGCTGGGGCCACAGGTGCACACCACCATGTCCAGCAAATTTTTTTATTTTTTGTGCAGATGGGGTCTTGCCTTGTTGCACAGACTGGTCTCGAACTCCTGGGCTCAAGCAGTTTTTCCACCTGGGCCTCTCGAAGTGCTGGGATTACAGGTGTGAGTGACTGTGCCTGGCAGATGAAATATTTTTTAAGTAAAAACCTTATGTGCATGGAGATAGCTGGCTGAAAAGTAAGGAATAATCAGGCCAAAAACTATGTGAAGGTGAAAACCCAGAGATATAAGCCAAGTACTGCTGCCTTGAGGACATTATTTGCAAATGACATTACTTGGAAAACCTAGTTAACTTGTGCTTGTGCCTCAAGAAGCTCAGAGAACGGAAGATAAAAGTAGTTTTCTGGTAGAACGTCCCACCTCTCCTGGTAAAGATGGTACCCCAAGGGTCTATACATCATAATAAATGAGAACTAGTAATAAACGTACCTTGTCTAAGGATCGGAAAGAAAAATTTCCTGCCTCAAACTTTGGTGGTGATGGGAAGGGTACAGAAATTCCCTGAGAAGTTTTACCCACAAGCTGACCTTCATGCAGGTTTGAATCCTGATTTTATATTACCTGGATGGTATGAAAATCTTAAGCCAGTAATTAAATATAAAAGTGGTACAAGAGTGACGATGCCTTAAAATGCCTAAGAATGCCTAAAAAGCAGCAAATACAAAGCTTCTTGGGAGAACCCATCTTGATCTTAGGATTTAGAAAATTCCTAAACATAAAGCTGTAAGAAATATGAACTCACATTCACAAAATGCAGAAAGAAATAAGATGCAATGAATGAGAGGAAGCAGAAACAATAAAGAGCAGAATCAGAACCTGCAAAGAGTTCACATATTGGAGTTAGCAGACACAGATTATAAGTACATATATTTAATATGCTTATAGAAAAAAAGAAATTTAAAATAGGAATGAGGAGCAAGTATACAAAAATGACCAGTGTACAAATTTAATAACAGATTAGACACAGCTAAAGAAAGATTTAGTAAAGTGGATCTGAAAAAATTGCAGTATAGAGGCAAGAAAATGAAAAGTAATAAAAGAGTTAAGAGAATACAGAGGGTAGAATAAGAAGGTTCAGTCTAGTCAGAATTCTGGGGCAGGGGAGCAGGGGCATGGAAAAGAATGAGGCAGAGGCAGTATTTGAAGAGATAATGACAGAGAACTGATGAAAAACAACCTACAAATTTAGGAAGCTAAAGAATCCCAGAAAGGATAAAAAGAAAAAAAATTCACACATAAACATTTTTGAAAGAAACTACATGATACCATAGAGAGGTCTTAAAAGCTGTCAGAGGCTGGGCATGGTGGCTCACGCCTGTAATCCCAGCACTTTGGGAGCCCGAGGAGGGTGGATCACCTGAGGTCAGGAGTTCAAGACCAGCCTCAACGTGGAGAAACCCTGTCTCTACTGAAAATACAAAATTAGCCGGGCGTGGTGGTGCATGCCTGTAATCCCAGCTACTCAGGAGGCTGAGGCAGGAGAATTGCTTGAACCTGGGAGGTGGAGGTTGCAGTGAGCCGAGATCGTGCCATTGCATGCCAGCCTGGGCAACAAGAGCAAAACTCCATCTCAAAAAAAAAAAAAAAGCTGTCAGAGAAAAAAGATATTACCTTCAACAAGTATTTGGCTGTCAGCTGTTTTCCTGTCTATAATAATGAAAGCCATAAGACAGGGAGTAATATTTTCCATATGCTTAGAGAAAATAATTGTCAACCAAGAATTGTATATCTTGTGAAGAATGGGGGCAAAATTAGACACTTTAAAACAGACAAACACTCAATGTTGTAACCATCAAACCTTCCCTACTAGTGGAAATTCAGATCAATTTCCTGAAGGCTAAAAAAAAAAAAAAAAAGTGACCACTGATGTAAAGTCTGAGATTTAAGAAGGATTGAAGAGTAAAGAATAATGGTAAATCTGTGGATATATTGAAATAAATATTGGCTTTATAAAATGATGTATGCGGAGGTTTTAAAAATAGAACTAAATAGGCCAGGTGTGGTGGCTCACGCCTGTAATCCCAGCACTTTGGGAGGCTGAGGTGGGCGGATCACCTGAGGTTATGAGTTGGAGATCAGCCTGACCAACATGGAGAAACCTCGTCTCTACTAAAAATACAAAAAAAAAAAAAAAAAAAAAAAAAAAAATTAGCCGGGTGTGGTGGCGCATGCCTGTAATCCCAGCTACTCAGGAGGCTGAGGTAGGAGAATTGCTTGAACCTGGGAGGCAGAGGTTGCAGTGAGCCGAAATCACGCCATTGCACTCCAGCCTGGGCAACAAGAGCAAAACTCCGTCTCAAAAAAAAAAAAAAGAACTAAATATATGATAACAACATCCAAATCAAAAGAGTGGTTAAAGTATTTTATGATCTTTATACTGTTGAAGAGAAAGGTAAAGCTATTCAATTAACTTTAGATTTTGATAGGTATGTGTATTAGTATTTTCAGAGTAACTACTAAAATAATATAAATATTAGGAATAATTTATAGCAGAAAAAACAATTTTTAAAAGGCAAGGAAGAAGTGAAAAACATAGAAAAGGTCAGATAAAGAGGAAACAATAAAATATAGAAATCAAATCAAATATATGGTAGACTAAATGCTTCATTCAGACAAAGAATGTCAGATTGGATTATTTAAAAGCAAGCAGGCCGGGTGCAGTGGCTCACGCCTGTAATCCGAGCACTTTGAGAGGCTGAGACGGGTGGATCACTTGAGATCAGGAGTTCGAGACCACCCTGGCCAACACGGCCAGCTGGCCATGGCCAGCTAATACAAAAATTAGCTGGGTGTGGTGGTGCACACCTGTAATCCCAGGTACTTGGGAAGGTGAGGCAGGAGAATCACTTGAACCCAGGAGGCGGAGATTGCCGTAAGCCAAGATCATGCCACCGTACTCCAGCCTGGGCAACAGGGTGAGACTCTGTTTCAAAAATAAATAAATAAATAAATAAAAGCAAGCAAACAAACTTACTGAAACAACACAAAATCCAGCTATAATTTTCAAGAGAGATAGCTAATACATATGAATGTAGAAAGATAGAAAGCAAAAGGATGGAAAAAGTCTATCAGGCAAACTCTAACCAAAAGGGAGGTAAACTAACTATATTAGCATCAGACAATATGATCTTTCAGACAAAAGAGACAGCTAGAGATAGGTCCCTCAACAATGAGAAAAGGTTTATTTATCCATAAAGGTAAAAACAATTCCAAACTTGTGTGAACCTAATAATTGCCTCAATATACAAAGAACAAAATGACACAATTATAAGATGAAATAGACAAATCTACCATGGTGAGGAGTTTCAAAACTCCCTAATTGAAAAATTAAAAAGACAAAATGGTTACAGCTGAAAATTAAAATTAAAAATTCATTTTCTCGGTTGCAATAGCCATTTTTCAAGGGCTTACTAGTGACATGTGACAATGGCTGCTGTATTGGACAGCACAGAAAGTACTTTTGCACTGCATTAATTTAGAAGACTTAATATAATTAACAATATTAATAATTGAGTATTGAACACCACATCCAAGGTGCAGATCTCTGAATAATATCTGATCATAATGTGGGCAAGTTAGAAATTAATGACAAGAAAAGGCAGAAACATGGGAGACAGGTGAAGATTTCTTAAACAGAATATAAAAAGCACTAGATACAAAGGAAAAAAGTGATTAATTGGATTTCATCAAAAGACACTGACTTAGTTTGCTTAGGCTGCCATAACACAATACTATAGACTTGGTGGCTTAAACAAAAGAAATGTATTTTCTCACGGTTCTGGAAGCTGGAAGTTTGGGACCGGGGTGCCAGTATGACTGCGTTTTGGTGAGCACTGTCTTCGTGACTTGCACACAGGCTTCTTGCCACGTGTCTGTGTGGCGGAGAGACAGCAAGATCTCACCATCTCTCTTCCTTTTCTTATAAGGCCACAGTCTTGTCAGATTAGGGCCCTTCGCTTATGACCTAATTTAGCCTCAATTATCTCCCAAAGTCCCTATCTCCAAAATAGTTGGGGTGGGGGAAGTGCCTTGACTAATGAATTTTGTTGGGGGCAGTGGGGAGTGCACATTTCACTCCATAGTAGACACCATTGAGGAGAAAGACCAGAGTGGAAGAAGGTATTTGAAATACATGTATTTGACAGCCAGGCACGGTGGCCCACACCTGTAATCCCAGCACTTTGGGAGGCCGAGCTGGGCGGATCACGAGGTCAGGAGATCGAGACCATCCTGGCTAACACAGTGAAACCCCGTCTCTACTAAAAATACAAAAAATTAGCCAGGCGTGGTGGCGGGTGCCTGTAGTCCTAGCTACTTGGGAGGCTGAGGCAGGAGAATGGTGTGAACCCAGGAGGCGGAGCTTGCAGTGAGCCGAGATTGCGTCACTGCACTCCAGCCTGGGCGACAGAGCAAGACTCTGTCTCAAAAAAAGAAAAGAAAAAAAGAAATACATGTATTTGACAAGGACTTGTACCTGGAATATATAAAGAACTACAAATCAAGAATAAAAAGAAAGGACAGAAAGCCAATGGAAAAATGAACAAAGGATTCAAACAGGGATTTCACAAAGAACTTACCTGTAACGTATGTTAAATGCTCAACCTCATTAGTCATCAGAGAAATACAAGTTAAAACCTCAGGGAGATATTACTACACACCCACCAGAAAGTTAAATTAAGAACACATTTGTCATGACAATTCTGGGTTTGATTTTGTTTTGTTTTTTGAGATGGAGTCTTGCTCTTGTCGCCCAGGCTGGAGTGCAGTGGCATAATCCCAGCTTGTTGCAACCTCTGCCTCCTGGGTTCAAGTGATTCTCCTGCCTCATCCTCCCGAGTAGCTGGGATTATGGGCACCCACCACCACGCCTGGCTAATTTTTGTATTTTAGTAGAGATGGGGTTTTGCCATGTTGGCCAGGCTAGTCTTGAACTCCTGATCTCAAGCGATCCACCTGCCTTGGCCTCCCAAAGTGCTGGGATTACAGGCATGAGCCCGCGCACCTGGCCTGTCATGACAATTCTAAGTGGTGATGAGGATGTGCAGCAGCTGGAACTGATGAAAATGCATGAGCACAACCTCTTTGGAAAACTAGCAGAATTCCCTAAAACTGAATGTAGGCATGATGCCCATGACCCAGCACTTATAGTCCTGGGGGTGGGAGGAGTGAATATATTTCTATTCATGATTTCTATCTCTGATGACAGAAATTAAGCTAGTGGGTATCTGTGGTTGAGTAGAAGGATAGTGACTAGGAGCGGGCAGTATGGGATGCTGGTAATGTCCTCTTGACCTAACTGTTGGTTACCCTGGGTGTGTTCACTTGTAGAAATTCATTGAGCCAAACACGTACAATGTATGCATTTTTGTGTATATATGTTCTTCTTCAATAAAAACTTGATTTAAATAATGTTCTTTTTCTTAAACTGGGTAGTAGGTTTATGGTGTTTTATGTGTTGCCTGTGTTTTATACATATTTTATTCCTGTTCAGTGTCCAAAAAATATAAAAAGTAGTCACTGCTTTGTTGTTAATTTGAGCATCTCCTGCACCTAGCACAGTGCCTGGGACATTATAGATATTTATTAAATATTTGTTCTATGGAAAAGAAGTAGGCTAGTAATTTCTTTTTGCTTTCCAACAGCCAGTTTTTGATTCAATTATTTGTAAATATGATTTCTACTCAGTTGTTTCTAAATAATAAAATATGTAAATACTATTATGTTTATATTTATTAGTAAGCTGAATTTATTAAATGAGAAACCTCTCAATATTAAGGACACATCATAAATTATTAGCATGCTGTGTTATAATGACTAAAAGTAGTATCAACAATTTAGATAAGTATAGTGTGGCCTTACGGATGTAAGTCCGTAAGATCATGCAGCATTGAAGATGTGCAGTTTACTAGATCTTCTAATATTCTCGGGTGTCTCACTGTTTCTTTTTTTTTTTTTTTTGAGATAGGGTATCACTTTGTCACCCAGTCTGGAATGCAGTGGCGTGATCAGGGCTCCCTGTAGCCTTGACCTCCTGGGCTCAAACCTCTCACCTCAGCCCCCTGAATAACGGGGATTACTGATTTGTGCCACCAAGCCAGGCTAATTTATTTTCTTTCTTTCTCTCTTTCTTTCTTTCTTTCTTTCTCTCTCTCTCTCTCTCTTTCTTTCTTTCTTTCTTTCTTTCTTTCCTTTCTTTCCTTCTTTCTTTCTTTTCTCTCTTTCTCTCTCTCTCTCTCTCTCTCTCTCTCTTCCTTTCTTCCTTTCTTTTTGTAGAGTTTGGGTCTCACTATATTGCCCAGGCTGGTCTTGAACTCCTGGCCTCAAATGATTCTCCCTCCTTGGCCTCCCAAAGTGTTGAGATTATAGTTTTCAGCCACCGCACCCAGCCTCACTGTTTTCTTCAGTTGTTTCTGAACAACTGGAATCTCAGCTGTCTTTTTCCATTAAATCCCGTGTTCGTTCCTCCATACCATGCTGCCTCTTGCCCATTTTTGCATTTCTCCTTTCTGCTTTCCTGAACATCCTGAGTCTTACTGGGCTGGCATTCCCTTGTTGGGACAGGGGAGAGGCTCTAGGCCTTGGATCCTTGTTCTGATTCCTTCTCCAAAGAGTTTTCCCTTTTTCTTCCCCTTTCAAAACAACATAAGTGCAAAAGCTTTGTCAGGATGTTGGGAATTAAAAAAGCTTCAGAAACATTTTGATTCATTTAACAACATTACTCTGAAACTTTTTAGAGTAAGAGTACCAAGTCACTGAATAAGACGATCTTGAAATTAAACGATATTTTACAGTTTTAAAAACACCTTCACAGATCTTTTCTTATTAGATTCTCAGCACAACCTTATGAGTTGGCACTGTCAAAATTCAGTTCAACAAACAAAATCCAACTAACAGGAAAACTCACAGCTAACATCATACTTAATGGTTGAAGACTGAAAGCTTTCCCCCTTAAGATCAGAACAAGACAAGGATGCTCTTGCCACTCCTATTCAACACTCTATTGGTGGTTCTAGGTGGGGCAGTTAAGCAGGAAAAAGAAAAGACATTTATATCAGAAAGAAATAAAACTATATTTACCGATGACATGATCTTACATGTAGAAAAATCCTACAGAATTTACCAAAAAAAATTGGAACTAATAAATGAGTTCAGCAAAGTTGCAGGATACAAGATTATTATCTAAAAATCAGTTGCATTCCTATATGCTAGCTATGGATAATCTGAAAATGAAATAGAAAAAATTCCATTTATAATAACATCAGAAAGAATAAAATACTTATGAATAAAGTTAACCAAAGAAGTACACTAAAAAGTACACTAAAAAACAGAAAACATGTTGAAGGAAATTAGAGATCTAAATAAATTGAAAGACGTCCTGTGTTCATGGCTTGGAAGACTTAATATTGTTAAGATGACAGTGCTACCCAGATTTATCTACAGGTTTAATGCAATCACTATCACAGCTCAACTGCCTTTTTCCCGGAAATGGACAACCTGATCTTATAATTCATATGGAATTGCAGAGCCATATTTGCCACAACAGTCTTGAAAAAAAGAGAACAAAATTGTAGGACTCATACTTCCTGATTTCAAAACTTATTACAAAACTACAGTAATCCAGATGGCATGTCACTGGCATGAGGAGAGTCTTGTAAACCAATGGAATGCAATTTAGAGTCCAGAAATAAACCCATACATTTATGGTCAGTTGATTTTGACCAGGGCGCCAAGATCATTAACTGGGGAAAGAATAATCTTTTCAACAAATGTTGCTGGGGCAACTGGATATCTACATGTAAAAAAATAAATTTGGATCCCTGCCTCACATCACATATGAAAATTAACTCAGAATGGATCAAAGACCTAAACCTGTTAAGTTCTTCGAAGGAAACATAGGTGAAAATCTGTATGACCTTGGATTAAATGGTGATTTTTAAAGATATAACACAAAAACACAAGCAGTGAAAGAAAAAGGTAGATAAACTGGACTTTGTTAAAGTTAAAAACTTTCATGCATCAAAGGACACTGTAGAATGAAGACAACTCACAGAATGGGGGAAAATATT
This sequence comes from Homo sapiens, assembly GCF_000001405.40. NCBI lineage: Eukaryota > Metazoa > Chordata > Mammalia > Primates > Hominidae > Homo > Homo sapiens. Next base: position 1,131,619 of record NT_187663.1, read on the forward strand.
TGCAAATTATATCTCTGATAAGTATATATATTTTATATATATGTTGTTTATATCCAGAATATGCAAAGAACCCTTTCAACTCAACAAAGATAAGACAATGGAATTTAAAAATGGGCAAAGCATTTGAATAGAATAGACATTTCTCCAAAGAAGATGTACAAATGACCTATAAGCACATGACAAGATCTTCAACATCATAGTCCATAGGGAATTACAAATCAAAACCACAATGAGAGATAACACTTTACACCCTCTAGGATGGTCATACTTTTTTTTTTTTTTTTTTTAAAGACAGTAACAAGTTTTGATAAGGAAGTAGAGAAATTGGAGCCCTCATTGCTGATGGGAATGTAAAATGATGCAGCTACTGCACAAAAGTTTTGCAGTTCCTTAAAAAACTAAACATAGAATAACTCAGCAATTCTACTCCTGGGTATAGACCCAAGATAATTGAAAACATATGTTCATACATTAACTTGTACATACATTAACATGTGGCATTATTCATAGTTGCCAAAAAGTGGAAGCAACCCAAATGTCCATCAGCTGATGAAATGATAAATACAATGTGGTATATCCATACAATGAAATCTTATCCAGCTGTAAAAAGGAATGAAGAAGCCAGGTGCAGTAGCTCACAACTGTAATCCCATTGCTTTAGGAGGCCACGATGGGAGGATTGCTTAAGGCCAGGAGTTCAAGATTGGCCTGGGCAACATAGACCCAGTCTCTACAAAATAAATAAATAAAAAGAATGAAATACTATTACGTGCCACAACATGAACCTTGGAAACATTATGCTAGGTGAAAATCCAGTCACCAAGATGACGAATTGTATGATTCTGCTTACGTGAAATGTCCACAATAAGCAAATTCATAGAGACAGAAAGTAGATTAGTGGTTGAGAAGGAGTGAGAGAAGGGATGAATTGAGATTAACGGCTAGTAGGGACAGAGTTTCTTTTTGGGGTGATGGGACTGTTCTGGAATTAGATAGTGATTATGGTTGTACAACATAGTAAATATACTAAAAACCACTCAAAGGCTGGGTGCAGTGGCTCATGCCTATAACCCCAACACTTTGGGAGACTGAGGCGGGAAGATTGCTTGAGGCCGAGAGGTCAAGACCAGCCTGGGCAACACAGCAAGACCTTGTTTCTACAAAAAAAAAAAAAAAATTGTTTTAATTACCTGGGTATGGTGGTGTGTGCCTGTAGTCCCAGCTACTTTGGAGGCTGAGGTGGGAAGATCACTTGAGCCTGTGAATTTGAGGTTACAGTGAGCTGTGATTGTGCCACTGTGATCCAGCCTGAGTGATAGAGCATGACCCTGTCTCTCAAAACAAAACCCTCCAAAAAACAAAAACCACCCAAGTATACATTTTAAATGATTAATTTTATGTGAAATATATCAGCTGGGCGTGGTGGTTCACACCTGTAATCCCAGCATTTTGGGAGGCAGAGGTGGGCGGATCACGAGGTCAGGAGATGGAGACCATCCTGGCTAACATGGTGAAACCCCGTCTCTACTAAAAATACAAAAAATTAGCCAGGCATGGTGGCACATGCCTGTAGTCCCAACTACTCAGGAGGCTGAGGCAGGAGAATTGCTTGAACCCGGGAGGCAGAGGTTAAAGCAAGCCGAGATCATGCCACTGCACTCCAGCCTGGGTGACAGAACGAGACTCTGTCTTTAAAAAAAAAAAAAAAAAAATCTCAAAAACGGCAATGAGAACTCAATTAATATTTATCATACTGTATATTCCCTGAGTGGTGCAGGAGAATCAGAGCTTAGAATCTTGTGAGGAAGGCATGGTACTTAAATAAGTCTAGTGTAAGGCAGCTTGTAATAAGTAGTACTAAGACTGCTGAAGAAGCACAAATAAAGGAGATATTCTATCTTACTAGGAACCAGGGAGTTTCACAAACTTGGCTTTGCAAGGTGGGAAAGATTTTCACAGGTGGAAGGGGTTTGAAATAGGGAATTCAGTCAAAAGGAATAGTGTGAGTGAAGGAATGGAGTTTGGAATGTGGGGTACATGGGGTTGGGGTGGGGTATTGAGGTAGATGACGCAGAAAAATAAGTTAAAGATAGATCTTGCATAGGTGGCTGTGAGTAGCATGCTAAGGAGTTTGGGCTTTATTACTTATGAATCATATTTTTGGTTTCAGGTCATGTCTGGTGGCAGAGGGAAGGCTGAATTGGAGGAGAACAAAAGCTAGAACCAGGGACAACAATTATTACCATTGTAGTTTTTTAGGAGAGGTGATATGGCTGAACTAGGTTATGGTTGTGAGGCTGGAAGGGAGGCACATCCAAGTGACAGTGCAGTAGACTTAGTAGACTCTTGATTGTTTATGTGTGCATTCCAGGGATAGGCAGTGAAGGGAAGAATGACCCTGAAATCTTGAATTTAATGACTTGAAAGGATAATGATGGTATTAACAGATGAGGAACATAGCAAGACAAACAAATGAAAAAGTGAATACTGAGGAGAAGGAGGTACCACTGAATTTGGCATTTAGTCATTGGTGATTTTGAAGACAGCAGTTACAGTAAAGTGGCTGCTGGAAAGGATTTCAAAGAATGGTTGAAGAAGATAGCCATAGGATGAGAACATGGAAGGCAAGGAAGGGAGACTTGAGAGATTTGGTAATAAAGAGAAGAGAGAAAAGGGTGCTAGTTTGAAATGAGTTAAAAGAACTACAGAGTAGAATTAAAATAAAGTAGAATTATGGGATTTTTGCTTTTTAAGTGACCCATGAGAGGCTTACTGGCAGTGTGCCAAGATTCAAGAGAGCAAAGATTGGCAGGGTGGGATTAAGTGATGGGATAGCCGGGTGCAGTGGCTCATGCCTGTAATCCCAGCACTTTGGGAGGCTGAGGTGGGTGGATCACTTGAGGTCAGGAATTCGAGATCAGCCTGGCCAACATGGTGAAACCTGTCTCTACAAAAAATACAAAAATTAGCCGGGTGTGGTGGTGGTTGCCTGTAATCCCAGCTATTTGGGAGGCTGAGGCAGGAGAATTGTTTGAACCTGGGAGGTGGAGGTTGCAGTGAGCCAAGATCGAGCCACTGCACTAACTCCAGCATGGGTGACAGAGTGAGACTCCATCTCAAAAAAGAGAAAACAAAAAACAAAAAAAAACGACGGTAGGGAGCCTTCTGCCTCTTTAAACATTTGAGATGCATGTCCTGAGATGCTTCTGTGAAGTTAAGAATATTAATTTTTTGATACGAATCTGACAAAACTAGACATCAAAATATGCCATATATGGTAATTAAAACAATGTGGTATTAGTATAGAAAGCAGACAAATAGTTAAGGAAGTAGAACAACCAACCCAGAAATAGAACCAGATACACCTGAAAACTTCATATATGAGGTTTAAAATCAGTGTGGAAAGCTGGAAATCACCCATAGTTTCGTTATCCAGTCAGTTGTTTTTCACATTTTGGTGTGTTTCCATTTAGTTGGTTTGCCATACTTTTTTAAAAATAATGCTTTAAGGCTGAGCGTGGTGGCTCACACTTGTAGTCTGAAGCAGGCAGATCACTTGAGGTCAGGAGTTCGAGACCAGCCTGGCCAATCTGATGAAACCCCATCTCTACAAAAAATACAAAAATTAGCCTGGTGTGGTGGTGCTTGCCTGTAGCCTCAGCTACTTGGGAGACTGAGGTGGGAAGATGGCTTGAGCCAGGGAAGCAAAGGTTGCAGTGTGCTGAGATGGCGCCACTGCACTCCAGCCTGGGTGATAAAGCCAGACCTTGCCTCACAAAAAAAAAAAAAAATGCTGTAAAGTAAAAGTTCTGTATACAATTCTGTGATATGAACCCTACCTTAGTGTGTTATGAGGATTTTGATCCTTATATGATATGATATATATAATCAAGTGCGGGTACGTTGTAGTTTACAGAACCATTACTTTGAAACAAGACCTTTAGGTTACTCCTAATTCATCACTGTTAAAATAATGCTGTAGGGAAAAAATTACACATAAAAGTTTTCTATATTTAAAATGATTTTTGTGAGACAAAGTTTATTTATTGTAAAAACAGTTCCAGCAGTTCAGAATTGTAAAGAGTTTTACAGAATTGTAAAGAGTTCAGAATTGTAAAGACATTTTCTTGTCTTTCTCCTTGGTGGTAACCACTGTTAACAGTTTAGTGTGTATCTTTTTTTTAAGTTTAGTTTTTATTTTTTTGTAGAGACAGGGTCTTGCTTTGTTGCCCAGGCTGGGGTGCAGTGGTGTGATCATAGCTCACTGCAGCCTCATACTCCTGGGCTCAAGCAGTCCTCCCACCTCAGCCTCCCAAGTAGTTGGGACTACCGGCATGTACCACCACGCCTGGCTAATTTCTGTATCTTTTGTAGAGACAGGGTTTCACCATGTTGCCCAGGCTGGTCTGGAACTCCTGGGCTCAGGCGATCCCCCTGCCTCGGCCTCCCAAAGTGTTGGGATTACAGGCATGAGCCACTGCACCTGGACTAGTTTCTTTTTAATTTCTGAGTAGTAGTCAATTGTATGGCTCTCCTATAATTTCTTCATTCATTCATCTTTTGGTAGACATTCATGTTGTTTCCATTTTTAGGCTATTATGAGTACAGCTGTTGTGATCATTTGTGTGCGAGTCTTTGTGTGGATATATTTTCATTTCTTTTGACTAAAAACCTAGGGGTGCACTTGTTGGGTCACATTAACTTTGTAGAAACTGCATTGCATCTTTGCCGATATTGAAAGTTGTCAGCCTTTTATATTTTTCTGTGCATGCTTTTCCCCCCAAAAGACCAAAATGGGAATTGTTTTTCTTTTCATTATAAACTTGTAAAGGAATTTTAAAGTTCTAAGGGATGCCAGGCAGGAGGTTCATCTATGTGAACAGTTATTAGTTTGAGATAGATAATGTCAAGGATATCCCTAAAGGCTTTTCAAGAGATAACTATAGGACATATAAGTTTAACTTATTTCTACCCCATCACTTCTAGTCACATGTGACTTCAGAATTTTAACAGAAATTATTATTATAGGAATATGTAGCACAGAGGGATTCCATAGGCCTGAAGATTAGTACTGATGGCCTTTCTTGCATTATTCTAGGCTAGTGCTATCCGATGAAACTTTCTGCAGTGATAACCACTAGCCACAGGTGGCTTTTGAAACGTAGGGCTAGTTCAACTGAAGAATTGAATTTAACTTTAAATTAATTTGAATAGTGAAATATGTCTAGTGATTACCGAACAGTGTAGTTCTGAAATGTTATTTTTCAGGAAAGATCCTCTAGCAAGAAGTAGTTGAGTGAGACCTGTTAGCTGAGCTGGCCCTGGGGCAGGTTTGTGTTTTCAGTCCTTCCCTTTCCTGTGGGAGAAATGAAACCAAAGCCTAGAGCACCACAGAAGAAGAACCAGTGGATTCATAAGGGTGACAGTTCAGGTAGGGGAAGCTGTTTGGTAATGAGCTCTTTTGGTCAGATGCCACACTATTTTTCTTTCTGTTTATTTTGCCCTATTAAATTATTTAGTAAATAGTAAAGCGTACTTTAATCCAGTTTTTAAAGTGGACGTTTGGATGAAAGTATGTGATTTAAATTCCAAAACTGTGCAGTGTTGTCCAGAAGAGTCCTGATTAAATCACCCCAGTTTCTTTGATGAAGATAAGCAAATAATTTTATTTTTTGCTGTAATCCCAGCTACTCGGAAGGCTGAGGCAGGAGAATCGCTTGTACCAGTCCGGAGGCTGCTGCCCTCTCACAGGGCTTCCTCCTCTTGCACAGACGCACCAGTGCCTTCAGCCCCACTGGTCTCCCTCTTCTCCTTTCCTGGCCCCTGCTGGCCCAGTAGATGGGCCACTGGAGGCCACTAGATGGGGACTGGGGAATGTGATGTTGGCGATCTGCGGTATCTTCAGGGTGACAGCCATACCCAACGCGTGGGACCTGGCTTCCACATCTATAGACCTGACCTAAGGAAATATGTGGGCGTGTGCATAAGGATGCCATCTCAGAACTGCATATTAATAAAAAGCTGAATCAAACAGTGTCCAACAAGGGTGGCTGTTCCAGCTGGTCATCTACAATCTCAGCTCACTGCAACCTCCGCCTCCTGGGTTCAAGCAATTCTGCCTTAGCCTCCCGAGTAGCTGGGACTACAGGCACACACCGCCACACCCGGCTAATTTTTTGTATTTTAGTAGAGATGGGGTTTCACCATGTTGCCCATGCTGGTCTTGAACTCCTGAGCTCAGGCAGTCCTCCCACCTTGGCCTCCCAAAGTGCTGAGATTATAGGCGTGAGCCACCGCACCTAGCCTGTACTTTCATTTCTTAATAACTGCATGACTGTAGTGGTTGGCTTTCATTATTGTTTCCTAGGGGCAAGGTCAATGTTAGAAAAATTGTGGAATTTTCCCTTGGCATTGCTGTGGTGAGTAGACAGCTACTATTTATAGAGACTTATACTTCGTTGAAAAAATGAGATACCATGCCTGGCTTACCATAAAAACACAGATGTTTCTGGATTCCAGTAGGGAGGCCTTTTGTTCACAGCATCTGTTTTGGTTGGCCAGCCAGATGACTTCTGTGGATTTTTTCACTCCTTTTGAAGGACACTTGACAAATAAACAAGTTTATAAATGAAAGAGTTAACAGCATTTTGTAAATTTATTTTATTACTTTAGCTATATCGTTCTGTATATTTTGAACTATCAGTTCATTTTAGCTCAATTTTATCACTTCCTAAATAACCTTGAGACGATCAGTCCTTTGTTACATGTTCTTTGGATTGTTTATTCTGCAGTTGAGACAGATTTTTATTGATCTATAAATTTTTGTGTTCAACAAACATTTAATGAGTATTCACTGTGTACTAGGCCCTGTACTAACACTGGGAACTACATATGTGAGCAAGATATAGTCTCAGTCTTTGAGAAGTTTAGTGTCTTATATGCAGTGCAAACATGTAGACAGAATAAAATTATAGTTGAGTGCTTCCATTTGAAGTTTATTTCATCAGTTTAGTGGGGAGGGGTAGGTGTCTAGGAATGCCTTCCAGAAAAAGTAGTGTCTAAGTGGAGAATTGTAGAATGAGTGGGAGTTGTCCAGGGATGGAACAGGGGTTAGTGGCGGAGATTATATAAAAGAAAGAAGCTTGCAGGTGAAAATGACCCTGGGAAAGTGGGAAACTGAAAAAGTTCAGTACATTTCTGTCATATGGCTGATCAAGCTGTGACTGGGCAAAATGCTGTCAGCATTTGTTGAACACATAAATGCTGTCTCATTCACAAAGGAGACTTGTGACCTAGACTTTATTCATCTTGTGCTAAATTAGTGATTTCCAAACATTTGATCATGAATCTCATAAGTAAAAAATGTTTTGATTATGTATCCTCATATATTGATTATATGCCAATATTTGTTTATAGATGATATGTAGTACTAAAAGTTATATACGCAGTAGAACATGTATAGAAAACAAAAAAAATTAAAAGGATGAGCTAAAGATGGCATGTACAATATTCTCACAGTGTTAATTTTACTGAAAATACGGAAAGTAGGCTGGGTGCAGTGGCTCACGCCTGTAATCCCAGCACTTTGGGAGGCTGAGGGAGGCAGATCACTTGAGGTCAGGAGTTTGAGACAAGCCTGACCAATATAGCGAAATCCCATCTCTACTAAAAAATACAAAAATTAGCTGGGCATGGTGGCACACGCCCGTAATCCCAGCTACTCGGGAGGGTAAGGCAGGAGAATTGCTTGAACCCGGGAGGCGGAGGTTACAATGAGCCGAGATCATGCCACTGTACTCCATCCTGGGCGACAGAGCAAGACTCCATCTAAAAAAAAAAAAAAAAAAAAAAAAAAACCCAGAAAGTAAAGTGGTACATCATTATTTAAAATCTTCGTTTAATATTATGTGATACAGCTGCTCAGAGGGCTGTTTCTAAATTCAGTTTATTTTGATACTTTAATGGCAGTCAAAGCCTGGATCAAAATGGAAGAATTTGGCTGCACTTTCTAAATCATATTCTTTCTTTCTCCAAACTTATTCACTATTTATGGAAATGCTTTATTGAAATGTGGCTGGTAAATATCCATCTATTAGTTTTTCTTGCAGATTAATAAAAATATATTATACTTTTATTGTGTTAATAAATGGGTTCCAAAAATCACTGTTAAGTCTTCATTTGGAAGATATTTTAAAAAGTTTTAGAATATTCTGTTTCTGACTTTATAAAGCATGAAGATACGAGTTTTTGGTGTCTTTATTTTTTAGATTTTGTATATATTGTTTCAACAGCAGAATAACTTAGCAATGGAAATGTTTCCAATTATCCAATTTTGAAATGCTCTATTAGGAAAGATTTTTTTTTCTCTCGCTCTCTTTTTTTTTTTTTTTTTTTTTTAAAGATGAAGCCTCTCTCTTGTCCCCAAGGCTGGAGTACAATGGTGCCATCTTGGCTCACTGTAACCTCCGCCTACTGGGTTCAAGCGATTCTCCTGCCTCAGCCTCCCGAGTAGCTGGGATTACAGGTGCCCGCCACCACGCCCGGCTAATTTTTGTATTTTAAGTAGAGATGGGGTTTCACCATGTTGGCCAGGCTAGTCTCAAACTCCTGACCTTAGGTGATCCGCCTGCCTCATTCTCCCAGAGTGCTGGGATTACAGGCGTGAGCCACTGCACCCGGCCGATTTTTTTCTCTTTTTCTTTTTTCTGGAAAAGCTGAAAATAATTCTGACATGTTGCTAAACATTTTTATTTTGTAGGGGCAGAGTGAGTTTTTTTGTTTTTTTAATATCTTCTTGGTAGCATACTACTTATAACCTCCTCAGAAATATTTAGCAAGTTTGGAACTCTAGTCTTTTTATTTTAAAAAAATTGTGTAACTCATCTACATTTAACAAATCTTTTAAATACATTTCTTGTGGTAACTAGTGAATCTGTGTGGATTTAAAAACAAAAAAAAGATTATGAGGCCAAGGCAGGTGGATCACTTGAGGCCAGGAGTTTGAGACCAGCCTGGCCAACATGGTGAAACCCCATCTCTACTAAAAATACAAAAATTAGTCAGAAGTGGTGGTACACAACTGTAGTCCCAGCTACTCTGAGCTGAGAATGCGCCACTGCATTCAATTCTGGGCGACAGAGCAAGACTATCTCTCAAAAAAAAAAAAAAAAAAAATTCAGTGGCTACTCTCTATCTCCCAGAGTATAGGAAGATTCTATATTCATACAGTTAACCTCAGTGACATCTGAGGTACCTTGTTCTGACTTAATTGCAGCAATAGTTTACCTGTGAATGAAGCCGTTAAAGGCTTTTGTATCAGATGCTATCACTGTAACTTTGTTCTGGAATTTTTTTTTTTTTGAGATAGGGTCTCGCTCTGTTGCCCAGACTGGAGTACAGTGACACGATCTCAGCTCACTGCAAGCTCCGCCTCCCGGGCTCACGCCTTTCTCCTGCCTCAGCCTCCCGAGTAGCTGGGACTACAGGTGCCCGCCACAACGCCTGGCTAATTTTTTGTTATTTTTTAGTAGAGACGGGGCTTCACCGTGTTAGCCAGCATGGTCTCGATCTCCTGACCTCATGATCCACCCACCTCGGCCTCCCAAAGTGCTGGGATTACAGGTGTGAGCCACCGCAGCTGGCCAGAATTCTTTTTTAAAATTCCAGTCAAAGCAGTCATTTCATCAGTGGTTACAGTTTTCCCATAAAGCACCTTGTTTCATTTACAGTTAAGAATACCTCCCTTTTAATACATTGTTCCTTGGTATCTTACAAAGTTGTATTTCCTGTATATTTCATAATTACCCAGCAAATACCCTAAGATGAAAGAATCATCTGTATTTTTATCCAATTGTATAGCAAACCCCACACACTGTATTTGTCCTGATATCTTCAAGTCTTTAGGGTTTTCTAAGAGCTTTTGACTATACTTACCAATAAAAGAATACATTTAGTTTGTCACCATTTTTATTTCTGTGTATAATTTCAGCTATGGTCCTTGGCTTTTTTTAGGGAAACCTTAGCAGTTTCGACACTAACTTTCGTACAATTTTGTGAAGTGTCACATTAAATAGCCTGTGACTTTAGACATAGGTGGAAAAATTATAGACGTTTAACTCTTGCAGTGAACACTTAAAAGCCTGGTGGATTATGAGGACTTTGTTCGTGCCATCAGATTATATCTTAAGGTAGAGTAGACATGTAGAGTGAGGTTCATCTTTAATAAAAAATGGGCTGGGTGCAGTGGCTCACACCTGTAATCTCAGCACTTTGGGAGACCGAGGTGGGTGGATCACAAGGTCAGGAGATCGAGACCAGCCTGGCTAACACGGTGAAACCCTGTCTCTGATGAAAATACAAAAAAATTAGCCAGGCGTGGTGGTGGGTACCTGTAGTCCCAGCTACTTGGGAGGCTGAGGCAGGAGAATGGCGTGAACCCGGGAGGCGGAGCTTGCAGTAAGCCGATATCGCACCAGGGCAGTCCAGCCTGGGTGACAGAGTGAGACTCTGTCTCAAACAAATTAAAATAAATAAATAAATAGATAAATAAATGGTGTGGCTGGACGCAGTGGCTCACGCCTGTAATCCTAGCACTTTGGGAGGCCGAGGCGGGCGGATTGCCTGAGCTCAGGAGTTCGAGACCAGCCTGGGCAACGTGATGAAACCCCCGACTCTACCAAAAATTCAAAAATTAGCTGGAGCATGCCTGTAACCCAGCTACTTGGGATGCTGAGGCATGAGAATCGCTTGAACCAGGGAGGCAGAGATTGCAGTGAGCTGAGATCCACCATTGCACTCCAGCCTGGGCAACAGAGAGAGACTGTGTCAAAAAACAAAACAACACATAAATAAGAAATTGTGTAAAGTCAATATAAATACCAGTACTAATATTTTATTTTTATACCCCAAAGGATTATCGTATAATACAAACACCCTTCAAGTACACATATCCCACTTTGGAGACTAATGCCCTAAACAACAGGGATAATGATATTGAAACTGGCCTTTTAGTTAAAATAAAAGCAAAGCCAAAAATAATTCACTTTCCTCTATAAATTTATATTTGGGAGACACATTTAAGAATAATCGTCCTGGCCAGGTGCAGTGGTTCATGCCTGTAATCCCAGCACTTTGGGAGGCCAAGGTGGGCGGATCGTGAGGTCAGGAGATCAAGACCATCCTGGCTAACACGGTGAAACCCTGACTCTACTAAAAATACAAAAAATTAGCTGGGTATGGTGGCGGGCACCTGTAGTCCCAGCTACTCAGGAGGCTGAGGCAGGAGAATGACATGAACCCGGGAGGCGGAGCTTGCAGTGAGCCGAGATCACGCCACTGCACTCCAGCCTGGGTGACAGAGTGAGACTCCATCTCAAAAAAAAAAAAAAAAAAAAATCAGCTTTGGCTTGAGGTTTGAAGAATGAACCCTTCAGTCATAGACTATGACTACCTGTCATAGCTCACTAGGAAACCCTAGGGAATCATGGAAGGGTTATTGGTTAAATATATTATATAAAGGAACATTTTGCTAGTTGCTATTGACCAAAAAGGCTGTTTTTTTTTTTTTAAATATAGTCTGTAATTATTTTTGTTGAAAGATATTTGGAAGATGGTTTTTCTCAATCTATAGGAGATACAGTTCGTAGCCACCTGGGATCTCTTATAAAAAGATACTTTTTCATAGTATACTCTTTATAATATGCATAACATTTCATAATATACTTTTGATAATATACATAAAATTTGATACATAAGTTTACCAAATTTATTGAATTTACTTCAGTACATTTTTATTAGTCAAGATTCTTTGGAAGATATGGAAAGCTAATTCAAAAAAGCTTGAGCAAAAAAAATTTGTTGGCTCGTAACTAATGTTCAGGACTGGTCTCAAGAACTTGGTTGCCAGATCTGTGTTTCCAGGTTATCTATTAGCTTGTCTGTGTCTCTGTGATAGTTTTACCCTTTTAGAGTGGAAAATCTTCCTCCTTGTGGTGCTCTGGCTTGCAGAAGAATGCCTTTGGTCTAGCGCCAGCATATATAAAATCCTGTGGGTGGGATAGAGTAGATGTGGTTGCATGTGTGCTGACTGGCAGTCTCACTAAACCACATGGAATGGGAAAGGAACAGTTTCCCAAAGGAAGGGTTTGCTCTTAATGCAGAGGAAGGGATGCTGGGAGTCAAAAATAATAGATGTTCATTATAGCAATGAGTGATGAAGAGAGGACAGAAAGGCATAAAATATTCTTTAAGGGAATAGAACATGACTTAATTTGATTTTCCTAATCATTGATTCTTACAGAGCATGCAAGCGGCAAGATGTCCTACAGATGAATTATCTTTAACCAATTGTGCAGTTGTGAATGAAAAGGATTTCCAGTCTGGCCAGTGAGTATCTGACTTTGTTTTCTTTTAACCTGCTAAGTGGCATTCGGGAAACTTCCAGAGAGTCATTTTTAGGAAACGTTGGAAAATATTTTTAAAAAATTCTTGCTGAGTTGGAAAATGGAGAAGATGAGAAAAAGTTATGTATTTGAATCATTACTGTGTCAAACTTTGATAAATACTGTATAATGTTTTAAAAATGTTTTATGTATAAAACTCTAGTTTTCATCAGTTTTCTTAGTAGAGCTAAACATACTGGTTGTATGAATCATATATGGCAGAGTTGTTAGGTGTTTGGTTCTGGCAAACTCAGATTGTTTGAGTTTTCCTGGCTCTACCAATTACAAACTGTGTGACCATTTCTGTACCTCTATGTCCTGATCTGTAAAATGGAGATGATCTCTTCCTCAAGGTAGCTATGAAGATTGAGTTACATAAATAAAGCACTTAGAACAGTTCCCAACATGTTAACAATCCCTTAGTAAATATTAGCTGTTATGATTATTATTACCATGATAATCCAAGAGACATGAACATTGGAAGATGGGCTGGGTATGGAGGCTTACGCCTGTAATCCTAGTACTTTGGGATGCCAAGGCAGGCTGATTGCCTAAGCTCAGGAATTTGGGACCAACCTGGCCAACATGGTGAAACCCCATCTCTACTAAAAATAAAAATTAGCCAGGCATGGTGGTGTGCGCCTGTAGTCCCAGTTTCTCAGGAGACTGAGGCATGAGAATCACTTGAACCCAGGAGGCAGAGACTGTAGTGAGCCGAGATCGCGCCACTGCACTCCATCCTGGGTGACACAGCGAGACTCTGTCTCAAAAAAAAGTAAAGGAAAAAGAAAATTGGAAGCTGCAAAGCAAATGTAGAATCCTTAAAGGCATTTTGCACTGTAATTTATTTTAACTGATTCATATCACCGCACTGCCAGGACTTCTAAAGACCCTGCTGCAAGTTCAGTGCCATCCATATGCTTCTGAGATTGGTACAGATAAGGAGATGAAGGGGCTGTAGGGAAATAAGAGGCAAGGTGGTAGGGTTTTAACTGAGCATTTTTCTTAAAATGTTATCTGTGAAATACCTGAGTTTCACAGAGTTAGAAATGCTAATCATCTTTGGTTTCCAGCTTCAGAGTAAGAGGCTGTACTATATGGTGATATTAACATTGTTTCCAGTGCTAAACATTCTGTGATGCTAAATTGAGCACAGGATTTTCAACAGATAAACTGAAGTATAGATAATCAACGTGAGAATTTGTGGAATTCTTTTACATATGTTAAATGTTCACTGTACTCATGGTGGGGTTACTCAAAATGTAGTTGATATAAGGAACATGTGTTCTAGTGGCAAAAAAAATACGTATAGAAACATTAGCCATTGATGTGAAAAATTACAGCATTCTGAAAAGATAATGTTTAAAAAGATAGTGAGCTAGGCATGTTAGGGCATGCCTGTAGTCCCAACTACTTTAGAGACTGAAGCAGGAGAATCTCTTGAGCCCAGGAGTTTGAGGCCAGCCTGGTCAACATAGCAAGACCACATGTATTAAAAAAAAAAAAAAAAAAAAAAAAAGATACTGCTGCTGCATAACAGGATTTGAAGCTTCTATCTTACACATAGTACTTTTTAGTTACCTGGTATAGGAGATTATCATGAGAGGACTGTTTTTTTTTTTATTTACAGGTAATTTCTGAACAGGGAATTAGCACAAAATTTTTTAAAACAGTAAATATTGATATCTACATGAAAGCTGATGTATTTTAGGAATTTTTTAAATCTTTTTTTTTTTTATTTTGTAGGTTGTTTTTGTTTTAGCCTGTTGAGAGAGTCTGCAAATAAATTTAATGAGTAGTCTAAAAACTAACTTTTTTTTGATTGCTATATCCTAGCTCTTTTATCTTTGGCTCTCTTCTCCTTATTAGGATGTGAAGTAATTCTCAGGAGAGGAAATGCATCTAGTTTTTACTTGATATCAAGGACTCTAAATCACTGGCTTCAGTTTTATGTAAACTGGAAATGTAAGGAAGTTGGTATTTTGGATGGTATTTTGGCTGGATTCTACTTGATGAGTGTTTGACCCAAGGTGCTCCTTATATCTGGAAAACATTTGGGATTGCTGATAGTTTGGGAAACTAAATTTGTGGTTCTATTTCTTCAAGACACAGATAGTGTCGTTTCCACCTGATACTCATTAAATATCAGTTTGACAAGAAATACATTTTGAAATTATGTTCTTCATTTCCTTCAATGTGGAGTACTAACTGTGTTTCTGTCCTTTAGGCATGTGATTGTGAGGACCTCTCCCAATCACAGGTACACATTTACACTGAAGACACATCCATCGGTGGTTCCAGGGAGCATTGCATTCAGTTTACCTCAGGTAACTCAGATGTTAATTTGTTCTCTTCTGTTTTTGAAAGTCATAGAATATGAATAATCTGTTCATTTTAAGCAAGCATCACCCTGTGACTGTATTGATTCATATTGAAGAAAAATATCTAAGTATTATATAAGGAATTTAAAGATACAGTCTTCTTTTTTTTTTTTTCTTTTTTTTTTTTAAGACAGGGTCTCGTTCTGAGACCCAGGCTGGAGTGCAGTGGCACGATCATGGCTCCTGGTCTCAAGCAATTCTCATACCTCAGTCTCCCGAGTAGCTGAGACTACAGTCTTGTACCACTGTGCCTGACTAATTTTAAAATTTTTTGTAGAGATGGTGTCTTAACTGTGTTGCCCAAGCTGGTCTTTAACTCTTGGGCTCAAGTAATCCTCCCACCTTGGCCTCTCAAAGTGCTGGGATTATAGGGTGTGAATCATCATGCCCAACCTAAAGACAGATTCTTAATTGCCAGTTTTTGCTATGGCTGCCTTCTTTTGGCTTGATTTTTTTTCCCTAATTTTTAAAGATTTTGCAGTAAAATCAGTCAGCTATCACATAAAGCGTCAAGTTATTTTAATGTTAACTGCCAGGGTAATAGAAAAGTAGAAAACATTTTATTTGTGAAGTTGATATCTAAGAATGGTGATTTTATAATGTGATGGCGTTATACTAAAGAATTTGGAAAGAGTCTCAAATTACAACATAATTTGCTAGGCTCCCATAACAACTGGATGGGTTGTGATTACAGTTACAACTGTTGATGGATTCTGTAGAATCCAGAGAATTAGATTGCTTAGTGCTGTCCCAGGCACATCATACATAATATAAAGCACCAAGAATACTAGTCTGTATCCTCTTCTCCCTTATCATTTTACTCAGGCTGCTGACTGTCCCCAGTCCTAAGTAATGTAAATGGAATTCCTACCTCCTCCTAGTATGCTAATGAGCATTGGTTGACTTCCCTGAAGGTTTAGAGAAAGAGATCAAACACTCATTTAAGAACTATTAGGCTGGGTGCAATGACTCATGCTGGTAATCCCAGCACTTTGGGAGGCCAAAGCTGGTGGATCACTTGAGTCCAGGAGTTCAAGACCAGTGGGCAACGTGGCGAAACCCCACCTCTACTAAAAATATAAAAATTAGCTGAGTGTGGTGGTGCATGCCTGTAGTCCTAACTTCTTGAGGGGCTGAGGCAGGAGGATCACTTGAGCCCGGGAAGTTGAGGCTGCAGTGAGGCGAGATAGTGCCACTGTACTCTAGCCTAGGTGACAAAGTGAGACCCTGTTTAAAAAAGAAAAAAACAAAAACAAAAACTATTAGATGGGCCAGGTACCTCACGCTTGTAATCCTAGTGCTTTGGGAGGTGGAGGAGGATCGCTTGAGACCAAGAATTCCAGATCAGCATAGCGAGACCCTTGTCCCCCGCACTAGTCTCTACAAAAAAAAAAATTTTTTTTAATTAGCTGGGCATGGTGGCACATGCCTGTAGTCCAGGCTACCTGGGAGGCTGAGGTTGGGAGGATCACTTGAGCCTAGGAAGTCGAGGCTGTAGTGAGCTATGATTGTGCCACCATGCTCCAGCCTTTGCTCCAGAGTGAGATTCTGTCTCTTAAAAAAAAGGGAAAAAAAAGGAACTATTGAAGATCTCTTGAAGCCCTCAAAAATTACAGGAAATTTTCACTTACTATTCCACCTGTCTGTTTGATGCCTCTTCATTATCCAGACCACTTTCACGTTTGTTTCTATAGATTAAAAGTTTGGGATATTCCAGGGTTCTCCAGCTTTTACAGAGTTCCATTTGGGATTCTGATTGTTAGCAATAGCTTGAGGTGTGACAGTTTCTCCTTGTCTCTGTTTTGTAAAAAAAAAAAAAAAAATTTCCCCGACATTCACTGTAGGCCAGCCTCTATTCTAGGTACTTTGGCATGTGTTAGCTCATTTAATTCTCCAAACAACCTTATACAATAGCTACTGTTGTTATCCCTAAGGACTGTTGTATTAGTCCATTTTCATACTGCTATGAAGAAATTCTGGAGACTGGATAATTTATAAGGAAAAATGAGATTTCATGGACTCACAGTTCCACATGGCTGCAGAGGCCTCACAATCATGGTGGAAGGCGAAGGAGGAGCAAAGTCATGTCTTACATGGCGGCAGACAAGAGAGCGTGTGCAGGGGAACTGCCCTTTATAAAACCATCAGATCTTCTGAGACTTACTCACTATCATGAAAACAGCATGGGAAAACCCACACCCATGATTCAGTTACCTCCCACTGGGTCTCTCCCATAACACATAGGGATTATGGAAACTACAATTTAAGATGAGATTTGGGTGGGGGCAAAGCCAAACCATATCAGCTGTCTTTGGGATTGAAGTACAGAACCTAAATGTGGCTTCCTTGTGACTTAAAGTCTAAGCTTAACGAGCATGGTGCTAAATTTCAGGTTGGCCAGAAGTGGGATGGGGTTTTACAGAAGAGGTCTTCTGGGGGAGGTGAAGGGCAGAGTGGAGGGAAACAGGATGTGGTAAGAAAGCCACAAGGGAGAGCACTTGTTGCACATATTCACAGTTCAGTGTCTTCTAAATTACCCGCCACAAAGTCTGCAGTGTTTGGATGGGCAGGTGAACTACTGATTTTCAACCAAAAATTGTTTTTCTCATTGTTCTTTGGAGTGTTATCAGTAATTACTAATTTTGAATCTATACCAAGCAAACCCCAGATTCCTGCCTAAACACAATCTGGCCTGCCTTCATACTTCTTGCCATTGTAAACAGTAGGGATTTGGGAAAGCCTGAAATCTAGCTGTAAATGTCTAAAAATCTTCTGGCTAGTATACAAAGAGTAGCCATGACCATCTAATGATTTCAGTCCCTGACTGGGTTTCAAAATAGATTTTCTGACCAGTTTTAATTTAGTCTTCATGAATTGAATGTCTTCCTTTTTGAGATACTGTAACAAACAGTAAAACTAACTGCAGCAGTACATTTAGAACACTGAAGTGTGATCTGATACAGTGAAGACCTTCTGTAGCATCATATTGCGCAAAGGAACATCCTCCTCAGTGGTGCCAGCTTTACTGCAAAAGGCAAGCTTTGCACGTTTTGAAACAGATGTTCAGATGTAAACTGTAGCACATGCTTTACTTTCCTAGGGTAAGTAACAAAGAACCATTACTGGGTAGCTTAAAACAACAGAGATTTATTCTGTCACCGTTGTGGAGGCCGGAAGTCTGAAATCAAGGTGTCAGTAGAGCTATTCCCTCTCTGAAGGCTCTAGGGAAGAACCTGTTCTGTGCTTAGCTTCTGGTGTTGCCGGCAATCCTTTGGTGTTCCTTGGCTGTAGCTGCATCATTTCAATTTCTGCCTCTGCTATCACATGATGGCATTCTGTCTGTGTGTCTATGTCTCTTTCTTAGAAGGACACCAGTCATATCGGCTTAGGGTTCACCCTAATTCATTATGACCTCATGTTAACTTGATACATTTGCAGAGATTGTATTTCTAAATAAAGTCACATCCACAGGTGTTGGGGGCTAAGACTTCAACATACTTTGGAGGGGGAGAGCACAGTTCAACCATAATAGCATACCATGTTTTGATCTTTGAGTGTATTCCTAAAATTCATTAAAATTCCTCTTTTTCTCTTGTCTAATTTTGATGGCTTTGGTTTTAAGTATCTTTTTTTCTCCTTTACAGAGAAAATGGGCTGGGCTTTCTATTGGGCAAGAAATAGAAGGTAGGTATATTTTTTAGCCACCTGATAAAGATTTTCTATGTGATTTTCTCACAGTTATTGAGATCTGTACAATTTTCTATTACTAGTGGTCAGATCTTAAACATTCATTGTATCAGAAGACTGGTTACATCTATGAGAATGGGAAGGAAATAGTTATGGTACCTCTGTTCCTATATCTTTTATGAAGTGTGTGATAAGGTCGTCATAGTTCAAGGCAAGGAAAGCAATTTATGACTTCCAGTTGGGGGCGTGGCGGGGTGGAAAGACTAAGCTGCTAATAGATAATAAGCCAAAGAACTAATAAGCAAAAAGTGGCATTGTCTCAGGCAATGTGGCAAAGTTAGGAAATGGAGTATGAGTCGTCTTTAGTCAGATGATTTTATGTCAACTTCATGGATACAGTAGGGGAAGGAAAGAAAATGCAAGTGTAATTAAACCAGCTTTTCTTCTGCTTGTCTTTAAAACTTAAAAAAAAATTGTATTTATAGAAAGGTTGCAAAAATAATACGAAGAATTTCTGTATACTACCTTTACCCAGCTTTACCAATTGTCATATTTTCTTTATCATTCTGGCTCCCTGTCTTCCTCTCTGGGTCTCTGTCTCTCTCTGTACACACACACACACACACACACACACACACACACACACACACACACACATCTTTTATCCTACTCCTCATTTAGGAACCTGACAACTTGTAATTTTTTCTAAGTTAGATGGAATTTAAACATTGGGGTTATTTTATTTTATTTTATTTTTGAGATGGAGTCTCGCTCTGTTGCCAGGCTGGAGTGCAGTGGCGCAATCTCGGCTCACTGCAACCTCTGCCTCCAGGGTTCAAGCGATTCTCCTGCCTCAGCCTTGCAAGTAACTGGGACTACAAGCACTTGCCACCACACCCGGCTAATTTTTGTATTTTTAGAAGAGATGGGGTTTCACCATGTTGGCCAGGCTGGTCTCGATCTGTTGACCTCGTGATCCACCTGCCTTGACCTCCCAGAGTGGTGGGATTACAGATGTGAGCCACCACGCCCAGCCAACATTGGTGTTATTTTTAGTTAGCTTTTTCTTTGTGGAAGTATGAACACTTGTTAAATTTAATGAGAAAGTGGGGTAGTATGTAGCTTAGGTTTCTAATTTTCATAAATTAATTTTTCTAAATATGAGGCTAAGAGTACTTAAAACTTTGAATCTAGATATTTTCTATTGTGACAAGATACAGAAATTCAAGATTATAAATTTTGATGAGTTGAGAAATGTGTTTTGCGGTTTAAGTTATAAAAGCATTCTTCTGCTAACAGAAATGCTTATCTGGATTGTAAAGTCAGATCTTTAAAGAAGTGGCTCAAACAGACTTAATAAGCAAAATTGTAAAACCCAGTGATAGGTGGGACTAAAGTGGAGTAAGCTTGAGGGAAGGTAGGGTTTTGGGGCCCAAGTGATGTGGATGATGTAGCCATAAAGATAGAAAACTGGTTTGGTTTAAGTAGTGATGTAGACCAAGATAGGATAGGAGGTGTGGTTTGAAGGAGTGCTCAAGTATTCTGGAATGGGAGTTCCGTAAGGTGAAACATTTTAGTCAAATCAGTGATTTTAGTCTGAGGGAATCTTCTGGAGGAATCATTTAGTCGGTCTTCTTTCCATCTGGCAATGCCATATTTTAAGTGTTACAGGCTAATGTTTTGACCACTATATATACACCTATTATTGTAAAGTCCAAGTTTATTCAAAGAACTGGATACACTTATTTTTTGCTTATAAAATCTTTCTTATTAGTCTTTTATATTAAATTACTATTAGCCGTAAAATAAGAAAACATTCTCAATCTTCTTTGATCCAGGATGAAATCTTCAGGACTCTTGTCCCTTTGGGACTGACCATGGTGCTGACTGTGGTGCTGCCTGGGATACTGTCCATGGTGCTGCCCATAGCACTTGAAATTGTAACAGTTTGGTCTTTTCTATTTAGGAACATTGGCCTTAAATTAAAATGCATTTGAAAACTACAGTCAGTGCATTACTACAGTCAGTAGTAATTATATTTTTATTTATTTATTTTTGAGATGGAATCTCGCTCTGTCGCTGAGGCTGGGGTGCAGTGGCATGATCTCAGCTCCCTGCAACCTCCTCCTCCCCAGTTCAAGCAATTCTGCTGCCTCAGCCTACTGAGTAGCTGGGATTAGAGGCATGTGCCACCACACCTGGCTAATTTTTGTATTTTTAGTAGAGAAGGGGTTTTGCCATGTTGGCCAGGCTGGTATCGAACTCCTGACCTCAAATGATCCACCTACCTCAGCCTTCCAAAATGCTGGGATTACAGGCATGAGCCACCACGCCTGGCCAATATTTTAAATATACTTATTCAAATTTCTCAGTATGAAGATGACATGAATATATGTATATACACACATATATATGCATTATGACATTATGATATTGTTTTGGTGTCTTTAATGCACAAAATGGTATTATACTGTACAAACCTTTCTGCAGTAGACTTTTGTCACTCAATATTATGTTTTCAAGGGCCATCCATCTTTTTTTGAGATGGAGTTTTGCTCTTGTTGCCCAGGCTGGAGTACAGTGGTGTGATCTTGGCTCACTACAACCTCTCCTCCCAGGTTCAAGCAATTCTCCTGCCTCAGCCATCTGAGTAGCTGGGATTACAAGCACTCACCCCCACGCTGGCTAATATTTTCTATTTTTATTAGAGATGGGGTTTCACCATGTTGACCAGGCTGGTCTTGAACTCCTGACCTCTGGTGATCCACCCACCTCAGCCTCCCAAAGTACTGGGATTACAGGTGTGAGCCACCACGCCTGGCCAGGCCGTCCATCTTTAATAAATATACATAAAGTTGGTTTTTGTTTTTTTGTTTTTTTTTTGTTTTTTTGACAGGGTCTCACTTGGCTGGAGTGCAGTGGTGCAGTCGTGGCTCACTGCAGCCTCAGTACCTGGCTAATTTTTTAATTTTGTGTAGAGATAGGGTTTCACTGTGTTGCCCAGTCTGGTCTCTAAATCTTGGACTTAAGTGATCTTCCCTCCTTAGCCTCCCAAAGTGCTGGGATTGCAGGTGTGAGCCACTGTGCCTGGCCAAGTTTTAATTTCAATAAAAATTGCTGTAAAGTATTCTACATTATGAATATACTACATTTTATTCATTGTTCTCCTACTGATAAACATTTTTCAATGTTTAAGTACTATAAATAATGCTGCAATGAACCTCCCTGTAGATGTGTTGTTAGACAAATGTTCTAGCATCTTTCTGGGACAGACATCTAGAAATGGAATTGCTGAATCATCATATTCATTTTTACATTAATATTTCAACCTATAAATGTTTTCAAACTACATGAGGGAAACAACTAAGCTCTTTTGCCTATCAAAGTTACTCAGCATATAACCTGTACTTTCTAGGATTTTTTTTTTTTTTTTTTTTTTGAGACAGAGTTTCACTCTTGTTGCCCAGGCTGGAGTGCAATGGTGCGATCTTGGCTCACTGCAGCCTCGCCTCCCAGGTTCAAGCGATTCTCCTGCCTCAGCCTCCTGAGTAGCTGGGATTACAGGCATGCACCACTGCGCCCGGCTAATTTTGTAGTTTTTAGTAGAGACGGGGTTTCTCCACGTTTGTCAGGCTGGTCTCGAACTCCCGACCTCAGGTGATCCGCCCAACTCAGCCTCCCAAAGTGCTGGGATTACAGGCATGAGCCACCGTGCCTGGCCATTCTAGGAAATGTTAAGAAGGAGCAAGCCATCCAGAATTGGAGACAGGAGAGTATTCTGAAACTTTTAGCCAAAATTTGAACTTATTATTTGATCTTCAGTGAGTTTTATGTTCCTTCCTCAGGCTTTGTTATTTTGCTTTTGAAGTAGTTAAAATATGTATATGTCCCCCTTTAAATACAGAAATCTGATTATACAAACAATTTCATTTAAAGAGTTTACAGAAAATCGGCCGTTCGTGGTGGCTCACGCCTGTAATCCCAGCACTTTGGGAGGCCAAGGCAGGCAGATCACTTGAGGTCAGGAGTTCGAGACCAGCCTGGCCAACATAGTGAAATCCTGTCTCTACTAAAAATACAAAAATTCGCTGGGCATGGTGGTGTGCGTCCGTAATCCCAGCTACTTGAGAATCTGAGGCACGAGAATCACTTGAATCCGGGAGGTGGAGGTTGCGGTGAGTTGAGATCGTGCCACTGCACTCCAGCCTGGGTGACAGAGCAAGACTCTGTCTCAAATATAAAATAAGAGTTTACAGAAAATCCTTGTACATAACTCAAGGGTCTAGAATTTAAGAAATAAGTTTAGAACAGAATTTAGAGTGTGAAACGACCATAAAGACTTATCTAGTTCAGTCTTGATTTATAGATGTGACAAATCAAGGCACAGACAACTTAAATTATTTACTTGGATTCTTCTGATTGCTAGCAGAATCTGTTGAAACACACATACTCAAAGTCCCTTTGAAGAAAACAGCTTTGTTTGTAAACCACTAGAATCTTTGCAACAGACATTTAATACTGCACAGTGACTTCTTTTGTTTACCTCTTGCTATTTGACCTCAGTAACTCACAGAAATGCCATGCCTGTTGTTCAAAGCAAGTGTGAAAAAACAGTCTTTGTTTATAACCTGCTTTTGTGGTGAGAACTGTAGAAGCTCACTTACCCAATGTGACTTGGACTGGTAATTAAGTGAAAAGTTGGTTAAAGGCTTTTTCTTGGAGGTGTGGTCCATGGATTGGAGTTCTGTATTATCTTTTGTGCATACACTTTACCCATAATTTCCAGGTGGATTTCTTTGAAATGGCTGGAGAACTTAGACTTTGTAGAGCATCTGAGAGTGCCAAAACCTCTTGGATTTTTGTAGAGTTCACTCCCAACCTTTTCTAATTTTAATGCTTATACCTAGTTAGCAGTATTTTTTTTTTCTAGAAGAAACACTTCATTTAAAAAATTTTCCCAAAGCTTTCAACTTATAATATCTATTCTAGAATGTCAAAGTCATTGTAATAACAGTTCAACAACCAGGCCTTCAGAAGTTTTTATACTATTTAATTATATTTCATAATTAACTGTAACAAGTGTAACTAGCACAGACAGATACCAGAATGAACTTGGTTGACCCATGATGTGTAGCAACTCCTGTCTACAAGCTCTGAGCGTTAGGCAAACCATAGGCTGATGGGTATATGTTGGAGGGATAAAAGTTGGTCAGCTTTCTGATGACTCAGCTCAGTGGAGGTTGCTTAAGAGAGCTGCTACTGTATCCTTAAGGGGCCATTGGTAAATTTTAGGACAAGTATCTTCAGGGAACCTAAAGGGAAAATAAATGTGTGTGTGTGTGTGTGTGTGTGTGTGTGTGTGTGTGTGTGTGTGTGCTCGTGTGTGAAGCCTTATTGAAGAGTAGCAATAGACTCTTTCTTACTAGGCGTAATCAAGTTGCCCTCCTGGGGAAACTCAAATGCAAAAATCCTCTTGAACTTTTCTGGGTAGCCTACTCTACTCTTTCCTAATAGTACCACTACAGTATACAGCACTGTAAAATTTTTTGCTTTAAAAGTTTGTTTATAAACTGGCATTTATAAGTATACTTTTTGAGCTGATTTAAGAATCAAGTTTTTTTTTCTAGGGAAATGCTTCTTTGTAATTATCTGTCACTAGCAAAATTTGTTTTAACATATATTTTTCTAAAAATATGATATGTAAACTGTGTTGTAGTTGTACAATTAAAGGTTTTTGGTCGAACAGTTATTACATGATGTAAAATCATGTGTAACACTTTAATATTAATTACATTGTAACCTAAAATTCATTTTAAAACTTTTTATGTGGCTTGAACAGGAATTTTCTTATCCAAAGCTTTGTATGTATGCTTTATTGCCTCCTTTGTTATTAGCATGGAGACCATGGGTTTTCTGTTATTGTTGTTTCATTTAAACAGTTCATGAATATATTAAGCACCTGAAAGAAACTGTTAGATGCTGTTAATAGGAAGAGGAGTTAAAAACCTCGTCCTTGCCCTTATCTACATGTGTACATGTAGAACTTACTGTAGTTCCCTAGATGTAGCAGGTGCTCAGGAAACATTTTTGTAGTAGTAAAAAAGAAATGTCAAACTCTAACTTGCTCTGGAGCAAATTCCGCTAGTAAACATTGTTTTTCAAGCTTCTTTTTTTTGCCTTGCGTCCTACTTTCTTAGGCCAAAATAATTCATCCACATCCCACCTTAGCTGTTTTTTTGTGTCAAACAAAAATCTTATTTGGAAATAGCATGTTATGCCAACTGTGTTGGGGCATCCCATACTGTATTGCATTAAATGAGGAGAAAGATGCAGAGGCCATGTGGGGAGGATTGTGATCCTGATAAGAGTGGGATGAGGGATAACAACAGAGAGACTGCCGTTCAATATTTCTTTCTTTCTTTTTTTTTGAGACGGAGTCTGGCTCTGTTGCCCTAGGCTGGAGTGCAGTGGCGTGATCTTGGCTCACTGCAAGCTCCGCCTGCCAGGTTCACGCCATTCTCCTGCCTCAGCCTCCCAAGAAGCTGGGACTACAGGCGCCCGCCACCACGCCCGGCTAATTTTTTGTATTTTTAGTAGAGACGGGGTTTCACTGTGTTAGCCAGGATGGTCTCAATCTCCTGACCTCGTGATCCGCCCGCCTCGGCCTCCCAGCGTGCTGGGATTACAGGAGTGAGCCACCGCGCCCGGCCTGCCATTCAGTATTTCTAATTAATTCAGATGGGGAAGAAAATCTCTAGTGACTATTATTTTTTAAACCTGTACCTGTGTGTCCCTCCAGTGAAGGCCATTTAAACCCCATTTTTGGTGAAGTAGTTTATGATTCATTTATGTGAAACTTTTAGTTACTAGAAACACTACAGGTATTTTGTACTCCTGTGATTTTTAAAAAAATGCTTCTTTTTTTCCCCTAGTCTCCTTATATACATTTGACAAAGCCAAACAGTGTATTGGCACAATGACCATCGAGATTGATTTCCTGCAGAAAAAAAGCATTGACTCCAACCCTTATGACACCGACAAGATGGCAGCAGAATTTATTCAGCAATTCAACAACCAGGCCTTCTCAGTGGGACAACAGGTAGTTTTTAATTTTCTTTCATTCCTTTAACTTTATAGGTATTCTAATTTCTGCAGTTTTCCAAAATTAATTCCACCTTTTAAAAAGTGAGAGGGGCTTTGCGTATCAACTCGTATATCCAAGGTGAGT
Organism: Homo sapiens; assembly: GCF_000001405.40. Lineage (NCBI taxonomy): Eukaryota > Metazoa > Chordata > Mammalia > Primates > Hominidae > Homo > Homo sapiens. The sequence continues at coordinate 1,157,355 of NT_187663.1, forward strand.
GATAAAAGTGAGGGAGATGTATTTACTGAACTTCAAGGAGTCTGTTCAGAAAAATTCTAAAGTAGCTTTTAGATTAAAATGTCATGTATAATTATAGCAGCTTTTCCCTCAGCAAATTTGGGAACCCTGTGGACATATATATCTGAAATTCCTTTTTATATCATAGGACATTTGTTTTGCCTCTGGAATGTCTGTCTCTTTCACTAATATAGTTCTGTAGAAAATGTAGCTCTTGGCCAGACATGGTGGCTCATGCCTGTAATCCCAACACTTTGGGAGACTGAGTTGGGAGGATCGTTTGAGCCCAGGAGCTCAAGATCAGCTTGGGCAACAAAGTGAGACCCTGTCTCTACAAAAATTTTTTTAAAAGTAGCTGCGTGTAGTGGTCTCAACTACTCAAGAGGCTGAGGTGGGAGGACGGCTTGAGCCTGGGAGGTTGAGGCTGCAGTGAGCCATGATTGTGCCACGGCACTCCAGCCTGGGTGACAGATCGAGATTGTCTCAAAAAAAAAAAAAAAGTTCTTATTTTGGTTATGGGCTTATTTGAGAATCTTAAAAAACTGAATTCCTGCTAGATAGGAAAAGGATATAGTACATTATTTTAAAAAGAGTACTAGAATTGGAATGAACCTCAAGAGATTACCTTATGTAACTCCACATATACAAATGAGGAATTTTATTTTTTTATTTTTTAAAATTTTATTTATTTATTCATTTATTTTTTGAGATGGTGTGTTACCCTGTCATCCAGGCTGGAGTGCAGCGGCACCATCTCAGCTCACTGCAACCTCCGCTTTCTGGGTTCAAGTGATTTTCCTGCCTCTGCCTCCCGAGTAACTGGGATAACAGGCATGCGCCACCACACCCGACTAATTTTGTACTTTTAGTAGAGATGGGGTTTCACCATGTTAATCAGGCTAGTCTCGAACTCATGAGCTCAGGTGATCCATCCGCCTTGACCTCCCAAAGTGCTGAGATTACAGGCATGAGCCACCATGCCCAACCATTTTTTTTTTGTATTTTTAGTAGAGATGGGGTTTTGCCATGTTGGCCAGGCTGGTCCTGACCTCAAGTGATCCTCCCACCTCGGCCTCCCAAAGTGCTGGGATTACAGGTGTGAGCCATCACGCCTGGCCAAATGAGGAATTTAAGATCTAAAGAAGGTAAATGGTATGCCCATGGCTACACAGCTAAGGGACATAGTTGAGATAAGAATTAATTAAACACATATTTGATAGTACCTAGTGCCTAGTACCAGTCACTGTTTTAGACACTGCAGATCGGCAGTGAACAAAATAGATATGATCCCTGCTGTCATAGAACTTACTTTCTAGTTGAAGAAAACAGAAAATAAGACAGGAATACCATGTACAGTTAGGTCTCTGATGAAAGTAGATCAGGACAATTCACCAGAGAGCTATTGCGGTGCTGTTGTGTATTGGATGACCAAAATTGTGCTCAGATTGCCTAGCTAAACTTGATGGTTTTTACCTTTGCTTTTAGTTTTAGTATCCTAATAGAAAATGTTTAGGAGAACGTTTAATAGAAAATGCTTTGGTATTTATAATAATTTAAAACTCAGTAGCATGTAGAAGTCAGTAAATCCATGAAAGAGAATCTTTCGTAATTCAGAGAAGAAGTAAATATCTTACTCCAGATCACTGTCCTTAACTGTTTCTTCTCATTTGTGGTATCTCGTAGTAGCAGAATGGACAGACAGCCCAACCTGTAATATTTACCATTATACCCCAGCACATAGAAGAAGACCAAACTTTTAGAAGGGACTCAGCAAAGATTTGGTGAATGAGTAATTGAGCATTCAGAAGCTGTCTCTGCACTTGTAGGGCAAGCATTTTGTACTAGTGATAGAAAAGCAGGAATTGTAGAGTCACAGACCCAGGGTTGACTTCTGGCGCTCTCATTTACTGTGACTTTGAGCCTTGTTGCATAGCCTGTTTCTGCATCTCAGCTTCCTCACTAGTAAAATGGAGTCGTAGTTTCTGCTTCCAAGAGTGTTTGTGAATATTATATAACTGGCTGTAGTGTTTGAATAAAATACTAAGAAACTTTATTCTTTGTTAGAAATAGTAAATGTGGTACTCTTGAATTACTTTAGGTGGCACTCTGACATTTAAATTAGATATTTTTTATCCATGTGGAAGAAATTTTAAACATGAGTTTTGCAGTCATTTTGTAAACACTGATCGTAAGTGCTAATTCCCTTTTCTTCATTGGCTGTGAGTAGTTTGTTTGAGGAGCAGATTGGAGAGGAGTATATAAGATAAACTGGTTTTCTGCATTTGAAAAACATTGGTGATGATCTGAGGATCAAACTATTATATTATGAAGTGATTTTTCTCCCCTTACCTCTTTTCTACATAGCTTGTCTTTAGCTTCAATGAAAAGCTTTTTGGCTTACTGGTGAAGGACATTGAAGCCATGGATCCTAGCATCCTGAAGGGAGAGCCTGCGACAGGGAAAAGGCAGAAGGTAGCTTTTATTTCTGATCATCTTTACTAGATCATCTTTATAATGTAATTTGTGCAGATTGATTATAATTTTCCTATCTGTTGCTTAGTGATTTTTTTCATATTGTGTACCCTTTTAAGATAGTAGGGAGAAAAAATTGCTTTCATAGCCATCATTGTTATTAAAATATAGCTTAAAATGTATTTATTTGCAGACCTAATATTAATGTAAAATGTAGACGTATATGTACATATAATTTGCTTGAATGCAGATATTTATTGTAAATAAATAATAAGAAACGCATTATTGGAAAGATATAGGCATGGAAATAAGGCATGTAAGAATTGTAGAAGAAAGTTATGAGAAAAGTAAAAGTAGCTCAGATGATAGTCTGGAAGGTTTGCTTTGCCCAGAGAGACCTCATTTCCCCCTCACTTTTGGCCTTGCTTTGAGAAGTCCAGAAGTTTGCTATTAGACTACTAATTATTGTCTTTCTCTACAGATTGAAGTAGGACTGGTTGTTGGAAACAGTCAAGTTGCATTTGAAAAAGCAGAAAATTCGTCACTTAATCTTATTGGTAAGATTTACAGTTTTTAGAAGATTTGAAATGAAGTGGGCCTATTTCTATATGTAACTCAACTACAGTGATTTCCAAATGGGGAAAGGAAAGAGGGGCATCTCTCTTGAGAGAGTTTATCACAGAAGCATGGGGTATTTCCTGTTGGTCAGTTTGCTGATGAAAACGTTTAAAACCTTCATCTGGATCAACTTTGTCCAATAGAAATAGAGTGTGAGCCACATGTGTAATTTTTAATTTCCTAGAAATTGCACTAAAATAAGAAACAAATTAATTTTTTAACTTTTAATTTTGAGATAATTTTAGGTTCACAGATTTGCAGAAATAGCTCAGAGAATTTCTGTATGCCCTTTACCAGCTTACCCTGATGTTAATGTCTTATTTGACATTTTCAAAAGTACAATGATAAGAAATGAACATGGTTTCATTTCTGCTAACTAAACTACAGATTTTATTGAGATTTCACCAGTTTTTCCATTGTGTCCTTTTCTGTTCCAAGATCTAATTTAGGATCCCATATTGCATTTAGTTGTTCTGTCTTTTGAGTTTTCTTCAGTCACTGACAGTTCCTCAGACTTTGTCTTTTATGACTTTGAGAACTGGTCAGTTATTTTGTAGAATGCCCCTCACTTGGTTTTGTGTTAAATGAGATAGCATCATCATTTCTTTTAGTGATTAAGTGATGAATGTGCAGGTCAAGTCTTCCCAGCAGATTCATGGTTCAGTCCTACTCTTGTACTCTAGCACAATTTTTGTCATATTAAAACAATTGCAGCTTATTCTCTGAGAATAGTAACTCACCAGAATAATGTGACATTAACTGGGCATTAATTCTTATTTTTGGTTGATTTAACTATGTTGATGTCTACCCTACTAGAGAGTAGAGGGTTTTCATTGGTTGCACATCATCATGTCCAGGGTCACTTAACAGTCTTTGAGTGCGTGGCCTTTATTTCCTGGTCCACAAATTACCATTCCCCCTTATTGTTTTTTGTTAATTATAAAATATTTTATTTATAAAATATGGATAGGCATTCGAAAACAATTCACACACTGTAAAATTTGGTTCTGTTTTCATAGTTTTGTAATTTGCTTTTTTTGCTTAGCATGTTTCAAACATCTTAAATATACACCTATAACATGATTTTTAATGCCTGTATGTCATTTTATGAAGGTAGGATGTATTTTCCTGTTATTGATCTAGTACATTTATGAAGTGACTTCTTTGTATTTTATTTTTGTGTACCTTTTGTTAAGATATCCCAAGGGAGTTGCATAACTTTCATAGGTATTTCTAAGTAATCCATGGGAAAAAAATTGTGTAGTTAATTGGCATTCAGTAAATTTTGCCCACAAGAGGGCAGTAGAGTGTAAGAAAAAAATATTTTTCATCGCTTTCCAAAGGAAATCTTAAGGCCTCAAAACTCTAACCATAAAATTATCATCTAGTATAAACTTTTAAAAAGCGTTACTTTATTTTTAATTGACAGATAATAATTGTATATATTTATAGGGTACAATTTGATATTTTAATACATGTATACATTGTAGAATGATCAAATCAGCCTAATTAACATATCACCTCAAATATTTAGCATTTCTTAGGATAAACTTTTTTTAATGTGACATTTTCTTCCCTGGTTTTATAAAAACCATATTATTACTTTATTTTTTGTTTATAATAGAGCATACTAAGGTACTTAATTTATTCTTTGTTTGAAATAGTAAATGTGGTTCTCTTGAGTTACTTTAGGTGGCACTCTGACATTTAAGTTAGATAATTTTTGTCCTCTTGAGAATTTTTAAACATGAGTTTTGTAATCATTGAAGTCTTTAGGATGATTTCAGACTTTTGTGTCCAAGTGAAGAGAAAGCAAAGAAGACATCAAACTTGTTCAGTATATTTCCTTAGGCTGAGGGGTTATATGCCCAATTACCTGTATAAGCTTAATCTGGATAAATATATGTATTTTAAAATAAACTTGCGTTAGGAGACTTCAGTGACTGCGAGATTTCAGTTGCATTTCTGCCAGCTAGTGTTGTCTTCATCAGATATGGCATTTCTTCTGATCAACCGAGTTAGTTAATTTAGTTAGATTGAAGGTTAATAAAACTAAGTTTTATGGACTGATACAAATAGACTACAGCATAAGTTTAGCTAGTCATTTTGACAGTGTGTTACCATATATGGAGATCAGACAAAGTAGATAGCATAGCAAAACTTACCCTTCTGACTGTAAAATCAGCTAAGATTATATTGTTCGTTTTGTATATGTAAGGGTAGCTTTTCTTTATTCATTTAGGATGCTCAGGGAGTTCTGTCTGTCTTTTTAGACTTAGTGATAAAGTCCTTGTTTCACATTTGATAATATTCGTTTGACATAGGCAAAGCTAAAACCAAGGAAAATCGCCAATCAATTATCAATCCTGACTGGAACTTTGAAAAAATGGGAATAGGAGGTCTAGACAAGGAATTTTCAGATATTTTCCGACGAGCATTTGCTTCCCGAGTATTTCCTCCAGAGATTGTGGAGCAGATGGGTAAGTTTAAAAAGGAAAATGTTATAAAATCTTGTGTTGTTAAAAAAATTAATGCAATGAAGAATCTCTTTTCAATAGTTTTGAAATTATTTTTCAGACCCATTATTTTTGTCTTTTTCTTTAAAAATGAACAGATAAATTTTCTGAAAAACTTTATAATACCAGAACTTTTAAAATTACATTTTAATTTTATGGGGAAATCATAGAAATAAGACTTGTGGTGGCTCCATTTTGTTTATTTATTTATTGAAGAATGCTTTTCTATGGGGCATATTTAGAAACTTCCCCTGACAGTAATAATACTAGTAGTGACTCCATTTTATTTATTTATTTGCGTAAGAATGTTTTTCTATAGGGCATATTTAGAAAGTTCACCTGACTCTAAAGATCACTATGGGTCAGATGTACCCTGCTGAATAATAACTATCTATTAGGCTGTGTGCATTGTTCTGACATTAGCTGCCGTTCCTTTTTATTGTACTGTTGCATTACCCAGTTAGTACATCTTCATACCTAATAAATGGGTACTTGCATATTTTTAAATTAAATAAGTTTGATCCAAAAAGACAAATGCAGGATATACATTGGAGTTTCTATATTGCATACAAAGAAGTGCACTATTCGTTTACCACTTTCTTCTTGAAGGTTTATTTAATTTATCTGTGTGAAGTGACTTTATTTGCCCAGTGGAAATGCTGTCATGACTGTTTTCATGTCCATATCATTCGTTGGATTGGAATGTGAGCAACAGAATATCTGAGAAAGGAATGTATAACATAACAGCTTCTGGCAGACTATTAGTGTAAAAACAGCATCCAAAAAAAAATGGAAGGAATATGAATATATTACTCCGCTCATCCCCATCATTCTTTATCTTTAAATTGCTACTGGAAGATAAAAGTATATTTATTATAGTGGGGATAAGAACTGCTTTCTAGGCACTAAGTGCTTGGATTGTATTAGCCTTCTATTGTTGGTAGCCTTTCTGCCTGGTCGCTCACTCTGATAAATTACAGGCACGGCACACACCTGTTCACTGAGTAAAGGTCGAGTTTGGAATTGGATTAAGAGAAAATGACAGAGACCCTCATCACCTGAGTTTTATACACCTTGAAATGGCAATAGCATACTTTTTATCTCAAAGATACAAAGGCCACGTCCATTAAAAGCAGAATTTTAATTGGGAAAATATTTTAAAATGTGGTAGTTCACTATCTTGGTAATGTGTATTTTCGATCAAGACATGAAAATATTGTTTAAGTGTATTTTGGGTAAAAGCAGGGATAAAAAGATGATTCCAAATGTTCTAAGTTATTCTTGTGGAATGTTTTTACTGGTTTTCAGAACTGAGATCTAGTGCAGGAAGAGTCTAATGATTCTGTTTCTTAGAACATTTATACTGTTTAGCCAAAAAGTAGAAAAATAACTGCATTGGTAGTAAGCCGTCTCTTTTAATTATAAATGTTTTCTCACTGTTTGGAAGCTATTGAAGATAACAGTTATTCAGATACTAGTTTGCTATTTGTGCATTATCTAGATCCTGCACTTGAAGCTACGCGCAATGTCAGTATGCGTTGGGTAGATAATGCGTAAAGGAGTTGGTCTCACATTGGTCAGTTTGTGACCTTGCCAGCTGTTGGAGAGTTTTAAATTAAATCAGAACAGATTTGGAATTTGTTAGTGAATTTCATCTGTTTCTGATATCCGTATTGAAATGAGCTGAATTACAGTAGTGTGCTTTTTGTTGTTTTTGATGTGTTTTTTGACTAAGCACTATGGATTTGAATTTTGTGAGTGCCACTGTCCAGAACCTTTTTTATGGATTTATTTTTCTAATATTTTTACACTAATTTAATTAGACAAAAAATGAATTCTATCCTTTTGGAAAAGTTTTTTTTTTTTTTCTCTTTATGGCTTTTTGCCATCAGGAAGCATTTGTTACCAATTTCATTGAAAAGACAAACTAGTATAAAGCTGTCCTGGCTTTTGAGCTGAATTGAAAAACTTATTTTCTTTATTCTGGATGAAGTTTCTGGGTATCTAAAAAAAAGTAAAGCTTCTTCTTTTTTTTTTTTTTAATGGTTAAATGGCTGAGAAATAATTCTTTTGTAATGCATGTATAATTCCCTGTCTTCCAATAGAGGCTTCTTTTTTCCTTTGAATTTTGGGGGAATTATATAGTAAAATCCTTTCTTGCACTCCAATTACAGTGTGGTTATAAAGTTCTCCTTAGGCTTTGGTAAAGGTATATAAATAAAAATGGTTATATTTTGACAGAATATAAATAAAATTATACAAATTATTTTTATGCATATTCTGTGTTGTTTTTTTTTTTGACATGTCAGGTGGGAACAACATGGATTTTTTTCCCCCACTCTTTGTTAACTAAATAGACAGATCTATATGGTTTGGGGATTCAGCTGGACACTGAGTATGACTGGTTAAATCAGTTCTAATTTTTAAAAAAGATTAGAAAAGAATAATTTATGTAGGTTATGGGGCTTTTTTGTTTTAAGCAGAAAACTTTACTTTTGGCTTGAGACCAAATTACTGTCTTTACCATGGAGTCTAAAGTGATGTCTACTTCGTAAACAGGAATCTTAACTAAGTGGATTTTTTGCCTATATATCAATTTTCAAATTTACAAAGTGATAAATTTAGAATATTCTTCTCTTCTGTCATTATGTTCATCAGACTGATAATTATGCTTCTAGGTAACAGAGTTCTTTCTTTTTGTCTATAAAACTTCATGTTGCCTTTTCAAAATTGAAAAATATAGTTTAGCTACGAACAGAATGTTGCTGATGAGATATAGGAGGACTAAAGGACTTAACGAGAGGCACACAATTAAGCAGTAAAATTAGGGAACCAATGAGGTAATATACTTGAAAATAACTGTCATGGAGTTTCCAATCTGTTAGTTTCTCTCTTGAAGGTCTTTCAAATAGGTAGTGTATACCTTAGGCCGGGTGCGGTGGCTCACTCCTGTAATCCCAGCACTTAGGGAAGCCGAGGTGGGCGGATCATGAGGTCAGGAGATCGAGACCATCCTGGCTAACACGGTGAAACCCTGTCTCTACTAAAAACAGAAAAAATTAGCCGGGCGTGGTCGCGGGCGCTTGTAGTCCCGGCTCCTCGGGAGGCTGAGGCAGGAGGATGTGTGAACCCGGGAGGCGGAGCTTGCAGTGAGCCGAGATCGCACCACTGCACTCCAGCCTGGGCGACAGAGCGAGACTCCATCTCAAAAAAAAAAAAAAAAAAAAAAAAAAAAAAAAAAAAAAAAAGAAGAAGATAATGTATGCCTTTCTGCTTTTGTAGTTTTGTTATATTTTTGTAGAATTAAAATCAAGGAAACCCTTAAAGGAGAAAGGAAGTCACATAAAGCTCTCTAGACTGAGGGATAAAGGAAAAGGGATTATTTAGGGGAATATCAATTTAGACTTTTGTTTTTGTTATTGTTTTAATCAGAGTAACTGTTGAGTTTTCCCCTTGTCTGAAGCAGTTGAGCTCACCCAAACCCAAGTGGGGCAGCCCTTCCTTGGAAGGATATGAGAGCAACGAGCGAAGAAAACTAAACCTATACCTTGCACTTAGTAAATACCAAATAGATATTTAGTTAGAATGCCTTCCAACCCCCCACAAAACAGATTTTTAATTAAGAATTACCTTAAATCCATAATTTTATGGGCTAATAGAAGCCACATTTGAGTCCCAGGGTAGAAATGTGAACATCAAAGCTGGTATCTGGAAGTATGGGTGAATAAATTCAACAGCTGATTGCTGTCTTTCAGCATATTCAGGTGTTAACTGAATAGATACTGAATACTTGTGTTCGGACATTTACCACACTTATTCCCCTGTATGCAGTTTTGTGGACAGTGTTCAGGATAAATAAATGATTGATTACCTCAGTTCTCACTGTAGCTATTTTGTTAGCAAAGATAGCGTTTCTGCCAAGAAACTTCATTTTTTCAGCATCCCTGGCAATTCTCTCTAAATTATAAATGTCAAAGCAAAAAAACACATCGTTTTCAATGAACAGTGGAATAATTGTTAAAGAATTAGTCAGCATCTCTTAATGTAATCCTGGGAATAGGTTCACATCTACCCAAGGAAAGACCTAGAAGGAAAAGGATGTAAAGAGGGAAGACCTCAGCCTCACACTGTCTTTCAGTGGATCTGTGGGGTGTAGATGTTCAGGCCACCTAGTGGGGAGGAAAGCCACTTGTTATGGTCTTGTGCCCCCATTCTTTGAAACTGACACTGTGTTCTTTTTGGTCTCCTTTCCCCAGTGTCTCCCTCTGTAAGCCCATTTTCAATCGTATTTTTAAGGTTTCTTTTGAAATTCAAGAGGAAAGCAACTCTTTTCTGATATCATAAGTGAAATTGTAGTTACTCTATGAAACAGAACTGCTGAGAAGATAAGGAACCTTTCAATCACACAGACATCTTTCACATACTAAAAACAGTGCAAATAAAACATAGTGGAAGAAAGGGCACTAAGGTTTTGTGCATGCCATATTTTGGAGAGAGGGAGTTCTTGCTAAGATTAACATAAACACTGACACTCTTAAAATGCATTTTCACACCCCCACTCATGAGGAGAGATTGCATTTTAAATGGGGGTTAAGACATCCAGGCGAACTCCAGGGCTCTGTAAAAGGAACCCTAAGGCTAAAGAGCTTATCTGAAATTTGAAAAAAAGAAAAAAAAATGAAGCCTTCTGACATTCATCTTTTTTTCTTGTATTAGTCATAACTTGCTTTTCAGCTATATTTTAGGTTTTGAATGCCAACCTGACATCTGTTCAAGTCTGCCTGTAATTTATTAGCAGAGGAAAAGACAGCAGTTGCTCACTAGTTAGAGATGCAAAATTTCTGCCTTCCTGTTCTCCACTAAGTACTTATAGATGATACCTGGATACGAAGAATGTAATAATTTACTGAAAACTTCAGGTCAGGAAATTTATAAAGATTTTTTTTTAATTAGAAGAATAAAATGGCTTAAGACCATGTGATTTCAAAAATCTCTAGATCAGGATTTAGAGACAAAACATAGACCCTAAAAAATACTTTAGATAACTTTCTATAAATTGTAATTTTTTTAACCTTGAATTAATTTTTCCATTGGTTTTAAATTTTTAAGTTAAATGTATATTTGAACAGTAGTTGTGCTTATATCTGAAAGTCAAACTGTATGTAAATTCACCTGGCATTTTGCATTTATAGACAGACTTTAAGAAACAAATCTTTTGGAGAGGTAGTGCTGTCTACAGAGTCACCAAATGGATTAGATTTCCTGGCAACTACAGTTGAGTTACTTACAGATCAACAGTTGGGTCACTACAAAGTTGAGATCTAAGTGTTAACCTGAGTGCCCACCAGTAAGAAACCGGTTAGAGGCAATCTTAAAATGATATAGCTCCAAATGTAGAGACATGTTTGTGTTAATAAAAAATATATAAAAGCAAATGCATTCTAAAAATCTCTAAGGACATACATTAAATTGAAAAAAGGTTTATGGCTGAATGTGGTGGCTCACACCTGTAATCCTAGCACTTTGGGAGGCTGAGATGGGAGGATCACTTGAGCTCAGGAGTTCAAGACCAGTCTGGGCAGCATAGTGAGACCTTGTCTCATTTATTTATTTTTTTAATTTAAAAATTTAATTTAAAAATTAAAAAAAGTGTTTACTTCCATGGAAGGGAAGCTAAGATGGGGAATAAAGGGAAAGTTTTGTTCTTTTACTCAATTTTACCTTTATGTCTGAATGTTTTATTGTATTTCTAATGTGTGATTTTAAAAGCCAACAGACAAAAGATAATATCACAGTATGTTTCTTGGGGTGACTCTACCATCAGCATGGAAAGTCAGCAGGAAACAGGTACATCCTTCCGCCTTCATGAAGTTTTCTGTGGAGGAGGAGAGTGCAGGGTAAAAGGCCTGGATTCCAAGGGCTTTGCTGGCAGCCCCTTAGAGGGTAGACAGAACACCTATCCTATTTGGTCAAGAAGAGAAAAAGTTTCTCCATATATAACAAACTGCTTTCCCCCAGAATGTTCTGCATTATAGTAATGGTGTAAGTAGTCTGCCCTTCAAACATGAGAACATTTGCATCCAGGCCTTTAGGCAGCCAAGGCAGCATTAAAGAAGAAAGAGTGGGAGCAGAGCGAGCTGAGGGAGAGCAGAGCTTCTGACATTTGAGGAACTGGGCGTGAATTTGTTTTTAGTCTTCAAAAACCATTCTCTTGAGGAATCGAATTCCCATGACTCCTGAAGTGAAGCGGTTGGTGTTTTCTCCTGCGTTACTCCCATACGTAAGTTGGTGATTATAATGAGGGTGGTGGCTAATACTTATATAATGCCAGACGCTGTTCTGTGTGCTTTATTATTGTGTTTATTAATCCTCACAACAACCTTCAGAAGTAGACACTGTATTGTCTCCATATTATGGAGCAGGAATCTCTGTCTCAAAAAGGTGAAGTAATGGGTCCAAGACACACAGCTAGTAAGTAGTAGAGTCAGATTTGAACCCAGGCAGTCGAGCCCCAGATTTCATTTCCTTAACCATTACATGTTATTCTCCCATGAAAGCCCATCGTGTAAAACCATTTTAATGGGCTTTCTAGCTTCACTTTTTTGGGGACCTTTGAAGCAATCATTGAGGCAGCCTTTGTTCTAGCCAAGGGCCAACCATGGCACCATTGAGATTTTGAGCTGTATAATTATTTGGTCTGGGGACTGGGTGTCCTTTGCATTGTAAATAACTAACTTTTCTAGTAATCTGATGTGTTCAAATTGTCATGAGCTCAAGAGACATGAAGATTTGGTGGTAGGCTGTAATACCTAATGCCACTTTTTTCATGTGTTTTTTGTCACGTGTTGTAGCAGAATACAGGAAGGAAGGAACTGGAATGGGTGTGTCAGAGAAGCTGTCTTAAACTGTCAACCTGGAGAGGGAACATAAATGTTAAAATTAAATAATCATTAAAAAATTAAGCAACGTAACAAGTGATATCAAAGGCCAGTATTTGATTAAGTGCCAGATGAGCAGTACAATTGATAAGCCCTACAGGAACTGAAAGGGAATCACATCGAGAAGACTTCATAGAAGAGGCAGAGCTTGAGTAAGGCCTTAAATGCTGAGCGGTTTTGGATAGGAGGAGGGAAGGGGATAGTTGTCCATATCCTGGGAAGAGTGACAGACTAAACACGGTATAGACTTCATGACTTAGACCAGTCTAACAGAGCTGTTGTTTGGAAGAAACAGGAAATAGGATTAAAAAGTTAGTTTTGGGTTGGGTTGTGGAAATCTGTGAGGAGATGTGGACTCTTTTTAAAGTACTGTCCCTGTTTAAGCTTCCAGACAGACTCAGAACCTTCCAGACAGACTCAGGTGCTTCTCCTGTGTTTCCCTGCACCTTGTATATACTTAGAATCCAGCTGTGTTCTTAATGTAATTATTCATTTGCATTACACTCCTAAGGCAGAATTTCTTAACCTTGGCACTATTGACATTTTAGGCTGGATAATTCTTAGTTGTAGGGCGCCTGACCTGTGCATCATAGGATGTTAAGCGCCATCCCTGGCCTCTACTTGATGTCAGTACTTCCCTTCCTCACCACTCCGAGCCCCAGTGACGATTAAAAGAAATGTGATGAAACTGTCCTGTGTTGAGAACCATTGCTCAAAGGCCTTTGAAGGCACAACTGTAATGTCTTCTTATCCATGTATTATCAACATCAGGGGTGTTGGGATGTAGGTTGCAGGTCATTGTTGGACCATGAACCACTGTTACCAGTCCACAATAAGACAAATATTGGAAATTAAGAATAAGTAATTACAAATGTTTATAGCAATTTGACATTATCACAATTTTTTTAAAATTATATTTTACAAAAATGTTGGTCTGCAATGGATTGGAAATTTAAAAGGAAAAAAAATACAGCTGGACCTTAGCATACATAGTTTGAGAAGCACTGGCCTATGTAAATATTTGCAAAATGAATGAAATTTTTTGAACAGATGCCTTAGAGAAAAGGTGAGGCGAATAGTCTTAGAGACCAGTAGACTATTGCTGTCCAGTGTGTGGTACTTAGAATCTGGATTGGGGTGAAGGCAACAGGAATGGAATGGGAAGAAAATACATGAAAAAATTGCAGACATGAAACTGGCAGAATTTGGCAATAGTTATTGTGGGTGACAGAATTGGAGGTGAGACTCAGGTCTTGTGAGAAAATGTTGGAAATGAGAAACTCAGGAGAACATAGTTTTGGAAAAGTAGAGAATATCATTGCACATATTTTCAATATCGTGAAAGGAAACTGGAAGCTGAACTGAAGAGAGGAAGAATTACTGGCATTTCAATTTATTGAAGCCTAGCTTCAATCAGTCTGCACGTGTTTAGGAAACACACTGTTGACTACTTTTGCTTGAAATACCCTCTTTACTTGGCTTTTCTCACTCCAAGCATTTCTGGTTTTCCTTTTACCTCTCTGGCTGTCTCTTTTCAACCTCTTTTGTGTCCCTTAAAATGTTGGGGTTCCTCAGGAGTCTGTCTTTGACCTATTATTTTTCTCTAATTATTCTCCTCCAAATTAATCACATCTGTTTCATAGCTTCAATTAGTATCTTTATGCTGCTAACTCTCAAATATGCATATGCCACCTCGGTCTCAGTTTAGAACTCTGGATTTGTACCAGCATAATGTGTTGGGTATTTCATGATCACATAGTAAGCTTGAAATTAAACACATTCAGTTGCCCCCTCAGTCCTCTCTAAACATGCATCTATATCTGTGTTTTCTATCTCTGGCAATACTCTAGCCAAAAATCTGGACACCTTTAACTCCTCTCTTTCCCTCACCTCCCACTTCCAGTAAGTCGCAGAATAGACCGTCAATTCTGCAATCTCCGCAATCTCTCTGAAATCCCTCCAGTTCTCTCTACCTCGCCCTGCCACTCTTCCTTCAGGACACCATTATCTCTTGCCTGAATTGCTCCATAAGCCCTCAGCCTTGCCCTTCTCTAATCCATTCTCCACACTGTAACTGGAGTGATTTTTATAAAAAGGCAAGTCTGATCCTGTCACTGCACTGGTTCAAACTCTTTAGCAGCCCGCCTTAACTCCTTACATGGTTTACAAGCCCTGTGTGATCTGGCTCCTGCTAAACTTTCTTGCTTCGCCTCTCAGCCCGTGCCCCTCCCCCATACTCTGGGTTCCAGCCAGCCTGTGCTATTTTCAGTTCCTCTAATTTGCCATGCTACTTTCTCTTACCTCTATATCCTAGGGTTATTTTTTTTTGCTTTTTTTTTTTCTTAACCATCTTTTCATCCAATTCCTGTTCACTCTTCAGGCCAAAGCTTTGAACTCACTGTTTCTAGAATGAGTAGGCTTTAATGTTCCTCATGTGTGTTCTAATAGCTCCATGTTATTTTATGCATTATTACATTGTATTATAATTGCTTATTACATGTCTGTATTCCAAGTCCTCTCTCCATGTCCCTGCCCTCACAAACATAGTATACCTTCAGTAAGGAATAGGCCTTGTTTATTTTGGTCACTGTCGTATTCTCTCCTCCCGGCATGGTGTCTGGCTTATAAGTTTTCAGGAAATAAATAAATGCCAGGAACTTGATTAATCTTGATTAATTAAATAGAACACTTAGACAGTTTGATCCAAGCCCTGCCCTCATGATACTTACAGTCTGTGTGGGAGTAACACTGTATTTGCACATCCCAAAGCAGTACTGTGTAAAACATAAGGTGCATTGTGAACCAGATTAGCAAAGTAGGCCACATGGAGAAGCAGCAGATGCATTTAAAGAGCAAGACTGAGCCATATCTTTAAAAGTCAAAGCAGATATGATGTTTATAATTCATTACTAAATCCATGTAGATCCTCTTAGATTCTGAATTTAGGAAAGACCTCTTGGATTGGTCCTGAATGGCACTAGGCTCCAGAAATAAGAAAAGGAAGAGTATTTTCTTGGGTACTTGTGAGCTACCATTTGCTTCATTGGGAACTGCCATTCTTATGTAAGGGCACTATAACAAGAGTGTTCACATTTAAGGGCATCAGGTCAATATTGCGTCTGTGTGAGTTTGTGTGCATGTGAATGCACACATGTATTTTCTATTTTTAAATAGAAACACATTATAAAAATAATGCATCCTCATAAAACAGCACAGATAGAGTAAAAAGTGAAATCTCCCTTCATTCTACCCACTCCAGTTTTACTCCCTCTCTTAGAGGTAGACACTGTAAAGAGATTGGTATGAATTTTTCAAACCCTTTCCTAAGTATTTATACAATAATATATAATCAATCCATTCATTCATTTATTGAGACAGGGTCTTGCTCTGTTGCCCAGGCTGGAGTGCAGTGGTGCAATCATACTCCGTTGCAGCCTCGCACTCCTGGGCTCAAGTAGTCCTCCCACCTCCACCTGCCAAGTAGCTGGGACTACACCCAGCTAATTTGTGTGTGTGTGTGTGTGTGTGTGTGTGTGTGTGTGTGTGTGTTTGTGTAGAATTGGAGTCTCACTATGTTGCTCAGGCTGGTCTCAGACTCCTGGCCTCAAGCAGTCCTCCCGCCTCAGCCTCCCAAAATGCTGGGATAACAGGCATCAGCCACTGTGCCTGACTTTTTTTTTTTTTTCAACCTAGTAGTGTATCTTGGGTTTTTTTCTGTGATAAAGCACACAGATAACATTTTATTTTTTAAAAAGTTAAATAGTATTAGCAGATCTGCATCCACACAAGTCCCGTCATGGTAAGTTAGCGTCTCTTCCTCAGCAGTAAGAAGGCTCCTAGGCACACACCAGAACAAGGTTGGCATTGCGTCTCCTTTCTACTCACTTGTATGGCCCTAGGCTTCTCAATGCGGCAGGGCCCTGGGCGCTCAGCTACTTGAGCCTTGGTACCCTTGCCTGAAAAATTGTTTATTGGTAGGTAACATTAATGTGTGTAAGTTTTCTAACACAGTACCTGGCTGACTGTCAAACACTCCATGGATGATAGTTACTTGGTATGATTATATTGCCAAGAGGCACTTTTGGAGCTCTGTAAAAGGCAAAAATTTATAACCCAATCCCTTTAATCTAATGTTAAGATGTGTTTTCTTCTTATCTTAAATTTTGTTGCTGTTGAAAATAGTTAACACCTGAGATTTTCCTCCTATGCTGTTTTATAATTACCCATTTTGAACAGTGTTTGTTGATAAGGTAGTCAAGGGGACACTTCGAAATATTTTTTCTTTATTTGTGAAGTCATACTTTGGCTGATTTATATTTAATTTTTATCACATTACATCGGAGAGGAGCAGATAAATTTTCTATCACCTCTATAAATTTTCTATCACATATAAGAAAGTGTATCTTATATGTGATACACTAACTTGGAAAAACAACAGCTATCTTGATAGACACAATAGAGAATAGGATGTCAGAGGAAGAGAAGAATTAGAATGTTAACAATAATGCTAGTAAAAAGCTACCCAGGACTTAAATGGTATTATTTGAGAGTACTTCTACCATGATTCAAATAAGACTTGCCTTGGAATTCCATATGATTTGTTACTTAGAGCAGTCTACCTTTAATATGTTTAATATGGTCATACTTTAAAAAAAAAAACCTGCAAGAAACTTGGGTTTCACGTTTTTGCTTTTTAAAGAATTAACATAATGTTATTTCAGGTTTGTAAAGGAAGTTACAGAAGATAGCAATAAATCCCTTCCATATACCATTTTAGTCATAGTGCAAAATTAGGCATTGAAAATTATTATGGGTACTGTATTAGATATTCAAAGATTTATTTGTGGCTTTGACTTCTTTACCAACACCTCTGGCTTTAATACAGTATCTTTTATCAGAGCAAGTAATAGTTTGAATCCTTTTCTTACAAATCCTCTTTTTACTCAAGTGACTGCAAACTTATAAAGATGCACACATCTGTAGCTTGAACGTCTATGCTATTTGCTCAAGTATTTACTTGAATTTATCCTCGATGATATGATTTTTTTAAGTGCTTTGATTTTAAATTCTATCTAGAATCCCATCATGAGGGAGAAATCTTAGCAAGACTTAAGCACCTTTTCATAATGACTGGTTACTGTAGGATAAACCTATAATTAGTATGTTGCTAATCCACACGTTAGATATATCCCATCAAATTTCAAATATACACAGGAGAATTATCCACATTGAAGGTTATTAGTGCATTCCAGGGACATTTCCATGTTGATTCACAACTACCCCTTTACCTTACACTTTCCTGTGTTACTAGACGTCTCTTTCTGTAAAACTTCTCTTTGTTGTTACTTTTTACTTTTGTATGTGTTACCTGATTACTTTGGCTTCCTCTGTGACTACTGAGGGAGCCAATTGTGGCTGTGATGAGCTTAGAGAAAGGGAGATGGGGAAGACTCGCTTAAATGAGTTACAAATTCTCTGTAGTCTGATCTTTATCTGGCTATTGCAGTATGACCATGGGTGATACTAAATGAAATAGAACTCAACTCCCCAAAATTTGGATTTGTCTTATAAGTCGTAATGGCTCCAGGTGGGATACTGTGTCAGACCAAGGATAGGCAGATGATAGTTTATTGCCACAGTCAAAAGATCGAACCCTTTTTTTTCATGTTATCTAGAAATGAATCTTTAAAAAAAAAAAAAAAGGAATGGGTTGAACTTATAATATTTTAGCAACTCATAAAATAACTTGAAGAAAAAGATCATTTGGAAGGAGAGACAAAACAGACTGAAAGACATTGTTTAAATTTATGACTTTTATTATCTTACTTGAATGCTATTTTTGCCCCTCTCGCTATTATTAAACCCTTTGCTTCCTGTTTTCAGTTGCTCCTGTCAAGGTATGAATTTTTCTTTGGATGATTGTCATCTATTTCATATTATCTAGTATTCCTCTCTATTATGAGAAAATCAAAAGTAGACAGTGTATCTATAGCTATAGATTTAAATGCACTAAGGTAATTATATATTTGAATCAGAGACCTAAGGAATAATCTAGTGTAGCATTTACCAAATTTATTTAAACTTAACATGCTTACATGAAGACAGACCTATTTATGTTTCCAAGGAACACCAGTTTGAGAAATGCTGATCTTACCTGTGTCATTCTTATTTTGTAGATGAGGACATTGGGACCTCAGAAGAATAAGGCAACTTATTTAGGCTAAAGTCACTGCTTGTCTACTGGGGCTGGAATCCAGGTTGCTTAGTCTGGTGCCCTTTAGGCTTCATGATTCAGCCACTTAAGACAATTTGATTTATTGTTGGGCTTTTTAATTCTAGATTTCATAACTTGGATATGAAACTGTACTTCCCAGTCTCCAAAATAAGCTTCACTGTTTTCTGGAACGTGAATTAGATTCAGAAAGCCCCTTACTGCCTTTAGATTATTGCAGCCTCCCCAGTGGGCCCCAGGGATCCAGGAAAAATATCTTTGTTTTTCACCTAGTCCTCTCCTCAGCTTTTAGAGGGACTCTTAGATCTATGTTTATGAAAAGACTTTTATTAGTTCTTATAGTTGTAGTAATGCATGTTTATTGTAGAAAATTTCAAAAATGTAGATGAATAAGAAGAATAAAACAATCACTCAGTGTAAAAAACAAAAAACCCTGAAAAAGTACCATTAATATTCTGGAGTATATCATCCAGCTAGTTTTAGCTGTATATACATAGAGCCAAAAAAAAAAAAAAAAAGCATTTTGCTGTTTTATAACTGGTTTTCTCCCCACTCAGTAAGTTAACAGTTTTTCTTAAATATTCTCTACAACATTCTTTATTTTGTAGAATGATAATGCTGTGGTTTGTTTAATCAATCCCCTCTAGTTAAAAATTGTATTCAGTTTTTTACTATTATACACTATGTTTAACAAGCACCTTAGAAACTAAATATTTCTACACATTCATATTTCTTTAAGATAAATTCCTGGAAGTAGAATTGCTGAATCAAAAAGGATTCACAAGTGTAAATGTTTTTGACATGCACTGCCAAATTTAGACTTCCTTTTTGAAAAGTCAAATGTTAAGGAGATCAAAGCAATCACTAAGCAGGTACTCTGGAAGAGAAATAGAAATATAAAAAATATAATGGTTTCATGAGAAACTAATAGACAAGGTTTCAAGAGACTTGGAGTCTAGTTTTGGATTTGTCATTGAATGGCTGTGACTTTTGGGTCTTAGTTTCCTCATTATAAAAATGGGAAGATAGACTAGAAATAGAAACTTTTTCAGAATAGTCACCTTATGAATGTTGTTTCAGTGAAATATAAAGGTCTGTACATAAGTTCTGCAGGGAAGATGCCATGTATTTGCTCATTCTTCAAGTTTCAGCTTGATTGCCTTTGGAAGGTCTGTCACACTTAACGTCCTCCTAATAGAAGTAATTGTTTTACTTTTTGGCTCCTCATAGCCCTTTTTAAATGTTGGTTCTGTATAGTTGTATCTTTGATTTTTAATATTGAGGTATTTGTAACAGAGGTTATCTTACTCATCTCCTGAAAGCACTTGGCTTAGCATAGTTCTTGGGTATATAATAGAGACTCAGTAAGTATCTGTGGAAGTTGAGAGTGATACCTTGTTCCCCAGTGTATAACAGCAAAGCCTAGCCTCCTCCTGTTGAGCATTGTCTGTTCTCGCTTTGAAGAGCTCACCACATTTCTTCAGTTTGTTTTTGTTTTTATTTTATTTTATTTATTTATTTTTTTTTTTTGGCGGGGTGGGGTCTTTCCTATTCAGTAACACAGTGGTTCTCAGTCTTTGGTGTGTATCAGAATTTTTTTTTTTTTTTAGAGTTTTGCTCTGTTACCCAGGCTGGAGTGCAGTCGTGTGATCTCAGCTCACTGCAACCTCTGCCTCCCAGGTTCAAGCGATTCTTGTGCCTCAGCCTCCCGAGTAGTTGGGATTACAGGCACATGCCACCATGCCTGGCTAATTTTTGTATTTTTAGTAGAGACAGGGTTTCATCATGTTAGCCAGGCTGCCCTTGAACTCCTGACCTTAAGCGATCCACCCACCTTTTCTGGTATTACAGGTGTGAGCCACCCTGCCTGGCCCAGAATTTTTAATGTTAAAAAAAATACAGATTTCCAGGCTCTCAAGTACACTGAATGTGAGTGTCAGGCACAAAGCCGAGACACAGCGCTGTCAATAGCTGAGCTCTCCTTGGGGTTTTAGCTTTGTCAGGCAAATTGATATTCAAGTTCCAGGTCTGCCACTTACCAGATGTGTCTTCCCCTTACCAGGGGAAGGTCACTTTACCACTGTAAGCCTCAGTACCTCTTCCTTAAAAAGAGGGTAAAAATAATACCTTAGCTCATAGTTTTAAAAATGATTACGTAAGAGAACATATTAAAACACGTAGTATAGCCCTTCCCATATCTGCAGTTCTGGCCTTGATCTGTAACTTCTTGGATCTTATATGCATTTATTATTTATTTGTTTCTTTTTAAAATAACATTTATATTTTTTCAACTTTTAG
Source organism: Homo sapiens (assembly GCF_000001405.40). NCBI lineage: Eukaryota > Metazoa > Chordata > Mammalia > Primates > Hominidae > Homo > Homo sapiens. The sequence continues at coordinate 1,178,447 of NT_187663.1, forward strand.
AGGTTAATATGTTCATTATAGAAAACTGAAAAACACAAGAGGCATATAACTAAAAAATCATCCATAACAGAATCAGTTTACATTCTGATGTATCTTTCCAGTCCTTGTATGTGTATACATATATACATAACTGAGTATACCTTTTTACATGGTTACACTTATATAGTATGTGCCATGCTTTCTTGCATATCATGAGTACTTGAGTATCAAAATACTCAGGGCTTTAGGATTCAGACATTGGTAAATATTCACGATACATTTTCTTATCTTTTGTGGGGACAAAATTATCTTAAAAAACAAAATGGCAACAGGTCTCTGGAAATGCATATTGGCAGGTTTATAGTTAAATACTGTGTTCACTTAATACCCAATATAAAATGAGATACAAAGCAGTCAAGTAAGTATAATGCTTCTTAGATAGTTCAGTATGAGATCTGCACTATTAAAATATTACCAGAAATGATGTTTCTACTTAATTATTTAACAATTCATATAGTATTCACAAAGTATACCAAGAAAAAAGCACACATATGTCAGTGGTTATAATCAGATTGTAAATATGGACATATCTATATATATCTCTTCCCTTACCTTTCTTTCTGCCCCTTAGCAATCCAGTACGTACTGATGTATACTGCTCATAGGTGGTTTAACATTGCCATTTCCAAGATGCTTCTTTTCTAATGAAATTAATTTACTATCTAGTTAATTCACTAGCTCTATTTTATACATTGTCACCTCATAACATCTAGAAAGCTTAGTGTTGTGAAGTAAGGACTGATAAACAGAGGCACTTTACTAAAAAATCACTTCCTAGAACTGTGGCTACAATATGAAACTATCTTCTAGATATGAACATACTTGCAAAGAACCTTCCTTTTGCCTTTCTTCTTCCTTCTTCAGCTCAATGAATAAGTACAGAAATGCATATAGCTCTACGAGATGGGTTAACAACAGTCACTCCCAGACAACAAGCCTTGCTAAAAACTCTAACAAGAGGACATTTATCAAAGAATCATTTTACTTCTTAAACTTTCAGCATACTTTGGGCACTTCTCAGCATTGGGGCCTTGTTTGTCCTTTGCATACTCAACAATGCTAAGTAAATGCACTTGCAGAACGACGAGTAGATAATCTGCATTTATCTCAAAACACACTGGCACAGAACTCTTCCACCGTCACTTCCTGTCTCTCCCACCTCCTTTACTACCCAATGAGCAAAGAATATGTAGCTCAAAGAGATAAAAGTTTAACAGTTCCATTCTAAAGACAGTCATTCCTGTTAATTGACATAAACTTACTTAAAGTGTGTTATTTTGTGAAGACTACATGTTTCAAACGTCTACTGTATAATGATAGCATTGATTAAATTGTGTGCATATAACAAAGGCTATAATCTGAAAGTATCTTCTAAATATGAATATTATAGCCAAGTACACTTCACCTTCTCACTTCCTTCTTATCATTATCAGCCCAAAGGACAATATCAGCGTTCCAAAAGTTGTTTTCAGAAGATAGTCTTACCTATGAAGTTTTCGGGCATACAAGAAAAGTATATAATATGTTTTAGTTCATCATCTCTTCTTTTGTCAAACATTAGCAACCTCTTTATCATCTAGACAACAAGATGTAAAATTAGGACTTGCTTGTTCATTGTACAGATAACCCTCAATGGGTTATGTCTCAGCAAACCCATCGTAAGTTGAAAATATCCTAAGTTGAGAGTGCATTTTTGACTTACAGTATTTTCAGTTGACTATGGGTTTATCTTGTCGTAACTGATTGTAAATCGAAGAGCATTACCAAATGCATATTGCTTTTATACCATCATAAAGTAAAAAAAATTGTTAAAAGTCAAACCAGTTTAAGTCGGGGACCATGTGTATACACTATGTGCACAGCAAAGTAAAATAAAATGCACAGAACATGCAGGTAATCTTGCCTAACTACAAACACATGGTATAGAACCCTTTATTCCTTCCTACACTTCCTTTGCCTTCCTCCTCCCTCAGTCCACAAGCACAGATCTGTACCACTCAAAGAGGAGGTCTAATAATCCCATTTCCGAAAGACAGTATTTCATTAAATTTATTAATTCCTTTTATCCAGGCATTTAGTGGTCATTTTTAGATGACCTTTACCACATATCTTCAGATGCTTTCACCGTCCGCCATAAGAATTTTTACTGAAATGAATTCTTGAAATGTTTAAAACTTTGTTACATTCTTTCTCGTTCCACAAGTAGTTATCCCTTCCCAGTTACCTTTCTTTTTTAGGTCTGTGGAGTCATGATACATCTATCCCCTTTTCCTTTGTTTTTCATGCATTTGTCAAATTTATTATTGAATACTCCTAAATTTTTTCTGCCTTTATCATTTGTTTTTTCTTTTTCATTGCTTTAGTCAGTTACCCTTGCACTACAGCAGTAGCCTCTTTATTATCTTCCTTGCCTTTAGTCTTCTTCCTTTCCATCCTGGAATATTTATTTCAGAGCTTACTGTACAAAAATACCAGATTCTATCAGAGAACATCAAAGGAATCACAGAATCTCAGTATTGCAAAGGATCTTAGCCATCTAGTGCACACACCTGTTTTTTATTTGAATCTCTTCTACATTTCTTTTTATTATTATTATTATTATTATTATTATTATTTTTGAGATGGAGTCTCACTCTAATGCCCAGGCTGGAGTGCAGTGGTATGATCTTGGCTCACCGCAACCTCTGCCCCCCTGGTTCAAGAGATTCTCCTGCCTCAGCCTCCCAAGTAGCTAGGATTACAGGCGTGCACCACCATGCCTAGCTAATTTTTTGTTTGTTTGATTGTTTGTTTGTTTGTTTTGAGATGGAGTCTGGCTCTGTCGCCCAGGCCGGAGTGCAGTGGCATGATCTCGGCTCACTGCAAGCTCCGCCTCCCGGGTTCACGCCATTCTCCTGCTTCAGCCTCCCTAGTAGCTGGGACTACAGGCGCCCGCCACTATGCCTGGCTAATTTTTTGTATTTTTAGTAGAGACGGGGTTTCACTGTATTAGCCAGGATGGTTTTGATCTCCTGACCTTGTGATCCGCCCGCCTTGGCCTCCCAAAGTGTTGGGATTACAGGCATGAGCCACCGTGCCTGGCCTTTTGTATTTTTAGTAGAGATGAGGTTTCACCACGTTGCCCAGGCTGGTCTCGAACTCCTGAGGTCAGGTGATCCACCCGCCTCGGCCTCCCAAAGTGTTGGGATTACAGGCGTGAGCCACCGTGCCTAGCCTTTTGTATTTTTAGTAGAGACGAGGTTTCACCACGTTGCCCAGGCTGGTCTCGAACTCCTGACGTCAGGCGATGCACCCGCTTCGGCCTCCCAAAGTGCTGGGATTACTCATGCCTGGCCCTCTTCTGCATTTCTGCTGAGTAACTTCTGCCAGGTTCCTTAGGCTAAGCTTAAGTTCCTCCAGTGACAGGAATCTCACTCCCTCCTAAGGCTACATTCCTCTTTTGGACAACTATAGGTTTAAGTTTAGTCTTCCTTATGTTAAGGTAAGATGTATTTGCTTGTATCTTCTCCTACAAGCTCTGGTTCTTCCCCTGAAACTACACAGAACAAGCATGATACTACTTCTTTATGAACACTCTTTAGGTATGAAGAAAGCTATTGTCCAGACTTCCCTACAGATTCCTCTTTTCTCTAAGCTAATTCTCCTAAGCTTGGTTGGTTTTTTCTAGCCAGTCTTTTTAGCCCTTTACCATCCTATTCACGTTTCTGTGAACTTTAACATTTATGTATATTAATGTTAAGCTGTGAAACCTAGAATTTAGTGGAGTAATGCAAATGTGGTCTCTGTTGTAAAATAGATCAGAACTATTTATTCTTTATTTAAAACACTAGTCCTTTAATGTAGGCCGAAATTGTGCTAACATTTTTGACATCGACATTCTATCTTAATGCTTATCTAGTTTACTAATGAATGAAATTCCCAGTCATCTCTCACAAAACTGTATCTCCCCCAGCTGTACTCAAGTACAGAAAACATCTATTCTTGATAACTTTTATCTTGTTAGAATAGCTCTTTTCTCTTCTATAGCTACAACTTGTCAGTGTGTCCTTATCAGCTTATGATTTAATTGAGGCTATAGAACATATACACTTAAAAAAAATAAGCTAAGAACTCTTAGAATAAAACAACATAATGTATTGTCAGTTGTAACCATGAATGATGTTTTTCAAAGTGTGTCCTCTGGCCTACATTAGAGTTACTTAGGGCGCTTGTTAAATATTCAGTTTCACTCCAGACTTAATGAATTCAGATTTCTAGGAGTGATGTCTGGAAATCTGCATTTTAACAAGCTCCATTGGACATTGGTGCATATTAAAGGTTGACAGCTGCTACTCTAAGTACTGAAGGATTGAGCCCAAAGATATGATCAGAATTAGGTGGCATTAATAAAGGAGGTGATTTCTGGGGACAGAAGAACATGAACTGTTAGAGTAGGTAGAAATTCCAGGTGTAGTAAAGAAGAAATAAATTGTCTGCTAGGGAAGATATTTGCTAGGCTGAATTAGGGGCCCAATAGAACAGCACATAAAAGGAGTTAAAAGCTAAGGGACGGAAGGAAAAAAAACAAAGAAAGAAAAAACTATAAAATTCTGAAACCAGTAAAGATACATGCTGCCATTTGGCAGCAAGGCAGACCTGCTATAGAAGAAGCATGATCTTTGTCATCAAGAATTCATGAAATACCAGGCAACACCCTATGAGGGAATGTAAAAGGGTGGGGGTGTCAGCAAAGATTAGTTTGGAGCATTGCTACACACATCTCATCTTTAGTTCTAGGCTATCTAATGAGAAAATCTATATTAAATCTAAGTTGACTGATTTGGATATAGACCAGTCGGATGGTAGACAGCTTGCACAGCTGCTTGGTGCTCAGGAAATAGGCTGTTTTCACTAGCATAGCAAAACTCAGAGTGCTCTTGGCATTTTGAAGTTGGTGGGACAACAGCAAGTCTCTACCAGACAGAATAGTGCCACGAAAATGGATGGTCAAAGTCCTGACTGCCCAGATGGTATCAGGAGTAGTGGTCTTGGTCTTAAGTATTTCCATTTCTTAAAGATTTCATAAGTGCACAGATAAACAAGTGTAGATGACAACCTATTTTAGATGTTGATTGAGAGTCTTAAGGCCAGGCGTGGTGGCTCACACCTGTAATCCCAGCACTTTGGAGGTCGAGGAGGCTGATCACTTGAGCCCAGGAGTTTGAGACCAGCCTGGGCAACATGGTGAAACCCCATCTCTACAAAAGAATACAAAATCAGCCAGGCATGGTGGCATGCACCTGTGATCCCAGCTACTCGGGAGGCTGAGGCGGCAGGATGGCTTGAGCCTGGGAAATGGAGATTGCAGTGAGCTGAGATAGTGCCACTGCCCTCCAAAGCCTGGGCAACAGAGTGAGACCCTGTCTCAAAAAAAAAAAAGGTTTTTGAAACAAAAGGCCCTCCTATATAATGAGTCAATGAAAGTTATGCTCTTAGAGTAAATAATTATATTGTACTACTGAAATGGTAAGTCAAGTAGAACTAAGAAAATACTCATGACTCTAGTTCCAATTTACAATTTTCAACAGAACCATAAGAGAAGTTGTAATTATGGAAACTTAAATGATCAAATATTAATTTGTGTCCAGGCGCAGTGGTTCACACCTGTAATCCCAGCACTTTGGGAGGCTGAAATGGGTGGATCACCTAAGGTCAGGAGTTCAAGACTAGCCTGGCCAACATGGTGAAACTCCATCTCTACTAAAAATACAAAAATTAGCTGGGCATGGTGGCACCTGTAATCCCAGCTACTCAGGAGGCTGAGGCAGGAGAATTGCTAGAACCTGGGAGACGGAGGTTGCAGTGAGCCGAGATTGTGCCACTGCACTCCAGCCTGAGCAAGACTCTGTCTGAAAAAAATATAATAATAATAATTATGATTATATTTAAAAGATCAAATATTAATTTGTGATTATATTTTCTACAAGGGCATGCACTATTTAAAATTGAGCACTCAAATCTGGTTTGCACAACTGCACAGAGAAGCTTGCAAGACTGCCGAATATGTCCTGACTTGCTACTAGTCTTTTGATAGCCTCCTTCTTTGGCAAACATGGCTAGTCTGCATTTGTACTGGAAGCCACTTGGGATTCCTCTTTAAACATCAGTCATTGTTCAAAACCCACTTCGCACTTCTTTCTCTCTTTATAGATCATGTTGCCCCCAAAATGAACTGAACACTCTTATCTTAATGCTAATTTGACAGAGACCACTTCTAATTTATTATCATCCTGCTTACTCTTATATAAAATTAGTGTTTGCTATAGTTTTTTCTCCCTTTGAATACCTCAAAGTTGACTGACAGTTTTTCCTCAACGCAGCTTGCCTCTGATAACATCCAGAAAAAATGAAGAAAATATACTGCTTTGTAAAATAGAAGAGCTTAACAAGTACAAATTTGTCACTTTTTTCGGGTGTTTCGAAAGAGTGTAAACAGTAAACATTGCTGTTTATTTCTTGTGTTTCAGAAGTAAGGCTATGTATTTTTATCGAGCTATTTACAATTTACATATAAGATGTAAGTATTTTCATGAATCATTTTCATCAGTGGGGTGGATATACCTATCATAGCGGATACGGTCCTATTCTGACTTTTAGATCAGAAATCACTTTCAGTTATTTGTAGCACACACCTTAAAGCCTATTAAAGTTCTCCCCACCAAAATTTGTATTATTATAATCACTGGATGTCAACACCTGTGGCTCAAACAGTATCCAAATTTTGTATATTGTTGGAGGATTGCTGATTTAACTGAGAGTTGTAGCTAGAAATAAGGTGAGAAAGAATATACAGGTAATACTAATCCACCTCAAACTAAGAAGCAAAGGATGGTGGATGGGCTATGTTGATCTAGCGTTGCAAAAACACTTTTGGATGAAGTGCCCAGAAATAGCCCCAGTTCCTTTCACTAGAATCAGCTCGTCCCAGGTGAATGCCGGCAGAGCAGGGTGTGTGCTCCCCAAGAAAGGGCAGTGACCGCTTTCCAATGTCTGGCAGTTAGGGGCGATGAGAGTAGTTGCAATTGGCAAGATAAAGGGGAACTTTGGAAAATAAATATACTTATGATAGAGGAGGCAGGAGAAAAGGTCAAGGGCTGTACACATGTGGAACTGATAATCATGGTAGCTTGGCTTCTATGAATGGGTACATGTTGACCCTTAAGTGAGCTTAGAAAGCTTGAGAAATCAGTATGCGTGAACTGTTTGAGGCATAAGAAAGGCAGGATTTTAAAACTTTTTTTTTAATTTGTGCAAATTTATGGGATACATGAGAAATTTTTTACATGTATGTAATATGTAGTGATCAAGTCATGGTATTCAAGGGATCTGTCACCCCAGTACAATATATTCTTATTAAGTATAGTCATCCTACCCTGCTATCAAACATTGAATTTATTCCTCCTATCTTACTGTACGTTTGTACCTTTAGCCTACTTCTCCTTAGCCTCCCTTCATCCCCAGTCACCCTCCCCAGTCTCTGTTGTCTACTTTTCCACTCTCTACCTCCATGTGTTCAAATTTTTTACCTCCTACATATACGTGAGAACATCTGATTTTTGTATTTTTGTGTTTGGCTTATTTCATGTAAGATAATGATCTCCACTTCCATCCATGTAGCTGCAAATGACATAATTTCATTGTTTTTATGGATGAATTGTATTCCATTGTGTAGAAGCAGGCAGAATTGACTCTGATAGTAGTCTAGCTGGAAGAGAGGCTATAGCTACAAAGAATCTTGACTTACCAAAACACTAGTAACATGTCTGTGAAACTGCTGTAGTCTAACTCATTTACTACTATGTTAATTTGGAGCGTGAAGTTCATCAGTGGAATGGGTACTATAATTTGCAAAGTTCAAGTGACAATTCTGGTAGATAAAGTTTTAAGGAGCAGATGGTCACAACTGTCAGTCTCAGAAGTAATTTGGTAAGTAAAATAGTCATTTATTTGGAAGTTTTTTGGTAACCTAATTGTGATCTAATTGTCACCAGTTGGGAGTCTAATTCCATTTTCATCACTCATCTGCAGAAAGGTGAGAGAAATAAGCTATTAATTAATAGCCAATATTTACGAGCTCTTACTATCCACCATAAAGTATGCTAAGTGCTTTATGTGCATTATACTTAATTATAGTAACTTTCTGAGGTAGTTACTATTATTATTTCCAGCTAGTTAGTGGAAGAACCAGGATTTGAATCCAGGCAAACTGACTGCAGAGCCCTCACTTTTAACACTACACATAAAACTGAGTTTATTTAACAGAAAACACTGTCCTTTAACCTGAGATTGTGTCTACCTTTCAATACTAAAATGTACTTTTTATATGAAATGGTGGTGATAGACGATGTCAGGTTTGATTTTCTTTTTTTTTTTTTTTTAAGAAATCTTTACCTTGCAAAACTAAAACTAAAACAACCCAATGACAGCACTGCTCTCCAGTTTAAAGAAAACAAATGTTCTTTTGCTAGTTGTGAAATCTAAATTTGAGAACCACTGACTAGAAAAGTGGGACTCTTAGTAATTTTTAAAGTTCTTTAGAGATTTTTCACCTGATTTATTTTCTGATTTCAACCTCCTTGTTTTCATTAACCTTTTCCTTAAGTCCACCTCAGCCACTCATTCTTCGATTATACACAAGACTTTGTTTGCCATTACCAGCAACCACACCACTTTGGGGATCTCAGATGTAAGCATCTTGCTCTCGCGCTGCCTCCCATTTTTCCTTGCTTACTCCTAGCATTTCTCCTGTTACCAACTCCAGCAACTTGGACCCCACTGGAACCTCCAGTATAATTTATTCTATCAGTTCCCAATCTTTTTGTTCTCTCTCTCCTCTTTCCCCAGCTTAACCTCCATGGTCTATCACATATATCCTCTTTGTATACACCTTTAGCAGCCTTGCTCCTCATCTTCTGTTGTCAAATCCACAAGTGTTTCTCAGCTACCTGCCTACTCTGTGCCAGTATTCTCGCTGTTAAGCATGGCTTAAGAAAAACACAAAACCACAGTGTCTGATCTCACTTTAAATTTATGAACCAAATCTCAAGTGAGCCCTCAGTATTTCTTGGAACAGATATTCCTAGTATTCCTTCTGTATTTCCCTAGTCCAATCCATTTATTCTCCTATTCTCTGAGATGACTAGTTCTTCTTCTCTATTTGGCTCAACCCCCAAGCACCACCTCTTCCATCTTTACCAGCAGCTGATGACCTGGAATCTTTACTTCACGGAGGAAATAGAGGCAAACAGAAGAGAACTTCTTCATCTTCTTCATCTTCCCACCACAAGATGTATGATTGGTTGAATGAGAGAAAGACTGTGATGTCCTAGAACTTCAGTTGCTCCTATATCCAATGTAATTAGCAACTTAAATTCCAAAACCATATATAAAAATCGATTTTTGGCCATTTGAGATTATACTCTTTACTACCACTTTCCTTTCTCTTATTATAACCAAGAGTTGTTACTATGTTTGTGCCTCATCCAAATAAAAAGTAGGTATTTTTTAGAAAATGATTAACGGGAGCAATTAGTAAAACAAGCAGTAAAATACCCGGATACAGGAAATTGAGCCAGGCTTGCTGGTATGTGCTTGTCCCAGCTACTCGGGAGGCTGAGTTGGAAGGATCGCTTGAGCCCAGGAGTTCCAGGTTATAGTGAGCTGTGTCACACCACTGAACTCTGGCCTGAGTGACAGAGTGAAACCCTGTCTCTAAAAAAGTACTTGACATAGGATATTGAGAGAAGAAATGCTTTGGAACTATGTTTGATTATACCCTTAGCCCACCTTAGTTCTTACTTAAGTAAGTTATAGATGAAGGAGAAAAGATGGGAATCACTTTGAAGATTAAGGCCTCAAACTTTGTGGAAAATGGAGGAAAAAATGTTGAAAACAGTCATGTGATAGTTTTTACCTTACACTTTTGATGGGAAAATTAGATAATAGAATTGAGCTATACGTATGTTGACTGCACATTACATTAATTTAATCCTGTTATTTACCTCATATTGCTAACCTTTAAAATTAAGATTTGAAAAAAAAGAGATGGGTAAAACCAAAAAGGTCAAAATTTGTATGCCAGCTTAGATGAAATTTGTATTTATAGAACTGAATAAGAATCTACACCTTACCTAATACTGTGAATTGCTTATGTAAATACAACAAAGGATGGTCCCTCGATGACCTGAATCTCATATGCTGAGTTCACTTAGTAACAGCGTCCGTCTGCTCAGACACATTTTCCCAACTCCCCATGTGCTTTCCAAACCTTTACCATGTTTCCCAGTATCCTCTCTTCATCCCTCATTTTGTTGATGACCTAGTTCCTGCTTCACATAGTCAACAGAACCCAACAGGAATAACCTCAGCTTTCTTCCTCCTTGTCCCTTTATTTAACTGGTCTCAGAAGGAGAGGTGTCTTTACAAGCTCTCCCTCTCCATTCCTCCTCTGTTGCCAAAGTTTCTGAAAGTGTGGTCTCCATATCTGCTTATGCTACTTAGTTTTCTTCTAAGTGAAAGGTAGGGACTCAACCCCAAATGCTCTGACCCTGTTCGAAGACCCTGTGGCCTAGAGCGGCATGTATTTCCTGATTTCTAAACCTAGTGCCCTTTTTCCAGGCCTCATCCTCTATCACTGCAGCATTTATCTCTGTTGTCACATTCTTCTGCTTAAAACTTTTCACAGCTTTTCACGTACCCAGGGCAGGCATTCAAAAATATTGAAGCAGTAGTTTTGATGTCTTTTCTGAGCTTTCACCAGTATTTTTAATAGGCACTACTGCCTAAATGTCAAATGCCTTATAGCCAAAAACAAGTAATGATTTCCTGTAATCTCCAAACTGATTCCTCTTCCTCTTGCTATGTCTTGGTATCCCTGAGGTTACCATCATTTTATCCATGTACCCATGCTAGATGCCTCAAGGTCATCCTTGACTCCTCTTCCTTCTCTGGTTTCCATTTGGTTTCTAAGCTTTGATGAGTATCTCCCGCATCTTCTTTTCTTTTTCTACTATTTCCTATGACTCTTGCCTCTTTCTGTTTATTGTCTTTTGTCTGGATTATTTCAGTAATATGTTCAGGAGTTTCTAATTTGGATTCCATGGATGGACCTCAAAGGATTAAAGAACTCTCTCAAATTTGTATGCAAATTTTTTATGCATGTGCATTTTCCTGGGGAGGTCCATTAGACTGTTCTGTGGGAAAGAGAGGAATAGAATGAGAGACAATGACAATTTAAATCAGGTCCACTGATTTCTCGTTCTATACCTGGCCTTTGTTATTTAGGTCACTAACCTAAGGCACTTATCTCTGAGGAGTGAGGTGGCATGTAAGATATTAAGAATAAAACAGCAGCATTAGTCAGTCCAGCTGGGCAGTCAGTCCAGCAGCCAGAGATCAGAGGCTCCTCAATATCAGATCCAGGCTTTAATATCCTAGAGAAGCTCAGGAGAAAGCTGGGGCATCAGCAGGAGCAGAGGGTGTCCTCCCGAGGCCCCTGGACCCATTTGTTCCTGTGCTTCCAAAGGACTTAGAGGGATATGAAAACTTAACTGGCAAGAATCCAGAGTGAGTTGGTATCCCCAGAAAAAGGTTCAGAACATTCCCCCAGCTAGCCTCCCCTCCTTTGCCTGTTTGGTCTCTCGTTCTTTCTCCACTCTGCCAACACAGTTAGCTTTTAAATACATATCTCCTGGTGTGCCTTCCGTGATTGTCACTTACACCTAAGGGTGATTAGACTAATCACCCAAAAATGTGGGGTTTTAATCACCTATGAAACAAGTTAAAAAATCATGGTCATGGTTTCAAGGCCTGCCAGTTAGGAGCCTGCCAGCCTCGTCGCCAGGCACTGCCCTCTCCTCACTTCCAGGGCTCTGGCTACAGCAGGTTACTACTGGCTGTTTCGAGAGAACAGTGTCTGTGTCCATATCCCTATGCCTTTGATCATGCTAGTCTCTCTCTTTGGGGTGGCATTTCCTCTCCATTGCCTGTGAACCTCCTACTCATTCTTCCAGGCCCACAATGGATGTTAGCTCTTCACCTGAGTCCATTCTTAATTTTCTGCCATCACTCTGGCAGAATCAGTATCTCTTGGCTAGAGTCCAAAAACATTTCATACATATCTCTGATAATGTCATATTATATTGTAGATAGCCTATTTTTATTTCTGTCTTTCCTACTAAGCCAGAAATGCCCTACAGCTAGGGACTGTCTTTTTCATGTTTGTATCCCTAACAGCTACCTTTGCATCTAGTCTAAACATGAGCTTAGTACACTTTTGTTGAATGGAATTAGTTATAAAGAGTTTTTATGACTCATTTAAAATTAGAGACCAATGCTTACTTAATAAGTCAGAATAGGCTGTAATAATAATAGTAATAATAAAGTCCCATTTCCACTGCTTATTCAAGTAACAGCTTCCTTTGTGGAAGTACATTTTGAAAGACTTCACATGTCAGTGTATATTTTTGATGTGCTCATTTGAGATCCTAAAAGAATTATAGTTCTAAAGCAGACTAGAGCTTCTATTACATTCCTGTTGAAGTTATATTAAATATATTCTATCGTTTCACATATCTGTATTATATATAATAAGTTGCATGGGTAAACATTTTATCTCTTTTAAACTTCATGGTAATAATTTGTGAATTGTTTATTTTATAATATCTGAGTAAATTTAGTTCAAAACACATTAATTTGAGCATTTTCTGTGTACAGAAGCATAGTTGCAAAGTTAAGATTCTTGTGTTTATGTTGTTTTGTTAAATTCGGAAAGTCTCAGTCTTGCAAATGTATTTTTTTTTTAAGTATTTAAATTAGCTCAGCTATGAGAATAAGCACGGTCCATAAATTAAGAGCTTCAAATAATTTTTTAAAATCCTTCATATTCTTTGAGTTTTGTAGGAAAAGAATCAACAGTTTACTTATTCAGCCTTTCCTGAAGTCCATAGTAGGTGCTGGGCATCATGCTGGGTGAATGAGATAGTACTTGCATTTGAATAGTTTACAGTCTTATAGCGAAGAAGCCATGTAAACAGAGAATTGCAATATAAACCTTGGAGGAGAGGAAGGAAGACTACTTTGAGAACCGAGATTAGGTTGAGAATGGATGAGTCTGCTGATCAATTTATAGATAAAGAAGCAGAGAGGTGAAGTCTTTTTTTTTTTTTTTTTTTGATATGTGAAATAGGAACCTAGGTTATCTCTAAGAATTCATAGCAGGGGGTAGCTCTTGAGAAGAACAGTGAAGATCTGGATAATTAATAAGGAGAATTAGAGATGAGCTAACAAAGACAAGTAAAGAGTGGCATGAGAAAGCAGTGAGCATAGAACTGAAACTGGATAGCATGAAATTCTGGAGGTATCAGTCAGTAGCACAGTGGTATAATTTTCTCCAGCTGTGCTATGGAGAAATTATACACATTGTGGCCAATGTGTAGTGAATAAAGCCATATTGTATTCAGGGACTATGGGGTGGTTATAACAGAAATTTACAAAGAATAAATAGTTAAAAGTCCTTCAAAGAAAGCATGGCTTACTAGGGAAGGCAGTATGGTTAAGAGGAAGTTGATAAACTTGGAGAAAATGTAGAAGTCAAGAAGTTGGAGATCAGAAGGGCTGGTGCTTTGTAGGAACTCAGAAAATCTTCATTTTCTTCTTTCTGGATGTCCTCTCCCTATGAATGTTTCACCACCACAACCTGCCTCAGCTACAGTTTATACATATGAATAGTTTCAAATCATGATGGTAACAGTTGGCTCAGAGGGCAAGATTAGGAGCCAGACTTCAACGTGCTGCTAATCCAGCGTGTCCCTGTAACTTAGATGCTGGTAGTGCTTGGTGGTATTGGCCTCTAGGAGAAGCTCAAGGCTTCTCCTGTTATCTCCCTACCACTCATACTTGGAGGGTGAGTCAAAGGCCAAAAAGCATTTTATTGGGCAGTGGTTCTTAGGGAAGGGATTTACTCTGTGATGCAGAGGGTTAAGACTGTAAGCCATCAAGTGTTTCCCCTCCCTCTCCATGTTCAACCAAAGGCACAGTTCTTATTACTTTCAAGGATTTAAAAAGGAGTCTTTTCTCAGCATAAAGGAGGAAGTGAAGACCAATTTTGACAGCCCAAAGGGTCTTCCTCCTCAGAATCTAAAATTTCTAATAGAGTTGTTTGCATCTTGTGATTTTACTTGAGTCATCAAATGTATTGTACTTTTTTTCTTAAAGATATACTTCTTAATGCTTTCATTTCAGATAAGGACAAACCATTTTCCATGGCGACACACTATTTATATTGCATTTTCAGAAATTTCCCTTTTTACCCATACTTAGGAGTGTGACACTGAAACCTGATAATCTATTATTTCACAGAGTGCTTTTTTGGGTGTAATATAAAGATATTATATAATTTTAATAACCTTTGAGGTACAAGTGGTTTTTGGTTACATGGATGAATTATATAGTAGTGAAGTCTGAGATTTTAGTGCAGGACCCATTGTCCAAGTAGTGTAAACTGTACCCAATATTAGTTTTTTATTCCTCACTCCCCTCTCACTTTCCCCACTTCTTAATTTTCTGCCATCACAATGTGTTGCCCAGGCTGGTTTCATGCCCTCACTTTCCCCACTTCTGAGTTTCCAAAGTCTATTACTCTGTACACCTTTGTGTACCCATAACTTACCTCCCTCTTGTAAGTGAAAACATATGGTATTTGATTTTCCATTCTTGAGTTACTTCACTTAGAAAAATGGCCTCCAGCTCCATCCATGTTGTAGCAAAAGATGTGACTTCGTTCTTTGTTATGGCTGAATAGTATTCCATGGGGTGTGTGTGTGTGTGTGTGTGTGTGTGTGTGTGTGTGTGTGTATACACATATATGATATATAATAATTATATATAATTTATCGTTATATGTAAAACAAAGCAAATTTTTTATTTTTATAGAGACAGGGTCACAAAGTATTGCCCAGGCTGGTTTCATGCTCCTGGGCTCAAGTGAGCCACCACACCCAGCCAAAAATAAGTAATATTTCCCAGTTAGACATTTTCAGAGTAAAAAGTATTTGTTCAAAATCATAGCATGAATGGACTCTTCCAGAGACCTTTAACTGGCAGCATTTCCCCCTCAAACTTTAGTACAGTTATAGGAATTGTTTCTGGATTTTTGGCTGTATATTCTTGTTCATGGCTCATGGACATTAACATATGTGAATGGCATCACTGTGTTTTTCCTAAAGTGCATACGAAGAAGAAAGAACACTTTCCTTTAGAGTCTTACTTAGATTCTAGTTAGCTGATATAAGACTGTTTTCTTTTCCTTTTCAGGTTGTAAACATGTTAAAGGCATCCTGTTATATGGACCCCCAGGTTGTGGTAAGACTCTCTTGGCTCGACAGATTGGCAAGATGTTGAATGCAAGAGAGCCCAAAGTGGTCAATGGGCCAGAAATCCTTAACAAATATGTGGGAGAATCAGAGGCTAACATTCGCAAACTTTTTGCTGATGCTGAAGAGGAGCAAAGGAGGGTAATGTGAACATAAGTGTGATTTAGTAAAAGTTTATCACTCGCTATACGATGAATGAGACCCAGAGTTATGGAGACAAACTTGTTGCTTTGATTTATATTTTGAAGCAACTTACAGGTAAATTTACCTAGTACCTAGGTTATATATGGCACTGCACCAGGGACTGTGGAAGATTTACGTGATGAGCAGATGTTGTTGCCCACATATTCCTATAAACAAAGGTAGGTGATTGTGTAAGCCAGAGGTTTTGCAAAAATAGGTCATGAATATATTTTCAGGTGACACTTTTATTCCATATTGCTTCCAGAGACTTGTGCTCATTTATCCTTTGGAAGAAAAGGGGAAATTAAATCCATAAATAGACTTATGAAATCGTATTATGTAAGGTTCATATGCAAAAAGCTATCTTACTTAACACTGAGTCTTGCTCAGTTATAGAGTGACAGGATTGAGTTGTCAGAGCTCAAAGGAAAGCTTGATTTGCGTCTCAGAAATGAAATTATTTAAAAATCAAGCTAGAATTTACTAATTCTGATAGTTTTACATGTCAACTTGACTAGGACATAAAGTGCCTAAATATTTGGTAAAACATTTCGGTTGTGTCTGTGAGGATGTTTCTGGATGAAATTAGCGTTTGAGTTGATAGACTGAATAAAGCAGATTGCCCTCCCTAATGTGGGCAGGCCCCATTCAATCAGTTTAAGGCCTGAACAGAACAAAAAGGCTTACTTTCCTGCAAGTAAGAGGGAATTTCGACTTGCCTGGTTACCCTGAGTTGGGACATTGGTTTGGATGCACACCGAAACATCAGCTCTTCCTGGCTTGGAGGCCTTTGGGCTGGAACTAAATAATGCGTATTAGCTCTCCTGGGTCACCAGGTTGCTGACAGCAGATCTTGGGACTTGTCAGCCTCTGAAATTGTAGATTTATCCCAAGGAATTGGCTAAAACGATTATGGAGGCTGACATATATATGTGGGTGTATATGCATACATACATATTCATAGAGATTTATCATAAGGAAAACACACACACACACACACACATACACGAACATTCTATTGGTTCTGTTTGTCTGTTCTGATTAATTATCCTAATACTAACATATTTTTTTCATTGACAGTTTAAGAACAATGCCATGAGATTTCTGGTTCTAGCAATGCAGTAGACTAGGTAACCAGAAAACCTTCCTTCTATAAACACCTTCAAATGCTAGGTATACACTGTACCCCTTAAATATGCACAGTTATGTGCCAATTAAACACAAAATAAAACTTTTAAAAGTTCTGGGTAAAACATAACTGAAATCATTTTAAATGCATAATTGAGCTCTTCAGAAAGAAAACTGGATCTCCAGGAAATTAGAGTCGTGAGATACGGGCTGCAGCTTTTGGTTTCATAATGTATGGGTTTGGGTTTTAGTACCCACTAGGGAACAGAACATGAGTCCTTGAATCCATTTACAGTGTGGACTAGGAACTGGTACCTTCAAAGGGGTTGTGTCTATGAAAAGAGTGGACTAGAAAATATCTGCTGCCACCACAGGGAAATTAACAAAAAATATTTAACTGCCTGGGTTCTGGAATGGAAGCTGGGAAATCTCCTATGGGAATTCTTCTTCTTTTTTTTTTTTTTTTGAGATGGAGTTTTGCTCTTGTTGCCCATGGTGGAGTGCAATGGCGTGATCTCGGCTCACCACAACCTCCGCCTCCCAGGTTCAAGCAATTCTCCTGCCTCAGCCTCCCCAGTAGCTGGGATTACAGGCATGCACCACCACGCCCAGCTAATTTTGTATTTTTACTAGAGATGGAGTTTCTCCATGTTGGTCAGGCTGGTCTCGAGCTCCCAGCCTCAGGTGATCTGCCCGCCTTGGCCTCCCAAAGTGCTGAGATTATAGGCGTGACCCACCATGCCCGGCCTCCCATGGGAATTGTAAACCATGGATCCTTGTTCATGCTGGTTTAGAATTTGAATGAATGTATGCTACCTATGTGGCTTGAAACCCGAAGCTGAGAAATTAGTTAAAAAAATTATTCAGGTGCAGTGGCTCATGCCTGTAGTCTCAGCTACTTGGAAGGCTGAGATGGAAGGGTCACTAGAACCCAGGAGTTCTAGGCTGCAGTGAGCTCTCATTGTGCCATTGCACTCCAACCTGGGTGACAGTGCAAGACCCTATGTTAAGGAAGAAAAAAATTAGTCCTGGGCTAGTGATAGCATAAGTTGTCAGATATAAGCAAACCCCAGGGGGTGCTCCAACAACCTAGGCTGAAAGGAATAGAAAAAGTAGTCATGAAAATTTAAAACTCAGCAACCAAGTTTAAGATAAGACAACAAATTTCAGCTGAAGAGAGAAGTGGTAAACAGAAGAATAAACCTAAAGAAATCACCCAGAATGTAGCACAGAGAGATAAAGGGATGGAGAAGATGAAAGTTGAGATGAGAGAGTTAAAACAAGAAGTCCAGATAGAATAGTGTAGAGGCATTATTCAAAAAGAGAATGACTAAGAATATTCTAGAATTAATAAAGACATAAGTACTCAGATTCAGGTAGCACCATGAGCCTATATGGGATAAATGAAAATTAACTTATTTCTAGACTTGTTATAGGAGAATGCCAAAGAAAAAAAATCTTAGTAACAAAAGAAAGACATGGAGATGACTTACAAAGGGGTATCCATTATGTTGATAGCAAACTTTTCCATGACAGAAAGAGAGAACAAAAAACAGTAGAATAATATCTTCAGAGAGCTAAGTGAAAATAACTGTCAACTTAAAAGTTAATACCCAGCTTAATTCTCATTCAGGAATGAGGGTGAAATAAAGACTTTTTTTCTTCAGGCAAAGGATAATAGAATTAACTAGTTGCAGAAGCTTGTTGGAAGATTATGAAGCAAGATGTACTGAGACTGAAGGAAGTTGAACCCAGAAGGAAACAGTAGAGCCAAGAAACAATGATGAGCAATGAAATTGGTGAAAATATAGATAAAGTCTGGGAGTTCTACTTCTAGTAGTGGCAAATTAGGTCATTTGAGTCATGTGTTCCACTGAAGACTACCAGAAAAGCTCAACACAATATTTAAACATGTTTTGCTTGAAGGTATCAAAGAAGAAAAATGGAGGCCTAGAACAAAGGTCCTCCTGGTATACTGGGTCACTGTTCCTCTCGAGATATTAGCCAGTTCTGCAGGAAGCTGCTAAAACCTAAGCAGCCCTTTTGACAGGCTAGTGGGAGTAATGGGGGCAGAGATTAGTGCCCATGGCCCCTAAGGAGGGGACACCTGATGAACATAACTCATTTTGAGTCAAGACCCTGAAGGGCTACACCATAGGAGCAAGGGTTAACCAGGAGTAGACATACTCTCACTGAGGCTGCAGATCAGCTTTGAATCATGTCAGTCCCTAAAATTAGATTGAGGGTTCCTAAATTGCTAGTGCCCCTAGGCATCTGGCAGAATTGTAAATCCTTCCTGGAAGAAAGTGGTATCATGTAAGGTCACAAATTGTTTCTAGTTTGCAAATGCAATGTCTGGCTTATAATCAAAAGCAACTGGAAACAGATACACAAACAACATCAAGAAAAAGAAAAGATGGTTCAAACAGCCTCTAGATATTGGAATTCTCAGATACAGACTTTTGAAATAATTATACTTACCACATTCAAGGGGATAAAAGACAAGACAGATTTTTGGCAGAGAACTGGAAACTAAAAATAAACAAATATAAATTCTAGAACTGAGAAAATCAGTAAGTAAAATTAACTCAAGTGAATGAGTTTAAATAGCAGGTTAGACACATCTGAAGAGAGAATTAGTGTACTGAAAGATATAAGATGAAAATAACCAGAGACAAAGAATGAAAGGAATTAAGAGAGAGTAAGAGAGAGAGAGAGAGAGAGAGAATACCGTTTAAAGGTCTGGTGCGTGTATTTAAAGTTCCAGAAAGGCAAGAGAAAGAGGATGAATCAAAATCAGGATTTGAAGAGAAAATGGTTTAGAACTTTCTAAAACTGATGGAAAACATTAGTCCATAAATTGCAGAAATGATATGAACCCTGAGCAGGAGAAATACCAAAGAACTCTACATATATAGGCATTATTGTTAAATTGCTGAAAACCAAAAATGAGAAAAATCTTAAAAGGAGCTAGAGAGCAAAGGAAAATTACCTTCAAATAAGCAACAACTAGCTAGTAGCTGTCTTCTCAATAGAAATGATGGAAACAAAAAGTCAATCAAAGGCCATTTTTAAAGAGCTGAAAGAAAATAACTGTCAACTTAGAATTTTATATCCAGTAAATGGATGAATGATCATAGAAATATATAATGGAATACAAGGCAGTAATGAAAATAAATAGCCTACAGCTATATACAGTTGTGAATCTCACAAATAAATTATTGAGCAAAAGAAACCAGATTTCAAAAAACACATACTGTGTGATTCCATTTATAGAGAGCTTACCTAAAGTATAGTGTTTAACAACACATGCTTGGGTGGTAAAACTATAAAGGAAAATGAATTATTACCATAAAAATCAGATTGTGGTTACCCATGGGGAAAGGTCAGGGAGGAGTGCTTGGGAGGGGTTGTGAGGAGGTGCTCCCAGGATGCTAGCAGTATTCTGTTTCTTATGATTACGTAGGCGTTCATTTTGTGACAGTTCATTGAGGCATATATTCACATTTTGTAACTTTTCTCTATGTGTGATGTATTTTGCAATTAAAAGTTTTAAAAATAAATTTTAATAGCATTCACTGAGAAAAACAATAATGATATGAATATTTTTAAAGGATAGAACTAAAATATGGAAAAAAACGTTTGGGAAGTAGATTAAATTCATGTAAGCTCCTTATATTATTGGGGAAGATGGTAGGGAGTTTGAGACCAGCCTGGTCAACATGGTGTAACCCCATCTCTACTAAAAAAATACAAAAATTAGTTGGGCTTGGTGGCGCACAGCTGTAATCCCAGCTACTCAGGAGGCTGAGGCAGGAGAATTGCTTGAACCCGGGAGGCGGAGATTGCAGTGAGCCAAGATCGTGCCACTGGATTCCAGCCTGGGTAACAAAAGTGAAACTCCATGTCAAAAAAAAAAAAAAGAAGCTAATAATGTTAGTTAACATTAAGTCAAATGTGCATGTGAAAGTTGTACATTGTGCCCAAACTTTTCCAAAGCATAGGGAGGAGCTGGGAAAGAAACAGTGGAAATTCAAATACTTTAGAAGGCAAGAAAGAAATAACAAGACTCAAAGACAATGTGATGATAATAAAAAGGTAATTTTAAAAACAATTTCATTTATAGCAGAAATCAGAATGTAAAGTGCCTAGGATTCGATCTAGCAGGAAATGTGCAAGACCTTTAAGGAGAAAATTCTAAACATTTTTGAAAATCTTTTTTTAAGCAGCTAATAAATGGTAAGATATAACATGTTCATGTATGGGAGAACTGACAATGTCATAAAAATGAGTTCTGCCCATCTTGGTCTGTAAGTTGAGTGTATTTCCAGTGAAGCCTAATAGGAATTTTTTAACATTTGACAACTTGATTCTAATTTTTTTTGAGGCTTGAAGAGTTATGAGAATTTTGAAGAATAATGAAGATTTACTTTTATCACATATCAAGACTTACTAGAAAGCAATAGTAATTGAAACAATGTTATATATTCATGCAAAAACAGACCAAGGAAACAATAGAACACAGGAAGGAAGAGCCTGCTCTATGACAAGTGATGATACAGATCAGAGGGGAGTAATAGGCTGGCTGTGCCTTAAACGGAGCTGAGATAATTGACTACCTATTTGGAAAAAGATAAAATGCAATTCCTACCTCACAGCATACAAAATTGCAAGTGGATTTACAAAAAAACAAAAACATAAAAGCCTACTAAAATTTATAGGAGGAAAACTTATTTAGAAGAAAAATAGGCAAAAATGTTTTAAGATTTGAGGCTAGGGAAGAATTGATACAGAAAGTAAATCCATTGGAAGTGTTAATTTGGCTACATTAATATAAAGAAAATTCTGTATGACAAATTACACTGAATACAAATGTCTCAAACTGGGAGAAGATATTTGCAGTGTATATAATCTACAAAGAATTGGCATCCTCTATAATAAATTCTCTATAAAAAGTCTTGTATAATAAGAAAAATATAAATACCACAATTTAAAAAAACTGTCGAAGGATTTAACACGTAGTTCTCAGAGAAAGAACACAATTGAAGAAAAGCAAATGAAAAGATATTCAGGAAAATGTATAATAAAAGAGGGATTATTTCTTAAACAACCTGGCAAAATTTACAACAGCTGGTAAAACCAAGAGTTTGTGGGGTTATGGAGAAACAAGGTCTCATATACATTGCTAGTTGGAGTATAAACTAGAAGAATATACCAAGTGGGTAGTATCTTGCAAATAAATTTGACATCTTACAAAAATGAAAATGCACAAACCCCATGAGTTCTACTTCAAGACCACTACCTATGATAAACAACATGACATGTACCAGGATGTTGATTGTCATGCTATTTGTAATAGAGGAAAAAGAAACATCATTACTCTTCCTTAGTAGGAAATGGAATAGCATACAGATATTAAAATGAATATGCTGAGCACAGTGGCCCACGCCTGTAATCCCAGCACTTCAGGATGCCAAGGCAGAGGATCATTTGAGCCCAGGAGTTGAAGACCATCATGGGCAACATAGTGAGACCCCACCTCTACAAAAATTAAAAATTAGCCAGGCATGGTGGCACATTCCTGTGGTCCCAGCCACTTAGGAGGCTGAGGTGGGATGGTCACTTGTGCCGGGGAGGTCAAGGCTGCAGTGAGCTGTGATAGTGCCACTGCACTCCCGCTTGGGCAACAGAATGAGACCCTGTCTCAAAAAAATAAAATGAATAATAGATTTACATAGATCGACATGAATAACACTCAGAAATATAACATCTCGTCTTCAAAAAAAAAACCTAGTAAGCTGTACTGAATTAATCTATCCTACCATTTAAAATTTTTGTTGAGGGTAAAATAATATTAAATATTCCCTTTATAGCAATCCTCTTAGTGCTTTAAGTCTGCTTGTTGGGTCCTTAATTGTTTCAATTTTATACAAGGTCGTTTCCTTTCCTGCTTTCCAGCATTTCATTAAGTTCTTGTTCAGGTCTCCAGCTAGATCAGTCTCATTGGTTCTAGCAGGTGTGGGTCTTGGTGGGTTGGTGCAAGTCCATTCACTATTTCAACTCTTCAGAAAGTCCCGGAACCAGTCAGTTTTGCAGTTCATTCCTAATACTAAGATTGTTTCTGCTTCACTTATCTTTTTAACTTACCTCAGTGTACCAAGAAAAACAGTCATCACCATATACTATCTAGGTTGAATAAACTCCGCTTAAAAATTATTTTAGATTATTTTCCAAATAATTTACAAAATACAAGAATAAAGAGATAAAAAACTATTAAAAATTAAATAAGAACTTAAATATATAAATAAAATTTTTATGCCATGTTTCCCTGGTCTTGAGGTGTTTTGGATTTTGGTTTTTGGAATATTTGCATATACATTAAGATATCTTGGCGTTGGGACTCTGGTCTAAACATGAAATCCATTTATGTTTTGTATATACCTTGTACACACAGCCTGAAGGTAATTCTGTACAATATTTTAAATAATTTTGTTACTGAAACAAAGTCTGTGTACATTGAACCATCAGAAAGCTAAGGCATCACTATCTCAGCCACTAGATGTGGATGGTCTGTGGTTGGTTGGCATCACCATTGTTTCTGAGTGTAAATTTATATGCCTGATAAATAATCGTTTTCATACATGTATTGAGACACAAGTACTTAACAGTAAAAAATATGACACACCATTAATACAGTGAAAAAATAGTGAGTTTAGGGTAACTAAGCAGCACAATGGCATCACCAGAATACCTGGATAAGCTGTTAAACAACAGCAACACCAAACAGCAACAGTTTCAGTCACCACCTACGATGTTGTGGGGGGCTTTTGTTTTGGTTTGGTTTTTTGAGATGGGGTCTCACTCCATCGCCTAGGCTGGCATGCAGTGGCACCATCATGGCTCACCGCAGCCTCAAACTCCTGGGCTCAAGCCGTCCTCCTACCTCAGCCTCCCGAGTAGCTGGGACTACAGGTGTGCACCACCATACCTGGCTAATTTTAAAAATCTTTTTGTAGAGACAAGGTCTCCCTAGGTTGCCCAGGCTGGTCTCAAACTCCTGGGCTCAAGCGATCCTCCTGCCTGAGCCTCCCAAAGTGCTGAAATGACAGGTGTGAGCTACCATGCCCAGCTGATGTTGTGTTTTGATTAAAAGATTATCATACAGTAACCCCCTGTGTGTGGTGCACCTTTCAGATTTTGGAACATTTTGGATTTTGAATTTTTGGATTAGGGATACTCAACCTGTATACCCCAAATGGGCAGGAGCCTCTGAATGCAGTAACTGTTCATCAGCTGTCCTGCATGAACTTACAAATACTGATTCTAAGTTTCAAATACATCTTTGTTGGCTTCTAAATTATTATTACTTCTGGTTCTTCTTGCACTTACAGCATCAAAAC
Source organism: Homo sapiens (assembly GCF_000001405.40). NCBI lineage: Eukaryota > Metazoa > Chordata > Mammalia > Primates > Hominidae > Homo > Homo sapiens. The sequence continues at coordinate 1,202,607 of NT_187663.1, forward strand.
ATAATGCTTTAAGAATTTTTTTGAGATCTTTGGCTCCTAATTTTGTTGAAGAGAGGATGACCATTATATGTTCCACAGTTGCAAAACATTTTTATTTTTAGATTTGTAGATACCTTTCAGAATGATCAATTCTGTTTTTTATGGTCAATCCAATTTTTTAATGTCTACTTCATCTATTTCTTCTGGCTATCTCTCTGTAATACCTGCCTTCAGCATCTGTCTACTTTTAAACTATATCAAGAAAATTTGGTGCACAAATGAAATAAAAGATGAAAGAATACTGTCATGTGTCCTTTTAGCAAAATGGGATGGCCTCATTTCTTGTCACAAGATATTCCACAAAGAAGACTTTCTATTGAATAAGTAACTGAATGAAAATGCTTTGTCCTTAGATTAAAAGTATATTATTCACTCATTGATTCTTGAGTTTGAGAAAATGTATGTAGGGCATCATCATCTGAAGACACATAGACTGAGATTTTACTTATAATCATCAATTTCAGCATCTTTATTAGAGTCCTAAGTGCTCCTATCTTATTCTTTGTGTTCAACTTCTGACTCATCTAATAATTCTAAAACAGTTTCCTCAGATTTTCTTCGTCATTCTGGCTAGAGAACTTACAAATGTTAATGCTTAATCGTATTCAATAAAATGTAGAATGAGGTCACAAAAGATGTTAGCTCCAGACTTCTTTTATGCCTTCTTGAAAGATAACACATATCTTGCACAACACAGTAAGAAAACTGAAGAGTGATGTCATAGTGATACTTGTTTCACTGTTTCTAAGTAATTTAGTCATTTTTTATTATACTTTAAGTTCTGGGATACATGTGCAGAACTTGCAGGTTTGTTACATAGGTATACACATGCCATGGTGACTGGCTGCACCCATCAACCCGTCATCTACATTAGGTATTTCTCCTAATGCTATCCCTCCCCTAGCCCCCCCACCCACTGACAGGCCCCAGTGTATGATGTTCCCCTCCCTGTGACCATGTGTTCTCATTGTTCATTTCCCACTTATGAGTGAGAACATGTGGTGTTTGGTTTTCTGGTCCTGTGTTGGTTTGCTGAGAATGATGGTTTCCAGCTTCATCCATGTCCCTGCCAAGGACATGAACTCATCTGTTTTTATGGCTGCATGGTATTCCATGTGCCACGTTTTCTTTATCTAGTCTATCGTTGATGGGCATTTGGGTTGGTTCCAAGTCTTTGCTATTGTGAACAGTGCCTCAATAAACATGTGTGCATGTGTCTTTATAGTCGAATGATTGTAATGGGATTGCTGGGTCAAATGGTATTTCTGGTTCTGGATCCTTCAGGAATCACCACACTGTTGAAACAGCATGGTACTGTTACCAAAACAGATACATAGACCAAAGGAACAGAACAGAGGCCTCAGAAATAATGCCACACATCTACAACCATCTGATCTTTGACAAACCTGACAAAAACAAGCAATGGGGAAAGGATTCCCTATTTAATAAATGGTGTTGGGAAAACTGGCTAGCCATATGCAGAAAATTATACAAAAATTAACTCAAGATGGTTTAAAGATTTAAATGTAAGACCTAAAACCGTAAAAATCCTAAAAAAAACCGTAGGCAATACCTTTCAGGACATAGGCATGGGCAAAGACTTCATTCTTCTATTTTCTTATTTTAATCCTTTTTAAGCATAGTTGAGAATAATTGATGAGTAATGATGTAATTTCTAGTGTGATGAAATAGCATAATGTGTCTTAGATTCATAAAAAGATCTAGTAGATCCAAATGGCAATTGTAAGATAGAATTTTATTCTATTTTTTTAAATATTGGGTTTTTTGTTTTGTTTGTTTGCTCTTTGGAAAAAGGAAAAAAGTCATGAGATATCAATTTTTATAAATAGTACTACTTAAAACAGAAACTCAGAAACTGAGATTGGGTCTAACGGACCCTAATGAGATACTGAGGATTAAACACTAGGCAGAAGTGAGTTAAAATGCCATATGGAGAAGCATTTTATAACATCTCAGTTGTGATAGTTAACCACATGGCTGCATAGGTAACTTTGGTGCTGTTTTTAAAGTTGCAAGCAATTTAAATATTAAACTACTGATGATAAAATTGAGTTAGCAAAGAATTTCCAGTTCGATATTAATTATAGCCAGCCTTTTCAGTTATACCTTTCTCACATCCAGAAATGGCTTGATGTACTCAGCTAATGACCTCATGCAGGATATATATGTGTGTTACATAATAAAGAAAAACATCACTTCTGTAATTTTGGACAGTCCACACTGACGGAGATGAACACTTGCATATAGGTCAAACTAGTTAAATATAGAACAGCCGCTTTTGAAAGCTGTTGCCAGGGCTCAACAGCGTCAGCTCTGTTTCTATGGAGAAAGACTTTGCAGATGTTAAAAACAGAGCTAGAAGCCAATGAATGGAAGAGGATTGTGCTGTGGAAATTTAATTTTTTTGATAAAGGGTTTATTGATGAATCAGCTATATTAGTCTGTGAACGTTAATCTTGACATCTTCTTTACCCAATTCCCAATTTCTTGGAATAAGATCTTGCTTTTATTTAAGTAACACACAATGTAAAATTTGATGTTATTGTACTGACTAGGTGGGGTAAGGGACCTGATGACAGGTAACAAGATTAGTAAGGTTCTGAAAAGGTCAGAATTGTACTGAATTATGTTTAGAACAGATTGCCTCCGTGATCATTTAATCAAACAGTGTTCGTATTGTCTTTGTCCTTGTCCACATACGTGATTTTTGAGGTTGGGCTGAGAAGGAAATCATGATTCCATCAACAACATAAGGCACATTGACAGTAAAACTCATATATTATAGCAGCTTTTTGTTTCATGCTGTATAGGGCAGACAACCTTGAAGAAAAAAAAAACTTTAAAAAATAATGTAAAATTTCACAGTTTTTCAGTCACAAACAGAAGTATCCTTGTTGTCACTGAAGATGACAAGAATTAATATCCTGCTGTATAGAAGTACTTTGGCAAAGTTAAGGTTGTAGTTCCAATTCCTCATTTCCAATTTTTTCTCCAGATGGAAAGATGAACAGTTTTTGGTATTGAATTTTTTTTTAGGAAGCAAGTTATTTATCATTAGATATCTATTCAGTAAATGCAATGATACAGAAAAATGAAGTTTTTTTCCCTCAGATTTGAAATTAGGTTTTAAAATATGGAGGGAGAACAATTTGTAAGTAATGTTCAGGAACAAAAATAAAACCTAATGAAACTTTAGAAACTTTGATGGACATCTGTCATCCTACATACAATTGCATTAAAGAATAGAATTTATTATTATTTTATCTGGTTTATTATGCTGTAAAATGAATTTTTCTCTTTTTGTATGTAGTTTTATGAAATTTCATACATGTATAGATTCATGGAACCACTGTAAAAATCAGGATGTAGAACATTTGCATCACCCCCAAAAACTCCTTCATGCAGTCCCTTACTGGTCACCCTTTCTTTTTAGTAACCCTGGTAACTACCAATGTGTTCTCCATCCCTGTAGTTTTATCTTTTCAAGAATGTCATATAAATGGCGTCATACACTATGTAACCTTTGGGGACTGGCTGTCTTCAGCATAATGCCTTTGAGATTCATCCAAGTTGTTGCATGTGTCAAACATCCCTTTTTATTGTTGAATAGTATTTAATTGTGTGGGTGTACTATCATTTGTTTATCTCTTGACCCACTGAAGGCCAATTGGGTTGTTTTCTAGTTTGGGGCAATTATGAGCAGAGCTGCTATAAACCAAGTAGTGGAATTTTTAGGTCATATAGCATTTTATCTATTTTTTATTTAAAAATATATATTCAGGGTTTGTTTTTGACCCAGTTGAATTTCCTTCAGGTCATTTTTGGAACTCTTTCTTCCTATGTCTGATGTAACATTTCATCTTTCATCTTTGTCATTTTTTTATTCCCCCTTTTCTTCAGATTACTATAGGTATATTCTGGTATTGTAGCCCAGAATCTGTCCTGCTTTTATATTCCTCCAGCTTAATTATATGATCCATCTTCTTACGGTATCTACGGCTTGCTACAAGACTATTCTTTACTATTTGCAGAAGACGTTCAGATGTATCTTGCTATCCTTTTTTATTCAGTTGTGTATATCTTGTTCTCTATTTGGAGGCCTTTCCAAATAGATGTCTTGTTAACTCTTTAATCTTATCATGCTAGAAACAAACAAACAAACAAAAAAAATTCCCTTGTATCTTTTCCCTTCTGCAGCTTCCTTATCATACTACAGGGTAATTTCTTTTCTTCACTGTCAGTCTTCCACCCTACATGCAAGCAATAATCAAATCTAGCATTTGCTGTTTGGTCATCACCACTCCTGTCACCAAAATTCTCATTCTGTTTAGATTCTGCTTGCCTCATTTATGTACCATTATTTGTTTCTCACTGACCTTCCAAGTGCATACTCCTTTTCATCCTAAAGCCAAGAATAAAATCATTTTATATAAAGAGCATTCTACTTTGCAGTTCATTTACTGATGTCCTCTGTTTCAGTAGGAAGGCCTAATTCTAGATTTCAGTCTGTCATGATAGTACTATAACTTCTGCTTCTCACATTAGGTAAATTTTATTATCCCTTTTATAGGACCTTGACTGCCTCTGGGCCTTCTGTTCAGTTGAACCCACATGCTTCTAACTTCTTAGCTATTAGACCCTCTCTTTCCCCTTTTATATGTCTTTGTTTTGGTACAGCTTCTCATACCCAAAAGCAGGTATACCTGTTAGTAAGGAGGATACAAGTTGTATTTGTAGGTGGTATGATTGTCTACCTAGGAAATTCAAAAGAGTCAGATTTTTTTAAAAACTTAGATATTATAAATAAGAGTAAAGTAGCCATATATAAAATAAATACATAAAAATATATTTCCTTCATACTTCTATACTGTTTCTGAAATATAATAGAAAAATCCCATCACAATTGCCACCAAAAAACATAGCTAGGAATCTTTATGAAGGAATGAAGGAATTTAAACAACAAAAACTATAAAACTTTATTGGGAAGCTGGGCCCAATGGCTCACGCCTGTAATCCTAGCACTTTGGGAAGCCAAGGTGGGAGGATCACTTAAGTCTAGGAGTTCAAGACCAGCCTGGGCAACATAGTGAGACCTTATCTCTAAAAATAAAAATAAAAATAAATTTTAAAACTTTACTGAGAGACGTAAAAGTGTTGAATAATTGGAGAGGCATTATTCTTCTAAAAAACCAAATATGCTATACAGATTTTAGTATTTCCTAAACTTAGATATTTAACCTAATTTCAGTCAGAGCTTGGGTTTTTGTCTGTTCTTTATTTTTTTATTTTTAATTGGTGGAGGTTATTCCCCCTCATAAGAATGATTCTGATGTTCATTTGGAAATACACATGGTTGGAAATAGCCAAGATAGTTATGAAAAAGAAGAATGTATAGAGGAGAAGAGCTTCTTCAATGTACTACTGTAAAGTTATGGAGATAAAAACATGAATGAATCCATTGAGCAGAGTAGACAGGCTGGTAATAACCTAGCATACATCAAAGTCCAAACCTTGGTATGATGGCAGCTCAGTCAACGAAGAAAGGAGGGATAATTTAGGGAACAATGCTGGGTCGGTTATTTGAAGAAGAATTAGTTGGCTTCTCACTTTACTTGTACCATACACAAAAATAAAACACCAGATAAAGAATTATATGTAAAGCAAAAATTTAAGAAAAGAAAATATGTGACCATCAGTGTCTGTAATGGGGAACAATTTTAAGGATAAAACTAATGAAAATATCATAAAAATAAAAATTGTGCTGGCTGTTTAGTAGAAACAGAAAACGCCTTCCACTTACCGAAAATATACCATAAATAGGCTGGGCACAGTGGCTCTCGCCTGTAATCTCAGCACTTTGGGAGGCCGAGGTGGGCAAATACCTGAGGTCTGGAGTTTGAGACCAGCCTGGCCAACGTGGTGAAACCCTGTCTCTACTAAAAATACAAAATTAGCCAGACTTGATGGTGCACGTCTGTAATCCCAGATGTGAGAGGCTGAGGCACGAGAATCGCTTGAACCTGGGAGGCGGAGGTTGCATGAGCAGAGATCATACCACTGCACTCCAGCCTGAACGACAGAGCGAAAGTCCATCTCAAAAAAATATATATACTTATATATATGCACACATGCCATAAAGAAAAGACAACTGGCAAACTAGAATAAAGTAGTTACAAGTATAATAATGGCCCTAATGTATAAATCATTTTTTAATCAATAGGAAAAGCTCTTGAATTTCAACAGAAAAGGGTATAGAAGACATATCAAATACTAATAAAATTACCAATGGTAAAAACATGATTTTTTAACAGCACCAGCCCCTTCAGTAATTAGATAAATGTGATTTAAAAACAACAGAAAGATACTATTGTCCATCTATCAAATTGAGAATTACTTTTAAAGTGTTTCTAATATTCATTACTTGTGGGAATATACCAAGATAGGCACTATCAGGTACTGTGCTGGGATTATAGATTGATAAAACCTTTCTGGAAAAGTGTTTCTACTTTTTCAAGTGTTCCTATTTCAAGGGCCTTAAAATACTTAACACACCTTTTAACCTAACAATTTGCCTTTAGCAAGTATTCATCTATATTGTCAAGCGTTTAAGTATAAAAGTGTTCATTGTAGGCTGGGTACAGTGGCTCACATTTGTAATCGCAGCACTTTGGGAGGTTGAGGCAGGAGGATCACTTGAGTCCTGGAGTTCAAGACCAGCCTGAGCAACATGGCAAAACCCCATCTCTACAAAAAAAAATAAAATATTTTCCAGGCGTGGTAGCACGCATCTGTAGTCCCAGCCACTCGGGAGGCTGAGGTGGGGGATTGCTTGAGCCCAGGAGTTTGAGGCTGCAGTGAGCTTTGATCGCACCACTGCACTCCAGCCTGGGCAACAGAGTGAGATCCTGTCTCTACAAAGAATGAAAAAAGAAAATGTTTATTGCAGCAACATATATAATACTAAAAACTTAGAAATAATTAAATATCTAACAGTAAGGAATGAATATGGAGTAGGAGAGTTAAACTGTGAAACCATTCATATGATTAAATATTATAGAGCTATTAAAAATCATATCATCGGCCAGGCGCGGTGGCTCACTCCTGTAATCCCAGCACTTTGGGAGGGCAAGGCAGGCGGATCACAAGGTCAGGAGATCGAGACCATCCTGGCTAACACGGTGAAACCCATCTCTACTAAAAAAAAAATACAAAAAAAAAATTAGCCGGGCATGGTGGTGGGCGCCTGTAGTCCCAGCTACTCGGGAGTCTGAGGCAGGAGAATGGCGTGAACCCGGGAGGCGGAGCTTGCAGTGAGCCAAGATCACGCCACTGCACTCCAGCCTGGGCAACAGAGTGAGACTCCGTCTCAAAAAAAAAAAAAAAAAATATATATATATATATATTGTATAGGGATGGGAAAGGGTTTAAAATAATACCTGTACTGAAAAACAGGATGCAAGGTATTACATAGCTCCATTTTGGCTGAGTTTGAGATGATTGTGATTTCTTTATTTTTTGCTATTTTCCCACATTTTTTATAATTATATATTTTGCAATTGGAAGCAAAAATAACCATTGAAAATCGTTTTCAAAGAATAATATTCAAGAGAATACAAGGTGCAGTAAGTTCTTAATATTTAGTTAAAATATAGAAATCTGTGGACCATTAACAGCACTTATCTTTAGGTAATGTAATGATGTTTTATAGATGGGTCTTTATTGATGGGATGTCACTATGTTGCCCAGGCTGGTCTTGAACTCCTGGCCTGAAGCAGTCTTCCCACCTCTGCTTTCCAAGTAGCTGGGATTACAGGCACAAGCCATGGCAAATGTAGTATATTTTAATTTATGTTTTTAGTGATGGAATCTCACTGTGTTGCCCAGGCTGGACTCCAGCTCCTGGGCTCAAGGATTCCTCCAGCCTCAGCCTCCAGAGTAGCTGGGACTATAGGCACGTACCACTCTGCCCAGCTTTATTTTTACACTTTATTTGTTTTACAACTTTTGCTCTGTTAACAAATCTACTACTCCTTTAAAAAGTTAAAAAACATTCTCTTATTAAAACAAAGATTAGGCTGGGCATGGTGGCTCACGCCTGTAATCCCAGCACTTTGGGAGGCTGCGCTGAGTGAATCACCTGAGGTCAGGAGTTCGAGACCAGCCTGGCAAACATGGTGAAACCCCGTCTCTACTAAAAATACAAAAATTAGCCAGGAGTGGTAGCACATGCCTACAATCCCAGCTACTCAGGAAGCTGAGACAGGAGAATCACTTGAACCCGGGAGGCAGAGGTTGCAGTGAGCTAAGATTGCGTCATTGCACTCCAGCCTGGGCAGCAGAGCAAGACTTCATCTCAAACAAACAAACAAACAAAACAACGATTATATCCTTATCGGAGATTTAATGGATACTAACCATATTTAATCCTCAGTCTCATTATGCTCATTTAATTTTTATTATCCGTATGTTGTCATATTTAGGTTATGTTCATTTTTTACCAGTTTTGTTAATCCCTAGTATTTTTTGTTTTTGAGACGGAGTCTCACTCTGTCGCCCAGGCTGGAGTGCAGTGGTGCAGTCTCGGCTCACTGCAACCTCTGCCTCCTGGGTTCAGGTGATTTTCCTGCCTCAGCCTCCAGAGTAGCTGGGATTACAGGCACCTGCCACCACACCCAGCTAATTTTTGTATTTTTAGTAGAGATAGGGTTTCACCATGTTGGCCAGGCTGGTCTCGAACTCCTGACCTAAGTTGATCCATCCTCCTCTGCCTCCCAAAGTGCTGGGATTACAGGCAGGAGCCACCGCACCCGGCCGTGTTTTTTGTTTATAAAAGAAAAAATTTCCAGAGTGCACTTTACTCCCTGATAGGAGACTAAATTACTTAAATATAAATTTTAGAAGGTACGTGTTAAATTAACCTAATGAATTAGTAGCATTCAGAAGTGTTTGTATCTGTTAAAGATTCAAAATATACAAACTAATTTCTTTTAATGGTGATTCTATTTCTAGTAAACTAAGGCAGAAATCATTATGCAGAAGAAACAGCACCCTGTTAACCATGTTCTTTTTATAAACCGTCTCTGTTCTCACTTTATTGTTAGGAAGGCGTAATCTGTTTTCATGTAATATAAGTACATGTGAGTCATGTTGAGTTTCTTCACTCATTTGTCCAATTCCCAGTCAACCTGTAGGTGGAGTTAACCTTTAGTTACATAATATAACGAAACAAACATTAAACCTACTGCTTCTGGGACAGTCTTCTCACCAAAACTCAGGGAAAATGGGAGGGTGTTGCCACTGACTGACTTAATGAAAGTATCTGACAAATGTAAGGTCTTTCAAATAGTGAGATAAGAAATGTATATAAATTATTTGATCGACTACTTACTTTCTATCTATACACACACACTATCAGTATATAATGTGTATTTTCATTTTATAGCTATTAAATATGAGGTTCTAGAATGAGTTTTCAGTTTGCAGAATTCTGAGAATCTAGTTCCAACACCTTTGAGAGGACAACAACCACAATTGCACTTGCCATATTTATTAGTCAAAATGAAGCGAAGTCAATCTGTTGAAAGCTTTGTTTTGTTTTTCTGATTAGTTTGTTTAATAAGACATTCAAATTATGATCTTTAATATAATTTCTTCCCCTAATAGCTTGGTGCTAACAGTGGTTTGCACATCATCATCTTTGATGAAATTGATGCCATCTGCAAGCAGAGAGGGAGCATGGCTGGTAGCACGGGAGTTCATGACACTGTTGTCAACCAGTTGCTGTCCAAAATTGATGGCGTGGAGCAGCTAAACAACATCCTAGTCATTGGTATGTTTACTTTTTAAAAAAGTACTATTCATTCAAAAACGTTAGCCATAAGTTCTGAATTAAGATGTGTGTAGGTTGTGATTAAACTGTTTTGCCAGTGTTTCCAAATTAGAATCCAGTGATATTGAAGAATCTATTGTAATGCCTAGGCTTAATAGGAAAAATAAAAGATGGATTTCAGTCACTTGTAGGTTTAAGCTTATAGCTCACCCACAGGTGAAAAAGATGTAGGTTGAAGCTTATAGCTCACCCAAAAATGAAAAATACACATGAAACAATGGAATGCAGTGGTTTTCAAACTGGGTCTTGCAGGCCTTCGGGGGTCCTCAGAGGTGCTTTCAGGGTCAGTGAGGGCCAGGGAGTGCGTTTCAGATCCTACATCACTATTATAACTTCCTCTTTTAGCTGTTTTATGTACTGAGGTGCTTCTGAAGATGACTTCTGGGGGAAAAAAAAAAAAAACACCCTGCTGTTTTATGAAGTCTGAAAACCACTGGCCTGTAAAAAAGAGAAGGAACTTTGGAGTCAGAGAGATCGTGTCACATTGCCCCTCTGTCACTTTGACAGATTATTTACCCTTTGAATCTTAAATTTTCTTTTTAAATACTGGAAGTTTTCATAACATTTATATTCCATTGGCTTATACAGTAGTGAAATAGTAAAGCAAAGTCTCCTTAGCTTGTTAGGGAAATTACTATTCTTACATATACTAAAAGGACATTTGATTTTATTTTTGAACTCTGATCATTTGTTGTTTTGTTTTAACATCTGTGTTCAGGAATGACCAATAGACCAGATCTGATAGATGAGGCTCTTCTTAGACCTGGAAGACTGGAAGTTAAAATGGAGATAGGTAAGGAGATCTGTCACTGATTGGGTGTGTGGTGGGGGGAGTGGAGGCATTTAGAGTTCATTAACAGGAACAATGTCATATGGTGTAGTATTTTTTAGAAAAGGTTTATATCATGAGAAGTAGATGTTTACATGCTTGAGTACCTATAAGGAAAACATTAGGATCATAATAATCTCCTCTAGGCTGGGCGCAGTGGCTCACACCTGTAATCCCAGCACTTTGGGAGGCTGAGGCAGGTGGATCACTTGAGGCCAGTTGTTCGAGACCAGCCTGGCCAAGATGGTGAAACCCCTTCTCTACTAAAAATACAAAAAACTTAGCCGAGTGTGGTGGTGTGCACCTGTAATTCCAGCTACTCGGAAGGCTGAGATAGGAGAATCGCCTGAATCCAGGAGGCAGAGGTTGCAGTGAGCTGAGATCGTACCACTGCACTCCAGCCTGGGAAACAGAGCGAGACTCTGTCTCAAAATAATAGTAATAATAATAATGATAATCTCCTCTGATGGTGCTTTCGAGACTAGGAAAATGCCTATTTTATTTTTAATTTCATCAGGCTTGCCAGATGAGAAAGGCCGACTACAGATTCTTCACATCCACACAGCAAGAATGAGAGGGCATCAGTTACTCTCTGCTGATGTAGACATTAAAGAACTGGCCGTGGAGACCAAGAATTTCAGTGGTGCTGAATTGGAGGGTCTGGTGCGAGCAGCCCAGTCCACTGCTATGAATAGACACATAAAGGTCAGGAAAATCAGCTAAACAGATTATAAACATTATGCCAGTATTCTTTCTCTTTCCTTTCAAGCATATCAAGGGGTAGGGAAATGCTGACTTTTGGTGGAGAAGAGATGGTAAAAGGAATAAGAATTAATTGTCAACTGCTAAATCTTCAGAGTAGCAGGAAGGAAGATAATGTTTGCATCTGCCCTGTAGTAACCACTGACTCATCTACCTTAGGTCATCACCATCTGACACAGACACGTAAAGTGAAAATTTTGAAGAAGTGTTTTTAAATCTTTGTATTGTATTAAAAGTTGTAATATGGCCAGGCATGGTGGCTCATGCCTGTAATCCCAGCACTTTGGGAGGCTGAGGCGGGCGGATCACAAGGTCAGGAGATCGAGACCATCCTGGCTAACACGGTGAAACCCCGTCTCCACTAAAAATACAAAAAATTAGCCGGGCATGGTGGCGGGCACCTGTAGTCCCGGCTACTCGGGAGGCTGAGGCAAGAGAATGGTGTGAACCCAGGAGGCAGAGCTTGAAGTGAGCTGAGATTGCGCCACTGCACTCCAGCCTGGGTGACAGAGCGAGATTCCGTCTCCAAAAAAAAAAAAAAAGTTGTAATATGTCAGAGGAAGTGGGAGTTTCCACGTACTAGAATTTTGGGGGCTGCTTTATTCAGCAAATATATTGAATAGTTGATGTGTTCAAGCTATTGGGCTGGAGACATAAAGATAATTGTGAACTCTTCCCTCAAGGAGTTCAGAGTCAGGAAAATGGACATATTTTCAAATTAGTACAATAATATTGTAGTTACCATGGTAGAAATACGTACTAGGATACTTTTATTTTGATAAAGTGCTCTTGATCTTCCATCTCTTCTCTCCTTTAGGTTTTAGTTACCACCTGTAGACAGATTTACTGAACATATCTGTCTCCTACTTTCAGATTTGTACTAAATACCCTCACCTAGATGTTTTATCAGGTCTCAGATTTAATATTGCAAAACCAAATTTATTGTCTTTTTTACTACTTTCCTTTCTGCTCGCATTTCCCTGTTTATCCCAATTTCCCAGGCTTAAAACATCAGGATTATCTTTGATTCCTGGCACTCTACTGTGCCCTAGGTCAAGTCACTTGCCAAATTTTTTCAGTTCTGTCTTGGCAGTGCCTTTTAGTTCTCACTGCCACTACCCACCTTCTCTTTGATTAACCTTCCTGTATCATATCATTCAACCATTCAGACACTTTCAGTGATTCCCCATCATTTACAAAACAAAGTACAGGCTTCTTTTGGGTCTTTTGGGTCCTCTAGATCTGACCCTAACTGGCCTTTCCAAATGTGCTCCTGATTATTCTCCACATACTTCAGCCAAACTTAAATAATCACCGGTCATCAGACATTAATTTATTTTTCAACATCTCTGCTTTGGTTTTGTTTTTTTTGCATCACTGAGGATCTTCATCCTCTACGTTTACCTGTCTTTTCAAAACCTGGCTCATATGCTACCACTGTCCTCACACCTTTTCACATTTTCCCTTTCAAGAATGTTATACCCGTTTCCTTCTTGAAATAGTAATGTATCATTTATGGTACTGTCAGTTGACTTTGGTTCACAGTAGATTTATTCGGCATCTACTGCATGCTAGACCCTGTGCTAGGAGTTAATACCCCGACTGCAAAGAAGTAAAGTACCTACCATTAAGCTGCCCTCAGTCTAACCCTCCACGTGCAGTAACAGAAAGTACATGCAAGGCAAGAGAGTGAACTCGTGTCAGATATGGTCAACTTGTGGGGTGAGAGAAACCTTCATATGCATGTCTGTTGGTAGAGCAGGGCCTTTTAGGTAGAGGGAACAACATATGCAAAGAAGCAGAGACACAGAATAGCATAGTGCGTTGGAGTAGTTTAGTATTGCTTCAGCATGGAAGTTAGGGGAGGGATGGTAGAGAGATTGTGGGGGATAAGTCAGGAGACTAAAGTAGGGATGGAGCACAAAGAGCCTTTTATACTCTGCTAAGAAGTATGGACTTTTTTTCTGTGAGTAGTGCTAAGCCATTGAGTTTTAAGAATAGCAGTGACATAGTGTTAAAACATAAGATCACTCTGGCAGCTCTGTCGAGTGGAGTAGTTAGAGGAGTGGAGTTGGCGACACAGGACAAGAGGGGGAGCTTTTATAACAGTTCAGGCAAGAAATAAAAGCCTGAACAGTTAGGTTGAGTATGTAGATATTTGGGTATATCCTATCACTGGTTCTAGACCAGGAATCCAGCCAACTACCAGTTTTTATAAATAAAGGGCTTTTTTGGAACAGTACACATTAATTTGTGTACTGTCTATGGCTGCCTGCATGCTACAGTGGCAGAGTTGAGTATTTGCAATAGGGGCTGCATGGCCCACAAAGCCTATTTTAGTGCTTTTATTTTAGGTACTATCTGCCACTTTACAGAAGTTTGCTGGCCCTTGTTCTAGACTTTAAATCCTTATCTTATTCACCTCAGAGTCTCCCATAGTACCCCAGATAGATCTAAATAATGAGCACATGGTAGGTGTCCAGTAAATTATTTTTCTTTTTTTTTTTTTGAAACAGAGTCTTACTCTGTCGCCCAGGCTGGAGTGCAGTGGCACAGTCTTCGCTCACTGCAACCTCTGCCTCCTGGGTTCAAGTGATTCTCCTGCCTCAGCCTCCCAAGTAGCTGGGACTACAGGCATGTGCCACCACGCCCAGCTAATTTTTTGTATCTTTAGTAGAGATGGGTTTTCACCATGTTGGCCAGGCTGGTCTCAAACCCCTGACCTCGTGATCCGCCCGCCTCAGCCTCCCAAAATGTTGGGATTACAGGTGTGAGCCACCATGCCCAGCCAATATTTTTTAAATGAGTAAACTTACGTAACTATTCTGAATCACGCTCTATCCATAAGTCATAATTTCCCTACATAATAGAGGTGGATTTGTTCTAGCTCAAGAATGCCAAAGGTTTGGATGGTGTGGGAATATTGTATTGGGTCTTTATATAATGGATCCATTCAGGGACTATGTTTTTATTCTTCCTTGTTTGTTTGTTTTGAGACGGAGTCTCACTCTGTCGCCCAGGCTGGAGTGCAGTGGTGCAATCTCGGCTCACTGCAAGCTCCACCTTCCAGGTTCAGCCATTCTCCTGCCTCAGCCTCCCAAGTAGCTGGGACTACAGGCACCCACCATCACGCCTGGCTAAGTTTTTGTATTTTTAGTTGAGATGGGATCACCGTGTTAGCCAGGATGGTCTCGATCTCCTGACCTCGTGATCCGCCTGCCTCGGCCTCCCAAAGTTTTGGGATTACAGGCGTGAGCCACCATGCCCGGCCATGCTATACTGTTTTAATAAGAAGAGATGGCAACTTCAAGAAAAATGATGTAAACAGTGTGAAAACTGGTCCCTACCATACTGATCTTTCATCTCAGACCACATGGGTGCATCTTGATGTAATCCACAGTAACTAGTTTACTAGTTGTCATATTTTTCATATGTGTTGGCCATGGAATTTTTCTCTTATTTAGTCATCTGTCATTTTAACTACAATAATCCTATCCCAAAATTTCACTTTAAGCCGTTGTCTCAGTAAGAAACATGCTTTCTTCAAGCATATATTGGGTTTATCTACATATGAGGCAATGAGGGATGGTGGGAAGATCGCAGATATCGTAGTCAGAAGGTGTGGTTATGCATTATATTTCTTCCACCTTTTTGTTTCTGACCTGTCAAGGGGAGACACTACCTATCTAATCAGATTTTTATGAGAATGAAAGCAAATACTTTATATAAAAGTGCCTTGTAAACTCTATAAATGCTAGTTATCTCCATTTTTTTAATTGGCTGATTTGAGAGGATATCAGTACTTTTCAATATATGAATTTCTGATTTTTATTGACTCTTTGTAGTTACACATTTTCTAATTGTAAAGCTAAAATGTTTGTCACCCTTGTACATAATATATTATCCTTCTGATTTGCAAGTAAGCAGTAGTGCAAATAGTTCATGTTTCCATCACTTTTTTCCACATGATAGAATTATCTGTAAGCTTCAGGTGATATGTATTGACTTGCGATCATTGCTCCTTGTACCAAACAGCTCCTAACTTTTCACCATATCAATGGAATAACTATGTAGGCACTTTAGGGATGAGAAAGCTATGTAAGACACTAACCTTACCCCCAAAAAGAAATATTACTAACATTTCATCTTCTGCATTTTAAAAAATCTGCATTGTCAGAAGGTCTTTAAAGACTATTTTTCCAATGACTCGTCCTTGGCTAAACAAAAGAAGTACAGTTTTAGTCTTCCATTGCTATAGATGTTTGTAGCTTTAATAGTGATTGATGAATAAATATTTAAATTGAAACTTATAAAGTTGTTACTGAACTTTAAAACATTCAAAACGTACAAGTGTTATGATGTTCTTTCTTTGTATTTTAAAAATCCATTATTGGTGTTATTTTGCTTCCTTTTCAAAAGATTGAGGCCTAAAGAAAGATTTAGTCAGGTGGACTAAACAGGTCTTTCCTGTTAAACTGTTTTTTCAGGTTTTCTGAGACAAGTGGAAAATCTGGTCAGAAACACCTGTTGTTCATGTCATTTATACTTGAACCTATGATTGCGGTCAACTAAAATTCATGTGACATTTGGTTGTTTTTATCTTGAAAGGAATTTCTGCTTCAGGTTGAGAAGATTCATAACCCAAATTTTTTCTCTAATCTGTTGTGAGGAAATAAACTGAGGACACACACACACACACACACACACTTTCTCTCACATACACTTTCCACCTGAGTCAAAGCTCTAAGTTATGTTTACAGAATTTCATAAAATTATTTCTTATTTTTTTGCAGAATTTTTGATTGATTAAGGTCATTCTACCCTTAATTTAAGAGGAATGATAAGAACTTTGAAAGGTCAGATTTAAAAGGTTATGAAATTTAAGGGTGACCACTTGATATTTGCTAGTGTTGAAATACAAGTTTATTAGTTTCTGCAGGTATAAGCTGAAAGATGCTGCCTCTTCTATATTGATTAGCTGTTATAAATAAAATGCAGGAAAAATGTTGCTAATTCAAACAAATGAGAAAAGGTTTTCTGAAAAAGTAAAAATTCAGAATTATAGACTTTTTAAAATTTTACAAATTTTGATAAAATGCTAAAAGTCAGCTAAGAGCAGTCCTTAGAAAATTTATTTTAATGAGCAGGTAGGAATAATTGACAATTGGAATATTGATGGCTTACAATTATGTAACTTACAGAATTCCTTATGTGCCTGAAAACAGTTTGTTTTGAAATACTTCTTCCCCACACCCATCTTAATTCACTTTTAAGAAAGGACTCAGCAATTAATTGGGTGAGTCTTTTCTTAATAATTAGCAAAATGACAAGTTTTATACCAGCTTCAGTCCTAAAATCTATCGTATTTTTTGGCAAATTTTGAAAGATGGGCAAGATTTTTCTTTCATACTGCTGTATGTATCTATCATTTGAATTCGGTTTTACTGTAAGAGAATCAGAATGCAAAATATTATGGTAAAAACCTAGGCCTGTGTAGGAAAGAGGTGTTTAAAGTGAGGCTGGTAGCTTTGTTGAGATTTTAATGTTTCGGTCAGAGCTCTTGTCTTCCCTTTGGCCTGAGAGTTTGTATCTTGTAGAATCCTTTCAGATGTATCAAAAAGTTTGAATCAGAGTTAAAACTTTTATATAAGGGTATCTAGGAAGGAAGTCCTGTATCTGCCTTTTATAACTTATGGAAACCCCCAGGTTTGTATAAGTATAAAATGAGATAATGTGATATGGTGAAATGAGATAGTGTGTATGAACATACTTTATAAACTATAAAGAACTGTAGACATTTGTATATTATTAATTATCATAATTCTTTCACGGATATGCTTGTTTCCTGTGACACCATTTTTCTTTTTTTCTTTTTTTTTTTTTTGGAGATGGAGTTTTCTTCTTGTTGCCTAGGCTAGAGTGCAATGGCGTGATCTCGGCTCACCACAACCTCCGCCTCTCGAGTTCAAGCGATTCCCCTGCCTCAGCCTCCAGAGTAGCTGGGATTACAGGTGTCCACCACCATGCCTGGCTAATTTTGTATTTTTAGTAGAGACAGGGTTTCGCCATGTAGGTCAGGCTGGTCTCGAACTCCCGACCTCAGGTGATCCGCCTGCCTCGGCCTCCCAAAGTGCTGGGATTATAGGTGTGAGCCACCGTGCCAGGCCCATTTTTCTTTTTTTAAACTTAGAAATGCCAAATAAATGCGATTAATATTTATCAAACCTCATATGTGCCAATATAAGCCCTATTAATAATTTAAATGTTTATGTTTTTTTGTTTGTTTGTTTTTGTTTTTGAGACGGAGTCTCACTCTGTCGCCCAGGCTGGAGTGCAGTGGCGCCATCACAACTCACTGCAAGCTCTGCCTCCCGGGTTCACGCCATTCTCCTGCCTCAGCCTCCTGAGTACCTGGGGCTACAGGTGTCTGCCACCACGCCTGGCTACTTTTTTGTATTTTTAGTAAAGACAGGGTTTCACTGTGTTAGCCAGTATGGTCTCGATCTCCTGACCTGGTGATCCTATTGCCTCAGCCTCCCAAAGTGCTGGGATTACAGGCGTGAGCCACCATGCCCAGCCCAATAATTTAAATGTTAATTGTTCTATTGAAGTAAAATATTTGTCTCTTTGTTACTTTTTACTTTATTTTTAAAAGTATAGAAGTTATAGATGATGGCTTTCTTTTTGTAAAAGATTCAAGAATGTCAAAGCATATAGGGAAAAATGAGAAAGGCCATCTCTAACACCACTTTCCTTTCCCTCTCCAGAGTTAGCCAAAATTTGGGATATATCTTTGAAGTTTGTTTTCTTTATATAATATTTACATTCATATACGTATGTGCTTTTTTAAAAAAATGAACATTAATGGAATTATACTGCAGTTTACATTTTTCACTTGCAAATATTCCTTGGATAGCTTTCTGTGTCAGTGTATGTAAGTCCCCTTCATTATTTTGGACAAATGCAGAGTATTCTAGAATATTGCCACATAATGGAAAATATAAGATCCATGAACACAGGGACCTTTTCTGTTTTATTTACTGCTATGACTCCAGTTCCTCAGATAGTGCTTGGTGTCTGGTAGGTATTCAGTAAATAGAATTAATGAATAATTTATTTAACATATGGATTATTTCTGGTTGTGGCTGTTGAAAAAATACTGTTGTGAAAATGCTTACTTGCCTCCCTGTGCACACAAGGAATCATTTTCTAGGGTAGCCATCCAAATGTCTTTTCAAAGACATGGTTTCATTGTCTTCTAGTTTCTAGTGTTGCCAGTGAGAGTTATCATACCAATCTCGTTCTGGTTTCTTTGCAGGAAACCTGTTTTGTCCCTCAGAAAGGTTCTAGGACTTTCTCTTCACCTTTGGTGCTCTGAAAGTTTACAGCAGTGGGTCTGGACAGATGTGTGCTTCTTTTCATTTATCCCGATCATCACTCACTGAACCCTTTAAACTGCAGAGGCACACCTTTCTTCAGCTATAGGAAATTTTTTTCTCTTCTGTCTTTTATTGTTTCTTCTCTATGACTCTTTCTGTTCTCTCCTTCTGAGACTCCTGTTAGATCACAGTTAAAACTTATGGATATTTCTTTCATGCTTTGTAGCCTTTCTGTCTCACTTTCTGTCATTTTGTGGGATTTGGGGCGGAAGGGAAGATAAATAACTGTGTTCTGTTTGCCATCTTCACCCAGCTTCCTGCCATAGTTCTTTTTATCCCACAAGGATGACTTTTTTTTATATCTGTCACTTCATTTGTCTCACAGTCTCTTCCTAAAAAAAATATGACTCATATTTCATAATAATTGATGGAAGGTTGATATTTATTTAACATGCGTTTGTTTTATAGTCAGCTTTTTTTGAAAATGCTTTTTTTTTCAAAGCCATGATACCAATTTAAAAATTAGGCTGTGTTGTTTTGTGCTATTGGTAGTGAGCCCAGTCGCTTTAAAACACGTGTTGGTATCTTAATCACTCATCTGGTCCAGGCAGCTCCAAGTGCTGATAAAGGCCTTGATGCTTCTCCAGATGTCTAAATGCTAGCTCCAGGTGCAGTAAGCAGACTATTTGGAGCTGGCACATAGATTCTGAAGCACAATGTATTAATACAAATGAAAGTTTTAGGTTCTTGGTCTCCTAGAGTAATGGTTCTTAAGCCTGGTTCAGTACCAGAATCACCTGTGGTACTTGGTAAAACTATAAAGACCCTCTAATAGGCCTGTTAAATCAAAATCCCGTGGGGAATGGGACTGAGCGCCTGTATATCTCTGAAGGCTCTGGAGGTTATTCTGATATGCAGCCAAGTATGGCTGTGTTTTCATTTCTGTATATATTTTCTTTTTGTATGGATTTTTCACTGTTCTTACTCTCTGTATGTATTTTTTCTTACTCATGCCTCATGAGTTAAAATGGCTATACAGTGTCCCTTGGTACAGATGTGTTCTAATTTACATAACTGATCCCCTCTTGGTAGACATTATTAATATGCTTCCCATCTTTTTTCATAACAAGTTACTTTAGTAGATATACTTGTACATATAACTTTGTACACATTTGTGAATATATTTAGGGGATAAATTACTAGAAGTGGACTTGTTCAGAGGATATATATATTTGTGAATTTGAGAGATGTGTTTTCTTTGATTCCAATTTTTAAAATTGTTTTAAAATGCCCATAAAATTGTCCGGGCGTGGTGGCTCACGCCTGTAATCCCAGCACTTTGAGAGGCCGAGGCGGGTGGTCACAAGGTCAGGAGATCAAGACCATCCTAGCTAATATGGTGAAACCCTGTCTCTAGTAAAAATACAAAAAATTAGCCGGGCGTGGTGGTGGGCACCTGTAGTCCCAGCTACTCGGGAGGCTGAGGCAGGAGAATGGCATGAACCTGGGAGGTGGAGCTTGCAGCGTCCGAGATCGCGCCACTGCACTCCAGCCTGGGGGACAGAGTGAGACTCCGTCTCAAAAAAAAAAAAAAAAAAAAAAAACAAAAAACAGAAAACCATAAAATTTACCGTGTAACCATTTTAAATGTACAATTCAGTGGCATTAAATACATTATTAATGTTGTGCAACCATCACTACCATTCATCTCCAGACCTCTTTTCATCTTGTAAAACTAAAACTCCATACCCATAAACAGTAACTCCCCATTCCTTCCTCTCCCTATCCCCTGGCAGCCACCATTTTACTTTCTGTCTCTTGGATATCAGCTACTCCAGGAACCTCATATAAGTGGATTGTACAGTATTTGCTTATTTAACTTAGCATATGGTCCTCAAGGTTCGTCATGTTGCAGGATATCAGAATTTTCTTTCTTTTTAATGCTGAATAATATTCCATTGTATGTACGTAACACATTTTGTTTATCCATTCCTCTGTCAATGGTCATATGGATTTCTTCCACATTTTAGCTATTGTGGGTAATGCTGTCATGAACAAGGCTGTACAGATATCTCTTCAAGACCCTGTTTTCAGTTCTTTGGGGGTATATACCCAGAAGTGGAATTGCTGGATCATATGATAATTCTATTTTTAATTTTATGAGGAACCACCATATTTTTGTTTTCCACAGTGACTCAACCATTTTACTTATGTTCCCACCAACAGTGCATAAGGGTTCTGATTTCTCCGCATCCTCACCAACACTTCTTATTTTCTGCATTTTTGTGGTAGTAGCCATCCTAATGAGTATGAAGTGAAATCTCTTTGTAGTTTGGATTTGCATTTCCCTAATGATTAGTGAGGTTGAACATCTTTTCATGTGCTTATTTAAGGCCATTTGTATATCTTCTTTGGAGAAATGTTTGTTTAAGTTCTTTGCCCATTTTTTATTTAGTTTTTTGTTGTTCAATTTTGGCAGTTCTCTATGTATTCTGGATATTAATCCCTTATCACATATATGGTTTGCAAATATTTCAGATTTTTTTATGTGTGAAAATATGCTTTTAAATCCTCAAGAGTTACGTTCTTAAACTGAATATATTCTTAACTATTCTTAAATCTTGGAAGTCCTTACATTTTGTTTTTATCTCTTCTTAGGCCAGTACTAAAGTGGAAGTGGACATGGAGAAAGCAGAAAGCCTGCAAGTGACGAGAGGAGACTTCCTTGCTTCTTTGGAGAATGATATCAAACCAGTGAGTATGCCCATTGAGTGATATATAGGCCAAAAAGTAATGATAATAATAACTCAGGCGAAAAGTAAGTGCCATTTACTCAGTATTATGGAAGGTTATAGCATATGCAGTTTCATAAAATGAGAAAATTTTAGTATTGGAAATGTTCAGTATGAGAAACATCTGTACAATAATCCTAGTGGCTGGTGATATTATTTACTGAAATATTTTCATGATAGGAAGCTTACCATCTTGTAAGGCAGGCCATTCAATTTTGAGACTTTCCAGTTATTGTTTTACTTTATATTGAACTAGAACTAATTTTCTTATTGGTTCTTATACAATCCCAAGCTACAGAAACCTAACTTCAGTCCATCTTCCATATGTCAGTTATTAGGATATTTAAAATTAACTCTCATATCCTCCTCTGTCTCTCTCTCTCTCTCTCTTTCTCTTCCTTTCCTCAGCCTCTTCCAAGGCATCCCTTTTTCTTGCTCAGTACATTTAGTTTCTCTGACTACTATAGTTTCTAAGACTTAAAAAGTGTCAGTTTTCTTAAAACGCACTCAAAATGGTCATAGTTGGAGCTTTAGAATACAGTTTAAGGTTATTAACCCATTTTCCTATAAAACAACTACTAACATTTGAGTAACTTTTGTTTAGAGTCCTGTGTTAATACAAAAACAAATTGTAGAAAGTCCCAGTTCTTAAAGAAGTGTGTGCTTTTCTTTCTTAAATGGACCTCAGGTCCATTAAGATTAATCTTAATCTTTATGACACACTGTTATTAGTCTGTATTTTCATGGCATGTAAAATAACATATGGTATATGTAGTTTTCTGGGACTTGCTATTTATTAAATATTTTATTACCAAGAGTCATCTATATCAGGGATCCCCAACCCTCAGTACTGGTCCATGGCCCGTTAGGAACTGGGCCACACAGCAGGAGGTGAGCAGCAAGTGAGTGAGCCTCATCTGTATTTACAGCCACTCCCTATTGCTCGTGTTACCACCTGAGCTCCACCTCCTGTCAGATCTGTGGTGACATTAGATTCTCATATGAGTATGAACCCTATTGTGAACTGCATATCTGAGGGATCTAGATTGCACACTCCTTATGAGAATCTAATGCCTGATGATCTGTCACTGTCTCCCATCACCCCCAGATGGGACCATATAGTTGCAGGAAAACAAGCTCAGGGCTCCCACTGATGCTACATTATGGTGAGTTGTATAATTAGTTCATTATATATTACAATGTAATAATAATAGAAATAAAGTGCACAATAAATGTAATGTGCTTGGGCTGGGCATGGTGGCTCGTGTCTGTAATCCTAGCACTTTGGGAGGCTGAGGCGGGCGGATCACGAGGTCAGGAGTTCGAGACCAGCCTGACCAACATGGTGAAACCCCATCTCTACTAAAAATACAAAAATTAGCTGGATGTAGTGGTACGTGCCTGTAATCCCAGCTACTCACGAGGCTGAGGCAGGAGAATCGCTTGAACCCAGGAGGCAGAGGTTGCAGTGAGCCAAGATCGCACCACTGCACTCCAGCCTGGGTGACAGAACGAGACTCTGTCTCAAAAAAAAAAAAAATGTAACGCACTTGAAACATCCCGAAACCACCTCCTCCCCCAATGGAAAAATTATCTTCTATAAAACTGGTCCCCGATGCCACAAAGGTTGGGGACTGCTGATGTATATGATTTCTTGTAGCTAGACATCATTCATTTTCATGCTGAATAGCATTCCATTGTGTGAGTACCACAATTTATCTATTTTCCTGTCAATTGTGAATGTTACCAGTATTTTGTTATTAAAAAAAGATTTGTCGTAAGAATTCTTGAATGAATTTCTCTTATTTAGGAATAAAATTATTAGGTTGTTGGATATATGAATGTCCCGCTTTAAAAAAACATTTCCCAGTGGTTGAACCAACACTGCCCCCAATACTGTGAAACATATCCTCTTGTTCTGTATCCTCTCCAACACTTGGTATTATCAGATTTATTTTTTATTTATTTATTTTTTTTGAGATGGAGTCTCACTCTGTCGCCCAGGTTGGAGTGCAGTGGTGTGATCTCAGCTCACTGCAACCTCCATCTCCCGGGTTCAAGCAATTATCCTGCCTCAGCCTCCCGAGTAGCTGGGATTACAGGTGCTTGCCACCATGCTTGGCCGATTTTTGTATTTTTAGTAGAGACGGGGTTTCACCATGTTGGCTAGGCTGGTCTCGAACTCCTGACCTCAGGTGATCTGCCTGCCTCGGCTTTCCAAAGTACTGGGATTACAGGCGTGAGCCACTGCACCCAGCCTCAGATTTAATTTTTGCCATTCAGTTAGGTGTAAAATGAGATCTCATTTCAGTCTTGATTTGCATTTTAGTTATTAGAGAACTTAAGCATTTCTCCATATGTTAATTGACCATATGCATGTATTGTGTGAAATAGTGTCCAAGTCTTTTGCCTGTTTTTCTGTTGTACTGCTTATTTGATTGATACAAGTTCTTTATATACTCTTTTTTTCTCAATTTTGTATTGTGTTAAAATACATATAAAGTTTACCATTGTAATCATTTTCAAATGTATAGTTCAGTGGTATTAAGTATATTCATAATGTTGTATAATCATCACCACCATCCATCTCTAAAACTCTTTTCTTCTTCTTGAACTGAAACTCTATACCCATTAAATAATAACTCTTTTTTCCCTCCCCTACAACACCTGGCAGCCACCATTCTACTGTCCATCTTTATGAATTTCAGTAATCTTAAGTACCCATGTAAGTGGAATCATAGTATTTGTCTTTTTGTAACTAGCTTATTTGACGTAGCATAATGTCCTCAAGGGTCAACCATCTTGCAGCATGTCAGAATTTTCTTCCTTTTTAAGGCTGGATAATACTCCATTATATGGGCCAGGCGTGGTGGCTCTTGCCTGTAATCCCAGCACTTTTGGAGATTGAGGTGGGTGGGTCACCTGAAGTCAGGAGTTCAAAACTAGCCTGGCCAACATAGTGAAACCCCATCTCTACTAAAAAATACAAAAATTAGCCAGGAGTGGTGGCACACACCTGTAATCCCAGCTACTCGGGAGGCTGAGACATGAGAATCATTTGGATCCGGGAGGTGGAGGTTGCAGTGAGCCGAGATTGTGCCACTGCACGCCAGCCTGGTGACAGAGCAAGACCCTGTCTCAAAAAAAAAAAAAAAAAAAATCCATGATATGTACATACCACATGTTGTTATCCATTCCTCTGTCAATGGCAGCCAGGCTTCTGCCACGTTTTGGCTATTTTGAGTAATGCTGTCATTAGCATGGCTGTACAGATATCTCTTCAAGACCCTGTTTTTAGTTCTTTCGGGTATATACTCAGAAGTGGAATTGCTGGATCATATAGTAATTCTATTTTTAATTTTTTGAGGGACCACCATACCGTTTTCCACGGTGGCTGCACCATTTTACATTCCCACCAGTGGTGCACAAAAATTCTGACTTCTCCACATGCTCACCAACAAATTATTTTCTGTTTTTTTGGTAGTAGCCATCCTAATGAATATGAAGTGACATCTCATTCTAGTTTTGATTTGTATTTTCGTAATGATTAGTGGTGATAAGTATCTTTTCATATGCTTATCAACCATTTGTTACATATCCTTTTTTTTTTTTTTTTTTTTGAGACAGTCTTGCTCTGTCACCCAGGCTGGAGTGCAGTGGCACAATCTCGGCTCACTGCAACCTCTGCCTCCCAGGTTTAAGTGATTCTCCTGCCTCAGCCTCCCCAGTAGCTGGGATTGTAGGCACCCATCACCATGCCCGGCTAATTTTTTTGTATTTTTAGTGGAGACAGGGTTTCACCATGTTGGCCAGGCTGGTTTCAAACTCCTGACCTCAAGCGATCCACCTACCTCAGCCTCCCAGTGTGCTAGGATTATGGGCATGAGCCACTGCACTTGGCCACCATTTATTTTATATATATATATATATATATATATTTTTTTTTTTTTTTTTGAGACTGAGTCTTGCTCTGTTGCCAGGCTGGAGTGCAGTGGCGCAATTTTGGCTTACTGCAACCTCCGCCTCCTGGGTTCAAGTGATTCTCCTGCCTCAGCTTCCTGAGTAGCTAGGACTGCAGGCTTGCGCCACCATGCCCGACTAATTTTTGTATTTTTAGTAGAGACGAGGTTTCACTTTGTTGGCCAGGATGGTCTCAATCTCCTGACCTCGTGATCCACCCACCTTGGCCTCCCAAAGTGCTGGGATTACAGGCATGAGCCACTGCACCTGGCCTGTTATATATTCTTAACAATAATTATTTGTTCCAAGTATCTCCTTTAAAGACAAAAGCCAATTTGGTTAGCCCTGTCTTTTTATTACTATTGTGACTTTTAAATATAAAATAATCATTTTCAAAAGTAACTCCAAGATTTTTTTAACAACAAGTAATTTGGCCATGAGGAAGTGACAACTAAAAACTTAATTTTATTTATTCCAAGGGTCTGGAGGATAAAAAAAAAATGAAATTATGGGATATGTAAGGAAGATATACACGTTATATATCTTGGGAGAGTCACTGTTTTATGGTTCAGGCATCTTAAAGCTTCTGCTGTGAGGCTTGGAGTATATAACTGGAAAAATTAAAGACAAAAGCCAGCCTATAATTTTTTTTTTTTTTTAAATGAGATGGAGTCTTGCTGTGTCTCCCAGGCTGGAGTGCAGTGGCGTGATCTCGGCTCACTGCAACCTCCGCCTCCCGGGTTCAAGCAATTCTCCTACCTCAGCCTCCCAAGTAGCTGGGATTACAGGCACACACCACCACACCCAGCTAATTTTTGTATTTTTAGTATAGATGGGGTTTCACCACGTTGGCCAGGTTGGTCTGGAACTCCATACCTCAGGTGATCCACCCGCCTCAGCCTCCCAAAGTGCTGGGATTATAGGCTTGAGTCACTGCGCCCGGCCATGAAAATTTCTTAGAACAGCCATTTAGCCAGTTTGGATTAGTTTCATCATTACTTTTTACACTGCTACTGAATTTGCCATATCTAGGCCAAAGAATGAGAACCTTCCTCTGTATTCAGGAATCAAAGGACCAGTATATGCAAAGAGACTACGTAAAAAGTGGTCTGAAAAATTATTTTGTGGCAAAGTAATAGAGATATGAGATCACTGGATACTGTTTCAAAGACAGTATTACAAAAACAGCTTTATGTGAGGTGCATGTTCTAAAGAACTATTAAAACTATTCCATACATCAGGTAATCAAAAGTTGAATTTTGAGGGATGTGATGATCTTTAAAAAATTGAAATTCTCAAGATACATGATCTTTACATGTACATGATCTTTACATGTAGTAGGTTATGTTTTCCTATTTATTCTGTTAACCTCATGAAAATCCAGTTCAATTGTAAATACTAAAGTTATTGACTACTTTTGGCAGCTGTTTTGATGGGAGGTATAACCTTTGAGATTAAAAGTTGACAATGAAGAAGGGTGCAATTTAAGCTCCAATATGTAGTGAACACAAATAGAATTATTATCTGAAATAATTGCTTTTATATCCTTCTTATTACAGCTCCTCATTTCTATCTCATCCTAAATCTTATATTTACACATATAAACTTAACATTGGTGCCATTTAACTATGTCCCCTACCACAAAGTTGATGTGAACATGATCTTCTCATTACCATTTCGTATTCTCATGTTAATCCATAGCACCTGCAGTCAGTGTTAAGGTAGCATATTTGTCTATTGCGCTGTTTCTAAGTCCATAATCTCTTTTTTCCTTTGTTCTTAACAGAACAGCCTCAAACTGCATACTGTTGATAAAAATAAGCACATTGGAACATATTCTTTCTCTCAGGAATTATGAGGGTTTGAGTCTGGTGGAATCTCAGCCTAGAATCCATTGTTTTTATTCCATTAAGTCACCCAAAGCAGCTTTTTTTTTCCTATTGGGAAAAAAGTTAAATGAGAAATTATACAAGTTGTTTTGCTTTCCAGGCTTTTTATATTAATATGGGATAGTGATCAATACCTTTAGCATGTACGAATTATAACTCGTCTTTTATACTGTTAGTTTTTAACACTAAGGCTCAAAATGCTTTAGACTCCTTTTTCTTAATAGGCCTTTGGCACAAACCAAGAAGATTATGCAAGTTACATTATGAACGGTATCATCAAATGGGGTGACCCAGTTACTCGAGTTCTAGATGATGGGGAGCTGCTGGTGCAGCAGACTAAGAACAGTGACCGCACACCATTGGTCAGCGTGCTTCTGGAAGGTGAGAATGAATGAGGAGATGGCATTAAAAGTTAAAGGAAAAAAAGCAGCATTTTTTAAAAGCCCGTAAGCACATTCTAGAAAAGTGAATTCTTTTTCGTTTTTAACCTTGTTCTTGATCTGAAAATAGTAATCCAATCTATGTACCAATATTGTGTACAAATTAAAATTTTCTTGGGGTAGAATGTTAGTGAGGAAAGATAGCAACTAGTTTTCTTGTAGGATTATATCTGTATTTCTGTGGCACTTAATACACTGAATGATGCCACTTAGCCTCAATTCAATTAAATAAATACTTACTGAGTACTTGTATTTTAGTCATTGAACTAGTTGCTGGGGATACAAAGACATTCAAGTGTTCATTCAGTCTGGTCATGAACAAAGACAGTGTAAAGAAATTCCTGACTACGGTGTATGTGTGTAAAGGTGTGTGTGAATACAAGTCATTTAGCATAGGGGTGGTCAGGGAAAACTAGAGATGCTATTTAATCTAGGCCTTGAAAGACCAGTTAGGATTTTATTGAGTAGACAGACAAAAGGGGAAGGACATTCCATTCACAAATAATTAATTTACAGTTATAATTAGTATGACGGCAGAAAAGTTCAGTGAGGCCCCATGACAAGGGAACCTAACTACCTCTAAAGGTCTGGGGGATGAGAGCTCCCTGGGAGAAACATATTAAGCCATGACTTGACCAATGAGGAGACTCTGGCCAGCCAAAGTCACTGGGGAGGATGTTTGAGGCAGAGCATGTGAAAAAGTCCTGGGCAGGAAGGAGCTTGAAAGAGAAAGGGAGATTATCCTGACATGAGACTGTAGAAGCAGATAGAAGCCAGTTCATATAAAACCCTGTAGGCCATATTAAAGATTTAAACTATCTTAGGGGCAATGGGAAGCCATTTGTAGGATTTTAAGCAGTGAAGCCACATCATCATCACTGCTTTATGATGGAGAATGGATTGGAGGGGCAAAAAGATACAGAAGAGACTAATGGTTAGAAGCAGTTGGATTAGTCTTAATGAGAGTCGATTGTGGTTTGAAGTATGTGGAGTAGTGTAGATGGAGATAAGTAGACTAATTAGAAATATTTAGAAGATAGAATAAAAATGACCTCATTATTATTGTCAATCATAATTATGCTAGCAGTTTTTGAGCCCTTGCTATTTGCCAGTCACTCTACTAGCACTGTGCACATATTATCTATTTAAACCCCACTTCAGTCCTCCAAGGGTAGATGCTGCTGTTGTCTCTATTTTGTAGGTGGGGAAGCTGAAGCCTAGAAATATTTGTTAGATTGGATGTGGGCAGAGGTATCAAACATGACCCCCTGGGTTCTGGCATACATAGCCCGATAAATGGTGCTGTTTACTAAGATTGGGAACACTAATGGAAAGCAGATTTCTGGAAGAAAGATGATGAGTTCAGTTTTGAACATGTTAAATTCAAGGGTCATATAGGAGAAGTAAATCGGAAATGTTGAGCAGCCTGTTGGATATGTGGGTCTGGCTAGCAGTAGACTCATGAGTTGCCAGTATATAGACTGTGGTTGAAGCCATGGGAGTGAACGAAATCACTTACAGTGAGGGTGTGGGTTGAGACGAAAAGGAGGCCTAGAACTTGTCTCTGAAGCATGTTAACACGTAAGGACTAAACAGAGCAGAAAAATTGACAAAAGAGACTGAGCAAGAGTAACCAGAGAGGAAAGGGGAAAGAGAGAATGTGTGTTACAGAAGCCAAGAAAAGAAACATATTTTAAGAAAGAGGGGAATTATGAATTGTATCAAATGCTCCTAAGAGGCTGAAAAAGATACCAAAATGTTTGTTGGGTTTGATGACATGGAGATCATTTGTGACCTTGATGGGAGCCTGTTCAGTGTAATGGGGATGGGAGCCGTAAGATTTAGTGAGGATGGGTGGGAGGTGAAGAACAAAAGCAGCCAGTGTAAATAATTACATAGGCAAGTTCCATTTTGAAGGGAGAAGAAGGTGCAGTTTTGAGGGGTATGATGTTCAGAAAGAGTTTTTTGTTGTTATGTATTAAACTGTCAGATAGACTAGAACATGCTAAAACACTTTTGGAAAGGCTTCAGGGAAGAGGAAGAAGTCGAACATATGGGAGAAAGGAACAATCAGTAATGTCATGTTCCTGAGAAGATGGAAAGGAAGATTTGATTGGTTTATGGTTGAACGAGGGACACAGCTTCCAAAACAGGGAAGGGAAGGCAGGGATGTCTAAATGTAGGTAAGTTCGTAGATTTGCTTGCCTTTATGAGAAGGCCTGAGTCTTTAGAATTCTAACTTTTTACATCACATTTGCTTCTAATAAGGCAGTTTTCCCCTGCCCCCAATATCAGCTCTTAAGATTGTCTTTTTTTGTTAGACAAATGATTTGATAGAACTAACAACATAAGTACTAATATGCATTTGAATGCGTTCTTTTAAGAAGCAAAACCCTTACACTCTGTATATTTTGCCAAAAGTTTGAAAGATTAAGGATATGTGAGAATGTCAGGAGGCATGTATTTCACCATACTTTTGAGAAATGCTAATTAGTTCATTAAGTTTAGTTGCTAATAAATAAGAGAAAACATGTCTGCTGTGAAATTGTGTCAGGAAATGTTAATGAGCAACTAGTCGAGACCTCAGTATGTTCTGGATAAAAGTTTAAACTTGTTTTATTTCCCTTTGCTTAGGTTGGCTTTTTTCCCCTGACTTGCTCATATCTTTATGCAGGCCCTCCTCACAGTGGGAAGACTGCTTTAGCTGCAAAAATTGCAGAGGAATCCAACTTCCCGTTCATCAAGATCTGTTCTCCTGATAAAATGATTGGCTTTTCTGAAACAGCCAAATGTCAGGCCATGAAGAAGGTATCAAGATTTTACTTTCATTTTAATTTCCTATCTCTTAAATGTGTGTGTGTGTGCACATATATATGCCTTTGTACATGTATACATATAAACCCATAGCAACTATGTTCTTCTCAAGTGGAACCAAATTATCAGCAGAATATGGGGGAAGCAGTGACTGTTTTAGATTTTCTAACTTTGTAATGTATTTTATTGAGTACCTTTACCTTCTAAATTATGCTTTGTTTAATACATATTAAGTTTCATTGCCTAGTTTTGTATCAATTTGATTAAAAGAGTTATAGTTGAAAGTGTTTGAATAAAGTGGACAAATTCATTTAGGATTTTTTAAAGTTCTTTCATTATTGTACAAAGTTGAACTCTTTGGGGTCAATTAAGTTGAGGAAGACAGAGATGTATCAATGGGAAAATAGTCCCAGGAATCCCTACAAAAGGATAGTTTTATATTAGGTAATAATCAGAATCTGCTTGGTAACTTAATGCAGTTCTCATACATCTTCCTTTCTCCAAGTGCCACTCGTCACCTTCTTAATTAACATGGCCACTTTCTACCATCAGTGAAGTTAGAACAGCATAGAATAGAATCCTAGAGCTGAAAAGACTGTAAGACCATTTGGTCCATCTCTCTTACATTCAAGCAAGTGCCATGCAACAACAACAACAAAAATCAATGATGAAGACTCTAAATGGCTGTTCCATCTTACTTGTTAGATCATGTTTCCATTGCTATTCTAATTTTGCATACTGCCAGTCAAGAAATTATTTTTTGTATCCAGCTGAAGTATTTCTTTTATTTAAATTCTTTTTTTCATGCTTGATCTTTTATAGATATGAACTGACCGTAAGTCCAAGAGATGTGGGAAAATCAGAATGAGGTGAAAGAATCTTGAGAATTGAAGTGCTCCCTAGTAAAGACAGCTCAGGGTTTTCTTTTACATTGCTCTTAGGCATTCGCTTTATAAAGATGTATTGTAGAATTCTTCGGTGTTTCTTTGGGAAAGAGACTGAAGAAGAGAAATAGATTTAAAAGATGACTCCCAAAAAATGTAAGCTTGAGAAGCTAGTCTCTTGTTTGTGCAGGTGGCAGAAAATTGCACAGGGTACTTCAGATGGATGGAGGAAGCCGAACTTGTAGCAGGATTCCAGGCATACACATTGAAGAGTCCAGAGAAATACATAAAAATGTTTGAAATTGAGTGTGAAAAGGAAATATTGCCAGATGCAAAAAGAACTTATAATATCATAGTTTATTCTGTCTCTGAGGTGAAACCAATAGTATCTGTCCTTCCCAGGAAAATCTGAATAGAATAACTGGGACCAGTGATTTCCCTAGAGTAGGTAGGGCTGTTTTTCTTTGTTTTTCGTTTTCCCTCTGATGGGAACCCTTAACCCACTTCTTCTGGTAAAAATTTAAATAACAGCCCTTGAAATCTGTAGCTGTTGAATGTCCCATTTATTTATTGAATAGCTAATTCTATTTGCATTCTCCTAAATCATCTATTCCTGTGCTTTTTCAAAAGTAGTAGTCATCTTTGCAGATGGTAAATTACTCCATTGCTTTCCACCAGCTGCCAGCTTCTACCTCAGATGTACTCTGAGATGTGGGTGGATGGTCCTAGTTTTTCTATAAAGTTTTTAAAAAGTACTTCAGGCTTCTGCAGATCAAAGCTACTTTGTAAGTGTGAGATATTATCATTTTTATTATTTTAATCTCTTGCAAATTGACTTGAAGGGGGAAGGTAATATGTGCTGATTTTAGAGGCTTAAATGGTTAAATTAATGGTTTAATAACTTATTATTTAATCTTCAAATTGTTGAAGCCTTTCAAGGTAGAGTTTCAGATGAGTAGAAAGCTAGGGAGTATAAAAATAAGTGTCCATACAAGCTTATTCAAAATTGTTTTAATTCATGATTCACTGTCCGGATCATCCGTGCACTCTTAAAATTATAAAAATTATTTCTGCTTCAGCAGTATAACAAATTTATATTAGAATTTTTGGTTTTCCTTGGGGGAAAAATATTATTCTTTGTCATTAAAGTTCAGAAAAGAGAAAGGAATGAAGCATAGGTTTCTTAGAAATATATTAGAAATATTACAAAATATTTCCCTGCAAATAGTTTTCACATTGTTACCTAATGATAGGTTGACAAAAGCCTGAGGGGTCAAACCAGTCTAAAGATGCTAAGTCTTCCAGGTTGTTTTTGAAAATGAAATGTAAATGTCATTCTTTAGTATAAGTTCTAGTCTACCTCCCACTACTGTTCTTGCCCCTCCTTTTTTTTTTTTTTGAGATGGAGTCTTGCTCTGTCGCCCAGGCTGGAGTACAGTGGCGTGATCTCAGCTCACTGCAAGCTCCACCTCCCGGGTTCATGCCATTCTCCTGCCTCAGCCTCCCAAGTAGCTGGGACTACAGGCACCCGCCACCATGCCTGGCTAATTTTTTTGTATTTTTAGTAGAGATGGGGTTTCACCGTGTTAGCCAGGATGGTCTTGATCTCCTGACCTCATGATCCGCACGCCTCAGCCTCCCGAAGTGCTGGAATTACAGGCATGAGCCACCGCGCCCGGCCTGCACCTCCATTTTTAGTGTGAGGATGGAAAGAAGATGTTTTAATTTTTTTTCAGAGCACAAATAATTTATAGAGTTTTATAATTCTGGAGAAAACCTTTCTTTTGTTGTTGTAAGTGCAAAAATTAAGGTAGCTTTTTCTAATTACAGAAATAATTTAGAAAATACAAGAAAGAACAGAAGAAAATAACAATAAATTCATATTTGTCCTTCAATTCTCTTTTCTACTCAGACACATGTGTACACATGAACACATATACCCCCTCCCTTATATATTGGGGATTACATTGAAACATACTGATGTAAACTTGCTTTTTTCACTTAAAATATTATGAACTTTTTTCAGTGTAACTAAAGCTAATCTGAACATTATTTTAAATTAATAGCTGTCTAATATCTGAACAATCCCTTTTTGTTGGACAATTAGGTTGTTTCCAGGTTTTTTTCACAATTATAAATAATATATATCAAAGAGTTATCTATACTCCCAAGTTCATTGCAGCAGTATTCACAGTAGTGGAATGGAATCAACCTGAATGTCCCTCAGTGGATGAATGGATAAAGAAAATGTGACACATATACACTGTGGACTGTAACACAGCCATTTAAAAAGAATGAAATCCTTGTCATTTGCAACAACATGGATGAAGGACCTGGAAGACCTCATGTTAAGTGAAAGAAGCCAGGCACAGAAAGTCAAATATCACATGTCCTCATTCATATATGGGAACTAAACAATTGAACTCAGGGAGGTAGAGTTAGAATGATGGTTATCAGAGGCTGGGAAGGGTAGTGGTAACAAAAATACCATTAAATAGAAGTAATAAGATCTAGTGTTGGACAGCACAATAAATTAACTATACTTAAAAATCATGGGCCAGGCACAGTGGTTCATGCCTGTAATCCCAGCACTTTGGGAGGCTGAGGTGGGGGGATCATGAGGTCAGGAGTTCGAGACCAGCCTGACTAACATGGTGAAACCCCGTCTCTACTAAAAATACAAAAATTAGCCAGGCATGATGGCATGTGCCCTGTAATGCCAGCTACTCAGGAGGCTGAGGCAGGAGAATCGCTTGAACCCGGGAGGCAGAGGTTGCAGTGAGCTGAGAGCACACCACTGCACTCCAGCCTGGGCGACAGAGCAAGACTCCATCTAAAAAATAAAATAAAATAATGTGTCGTTCGGGGAGTGGGCCTGGTGGCAGTGGCGGTGGCAGGGAAAGAGTTGGAGCAGTGCCAGCGGCAAGCGAACAAGGTGACGGAAATCACGCTTAACAACTTTGACAAGGTCCTGGAGCATGATGGAAAGCTGACCGAACTGGAGCAGCGTTCAGACCAACTCCTGGATATGAGCTCAGCCTTCAGCAAGACAACAAAGACCCTGGCCCAGAAGAAGTGCTGGGAGAACATCCATTGCCAGATCTACTTGGGGCTAGTGGTGGGTGGTAGCCTGCTCATCATCCTGATTGAGCAGCTGGCCATCTTTCTCCCTCAGAGTGACACCAGTAATGCCCCACAGACCTAGGATGCAGGCACCACCTCAGGGCCTGGGGACTGACAGCTGGTCCTGAGGGAGAAGCCAAATGGCTGCACTGGCTGGTTCCGGTCTCCAGAGAACCTTGGTGTTTGCTCTCCCCTGACCCACCCCAGTGAGTGCCAAAGGGCAGCCCCAACACGTGCACCCCTGCATTTCTTGTCATGCCACAGACTGGCCCTCGAGGGCACCCTGCCATACTGGCCATGCCGGGCCAGCCCCACCTGAAGCTCAGTGAAAGCTGATTAAAAAAAAAAAATTATGTATAGATCAAAATAACTACAAGAGTGGAAATTGAATATTCCTAACAAAAAGAAATGATACATGCTTAATGAGTTTCACAACTACCCTTATTTGATCGTTACATGTTTTATACTTGTATCAAAATGGTGCATGTACTCCATAAATATGTATAACTATTATGTAGCCATAACTAAAAATTTAAAATTTATATAAAAACAGTATTCCATAGGACTACCAAACTAGGGAAATTACTGCCCCCATTTTCTCATTAGATTTTTCTTCACTAGAGTAGTATAACATGACCGAGAATTTGGGCTTGCTCAGCTCTCCACACTGACCGGCCGAATGACCTTGGATATGTCATTTAACCTATAAGCCACTGTTTTCTCATCTGTCAAATGAAGATAATATTAATAGCTGCATTATAGGGTTATGAGAATTAGATGGTAATTTCTGTAAAGTGTCACAGTGCCTGGGATATAATATGAAATCAATGAAGTGTAGTGGTTATTTTTACTTATTATTATACATACATTTTTTATTATTTCCTTATGACAAATTCTCAGAAGTGGGATTGCTAAGGTAAAAATATTAGTATTGTAAAGATTTTTGATACATAGTGCTATCAAAACTCTTAGGTAAAAAATGCTCTTGGTTTTATAAAGCCTACGCCTTCAGAATGTTGTACTAATTTACACTTGTAGCTTCACCATATAAGAGTATGAGTTTCTTGGGATTCTCACCCGTACTTGATATTATTAAAATATTTTTTGCCAGTTGGATAAGCAGAAGGTTGGCATTTAGTTATTTCTTTAGCTACATTTCAATGACTAAATGCTCAAATTTAAGATTTTTCAAAATGTTTTGCAATGACAATAGTCTGTGAAACTGAAAAATATGTAACACATTAATTTTTGTTAAAGATGTGTGGTCTGAATTAGTTAATTCATAGAGCATCTTTACCTACCACTTTATTACTTAAACCAACAGGTAAGAGTTTTAGTAGAGAGGGCTGTTAGGCTTGCTTTAATGAGTACATGAGATTTTATTATAATTATACTATTGCCTCTTTTTCACAAATGGATGGTGCTAAAATACGTGAAAGTAGTTTATTCTCAATTAATTTAAAATTCACCTTGTACTTCTCTTAATTTGCTTATTAGTGAATCCTTTCTCCATGGATAAACTCCTCAAAACTGCTGAAGTATGTATGAGGTATTGTCCTCACGTTCTGGGGGGTATACCATATGTTCCATTAAGATGTTTGAAGTATTCACAGACCTTCCCCTTCTCCCCTATTTTACGTTTGCTTCCCAAACTTCATTCTATTTTTAAATTTTAATTCCTTTATCCATTTTTGCATCAATACTTGTTTAAAAATCTATTTTACTAGTTCTATTCGTGCCATTAAATGAACAAAAGAAGAAAGCAGAATTTGATTTTAACTAATTACCTAATCTTGATGCTTTCTGAGTATACAATCAGTAGAGATGAAGTAGAACAATCAGATAGAACTAAATTGTTTGAACAAAATTAAGTAAAACTACCAGTGATTTATAAAACTGTACCCATTAATAACATGATATAGTCTTATTTTCAAAGGATTGAAAATTAATGGAAGAAATTTTCCTTTCCACTAGCTTTGCACGAAAGAAATAATCTTCTTTGAATATCCTCCTGTAAATCCCACTGCAAATTGTAGTCTGCACAGAACAGAATCGTGATGCCTAATCCTCCTCTTTTCATGGTTTAGTCTATACAAAGAGCAGAGCTGGAAATTGGATCTTTTGACAGCAGTTACTAAGCAACAGAATTTGGATGTTTTTGGTTAACATCCTAATATATAATGTAGCTGATTTGTTGAAGTTTTTGCATATATTAGCTGAGAGAAGTGGGCACTCCGGAAGTGACTACAGGTCCCTGTATGGCTGGGGAGGTGGGCATTTGTTGTTGTTTTGTTCAATACACTGTGTCTTTTGGCATTTGTATCTCTTTGGCGTAGAAAGGAGGCTGGTGCAGAACTTTCAGACCTTGTGACTTTTTATATTATTAAGAATACCCTTCTCTGTGGCTCACGATATGAGAAAATGTAAGATTTTTTCCTGAAAAGCAGGGAGAACAAATAAAGGATTTTAAGGTCATTCCAGGAAGCTTTAGAGCTTTGCCAAAAGTTTAGGTCCACTTCCTGAGGCAGTTTCATTAGCAGACAGCTAATGTTTGCTTGGTCTACTCCCAAGTTATTTTTAGAAACGAGATTATTACTGATAGCACCCATTTGAATTTGCTCATTTACGTTTTTATATGCTACCAAATATGATTAGAGTATGCTTTTAACTAATCGCTGACAGATTTACTGCATTAGGGATTTTCTAAGCTATGAGATTCCTACAGTCATCAGATTTCTACTAACTAGGTACTTCACGCCAAGTACTTCAGAACTGAGATGAACTCTTTCAGCTCCCAGAAGAACCAGAGTGTTTGGCTTTGCTTACCTAAGGGCACTAAGGAGGTCCCAGAGGATGGAGGGCTGAATCTCCTGAGAGCATGCTTGTTGTGGCTTGTGATCCCGAAAGGCTGGGATTAATGGAACTAATGCTGGTGTGCTCCCATTTGCACTTGTGTAGACTCTGGAGCCCGTAGCTGCTGCCCCTGTCCCACACACAGGTGGCTCCCCAGTTGTCTGAAGATCCCAGGAGTGGGCTCTGGGACTTAAGAGCTTGCCGTGTCCTTGAGCACCACATTCAGACCTGCCCCTAATCCCTGCGTGGCAGAGCCCCGCTTCTCCTGTCCCTCAGTGCTCACGGAGTGCATGTGGCACACTCTTGCCTTAAGCCCAGGCTCCCCACACTCTGGGTTGTCTCTCATACCCCTCCAGCCTGTGTCGTACCTCCACCTTTGCATGCAAGAGAGGTTACAGTTTAATATGACAATCTCATTATGTGCACAGGTGGACATAACGGGCTTCTGTGTTTTCTAGAGCTGCTCTTCCTTCCTTTAGAGTAGACTTCCCGTTATTTCATGAGACACAGGCTGACTGATGCCACTCTTTCCCACATTGTTTCCTTCTTCAGTTCTTCCTGTTTTTTCTTTAGCCTTCTCTTTCAGACTTCCCTCCTAACTTTAAGACCCTATATATGTATGTTGATAATTTTACCTGTTCTACAGGAAACTTCATAATAGAACTGGGCTGACTATACATTCTTTTTCTGTGTGTGTGTGAATATATACTTTTTATTTAGCCATTTTTGTTTACAATTGAAACTCTGGGAATTCAAAATTAACATCCTTGCCCGTGAGCTTCTTATAGACACCAGAAAAAGTTTCAACCTTGTGTTCCACATTGTTCTGCTGTGCTTTGTCCAAATGAACCTTTATGAGCCGGCTGCTATCTAGTTTGACGGGGATTCTCTTGCCCACAATTTCGCTTGGGAAGACCAAGTCCTCAAGGAAGGCATCGTGCACAGCTGTCAGAGTACGGCTCCTGGGACACTTTTGCTTATTTTTTGTACGGCTTTTTTGAGTTGGCTTAGGCAGAATTCTCCTCTGAGCGATAAAGACGACATGCTTCCCACTGAACTTTTTCTCCAATTCGCGTACTAGCCGGACTTGGATTTTCTGGAAAGATTTCAGTTGAGGAACGGGAACAAAGATTATGATAGCTTTCCGACCACCACCAACTTCAGTTTCCTTGGCTGCCGTAATATTCAGCTCCCTGAGCTGAGCCTTGAGGTCCGAGTTCATCTCCAGCTCCAGAAGAGCCTGGGAGATGGCCGGACTCGAACTCGTCCGGCTTCTCGCCATTGGGCTTCACGATCTTGGCGCTCGAACTGAACATGGCTTTCTCCTGGGAGAACTTGCAGCGCCTGCTTAGGAAGAGACCCAAATCTCGCGAGAGCACGTCAAAATCCCTACATTCTTAAGATTAATTTTGGGGGGAGTCTGTAAGATACGGTTCTTACCTTCTTACCTCCAGCCTCAGTCCTCCTGGCATCTTCTGTGTTGGGGCATCTTTGGATCTAGAGCAAGCACTGTGTGACCTGCTGTGTGCTATAACTCACGGTGAGTTTGGCACTTCAGTTGTACTAGTCTGGCTAGGGCAGTTTGTACAATTTTACTTTTCTCGCATCTTTCTTTCCAGTACCTCTCCTCCTGCTGGGATTTATCTACCTAAAGTTGTGGTGCAGCTTCCCGGCTTAGTATGTAAATATCTCACTTGGATTTTCCTGTGGCAGCTAACCTCACGTACTTGCCAGCCAACTCTGAGTATCTTCTTAGTGAGAATTCTGCTGGGGCCTGGGCCAGAAAGGGTGAAAGGGACTAAGGGACTGAGGAGACTAGGCAGAAATCATGGATCCTGGGAAGAGTTATGAGCACAGGTTACACTAGTGACTAGATAAGGAAGAAAATGTACATGTGAGAAGAGAAAGGGATGTGTGTGTATGTATGTATTTAAATTAGAGCAGAGTAGCTACCCGGAGGAGTTTCAGTTGACTGGTTACCTGAAACTAGTCAAGTTACAACTGGAATTGCACAGCCTTCGTCATGGTCGGTGTGTTAATAGAGCTTGCTGTGAGTGCACCTCTCCCTCTGATAGTAATTAGCACAGAGACCGACTGCAAAAAACAAGAACGTCACTACTTGATATTAAGTGACTGCTGCAGGTATTTTTCCTCTCAAATGTTATGTGTAGGCCATGCAGTCAACTGTGAAGTGATTTGGAATGCTTTGTGAATTACAGTGTCTGAGATAAGTTGGTGAGACTACATACCATGTAGCAAGTCATCATTAGTTTAGACCTAAGCAATGTCCTGAGTAAGGTCCTTGCAGCCATATAAGCTGTACATTGTTTTGAGAAGGAAAAACATAGAACTACTGCAACCAGCCAGGCTGTGGTGTTCCAGGTCCCTGTGGCTCTAATCCATGATCTCACAGCCTGATGGTCAGAGTTATATGCTGGCATCAGAGCTTTTAGTAGAATTCTGAAAAATGTTTTGAAAAGCAAAGCATTATTTTCAGTGATTCCTTAAAATTACCTGAGTTTATAAGATACCACATTGGCTGCGGTTCCATCTTCAAAAAAAGTAGCAAAGAACCGCTGTAGAACTGCTTCTGAGCTTTTCAGTTGTCTCGAATGTACCAACTCAAAGCCAAAAGGAACCATCATTGTGTATCAAGAGACTGAAATAAATATCCTATTCTCATTTTCTCTTTTTCTGTGTTTGGGGAGGAGAAGATAAAAGGCCCTTCCCTTCTTGCTCTTTAAATGTACTCATGATCCATTTTCAAACCAGCTTCACCTCTGTGTTTTATTTCAGTTGCCAAATCAGGACAGATCCTTGACTCCAGTTTTCTCTTTCATCACCACACCCATTCATTCACCAAGTTCTTTCAGTTCCTCCTCCTAAACATCTCTAGATTCTGTCCACTTACCAGCACACCCACTCCCTGGCCACCATCATTTCTCACCTAGAACTCCACAATCTCAATTAACTATTATTCCCCTCTAATGCTTTTCTATACAATCAGGAAAATGTTTCTAAAACATAAGCCTGACATGTCAGTCCATTGCTTATAACCCTTTAGTGGCTTGTTATTGCCTTTACAGTAAAATTTTAACTCATGAAATTTGTAAGACTCTTTACGTCCAAGTTCCTTCATCACCTCTTCTAATTCATCTCACCTACCACTCCACTGCATTGACACCAACACCACTTTATTTTAATTCTTATTGACCGTTCCTGCAGTGTTCCTGAATGTTCACATCTCTGTGTCTCCTAATTTTCAGTATATTCTGCTTAGAACACTTTCTTCCACCCTTTCCACTGGTTAACTGTTGTTCATGCTTCAAGTCTCAGGTTAAGTGTCACTTCCTAAATTTAGGAAACTGTCCTGACTCCCTAAGTCCATTTAAGAGTCAAGATAGGCTGAGTTATGCTGCATGAAAGGACAACCCGAAAATCTCAGTGGCTTAACACAACAAAGTTTATTTTTTATTTACACTACTATATCTCCGTCATGGCTCAGACAGTGAGTTCTGTTCATTATATTTTCTCAGAGACTCAAGCTAATAGATAATAGAGGCCCCGCCTTACATCTGATTCCATGATAGCCAAGGCAGGGAAAGGAGTATGGTGAATCATGCAGTGACTCCTAAGGCTTCTTTCAGAAAGGGGTGTATTTCCCCTCATATTTCATTAACCAAAGCAAGCCCCATAGTTATGCCTAACTTCCAAGGCACTGGGGAAATACTGCCTACCCTGTGCCCCCGTATCATCTTGTATTTCCCCTAGCCTAATAATGTCATGCTTTGTTATAATTACATGTGACTTGCTTCCCCAACTCTAACTTTTGTGAAAGTAGGATTATTTTTGTCTTATTTATTATCCTCTGCAGTGCCTTCATTAATGCTTGATACATAATAAGAATTCAAAAATATTTGTTGAGTGAGTGAATGAATAAGGCAGCACTCCAAGACTCAATCCTTAGGCCTTTTTTTCTTCTTCTTCTGCCATTTCTTCTTGAAGATGGCTTCCTCTGTCATGGTTTCAGCAGTCACTGCCCTGAGAGTGATTTCCATTCCCTGACTTCAATCAGATATCTCCAACTTCTCACTTAATATTTCTACTTGAATTTAAAATGTGTAAATTTATTCTTTTAGTAAATACTTCTTAATTACTCTCTAATAAGGCATTATATTAAATGATATGAGGATACAGAGGTAATTAAGACAGCACTTGCCATCTGAGGGCTTGCAATCTAGTATAATACAAAAATAGTACAATGAATCAATAATATATATACGTAATATACAAAATCCTGTGCCAAAGGAGAAGACAAGTGATTTATGGCAAGATGGAATTGGAACTTGTGTTGTTTCAACCATTGAACCTACAGAGCAGACATCATTACTGAATTCTGTTCTGTGCTGGGCACTACACATAACATGAACAGAATAAAGCTTTTATCCACCTCACAGTCCAGTGGGGAGACAGATAGCTTAGGACGAAAGGATAGATGGGGTTTAGACAGAGTGTGGGAGGGTAATTAGGGGGTAAAGGGATGGTGCATAGGAAAACGTTTTCACCAGAGGGGTTGACCTGATTAAATATCTGGAGAAATTGTCAGTATTTATGCCAGGAAAGAGGTAAGGAAGGAACTGAATCAAGATGGTCACAGTGAGACTCTATTATGGTAACTTAATTGTTAGGAATACTTTAAAAACCAAGTATACACAGGTTGTTTTTAAACCTAACATGAAAAATGGTTAATATCATGAGTTTGACTTTATTTCTGTACCTAATTATAAGTCTTCAATGGTTAAAAGATACCCAGGAAGGAATATATGCCATTCCAAGCAAGATGTTGGTGCGGGTGGGGATCGGGTTTACTATCTTGGTGTGCTGAGGTTGGTTACCAACCAGAGAGAGTGGGCTGGGATGCAGAAACTAATTCTTACTCATGACACTGATGAGATTTCCTGAGCCCCACCTGTAGTCTCTGGAATAGTACCTTCATTTCCAAAAAGGCTAGTCTCAAGGCCTTGAGTACTTCTATTCAACTTGCAGATAAGCTAATTCTTCTATCTGATTTGAAATTACTACATCCTTGCCAGGCTAAAACCGTTCCTTCACTGCTTAATTTCATTCTCATTTTCTTGACCATCTTAAGACAGTGCATTCATATCTTTTGTCTGGTTTTATACGTACATCTATCTGATCCTTCATACTCAACCTTTAATTCTTTTGTAAGCTCTTTTACCATTATGGTCTGATTTGAGTTGACAGAATTCTGATCTTTCAGTGTTACTTTTGCTTAACAGAGCCACAATTCTTATAGATAATAAAATGGCATCTAGTTTTATTTTACACATCTCTTGTGGCTCCATCTAGCTCTTGAGTCATTACACTAAAGTCCTGCTCCTGACACAGATACCAGAGACCAGTGTGATAGAAG
Organism: Homo sapiens; assembly: GCF_000001405.40. Classification (NCBI taxonomy): domain Eukaryota; kingdom Metazoa; phylum Chordata; class Mammalia; order Primates; family Hominidae; genus Homo; species Homo sapiens. Next base: position 1,245,715 of record NT_187663.1, read on the forward strand.
TGATGGGATGTGTCAGTTGATTAATGATCAGCTAGTCCCCAGCCTGCCCAGGTGTGACACACACAGCTGTTAGTGCTGAAAACAGCCTTAGCCTGCTCTCTGTTCAGCGGTGATCCAGTGTGTCAATTCTAATTTATTGTAGTCCAAAGTGTTGGTGTTTTCCTGTGCTTTGTTTAGTATTGCTCAAGAAGTAACTAAACTTCTTGGAAATTGTCGTAACTGTGGAGGACAGTGAGATAATAAATGACTTTGTTTTCTTTCAGATCTTTGATGATGCGTACAAATCCCAGCTCAGTTGTGTGGTTGTGGATGACATTGAGAGATTGCTTGGTGAGTCCTAACTTCTGCTGTTGTATTATCTTTGCCACATTACAGCTAATATCTCAAAAGTTACAAGAGAAAATTAACAAGTATTTATAAACTGTAAAGCAATAGAAATACCTTTCTTTGTCTTACAAGGAAATATAATGTTCTCTCTTAAATAGCTGACATCAATGATAGTATTCATTTTAATATGCCCTGTGACTATAACACCATTATAAACTGCTTTCTTGTAAGGGCCCATGTCTCATTTTGTATCTTCCAGTGTGCCCTTGCCATAGTAAATGATTAGTAATTTTCATTGATGAGTATATCTGTTATTTAGGACCTCTGAGCTCAGAAATTCACTTGTGAACTTTGACAGAACTAATGAAAGAAGGGTTTAGGATCACAGAGAAATCTGCAAATTCACTAAAACACTAAGGGCAGAAGTTGTAAGCTCTCTGCACCTCAGTTTCTGCTCTTACAAAACAGAGACTATAATCCCTCTCTTGCTTATCCCACAGAGTAATTGTGAAGACAAAAATGGGATAATAAATCTTGAAAAAATTTTGTAAGTTAAAAGTGCAGTATAGTAATTTTTAAAATATGTATTAAATATCTCCTGTGTTGAAGTGCACTCCTACAGAATACAAACATGAAGAAGACTTGGTCCTGGCACTTAACTCATAAGAAATAAACTGCAAGGAAGGGCCAGAAAGTTGTTAATTTTATTTCACTGTAAAATTAAATCAGTCTGACATAAATTCATTACAACAATGGCTCAGGAAGGGGTAATACACTCTATTGAAATGGAAACCCACCTGGTGACTTAATAACATCTGAAAATACTACCCAGTGTCTGAATAATCCCTTCTTCTTTAAGCTGTCCATAATGGTGTAGTCGTGATTTCAAGCTAACTGTTCTTACTGCATTTTTCCCATGATTTTCAGACCTGCTTTTGGTCCTCTGTTATTTATTTTTTTAAGTTTTGGCAGTGTCTGTTATAAAGCAAAGCAGGTATATCTGTGAGGTCTCCATAAATTGATAGTGGGTTTTGGGTCTGCTAGGTTTGATACATCTCAGCCCAGTTTATGGGATGATTTCTTTAAAAGCTTTTAGGCACAAACTCATAGCTCTGTGTAAATTCCTTTATCTTAACACAATTGAGGTGTGTGGTCATAGCAACACTACCATGTCAGGAATGTGTGCCCTCTGAGTACATTTCACTGGTATGAATAGTTATCATCTGTGCATGCTTGCTCATTTATTCAATAAGCACTTGCTGAGCCCTTCCTCCTCTGGTAGAAGTATTAGAGTCTCAGAAAAAGACGCTGCTGCCTGTCTTTATAACATATGTTGGCAAATGTTAATGCAAAGTAGAATGTGCCATGTATTTTGGATATTCTGTTTTTTTTTTTATTTTTATTTTCCCTCCCACTGTTCTCATCAGGTGGATAGTCTGAAAATGGAGGGATCAGTTTTGACCTCAGGGGGCCTGCGAGTAGCTCTAAGCCCAGGGCAGAGGTGCATATGCAGTATGCAGAGAAAGCTAAGCAGGTGGCATTTACGCTGAATCTTGAATTATTGGTAAATGTTTAACAGGTCAGATGTTCTCTTAGAAAGTTATCTGTTCCTTACCATCTGAGGGCCAATCTTAGTGGTTCTGCCATTGTTTCCGTTTTATTGAAATTCCTTATTTTCCCCTTTGCCCATTTTCTAACATCATGTTTTAATATCAGTGTACTGAATGGCCATGGTTTGCAGTAACTTCTTAGAAATGCTTGGTAAATACACCTGGAATTTTTTTTTCCTTCCAAAATAATCCCAGAAAAAACATCTACATGAACTCAAAGTGAATATTTAGAAGCTTTTTCAAAAAATTTATAGAGCCGAGTACAGTGGGATTATGGCAACCTATAATCCCAGCTACCTGGGAGGCTTAGGCAGGAGGGTTGCTTGAGCCCAGGAGTTCAAGACAAGCCTGGGCAACATAGCAAGACCCTGTCTCAAAAAAAAAGTTACAGATAAGAGTTCTTATATTTTAAGCATTTAGGTTATTAGAGATATTTTTTCTTATTATAAATAGTTTTATGACTGTTATTTAAGACTGTTTACTCTTTAAATTTTTTTTTTCTTATTCTATACATATTCTGCTTATGTAGGGACTGTGTTTACTTTTGATGCAAAAAAAAAAAACAAAAACTGAATGTTTGGAATATGTACATGTGTATCAAATCCCTAAACATAATAATGTTTCTTTTCCAGATTACGTCCCTATTGGCCCTCGATTTTCAAATCTTGTATTACAGGCTCTTCTCGTTTTACTGAAAAAGGCACCTCCTCAGGTAAAATAATACTACTAATAAGGAATATTTTAACAAAGAGTTTTTCAGTAAATCGCATATAATGATACAATCTTTAAATAAGCAGGTTATCATAAACATAAAATTCTGTTGTTGAAAGGATTTTGAAAGGTCGTCCAGTCTTGACTTCTGTTTAAGGTAAATTATTTTATCAACAGAATTTTTCCATTCCTTTTCTGAAGAAATCAAAATCCCACAGTTTCTGTGTGGAATACAACAATTAGCATTGTATTTTGTTGTTTTGTAAGTTTTCCACCATATTACATATCCCTACTACCTCCAACTGCCAAGGGAGATTATGATATTAATAGAGAAGGCATTGAATATGTTCCCATATGTTTCATTTATAATTTCATGGGTTTTCCTAAAAATTTGTTTATGGGGATATTTAAGTTTATTTTCTTTGGGCAGTTAAAAAACTATTTTTAACAGATGATCTTGAGTTATTTTTCTTGGGTCATGTGGCACTTTTGAGGAGTGAATTTATAGCCAGGATCTTGATTCCTGTGTTTGCATTTTTACTGATGTGGCTATTAGAGACTTGTGATTTTGGTAGGTTAACAAATTTAAAACCAACCTATGAAGGTTGGTTAAATATGTTAATTATGTAGAGGCTGCCAGAGCATGTTTGGCTGTGTCACAAGACATGAGTTCTCTTGATTGATTCTGCATGCTGTAACCTTGAAAAATGCCAATCAAAGGCAGGTACAAAGCAGTTAAGCACTGACTTGAAAAGCATCTTAATGTCTGTATGAGAATCTCATATTTAAAGTTAGAGATAGAAACTAATCTGTAAGGAAAATATTTACTCTTAAACTGGTGAATCTAATTTTTAATTTAACAGTTATATATGTGCGTGTATTTTGCACTTAAAAGTAAATGACTTGTCTTGGTTTTTCTGGAGTTTTTTTTTAACTTCTAAAATAATGAAAAGAAACATAACCTATAATAGTCTTGAAGATTTGCAACATATGTGTACTGTGGAAGGATTTTTAAATCAGCTTTTCATAAACCATCATTCCTAGTAATTGGAGTCTTAGCTTATACTAAGGGTGAAGTTAGAGAGGTGAGTGTATTTTCCCTTTCTCTGATTCCTGCAATATTTTCTTAAGTAAGTAAACGTATATATCTAAAGTTGCTGAAACAGAAATAATTATCTACATATATCATGATTCCTCCAATGTTTTCATAAATAAGTAAACGTATATATCTAAAGTTGCTGAAACAGAAATAATTACCCCCAACATCTACATATATTATGCACACAAAAAAACTTTATGTCAGCATATTAATTATAAAAACTATTAGAATGTGAGACTTTTTCTAGGCATTTAAATTTATCTCTTAAAATAGTTCTTCTTTTTTAGCTGAAAATAATTTATGCTAAAAGTCACTTGGGAGAAGGAAGATTAACTTCAGTGCTATCTTATACTTCTTGTTCTTTACATTGTTAAATACTATACACATTGATTTAAACAGAGGTACACCCCCTTGGCTGAGAAGCATTTGTGATCCAAAGTAGATACTAACAGAAATAAACAGAAACTATTAACGAATGATCTGCCACACTAAGATTTAAGAATAATTGTTTCTGTGTTGTAAAACTTATTGTAAGATTTTTGAGGGAAGGAACATTATCTTATGCTTTTAAATCTCACAGCCAATGGCATAGAGGCTTATACGTACATGCTTCACAAATACCTTATCAACAAAAAAAAATTTTTCAGTGTCTTTTCATTTTAGTGGGCTCAAGTGTTTTCATATTGCTGGAGTTTATATTTAGACAGGATATGATAAGAGTGAAAACATTCAAAAATAAGTAAAGTTCAAATGGCCAACAAGTATAAGAAGAGGTACTCAACATCATTAGTCATCAGAGAAATGCAAGTCAGAACCAATAGTGAGATACCACTCATTGCATACCTGCTAGAATGGCTATCATCAAAAAGTCAGGTAATGACAAGCGCTGGTGCAGATGTGGAGAAATTGGAACCTGTATGCACTGCTGGTAAGAATGTTCCTCAAAGAGGTTAAGCATAGAGTTACCATATAACCCAGCTATTCCACCAAGTATACACCTACAAGCAATGAAAAACATATGTCCACATGAAAGCTTGTATGTGAGTATTCATAGCAGCATTATTCATAACTAAACATTTATCTGATAAAATCTAGTATATCCATATAATGGAATATTACTCAGCAATAAAAAAAAGTAGTACCATTACATACTACAACATGAATGAACTTTGAAAACATGCTAAGCAAAAGGAGCCAGTCAAAAAGACCACATATTGGATGATTCCAGTTACATGAAATGTCCAGGACTGGCAGATCTATAAAGACAGAAAATATATTTGGGATGGCCTAGGGCTGGGAGGGGAGAATGAGAAGAGTGAGAGGGTCACTGCTAATGGGTATGGGGTTTCTTTTTGGGGTGATAGAAATGCTCTAAAATTGATTTTGGTGGTGTTGTGTATATCTGTGAATATACTAAAATACTGAATTGTACACTTTAAATGGGTAAACTGTGTGCTCTGTGAACCATATCTCAAGCGATTACATTTTTTAGAAGTGGTTTAGGAGCTACTTAAATGATGAAAGGAGACATAGAGTTAGAAGTGAGGGGTGAGCATCCAAGGTACGTGGCCCAGCTTGGGAGAAAGAGGAATTGGATCATTTAAAAAGAACATGGAGTGAATTTATCTAAGGACTGAAGAGGAAGAATATAGAAATATGTAAGAAGTAAGAGATGTGGTTGCCTTAGTGATTGGAAATGGCAGGGGTTCTCTCTGAAGGGAATACCATCTGGTCATTAATCTGAATTTGGTGACTCTGACCTGGACTGCCAGATTACCTGCAGTATACATGAATCAGTGACAGGATAAATTAATATTTGTAGTATTTCTAGTTGGCATGTATTTAACAAAATAAAAATGTGCTTTGTCATACCACCTTGCTTTTTAAAATGTTTATATTCTCTCAAGAAAATAAGGGGAAATTTTCAGGCTGATCCAAGTGTTAAGAATATTAGTCATTGTAAAATGGAAGCATTCACTTTGTCAAACCATTAGCATATAGTTTTTTCAGATGTTTTTAATTAAATATTAAAGGTATATTCAGCTAAATATTGTAGAAATGCATAGAGTGATAGAAAAATATTTATTACTGGTAAGAAAACAAAAGTTGTGAGCATTTTTCTTTAAAAGGAGGAACTATACTTATATACACTACAGTAATCATATCAGTCACAGAATCCTCAATTTTGCATTTGTTGTATTTCCAGCTTTCACACAGAAAAATTGTGTGTGCATGTGTGCACGTGCTCAAATAAAAGAATCCCTTCAGGGGCACTATGTTGTTATGTATCCAGATATTCTCTTTTCTCCTTCCACCCCTCCCCCACCACCCCCTCCCTTCTTGTAAATTGGCTTATTAAAACTGGTTCCCAAGCCCTCCTTTTTTCCCTTTGTGATTGCCTTGGTCTTGGATTTTCAGTGTAGAACTAAAAATTCAAGTCAGATTTCAGTTACTAGGATAATTTTCTTTGAATTTTAAATTTTTCTAAGTAAATGCATAGATTTTTAATGAACCTGGTATTCAGTGGATTTGCTTTAAATTTAGCTGCAGAGTTAATTTCATGATTGATTTATTAGCCCTTTGAAAGTATAAAAAGTGGTATCTGCAGTTCGTGAAGAGTGAAAAACATCATCACATTTTGTTTAGCATCTTTTTAAAACCAATTAAAAGCTTTTCTAAAATGGATTGAACAGGAGAAAATAAAACATGTTCCCTAGGTCTTTATTTCAATCAAGTTTCCCTGTGTTCTGCAGGAGAAGAGATCGAGAGGGGATAGAAAAATTGAAAAGGGCTGTCCCAGCAGGGAGCCAAGCCGGAAAAAAGGGCTTCTCTGAGAACTCAGCAGCAGCAGCTAAGAAAGCTCCCAGCCTGCTTCATCTACATGCAGAGTCACACAAGGCATGGGGGTGCTCACTGTCACACAGAGGTTTCACATGTGCTTCCCTGCTGATTCCTGTGAAAAGCTAACAATTGGCTTGGAGGGTAAAAGACCACTGCAGTTCACCCTCCCTGAGCTGGACGTACAATTTGTCCAGTGTTAGGAAATGTCCGGCTTAGCAGTGAGAGGCTTGAAGACACCCCTCCTTCCAGTGAGATTCCTAACGCCGTCTCTTTTACTTGATGACACTGGGGCTCTTTTCAAGTTTTGCAGATTTATGGAAGTTGAGGGGAATGTGCTTTTCAAGATCAGGAGGATGAAAGCCTTGGTCTTAATGTCAAGGAGGAAGCGGTAGTGAGTGGTAAGGCCAGGTAACTCTTCCTGCAGCCTGCAGGACCAGTGGCTTGATTTTTCCTCATAGATCTCTTCTGCCACCTTCTTTTTTTTTTCTTTTTGGGAGACAGAGTGTCTGAAAAGGAACTCCTTGGGCTGTAAAATGACATGATTCCCCAGTTTCCTCAACAAGTGTGAGAGTAGTTAAGCCTATTAACCTCACTGTTTAATGCTGGGTTTGACACTTTTGTGCATCAAATTGGAAAACCTCATCTGTATGTAACAGGGTAGCCTCGTAATTTATGGAGGAGCAATCCTTCCTCAGTTCAGTGCTTCCCAACCTTTTTAGATTATGGTGCATACAAAATGATAACATCTGATGATACACTTGGGTAAGTGGATGAGGCCACTCACAACTGGCCAGGGCTCTAGCCTTCCCAACAGCTGGCAGGAATTGATATCTTAGTCCAGGTATAACTCATTTGAAGCTCAACGATTGGAAAACTCTTTGGAAACTTTAAACTTTTACAAAAGAAGAATTACCACTCCAACGTCATAGCAGTATTACTGAAGTAGAACTCAGACCTAACAGTTATTAGTGTTCTGGCTAAATTTTATGATGTTGTTGAGAATAGTAACTTCCTCGCTGCTCTGACACCTAGGAATATTACCTAATAAGAGAGAAATACAGCTTAAAGCTTGGAGGACCTAAGGTGTGGACCAATAAGAAACTGTCAGCATTCTCAGGATGGGGACTTGGGTAGACACACTTGTTTCTGCATGAGTTTTGTTTTTAACATCAGCAGTCTCTAGACAACATTGCTTTCATGTAGTCCTTACATGACATCTTAGCAGTCTTACTTCAGATATGGTTATAGGACATCTTGGTATCTTGATAATATTAAGCAACTCTTTAGGCTTTGGGTTGCTTTAGTGAAATAAGCAGATAATGGAAGAGACTCCAAATCATGCAGGCCTAAACATGAGTATCTCTCCATCTATTTGTTCAAAATTAACTCTGGCTAATGACTATGATATGACTCAATAAGATATATAACCACTTTAGGAAAGAGGCTTAGTCATTTTGCCAGACACATTAATTTTAATCCACTGATGTGGTGACTTTTGCATTGGGCTTCATTTCTTTTATCTAAAAAAAAAAATGATGCTTGACAGTTTAGTGGCCTGCTTAGTAAGTCAGTGACATTAGATACCTACTATATTTATAATATTCTCTTTAGGTATACTTTGCTTAGTATAGTAGATTTTCTTGGAAAGTCCTTTGTAGATTGAACATGTGTGTGTGTATATATACATATCTCTGAGGACAAAGGAAATTTCCAGAGATCTGTGTTCTTGTTTTCTGGACAGAAAGATAATGTATAGTGAATGTATAGTGATCAACTAAGATAATGCCTAGTGAAGCCCTTTGTAAACCTGTGGACTACATAGATAGACAGTATTAAAGAACATATATATATAGTACATATATATGTAGATTAATTTCAAATGTATCAAAAACAGTGAAATAGGCCAGACATTGTGGCTCACGCCTGTAATCCTAGCACTTTGAGAGGCCAAGGCAGGAAGATTGCTTAAGGCCAGGAGTTCGAGACCAGCCTAGGCAACATAGTAAGACCAGTCTTTACAAAAAAAAGTTAGTCGAATGTGGTGGTGAGCATCCGTAGACCCAGCTATTCAGGAGGCTGAGGCAGGAGGATCGCTTGAGCCCATGAGTTCAAGACCGCAGGAAGCTGATTCTTACCACCGCACTCTAGCCTGAGTGATAGAGCAAGACTCTGTCTCTAAAAACAAAACCAACAAAAAACAGTGAAGTAAATTATTTTATAAAACATTGCTACAGATATCTGCTGAATAAAATCAAATTTTCAAAATAGGGTTTTGTTTTGGTTTTGGTAGAGCACATCTATAGTAGATATTAATACCAGAATAAATTATAAGATATATATGCCATTTTCTGATAACTCAAAATTAAATATCTAAATTTTAATCATCAGAGAAATGCTAATAGTGTTGAGACGAAATATTTTTTCATTGCTAGAATGTATTCTTCCAGATCCATTGCCTTAAATAAGTTACTGTGGCATTACATTAGCTTTTGAAAGGTGGGGATTATAACGTCGTAGTAGTCCATGGGTGCCATGACTCTAGTTAAGAGCACCCTTTCTGTAGAACTTACTCTTTGTATTGAACTTGAGGTTTAAAAAAAAAAAAAAGAAACCTATGTCTTAGCTCAGATATCATCTGGCATTATAGCCTTGAACGTCCCTTAATTTCTTGGTGTCTATTTCTTCATCTGTAAAATAGAGATAATTCCTCATGTGTTACCTACTCTGTTGAGGGTCAGCTAAGATAATGTGTAGTGAAGCCCTTTGTAAACTGGTGGACTACATGAGCTGTCCAGGCGCAGTGGCTCATGCCTGTAATCCCAGCACTTTGGGAGGCTGAGACAGGTGGATCATTTGAGGTCAGGAGTTCAAAACCAGCATGGCCAACATAGTGAAACCCGATCTCTACTAAAAATACAAAAATTAGCTCAACGTGGTGGTGTGCACCTGTAATCCCAGCGACTCGGGAAGCTGAGGCAGGAGAATTGCTTGAACCCAGGAGGCGGAGTTTGCAGTGAGCTGAGATTGTACCACTGCACTCCATCCTGGGTGGATGGAGTGAGACTCTGTCTCAAAAAAAGAATTGCCTTTGGATAGTCCACAGAACCTTTTCAGCTTGTAAGATAGGAAAACTGAAGAACGTATAATAACTGCTATATAGAGGAAGTTTCCATAGGAAGTGAGTTCAGAGCTCCCACTTTGGAATGCCTGAACCCAACTTCCCTCATTTGCAGTACTGGGAAAAGAAACCTGCTTCCCCATCTCTCATTCACTGAAATTTAGAAGCTTCCTACATCCTAAGACAAATACTCTTGTCTGGGGATTAGGGATTCCTGTTGTAGAAAGAAGTAGGAAGTGGAGACAGGAATTGCCAAGATCAGTAGGCCACCACCAGGTCACACTTGTCTTCAGCCTCCAGGGACTGGCCCACCTGCTTCCTTTCCCTGCCACCACCTGTTGCTTGTGGCTGAAGTTCCCCTTTTCTCCTAACTCATGGTGCAACAAAGTGGTGCTTCACAGTTTCTTTCCTACCTTTCTGTCCCAGAAACAAGAATGCAGATCTTTGGAGATTTCCTGTGTCCTTGGGGATCTCACAATGGCCAGAAGCCCTGGCCCTCCCTCTACTCCTTACCCTGTTAATCTTGGATGGTAGGATTATAGGTGATTTCTTTTTTATTTTGCTTTATTGTTTCCTGTACTTTATAGATTTTCTACAATAAGCATATGTTACTTTGATAATCAGGAAAAAATAAAAAATGTGTATACAATTATTTTTAACTTAGCAGTATAACTGTCAAAAATTCCTTAATTCCATTGCTTTGGTACTAATTTGCTGCTAACCACTAGGGTTAAATGAGACTACCTTTGTATCTAAGCTTGTCTATGTATAATATATTTTTAACCTTGTTCTTTTTATGACTTAAGATTTAATTGAATATCTGAAATATGCTGTGGGTTTTGGAGTAAAAGTGTGCAAGTGCCTCCTAACTCTCACAGTTGTCCTGGGAAACCCACCTGGCACTTGGCTCAGTGCCATGCTCCCCATCTAAACTTACCATGGTTGAATGCCAGTGTGACTAAAGTTGACCAAGGTAGATGGTAACGATTGTCTTAAGCTTCATTGAAAGGAGATCGGAAGTTTCTTTTTCACCAAAAATATTTCTTTTGACATAGAAGTTTAAAACATTTCTTTAAGGAACATCTGCTTTTATTAGATGTACATTTAAGAAATCCTTCTCAGTATAGAGATAAAAAGATGAATAAGACATTGTACCTGCCCTCAGATGGCTCATAGTCCAAGAACACTGTTCAATTGTGAAGTTTGTGCACAAGGTGGGCACAGGTCAAGTAGCAAATGAAGGTTAACATCCAGCCCACATGCTGCCCACCAAGGAGTCCACCCTGGTTTGGGACTGAATCTGCCCTGAGTAAGGTTACCAGATTTAGCAGATAGGAATATAGGATACTTAGTTAAATTTAAATTTCAGAAAAACATCACATAATTTTTTAGCATCAGCATATCCCATATTTTGGTCAGACTTATACTCAGGTATTTCTCTAGCAACCCTAACGCTGAACAAGAGGAAGAGGGTGCCTTTTAGCTCATACGAGGTGCTGGGGCTTGGGGAAGGAAGCAAGGGTGGCCGCACTCACCCAGATGATTGCTTTTTTCTAATTTGTTCACCTAGGGTGTGTGTGCGTGTGTGTGTGTGTGTGTGTGTGTGTGTTTTCTGATCCATGCAGAAGCTAACTGGTGTCCCTGTCACAATCCAGGGTGGGAGAAAGATGTGAAAACATGATGCATAGAGTTAGGTTTTATATGTTACGTGGTTCCAGTGGAACATAAAGGAAAGTGTGGTCCATTTTACCTGAGAAGATGTGCAAATCATTCACAAATAGTAGTTTCGGATCCTGGTCTTGAAAGATGAGTAAAAGGGAGATTTAGTCAGGGCCATTGTGCCATGCTAAGGAATTCAAGCGCTGCAGCAATGGAGAGAGAAGGTGAAGGATTTATGTATGCTAAAATTAGCATATTATTATTATTATTATTATTATTAGAGATAGGATCTTGCTGTGTTGCCCAGGGTGGAGTGCAGTGACGCAGTCTCAATCACTGCAGCCTTTACCTCCTGGGCTCAATTGATCCTCCCGCCTCAGCCCCTGGAGTAGCTGGGACAACAGGTGCACACCACCACACCTGACTAATCTTTATATTTTTTGTATAGACAGGGTTTTGCCATGTTACCCAGGCTGGTCTCAAACTCCTGGGCTCAAGCAGTCCACCCACCTCAGCTTCCCAGAGTGCTGGGATTACAGGTGTGAGCCATTACACCCAGCCTAAATTTTTTTAATTAACGTACAATATGATACTTGAGAATTTGAGGATATGTTCTGTGTACTTATCTTAGGCTTCATATGGCATAGTTTCACTGGAGGGAAGAATAGAAATTCATAAGAAATTATAGGCTTCATTTTTTCTAAGTGACTGAAGCTTAACCTCTTTAAATATCAATTATTATACTTTAGCCTTTTTTAAGAGGAAAAAAATTGCTACATACATTCTTAGTGTCTGAAGCAAAGTATAATAAACTCTATGTTAATGAATAAGGACCATCATAACAAACCATAATTGATGGGTCAGTATTTTCATGGGTGGGACTCAGCAGGAACTGTTGGAATATACAGGATTCCGTCCTGGTGCCTGTTAGGTAGATACGGTGTGCCCTGTTTGTTGAGTTTTTTGTACCTTTTCTTTTTTTAGTGGTTTTGCTATCAGCTGTTACTTGCAGAATCCAAGTGAGTTGTGTCAGCTGGCCTGCCTCTGATGACTCCTTTTTCCAGTGTGCTGCTTTCATCTGCTATAAATTAAGGCAGGCAACCACCAGGATTCATGAGCTGTTCATACAGTAAGAGAACTAAACTGTGGTTGGGCGCAGTGGCTTACGCCTATAATCCCAGCACTTTGGGAGGCCAAGGCAGGAGGATCACTTGAGTCCAGGACTTCTAGACCAGCCTGGGCAATATGGCAAAACCCCATCTCTACTAAAAATACAAAAAAGTCCAGGCACGGTGGCTCACACCCGTAATCCCAGCACTTTGGGAGGCCAAGGCAGGAGGATCGCTTGAGTCCAGGACTTCTAGACCAGCCTGGGCAATATGGCAAAACCCCATCTCTACTAAAAATACAAAAAAGTCCAGGCACGGTGGCTCACACCCGTAATCCCAGCACTTTGGGAGGCCAAGGTAGGTGGATCATTCAAGGTCAGGAGTTCGAGACCAGCCTGGCCAGTATGGTGAAACCCCCGCCTCTACTAAAAATACAAAAATTAGCCAGGCATGGTGACAGGCGTCTGTAGTCCCAGCTACTCAGGAGGCTGAGGCAGGAGAATCGCTTGAACCCAGGAGGTGGAGGTTGCAGCGAGCCGAGATCGCGCCACTGCACTCCAGCCTGGGCAACAGAGCGAGACTCTGTCTCAAAAAAAAAAAAAAAAAAAAAAAGCCAAGCATGGTGGTGCACACCTGTAATTCCAGCTACTCGGGAGGCTGAAGTGGGAGAATCACCTGAGCCCAGGAGGTCGAGGCTGCAGTGAGTGGAGATCATGCAACTGCACTCCAGCCTGGGCAACCAGAGTGAGACCTTGTCTCGAAAAAAACACAAAAACATAAAACTGGGCTGCAGTGAGAGCTGGAGAGGCCTTCCAGAGAGCAAGGCCCCATTTTGACTCCTGTGGGCCCCTTCCTCTACTAAAAAAAAAAATAAATTTTCCACCTGTTGGTACAAAGCTGAATATATTACTATATTAATATTTTCTTCCACCAAAAAGTTCTTTTTTTCTGATTTTTTTTTTTCCAGGAGTGCAGTGGCGCGATCTCAACTCACTGCAACCTCTGCCTCCCGGGTTCAAGCAATTCTCATGCCTCAGCCTCCCAAGTAGCTGGGACTACAGGCGCACACCACCACACCCAGATAATTTTTTGTATTTTTAGCAGAGATGAGGTTTCACCATATTGGCCAGACTGGTCTCAAACTCCTGGCCTCAAGTGATCCGCCCTCCTCAGCCTCCCAAAGTGCTGGGATTACAGGCCTGGCCTGATTTTAAAAGAAATTAGAATAATACTTTCATGGGTTCCTCAAAGTTTCATAGGCCCTGGGCACTGTGTCTAGTGGGTAAGTTGTCCTTGCCTGTCAGTTTTAAAGTTACTTGAACCTCACATTGTTTTTTCAGTACTAGGAGTGAGAGGATTTTTGCTTATTTCTGGTTCTTGGCTGTGCTCTGGATAGTTGAAATTGTTTAGCAGATTGGCCTCCAGATAAGTAAGGCATTATTATTGGATATAGTAAATTCATGTTCTGGAAGTTTGGGGCCTAAAGGAGCAATGTGGGCTCTGTAGGGTTAAATGAGGGCAGGGTATGGTGAGAAGGCAAATTTTGAAACATTGTGAACATAAGAGACAATTGCAAATTGGCAGAAAACTGGAGAAAGCATTTTAATAAACAAATGCTATGGATAAAAATCACAGAGGTAAAAATTAAATTAGAAAGGAGAATATTGACCTGATTAGAACACAGGGGTCAATTTAGGGTATATCAAGCTAAAAGCTGAGATAGGTAGGGAAAATCTACTGTGGATATAAGAGTGGGGAGTTTGGATTTGCTGATTAATGTGTGGTCATCTTAGTTAAGTTTCTAATGAGAGAGCATGCACAGAACCCTTCCTTTAAGGTATTAAGAATACTATGGCATGGTCAGTACAACTTTATCTTTTTCTTTTTTTTTTTTTTTGGACACCAAGTTTTGCTCTTGTTGCCTGGGCTGGAGTACAATGGCACGATTTCGGCTCACTGCAACCTCCGCCTCCTGGGTTCAAGTGATTCTCCTACCTCAGCCCCACAAGTAGCTGGGATTACAGGCATGCACCACCACGTCCAGCTAATTTTTGTATTTTTAGTAGAGATGGGGTTTTACCATGTTGGCCAGGCTGGTCTTGAAATCCTGACCGTTGGTGATCTGCCCGTCTCAATATCTTCTTAATTTATTTAACCTTTTCTCCTAAGAGCACAGAGGTCATTATTTCTAGGTAATAAATCTCCCTAACTCAAATTAAGAGATCAGCCATTGCTGATATGGGGCTTGTGGGGGCAGGGGCAAGAGTGGACCCCAAATCTAGTTTAAAATTACACAAATAAAAACAGTAGACAGCAAAGCATAGTGAAAATAGCAATGAGGCCTGAACTGTAGTTTCAGCTCCCTCACTGGACATGAGAGCCTCAGACAGATCACTTTACCTCTCACCCCAGGTTTCTCATCTGCAAAATGAGACAGAGAATGAGGGGGTTTGGGGGAATGAGGTAATCTTTAAGAGCTGCTCCCAATGTAAAATCTGATGATTCAGTGTCTTTTTCACAAATTGGAATTAGATATCCTTTAATATCATGAAGTCTGCTTTTGCCTATAGTATTTTAAATTATTAAGGGTTCAGTTTCTCGTTTCATATTCAGTCTGTATCATGAATTCCCCCCCTTATTGTCTTCTGTCCTGCTTGCAGCACCATGAGGATGGTTACAAAGAAGTAGACTAAGAATTTGCTTCAGGGTAAAATCTAATGGAGAGTTTAAGTGTAGTTGCCTGCCTAGTTGTGGCATGATTTATTTGAAACATCCTTCCTTTGGTATTCAGCTTAAACATTTAACTGCAAAAAAAAAAGAAAAGAAAAAGTTACAGGCATTTAAACAAGAGAAATCAGAAATGCATGCAAAGAGGCCCAATTCCTCTCCCTTCACTTGTCTCTGGTTGCTTTTAATGGTAGTCGATCTTTTCCCTTGGTTTGGGGAAACCAAGAGTTGTAGGAGATGTTAATAGTACTTGGTTTTTGTTTTTGTTGTTGTTGTTGTTTTGAGATGTTTTGCTCTTGTTGCCCAGGCTGGAGTGCAGTGGCGCCATCTCGGCTCACTGCAACCTCCGCCTCCCAGGTTCAAGCGTTCTCCTGCCTCAGCCTCCTTAGTAGCTGGGATTACAGGCATGTGCCACCACGCCTGGCTAATTTAGTAGAGACAGCATTTCACCATGTTGGTCAGGCTAGTCTCCAACTCCTGACCTCGTGATCCACCCGCCTCGGCCTCCCAAAGTGTTGAGATTATAGGTGTGAGCCACTGCACTGGCCAATAGTACTTGTTATCTCACTAGCTTAGGTTAATGACAGCTAATGAATCTTATCTTTCCTCTGCTAGAGAAGTCTGTGTTATCCAGTCAATAGCTAATCAATTGATTAAAAGAGATAAGCCAGACTTTGGCACGAAGCATACATGCCGTTCATTCTAGATTATTTTCTTTAAAATTTGTTGCTATCAACACTTGGGGCTCAGAGGTGTAGACTCTGAAATGATAGTTACTTTCCTTTTGGACACTTAATATAATGTGCATTTTTCTAGGACCAGAAAGTAATAATGAAGGAGTGATCTGCTACCCTTGAAAGCTATACTGGGATTATCATTCATTCAGTGCATATTTATTAACTTTGTACTTTGTACAAGGCAGTATGCTAGCCCTGGAAACATCAGTAAAGCCAAACCGACTTAAGTCCTGTCCTGATGAAGGAGAACTAGCAAGAAATACAGTAAATATAGTAAGTATATAGTATGTAAAAGGCGATCCAAACTGGAGGAGGGAAAGGGCAGGATAAGGGTTGGGGAGTTGCAGTTTTAAATGGAGGTATGTGGGGATTGAGTTGGCCTGTGGAAAAGCTGACATTCAGGCAGGTCCTTGACTTGGAGGGAAAGGCCTGTGTGGCTATGGAAGGGAAGAGCATTCCAGGCAGAGGAATCCTCTCTGTGTGCCAGGCATGCCATGCTGAGTACTGCAAGGGCGCAGATGGATGATACGTGGTTTCTACCATCGGGGAGTTGACAGGCTAGAAACAAGATTCAGGCTTGAAGATAAATGCAGAGAAGCACTATGGCAAGGTAGAATTTTTCTAAGGGTCTCTGTTGAATAATACAAGCTAAGAAAATATGAAAAATTATTCCTATTTCAAGAATGAAGCCAGGTTAAGTGATAGACCAAAGGACCTCTACCAGGAAAGCTTCTTACTCTTGGCTCTGAGCCAATTTCCTCCTCAGAAGTTGCTGCCTCTCCCTGAGGCCCCACGCTGCCATGAGTCCTTCTGACTCCCTGTGAGTCACCCCACTGCCATGACTCCTTCGGAGGGGGTGTCTGACCTCTTGCTTCAGGCCTCTTCTGGGCCTCACAGTAACCCTTGTGAAGCTGAAGATGGGAGCTCTCATCTTCCCTAACCCAGAGCCAACCTTGGCCTCTCTGCGTCATTTGCTGCCAGTGCCCTGTGTTTGTTTTTGGGAAGAGAGGGATTTTCAGGCATCCCGTCCCTCACCCACCTGACCTAACCGTATGGATTCCTGACACCACAGGCAGAGGACTATTCTTCAGGTTCCTCTGAAGCCCACCTGTTCAGATGCTTGCTTCTTTTCCTTCTTGCCTGTTCTGACTGTGATGACAGAGACCCCGCCTCAGGAATCTCCACCTCACACTCTATTCTCATAAGTAGGTAGAATTTTCTCATCGCATATTTATGGTTGAGGAGGAGATAGATGCTGAGAAGTTAAATAATCTACCCCAAATCACACAGCTGTGAGTGATGGGGCCTCTACTTCTGTTGCACCAAGCTACCTGTCCATCAGGGGACTTGCCTCACCATTGCTTTCTGCCAGCCCTGGGCTTGCCTTAAAAAGGACATCATATGCATAAGACACTGGTTAAAAGGTGCAGCATGGTCCCTGGAGATGCTCACTCTTACAACTGGCCTGTCCTTGGGGCAGCAGCTCCTCACAGGCCCCTAAGAGGTAGACCTCCTGCCTGTGGCTGCCAGAACCCTCTTCTCCATCACAGGTCTTCCTCCTCAAGAGCCTTCTCTGGTTTCCTGTTGCTTTTTATATTAAATATTTCCCTTAGTTTAGCATCCCGAGTCTGCCTTTTGCTGATTGTTCCCTCCCTGTGTCTGCAGACAACTTCGTTTTCAGCCTTGGTGCTCTGTCTCAGCTGCTTCTACCACACACATAGGATTTAGGCGCATTCAGGACCTGTCCCTTCTTTTCAAGGGCCTTGCCAGTGCCTACTTGTTGTCATTGTCTTTGCAGTACTACGGATAACCTTCCTAGATAACCCCCCTCCAGGAAACTGTCCCCATAAACCGGGTGCCCTCCGCCATGATTAGTTTGTATTTGCGAGTGTGTTACTTGGTTGTGTTCCCTGAATATTTATTTGGTTTTCCCAGCTAAGTTGTAACTTATTTGAAGGCACAAACCAAATCTCATAATTCTATTAAGTACCTAAAAGGAGTAAATTATTGTTAATGCTCCAATTGGCTAATGTCTATTTCATATTTTACTTACCAGATTTACAAATGCTTAATATTCTGAAATATTTCACTCTCATTTACAAAAACATCAGATTCTACTAAGCAGAAAATAAAGTTTAATGCCCCCAGCACATAGCAGTTTTGAGTTGCACTTTTAAACTCACTTCTTAATCCATTTCAGGGTTTTCAATTGTTCACAGTTAATTCTTCTTACCAAGGGTGTATTACACTTGCTCAGCATTGAATGATATGGAAAGAATGGCCTTTCTTTCCTGCATAACTGACTTTACTTTTGTTCATAGGTTGAAATCAGCCCTTCCATTTCACTGCAGTATTATATTAGTGGCATTTTTATTTAGGGAAAAAAAAAAGCTTTCTTCCACTTGAACTTTTGTTACAAATCAGTTTATTGGGTCCAATCAATGGGCAAGACCTATGAAAGGGTGTGGATTATCTGGTTGGTCCTTTGTGTGGCAAAAGGCTTAGATGCTGCTTAGTACTCGCTCATTCTTCATCATGTAAAGAAGTGTTTTTTTTGAAGGATCAACACCTGACTGAGCCCTGCCTTTTTCATGGAAATGTTTTCACCTGAGTTGCTGCTTATGGTACTAAGAATTAGTTAACTAATACTTATTTAACCTTGGAACAATGTTTATCATAATCCGATTGGCAGATAGTCATTTTACTTAGGCTTTTTCTTTATAGCATCAGGACTAGCAAATCTCAGTAAAGAGTATGCTGGGAGCAATTTCTTTTTTCCCAAATAGGTTATCACTCTGTGCTTTTTTTTTGCTTTCCGTCAAGGGGCATGTTTGGGCACTGTGGACATTAAGACTGGTGGCCACACATTAGGAAGGTGGAGGTCCCCTCTTGGGTTGAGCACCACTTTTGTTTTTAAAGCTGCATCCCCATTTCATGCTGCTGGCAGTGTTTCCCTTCAGACGAATCCCATGCAATGTATCACTTTAATATATTCGGAGCTGTTTTTCATGATAAAGCTTCCTTATGAGCACTACCACTAATTAATACACAAAATGGCCCAGCACAATTTAATAATTTGGTAATGTTTTTCAATGTTTTCTTAAAGATGACGCTTTACAAGTCAAGACCCAAACTTGCCTGGGTCATGACCTCTTTGCAGTTTTTGGAGTCTTGTTAAACAAGAAGGAAAGCAAAACATAAATTAGCGTCTCCAGTATGGTTGCTCTACATTTCCCAATCTTTCAACACTTTGAAGAGCATAGTCACTGTTAATGTAAGAGAACATCTCATGAGGAAACTGGCAGCGATTTTAAAAGTCCGGCTTTCTGGAATGAGTAAGAAGCTTCTTCCTCAGTGCCACTGTTCTAGGGCCAACATTGTCCTTTGTGAGAGAGGAGCAAGATGAGGAAGTTTGCATTATGGACTATGGAACATTAAAAAGCTAAAAAAGAGAAGTAACAGTTACCTTTAATCATACTGAGGATGTATCAGCATGTGTGGCCTTTGGCATCTGTTAGCCTTTAGGGCTATGTTCCCAAGTTTGCCATTAGAATTTAGTGTTAAAAAATACTTTAAATATAACAGCACCACTTTTTGTTATAGTAAAAATGTATGTCTTTACTCGATTGTAATTACCTCAACACCCAGCTTTTGTTGTTATTTTGCCCTTGGACTTAGGTATTTCTGTTCCTCTGGCTTAGAATGTCCTTCCCCTTCATCTTCCTAATCAACCTACTCATTCCTTACGACTCAACTCATGTATCATCTCCTCCAGAAAAAGCTTTCTCTGCCACGTGTTTCTTCCCTCTACCTGACATCCTTGTGCGTAATACCTCCACCTTTCCATATTGTACTATAATTATCTATTTTGCATCTGTCTTTCTGTGGAAGGTCTGTTGCATATTCATCTAGGAACTTGGTAAATGTCTGATGATAAGCATTTGATTTTTTCCTAGTTGATTCCTCAAATAATAATAATGATTACCCTTTAATCTGAATGCTCACAGGTGTACTTCTATCTCATATTCTATGCGCAGTCATCTGTTAAGCTAATGGCTAATTGTACCAGAGGGTCTCAACTTTGTTTCTTTGATCTGCATTGGTTTATGGTGGTACCTTGCCCATTCTTGGCACAGCAGGTGGATAAAAACAATGAGTAACATTGAGAAAGGCTAATGTGTCTTATTGACAGTAGTGGTATAATGTTTACCAAACCCAAATTGAAATTATTTTGGTTTCTTAAAATCTTTTCCCGATAGCCCATTTATTTTAATGTTCTGAATTTCCAAGATCTGTGTATAGGTTCAATGATTAGTCTTTACTGAAGACTTATCTATGGACTGAGTGTGTATTATAAATCTAGTGACATAAGTTTAAAACTTATTCCTTTTTCATTTTCCAAGTAAACTTTTTTAGTAATGTGTTTTTCTTTGTAAAGACAGGCAGTATATGATTTAGGTCTGGATCTGGTTTCCAGTCTTGGCTCCATCATGTATTGGTTATTTGGCCTTGAACACAAATGACTTGCCTTGAACACAAATGACTTATATCTGTGAGATTCAATAGCTTCATCAGTAAAATGGGGATAGTAGTAGTACTGAATTTTCATGATTATAATGAAAATTAATTGAGAGACTGATCTGGAGAGGTGCCATACTACAAAGAGGATTAAGTGGAGGTGTCCCTATTAAATGGCGAGATACCCAGAAACATTACCCTGTTGACTCCAGTATGCTGGCAACGAGGCTTTATAGTCTTTGGGAAGGAGACTGGAAGATTCTTCTCTGGGAAAAATGTACACATACTGACCTTTGAAGGACCCCCAGTAATCAGCCAGGTCTTACCTGATCATCCTATAGTGAAGCCCCCCGACACAGTATTTCCATTCATAGTTTAGCTCTTAAATGTGAATTAGCTATCCAGCAATCACCAGACACTTGAGGAAAGCCTCCAGAAAACAAATTGGAAAAAGGGGCAAGTCATAGGAAACAGACAAAACAAGGAACAGAAGAAAACATCATTTTTGCAATCTATAATATTCACAAGTTTGTTTTTTGAGACAGAGTCTCACTTTGTCACCCAGGCAGGAGTGCAGTGGTGCCATCTCGGCTCACTCCAGCCTCAAACTCCTTGGCTCAAGCGATCTGCTCACCTCAGGCTCCCAGGTACCTGGGACGACAGGCATTTGCCACCACACCCGGCTAATTTTGGTATTTTTGTTGAGATGAGGTTTCGCCATGTTACCTAGACAAGTCTCAAACTCCTGGGCTCAAGTGATCTGTCCATCTCAGCCTCCCAAAGTGCTGGGATTACAGGTGTGAGCCACCGGCCTCAGAGATCTAAAACAAGATATTGTATTTTAATTGCACAGGATGCAATTAAAAAAGAAAACATTCAGAAAACAAGAAGAGCTCTTAGAACTGAAAAATAAGTTAGTGTAAAGGTTGGAAGATAAAATTGATACTAACCTGAAAAGTATTAGAAAGAGAAAGAAATAAAAACTAAGAGTAAATAAGAAAATTAGAAGATTAGTCCTAGAGAATCAGTATCCAACTAAGAGGTTCCCAGTGGGTGATACAGAGAAAATGAATGGGAGGAAATCTCAAGGAAATGTATTTCCTAGAACTGAATGATTGGAATTTCCAGTTTAGAAAGAAGGAATCTAGTGCCAGCAAAATGAGTATAGAAAGAACCATCTTAGGATATGTAGTTTTCAAATTGCAGAACATAGGAATGAAGAAAAGATTCTGAAAGTTTTGTATTAAAAAGGTTAGAAACAAAAGATCAAAGATCAGATAGCATTTGTCTTTTAGCCTTCAGTGCCTTCAAAATTGTGAGAAAAAAATTATTTCTAACCTTTTTATTTATTTATTTATTTTTTTGAGATGGAGTTTCGCTCTTGTTGCCCAGGCTGGAGTGCAATGGCGTGATCTTGGCTCGGCTCACTGCAACTTCTGACTCTTGGGTTCAAGCATTCTCCTACCTCAACCTCCCAAGTAGCTGGGATTACAGGCACGTGTCACCATGCCCAGCTAATTTTGTATTTTTAGTAGAGATGGGGTTTCGCCATGTTGGTCAGGCTGGTCTCAAACTCCTGAACCTCAGGTGATCCACCTGCCTCGGCCTCCCACAGCACTGGAATTATAGGCATGAGCCACCACACCTGGCCTCTAACCTTATTTTTTACAACTAGCCAAACTATTAAGACAAAGGATACAATAGTAAGGCTAGAATAAAGGTATTTCCAGACATGCAAGGTCTTTAAAATTTTACCTCCCTCACTCTTTCTGAGGAAGCTTTTGGGTACATGCAGCATAGACAGGGGAATAGATGAGGAAAAGGAAGGCTGGGATACAGGGAATCTAACAGAAGAGAGAGGAAAGCTCCAGAACTACAGCTGTGCCCCAGGCCTAGAGAGTCACCGCTTCAGATTGAACTGTGAACACACAGGACTCCTGGAGGGGAATTTCTTCAAGAACACAACTTTAAACTATGTAATGTGTTTGAACATACTGAAAGGAGACTTGTGATTGTTTTAGAGACAAACTTGTGATAAGTACCTGGTAAACTAAGCAAAGGGGAAAAAGGCAATTAACTCCAGTAAAACAAAATGTTGTCCAAGAAAGGAAATTGAATAGTACTCTGCATGGCCTAGCTGTAAACCACATTTGTATAAACATAATAAATACTGAATATAGATTTAACTAAAGACTGTGAAATAACTGTATCGGAAGGATGTAAAAAGGGGCATGTGGTGGGGGAAGGGGGGTAGTGCAAAATTAATAATAAATCCCCATCTTCCATGGTAGGAAGTTAGTAAATCATATTTAAAGCTGAAAACAAAAATCTAAAACCAGTAATGTAACATTATTATTTGAAGATAAGGAAGTAAATATAAGAAGAAAAGCCAAGAGAATTGAAAATGGTTGCCTTTGAAGAAAGGGAACTGAGAATGGTAGCATAAGCCTGGCATAGTTTTTAAACTTTTTTTAAAAAAATATTTTGGGGTTAAAAGTAAAAATGAAAAATATTAAATGTGACAATTATGGAAAGCACTTTAGCCCATGCCTTTTACAGTTCAGTGTTGCATAAATATAAACTCTTATTACCCTGCTCCTTCTAAAAAGTGTACTAAAGCCTTGTAAAGCCAGCGCCACATACTTTCTATTCATTTCATCTTTTTTCCCCAATTCCCACCATACATGTGCCATGTTGGCTCTGAGGAAGGAATTACATACATACACGTCAGTATCTTTCCATTTGTTTGTGTATCTTCTTGATTTACTAATCCATTGTTTTATTGATGTGAATGAGAAGGAGCTGTTCACATGTTGCCACTTTCTGAATCATGTGGTTGGTACCTTTTTTCAGGATTTTCAGGAAAATCCTGAATTGTTTTCTTCTGTTTTGCCTAATCATTTGCATCGGCAAGATTAAATAAAAGTCTTTTGCAAATTGTGTTCAAGCTTACTGTAGTTTCCTAATTAGTCTTATTATGTACATTTTAACACATTTTCTCCCTATGATCAGGGCCGCAAGCTTCTTATCATTGGGACCACTAGCCGCAAAGATGTCCTTCAGGAGATGGAAATGCTTAACGCTTTCAGCACCACCATCCACGTGCCCAACATTGCCACAGGAGAGCAGCTGTTGGAAGCTTTGGAGGTAAAAATGAGTCAATGGATTGCACACTGTTTATAAGAAAGGAATTGAGGCTGAAATAAGTAGTACCACATTATACCTGGTGTTTGGTTTTTATGCTAATCTGGAACATGGGACCCGGGGATATTACAGGTTGTATATACCTTATCCAAAATGCCTGGGACTAGGCCAGGCACGGTGGCTTATGCCTGTAATCCCAGCACTTTGGGAGGACGGGGCAGGTGGATCACTTGAGGTCAGGAGTTCGAGACCAGCCTGGCCAACATGGTGAAACCCTGTCTCTACTAAAAATACAAAAATTAGCTGGGCATGGTGGTGGGCACCTGTAGTTCCAGCTACTCAGGAGGCTGAAGCAGGAGAATCTCTTGAACCCAGGAGGCGGAGGTTGCAGTGAGCCAAGATTGTGCCACTGCACTCCAGTCTGGGTGAGGGAGCAAAACTCTAACAACAACAAAAAATGCCTAGGACCAGAAGTGTTTCAGATTTCAGATTTTTTCAGATTTTGGAATATTGCATTATATTTAGGTTGAGCATCTCTAATCTGGAAATCTGAAATGCTTCAGTGAGCATTTCCTTTGAATGTCATGTTGGCACTCAGAAAGTTTCCAATTTTGGAGCATTTTAGATTTCAGACTTTTGGATTAGGGATACTCAACCTGTACCTCCAGTTGTTTTCAGGAATTAGAGAAGAAAGATGAATATACATGACAGTGAGTTAATTTCCCATTCCTCAATGTAGGCAGCTACAAACTGCCAGGAATTAATTGCTCTGTATCCAGCATGAGTGATGTATATAGATTACTTGGACCAGAAACTTGAATGGGTGGTGGTGTGGGGGTAAGGTAATCACTGTATAGAAAAATTAACCATTCATAGTGGCTTTTAGCACATTTCCTTGCATTTAATAAGTTGGAACAATGATTAAAGCCTTAGAAATGTCAAAAAAAAAAAAGCTACAGAAGTAAAAGGAACTTTATTAACAAGTTTAGAAATAGAAATGTTTTCTTAATTTTTTGAAAATGACAGTCATTTTTAAAAAAGAACGTTCTTCATTTAACTTTTAATATCAATATTCACAAGTAACTTGGTGAGCTCTATTGGAAAATATTATCTACTGAGTTGTTCAGCAGTGGTGGAGTCAGTAAAGCTTCTTAAAGTCCTCAAGGCCCCCAACAAAATTGAAATTTATCTATATGATAAATGTTTTCAGGTTACCCATGTAGACAGCTTTTGTGCAGAAGCTGGGTAAGAGAATTAAAGGAGTTTGCTTTGACACATACAGATTGTTCCTAGAAAAGAATGTTAAAAATTTTAACTTATATTTATTATGGATTGGAGCTATTTTTTTCCCCAGAAAATATAAGTTACATAGCGGTCCATAAGAAAACAGGGTTTAAGATACCAGTTTTCACTTTCATGATTGCACCTAATGGGTTTAGGATGGTGAAGGTCAGACTGGATTTTAAAGTAGGAGAGAATTCTATCAACTTGAACAGTTAGGTAGTTCTTATCACTCTTCTTTTAAAGGTAAATAGAATTAACCAATGTTGATGTGTTCACTGTAAAAGTGCTTTGATTATTGTTTATTGTTTTTGTAGCTTTTGGGCAACTTCAAGGATAAGGAACGCACCACAATTGCACAGCAAGTCAAAGGGAAGAAGGTCTGGATAGGAATCAAGAAGTTACTAATGCTGATCGAGATGTCCCTACAGGTAAGGTACTTCGTTCTCCGTATGACTCAGACAGAACAAAGCTTCAGGACACACCAAGAGGGTTCAGTATTTCCTTTGCCAAGGTTTTAATTAATTTAAGTTTTGATTTTCTTATATTATTTCCAAACTTAATTTGGTATTAGTAGCCTGCTTCTGAGATTGATCACTTAACAATACTTTTTAACTTCTTAAAATTCAAAAATGGAAGGAAAGATTATAAAGTTAGTTTTCATTTAGGGAGCCACTAGGTCTTAGAACTAGAAAAGACTTCAAAGAGCAGTCGTTCTTCTGCCCCCTCATTTTGGAGATGAGGATACTATGTGAGCCACAGGCTGTCAGTGAATTATCCAAGATCACATCACCAGGTTATTGATGGAGAAGGGATGGTGTTGCACCTCAAGTCAGTAAGCGACTGCACATATACCAAACGGTGTCTGGGAGACTGCTTTAAGGGACAAGTTAATTAAGTTGTGCAGTCTAGACTTGGGATCTGTATATTTGTCCCTGGCTGGGCTCCTAGAAATTTCATGCAAACTACTGTAGGGTTGAAGCATCCAGAATCACATAGAAAACTGAGCCCCAGGGTGCTGCCTGGGCAAAGACAGATGAAACTTCTTTGGGACTTTCTCATATCTCCTGGCAACTTACCTTTCTTCATTTTAGAACTCCACCCTTCCATGTGCCCATGCTGTGTCTTCTTGTCCTTATCTGACATACTAGGTAGCTGATAAATACCTCCCTATCAAGCCCTATGAGTTCAGAGACCTTGGCTCTTACTATTGAGTCCACAGCCCCTGGAACAGAGCCAACACATATGAAGGTGCTCAGTAAACTTTTATTATTATTATTATTATTTTGAGACAGGGTCTCGCTCTGTCTCCCAGGCCGGAATGCAGTGCCATGATCATGGCTTACTGCAGTTTTGACCTCGCAGGCTCAGGCGTTCCTCCCGTCTCAGCCTCCCAAGTAGCTGGGACTACCAGCGTGTGCTACCACACTCAACTAATTTTTGTATTTTTTGTAGAAACATGGTTTCACTATGTTGCCCAGGCTGGTCTTGAACTCCCGAGCTCAAGTAATCCGTCTGCCTCAGCCTCCCAGAGTGCTGGGATTACAGGCATGCACCACTATGCCTGGCCCTCGGTAACTTTTTTTCTTTTTTTTTCTTTTGAGACGGAGTCTCGCTCTGTTGCCCAGGCTTGAGTAGTGGCATGATCTCGGCTCACTGCAGCTTCCACCTCCCGGGTTCAAGGGATTCTCCTGCCTCGGCCTCCTGAGTAGCTGGGATTACAGGCGCCCACCCACCATGCCTGGCTAATTTTTTGTATTTTTAGTAGAGATGGGGTTTCACCATGTTGGCCAAGCCGGTCTCGATCTACTGACCTCAGGTGATCTGCCCGCCTCGGCCTCCCAAAATGTTGGGATTACAGGTGTGAGCCACTGCGCCCGGCCAGTAAACTTCTGTTGGATGAATAACTGTAAATTCATTTTACAGTTAGGTAAATGGACAGAGTGGCTGTATTCTAGGCATCATGTGTTACTAGGTGTTACTAGGTCCATCTAGGTGGACAGAGTGGCTGTATTCTAGGCATCATGTGTTACTTACTGATGGTCCTGCATTCTGCTAGTGTGGGCAGTGAGCGGCAGAGGTGAAGTTTCTGTTTCACAGTTACATCTGAAATAGGCTCTTGGACCAATAACAAATTGGAAACGTGAAGTGAATGCTTTTTAATCTTTTCTGGTAAATTTATCTGAAAATAAAATTTTTTTGACTTTCAGAAATCTAATTTAATCTACTGAGCTTTCAGATGGACTATTTTTAAGTCAATTAATTTATTTTCCATTATGAGCCATAAATTAAAGTCACAGACTAACCACTTTGTTTAGACTTATTCTTGGTAAAAGTGCAAATACAGGTGTATTGGCTCTTTCCTTGAAAAAAAGATAAATCTGTCAGATTGTCAGCTTCTTTTTTTTTAAGTTTCAGTATAATTTTTTTTCAATAATTGCATAGAAGAAACTATGTGGATTTTTTCCCCAACCCTCATCCCTTTCCCTTCCTTTGATGCCTGCAGGTCAGTGATCAAGTTAATGCTTCTTATGCATGTGGGATAGAGAGTGAGAGTGGGGCACTCAGGCCTGATCTTCAGCGACTGACATTTCATAGGCCTCTGAGTTTGAACCCCTTCATGTCAAATGGATTTCGTGCAGCTGAGTGAATTCTCTTTAGATCTGCCTTAGAGAGGCTGAACCTAAGTGAAGAGGCATGTAGTTTTGCAGAATATAAGTCGTGGTACCTCTCTGTTCACTACATGCTATTCTGTTAAAACTTGCACAGAGCTGAGGATCTGCTCTGACTGGATGTCACCTGAGGGAATAAAGTCATTTATCTAGATTACTTTTTTCCTCCCTTTCTCCTGACTTTTAATTCCATAGCTACAGGCAAGTCAGTAAGTTGTTGCTCACACATATTAAATATATTTAATGGGCAAAGAACTGCAAGTACCAACTACAACTGCGCTCCAGCCAGTTCTTTTTTTTTTTTTTTTTTTTAAGAACTTGACAATTGATTCATATGTAATTCTATTCCCAAAAAGGAAAAATGTTTCTTTTGTTAGCTATTCACACTTTTTCTTAGTCCTTTGTAGTCTGACCTCTTACCTTTGATACATTTGAAACTTCTGTTCAGTGTTTTTCTGGGATAGAAGAAATCTTAAAAAAAAAAGAAAGAAAAGAAAAAAAAATCCGTGGTTGGAGTGGGAGTCCAATTGCACATCTCCCCACAGCTGCACTGAGCATTTGAAAGTTATTCCTGGAGGGCAGGGAGTTCCCTCTTGGGAAACAGACTCCTGCTCTGAAACATATTTTAAAAGTTAGGTGTGTTTCTTACAATAAAAATTCATCTTCAGGAACTAAAGATGTTTTTAACGATTGTTTTCTAGATAACTTCATATCTCCTGTGGGCCTACGAGAATAAAGTACATTTAACGAGTTAGTATAAATATGAATAGAAAATGAAAACCAGTCGAGATAGCTAATAATAACGACCTGAACGAAGCACCTGAAACAAAGTTGCGCCATCTTTTCTTAGACTCATGACACATTCGCAGTCACAGGAGACCCAGATTCATCTGGAGATGATTTCAGGAATCAGCAGTACTCTTCATTTTTTTAGTTTTAGCACAACTTTGTTACTACAAAGAAGAAACTATATGACGGATACTGAGGCTAAGAAAAGCTACATGGTTGGTTATGTAGAGTTAATAAGCTATTTTTTAGTTGTTGAATTAACCTCAACTTGGTATCTTCTACTTTGCTGTGACTTTAGTAGCCTTTTACACCTTCAACAGGTGAATTGGTTGTCATTTGAACTCTGATGAATGGCCCTGTCCAGTCTCACAGCGATGCCTCACAGGCATCAGCACAGGGCACGCCTGGCCCAAGTGCCTATGATGGCCAGCGGGCTTGGGTCTTTTGGAACCCAGTGTACATAGTTCTGGAAAACCCCATTCACTTCCTCCAAATGATGTGATCTGCTTTGTTTTGTGTGAGAATGCTGGTCAAGGAGCAGGTAACACATTCAGTGACCTAGCAGAGCATTGATGAAGTGTGAAACCGAACACTGCCTTCTCATGAAGCAAGTGCAGAGTTGTTAGAAGGTACCATTAACCCATCTTCATTTCTTCTGATGTATTTAGATGGATCCTGAATACCGTGTGAGAAAATTCTTGGCCCTCTTAAGAGAAGAAGGAGCGTAAGTACATACAACATTTAATGACCATCAACCAAACTTACCACCCTGTTAAATCCCTGTGCCTATTCTAAGAGTTGCTTTCCTAGATAAGTTTGTTTCCATTTATTTGAATTCTTCGCTGTGTTGTAGGTCCGAGAGACCAAGCAAGGAAGTTGGTTGTACTGTTGGTTTGCTCTCCCTGTCCTGCTTCGCAAAACTTCCTTGTCACAATGCAGGAAAAACTTAATGGTACATATTTATTGGAACCTGCTTTTACATGCATGGAGCTGTGACCATTTTCTTTTGTGAAGTGCTCATCTAATAGCAAATGCATAGTGGGAAATGTAGGATAACCATTAAGAAGCTTTTAGTGATTTTTTTTTTTTTTTTTTTTGATGAATAGTTTTTTACGGACCCTCATCTGTTTTTTTGTGTTTTGGTATTTCTTTTGCAGTAGCCCCCTTGATTTTGATTGAAAATGAACTATTTGAAACACACAGTGACCAAGGGAAGTGACCAAGGTGAAGATGGCCTAGGATCTTCACTGTCTTACTCAAGATACTGGACTAAGTGGAACGTTCTCTACCTTCAACATGTGCTCGCTCTGCATGATTAGTGCAATAAAACTCCCTTCCTTATGCATACTGAGATAGCTTAGTGTCTCGTGGAAGGTGTCAATTTGGTTTAGAATGCTGCGCTTACCTTCCCATGCAGGCTAAAGTGATTCCTTCTTGCTCAGTCCCTCTGGGTGGGAACCATCCAGTACTTGTGGACACTACACGTTTCAACCTCTCTACTAGCACCATCACCCTTGAAAACTCTCAGTCAGTGTCATGAATGTTGCATGACAACAGTTGGCCGATTAGAAGGCAGACTTTCTACATGCAAATCTGGCTTAGTAAATCGAGGTGTGGGCCAGAGATCCTCTGACAGCTGTCCTGAGCTAACACTAAAAGTCACTGGGTATTTGGTTAAAGGTCTCCCACAAGACTGGTATTCTCTTTGCCTGAAGAAACAAGGCATTGAATCTCTAAAATGCTGTTCTCAATCATTGTCAGAGATGTTTTCAAGTTGCAGTCAGAAGATCTTTCTTAATAGAAAGTCAGATGACTACCGTGTTGGTTGTGACTTCCCCTTAAGTATAACTAATTTGCTCTGTGGTAAGAGATATGCTCATTATTACCACTTAGAAGATGTTGTTAAAAACATGTGAAAGATAGGTATGGAAAAAGCATACACCCCCAAACAGAAAGGAGTTATTAAAGTAATTTACAAACCTCTCAGCACTAATTAGTGTCCAACTCCAAGTGGGTCAATTCCTTAGTATAATATTAAGGCTTACTAGTATCACTGCTTTTTCCTTAGCTTAATGACTTACTTAGAATTTATCCTTTATTTTAAATGATCTGTACTATCTAGTGTCTAAAACACTATTCTCCAGAAAAATCAATCATTTTCTAGCCCTCTCCCTCA
This sequence comes from Homo sapiens, assembly GCF_000001405.40. Taxonomy (NCBI): domain Eukaryota; kingdom Metazoa; phylum Chordata; class Mammalia; order Primates; family Hominidae; genus Homo; species Homo sapiens. Next base: position 1,276,233 of record NT_187663.1, read on the forward strand.
GTCCTTTATTGTCCATTCCAATACATTGAACACATTTCCTTTACCCTCCACACACTTCTTCCAAAAGGAAGCACCCGTTGAGTCCTTTTGAGGGTGATTTGTCTTACAACTGACTGACTTAGCAGGAATTTAATTAGGTCATATTTGGTGATGAGACTTATGGAGTGTGCCTCTCTCTCCCAACTGCTGCTTAAAATGCAAGGACAAGCAATTAGAAGCCATCCTAAGGTGCTTACCTCACACGCCACCCATGAGGCTTGTGGCCACAGTGGCACTTGGGTGTGGCTCCTCTGTTATTTGTCCTCATGTGAGAAAGCAGATCATCTCCAAATCTTGCCATTTGTATACTTTTGGTGGAGACTTGGATGTCATATCTTCTTTGTTTTGGGTTTTCTTCCCTAGCTTATTTTGTGGCTTTTAAAGAAGTGGATTGTATTGTGAGATCCTGTGATTCCTGGTGGCCAGTATCCTGGATTCCTCTAAGATCTTGCCTCTTTCCTCCTCATGAAAGCAGCACACATTGTGTTAACTTATGTCTCTTGTTAAATGAGCTTAATGTCTTTGTGTTTTGTCCAAAACTGTATTGAAAAAATATTGTTTAATGCAAATGAAGGAATGCAATAAAGAGTAAATATACTTGAAAATGTTCTGTAGACCAGTGTTTCATATAGAACGACATGAACAGCTGATAGGAATGGAGGAAGAAGGAGGGGGCTCAGGAAAGAAACCTCTCCGTGTTTTGTTACAAGTAGCATAACATGAGGGATGATTTTTATTTTAAAAATCTCTTATTTAGAAAGTATAGTTATTTAAAAACATCATTAGAGTATCAGAAAAAGTTAATATACAACCATCTTTATGCTTTATACTTATTTTATCTTACTAAAAAAAAAAAATGCCTGGCACGGTGGCTCATGCCTGTAATCCGAGAGGGAGGCTGAGGTGGGTGGATCACTTGAGGTCAGTAGTTCAAAACCAGCCTGGCCAACATGGTGAAACCCTGTCTCTACTAAAAATGCAAAAAACAGCCGGGTGTGGTGGCACATGCCTATAATCCCAGCTACTCAGGAGGCTGAGGCAGGAGAATTGCTTGAACCTGGGAGGCAGAGGTTGCAGTGAGCCAGGATCACGCCACTTGCACTCAGCCTGGGCAACAGAGCAATACTTTGTCTCAGAAAAAGAAAAAAAAAAAATCAACTCAGGTACCTAAGCCACAAACAAGGTTAGTAATAAACCAGAAAGGAGGGTTGCCACTCAATTAGAATTACTCCTTTCTGTGAAATGTACAAACCAAGGAACTTCAAGGCTCTCAGTGAGATTGCTTCACATGGTTCACTTTTGTATCCTCCATAGTTTTTTACATTTTTCTGAGCTATCAGATCTCTTAACCTCCTAAACCTTGATCCTTAGCATTGGCTCAGTTTAGGACAGGAGGCAGCTCAGAAAGTCCACAAGGCCCTGTGGGGAAGAGGCCAGCTTCAAGAACTTCCACAACGGGAGTTCCTGGGAGGAGGACCCTGAGGCCGACCTGGTCCCTGCATAGCCTTGAGAAGGTGGGTTCTTGAAGCTGCCCAAATATTCTTCAAAGCCAGTGCTGTACAGCAGAGCGTATGAGATTACAGAACGGCCTGTGAAGAAGCAAAGGAGGCTCCAGCTAGCTGCTGCCTTAGGTTTCTTCATCTATAGGCGAATTGTTAACCGGCTATTTTTTTGTCATAAGATGTTTTTGAGATCAAAACCTCAAAAGAGGAGGTTATTTTATCCTTTCTAAATTTGTACATCTTCACTGGGACACTTTTTTTCAATGTCACACAGAAAAATTGCATAATTGTGGTTAAAGTCAGAAATATGTTTTTACTTTAAGGCTGTCTTTTCATATCCTAAAAATTGCAGCCTCCCCTTTAAAAGTTTCAGCAACAAGTCACAAAATCATGGAGTAGATTGAAGTGTGTACAATAATCAAATCCTGATCAACAGACTTGTTGAAACAGTGAGTCAGCTATAAACAAACACCCCAGCCCAAACACAGAAGGTGAAAGCAGGATTTCATTTTCCTTGCCTGACAACTTGGTCCATAGCCTCTTTAAAGAAGTGACTGGGGGCAGCCGGGCGCAGCAGCTCACACTTGTAATCCCAGAGCTTTGGGAGGCTGAGGCGGGCAATCACCTGAGGTCAGGAGTTCGACGCCAGCCTGACCAACGTGGTGAAACACCGTCTCTACTAAAAATACACAATTAGCCGGGCATGGTGGCACATGCCTGTAATCTCAGCTACTTGGGAGGATGAGGCAGGAGAATTGCTTGAACCTGGGAGGCAGAGGTTGCAGTGAGCCAAGATCACACCACTGCACTCCAGCCTGGGCAACGAGCAAAACTCTTGTCTCGAAAAATAAAATAAGTGACTGGGGAAGGGTGTGTATGAGAGTTCAAGAAAGCAGGTAAGTTGCAGAATTTATTGCAAAATGATATAGAGTTTCTCATCAGCTGGCAAGCCGTACTGAGACTGGGTCCTGGAGACGAGCCCACAAGGGTGTGTGCTGGACGGGCACCATGGCATAAAGATGCGGGAGATAGCGCCTGTGATTGGCAAGCATCCCAAGTGGGTGAAGACAAAATATCCAAGGAGGGATCATGTTTGAAATTTTCCCAGCGTAGACGCCATGCAACTTCTGTCTCACTATTTTGGGAGTATAAGATTAATGGTAAGAAATTTTTGCCTCCTAGAAGGTTCTCTATTAAACTAGGAGAAACAGTGGCAGTGTAGCAGCAATGCGTAGCTGCACTGACTTCACTCGAGTGTGCAGACCAGCCACACACACAAGAACATGTCCCTATGCCCAGGGCCACCAGGGGAGACGGCATTAGGTAACACCAAGAATCATGTCGCCATCATGTTTCCTTGCTTTTCTTTTTCCCTACCTTCTTTCCTTCCACCTTTCTTTGTACCTCATCCCCTCATCCTTGAACTGTCTCACATGCTTTCCTTCCCTTCTTTCTTCATAAAATAATATTGCTTTGAAAGATATCTTCTAATTATGTCGTCTCTTTCAGATTTTTAAACAACGTCCTCTTGTGTTTAGACGTTTGTAAGTACTTATACATAAGGAGAAACTACATGTTCAAGCACAGCTATCAACTGTATTCTCCTTAACCATCAAATAAGACTGGGCAGGGTGTGATGGCTCACCCAGTAATCCCAACACTTTGGGAGGCTGAAGTGGGAGGACCCCCTGAACCCAGGAGTTTGAGACCAGTGGGCAACACAGCAAGACCCCATCTCTACAAAAGATTTTATTTTTAATTACCATAGTAGAGTGCGCCTGAGTCCTAGTTACTTGGGAGGCTGAGGAGGATCATTTGAGCCCAGGGGGTCAAGGCTGTGTTGAGCCATGATCATGCCACTGTACTCCTGAGTGACATAGACACTTGTCTCTTAAAAATTAAAAACTAATCATACGATTACAAATGGTCTTCATTAGTATGAATAGGGACCATTTAAATATTTGGCAATCTTATTGATTGAAAAAGTACTGGCCAGGCAGGGTGGCTCATGCCTGTAGTCCCAATGCTGAGAGGCTGAGGTGGGAGATCATTTGAGGCTAGGAGTTCAAGACCAGCCTGAGCAACATAGCAAGACCTCATCTCTAAAAAAAAAAAATTAAAAAATTAGCTGGGCATGGTGACACATGCCTATGGTCCCAGCTACACGGGAGCCTGAGGTAGGAGGTCACTTGAGCCCAGGAGGTCAAGGCTGCAGTGAGCCATGATCACACCACTGTACTCCAGCCTGGGCAACAGAGGAAGACCCTATCTCAAAAAAAAAAAAAAAAAGAAAAAAAAAGGAAAAAGTACCTAGAATTCTGGGATAGATAAGTTCAGTCGAGCATCCCTAATCTAAAAATCCAAAATCTGAAATGCTCTAAAATCTAAAACTTTTCAGCACCGACAGGATGCCACAAGTGGAAAATTCCACACCTGACCTTGTGTGACAGGTGGCAATCAAAATTCAAAATGCAGTCTAAACTGTTTCATGCACAAAATTATTTAAAAATTTCATAAAATTACCTTCAGGCTATGTGTGTAAGGTGCATATGAAATCAATGAATTTCGTGTTTAGACTTGGGTCCCATCCCCAAGATACCTCATTGTATATATGCAAATCTTCCAAAGTCTGAAATATTTCTGGTCCCAAGCATTTCAGAAAAGGTGTAGTCAACCTGCATTAGCTTTATGCAAAAGAAAAATAAAAAGTCGAAATGAAATAAAAATGACCAGACTGTAAGATGTAGAGGAGATCTGTATCCTGTACGTGTCCGATTCGTTGTATGGCTGAAGTGTAACAGTTTTTGTGGTTTCAGCTTTTCAGGGGCTAAAGACACATCATGGACAAAACAGAGTGCATCAACTTCTGGTGGCTATTCCTAACCTCAGGTCACAGGTCTGAATACAGCGCAGAGCAGCCCGCCTCCACCATAGGCGGCTCATGGCTTTATTTTCCTGGTTTTTTTTTGTTTGTTTTTTTTTTTTTTTGAGATGGAGTCTCGCCTTGTCACCCAGGCTGGAGTACAGTGGTGCGATCTCAGCTCATTGCAACCTCCGCCTCCCAGGTTCAAGTGATTCTCCTGCCTCAGCCTCTCAAGTAGCTGGGACTACAGGCATGCACCACCATGCCCAGCTGCTAATTTTTGTATTTTTAGTAAAAACGGGCTTTCACCATGTTGGCCAAGCTGGTCTCGAACTCCTGACCTCAAGTGATCCACCCACCTCGGCCTCCCAAAGTGCTGGGATTACAGGTCTGAGCCACCCCACCCAGCCTGTTCTCATTATTTCTCTTCGTAGTGAGGTAAGATTTGTTCCTAAATGAGGTAGGTCAGGAGAAATAAAAAGAAAAAACATTTTTGTTATTCTCTGAAATAATGTGCTGAATAAACCAAAGGTGACATTTTATGGGTAGGTCTGAAAACTAAAGGATTGTCTGTTGTCATAAAACCAACTTGTGGCATCTCATTGTTGAGAAGGCATAACCTGTGAGCTTCCAGTGGGTCCTGTGAAGTGGCGATCTGAGAGGGTGCCCATCCCCAGAGCATGCCCACTGGCAGGCCCTTTCTACCCAAACCCAAACCCAACTTCAAATGACAATTGTTCCAGACAGCCCACAGCCCAGGGCACACGCTTTCTTCTTGTAGACCAGCCTACCTCCCTCTACGGCTTAGCTCTCACAGTGGAGCTAGCAGGGGACAGACAATTTTCAGTCAAGTTTCATTTTCAATAGAGAAAATCCTATTTTCCCATTAAATGGAGTTGAAAACGTGGTGAGGAGGGGATTAAGGCAGTGGCCACCCCTGCGGTCTGCTGGCCTTGGGCCACATCTTTTAGGAGTGCCTGTGACATTAATTTATACATTGAAAATACTTGAGTCTGTGAAATGAATTAGTACACAAGTTGTTGTTTTCTAAAACTGGAAATTCATTGTTAGAAGTTAACTTAGAACAAAAGAAGCCTTTAAAAATGTACTGTGGTGTATCAGACCCACTGTCCGTGACATCTCTGATGATCTTGCTTAGAAAACAGAGGAAATAACCTTCACTTGGTCATTTAATTAGCTGAGGCCACCATGTTCAGAATCTCGTATCCTTGACCTCCTGAGCATTAATCTGGAAACTCCACACAGTGTACAATGTATCCATTTTAGGTTTGTTTACCTTCTCTTTAATGACTTAACAGAAAAAAACTGCATGATGAAATATATTTTCTCCAAATATATATATATTTATATAATATATAATCTTAGTTAACTCAAAGGTATATACATTGTATAATAAATAATATTTATAAAAAGAGACTTTTTGAATATAAAATCAAAAAGATCAACAACTTCTACAACTTTTTACAAAACTTTGGATACAGCAGGTTGGTAGGAAATTTCGGTTGGATACTATTACCTGACTACGGCGAGAATCATTACAATGCACTCATGTACTATTATTAAATAATTACTTGTCAGCTACTTGAATACGCCCCAGAAACATGACTTTATCACTTTTAATATAGAATACATAGATATGAAAAGATTGTTTTGAAAATTCGTATCCATTCTGCTGAAGTATTCTCACATAAAGCAAGTATTATCCAGTTGACATGATTTAAAACTTTTCAGTCTAAGGTGAGATGGGGAGGGGCATTTCAGACTTGGCGGAGGGGGTGAGATGTGTATCTTTAGCAGGGCTTGTGGCCAGCAGATTTAGAAGTGAAGGCGGGCTCCTGGACGACCATCTTGGCAAGCCCACCTGCACCAGCTGGGAGATCGCTGCCCTGGTATTTTAGGTCAGGGTTAGGTAGACCCCAGAGAGAAGGGGGAGAAAGAAAAATCTTTGTTCTGCTCATTCCCCTGCTGCATCTCTTCTTTCTGATTCTCCCTAAGACAGTTGTTGAACCAATTCATACTGTGAAATCCATGTGCCTCCCTTTTGCTAGCTTTCTCTAGGACGCTCAGCTGGACCAGTATGCCTCAGGGAGAACTCAGCCGTGAGATGCTTCACCTAAGGGAGTAGGTGACTGCTGGTTCCCCTTTGAACTTCTAATCCAGATCCTTGGGAACTGCATGGATGGAAGCTATCTCAGCATGCAGGTGAGGGAGGAAGAGCTGGGGGAAAGAACTCTGTGTCTGTGTTTACTCACATTGGCCCCAGAGAGGAAAGGACACAGTAAGATGGGTCCGTATTGGAGAGGAAGCAAAGGGATGGTTTTCATCCTCCCCATCTGCTAGTCACAAAGTTGGAATTTCAGGAATTGATGGCTACTCCCTCACGGACCCTTTGTCTAACTTATACTAAGGTGACCTGGAGTCCAACTGCTCTACCTGGAGTTATTTGTACAGAGAATCTGCAGGTGAGCAGGGCTGGGAAGGACTGAATGGCCCCTTCTGAAGATACCGCTTATTTATTTAGGAAGCCATTTGAGCTAGAGAAGACTTGCCCCCTTACATAGCCTATTTACAAGGTCCACTACCACCAAAAAAAAAAAAAAAACAAAAAAACAAAAAAAAAACTGCATTGACGGTGGAAACTGCAGAATGGTAGAAAAAGATTTTGAGATCTGACTGCCCCTCGTGCAGAACAGGGTTATAGAGAAAATGAGACTGAGAAGAACACATGGCTGCTCTTCAAACGGCTGACCAGGCCACCCTGAGCTGCCAGTTCTTCCAAACTCCAAATCCTACTCTAACAACTGCCACGGACCTTCCTACCACTTCATCCTAGCTAAACCTATGGCTTTTATCAGAATGAGAAATTAGCTCAAATTTGAATGGGAGTGGACCAAGAAAAGGAGACTGCAGGGGTGTGTCCTACTTCCTGACTCCCACCCTCCAGGCGTCTTGGAATGTCACCAGAAGCAGCAGTTTGGAAACAGAACCTTGCCCATGCTGATGTCTTGACTGCCAGGCTGAGAGCTCACATTAGCCCAGCCTGTTCTGTTGGAGTCAAATTTTTTTTCATTTTTATTTTCTTTAACATGTGCAAAGATAAGCCTCAGGTCTGTTCCTATCAGACCCTAGAGAACTAAAAAGAAAGCCCCCTTCTTTAAAAACCACACACCATCCAGAGTAGGGTGAGAAATGTAAGATGAGAGAGAGGGAGAGCCTCCCCGTCCACAGGCGAGTTGGGTCTGGGTCATTTACCACGCGTGCGGCTGGTGACAGTTCCTTGCTGTCTGACGCTGAGGGCTGTGCCCGGCTCTAGGTCCTGCTTCCCATGAGACTTCGCTGAATCCGCCCAGCCACACACTTCACCCCTTCCCAGCGCCCTTGGGGAAAATCAAGAGGAAGAATTAGAAACATAATTCCATTCCCAGAGACCACCCATTGGGGTTCAAAGATCAGAGGCTGCTGATGGATCTGAACGTGTCCCTGGTGCTCAGAGGTGATGAGGACTTGGGTGGTTTCTCCACGCTCTCCTCTGTGCTTTGGGCCTGCTGTTGAGGGAGGTCGTATGAGTCACAGGAGCAGTAAGGCTTTCGAGTCCACAGAATGGGATCGAAATTCTACCTCCCCCACCTCTAGCTGAGGGCCTTGGGCAACAGGAAGCCCAGGAGCAGGTCACTCAGGATGGGAGAAACGGTGCCTGGCCGAGGGCCCAGTCCCCAACTCCAAGTCAACTGCTGTGCTGGGCTCACGCCAGGCATGCACTGTGTTTTTGTACCGCACCAAATAGCTTGATAATGAGCTGTCCAAATGGGAGAGAGCCTACTTAATTACGAACAATTCCTTCCCATTGGAGCAGCAGTGTGTTCATTTTACTCATTTGCATAGTCATATCTCACAAAGGGTTTGAGGCATTCCCAGTCAACCCCCAGCTCTTCTAGGGGGCTGACAAGGCCAAGATAAGACTACTTTACAGAGGCAGAAACAGGCTCAGCCAGATTGAAGGGACACATCCAAGGTCTCTCAGCAAGGCAGTAACAGATCCAGGACTTGGGCGCAGCCAGGCCACTCGACTCTTGCCAGAACCTTTCCAGCTCCAGCTCACCATGTTCACAACAGCAGAGTGACGAGGAATAAATCTGGCACTTGTAAGGCACCAAATCAATGGTTAGCCAGAGACACTGGGTAAAAGCTACAAAAAGCTACAGAAAAGGTGTTTTCCCCACAAAGGAAGGACACAAGCCATTTGACAGGCGCTCTCTCCTCACCGTGTGGAGGGCCCGGGGCCTGCTCTGCGACTCCCTTCTCTCTCCTGCCTGCACTGCCAAGACTGTCAGGGAAGACAAGAGAACAGCTAACGACTCTGTCCCCTGCCATCCCTGCCAGTGCATCCCGCAGGCTCCCGTCTTGCCTAGCGGAGTCTCGGCCGAGCCTGGGCCCATTGCTCCAGAGCAGGCGGCTCTCGCCTGGGGAGGTGGCTCTGGGAGGTCAGCTCTGCTTGGCCCAGGAGCCTCTGTGGCTGCCCTGTGAGCAGCTGGGTCCTGGGCCAGGCCCTTCATGTGCAGGGTCTCCAGTCCACAGGACAACCCTACACAGAACACAGTTCTCATCCCCAGTTCACAAATGAAGAAGCCAGGGCTCAGCGAGGCAGAAGAGCTGGCCTGGGAGTGTTTATCAGAAGGGCACCATGTTGGGAGAGTGTCCTCCACTGGTCACAGAGTGAGGCCTCCAGAGCTTCCACAGAGAAGGGGTTCCGGGTAGGAACCACTTGGACACAGCATCTTGAAACCATATCTATGTAGCACTTTACATAAGATTGAGGAAAAAAAACACTCATTGTCCATTTCAGAAATGGGGAGAAAGAGGGCTGATGAAGAGTACTGATTCTGGCCGGGCGCGGTGGCTCACGCCTGTAATCCCAGCACTTTGAGGGGCCAAGACGGGTGGATCACTTGAGGTCAGGAGTTCAAGACCAGCCTGGCCAGCATGGCGAAACCCGTCTCTACTAAAAATAAAAAAATTAGCCGATCGTGGTGGCGGGCACCTATAATCCCAGCTACTCAGGAGGCTGAGGCAGGAGAATCGCTTGAACCCAGGTGGCGGAGGTTACAGTGAGCCGAGATTGCGCACTTCACTCCAGCCTGGGCGACAAAGAGAGACTCAGTCTCAAAAAAAAAAAAAAAGTTCTGCTGGGCTCCCATTGTCACCACCACTGAACAGAGGAGGAAACTGGCGCTCCCAGGCCAGACAGCTGAGTGGACGAGTGGAGGCGCTGGATTCACCTTCGTCCTCTCCCACTCCCCACACTGCTTTTGTTCAGATACCGACAAAGGTAGTGCCACCTGCTGCCTTTCTGGACTGTCCCCACCAGGACAGAACTTGAGCTACACCGAGGGGCTTCCTAGATGGGCTGAGTGAGTCGCCCCTCAGCCAGAGCTCTTCTCCATGACGTCAAGTACCTCCCATATCTCAGAGAGGCCCGTCCACTTCCCTCCCCTACTCCCTATGGCACAGACATGTGCCAGTAGCTCAGAGGTGCCCTGTGGAACTGCAGGAAGAGGGGGCACTCTACCCTTTCACAGGCTGCTCTCGCCCAGCAGCACCCCAGACAACAATGACCCAGCAGGGAAGTGCTTCCCAATTAACCAAGCCCTGTCCTCGGTGTCCTTTCATTTGTCCCTCACAGCATCTCTGGGGAGGATGACAGATGAGGAACCAGGTCTATGAAGAATTTCTTGCTTGGGTCACACGGTTGGCAAGTGGTAGGAGCTGGAGCAGGGCAGGGCCTAATTCCAACACCCATGCTCATGCCTCGACACACTAGGCTCCTTCTCAGGGGACAGAAAAGGAAGAAAGGGCACCCCAGCCTTAAAACCTTCCACCCCGGGGGTCCAGGACCACTCCTCATCCATGCTGACCTATCCCGGGGTGCTGTGGAACCCAGGGCCAGTGCATAGCGCCTCCCATGCAGGCCACCTCTGGGAAGCTTGGGAACAAAATCCACCCGCCTTTGATCCCTCGATTACTCATCCCAGCCACTCTGAACTTGAATCCCTCCTGCTCCCCGTCATCATCCATAAACTCGGTGAGAGTGCTCCCCACTCCACCCAAGCTTCAGATCTGTCAGGATATGGGCTTATATGCCGCTTCCCCCCACCCACCTCCCTGAGGTTGGTACGATTTATGCTTGTGCAGGAACTTGCCCTCTAAGTTCAAGGTGGATGCACACTGACTCTGCCTCAGGGGTAGAGGAGACATTTTGGCTCGCTGCTTGAGGTATTTAAACTGCCCCCTGCCCTTCACCACCATCACCACTTTATAGTAAGAAAGCTGAGGCCCAGAAAAGTGAAAGAACAGGAAGTTACTGACAAAGTTAGGACCAGACGTCAGGTCTCCCAGCTTCCAGCCCCCCATCTCCAAATAATGCTCAAGAATGACAGCTAGCAGCTATGCAAAAATTTGATCTGGCTCATAACTAACTTGTGTAAAAATGTTAATCAATTGCTGGCACCTAATGTGCACACACTGAATTTTGTTTTTTTTTGTTTGTTTGTTTGTTTGTTTGAGATGGAGTCTCACTCTGTCGCCCAGGCTGGATGGAGTCCAGTGGTGCAATCTCAGTTCATTGCAACCTCTGTCGCCCAGGTTCAAGCAATCCTCCTGCCTCAGCCTCCCAAGCAGCTGGGATTACAGGCACCTGCCACAACGCCCGGCTAATTTTTGTAGTTTTAGTAGAGACGGGTTTCACCATGTTGGCCAGGCCGGTCTCGAACTCCTGACCTCAGGTGATCCGTCCACCTCGGCCTCCCAAAGTGCTGGGATTACAGGCGTGAGCCACCGCGCCCGGCCAACACTGGGTTTTTATCTGTGCTTTGTGCAATCCACCAAGTCTCTGCCCAAGGACCATTCCCACGGATGCTTGAAAAATCCTAGCTTCCTATTTTGGCTGTGGGAACTTGTGTGTCTTGGATAGCTTAGAAACAGAAGGGGGTCGTCAAGAAGACGAGATGGGCAAACAACCCCATTCCCTGCGCCCAGGCTCCCAGCCTCCCCCCTGCTTCCCGGAGCCCTACCTGGTGCCCTACTTGCAGGTGTGCACGTCGTAGATGCGAATACACTCCTGGCAGCTGACGTAGCAGCACCAGTGGAAGATGCAGTGGCATTTTTCCTTCCGCTTCTCCGTCCTCGTGTTGTGGCCCCGGCCACAGCAGAGCAGATCGCAGCCATCGATGCCGTGGGAGGTGACATTGCAAGTCCGGTCCCTTGTGCCAAAGGAACCCGTCTCTGGGTTGGGCTCACAAAAGTTGGGGGAGTTCTCGTAGTAGACCAGGTCCCTCTCCGTGGGTGGCTTGAAGAGCGAGTACTTGGCCCGGAGGGTCTCCACCCAGCCTCGGGACTCACGGTGCTTCTCTACTACCATCTCCGAGGCGCTGTCATACTTGTCCTTGAGGAAGTCACCGATGGCACGGAAGTCAGGCTGCGCCCACCAGCAGGTCTTCACCTCACAGCTGCCCGACAGCCCGTGGCACTTGCATTTGAGGTGCATGTGGTCCAGGATAGTCTGGGGGAGAGAAGTGGCAGCTGGCCAACAGACCGACCCCACGAGGGGGCACATCCAGGCCTTCCCTCTCTGCCACTGCCCACCCCCTTCCCTCCAGCCTTCTCTACTCCTCTGTGACAGGAAGAGAACTGATGGGGACTGAGGCAAGACCTAAAGAATAGTGACCATGTTTCCCTCCCCCTTCACACCCCAAGCATGGGTAGACAGCACGTCCACTTCTCACAGCGCATGAAATACGAGTTGTTGCCCAGGCGCGGTGGTAATCCCAGCACCTTGGGAGGCTGAGGCGGGAAGATCACCTGAAGTCAGGAGTTTGAGACCAGCCTGGCCAACATGGCGAAACCCCGTCTCTACTAAAAATACAAAAATTAGCTGGTGTGGTGGCGGACGCCTGTAATCCCAGCTACTTGGGAGGTTGAGGCCGGAGAATTGCTTGAACTCGGGAGGCGGAGGTTGCAGGGACCCAAGATCCAGCCACTGCACTCCAGCCTGGGCGACTGAGCGAGACTCCGTCTCAAAAAAAAAAAAAAAAGAAAAGAAAAAGAAAAAAGAAATAGGAGTTATCTCCATTTAACACATGGGGAAACTGAGGCTGGGAACTTAACGTGACTCACCCTAGATCATACAAGCATAGTAAGGGAGTGGAGGCTGAATTCAAAGCCAGGTTCCCAGGACTTGACAGCCCTACACCGCGTGCCAAGGTGCACAGGATGGGTGGTGGGTGGCACCTGATCCCACGGGGTGGCCATGCTCCCAGGCCGACTCATCCCGGGTGGGGTGGAGTCCAGGAACTGCCCAAGGAGGAAGGAGGGTGGACAGACGAAGTGGCTGTGGGGTGGGGAGGAGGCCAAGCCTGGCCAAGGGGAAAAGGAGCCCGCGACCCACAGGGCTGCCGGAAGGGGTGAGGTGGGGGCCAGGGCAGCTCCGGAGGGGAAGCGGGGGGCTGCTCCCTGAAGGGTTTGGGGAGGGTAGCCGGGCTCACCGTGCGGCCCGCCTCGTTGTTGTGCTTGTTCATGGCCGAGCGCGCGTCCGGCCTGTTCTCGCGCGCATCCGCGAACTCCCTGGACACTAACACGCCGAAGTCAGCGTCCTCGCTGCAGCCGCCCCACTTCCAGCCTTCGCCAGGCGGCCCCTTATGATGCGAGTCACAGCCGCAAATGGTGGAGGTGCCCTCGGCGCAGGAGCGGGTGACGGCGAAGGCCACGCCGGCCGAGGCGATGGCGTGAACGAAGGCCGACTCGCGGGTGGCTGCGGGGAGGTCGTGGGGAGGCAGCACTCAGGACCCGGCCTGGGAGCGCCTGCCCTGCCTCCACCTCCCAGGCCAGGACGTGAGGGGAACGAGGCCAGGAAGAGTTGAAGAGCTCACCAGCCCTGAGGCAAGAGGGAGGCAGCTTCCCCACCCTCTTTGGCTGGTTTAGACCCAGTTGGGTATTCCCACTTCACCGATGAGCAAACTGAGGCCCTGGGCTGCTGATTAGCTCAGGACCTCAAATGCCACAGGGCAAAGCAGTGCCTGTTAGAAACAGGCGCCGACACCAAAGCTCTGGCAGGTTGCTGCAGAGATAAGGCAGCCACTTCTGTCCTGGTCCCACACCCCCTGCCCTCCACCTTCCCAAAGTCCAGAGACCACCCTGCACAGGCCTGAGCCCTCCCACGCCTGAGTGAGATCCAGGTCTGTAAGGAGGGAGGCCTGGGAATCTACAGCCTAAACCTGCCCAGGCCCACCCCTTCCGCACGTGGATGCATAGGGACGGCCCCTCTCCTTTTCTCGGTCTCAGTCGCCCTTTTTGTAAAATGGACACGGCTTCCCTCCGCTCCTAGAGCCCCTCACCAGGAGGGCAGTGGCCCGTGCCTCAGTCTCCCCATCCCCATTCTCCTGCCCTCACGCCCAGGCACGGCCAACTCCCTCCCAGAAGGGTAGGGACACCGGGCAGTTCCCCTGGTTCTGTCCCAGGGTCCAGCGCAGGGAAAGGAGAGACTCTCAAGGGTGTGCTCCAGCCTCCTCACAACGGTCATCGTCTCTGCATGTGCTTCATTCACATGGAAAGTTTTACTCATTTTATAGATGTGGACATTGACGATTAGGGAGGCCAAGGCCTGCAAGACCTGCAGCCCAACCATCTCTCTCCTCATGGCAGGACCCGGGAGCCGGAGGTGACTCGCCACCTGACACAGGCTGTGAAACGCCGGGCCGGCCTAGTCGGCAAAATTGGTCATAAATGTGACCAAATTTATTTAGAAGCCAGGCGCCCGCCTCCCCTCCTGGGCTGTTGGCCGAGTGCTGCAAGAAGGAAGCCCGGGACCCCTCTTGGCTCCCGCGGCCGCTCTCCGCGGCCCCCACGCCCTCCTGAGCCACCTACAGAGGGGCCCGTCCCACTTCCAACGACGGGAGGGCGAAGAGTGCAGAGCTGGTCCCGCCCGCGCCCCGCGCCTGCGCTGCCAGGGCCGACCGAGGACGGCGGCAAGGGGGCCCGACGTCCCGCGTCCAGTTGTGCTCCCGGCCTCGGGGTCCCAGCCGCGCCGCTCACTCGCCCCAATCCTAGACGCCCCAGCCCTGGGGGCGCCTCGGGGAAGAGGGGCCGAGGGCGGGTTCACAGGGCGGGCGCCCCTCGTTTCCGGCCGGCCTGCGGCCTCTCGCGGCGGCAGCGGCGCCCGGGCCCCGGGCCGCGCTGGGTTCCCAGCCCCGGGAACGCGGGGGCGGCGGGGGCGGGGCGGGGATTAGCCTGGGAGCGGCGCTGACAGCCCCGCTGTGCCTTCCCCGTCCGGCGGGGCCCGCTGGGCCGCTCAATCCGCCTTTGTTCGCGCGGTGTCACACCGCATTACCCGCATAATGCGGCCGCCGGGCCCGGGCCGCCGGGCCGGCCGCCACCGCGTAGCAACGGGCGGCTCCCGCGGCCGGGCCGCGCCCCCGGCCCCGGCGCCGGGCCGCGAAATCCCCATTGAAGCGGCGCCCCCCGCCCCCGCGCCGCGCCGCGCCGCGCCGAATGGCCAGAGGGCGTGTGAATGGCGCGGCGGCCGCGCGGTGGGGGGGCGGTGCTCGGGCGCTTTTCAGGCCGCCCAGGCCCCTCCGGCGCCCGCCCCCGCCCCTGCCCCCGCCCCCGCCTGGGGAAGCGCCTCGGGCCCGCCGCGCCGCCGCCGCGCCTCGCCCCTTCCGGCCGCCGACCCCGCCGCCCCCAGACTCGCGGAAGACGCGCGCCCCGGGCTGCCCGACCCGCTGCGCCCCGGGTCTCAAAGCGCGGGGCAGAGATTAACCCTTGGCCGCCCACGCGGCGGTGGTGTGGGGACTCGCCGGGGGCGGGGTGCAAACGTGGGGCCGGAGCTGGGCGCGAACCTGGGTTCAAGGTCCGGGCTCTGGGCACCGACCGGGGCGCGTATGCGCTCGCGGCGTCTTCCGGGATGCTCTCCTCGCCGCCGCCAGCAAATTCCCAAACTCTCGGGCACACATCGCCCCTCCCCCCGCAACCCAAACCTGTCCTCGGGCCATCTAGGGACCGGGGCGTGTGCCAGAACCTACGGTGGTGACTTAAAACGTTCAACGCGGAGTGAATGGGTAGCGCTCCCAGAGCCGCTTTCCCCTGGCTCTTGGCCGGAGACGGGAAGAGCGATCAGAGGTGACTCGCTTTTGGGGAGCGCGTCTAGACGCAGGGTTGTTTGATTCAGCGCTACCTGGCCCGAGGAGGGGCACCGGAAAGCGCTGAGACCAACACACCGACAAGAACGAGTTTGAAATGCAAACCGCCGCCACTTGGCCCCAATTAAGAGGCCAAATCTTTTATGTCAACAAGGAATAATTAGTTTTGGCAATAGAAGCGTAAACAGAATCATCATCCATTGATTTGCTAATTACCCTCCTGTCCCATGACAATAGCCAGCACTTTGCCTGTAGGTGGGACAGACCCTGAGCACCTGAGGCACCGGTAAAGGGGAACTGCACTCTAAAATGGGGGTTGTCAGCTTCCCCCCCAACCCCACCCAGCACCCCACCCCTTCACCTGAACGTCAGATCCCTTTTCTTTCTGGCTGTATAGGCAGCTCTCATTCATTCCCTAGCTTCTAATAGGAGGGAGGGCCAGGCTCAGCGGTTTGGGTGGCAGAGCAACTCTGGCTGTGGCCAGCCCGGCCAGGATCGTTAAATTCCTGGACACTGCCGTTCCACAAAGAGCTGCCCATCTTCCACCCAGTCCATGAGCCCCCAAGTCCCCTTCTTGGGAGGAGTTGTCCCACTTAGCCTCCCTCCCAGGGCCTGCAGGTTCAAAGTCAAATCATGTGGTTCCCTGTCCACTTGAGGCACAGCCAGTTAGACTCCCAGGCTGCAAGACGGCCGGAAAGTTACCCAGAGGCCAGTGCACCCTCTAGCCCCACCATGATTCCTGGGCATATCCAGCTGACAGGGCATGAGGATGAACAGAAACCCAGAGGGGCTCTTGGGGGCAACGCAATGCTACCACAGCACCAGGCAGCTTCCTCACCTACTGAGGACTTTCTAGATGGGAGGGACCTAGGGGTGGCAATGCTCTCACCCCCACCCCAAAGCGGTATTTGCATAGCACTTAACACAGCATTGGGGAAATGTCACAAATGTCCACAGCAGGAGCCTGAGGCGCCCACTGTGCAAAAGCCAGGAAGGAAGTCTGTGGCCTTCTTGGTGTCGGCCCTCAAACCTCAGGATCCTGGAGCATCTCAAGGCGGCCCAGCCCCCAGCAGCGCCTGGGAAGGTGTGGCAGTCATGCAACCAAATTTATCACCCTCCCAGAGGGACCCTGGCTTCAGAGAAGAGGCACCCTGACTGGGGTGGAAGGGCATACAGTCCTGATCCCTCCCCCCACCCAGCCCCTCCCCCCCCCTCAGCCCCAAGGCAGTACCTTTGTCGAGGACGGGCCCAAAGATGGCCAGGCTGTCATCTATGGTGGTGCAGTTCCAGCGGCGGCCCCGGAACTGGTGCTGGCACTCCTGGATGCCCAGCTTCACGCCCTCGGCCACGCTGGGCATGATCTCGATGTAATTGCGGCAGAAGCGCAGTTGCTTGGGGACCAGGCCTGGGATGGAGCCGCAGAGCAGGGGCTGTGAGCCCAGAGATGTGTACTGCTGGCCCAGGGCCAGGGACCTGCAGGCAGACAGAGGGTAGTAACACTGTGGGCACAAAGCACAGAGCCCATCCTGGGCACCATGGCCGCTTTGTGAACCCTCCGGGGTAGGTGGAGAGGCAGAGGGCCTGTGCCCTGGCACCTGAATGTGCTACCTTTGACCTCGGGAGCATGCCGCCCCTCAAAGCGCAGAGCTCTGACCCACGCAAGTCAGCCCTCTGGCTGCATCCAGCTTGCAGGGGGATGGGACCGCAGAAGCCGCTTGTGGGGGCCCTTGGGGGCAATGCAAAGCCATGAAAAGAGGTTTGGACTAGAAAGATGGTATTTGGGGCCCAGATCCAGTCCTTTCCAGGTTCTGGGTCCAGCTTCCCTGATGGGCATTGAAGAGATCAGGCTGGGCAATTTCCAAGGCAGTCCAGGATACTGGGGCCACATGGACACTTCCAGTGACTCATGGGACACGCGCGCGCGCGCACACACACACACTACCCTTGGCAATGCCCTCAGCCTCTTCCCTGCGATGGTGCCAGCCCAGCCCAGAGCCTCCCAGTATCTCCCCAAGGAATTGCTGGCTTGCACCAAGTCCTTTGTCTACCAGGGCCTCCATGACCATCTTTCCAGTTTCCTAGAAGTTTCTAGAGCTCCACCTCTTTTCTCATGAGAGACTGGAGCTTGGCTTTGTGTCAAAACAAGTTTAGCACAGAGTCAGAAGGGAGATCTCAGATCTCACTGCCCACACCCAACACCAGGTGACTGGTCAATTCACTCCATTCCTCTGCCCCTCGCTTTGTAATCAATATCCCATCAACTCTCTCAGGTTTTATAGTCAACAACAGAAAGAATGACCTTATGGGGGTGGGGCAGAAGAGTTTAAAATACTAGAAAACCAAGGTAGGAATTACGACTTTTCCGTTCCCTGCCCTCAGCACAGGAACAGCAGAAATGACATTTTCTGGGAGAACCTGAGAAAATGATCCGTGAGTGTCAGTGGCCTTCAAGGACAATTGCAATCTGCTCTATGACCAGGGGCAGTGTGAGCTGGAAGAAGGGGCCCATCTCCTCTCCCTCTGTGTCCAGCACTGACCAAGGCTTTGGTCCAGCATTGGCCTAAGTCAAGTTTCCCACAAAAAGTGATGGGCAAAAGCCTCGGAAAGAGGGGCCGGGAGAAGACCCCATGGGGCAGGGTGAGGTTTTTTGTGTGCTTTTTAGTACACAAAAGCTTCTGGGCTGGACACAGGGCCGAGCCAAACATCTGCCATTTGGCAACTGTTACTGCTTGCCAGGCACTTTATATACAACATTTCTGATCAATTCCCAAACATGAAGAACATCACTATCTCCTGGACTAGGAAACTGAGGTTTAGAGAGTGAATTAGCTTGCCTACGGCTTTTTGGTCTGTGGTGGGTCAGAGAGTGCCATGTGCCTTCCCCCGGGTCCCTCCTCCATACTTGAGCTTGATGTTGGCCTTGGCCAATTCGTGGAGACTCCAAGGCACAGAGCTCCCTGGGCACCGTGCAGGGGCATGCTACCCATCCACCTTGGTTGTCTCCAGGCTCAGTTGTCAGGGGGAGAGGCAGGTTCTCCTTTTTCCATTTGTTTATTTTGGGTGGAGGAACTGAGGAGCCAGATCTGGGAGTTTGGATGGTAACATCTGTGAGGCATTCCAGGTCTTAAGCACTGAGCTTTTTCTAAAGAGAAAGAAGCAGCAGCCAGAAGTTCTTTTTTTTTTTTTTTTTTTTTTGAGACAGAGTCTCGCTGTGTCACCCAGGCTGGAATGCAGTGACGTGATCTCGGCTCACTGCAAGCTCCGCCTCCTGGGTTCACACCATTCTCCTGCCTCAGCCTCCCGAGTAGCTGGGACTACAGGTGCCCACCACCACGC
Source organism: Homo sapiens (assembly GCF_000001405.40). Classification (NCBI taxonomy): domain Eukaryota; kingdom Metazoa; phylum Chordata; class Mammalia; order Primates; family Hominidae; genus Homo; species Homo sapiens. Next base: position 1,295,180 of record NT_187663.1, read on the forward strand.
CCGGCTAATTTTTTGTATTTTTAGTAGAGACGGGGTTTCACCATGTTAGCCAGGATGGTCTCGATCTCCTGACCTCGTGATCCACACACCTCGGCCTCCCAAAGTGCTGGGATTACAGGCGCGAGCCACCACGCCCGGCCCAGAAGTTCTGATTTATCGGTGGTAATGGCTAATTACTGATTTCCCCGGTGCCTGGCCCTGAGCAGAGGCTTTTCCTTGGGTTTGCCTCATTTAATCCTCAAAATAGCCCCAGCACAAAGTAGGGTCATTATTAGCCCCATTTTACAGATGGCTTAGCCTTGCAGGTTGATGAAGCACCCCAGACCACAGAGCTCCTATGGAATTGCTGGTTGGAACCCAGGGTGTCAGACTCCAGAGCCCATGGGGGTCATCACTATGTGACCCTGCCTGCTGGGCAGTGCCTGCCTGGGTCTTCATGGGGTGAAGGTGGCTTCAGGCCTGGCCCATCTGCACCCTGGGCCTCCATACTGAGCACATGCCTGAGTGGGTAGAGTCAGTGAGCCCAGAGCCCTGATGGGCACACGGCGCACACAGCACTGCCCCTGCCCTGTTAGAAGCAGGTTAGAGTGATCATATAATCCCTGTGGTTTATTATGGGCCTATCATGTGCTGGACACAGTTCTGAGTGCTTGTGTCTGTTACCTTATGTAATCCTCACGGCAGGTCTGTAATAAAAACTTCATTATCATCGCCATTGTCCCATTTCCAAGATAAGGAAACTGAGGCCAGGGAGCTAAGTACCCTGCCCTGTCTGCCAGGCTGCAAAGGTCCCCGTTGAGCCTCCCTCTGGGCTCAGGCTGCCCCTCCCGTGCTCTTAAGCAGCATCTCCAGCCCAGCCCTGCTGTGCCAGCTGCCCCCACAGCCCTGCAATCACTGGAGGGGAAACTGAGGGAGAGTTCAGTGCAGACAACTCGGCCTTGCACCATCCTAGATGGGCAGCTCAGGAACAAGACCCAGGGAAGAAGCCTGGGCTGTCCCCGCTCCTTCCTCTGGTGTTTGGGACCCAGAGCCCTATATGGGACCACTGGAGCGGAGAGCTGAGGCGGGAGTGAGAGGCACTCGGAGACCCTTCCTCTGCCCTCCTCCTTCCCCTCCCGTTGCCTTCCTGCCTCCTCCTTCCTCCCCCTCTCCCAGCCCTTGCTTGACACCTTCTGCAGGCCTGGGCACCCTCAAGCTAAACTGGAGGCTGAGCCCTGGTCCAGCAGCAGAACCCACAGGAGGAGCCCTAAGGGAGCACAAAGCCCATTATACAGATGAAAAACAGAGGCCGACCATGCCAGGTGGCTCACGCCTGTAATCCCAGCTACCCAGAAGGCTGAGGCAGGAGAATCGCTTGAACCTGGGAGGTGGAGGTTGTTGTGAGCCAAGATCATGCCGCTGCACTCCAGCTTGGGCGACAGAGCGAGACTTCGTCTCAAAACAAAAAAGGAAAAAGAAAAAGCAGAGGCCGTGAAAGAGGACCAACTTGTGCGAGGTCACACAGCCATATCCACAGAGAAAGCCAGGCCGGCTGGCTTGGGGGACTGAGGAGTCGGGGGGCCCATGCTGGCAAGGCGGCTCCTCACCCAGCTCTCCAAGGGGCTCCCTGCTTCCTGGTTTCACCAGTTACCTCCCTCAGGGTCCCAGGTGGGTCTTCGCAGCCCAGCAGAGCACCTGAGCTCTGGCACACTGCCTGCATGGCTTGATTGGCCTCAAAGGTCGGAGTGCTTCCCAGACATCTCCAGGAAGAAGGTGCCACTGAGCCCTTCCTGCTGTGCAGACGCAGTCTCTCCTCTGCCCCACAGGGATTTCCTTCTGTCCCCACAGTTACCCGGATACTGGCAATACTAATGACAACTATTTATGTAGCACTTGCTCTGTGCCAGTCACTTCAAATACATAATCTCACTGAATCCTCACAACAACTCTGGGAGGTGGGCATTGTTATCCCCATTTTGCAGATGAGGAAACTGAGGCATGGAGTAGTTGGGCGACTTATGCAAGGAAGTGGCTGAGCCAGAATTCAAGCCCTGAGTTTGTCTGACTCCCAGTGTGATGTCCTCTGAGAACAATTCCTGAGCCTCAGTCATGATGAGCTGTTTTCCCTCTTTCCACCAAACCCTGTCTCCTTCCTGTTGCCCAGGTCCCACCAACTGTGGACCTGGGAGCCATGGTGCCAGGGTCCCATCCAGCTCTACCACTTCCTAGCTGCTGATCTCAGCAATTTTCTTAACCTCTATACCTCAGTTTCTTTATCGGTAAAATAGACACGACAGGAGGAATAAGTGACACAATCCAGTGCATGGCACGTGGGGAGCCCTTGCTAGATGGTGGTTGCTATGGTTACGGTGTGTGTGGAGCTGTCCCCAGCACTTTGTTCCCTGCCTTGTCACCAACCTCATTTCTCCTATCCTTGCATCCCTGACTTGGTAGAACACATCAGAAATCTCAGCCCCTTCCTATCCAACACTGGAAAGGATGCCTGGATCAGACCTCAGTCCTCACAGGGGTGGCAGAACAAAGACAGTTGTGATCTGGATGAGGGTTCAAGGTCACTCAAAGAGTGCAGGCAAAAGGACATTTTCAGGATGCTCCATTCAAAGGCTTCAGTTCAGATGGGGTCATCCTGCGAGTAATTAGCAAGGCCTCTGGCGATGGGGCTTAGCTCCTGGGCCAGTGTCGGAGACTAAAGAGGCTGTGGCCATGGGATTGATTTCTGCAGGATGGCTGCCCTTCCCCAAACATGCCCGGCCACCCCCACCCTGAGCCTCCTGCCCGCACACTGCTGAAATTCCACCATCGCAGACACATTACTTTAACTCGCCACTCCTATTCCCCATTATTGAAGTACACGTTCCACTTCGGGAGGCGGCACAGTGACTCTCATGCTCCTCGATTCTTTGTGCCAAAGTGTGCGTGGCTTTGACGGATTTGCCTAGCCAGCTGAATGACTCCAGCGGGGCTGTTTCACACTTCTGCACATTTGCACATGCTGAGCCCTCGGCTCGAAGCACCTCTCCACTGCCCGGCCCCCGGCAACCATTCTACACCATCCTTCGAAACCTGATTCCTAGGTCACCACCATTCTAAAGCCTTCTGTGAGCTCCAGACAGAAGTCACCTCTCCTCCGCCTGAATCTTTCCTGTACCTAATTCAAACCTTCTTATCCCAAAGTGCTGAACTGATTTGTTTCCAATTCCATCTGGCTATGCCAGTCTCAGTCTCCAAGAAGAGAGGTAGTGGTAGTGTTTTCTCCAGTTATTCCCCGGTCCCTACCCCATCACACACACACACACACACACACACACACACACACACACACACACACACACACACACACCCCAGCCCACTCGGTCTTCCAAAGGGCCGGGCACATGCTAGGTATTCATGATTCTGGAGGAAAGGAATGAAGAACTCTTCCAAAGGACGAGCCTGATGCCCCTCACTCGCCAGACCTCCCGGCATCCGGAGCTTCCGCCTACACACAGGACAAGACTCCTTGGTTCCGCTCAGGAAGTTCCTACGTTTAGGATCTGAGATGATGGCCAGGCTCCCAAGGGGGATAGAGACCTGCCTGGCACTGACAGCTGGTGAGGGGGAGGGCGGAGGACCCTGCCAGGCCTTCGCAGCTGGGCCAGGGGCTATTTATACCCAGCTCCTGGCCCGGCCCTTCCCTTCCCTAGGACCCTGCCACCCTCCTCCTGAAGCCGGCTCATCCTCCACTCCGACCACCCACTGCCCAGCTGGGCCAAGGACACACACGGGCAGCCAGGCGGATGGGCTGCGGGTGCCCTGCACAACGGGCTGCTTGTGGAAACTTTGGTGTTGACCCCTTGGAGTGAAATATCCCTCCACAAATAGGCAAGACCTAAACCTTGTGCATGGCCTTATCTAACTCCCATCCCCACCCCAGTTCTGTGCCTCTACCCTGATAACGCCTGCTGTGGCCAGAGGGCTGCAGGAGGCCTGCATGGTGAGCACAAGGCAGAGAGGACCTTTTTTTTCTTTTTTTGAGACAGAATCTTGCTCTGTTGCCCGGGCTGGAGTACAAAGCGTGATCTTGGCTCACTGCAACCTCTGCCTCCCGAGTTCAAGTGATTCTCCTGCCTCGGCCTCTCAAGTAGCTGGGATAAGAGGCATGCGTCACCATGCCCAGCTAATTTTTGTATTTTCAGTAGAGACAGGGTTTCGCAATATTGGCCAGGCTGGTCTGGAACTCCCGACCAAGTGATCCACCTACCTCTGCCTCCCAAAGTGCTGGGATTACAGGCGTAAGCCACCATGCCTGGCCATAGAGAACATTTTTAGAGAACATTTTTAATCAGTGAATTCAGGTCAGCCTGGATGCTGCATTGACTTACGCACCTAACATATGGTGAGACACCTAAAGGCACCCTGTACAGTGCGTCCTGCCTGATCTGACACTGGGGTTGTTGGCCTCAGATGCTGCCGTCCACCCAGTGACGGCCAATCCCCTGCTGATGGGGGTCTGACTGTGCTGCCAGGGACACCCACTGTGCTGCCAGCACCCACTCCCCTGAGTGATCCATTAGGGTAGGCAGTCCTGCACCCAACCAGGTGGCCTCCCAAATGGAATCACACACAATCTCCCTCCTCTCCCCTACATACAGAACATATGAAAAGAGGGCCCTGTCCCTCAAAAAGTTAAACATAGAATCACCCTATAATCCAGCAATGCCACACCTGGTATACGCCCAAAAGAATTGAAAATGGGGACTCCGCCCAGGTGCGGTGGCTCACGCTTGTAATCCCAGCACTTTGGGAGGCCGAGGCGGGCGGATCACGAGGTCAGGAGATCGAGACCACGGTGAAACCCCGTCTCTACTAAAAATACAAAAAATTAGCCGGGCGTGGTGGCAGGCGCCTGTAGCCCCAGCTACTCAGAGAGGCTGAGGCAGGAGAATGGCATGAACCTGGGAGGCAGAGCTTGCAGTGAGCTGAGATGGCGCCACTGCGCTCCAGCCTGGGTGACAGAGCAAGACTCTGTTTCAAAAAAAAAGGAAAGAAAATGGGGACTCCAACAGACACCTGTACACCAGTGTTCACGGCAGTGCTACTCACAGCAGCCAAAAGGTAGAGACAACCCAAGAGTCCTCAGCAGATGAATGGATAAACAACAGGTGGCCCATACATACAGTGGGACCCTATTCAGCCAGAAAAAGGAAGGAAGCGGGTGTGGTGGCGGTAATGCCAGCATTTTGGGAGGCTGAGGCGGGTGGATCACCTCAGGTCAGGAGTTCGAGACCAGCCTGGCCAACATGGTGAAACCCCATCTCTACTAAAATACAAAAATTAGCCGGGCCTGGTGGTGCGTGCCTGTAGTCCCAGCTACTCAGGAGGCTGAGACAGGAGTATTGCTTGAACCTGAGAGGCAGAGGTTACAGTGAGCCAGTTGCGCCACTGCACTCCAGCTTGGGCGACAGAGCAAGACTCTGTCCCCCCAACCAAAAAAAAAAAAGGAATGAAATTCTGATGCTTCTGATGCAAGCTACAACGTAGAGGAAACTTGAAAACAAGCTAAGCGACAGAAGCCAGACACGGAAGAACAAATACTGTATGATTTCACTTACATGAAGTTCTAGGTAAAGACACGCCAGCTTAGGCAACAGAGTAAGACTCTGTCTCAAAAAAAAAAAAAGGAATGAAATTCTGATGCAAGCTACAACATAGAAGAAACTTGAAAAGAAGCTAAGCGACAGCAGCCAGACACATAAGGACAAACACTGTATGATTCCACTTACATGAGGTGTCTAGGTAAATTCACAGGGACAGAAAGTAGAACAGAGGTTGCCAGGGGTTCTGGAAGGGAGGGAGTGGGAAGTTACTGCTTAATAAGTACAGAGTTTGGGATGATGAAAACAGACGGTGGTGATGGTCGCACAGCATTGGAATGTACTTAATGCCACTGAATAGTACACTTTAAAATGGTTAAATAGCAAAATTAAAAAAATCAAAGGAGGGATGGTGCTTGCATCCCCAGCCTTCAACTTTGCACCTAGAGCCCCTGTGCAGGACGAAATTCCAGAGCCCCGGGTCTAGTCTAATTCCCTCTTCCTCTATACGGGAAGATTGAGGCCCAGAGAGGTTTGTCATTTTCCGGGGTCACACAGCTGGCTGCCCAGGAGGTGGGAGGAGAACCCAGGGCTCACAGTTCTTTTACCCACCAGGCTTTTAACCTGGGGGTGATGAATGCACATTCTCAGAAGCTTCTCTGGGGCTGGGCACAAAAAGGACCCACCTGGCTTCACATGGGTGGGGCTGCAGAAGGTGGACCCAGGGGCTGCGGCCCAGGGAAAGGCTCCCCTCCTCCCTCCGGTCTCAGGGTGCTCTCCAGGGCCAAGTCTCCCCAAGTCATGCCTTCTTTGCAGAAATAGGCCCTTTGCCCTTACCTTTCTCCATGCGGAAATCTAACCATCTGTGCCAGCCTCAAAGGGAAGGCATCTTAAGACTCTGATCTGAAGATCTAGTGTCTCTTAAAATGACTGACATGGCTGCTGAGAGGGAGAGGAGGAGGGAAGGTGAGGAGAAGGAGTCAGAAATCACCTCTCCTGTGGTCATTTTCCTCTCCCTGTGGTGGGGGCCACGGTGCTCCTGTCAACCCCACAACAGGCCAGGGCCAGGTGCTCCACCTGCTGGCTCCTGGGCAGTACTGGACAGAGGCCCAACTTGTTCCTGGGCCCAGAAGGGCTCCACCCTCCACGGAAACTTCTAGAAGGGAAAGGAAAGGTTTGAGGAAAGAGCAGGAAGTGAGGAACCAAGCGTTGGCTTTGGAACTCAGGCCTCTACCTTTCCACTTAGGTCAAGAAGCCGTTCAGGATTGGCAGATGTCAGGACAGGAAGCCTAGCCAGTTCAGGGGCATGTGTGCACACCGTGGGGCTGGGCCTGGTGGGCTCTGATGCACCCAACTACACCCATAGTGACGAGGCAATCACTGCTGTGGATGAGGGAGGCCACAGGCCTGGACTGGAGCCGCTCACCTGGCTGCTTGGCAGGGAGCTTGTGACAAAACCAGAGAAACCTAGCTCAGGATTCCAGCTGCCACTGTTCCTCGCCCTCCTGGAACACATGTGCACCCTGCGGGTACTGAGCACAGGTCTGGACCTTCTTGACATTTCAGTGCAGGGCCAAGGGTAGGGGGTTTCTTCTGAGCCCAAAGGGACTCAGGTGGGGCTGTGTCCTGTGGCTGTGGGAGAGCGCCAAGGTGCCTCAGGGGGTGCCTTTCATCAAAGAAGTGGGACATGTCTCTGGGCCTTGCCATTAGGGGCTAGTTCATTCTCTCAACGGGGCTAGTTCATTCTCTCAACGGGGCCCTCTGGCTCGCCTGCATCTCCAGCAGGGGTGGGAGCACCCTTGCCTATGTCTAGGACAGGAAGGGAAGGGTGAGGGTAGAGTGGGTGCAGGCCCTGAGCTGGGACCCAAGGTCTTGAGATAAAACCATGAAGGAGCAGCTGCCCGGGCTCTAAGCCCAGTGGGCTCCTGTCTTGATTTAGCCCCAGCTGTCAAGACTGGGGCCTGGTGATTTGTGGAGTCAGTGGAAGTGCCTGTCCTTCAGAGAGCAGGTTAAAGTCTGGCCTTGGTAAACAAAGTCATTCACTGCCTATTCACTCAACACGCACGAATTGAGTGATGACTCTCAGCCTGGCAGGGTTCCAGGTTCTGGGAACGTGGAGATTAATGAAGCCACACCTGAGGAGCACCCAGCCCAGGAGGCTGCTGTCAGTAACAGACCAACAAGCATTTCTTGAGCACCTACTAGGTCTGGGCACTGTGGGTGCCTTAAATGAGTGAGACATGGTCCCAAGGCACTTGTAACTTTCAGCCCCAGTAACCTCTGGGCCAGAGGGTGCATGGTCAGGGCGAGCGATCTCTAGGAACGGGGGCAAGTGTGTCCTCACTGCCTCTGGAGGGCTCCATGTGGAGCAGCTACCGAGCTGGAGAAGGATGGCTAGGGGCCCTCAGGTGGAGCCAGGTGGCAGGGGGACAGCCCCAGGCAAGGTGGCATGCCTCCCCAAGCCAGGGTCTAGGAGCCACACAGAGAAGCAGAGGAGGGGAAGCAGCTAGAAAGGGGCCCTGAGTGCCAGACATTATTCGGACAAACTAGCACCTTCCTTAGCTGGGCTTTGGAATATCATCCTGTTAGTTATGTGCAAAATGAGACAAGAGGTGGGTGCTGGGAAAGCGGCTGGGAGGCGGGGTTGACGTGGATGCTAAGGAGACTCTGGGGCCTGGGGATCCATTGCAACCTCCCAGGGCTCAGCTCTCATTGTGCAGCTGGGCCAAGACCCATGTGTCTGGGTCACCGGGGTCTGTGGCAGGGGATGGGCCCGCTGGTCATCTCAGGACAGTGGCTTCAGGAACAGACAGGAAGCTGTGAATAAGGACTGGTAGCCGTTTGGTCCCATGAGAAACAGGAGGAAGGAGGAAAGTATGGCCAAAGTTTTGAGCCAGGATGACCAGGAAGATGGAGATGGTGTCCACCAAGATGGGAAGGTAAGAAGCAAAGCAGCTTTGGGAACAAGACGAGGAAGTGCGTGGGGCCAGAGGGACTTCCAGGCACCACGTAGAGACAGAGCTGGGCCCAAGAGAGGGACGGAAGCTAGAAATCCATCTGGGGATGCTTGTAAGGAGCTAAAAGTTGAATTATACTTTAGGCCCCATCTTGGCTGTGGGCACACGGTGGGAGGACACTGAGCGTCACGGTGGGAGCATTGATGCCATATGCCAAGGGGTGGAGGCACCAGGGAGGGGGCTGGGGGCCAAGGGGCAGCCAGCCCAGCTTCAGGGCCTGAACCTCACACTAGGAGGCTGGAAAGGTGGGCTCTCCCGAAACCTCAGCCCCTGCCCAGCCAACACTGGCAGCAGGCGCCCAGGTCTGGCTTGTGTTTTCCATATTCCGGACGAGGTCCCCACGAGATGCACAGCCAACATACCTACACAGAGGGAGCCACTGTGCCCCTACCTCCTCTGCGCTTTCCCCTTTTTGCTTTTCTTTTTTTTTTTTTTGAGATGGAGTCTCGCTCTGTCGCCCAGGCTGGAGTGCAGTGGCGCGATCTCGGGTCACTGCAAGCTCCACCTCCCGGGTTCACGCCATTCTCCTGCCTCAGCCTCCCGAGTAGCTGGGACTACAGGCACCCGCCACCATGCCCGGCTAATTTTTTTGTATTTTTTAGTAGAGACGGGGTTTCACTGTGTTAGCCAGGATGGTCTCGATCTCCTGACCTCGTGATCTGCCCGCCTTGGCCTCCCAAAGTGCTGGGATTACAGGCGTGAGCCACCGTGCCCGGCCTCCCCTTTTTGCTTTTCTTATGATGCATCCTAAGCCTTCAGTGCACAGCTGCCTTCCCTTGGGGACCCCTCTCTGACCACACAGTGGGACCTCCCAGCCCTAACCATGCTCCTGTTACAAGCTACAAAGCCAGCTCTTCCCTGTTGTCCTGGGATCCAGGTTCTGGGTCTGTCCCTCACGTTGCCTCGGCTTAACTCTGAGCCTTTGGGCTTTGGCCAGCCCTTCCTGGACCTGTCACCCTGCATTGTGTCACTAATGTCACCGTGAGTGCAGCAGGAACAGAAAGGTGAGGTCTGGGGGTGACTGAGTGGAAGGGGATATCCCAGGCAGTGATCCACGCCATAGGAGAAAAACCCATGCACACGGAGAAAAGATAACCAAGGAAAAAGCTATTCCTTCCCCTCCGACAGGAGCCCCCGAGGACAGGCCCCAGGAGCCCCGGAAACTCACTAGCCCTGCTGGCCAAATGACCACTTCTACATGCTGTGGACGACTTTAGCAACTCCCTTCTGCCCGCAGCTTCTGAAGGTTCCCTTTCAGGGCCACGAGGGGCCTTCCGAGGAGGTGGCACAGCTCAGCTGCCAGGGACCACCTGAGAGCCCGGGAGGACCATGGTTCTGGGCAGCCGTGGGGAGAAGGAAAGGGTGCGGGCAGAAGCTCAAAGCCAAGGGTTTGGCCACAGACTATACCTCAGTCAGAGGGAAGAGGCTGCGGGCCCTGTGCTCCATCCCAGGGAGCCCTGTGGGATGTTTCTTTGGGGAGAAAAGGGAAGGGAGGGAAGGGGTGTGGAGGGCGGGGCAGTGCCTGGGCTGGAATGTTGCAGCTTCTGTTCTCCAAAGCAGCTCCTGGAGCGCCTGCCTGCGGCTCTGGCTGATCTGATAAGATGTGACAAGACCGCCTGAAAAATGTTGAAACCTGTAAAATGTTTAAACCTGTTTTTTGTTGTGTTGTGAGCATGAAGTGCTTTTTCCTTCTTTCTTACCCACCCCCCCACCCCTTCATTTCACAGGAAAGTGAAGTTGATAAGCCTGGAAAAAGGGAGGAGGGTGCGAGAGAGGGATTGTTGCCTTCAGCCAAATTGTGGTCCGGGGCATGGAGCAGTCTGGTGGGACCTGGGGAGGAGGAAAGAGAGTGGAAACAGGAGGGAAGAGGGGACAAGAGGTGAGAGGAGTCAAGGGTGGAAGAAGGAGGAGGACAGGAGAAGCGGGGGATGGAGGGGTCCTGCACCCCTGGCCTGCTCAGCAGCCCCAGCCCATCCTCCCCAGGACCAAACACAGTCCCCCACTTGGCACCCCAGAGGAACCCCAGGGCTGTGGGTCTCTTCCTTCAGGCAGGGGATTCACAGGGAAGGGCCTAGGCCCAGAGGGGTGTCCAGAGACGGGTAAAAGGCAGGGACCTCACTCTTCAGACCCCAGAGCGTCTCCCTGAGAGGCACCAAGCCCACAGGTGGGCAAGTGCTGCCTGGTGACCACAGAGGGGAGCAGCTCCCAAGGACACATGCTGAGAGCTGGGTCCGTTTCTCCACTTTGCTGCGCAGTTCAGGACTCCCAGGTAAAGCCCAGATGCCCTGTGCGTGCTCAGGTAGGGTCCCAGCCCTCTGCCTTCAGACACACAAAGGGGTGCCGTGCTCTCTGTTACTGAGGATGTCATCAAGGCCCAGAGGCCTACTTGGGGTCACAGCATTTCTGCCCATCAGTTTTGGGTGATTGTCATACAGCTCCCCCTAAATGTCTAGTCTTGGCAACTCAGGGGATGCTGAACATTCTAGAACATTCTAGAAACCCTGGTGGGCCCAGGTGTCTCTGGGGGTGCTCATCAGTACAAAGATAGATGTTCAGTAAAGGCCATTTTTCTTTTCTTTTTTCTTTTTTTTTTTTTTGAGACAGGGTCTCACTCTGTCACACAGGCTGCAGTGCAGTGGCACAATCACAGCTTACTGCAGCCTTGAACTACTTGGCTCAACCAGTCCTTCCACCTCAGCCTCCTGAGTAGCTGAGACTACAGGCACATGCCACTATGCTCTGCTAAGTTTTTAAAATTTTTTGTAGAGATGAAGTCCTGCTATATTGCCCAGGCTGGGTTTCGAACTCCTGGGCCCAAGCAATCCTCCCACCTCAGCCTCCCCAAGTGCTGGGATTACAGGTGTGAGCCAGCGTGCCCAGCCAATAAAGACCTGTTGAAGAAAAGTCTCCACCTGTGAAAGTTTTCTTGCTATTGGAGTAGGGCGGGGGCGGGGGAACAATAGGAGTGTCCTGGAAGGGCTTTAGGAGCATTCTGTAAATGGCCACGCATGTTAGTGATTCTATTACAGTGTTAGGTCATAAAATGTCAAAGCTAAGCGGGACCTTTGACATCACCTAGTTCAGCTCCTTGGGGAAATTAAGGCCCAGGGAAGCGATGTGCCTTCCCTGCTGTTCCTCCACTGGTTGGAGGCAGTGCAGAGAGCACAGCCCAGGCCTGCTGACTCCCAGCCAGAGCTTGTCTCTCTCATAGCACGCAGATCGTTCTTGAAGTGCCCCAGACCTGATCATCTGAAGGCTGGGCCTCATTCAGTACCTGCATACTATGTGCCCAAGATGTATGAGATGTAGCCTCGGCCGGGCGCGGTGGCTCACGCCTGTATTCCCGGCACTTTGGGAGGCCAAGGCAGGCAGATCAACTGAAGTCAGGAGTTCGAGACCAGCCTGGCCAACATGGCGAAACGCCTGTCTCTACTAAAAACAGAAAAAATTAACCAGGCGTGGTGGTGGGCACCTGTAATCACAGCTACCCTGGAGGCTGAGACAGGAGAATCGCTTGAACCTGGGAGGCAGAGGTTTCAGTGAGCCGAGATTGTGCCACTGCACTCCAGCCTGGGCAACAGAGTGAGACTCTGCCTCAGAAAAAAAAAAAAAAAAAAGATGTAGCCTCCACCCTCCTCAGTGACCCCACCTCAGTGCAGGTGACCAGTCAGTTGCAGAGTGTGAGAAGTCCCACTTGGGACTTCAAGGAATAGGGGTGCTGAGGGGAAGGAAGTGGGAGAAGGCAAAGAAGTCCCCTTCAAAGAGGTGACATTCGAGCTGGGCCTTGAAGTTGAGCTCAGCTTGGCCAGCTTTTCCTCCTGGAGCTTGGCCATCTGTTTCTTTGCCTCCCACTCCACTAAGTGGAATTCTAATTCAAATTTTTCCTAAGCCATGTTTGCATCTTTAGTTCATTTTAACCTTGTAACATTTCTCCCCTTCCTGACCCCTCCAAACCCTAAGTCAGTCTCCCATTTTACAGATTGGGAAATGAGAACCTTACAGAGTTAGGCTGCCGTTCTGAGCAGCCAAGTCTGCTGGTTCCCACACCAGGATTTTGCTGGGTCCCCACATTGCTATACCCTTCAAGCCAGTTCTGGTAAAAGACAAGACATAGCCTGCCCAGCCCTCTTGTTCGCTTCTGACTCCAGACTTCTATTCATCCCTCAAGGTCCCATGTTTAAATCCCCTTTTAATGTCTCCAATTCAAATTGTTCCCTCTGGCCATTTCCCCAGCTCTTATACATCCGTCACAGGTAACCTTCAATGCACTCAAGTGCATTGTCCACCGACTCCATTGATGGTGAGTTTTTTGAGAGGAGGGATTCTTTCACTCGTTTCCATGTAGAATCTAGCACCTGCTTCAGCAGGTGCAGTGGCCCTGCGAGGACCTCCCTGCGAGGACCTCCCTGCCTCCTTTCACTGCCCTCAGCAGCCCCACTGAGTGCCCAGTCCTTTCCTTCGTCTCTCCCAGGTCCCACAGGCTGTCTCCACGGCGAGCTGAGGGCAGGTGATGGCCATGGCCCTGCTGGCTCTCTGGGCCTTTTAACACAGCTGCTAGCTCCACAGTTTGGGAGTCCTTTGTTTGAATCTTAGAAGCAGCCCAGTGGGGAACACACAAAGCTGTGCTGCTTGGCTGGGAGCTCACTCTTAGAGCAGCTCCCCAGGGCTCCTCAGAGAGCCACCAGCCTGGTGTGTGTCTTTATTCAATAAACATTCACGCTGGGCCAGGCCTTATGCTGGACGCCGGGAGCACAGTGCGTGGGGCACTCCTGGTCTTGCAAGGACTCTTACCTGAACCTGGAGCTGCCCTGAGGAAGCCCATTCTCCTCTTTATGGGGGCCCAGAGGCCACCCTCCCTGCCTCACACCTGATAGCACTGGCCACCAGGGCTGGCACCTACCTGGACTGTCCCATCCACTCTCTTATTCTATGCTCTTCAGAAAACCAAGGACAGTCCCTGACCAGCTGGCTACTGGGGTCAGGGATGCAGGCTATACACTACAGCAGATCACTTGGGGTGGTTTTGAAAAATACAGACACCCAGGCTCCAACACCAGCGTGGCAGGATCAGAGCCTCTGGAGAGGAGTCCAGGAAACTGGATCATTAAAAGCCTCCACCAGAAGTGTGACAGTAGAATGGTATGAGATGATGCAGCAGGAAGGCCCCAACCTTCCCTATGATGTTCTTTGGCCAAAGACGTTTAATCTGATCTAACCAAGCTTTGAGAGGTAACCTCTTGTTATCAGGGAACACAAGGGACAGAGGAACAAACCAAATGACACCATGGGGAAGCAACTGGACAAATTCAGAGCAGGGTTTGAACCCAGGGCCTTGCCAGCTGGAGTACTAAACCATGGCTGGGCACTTTGAGGCCACAGTGCACTGGACACTGCCCAGGGCTCCAGCTTGGACCTCCAGCTGGGCCTGGCCCTGGCCCTAAAGCCAGCAGTGGCAGATGCGCACGCAGGAGGCAGCTGCAGGTTGGGAGGCCTCACGGGGGATGCTGCGACCACACCCAGGTGCTCAGGGCAACGATTCCACTCTCTACCTTTCAAGGTGGGTATTTCCACCACATTCCCAGGAGGGCTTCTTTGCGCCTCATCCCCCCACGGCGCTGAGGATGGGCAGGTGAAGACAGCCCTGCCCAGCACCTGGACTTCCCCCACTCTATTTAGGGAGGCCCCACCCAAGTTCAAAGCGCTGGCTGCCCCTCCCTTGCAGCCCCATTCTCCATCCCCAGGCGAGGCAGTCCAGAGCGAGCCTCAACATTTTCCTCTGCACCTCCTTCCCCCAACTTCATCAGTCCCTGCCACCCATTCCTCCGCAGGCTCCTTGCTTTAGCTCTGTCCTCTCCTTGCAACAGGCGCCTGGGTTTGCAAACATGCACTCAGCACCTGTTAGGAGCCGAATCTGGGTTCATTACAGACCCACGCAGGACTTCATTACACATTCCAGCACTCAGCAGGGTGGGCCATTGGTTCTCATCCCTGGCTGCATAGTAAGTGGCCCTGCTGAGCTTAGAAACAAGGCTGCCTGGGCCCCCTGCAGAGAAAGGGATTTAAGTGGTCTAGGTGCTCCCTCCCCTCTGTGGTATCCTCCCTCCCTCCCTCAAGGTTGAGAAGCACTGCCCTAGGTCACAGACAGGGCTGGGGACCTGCCCACAGCCCCACCCTGGGTCCACAGCTGGGGCTCCTGGGTCCTCTGCCCTCCCCCTGGGCCCCACCTCCTATTCCCAGTACCAGTCCCTCCAAGTTGTTAGGATCAACCCGTCCCCTGTTTTCCAACCTCTGGTCTTGTCCACTTCCTCTCCCGAAGTAGCCCTCCCCCATCATCTCTCTCCTTGGCCTCTCAGCAAATCTCCATGTTCACGGCCAGAGAAGCAAAACTTCCCTGATCCAGCAGCCATGAAGAAGAAGCATTTGGGCACGCCCCTCCGTTTCCGTCCACCTTGGCAGAAATCAGAGGCCGGCTACTGCGCTCGCGTTTTATGTGCGTTCCAAAACACACGCTCACGTACATCGGAAAAGGACAGGATAAAAGATGTGTTTCAAAAGAAACCTTTTCCTCCTGCAGCCTCATGCGTCATCTGGAACCCCCTGCCCAGGCCTGACTCCTCGTTTCCTCTGGGGTTTTCCTCTTTTCTTTTCCCTTCTTCCTGGTTTCCCCTTAGCTTTCTTAGCTGTGCAGTGGGGTGTATCTGTTTGTGAGTAAGTGGAAGTTCTGTCTGCAAAGGTACAGGATGCTCACACTCTTTGGGTTCAAGGCAGCAAGCCTTTTCCCTACTGGGTTGGGGGCTCCACACCTTCCTTGGTTCTTGCCTGCAGCTACATTTCCCCCCAACCCAGGACTTCGCTTTCCTTACTCTTTTTTTTTTTTCTGAGACAGAGTCTCGCCCTGTCACCCAGGCTGTAGTGCAGTGGCGTGATCTCAGCTCACTGCAACCTCCGTCTTCCAGGTTCAAGCGATTCTCCTCCTGAGTAACTGGGATTACAGACGAGGACCACCATACCTGGCTAAATTTTTTTGTATTTTTAGTAGAGACGGGGTTTCAACATGTTGGCCAGGCTGGTCTCAAACTCCTGACCTCAAGTGATCCGCCCGCCTCAGCCTCCCAAAGTGCTGGGATTACAGACGTGAGCCACCACGCCCGGCCTCCTCACTGTTTTCTGACCAGAAATGGTCCACTCTGCTCTGCAGAGCCTCACCTCCTCTCCCACTCCCTTCCTTCCCCTCACTGTGTACAACACCCTGTCACTCCACCAGGCCAGGCATGCCCTGGTAAGGGTGCTGGGGCACAGGGAGTTTCTGTAATTTCTGTCTGCATTCTACTTACATTCATCACAAAAGTAGGAAGGCATTTCTTCTGGGGGAAACACACGTTGTGTAGAAAAGATAAAATCTCTCTCTCTGGCATGGTGGCGCATGCCTATAATCACAGCACTTCAGAATTTCGAGGCAGGGGGATCACCTGAGGCCAGGAATTTGAGATCAGCCTGGGCAACACAGCGAGACGCTGTCTCTACAAAACACAGAAAAATTAGCTGGGTGTGGTGGTGCACACTTGTAGTCCCAGCTACTGGGGAGACTGAGGCAGGAGGATCGCTTGAGCCCAGGAGTTTGAGGCTGTAGTAAGCTGTGATTGCACCACTGCACTCCAGCCTGGGCAACAGAGTGAGATCCTGTCTCTTAACAAAACAAAAGAAAACAACTCTCTCTTACACATACATAGAAATAGCGAACATTTAAAGTCAAAAAATTCTAAATCTCTGCAAATGGGATGTGTGTTCGACACAAAAGGCAAAATGTCAGTGCACATTAGCCCCAGTTAAGGTTCCCCCAGGAATCACCCTGGCCTAAGAGAAGGCTCAAATCACCATGGGTGGGAGGAGGTGTCCTCCAGAGGGGGGATGACGTCATGGAGCACCTTTTTGGGGACACTCAGGCTGTGAATGAAATAAAGAACGCTTTTACAGGTGATTACCCATAATGAATAAGATAAGGTGGGGTACATTTATTTGGGTAGAGAGTGGCTAATAAGGTAGTGAAGAACTTCACCAATTTCCTCAACTCTGCTCTAAGTAAGGTAGTAAGGAGCCTATTCACTGAGGCACTCAGAGTGGCCATTTTATTATTTTTTTGAGACAGAGTCTTGCTCTGTCACCCAGGCTGGAGTGCAATGGTGCCGTGTTGGTTTACTGCAACCTCTGCCTCCCAGGTTCAAGCGATTCTCCTGCCTCAGCCTCCCGAGTAGCTGGGACTATAGGTGCATGCCACCACACCTGGCTAATTTTTGTATTTTTAGTAGAGACAGAGTTTCACTATGTTGACCAGGCTAGCCTCGAACTACTGACCACGTGATCTGCCCACCTCTGCCTCCCAAAGCGCTGGGACTACAGGTGTGAGCCATCACGCCTGGCCAGTGGCCATTATTAATAATAATAGTTAACATTTATTGAGGCCTGACTATGTGCCAGTTGCCATGTAAAGCACTTTACATAGAATACATCCTTTAATTTGCCAAAGAACCCAATTTAACGGATGATGACATGGGCTCAGAGAGGCCAAGTGACTCGTCTAAAGTCACATAGCTAGGAAATGGTGGCACTGAGATGGCAAAAAAAGCAGTGAGGGCTGAGGGAGGTGGCTCACACCTGTAAACCCGGCACTTTGAAAGGCCGAGGCGGGAGGAGCACTTGAGCTCAGGTGTTCAAGACTAGCCTAGCCGAGAAAGCAAGACCTTGTTTCTACTAAAATTAAAAAAAAAAAAAAATTAGCTGGGCATGGTGGTGACCACCTGTAGTCCCAGCTACTTGAGAGGCTGAGTTGGGAGGATTGCTTGAGCCCAGGAGGTCAAGGCTGCAGTGAGCCAAGATCGAGCCATTTTACTCTAGCCTGGGCAACAGAGTGAGACCCTGTCTAAAAAAAAAAAAAAAAAAAAAAAAAAAAAAAAATGAGGGGAGACATTTACCAGGACAGGGTTTATAGAGAGCATGTTCATGGAAGGCTAAGGAGAAAGGGAAGGAAGTGCTCAGGTCCTGCTCTGCTGCTCCGGCCGCTGTTGGGGTTAACATCCCTGTAAATTCAAATGCTGGGCTCCCGCCTATCAGTCTTTTTTCTTTCGAATGTTGGTGCAGATCTTCCGCACTGGAGGTCCATTTCTCTGTGTCTCAGACAAGGCTGGACCCACGCCCAAGGCATTGCAGGAGGAGAGGAGACCCCCGACCTGAGGGCTGGAGGCATTTGTGTGTGAGACAGGACAAAGAATTTCAGGGGACCAGAGAATTCAAGGTGGCAGAGGGTTAACAAGACCTCTCCCAAGACAACACACCCAGCAGATGCTGACAAATGTGGGCAAGAGTTCCTGAGAGAGAGGCCAGGGTAGATGACACACGTTCCCAGCACCTTCCAACCTGCAAAGCATTTCCTCACACAGCTTCTCCATGAATCCTCTCAACAGCCCTGAGAGTAGAGATGCCGGCTCCAGTTTACCAATGACAGATTGCCATCGGCCAGGAAGTGGAGGTGGAGTTGGACCCCAAATCCCATGCTATCGCTATTTTGCCACTCTGTCCAGACCCCACCCTCTGGAGATAACCAGTTTATCCCAGCAGAGTGCATTTATTCGGCACCTGCTATGTGTTCTTCACTGAACTAGGCACGACGGGGACATAACCAAGACAGTGTCACACGGTGAAATCTAACAGGCATGTTCATAGGGAACAGCAGGAGGTTAGCAAGGGGACAGCCAGCTTATAAACTCTCTGGTGGGAGGGGCGTGGGGGAGAGCAAGTGAAGGAGGACATAGAACAGGGGTGGGGGTGGATAAACCACAAGACCTCAGGGGACTGTGCCCTGAGAGAAAAGGAAGAGGATGGGCATTTCTGGGACATTGATGTCACATAAAACTCCAAAACCCAAGGGACCAAGAAGAAAGGAGGCCAGGGCCTGAGGTCCTGCTGATGAGCTTCAATCTTACTAGCGGTGAAGAGGGGTCACCATCTATGGGGCTGAAAGAAGCCCAGGCCCTATATGCAGGCTGGATCCCCCGACAGGACCTGTCAGAGCTAGAAGGAGCCTTGGGGGTCATCTGGTCCAGTTTGCATATTGCACAGGGCTCAGAGCTAAGGCCATCTCACTGGGCTGAGGAGCCAAAGAACATAGTCAGCTCTGAGAAGGGCTCTTCAAGGCTGGCTCTCCTTTGTTTGCAGAACACACTGTACCACCGTGGAGAGGATAAAAATCTAAAATTCAGCACCTTAACCCATTCTCATACCAGTCAAACTTTCGACAGTCCTATTGGTCTATAGATGCCTGGGAATTCCCTCCTTTCCCAGGTCAGGAAGATCTCGACCTCCTTCCACCAGCTTCCCAGGACTTTCTTTTCTTTCTTTCTTTCTTTTTCTTTTTTTTTTTTTTTTTTAACAGATTCTTGCTCTGTCACTCAGGCTGGAGTGCAGAGGTACGATTCCAGCTCACTGCAACCTGCACCTCCCAGGTTCAAGTGATTCTCGTGCCTCAGCCTTCCGAGTAGCTGGAATTATAGGCACCCACCACCATGCTTGGCTAATTTTTGTATTTTTAGTAGAGACGGGGTTTCACCATGTTGGCCAGGCTGGTCTTGAACTCCTGACCACAGGTGATCTGCCCGCCTCGGCCTCCCAAAATACTGGGATTACAGGTGTGAGCCACCATGCCAGGCCCTTCCCAGGACATTTCTGAGACACCTGGTGGGAATTCTTACCTGCTTACCTCACCTGTGTCCCTCTGAGCCACCATTTTGGCCCTCATTTCCCACCCTCGGGTGCTGAGGGAATTGTTCCCTACCAGGAATGAATCCCCAGGCTTGTCTGCTCCCCCATAAACACCCTCTGGAATGTGCATCCGAAACCTCCTACCCCACACCAGCGCATTCAGCCCCTCTACCGGCGCCCCATGTCTCACTCCCCTGGTGTGGCCAGAACTGGGGATGGTGCAAGAATAAAGCCCTAGGCAGTGTGGAAAGCAGACAGCTGACCCTGTGACTTCTGGGGCTCCCCTCCGAGGTGGGGAAGAACAGAGGAGCTGGCCTCTGGGGTCTGAGAAGACCAGCCGGCCCGTGGGCAAAGGGACGACAGCAAATTCTCCTCCAGTGACCCTCAGCCCCTGACGCCCTGTCTAACCCTCTCAGATCCAAAGCTGCGAGCCCTCAGGAACATGTGGCTACCTCTAACCCAGCTCACTTGCCTGGTTAAAAGCAACCACAGGTGTCCAGCCTGCAAACATTTCCCGGCACACAGGGCCCTGTGCAAGGGGCAGTGGGTGACGACACCAAGCCCAGTTCCGGAGCACCCTGCTGTTCTGCGGCACTGCTGACTCACAAGCGATTCTGCCGCTGTGCAGTCTCAAAGCCAGCCCCACCCGGGGATCTCTGTCTTCCTTGGTCTGTCATGAAGGTGCTAGTAACCCCCAGGCTTCTCAGATAACTCCTTCTCCTTCACTTGTGCACTCTTGCTCTCTGTCTCTCTCTGTCTCTGTCTCTCCCTCTCTCTCTCACACACACACACACGCATGCACGCACACACACGTGTGCACACATGTTAAATTCTAACCCTTGCAGTACCATGGATTTCCATTTTGTTGAGATGAATAGAGGATTAAAAAAAAAAGAACTGATCAGGTTGTCGGCAGGGTAATTATCAGTAAAAAGAAACAGAGGAGCTGTCCCATCCGCAGGTGGTAGGTGGCACCCTCCACGCCTGCAGGCCAGGGCTTTGTGATCTGGCTGACCCCAATCCTGATCTTATTGCTACCACCCATTACCACGTCTCCTTGGGAGGACTCAACTTCCTAATGAGAAAAACATCCCCCACTTCAAAGAGGCTGCGGGGAGGAAGAATTGAAATGATGTAGATAAAGCTTTTATCACAGTCCCTGGCACATAGTAGGTGCACAATAAATGTTGGTTGCCATTGTCATAGTGCTAATAAAGACCAGTGACATCC
Source organism: Homo sapiens (assembly GCF_000001405.40). Classification (NCBI taxonomy): domain Eukaryota; kingdom Metazoa; phylum Chordata; class Mammalia; order Primates; family Hominidae; genus Homo; species Homo sapiens. Next base: position 1,315,752 of record NT_187663.1, read on the forward strand.
TCTATGCCAGGCACTGTTTGTGTGCTTGCCGCATATTAACCCCATAATAATTCTGTAAGGAAGGTATGTTATCATCACCCCTATCTCAGTGGGGAAACTGAGGCAGAGATTGGCCCACATTACCCAGGTAATTAGGGACACATCTGGTCTGGCTCCAGAGGCTGAAGACTTAACCACAATGTTCTCCTGCCCCTCTCAGAAGGAGTTGGATGAGAGATCCCATCTGTATGTCCCACTCGGGGCACACAGAGAGGCAAGCGCAACTTGGTTCCTGCCCCGCAGGGGCTCCCAGCCTCACTGGGTGACAGATCCTAAAAATGCAACTACAGGGGACCTAAGACGGGAGAATGATTCACCAGCCAGACAGCCCGGGTGTCCCCTGGTGCAAGATGAGCGGTGCCTGATCAGTCCCTGGTTCCTGGCTGCTGCATAGGAGAGGGGGCTCAGCTGGATGGCTGACTGATTGGCTGACTGCTTCATTCATTAATTCCTGAGTGCATTCATTCATTCCTTCCACTCAAGCCCTCCAGAAAGGGTGGTCTGGACTGAACTAGTTTACACGGGATGATTACAACAGAAGTCAGAGGACTCTCAGCTTGGTTACCGAGGAAAATAAGACCACAAAACCAAACTGACTGAAATAGGCAGGAGAATCTTCTCGATCCCATTTTCCAAATGGGGGAAAATGGGAAAAGGGCTCCAAGGTTAAATATTTTTGGAAAACAAGTTAAACAAATAAAAACGGGTCACACTGGCAGGACCTCTCAGTGCTGCAACTATGCTAATGAGCTGCTAATATTCAAATGAGAACAATAAACACCAAGAGGCTCCAAGTTGCCTGTGGCGATTCTTAAGTTTATTTGACTCCAGAAGCCTTTCTCAACAGGATTATGTGGGGCTGATGTTATAAGAAACACACTATGCGATGTCCTACTCTGGCCCAAGAGCTGTCTGGAAAAGCTGTTCCAAAAACCTGGGAGAGAGTGGAAGTGAGGCTGAGAGGACTCCCAGGAAGACGGCAGCTCCAGGCTGGGTTTTGAAAAATCCTGGGAAGTTCAGGGCCAAGTGGAGGAGGGAAAGGAAAGAGTTTTCCAGTAGGGAATGGGATCCTGAGAGAAAGACGGTGAAGGCCCAAGGCAGTGGAGTCCTCAGGAGTGGGCTTGCCTCGGGCGGGAAGAAGGGCCTTGGGCCATGGGAAAAACAATCTCAAAGATGACAGCACAGATGGGCACAACCTCTTTGGAAAACAGTTTGGCATCATCTTGTAAAGCTCAACATTCACACATCCTGCAACCCAAAGTTCCACGCCTAGGCAGGTACCTCCATGAACACCTTTCCCTGCTGTGCACAGCGAGATGCACATCCATGGCCAGGAGACAAAATAGATAAACTGTATATTCTAAAGATGGACTATTATGCAACTGTGAGCATGTGAGAACTACAGCAAGATCCAGGAACAGTTTGAAACTTAGAAACACAATGCAGAGAGAGAATAGCTCAACATAGAGGGCCACATGCAGTATAACACCATTTTTATAATGCTAAAAATAGGCAAAATAAAACATTTCATTTAGGCATTATTACCTGGGAAAACCAGTTTTTTGTTTGTTGGTTTTTTGTTTTTTTGAGACAGGGTCTCCAGGCTGGAGTGCAGTGGCGTGATCCCGGCTCTCTGCAACGTCTGCCTCCTGGATTCAAGCGATTCTCCTGCCTCAGCCTCCCGAGTAGCTAGGACCACAGGCGTGTGCTAACACACCCAGCTAATTTTTGTATTTTTAGTAGAGATGGGGCTTCACCATGTTGGCCAGGCTGGTCTCGAACCCCTGACCTCAGGTGATCCTCCCGCCTCGGCCTCCCGAAGTGCTGGGATCACAGGCATGAGCCACTGTGCCCAGCCAAAAACCAGTATTTTTAAGTAATGGAATAAATAGGTAAAATTCAGGATGTGGTCACATCTAGAGGGAGATGGGGAATGGGCTGAGGAGGACCCACAGATGGACACGACGGCCTAGTCACGGTCTGGTCCTTCAGGGACATAGTGAGGCTCAGGTTTTCATTCTGTCATCATGTCTAATATATATGATTGTTCTCTTGTATATGTCAAGTATTATGTAATAAAAATATTTTTGATCAGCTTGCAGGAGAATAGCTGGTATCTGCTTAGGCTTGTGCCAGCCATACCATTGGCACATCAGCTCTTCTTCACCCTGAATTCCTTCTCAGAGTTTAGCAGCCCTCTCTCGCCTAAAGGTTGGATGCACACAGTGACTGCCAGCCCTGGATCAGCCTGCATCCCACCCAGGCCTCCTGCACTTCCAGCCACACTCACTCACTGTGCTTAGCAAGGGCTTACACAGCCAGTGCCTCAGCCATTAACTAGGGTGATATTAAATCTACACAGACCACTCCTTGGAACCCCCATAAAAATCCCTGATAGGCTGGGCGCAGTGGCTCACACCTGTAATCCCAGCACTTTGGGAGGCCAAGGCGGGTGGATCACGAGGTCAGGAGATCGAGACCATCCTGGCTAACATGGGGAAACCCCATCTCTACTAAAAATACAAAAATTGGCCAGGCATGGTGGTGCGTGCCTGTAGTCCCAGCTACTTAGGAGGCTGAGGCAGGAGAATCACTTGAGCCTGTGAGGCGGAGGTTACAGTGAGCCAAGATCACACCACTGTACTCCAGCCTGGTGACAGAGCAAGACTCCGTCTCAAAAAAAAAAAAAAAAAAAAAATCCCTGATAGCTAACCACATTTAATTCACCCTTCCCTTCCTGAGAACTGGAGGCCTTTGTGAGTACTCTGGCTGAACAGGATACCAGAACGCAAGGTCATGCCAGAGTCTGCATTGCCTTTTGTCCACCAAGTCACAGACTTCTGCCACATGCCTCCCCACCCGCTTCTTTCTTCAGATAGGCTTATTGGTTGGGACAAACCAACATAAAGTGTGTGGGATTCCCTGAAGCCAGCCTTTTCTGTTTTGGAAGGAATTCAGATCTTTCTGCTCTAAAGAAGCCTGGCCTGGGAGAGAATATTTTTATAACCCTGCTACATTAGATGACCTGTAGAACATCTTTAATGATTCACCTTCAACTCAGTTTCTATTATTTCTACTTTTTTTTTTTTTTTTCGAGATGGAGTCTCACTCTGTTGCCCAGGCTGGAGTGCAGTGGTGTCATCTCAGCTAACTGCAACCTCCGCCTCCCAGGTTCAAGCGATTCTCCCATCTCAGCCTCCTGAGTAGCTGGGATTACAGGTGTGCGCCACCATGCCTGGCTACTTTTTGTATTTTTAGTAGAGACAGAGTTTCACCATGTTGGCCAGGCTGGTCTCGAACTCCTGACCTCAAATGATCTGTCCGCCTTGGCCTCCCAAAATGTAGGGATTACAGGCATGAGCCACTGCGCCTAGCCAGTTTCTGTCTGTTATTTCATTTCAACCTCACAACTACCTTGAGATCATATTTTTTATTCCCATTATACAGAGGAAGAGACTGAGACTCAGATTTTTAAGCAACCACCCAAAGCAAAGTTCTAGAAGCTATGAAGTGGACATCTGGGATTTGCACCACAGGTGGTTCTGTCACAGAGCCTACCCTCTTTCTGGAGTGCTATGTTGCCTCCCCACACCAAGGTTAGATGCCCAGAGCCGGACTTCCTGGGAGATCACAGAGTGAGGGGAGTGCTGTCCCAGAGAGTGGGGACCAGCTGAGCCTGAACTGCAGCCTGCTTGGGAAGGAGTCTGATTCCTGGGCCAAGTGCTAACAGAATTCCTATTTATTTATTTATTTATTGGAGATGGAGTCTCACTGTGTCACCCAGGCTGGAGTGCAGTGGCGCGATCTCGGCTCACTGCAGCCTCCACCTCCCAGGTTCAAGTGATTCTCCTGCCTTAGCCTCCCGAGTAGCTGGCATTACAGCTGCCCACCACCACACCCAGCTAATTTTTGTATTTTTAGTAGAGACGGGGTTTCACCGTGTTGGTCAGGCTGGTCTAGAACTCCTGACCTCAGGTGATCCGCCCACCTCGGCCTCCCAAAGTGCTGGGATTACAGATGTGAGCCACCATGCCTGGCCTGATAACAGAATTCCTAACTGTGCTCCTGCAACACTCAGGATGATGTGTGAGGCTCGCTAGTGATGCAGAGGCCTACAGAGCAGAATCCCTGCCCTCAGGGGCTGACTCTTAACACTGGGAAGACAAGACAGATGCACATGAAGAGGTATCTGAGAATACAGGAAAATACACAACAAGTACCAGCTGGTCTTCCTGGCAGAGCATCACAGAGGCAATGAGAATCCAGCTGGAGCAGGGAGACAAGAGTCTGGGACCAGCAGGTGACTCTCAACAGTGTCCTTTCATCCCACAACCTGTCTTTGAGGATCCACTGTGTGCCCTGTGCTATGTTTGGTGGTATGGGTTGAAAGATGATGGAGAACTGGTCCTGCCCACAGGTGACTTACAGTCTAGTCCATGAAATAGATGTGCTCAGAAGGGCCTTTGCTGGGGCCGCGGTGCTGAGGGAAGGCTGCGCAGAGGAAGTGATGGCTGAACTATGATTTCAAGACCGAACAGGAGTTTGTAGTCATCCCAAGAGAAGGCAGGGGGTAGCACAGAGGCACGGAGAAGTGAGGTGTGCACGAGAACAACGCAGACTGTAACATGAAATTAATGTCAGCAAAATGTGTGTCTAACTCACTGAGTACACACCTGACCCTGTGCTAGTCTCACATGCGTTATATCCTTTCATCCTCACAATAGCCCTCGTTATCCCCATTTTGCAGAGAGAAAACCAAGGCTTGGAGAGGTGAAGTCCACCCAGATAAAAAGGCAGAACCATCTAGAGTCCAGGACTGCTGTACCCAGGCCCATGTGCTTACCCATGTTGGGGTTGGGAGAGGAGCGGGTGCAGGGCGGCAGGGGCCAGGCTGAGGAGTATACAACAACACAGTCATATCTGCTGCTGCTGCACTCCTAATTAGACCGTTTAAAAATGACCAAAGTGGCCGGGCACGGTGGCTCACGCCTGTAATCCCAGCACTTTGGGAGGCTGAGGTGGGCACATCACCTGAGGTCAGGAGCTGGAGACCAGCCTGGCCAACATGGTGAAACCCCATCTCTACTAAAAATAGAAAAATTAGCCGAGCATGGTGGCAGGCGCCTGTAATCCCAGCAACTTGGGAGGCTGGGGCAGGAGAATAGCTTGAACCTGGGAGGCGGAGGCTGCAGTGAGCTGTGATTGCGCCATTACACTCCACTCTGGGCAACAGAGCGAGACTCTATCTTGAAAAACAAATTGAATTGAATTGAATTAAATTAAATTAAATTAAAATAAGACTGACTAAACTGATCAGAAAAGAAGATCCGTTGAGGCTGAGAAAGGCTAAAACATGGTCCAAGTTTAACAAAAAGGGACTTGGAGGTAAGTGACCACAGCTGTGAGGGAGGGCAGTGCCACTGTGGGTCTGCCAAGGGAGGGATGGAGATGATGCAGCCACATTAGAGGAGGCAAGCCTTCTTCCCGATGCTGTGCCAGTTCGACCCTAGTGGAACTGTTTCCCCGCCAAGCCCTAAGGCCTGGCTGTAGCATTGAGACCACTCAACGAAGCCTCATCTACCATGTGCCCAGTATTGAAAAGTTTCATGCCAGATTCACAAACTGTTAAACATAAGATATTCTATCCAGCTCATTAAGCTGTACACTGACAAGTTGTGTGCTCGCCTGTACGCATGTTTGTGATATTATAAAATATATATTTGGTCTTCGACCTAGTTTCCCAGCGTACAACTCCTAAAATCCTTAGAAACTCCAAAGTGATGTCTTTTTGTATGCTAATGAGCTGACGGAAGAGCTGGCAGCCCCTAGGCAGCTTCAAGATTGAGGTTGGTTACCCCAAAAGACCCAGGCAGGATTAAAGGGTTGGACTTTCTTTTCTTTTATTTATTTATTTTGACGGAGTTTGACTCTGTCTCCCTGGCTGGAGTGCAGTGTTGTGATCTCAGCTCACTGCAACCTCCGCCTCCTGGGTTCAAGCGATTCTCCTGCCTCAGCCTCCCCAGTAACTGGGATTACAGGCACCTGCCACCATGCTCGGCTAATTTTTTTGTATTTTTAGTAGAGATGGGGTTTCACCATGTTGGTCAGGCTGGTCTCGAACTCCTGACCTCAGATGATCCACCTGCCTCGGCCTCCCAAAGTGCTGGGATTACAGGTGTGAGCCACCGTGCCCGGCCAAGATTAGAGGGTTGGACTCCCAACCCTAACCCCAACCCCATCCTTTGGGAAGGGGAGAGGGGGCTGAAGATTAAGTTGATCACTAGTGGCCAATGGTTTAATCAATGATACCTATGGAATGAAGCCCCCATACAAGCCCAAAAGGACAGGGTTCAAGTGCTTCCGGATAGCGGAACACGTGGAGGTTCCTGGAAGGTGGTGTGCCTGGGAAGGGCGTGGAAGCTCAGTGCAGCTTCTCCCATACCTCGCCCTATGCACCTCTTCATCTGTATCCTTGTAATATCCTTTATAATAAACCAGTAAACGTGTGTTCCTGTGTTCTGCGAGCCACTCTAGCAAATTAATGGAACCCAAGGAGGAAGTCACAGGAACCCTGATTTATAGCAGGTCAGTCAGGAGCACATGTAAAGCAGCCTGGGGCTTGGGATTGCTACTGGAAGTGGGAGGCTGTCCTGGGAACTAAGACCTCAACCTATGGGATCAGATGCTATGTCCAGGTGGAGATCATCAGAATTGAATTGGATTAGAGGACGCTGGCTGATGTCTGCCGCAGAATTGACAGCTTGCTTGGTGTATGCACGCATTTGGTCGCAGAAGTCTTCTGTACCAATTATTGCAGGGTGAAAGCAGAGGAAAGACAGTTTACGTCTTTTCCTGTACTTTCATTAAAAAGTTAATCACTTGGCCAGGCGTAGCGGCTCACACCTGTAATCCCAGCACTTTCGGAGGCCCAGACAGGCAGATCACCTGAGCTCAGGAGTTTGAGACCAGCCTTGCCAACATGGCAAAACCTTGTCTCTACTAAAAATACAAAACTTAGCCAGGTGTGGCGGTGCACACCTATGATCCCAGCTACTCGCAAGGCTCAGGGAGGAGAATCGCTTGAACCTGGGAGGCAGAGGTTATAGTGAGATCGTGTCACTGCAATCCAACCTGGGCAACAGTGCAAGACTATGTCTCAAGAAAGAAAAAAAAAAGTTAAACAATCATTCTATCCTCCTATCTTGGCAAAAACCTTACTTGCCACCTAGAGGGCTAGGTTACCTGATAAAGTTCACGCTAGACAATGGTGACATGGGAGATCTAGCCCCAGGCCTGCAGCCTGCCCATCCCTTCTGCATCCCATGCTGGAGGCCCCAGCCACACCCTCAAGCTCCAGCCACAGCCCTTGCAAATGAATTTCCCTTGACCAGCCCTTGGCCACAGGCAGTGTGGCCTGCCCTGGCAGAATGGGCCCCAGGCAGAGGCCTGCAGAGCCCGGAAGCAGGCTCACGGCTGTCTGGGCCAGATACTCCAGGAGCCTAAATTCTCATGGCGCAGCTGAAGAGGGTGGGCACAGGCTGTAGGCGGGCATTTCTCCCTGAGGACCCAGCATGCCTTCTCCTTTCAGGTAAAGCGTGTTTTCCCTTATGTCCTGGCTGTGAGGAAACTCAGGGCAAGCTCCATCCTTGCACCTGCATTGACCTTGACTTGCATATTTGTCTTCTCCTTGACCTTGATCCTGCTCTTCTGTTTTTGTTATTTATTTTTATTTTTTGAGACAGAGTCTCACTCTGTTGCCCAGGCTGGAGTGCAGTGGTGTGATCTTGGCTCACTGCAACCACCACCTCCTGGGTTCAAGCGATTCTCCTGCCTCAGCCTCCCCAGCAGCTGGGACTACAGGTGCGTGCCACCACACCCGGCTAATTTTTGTATTTTTAGTAGAGACGGGGTTTCAGCATGTTGGCCAGGCTGGTTCGAACTCCTGACCTCAAGTGATCTGCCTGCCTCGGCCTCCCAAAGTGCTGGGACTACAGGCGCAAGCCACCACAACTAGCCTGTTTTTATTTTGTTATTTAATCTGATGTGTTTTCCGTCATAAGCCTCTTGAGGGCAGGCATGCTGGATTCCAGACTCCCTGCCCTATGGGGAAGGGAAGTGCTGTAAGACACCAGACGGAAGCCTCTAAATCAGAGAGCTGATGGCAGGCCCCCTCTTTCCCTGATTTAAAGGCAATTCTGTGGCTATAGGACTTGCAGGAAGTTGTAGAAAAGCTGGTAAGAGATCAGAAGAGGAAGAACAAGTAGTTAAAGGTGAGTAGAGGATGGGTCACCTGGGAGGAATTGTTCTAGAGAAGGAATGAGAGATGAGGCCAGCCGGACTTCCTGGGTCAACTGGGGACTTGGAGAACTTTTCTGTCTTACAAGAGGTTTGTAAAATGCACCAATCAGTGCTCTGTAAGAATGCACCAATCAGTGCTCTGTAGCTAGCTAGAGGTTTGTAAAATGGACCAATCAGCACTCTGTAAAATGGACCAATCAGCAGGACATGGGCTGGGACAAATGAGGGAATAAAAGCTGCCTCCCCGCCCACCCCCCCCACCCCCAAGCCAGCAGCACCAACCCCCTTGGGTCGCCTTCCATGCTGTGGAAACTTTGTTCTTTTGCTCTTCAGGATAACTCTTGCTGTTGCTCACTCTTGGGGTCCTTAAGACCTGTAACACTCACCGCAAAGGTACGTGGCTTCATTCTTGAAGTCAGTGAGACCACGAACCCACTGGAAGGAACCAACTCCAGACACAGGAAGATTCAGGGATGAGACGAACCCTGGTCCTCAAGTGCAAACTGGAACCCTACCCCTGGAATCCCAGCACTTTGAGAGGCTGAGGCAGGAGGATTGTTTGAGTCCAGTTCAAGCAAGAGTAATGTAGGGAGATGCTATCTCTACAAAAAAAAAGAAAAAAGGCTGGGCACAGTGGCTCACGCCTGTAATCCCAGCATTTTGGGAGGTTGAGGTGGGCGGGTCACCTGAGGTCAGGAGTTTGAGACCAGCCTGGCCAACATGGTGAAATCCCATCTCTACTAAAAATACAAAAATTAGCCAGGTGTGGTGGCGGGCGCCTATAATCCCAGCTACGTGAGAGGCTGAGGCAGGAGAATCGCTTGAACCGGGGAGGTGGAGGTTGCAGTGAGCCAAGATCTTGCAATTGCACTGCAGCCTGGGTGACAAGAGTGAAAACTCTGTCTCAAAAATAAATAAAAATAAAAATTAAAAAAATTAGCCACATATGGTGCTTGCCTGTAGTCTTAGTGATTTGGCAATCTAAGGCAGGAGGATAGCTTCACCCCAGGAGATTGAGGCTACAGTGGGCTGTGATTGTACCACTGCACTCCAGCCTGGGCAACAGAGCAAGATCCTGTCTCAAACCAAACCAAACTGAAACTTGACAGTGATATTCACATCCCCAGGAAGAAAACCTGGGCCTGGATTAAGGAAAGACTGAAGTCAGATCTAAGGAGGAACTTCCTGGCTGTGGTGTGGTGTGGTGTCACTGAAGGGCCTGGCTTCAGGCAGTTTGTCTCTTGTTTAGAGCTCTGGGGTTTACCAACCATGGAGCCTTCGGCAATGGAATGGTGCCTCAGGGCCTCAGTTTCTCATCTGTAGAATGGGGATAACAAGAGTCTCTGCCTCCTGGGGTTGTCGGGAGGATGAGCTAATGTGTGTGCTTTGTTTCCTCAATGTATGTGATACCCGGGACATCATAAGCGAGGAATTACTAGCTGCCACTGGAGCCGCCCACTTGCTTCCGAGCTCCTTACAGCTCCTGGTTGGGTCCTGTGATCCTCGGTTTTCTTTTTTTCTTTTTTCTTTTTCTTTTCCTTTTTTTTTTTTTTTTTTTGAGACAGAGTTTCGCTTTTATTGCCCAGGCTGGAGTGCAATGGCCAGGTCTCAGCTCACCGCAACTTCAGCCCTCGGTTGAAGCGATTCTCCTTTCTCAGCCTCCCCAGTAGCTGGGATTACAGGCACGTGCCACCACGCCCGGCTAATTTTGTATTTTTAGTAGAGTTGGGGTTTATCCATGTTGGTCAGGCTGGCCTCAAACTCCCAACCTCAGGTGATCTGCCTGCCTTTGTCCCCCAAAGTGCCGGGGTTACAGGCGTGAGCCACCGCGCCCAGCTGAGCCTCAGTTTTCTCACAGGTAACATGGGGATGAAGAGGCTGCTTTCTCGAGGCTGCTTTAGCTTCCAGGACAGTGCAGAGGTCACAGACTCCATCCTTACTGGTAGCAGAGAAAGGCTCCAGAATCCCCTATGGAAGCTTCAGTTAAGATGGAGAACCACCCAGCCTGAGGCTAGACATTCTCTCCTCCGAAGTCAGGGACTGGGTGGGGTGACCTGCACATGTGTTGCCCAAGGGCAGAAGCGGAGGGGAGGGGAGAGCCGGTTAGAGTTGTGAGGACACCTTGCTGGGTGAATGGGGAGATCCCTGGCCGCCGCTCCCCTCTGCTCCTCCTTGGGGCTCCATCTGCAGAGTGGGGCTTGGCCCTCACGATGGCTGCTGGGGACGGGAGCAGCTCTGTTGGAGAGAGGGTGGGTGCTACCTGGGCACTCCGTCACCTGTGGAATGGTGGCAATAGCACCGTCGGCTTCCAAGGCAAGGGAGGGTGGGAGGAACCAGTTGTGAAGGGAGCCAGGGGTAGGGGTGGACATAGTCATTGGCCAGGAACGAGAGACAGTCCCTAGAGGAAGATTAGGAACCAACCTCAGCTTTAGAGTGGAGAAGATCATGGAGGAAAAAAAAGAGGCGACTTCTCTGAAGACAAGACCTTTGTAGACTTGGGGAAAAGCTGACAGTAAAGAAACAGAAAGAAGGCCGGGCCTGGTGGCTTACGCCTGTCATCTCAGCACTTTGGGAGGCCGAGGCAGGTGGATCACTTGATGTCAGGAGTTTGATACCAGCCTGACCAACATGGTGAAATCCTATCTCTACTGAAAATACAAAATTAGCTGGGTGTGGTGGCGCATGCCTATAATCCCAGGTACTTGGGAGGCTGAGGCAGGAGAATTGCTTGAACCCGGGAGGCGGAGGTTGCAGTGAGCCGAGATCATGCTACTGCACTCCAGCCTGGGCAACAAGAGCAAAACTCCATCTCTAAGTAAATAAATAAACAGAAAAAAAAGAAACAGAAGCAGACTGGAATTCTCATAACTCAAAACTATCCAGTCAGGACCAACTCCCTCCCAGAGCAATGTTTATTTTGCTTTTTAATTCGCATGTGCCTTGCTTCTTTCCAGAAAGGATTTGAAGAGGTTGACAGCAAATGTGTATCCCAAAGACAAGTCTTTATTGAGGATCCATTATGCCCAGGCCAGGTACAAAGACTCCAACATGTCTGCCCTCAAGAGGCTGATGACGGAAAACACATCAGATTCAATAACAAAATAAAAACGGAAGAGCAGGATCAGGGAAGGTCCACACGGGTGCAAGGATGTGGCTTCAGGTGGACCTCTGAGTTTTCTCATAGCCAGGACATAAAGGGAAGCATGCTTTATCAGAAAGGAGAAAGCATGCTGGCTCCTCGGGGAGAAATAAAGCTGAAGGTCGAATTGTAAAAGTGAAATGAACAATTGGCTGTTTCAGAGATACCAACACAAGAATTGGACTAGGGCAAGAAAGAAGATTCTGCCCAGCTGCTTTCTAGCACGTATATGATGGAGACCAGATGCAAAGCAGCAAAAAGGACTAAGTAGAAGGAAAGAGCTTAGTGCTGGAAGGAATCTGAGAGGTCATTTACGCTACCCTTTCTGTTTCACAGATGAGGAAACTGAGGCCCGGGAGGCAGTGATTTGATCAAGGTCGCCCCTTACCCATCCCAGGGGCAACAAAATCCTCACATGGCCACTGCTGTCAGCAACTGTGCAATCCCAGCTTGAGGACAGCCTGATGGCTTGTGGAAAGGTGGCCAGTGAAGAGGACACATCCCCAAATAAGAGACTTCCCAGACGTTCACAAATAGTATCTATAAGCCCAAAGCATCAGCCTTTGAGTGGAAGGTCAAGTGTAAACTTGTCTCAAAACCATCCTTTGGGGAACAAAGTAGAATATGAACAAGCAAATTTTTACCCCAATAACAAGTCCACAACTGAGCCTGAATGGTGGTAGAAGGAAAAAGGCTTTAGGTCCAACAGGGTGTGGGCTCAGGGCTTCCCATGCCATGCCCAGGCTGCACTGTGGGACTCCCTATCTATAAACTGGCAAGAATTAGATTCAGATAAATCATGATGTCTGCATGGGGATCAGCACATAGCACATGGTCAACAAACGTATTAACCTGTTCCTAGATAGAGAAACAACTTCTGCCAATTGCAATCTTAAAATTAATGACTTAGACACTTAAGCATCGTGTGAACTGGTGAACATGGAGGGGGAAATAGTACACAAATAGGAAACGTTTACAAGTGGAACTGGGATTAAAAAAAAAGAAAAAGAAACCCAGGGGAATTGACACTGTGGAGAAAAGGCTCATCTCCACTCCTGGGACAGCAGCCTGCTCAGGTCGAGGGGCCCATCCACCTTGAGAGACCCTCTAAGGACCCTCCATAGTTCAGGGCTGTTAGCTACATGACCTGAGCCAAGTGGGGTCCGAGCTGAGCAGCGCAGAGCAGACTGACCCCAGGTCAACAGGCCCCAGGTTGGGCTGCCTTTTAAAGTCAGAGAGAGGAGGTGGAAGTATTTCAATGAACAAGCAAAGAGGTGAGTATTCCAGTTGAAGTGGGTTATTGGGGGGATCGAGGGGGTTTGTGAAAGTTACAACTGCGCAGGTGGACAGAAGTGAAATCATAGGGAGCCTCAGTACCAGATAGGAAGAGGGGAGCCATGGGAGGTGTCAGAGCAGGGGAGTGGCACCCTCAGCAATCCACCTTGTGAAGATGATTGGTGGGAGCTGGAGAGGAGGCGGGATCCTGCTCACTCACAGCACAAGCCCTATTTGCATTCCTAATGGGCCCTGCGAGATTGGTTTTCCTTGCCGGCCCAGCTGGCTCTGGCAGATAAGTGGGACTCTGTGCCCAGGGGCAGGTTTCCCAGAAAGGTCTTCCAGACAGACCTGGGTGCTTGGTCCTGTTGCTCCCATCCCCCTCCCCAACACACACGTACACACACTCAGTCCTCGCAGTTTTTCCAGCCGAGCTGGAGGGAATGGCTTGTGCCTGTCTCCTAGTTTGCTAGGCCTTACCCAGGCCATTAGGATTCCCTGACGACTACAGGCCTCAGCAGAGCCCCTTCCAGCTGGCAGCCCTTTGCCCTCGCCCCCCTCACCTCCACCTACATCTTCCCATGTGTCCCTGGTTGGAAATCTCACTCTGGGTCTGGCCAGTGGTTTTTGCATTAGGCCAGGAGGATAACCAAGCCCCATGCCCTGAGCTGTGAACCTGGGTATGCCCCGTGACCAGTTGGCTTCAGACCTGAGGCCTCTGTGCCCTCTCCCAGGGGCTCTCCAGTGAGCATCAGGACCCCTACAGGAAGGAGCTGAGGACTCCCCTGTCCAGCCCCACTTCTTCCTCTGCTGGAAATATCAACTCCTCAAGCTCAGAGGCTCAGGGGGGCTCTTAGGTCCATTCTTAGCACTGTCTGAGCAGGGACTAGCTCTTATTCCTCTCCTCTTTTCTTTCTTTCTTTTTTTTTTTTTTTTTTTGAGACAGAGTGTTGGTCTTGTTGCCCAGGCTGGAAGGCAGTGGTGCAATCTCGGCTCACTGCAACCTCCGCCTCCCAGGTTCAAGCGATTCTCCTGCCTCAGCCTTCCGAGTAGCTGGGATTACAGGCTCCCACCACCACGCCCAGCTAATTTTTTGTATTTTTAGTAGAGACAGGGTTTCACCATGTTGGCCAAGCAGGCCTCAAACTCCTGACCTCAGGTGATCCACCCGCCTCGGCCTCCCAAAGTGCTGGGATTACAGGCGTAAGCCCCATGCCCAGCCTTCTTATTCCTCTTTTCTAGGACTCACAGTGATAGTTAACTTCTCTGGAAAGAACCTGACACTTCCCAAGTGTCCTCAGGAAGGAGTCCTCAGCTCCTTCCTGTAGGGGTCCTGATGCTCAATGGAGAGCCCCTGGCAGAGGGCACAGAGGCCTCAGGTCTGAGGCCAACTGGTCACGGGGCATGCCCACAAAGATTATTCCACCTGAAGCTCTTCACGGCCCTGCAAGCAGGCAGGGCAGGTGGTCGTGTTATTATCATCATCCAATTTGCAGATGAGAAAACTGAGGGAGGGAGGAGACTCATCCACTGTCTCACAGCTCTTTGTGTGTAGAGTTTAGAGCTCTGCACCCCCCACCCTTCCCTGAGACCAGCTTTCAGTGACCACCCCCTCCACCAGGCACAGATGGTCCAAATAGCTGGGTGACCTGAACGCGGAATACAGCCTCCATGACTGCAATCTCGGAGCTGGAAGTCTTTGGCCAGCAGCTTATCCAACTCTCCTAGTTACTGAGACTCAGAACAGTTCAGGAAGTTACCTAATATCAAGATGGTGGCAGAGCCAGGTCTCAGGTGCCCTAACTCCCTGCCCGGAAGCCGCCCACCTCCTCACACTGGCCCCTCTCGCCCCAGAGCCCGCTCTGGCATCTCCTTCATTCCCTAGATGTATGGGTGTGCCTGACATTTCTGGAATTCACTCCACACACATAATGAGGCCATTTTGAGAAGGCCCGCCTCAGGGGGAACCAGAGAGCTGTCTAGTGTCCCCATCCTGACCCCTGCCAACTCCTCCCGGCTGTACAGGCCAGGCTGCAAACAGATAAATCGACACTACTGGCTTCAGCAACTCTACCCCTGCCCGCCCTACACCTTTCCAGCCTTAAGAACTAGCAGTGAGGGATTTGGGATTCACGGCTGCGATGCAGGGAACTAAGCGGCCTTAGGTGTCATCGGGCGGGTTGTTGCATGGGTCAGTGTTAATATGGGAAATGCTGATGTCAACTCAGCAGGTATGGAAACAGAATGGGGGCTCCTGTCAATGGCGCGGAAGTGATTGTAGCTGCACCCAGCGGCATTGGGGTGACTCTCTGAGATATTAGTTTGACATGAGGGTATGGGGCCGTGCCTGCTGGCAGAACCGTTGTGCACCTGGGGTAGCCACTGTGCTCACGAGGGACAGGCTGCCTAACGCTGAAGAACCGGGTTTCAGCCTCTGAGCGCAGGACCTTCTCTCCAGCCCCCATGGCCCACTGAGACCTGAGCAACAGAAAAGGAGCAAACCTGCAGGCAGGCCCTCCCAGGCAGCAGCAGGACAGGGTGCCCGAAGGAGAGCGTGGAGTTGCCTCTCAGAAGATTCTAGAAACTCTGGCTGGGTGCGGTGGCTCACGCCTATAATCCCAGCACTTTGGGAGGCCGAGGCGGGTGGATTACCTGAGGTCGGGAGTTCGAGACCAGCCTGGCCAACATGGTGAAACCCCCATCTCTACTAAAAAATTCAAATATTAGCCAGGCATCCTGGTGCGCACCTGTAATCCCAGCTACTCGGGAGGCTGAGGCAGGAGAATTGCTTGAACTCGGGAGGCAGAAGTTGCAGTGAGCCAAGATTGTGCCACTGCACTCCAGCCTGGGCGACAGAGCAAGGCTCTGTTTCAAGAAAAAAAGAAAGAAAGAAAGAAACTCAACTCTGCCCAGGTGCCTTAGCTATTCCGCTGCCCAGAAGCAGGGAGGAGACCCAGTGCTCCTTCCCAGAAGGCCCGTTTTCCAGCCCGTCGCCATCCAGTCTCCCTTGGAGAAGTCCCGGGAGATGGGATCCAGCTTCCTTCCTCTTTTCCCACCTTCTCCACTCCCAGAAGCTATTCCTGCAATCCTGGCCTAGCCTCTCACTGAGAGCAGGGAATTCCCTCTCTGGCAGCGGGATAAAGAAGGACCCTGCTTAGAGCCGGGACAGCCAAAGGGACAGGGAGGGCCTGGATGGGGAGGAGGCAGAAGTCTGGCCCCTGCTGCCTCCCCACACATACCTCCACCCCCCTATCCCCGCCCCAAGAATGTAATTAAGCAGCAGCTTCTGCCAGGAGCCAAGCTTTCTGCCTTCCGACTATAAATCACCTTCTGAATCATCTCTCAGCTCCTAGAGAAGCAACTTCTGCTCAGGCTGCTCTGGGCGGCCCTGGTGCCACTCCCCCTGGGAAGCCTGCCTCCCCCACCCCTTCTGTGCCCAGCCCCCTGGCTCTAGGTCCCAGCAAGAGTCTGGCAGACTCTGGGGGTCGGGGAATGATTAGGGGACACTCCAGCAACCTTCTCTACCCTGCCCTCCCCTTCCTGAGCAGGTAAAGAGCTGAAGTGAGATTAGCCTGGCCCAGCACCCTCAACTTAAGAATAAAGCTAAAGCACTGTGGGGCAAACAGGCAAAAAGAAGAAAAGGGGAAAACAGAGCCAGGTGGGGCAAATCTGGGAGGGCTTCTTGGAAGAGGCAAGTTTGGCTCCAGGGCTTCAGTGAGCCAATAGCTTGCAGATAGGAGGTGAAAATAGCTAACATCGATATGCTTCCTGTATGCAAGGTATCATTCTAAGAAGTATTCACTCAATCATTTTCAAAACCCTATGAAATAGAGGCAATCATTACACTCATTTTACAGATGAGGAAACTGAGGCTTGCAGAGGTTAACTTGCCCTAGTTACCCAGGTAGTACATGAAAAAGCCAGATGTGAATGCAGATGGCCTGGCTCCAGAAGAGTGGGAGTGTTTGGGGCGAGGTTTGGAAGTGCAAGCAGGTTGGCTTGGCAGGAGTGGGGCAGCCAGCTCTTTGCGATTTAGGTCAGATGGAGCCACAGAAAGAAACGGGTGGACTGTCTAATACAGGCCCGGAATGTGTGCAGTAGAGTGTCATGCTTCACAGCAACGAGCCCAGAACCTGTCATAGCCCTGGGACTCTGAGAGGCAAAAGGGACCCCTCCATGTGGTTAAGGAAAATGAAGCCCAGAAGGAGGCAGGGACTTGAATGAAGCCCAGAGAAGGGAAGGGACTCATCCTAGGTCACAGGGTCCATTGGTATTAAACTTGGAATTCAGACATAGGTCTCTCCATCTCCCCACTCTCACCATTTTCCAGCATACAAGATAACATGGATGTACAGATGTAATATCAGGATGGCTCTAACCTTTGGCGGGGGGTGGGGGTGGGGCTAGGCATACCTCCTCCCTGAGTTAGGAATGAGGGGTGGAGGATGTCTTGCCCTCCTTGGCAGCTGGAGAAGGTTTCTGTGGCTCACATCAGGGTAGGTGGAAAAGGTTCTGCTCAACTCCTGGCTCATCACATTCTGAGACCAGAAAAATCTTCCTTTTTCCCACTTCCTTTTCCCTGGAAGGGTTTGTTAGCTGCATCCTCCTCTGTGATAAGTCACCTTTCCTGTGCCATCCCCTGGCTCCTTATCCCCTGGCTCCTTGTCTCCTGCCCAGACCAAGGAGAGACTTCTTCCAATTCTACATCTGCCCAAGTACCATTAATGTTTATTAGCATTAAGTTCTGTAGTGAGGAGGATGAGAGATGCTTGCTAGGCTGAGTGCATTCTTTGGAGATTTCCACCCAGAGCCCTCGCTGTCTGCCTCAGTTTCTCCACCTTTGTCAGTGATTGAGCATGTATCCAGATGCCAGAGTGTGGGCCCTGGTAGGGCCTGGCTGGGTTTGCCACTGGTGAAGCTGCAGCAAGCACCTCCTAAAGGACTTGGCACCAAAGTCCAGCTCCTGCCTCTTTTGACCTCATCGCCAAAGGTCTTCCCACCAGGCCAGGATTAATTGCAGGGCAGACATCACAGACCCAAGCCCTCAGGATCCCTGGGGTGGAGGTGGGGGTGATACTCAGACTCCACCCATCTCTCACCTCTTGGCCCCGGAGCTGTTGACAAAATGCTCTGAGAGTCTAGAACTTTCCCTGAGAGCGTCCCCTTCCCCCATGCCATCCACATACATATTACAGCAGGTTCTTCTAAGGACATAACTCAGCTCAGGCTCTTGGTATTATTATAACGTTTGACCTGTTTTCTTCTTTTTAAGCAAAATGTGATCCTATCGGAAGAATACCAACAGATCGGCCACCAATTTTGCTCCCTCTGGACTCCGAAGCCCCACCCATAATGGGGGCGGGGTGAGCGGGAGGGCTGTTAACTTCCAAGAGACCTGGACTAATTTCCCCGCCATATCCCCCCCAGGGAAAGGTCTGCCCTGGAAGGGAGACCACCCGGTTAAAGCCTGGCCATCCGATCTGGTATCTGCCCATCTGTCTGTCTGTCTGTCTGTCTGTGGGATCAACAGCCTCCAGCTAGCTCAGCTCCTCACCAGCCCCAGCCAGCCCAGCCCCAGCGAGCTGTAATTCCTGCCTGTTACAAGTGTTAACACCTGGCCTGGGGCCTTCCTCCCCCGCAGTCTCCAGGTGCCTCCCTGGGCCCAGCCCACTGACCCCCACGGGGTTTGACTGAACATGTTCACAAGCCTCTGAAAGGTGGGTGGAGGTGGGAGTGGGTGGGAGAGGCAGCAGGACATCTGACAGATGGGGAAACTGAGGTAGGTCTTAGGCAGGTGCTCGAGTGGGAGGATGGGTCCTGGGATGGCGAGAACTCAGGTGTGCTATTTCCCAGCTCACTGCCCTTGTCCTCTGCAAAACATTTTCACCCAAGCTGTGAGGCAGGGCAGGCTGGGGACTCCTGGGTGAAGTGTAAGGAAGCAGACCCAGATGGGTGGCCACTGGTCCTCAGTCACACAGCGGCAGGGTGAGCTCCTGATCTCCAGCAGGCCCCCTCCATCTGCACGTCCATCGCTGGAATGTAGCAGGTGCTGGGCTAGGCCCTAATAACATAGGTTCATCCCCCCACCCCAGCGCCCCCAAGAAGAAGAAGAAAGACAAGTTTCTCCACCAGGAGCTAACTGGGACTGACAAGGGGAATTCGAGAAATCAGTGCTGTTGTTTCCTGTCCCGGCTCTGTCACTACCTGGAGAACATCTCTTCCTTCCAGGGGTGTCAGTCTGAGGCCCCTTAGAGCTGTCCCTTCTGGTCAACCTTCTGTCAGGACTGGGGTCTGAGCAGTGTGGACTCAGGGTGTCATGCTTGAGGGTCCGCGTGGACAGAAATCCCAGCTACATGACTTCCCCTGTAAATCCTTCCTGGGGAATGCATGAGCTGGGTGGGCCAAAGAGGGCAGGCCAAGATGGGCTTAGATGCTCAAAGTACTGGAATCTGACTGCCAGGCGGGGGGCTGGGTTGGGGAGTGGGGGCAGAAATGGGATCAGGAATCAGAGGCCCATCTACCCTACAGCCCCAGCCCTAACCCTGAGAAGGTGACTCACCCTCCACCCCAGCTCCAAGACCAAAGAAAAACAACCTCAGAGAGAAGGGCCAGTGACTCTAGTGCCTGGACAGACAGGACAAGCTGGTGTCAAGGAAGCCTGTGCCCCTGCCTCTCTAGCTTGCCATCCCTGGCCAGCTGTGCCCCCTGCAGCCACCTTGTGAGACTTTTGCTTCCTGTTGGACCTTCCCTCCAGGCCCATGGCTGCCCACCAAACACCCAAGCTCAGGTGTCATTCATACCCACAGGTAGATGTCTGCAAAGATATTCACAGCCACACAGCCCTGGGCCCAGCACCTGGGGACAGGATCACAGGCGGACTCAGACACAGCCCTCACACAGCTATGGACTTGAGGCTCACTCTCCTCCTTACAAGCACAATCAGGTCATGGCCATGAGCACTGATATTCATGCACAAAGACATCTGTGGGGCTTTCCCCACACTGTCATGAAGGCATGCGCGCGCACGTACACACACACACACACACACGCACGCACACACACACTCACACACACGCACGCACGCACACACACACTCACATGCCCAGTCATGAACACAGTCAAGCCCAGCGTCACAGGCAGACACAGGCTCTGACCTTTACATGGGCAAAGATACTTCTAGACTTCTCTCTGTCTCTTACACATGTACATACACACATCACAGCACCAGCCACTTGCTCACACTCGTGTGCAGACACACACAGCACAACCTGTCGTGGGCATGGATCCCCCAACACGCCCACACGATTTCACATCCATAGTAGCCCAGTTGCAGGCACAAACACTTTTGCACACAGAGACACACTGGTGTATAGAAAACACCTCTTAGGGTCATAGACCCAGAACACACGCACACACACACACACACACACACACACACACACACACACACACACCTCTCTCCTTGGCTTAGACAAAGCAGCATTCCTGTCCCCCACCAAATTCCCAAACAAGCCATGTGTCTAGCATTATGTTAGGGCCAATGTCTTGACCTTCCAGGTTTCCCCAGCGTTTCTTCCTATTGGGCAATCCCTATCTAGATGGTCCCCAAGATACCATTTCACACCAGAATCTACACCAACTGGAAGAGTGCCCTCTTCTAGTTCATAGGGCCGGAGAGACTGGTCTCTCTTCCTCAGTCCCTGCCACCTATGGGCCGCCAAACCTTTCCTTCCTACCCTCCCCCAACCCACCAGAGTCTCTGCGAAAGCAAGGCGAAAAACGGCATGGCCTTGGCCCGGGAATGGGAAGAGGGTCAGGAATGGCCGGGTGAGGCTGGACTGGTGTTGGCAGCAGCCTTTCCCCAGACTGGCCGAACCTCCTTCCTGAAGTCCCTGGCTGCCCTGGCCACCCCATGGACTTCTTTATGTGCTGGAAGCCTCAGGTTAGCCCAGCCCCCCGGAAAAGTGTGGGTTGGGCAGAAGAAAGACTTCCCCTTGGCTGGCTGTCCTGGGAGCAACTCCTAGCACCCTCTAAACAGAGACCCTTGGCCATGTCCCCACCCTCTCTCCCAGGAGCCCCAAACACCCAGACACAAATGCTGCCATCCCCAAACAACTGGAAGACTCGGGGTGTGGCCCCCAAGTCTTGCTGTCTCTGCTCCTCCTACCCTGGACTCTGGGTTGGCGAAAGGCAGGGAGTCTGGGGACCTGCAGGCGGTACCGCACCGTGGTGGCACTTCTTTCTGACTTTCACCCCGGGGGCCACAGCCCACTTCTCACTCACAGATCCCAAATTCTTCCTCCTCACCTCCCCCCGCCCAGGCCAAGGCTCTCCTATGTCCAGGAGGGGAAGATTCTTTAATTAAAGTTTTCCGGAATGTAGGGGGCTGGAGACTGGGGAGAGGCGGAGTGTAATTTAGAGAACTGGTTTCAGTGTCTTCCCCTCTGGCCCCTGGGACCTGCGGAGGGTGGGAGAGCGGCGATGGGGCCGCTCGGAAAACAAGGGGACTCCTGGAGCTGGGGCTCCCAAAGCGATGTTTATTCCTCACCCAGGCCCCCCAGACACGCACAGCCCCCCCCAAGCACTGCTCCCGGCTTCCCAGTCTTATTTACTAAAATGTCTTTTGTATCCACATTTCTCAGGGACGGAATTCTCCCTTCCCTCTCCCTTTCTCCTCGGTCCTCGGTTTTCCAAAAGGAAGAAATGTGACATGGAGAATTGGATTTTTGGTCAAAGAACAACAAGCCTACCCCTCCCAGACAACACATTTTCAAGGAACCCCCCTTTTGCCAGGGTGGACAAGCAAGAAATGAATAAAATCCGAATTCAATGGCATCCCGGATCAGCAAATACCATATTCACTTCAGAGGCTCAAGATGAATCTAGAGCGGTGGGGAGAATCTGATGAAATCCCCCCACCCACTCCCCTGCCCCGGGAGGAGCCCTGAAGCCTTTGGGGTCTGAAATAGGAAGGCAAAGGGGGGTTATTATGGGGAATCTCTTGATGGAGGCGCCGGCAGAGGTGGGGTGGCAGTGAAGGAACAGGATGGTTTTGCCCATGAAGACCCCAAAATGGAGAAGAGGAGTGGCTGGGCCCCAGGGACAGTGCTGGATTTCCAGAAACCCAACTGCAAGCAAATGGGGGGTCTTCGGGGGCCTCTAGATTGGGACGGGCAGAGGGTTAGGATCTAAGAATAAGAAACCTTCTGAGATGGGAAAAGTCCTCCAGCCCCTGCAGCGGGGAGCAGGGAAAATGGTGATTATCAGAGGAGCCAGGAGTTGGATTCTGAAGGCGACACCAGCAGAAAATCCAGGAGGGGTGGGCGGGTGGGGGGCTGGAGGGAGGCGAGGAGAGGAGCCCCAGCCCTGCAGCGGCCCACCCCCAGCCGGCGCCCCCACCTTCCCCGGACGCGGCGGAGAAACCGGGCCGCGGGCAGACAAGAGGCGAGTCTTACCACCAAATTGGGTAGCCAGCGAGGACCCTGGTGCCACCGAGCAGGAGGCCGAGGAGCAGCCCGAGCAGGTGGGGCTCCATTAGAAGAGGCGCCGAGGAGGAAGTTTGCCCGCGACCATGAAGAGGGGGAGCGACGCCCCCAATAGTTGGAACAAAGTCCACTTGAGATTGGAAATGACTTTCGGGCTTGTCAGAAGCGCACCTCCACCCGCAGCCGCCCCCCTCCCGAGCCCAGCGCGGAGCAGCCGGGTTTGAGGATGTCAGCGAGCAGCCAATCAGCGCCCGCGGCCTAAGGTAAGAGATGAGTCTGTAGTTCAGCCTGTCAATCACGCGCCCCTCCCGCCCGGCCCACAACTCGGGCTCCGGGAAGGGCATCGCCCAGCAAACTTGGGCAAAGCCCGCGCCCCGGACGCCGCGGGGCTTCGGGGGGACGCGGTGGGCCGGACCCTCTGCTACCGCCGCGGTCCCCCGCTGGCCAGGGTTAGGGCGCGGGGGCTTTGACCCGGGCGTTCACATGGCGAGGGCTTGGCGTGGGCATGAACGGGTGGCTCCTTTGCTGGCGGGGACCGTGACCCGTTGGGACGTGGGCCCGCGAGGAATCGAGGGTAGAAAGCACAGGGATGTTTCCAGAAGCCCCGCTCGGGCAGGTCAGGATCAGAGGGTGGGGGAACGCACCCCCTCCCAGCTTCCAGCCTCCCGAGTCCGCCCGCTCTCTGGCCTCTCGTCCTGGCCGCGGGAGGTCACTTCCCGGGTGTCCGAGGAACGTGCGGAAAAGTCCGCGGAGGCTCGAAGGTCTGGCTGCGGGCGGCGCCGGGGGACGGAGCCGAGTGTCATTTGAGTCTTTTGTCAGGGATCAGATCGGTATCGGGACCTCCTGCTGCCTTTGCATTTCCTGCAACTGACACCAGCGGCCAGTCGCATTTCCTGCTCTCGGAGTCGGGTCACTTTCTCCTCCTTGAGGGGTTCAGGCCCGACCTCTGGCCCGGGTCGGAGGCGTGACCCACAGCCTCAGTGGGATTCTCGGTTGGACCATCAGGGACCGGTGAAACGCGCAGCTCTGGCCGAGGGCGGCCCAGGTCCTTGGAAGACCTTGCTGCCCTCCGGAGCGCCCCTCACTGCCCGACCGTCCCGCCTGAGGCCCCGGTTCTACTGATAGGGAGCTCCAGCCTGGGGTTTGGCGATAAAGGCCCTTGCCCTGTGCGGACACCAAATGCCTCCAGTTACCCACCCCTCCCCACAGGAAAGGAGTCCTTCCAGGCCCCCTTCGGGCTTGCTTCCTCTCCTCTCCCTCTCCAGAGCGAGGAATTAGGTCTCAGCCCTGGGTGGTATTGACATCATGGTCAGGTTTTGGGGACTCACGCCCGGTCACCTGGGTGCCTTTCCCTAGGCCCCCTCCCAGGCCACCTGAGGCACCAGGACTCTGCGCAGCCCCGGTCTGGGGTGAAGGAAGCACTGCCGGTGGGGAGCAGGGACCGCTGTGTAGGGAACTGTGGCAGAAAGGGCAGAGAATGAGCCGACCCGAGTCCCACAGAGGCCTGGAACGGCGGGCGTTCCACGAGGTGAGGGCCATGGCTGAAGGAAGTCTTACGCCAGGGGGCCAGACATTCCTGGCCTTTGATCTGAGCCCCCCGTACCCACAGCTCCAACCTGCTGCCCCTTCTGGTCGGCGAGCCCTCTCCGCACGCGGCTGCTGCCGGCACAGGGAGCGCGGGGAAATGGCCTCGGGGGCACCAAGGGTCGGGAGAGCCGCCTGGGCTTGTCATGGCTCCTGCTGCGTTCCCAGCCCATTGCTGGACTGGAGGGGGTGGGAGGGGAGGTTGAAAGAGAGGAAGGAAGGGGAGGAAAAGGAGAATCCGAGAGGAGGAGAGAGAGAGAGGGGCTCAGAGATGAGAGAGACGCTGAGACAGAAACCAAGAAAACTGTCGGGGGGAGGCTGAGCCACCGGTGTGAGGAAGAAAGGGGCAGGGGGGAGGCGGAGAGCACCAAGGAGCTGCAAGGCGAAGAAAAATCGTGAACCTGACCAGGAGTGGTGAACCTGGTGGGGGCTGCAGAGATGGGGATCCCTAGAGATGCTCCTCATGGCTGGGCTGATTCTGGGGTGCCCTGTTTCTGATTCACCTGGAAAGAGGGTTACCATTGCCATGAATGCAGAGCCTCAGGACCAAGGCTCTGGCAGTGGAGAGCTTTCCACATACCTCCCTCTTGGATGGAGGCCTGCTAGGTCCTACCTGGAGTCCTGTCCCACCCACAGGGCTCCCAGGTGGCTTTCTGATCAGAGCTGCCTGCTGGAGTCCTGCCCAAGGGCTCGGGAGTTCCAGAGCCCCATGACAGTGGTGCTGAGAGCTGGGGAGGGCTACCTTCCCTGGCCACTCAGACACCACTGTGGATGCAGTATGGTGGGGCGACAGGGCCTGGACTTGATGGCTTCTTGGGGTCATTACTGGGCCTCAAGACTCCACAGGTGCCAACCCTGTGAGGTGGGAGCAAAAGATCCGAGGCTGTCGGTGGGAGTGTGTGTTGGCTGAGATATGCCCAGCCAGCATCCTGGGTGCTGTGGGCAAGAACATCATTCCCTGAGGGGTCATGTGTACCTGAATGCCTCCTCCAGGCAGCCTGGAGAACTCAGACGCAGGTCATGTGCATCAGGCAGGAAACAAGTGGGTTGAAGGGTGGAATCTAGGAGCTGGCCATGTGCGCCTGGGAAGTGACAGAGGAGAGGACTGGAACCTACCAGCGGCCCTGCCAGGCCCCTAGTGAATGGAGGTGTGTGTGGGGATTTCCGCCACTTGAAAGCTCCTCAGACAAGGGGAGCCTGAGTCCCTTCCTTTCCCCCAGGTGTCCTTCCTTCAACACAGGTTTAATTTCCTTCCTCCTGCACCCCTTGCGCTGCCGCGGGTGGAAACGCAGGAATGGTTTCTCTCAGGGGAGGGCGGGCGCCCCTGACCACACATCACAGATAGAAACACCCTCTCTCTAACAGGTACCCCAAGCCCCAGGGTGGTTTCACTTGGTGGAGAAAGGGTTAAATTCACTCCAAGACCAGGAAGGGAGGGCGGGGTGGAGGCATCAGCCGGTGGACCAGGAGGCCATCGCCCTGAAAGGAAGGGTGGTCTCTTGGAAGAGGGCAGAAGAGGCAGCAAGGGCCAGGGACCTGGGGACATGGGGTGGCACGTGGGAAGCACTTTTTGTTGTGTGTGTGAATGTGTGGGACCTTAGACCTGGGAAGGGGACCCCAGTCCCAACCCAACCCCTCTCTCTAGCTGGCTCGGAGGTTCCTTTTGATGTGCACTCCCCCGGGGCTCAGAGTCTGCCGCTGTGTATTCAGTGAGGCTCCACTGGACCCCCTGCGGAGGCACCGTGTAGACAAAGAATCCGGTGGCCAGGCCCCCGCCCGCCCTCATGGGGCTACCCGTCTGTCGCGGGGAAGGAGGAGGAAATCTCCGATCCAGGCACTGTGCCATTCATTTTTGCTTGAAACAGGTCTTGGGGCTGCCAGGCGGGAGTCGGGAGCCGGACCAACCTGGGGGGGTAAAGGGAGAGGCGAAGCCGTTGCAGCGGGGAAGCAGGTGGGGAAGTGCGAAAGGCCGAAGGCCTAACACCACAGGGCTTATGGAGGAACAGTGCAAAGGGAGCACATAGGGGGCTCCAAGGCCTCTGACCTGGAGAGGAGGGCGTTTAACTTTCTCCTAGGAGCTGTAGGAACCGCAGAGCGGTTTTAGGCGAGCTCCCTAGAGGCCACTGGAAGGCTGGACAGCAGAGCCTGGAAGCAGGAAGGCCCTAGCGTGGGTGGTGGGCGCAGGAGTAAATCGGATTTCTTTCCACTGCCCAGCCTAGTTTGCTGGCATAGAGGCTGCATCCTGGAAATGCAGGAAGCCCCTGACCTGCACCGAGTAAGCGCATAGTAGGTAAGCACCAGATGTTAATCTAACACACAAAGGAGCGCAGGTGCACGCGGAGGTCGGCTCAGAGCCCAGCGGCGCGGGCGCGCCCCCTGGCGGCAGTGCTGATAGCAAGGCGGGAGGTCAGCAGGCGAGGAAGGGGTCGCGCCTGGTCCCACTCCGCTCCCTGCGGGCCCGGCATCCTCAATTGTTGCTGGTGAGCAGCCCGGATTTCGGAGGATCTTGGTTAAGCAGGTGCCCTCCTGAGTGAATGCCCTTAATCTACCTCGCAATCCCGGAGCTTAGCTGGGGATAAGGGGTGCATGGCTTCAGGCTCCCCTCTCCTCTCCAGACAGGCGGAGGGCGAGCGGGCCCAGGTGATGCCGGTCCAGGGCGCACTGGGGCACCGCCAGATCCACCCTGCGGATGCCTCCCTCTTCCGCTGACATATGGGAGGCTGCCAGCGGCAGGCGGATGTCACCAGTTCTTCCTGGATCCCGAGATCACAGGGGCCGCTGTGGGCACCTGAGAGGTTCTCCCTGTGGCAGTAGTTCCTCCTGTCTTAGCTCTAGCTCCCCAGGGCATTCAGTTTTATGTATTTATATATATATGTATTTATAATAAATATGTATTTATAATAAATATGTATTTATAATAAATATGTATTTATAATAAATATGTATTATATAATAAACACATATATTATATATTATATATTATATATATTATATTATATATATTTATATATTATATATTATATATTTATATATAATATATTATATATATTTATATATAATATATTATATATTATATATATAGAAAGGTGGAATTTCATTCTTGTTGCCCAGGCTGTAGTGCAATGGCGCGGTCTCGACTCACTGCAACCTCTGCCTCCCAGGTTCAAGCGATTCTCCTGCCTCAGCCTCCCAAGCAGCTGGGATTACATGTGCCCGCCACCACGCCTGACTAATTTTTTGTATTTTTAGTAGAGACAGGGTTTCACCGTGTTGGCCAGGCTGGTCTCGAACTCCTGACCTATATTTTTAAGACAGAGTCTCACTGTGTCGCCCAGGCTGGAGTACAGTGGTGCAGTCTCGGCTCACTGCAACCTCCACCTCCCCATATTCAAGTGGTTCTCCTGCCTCCGCCGCTCAAGTAGCTGGGATTACAAGCATGCACCACCATACCCAGCTAATTTGTGTTTTTTTGGTAGAGACAGGGTTTCGCCATGTTAGCCAAGCTGGTCTTGAACTCCTGACCTCAAATGACCCACCCATCTTGGTCTCCCAAAGTGCTGGGATTACAGGTGCAAGCCACCATGCCTGGCCTCCCCAGAGCATTTTGGAAAGCGATTTGCGGTGAAAGTCCTTTAGAAGGGAGGGAATGGGGTGGGGTGGGGGCACTGGCCGGTTGCCTGTCATCTCTGAGTCCCTGGCTTCGGTTGTGGAGTGGAGATAACACTTTCCACCTTGTAGGGAGCTGTCAGCGTTAAATGAGAATGGTGCTGACGGAATGCCAGACTGCGGATGGTGAATACAAAATATTGGGTTTCCTTCTTCTCTTGAGGCAAGGAGTAAGCCTCTCTCTCAGGTCTCTCTTCCTGCCCCAGTCAGTGTCTGCTAAGCAGTCCCCCTTCAGGCGCCCAGGAGCCTTCTCCAGAAGGATTTATCCAGGATAATGTTGTCTGATGTCCCCTTCCAAGACCCACTTCAAAATATCCACTTCAGAGAGGCCCCTCCAGACCCCTTGCCACTCCCTAGCCCTGTCCTGTCAGGCCTCTTATTCAGCTTTATTTTCCAGCATAGCCCTGACACTGATGTGATTAATATGTGATTACACATATTATTATTTTTTTGAGACGGTGTCTTGCTCTGTCACTCAGGCTGGCATGCAGTGGTGTGATCTTGGCTCACTGCAGCATCCACCTCCTGGGTTCAAGTGATTCTCTTGTCTCAGCCTCCCAAGTAGCTGAGATTACAGGCGCTCGCCACCATGCCTGGCTAATTTTTGTATTTTTGGTAGAGACAGTGTTTCACCATGTTGGCCAGGCTGGTCTTGAACTCCTGACCTCAGGTGGTACGCCCGCCTTGGCCTCCCAAAGTGCTGGGATTACAGGCGTAAGCCCCCATGCCCGGCTGATTATACATACTACATAGCAGACATATCTGCTCAGTTTCTTGCATATGTTGTCCGTCTCCAACTGTGAAATCTCCACAAAGAAACTCCCTCCACAAGACTGCTGAACCCCCAGTGGTGAGGGATCCAGCACTTAGCAGCCCCTCGAAAACACTGTTGATGATGGGCCCAGAGGAGAGGGAGCAGGCAGGGCCGAGGTCTCAGATAGAAGGGCCACTGACTCAGGTCTGGGCTCCCTGTGGCCCCTCAGGGTCCTCAGTGCCCCTATCTTGAGTGGCCCTGGCCCCTACAACTCCAACCCACCCCAGCTACCCTGCTCTGTCGCTTGGTTCCTGTGTCCCTTTCATAGGACCCTGTGCTGCCTCCAGTGGGATGAGATTAAGGGTGGGCAGCCTGTTGGGAAGTCACTGCCACATGGGGGCATCTGGGGCTTGGTGGCCCCTCGTGCTGCCTCTCCAGCCATGTGCCACACCTCTTTCTCCTTCCCTTTCTTTCTCTTCAGCCTCCCTCTGTGCCCCTTTATTCTGCCATTGCCTCATAACCCTGAGCCCCATCCCTGGACATGGCTGGCCTGCCCAAGGCTTTTGGGGCTCTAACCCAAGACCAGCTCCTAGCATGGCTGTGATCCTACCTGAGGAGTTAGAGCCAGACCTCTGTGTGTGGCTGCCACGGTTTCTCTCAGTCACCTGGAACTAGAGCTCCTGAGTTTTCCTTCCACTCCCCTGTGTATGGGACATAAGCAGGCAGGGAAGGGGAGGGAGCCCTGGTTGCAACCCAGGAGGGGCTTGGAGCCATCTTTGGTCTCTTCTGTCTCCAACCTTAGTCACGATGGGCCCCCACCTTCCGCCTGGGCTCTGAGGGCGGAAAGTGTCTGTATTTCTCATCGCACACATTGACTGCATGCCTGCTGTGGACAAGGCTCCACGAGGAATGGGACTACCCTCAAGGAGTCTGCCTTCTTCCTTATAACCCAGCTCCGGTTGATGCACACAGTAGGTGCTCTGTGAATTTCACCTGGTCCATTTCTTCAACGCATCTTCATGGAGCAACTCTGTGTGCAGCTGCCCCTTGGCAGCTGAGCACTGATGAGCAAAAGCAGCCCAGGTTTTGGCCTGCAAGGAACTTGCCATCTGCTGGGGACAGTCATTCATCAGAGGACCAAATACGTAAATGTTTCCTTAAAAAACAAAACCAGGCCAGGCATGGTGGCTCATGCCTATAATCCCAGCACTTTGGGAGGCCGAGGTGGGCGGATCACCTGAGGTCAGGGGTTTGAAACCAGCCTGGCCAATGTGGCAAAACCCTGTCTCTACTAAAAATACAAAATTAGCTGGGCATGGTGGCGCATGCCTGTAATCCCAGCTACTTGGGAGGCTGAGGCAGGAGAATCACTTGAATCCAGGAGGCGGAGGTTGCGGTGAGCCAAGACCGTGCCACTGCACTCCAGCCTCGGCAACAAGAGCTAAACTGTCTCAAGAAAACAAAACAAAACGAAACAAAACAGAGGTGTGGAAGTTCTCTCCATCTCAGGGGTCTTGCGGGGAAGACTTTTGTGGGGGCACATTAGGGAGATAGAATAGAACAAGCCTGATAATATCCTTGGAGATGGTGAAGAAATTTCTAGTGAAGTCCTGGTTTGCACCTTCCAGAACTCTGCCAACTAACCACCTTCTCCACAGACCAGTATGGCCAGTAGCTGTCATTGCTGGGACCTCAGGGTGGCCAGCTATGGGCCCTGAGTCCTGGGAGCCTAATCACATGGATGGAGGCCCAGTGGGCTGGGAATGGGGTCACAGCTGCCTCACTGGCAAGGGCCTAGGCACAGCTGGCACAGACGTGGGAGGGCCCTTGGGCTAAGCAGGGACATCTGCCTGGCATTTCCCACATCCCAGCAGGACCCACCTCTTATGCACCTTTGTCTTGGCTTCTAGATAAGGCCTGAATGGGGATTCACATGTCTGACTGGGAAATCCTCTCTGAGTGGTTGCGTTAGAGCCCAGGTCTACCACAACCCCAGTGAATCCCAGCTCTGCCTCTTACTATGTGACACTGAGCATATTATCTAACCTCTCTGTACCTGCTTCATCAACTGCAAAATGGGTATAATAACACTTGTCTCAAAAAGACAATTGCCTGTTCAGCAGAGTGATAGCTGCTGTGTTTGAAATGGCACCTGGGACATGTAAAATGATCGGTGAGCATCCACTCCCTCCCTCTGTGGCAATCAGCTGCTCTTTTTTTTTTTTTTTTTGAGATGAAGTCTCGCTCTATCACCCAGGCTGGAGTGATCTTGTCTCACTGCAACCTGCAACCTCTGCCTCCTGGGTTCAAATGATTCTGCTGCCTCAGTCCTCCTAGCTGGGACTACAGATGCAAGCTACCACGCCTGGATAATTTTTGTAGTTTTAATAGAGATAGAATTTCACCATGTTGGCCAGGCTGGTCTTGAACTCCTGACCTCAAATGATCCACCCACCTCAGCTTCCCAGAGTGTTGGGATTACAGGCATGAGCCACCATGCCCAGCCTCAGCTGCTGTTTTTGAACTTCTGGAAGACAGGCTTCTGTTTAGATTTAGTGTAGCTCACACTGCTGGTGGTCCCTTCCTCCAGGATGGCAGAGGCCCCCAGTTTGTTCTGGTCTTTACTCCTCCCCTACCTTGCTCAGAGGTAAATCCTGACTGATCTAAGTCAATCACGGGGACCCATTCTGCTTGCCAGGGATTGGCCTAAACTGGGTGACATGTGCCTGAGGGAGGTCAGCTGAAGGGTGCAAGAAGGTTTCTGGGAAGAGTTTTTGGGGCTCTTAAAATGACACACAGTAAGAAATATCTTTTCCCTGCTTTTGGACATTGTTGTTTTGGGTTGGGATACCTGGAGCTGCAGCAGCCATTCTGTGACTATGAGGAAAGCTGCCTGAAGATGAAGCTGACCGGCAGAGGAAGACAGAGCCAAGAGAGAGAAACAAACTTCATCTCTGACACCATTGCTGAGACACTAACTGCCTTCAGAGGAGTCCTGCTTTGGAACTTCTTGTGATATGAAATAATACATTTTCCTTGTTCGTTAGCCCACTTGAGGCTGTTACTTGTAGCCAAAGGCCTCCTAACTATCTGTATCCTCCTCACCCATCATGTCTAGTGTAGGGTAGTTGGATTAAATGTGGAGACTGACTTACAAGGTGAGTTGCTTTTACTTAAGGATGGATGAGTGTTAGGATTTCTTTTTCTTTTCTTTTCTCTTTTTTTGAGACAGAAATTTCTTTCTTTTTTTTTTTTTTGAGGCAGAGTCTTGCTCTGTCTCCCAGGCTGGAGTGCAGTGGTGCAATCTCGGCTCACTGCAAGCTCCGCGCCCCAGGTTCACACCATTCCCCTGCCTCAGCCTCCCAAGTAGCTGGGACTACAGGCACCCACCACCACGCCCAGCTGATTTTTTTTTATTTTTAGTAGAGACGGGGTTTCACCATGTTAGCCAGGATGGTCTCGATCCGCTGACCTCATGATCCGCCGACCTCATGATCCGCCCACCTCGGCCTATCCCAAAGTGCTGGAATTACAGGTATGAGCCACCGGGCCTGGCCAACAGAAATTTCTTTTCTTTTCTCTTTTCCTTTCTCTCTGTCTCTCTCTTTTTTTCCTTTGGATTTCTTTTTCTTTTCTCTTTTTTTGAGACAGCGTCTCACTCTGTCACTCAGACTGGAGTGCAGCAGCACAATTTTGGCTCAGTGCGACCTCCATCTCCCAGGATCTAATGATCCTCTCACCTCAGCTTCCCAAGGAGCTGGGACTACAGGCATACACCACCACAACAAGCTAATTTTTTAAAATTTTTGGTAGAGATGGGGTTCCATCATGTTGCCCAGCCAGGGTGGTCTTGAACTCCTGAGCTCAAGCGATCCATCCACCTCAGCCTCCCACAGTGCTGGGATTACAGGCATGAGTCACCACGCCCTGCCAGGGCTTCTTTTTCTTGATTTGAGGGTTTGTCTAGGTGGGGGTGAGGTTGCAACTGGAGCCTGGAGCTGGGAGCCTCATTCTGAGATGACTTGTGGGGAGAAAGGAAACAACAAAAGGGAGGGTGTAGGGTTGAGGTGAGGTTTAAGATGCATCCAGAATGTAGTTCTGCCCAGGTCGGGCACGGTGGCTCATGCCTGTATTTCCAGCACTTTGGGAGGCCAAGGCAGGCAGATTGCTTTGAGCTCAGGAGTTTGAGACCAGACTGGGCAACTTGGTGAAACCCTATCTCTACAAAAAAAAAAAAAAGAATTGCCAGGTGTTGGTGGCTCGTGCCTGTAGTCCCAGCTACTCAGGAGGCTGAGGCTGGAGAATCGCTTGAGCCCAAGAGGCAGAGAGGTTGCAGTGAGCCACTGCACTCCAACCTGTGTGACAGAGTGAGACCCTGTCTCAAAAACAAAAACAAAACAAACAAACAGAAAGAATGTAGTTCTGCCCAGTGCTGCCTTTGCATTTTCCTAAAGAGGCTGCAACTTGACTGCTGATGGGTTTGAGGTTCATGAAAATGTTTTGGAATTAGTGGTGAAGGTTGCACAACTTTTTCAATATACTGGAAGCTACTGAATTGTGCACTTTAAAATGGTGATTTTTTTATGGTGTGCAAATTATATTTCAATTTTTTTTTTTAGACAGAGTTTCACTCTTGTCACCCAGGCTGGAGTGCAATGGAGCAATCTTGGCTCACTGCAACCTCAGCCTCCCAGATTCAAGTGATTCTCCTGCCTCAGCCTCCCCAGTAGCTGGGACTACAGGCATGTGTCACTATGCCTGGCTCATTTTTTTGTATTTTTAGTAGAGAAAGGGTTTCACCATGTTGGCCAGGCTGGTCTCGAACTCCTGACCTCAGGTGATCTACCCGCCTCAGCCTCCCAAAGTGCTGGGATTACTGTGTAAGGCACCACGCCTGGCCTCAATTTTTTAAAAAGAGAAAAAGCAGCAGCCCAGCCACCTGCCTCCTACAGTCTCCCCTCTGCCCTTCATTCTCAGGTGTCTAGGAGCCATTCTCAGGCTCCCTGAGTGTGTTCCGGGGATGGAGGGGCACAGCCCCACCAGCCATGCCACACAGGAGCACTTCCTAAAGTCTCTGCTGGGAGGGGCTGGTGGAAGCCTTGCCTGGGGACACTGGGACTCACTCTTTCACCTGAGGGGATGGTTATCTCCTAAGGCCTGGTCCTCACTGGCCAAATAGCCTCAGGTTGGGATGGGAGTAGGGGGTGGGGGCAAAGTGATGCTGTGGTGGGGTGGGGGGAGCATGAGTTCTGTGATCAGAAAGAACAAGTTCACATCCTGGCTCCCTGCTGCTGAGCTGTGACTTTGGGCAAGTTATCTAGATCTCTCTGTGGCCGTTTCTTATCTGGCAAATGGGTATACTAATTCCACCCTTGGCAGGGTTAAATGGCATAGTTTACCCAAAAAGCTCAGGGCATCTAGTAGATAACACAGGCTGACTTCCTAAGACCTGTTATTATCATGAGACCAAACATAATGGCAGAATCCTAACCAGGCTGTCTTAGTGATTGAGGACTGTTGGTGACGAGATGTTCCCAGCTCTCTTGCTTTTCTCAGACTGCCCAAAAGCCTTCCTCCCCTCATCCTCATCACCCACCCCTACCTTTGCCTACCATAGCCTCCCCACCCCCACACCCAGCCTTTTGCTATGCACATCAGCAGGTGTGGTAATGTGGGAAATCATATTTCCTTTCTTTTTTTTGAGATGAGGTCTCGCTCTGTCGCCTGGGCTACAGTTCAATGGCACAAACACGGCTTACTGCAGCCTCGACCTCCCGGGCTCAAGCAGTCCTCCCACTTCAGCCTCCTGAGTGGCTGAGACCACAGACATGCACCACCGCACCTGCCTAACTTTTTATTATTTTTAGAGATGGTGTCTTCTTCCTACACTGCCCAGGCTGATCTCCAACTCTTGGGCTCAGGAGATCCTCCCCTCTCAAAGGGCTGGGATTACAGGCATGAGCCACCACACCTGGCCAGAAATCATATTTCTGAATCCCAAATCAGAGTACATGGCATAACCAAAATATTTATTCTTTTACTTTATTTTCTTTTTTCTCCAGAATTTAAGAAAATCTGAAATGAAAATCTGAAATGTAGTTTGGTCAAAGGTTGGACTTTTGGGAGCATTTTGATGGCTAGTGGTGACACTTCTCATGGCTAGAGAGGGCCACGGGTGTTCTAGAAGGTGAGGCATGGGTTAAACCACTTTGAATCACACATGGAGAAAGCTCATTTATTCACACCCCCTGTTCCATTCTCCTTCACTCCTTCTGAGTATCCTCAAAGAAAAAGTCTGGTTGGTCCTAATACGACTTCAGCACCTCTCTAACACTTGCTAAGATCCTTTTCTAATAAAGAGAGAAGGTCACACATTCAGAGCCTTTGCAGGGCCATAGTGTCTGGTTAGAATGAAACCTCATTGTTGAAAATGAGTAAATCTAAAATCTTCTTTTCAGTTGACGTTATTAAGAACAATGCAAATCAATGTAAAGAAAAGTGTTCAAAAAATAGCAGAACAGGTATGCATGCAGCTATAGAGTGGGGGTAGCATGGAAATGCCTGGAGTCTGGAAAACACCGGAACATGGGACAACAGAGCTGAGGGCTTGCAGTCAGGGTGCGCTGTAAGTGCCTGACCATACAGTCTGTGTGGTCAGGGCATCTTGGTTGGCCAGAGACCCTGTGGGTGAGCGAGGCTAGAGCTGGCAGAACCCCAGAATTGCACCCGGAAGCCACCTGGCTATGAGCTGAGATTACCCCCAGCATCTGCTCTGCCTCAAGGTACCAGATAGGTGATCTGGGGTGGCCCATCCAGCCTTAAGAGTGGGTTGGATGACAGAGGAGGCCAGCACTAGGCCCCTGTGACTCGGATACTCACGTTGGAGGGAGAGGTGGAGGACGAAGCGTAACTGTCTTCCAGTTGTCCAGAAAGGCTGGGCAAGGTCCTGGGTCACCTTCTCTGTTCTAGGCCCATCAGAGGCTTTCTTCAGGGTCTAGGAGAAGAGGGGGAGGGCCCCAGAGTGGCGGGGTCAAGTTCAGACACCCCTGAGCACTGCTCTGGAGGCAGGCAGGTCAGGCCCAAAAGGTGCGTGGGCCTCAGGGAGCCACTTGTTCCCCTCCGGGTCCCCTCCAGTGAAGAGCCACAGAGGAGGGGACTGGGAAACCAGGGTTCCAGCTTCAGCTTTCTCCTGACTGGCTGTGTGTCCCCGGACAAGGCACTCACCCCCTCTGGGTCTCAGTGTCCCTGCAGGTTGAAACTGCCAAATGAAGAGTTCTTTGGGTCCTGTATGCATTGAGTGAATGCTCTGCTTCCCCGTGATCCCTGAGGCCAACACCCTTTGTGTTCCTGTGCCCTTTCAGGGCAGACCAGGACACTGTGCCAGAGCTGGCTGCAGGCCTCTGGCTAGAGCTACCCCAGCCTTCAGCAGAGGCTTGTCCTCCTAGGTGAAGGGTTGTCCATGCCCAGCCTCGTGAGGCCCGCGTGGTTTTGGGCAGTGCCCAGTGGCACTATTGGCAGGCTCCAGGCACTAAAGGAAGAGACCGAGACCCTGAAAGGTGGGGGAGGAAGACAGAGAAGGAAGAGGTGCCTGCAGAGGGGGTGCTGGTGGCTGCCCCTCACAAACGTGCCAAAGGTTGCCAACTTGAGTTTAAGCCTTGGTTCCAGAACACAAAGCCTCCTCTCTGGGGGCCTTGACCCCTCGGAGCCCCCACCCCGGGCCGGCTGAGCTGCCCGGAGGGAACTAGCCCCAGAAGGGCCTGGTTGTTGGCTGCGAAGTGGCTGGGAGGGAAGTTTTAATGATACACAACACAAGACACAGGGGGGAAAAGAGAGAGGGGGGTGGTGGAGGAGAGAAGGGAGGTTGGGGGGAGAAAGAAAGACCTCCTGCCAGGCCTGTTGCCAGGAAACGGCCAGGCAGCCAGAATCAGCCCTGCTCTTTTCACAGTTGGCTTTAAGCACCGAGAGAAAGCCCGGGCCATAAAGGGGGACATGTGTTGCTGGGTGTGTAAGGCTAGCCTCTGCAGTTAGGGGAGCCCCTGCCCCCGCCCCTGCCGCTGCACCGAGAGCCCCTTGAGCCCCCAGCCCTGCCTCCACGCCTGGGGATTATGGATGAACGATTGAGCTGCCGAGCAATGGAAAAGGCAGGGGTGGCCCTGGCCTTCCAATGTCGCAGCCACTTTGGGGGTGAAACTCACCAGTTGGGTCCCCAGGAAGCTGGCAGGGGCTGGCAGGGCAGGGAGATCTGGGATTCCAACATGGCACGTCCACAGAAAAGTATTCCTATTGGCTCTGCGTGGTCCATCCAGGTTAGGGGGGTGAGGTGTCTGGACTTCTAGGAATCCTCAACAGGGCACTCAGAAGGGAGCTGACAAGTCCCAGAAACCTGCATTCTGGCTCCTGGTTCTTGTCACGGATGCCATGGTGGGAACAGGCCCCTTTAGGCTGTGCCTTGGCACTTGGGGACTGTCCCTGCAGCGCAGTGACTGCTGTGTCCCTGAAGAGTCCACCACACAGCCAGGAAAGAGCAAAAAGAGGGGGAGGGTTGTTGACAAAACGAGCTCATGGCCCTGGCTGCCAATCCAGAGTGATGTCAGCTGAGGAGTGACATGGTGCTCTCAGCACAGAGGACGTCAGCAAACCGGGAAGCAGCATGTGCGTGGAAGCTGGGCCTGAGCCCTGACGCTTCAGCTGAGCTCCCTGGGTGATGGCTCCTTCCACAAGTTCTAACGTCCCACTGAAAGCAAGCTGCAATTTCTGTTGCTTCTTGTATCAATTGCATGAAAGGACGGGCAGTTTCTTTTGATCCTCTGGCATGCCAAGGCCTGAATGCCAGTCCTGGGAGCCTTACCAGCCCTCTAAGAAGAATCAGAAGGTGAGTGTTAGGGAGGAAGGGACAGCCAACCCACCCCGACTCCCCATCTGGTCACCTCACTGCCTGACTTCTCTCTGAGCTTTCCGAGACACTGCTGGAGGCCGACCTGAGCTCAAACTCAAACCCCAGTCTCCTGCTCAGTGTGGTGGGCAGCCCTGCTTCCCTGGCTCATGGAGTGAGTGAGGGTGTGTGTGAGTCAGTTCTAACAAAATCAAGAAATCACTGTATCTTCCAAGAAAGCTTTGACTCAGTGCATGTGTGCACTGAGCTGTTTCCCACGTGAGTGAGCGTCCTGGAAAACAGGCCTGCCCGGGGAAGAAGTGAGCCAGTCTGCCTGCTAGAAACTGCTGGGGGCTCCTGATCGGGAGGCTTGCTTTTCCTTCAACTTCCTTCGCCTCTTTTTCTGGCTGGAGTGTGTGGTTCTGCTAGTTCTGGAGTCTTTCCTGTCCCCATTCTGGACCATGTCCCATCCCAGGTATCAAGAATGGCTCATACCTGTAATCCCAGCATCTTGGGAGTCTGAGGCAGGAGGATCACTTGAGGCCAAGAGTTTGAGACCAACCTGGGCAACATAGTGAGACCCTGTCTCTGCAAAAATTTAAAACTAAGTCAGGTGTGGTGGCATGTGTTTGCAGTCTCAGCTACTCGGGAGGCTGAGGGGAGAGGATTGCTTGAGCCCAGGCATTTGAGGTTGCAGTGAGCTAGGATGGCACCACTACACTCCAGCCTGGTCGATGGAGTGAGACCCTGTTTCAAAAAATAAAAAAAGAAAATGTCTTACTTCCAGAGGGGCTGAATCTCCATGAGGTGGTAACCAAAACGACGGATTTGCCAACTCTCAGGGGGAAGTGGTGTCCTGGGCAGTGGCTGGAGAAGCAGGTGGTGCCTGGGTCTGATCGCAGGAGGGAGGCCTTCTGGGTTCTGCCTCTGGGAGAGGGCAGGCTGCTGGGGAGGGCGCGCATTAGGAGATGGAGAGTTAGGCCACCAAGGAGCCCACTAGGGCACCTGGCAAGTTCTGCTAGGCCTGCCGAGGCATGGCTGGGCTTTACAACAGGGGGTACGGAGCTCCTTGAGTGGAAAGCTCCTCTCGCTGGCTTGCCCCTGATTTCATCTCAAGAACGGTCAACTCTAGCAAGCAAATATACCTCCTGGGCTGTAGGTAGGGGCTCAGCCCTGTCCCTGAGGCTGGGCACAGGCTTGGTCCTTCTCGCCTGCCTCCTCCCCTTCCCTGTCCTCTGTCACACCCCTCCCCCATGCAGAGGAGCCAGTTTTAACCTGGAAGGTTCCCTCTGCCCTCTCACAACTCAGCACCCCTGTTATTCCTTCAGAACCCCTGGCCAGCTCCTCAAGGGCTTCCCCCACG
Organism: Homo sapiens; assembly: GCF_000001405.40. Classification (NCBI taxonomy): domain Eukaryota; kingdom Metazoa; phylum Chordata; class Mammalia; order Primates; family Hominidae; genus Homo; species Homo sapiens. The sequence goes on from NT_187663.1 coordinate 1,354,227, forward strand.
CTAATATACTCTTAGAGTCTGTGGCTTCTGTTTCTCTAGCTTGTTCAGGGAAGAGTCTCTGGAGGCCCACCTTACCCCCAGAAGCATTCCAAAAAATGGCCATTGAGCTCACCTGTCAGTGTTCCTCCCCCAGGCAGCATCAAACTCCCTAGATTGGCCCTCAGTCTCTCTTCTTCTTCTCCTTCTCCTTCTCCTTCTTCTTCTTTCTGGAGACAGGATCTCGCTCTGTTGTCCAGGCTGCAGCGCAGTAGTGCGATCAGTGCTCACTGTAGCCTCCATCTCCTGGGGTCAAGTGATCCTCCCACCTCAGCCTCCTGAGTAGCTGGCACTACAGGAACACACCACCACACCTGGCTAATTTTTTTTTATTTTTAGTAGACAGATGAGGTCTTGCCATGTTGTCCCTTATTCTTTTTTTTCTTTTTTGAGACAGAGTCTCACTCTGTTGCCTAGGTTTGAGTGCAGTGGCACAATCCCGGCTCACTGCAAGCTCCGCCTCCCGGGTTCACGCCATTCTCCTGCCTCAGCCTCCCGAGTAGCTGGGACTACAGGCACCCGCCACCACGCCCAGCTAATTTTTAATATTTTTATTAGAGACAGGGTTTCACCGTGTTAGCCAGGATGGTATCGATCTCCTGACCTCGTGATCCACCCACCTCGGCCTCTCAAAGTGCTGGGATTACAGGCATGAGCCACCACGCCCAGCCCAGTCTCCCTTATTCTTAATGAGGTGACCATGAGTTAATCTCTTAGGTCCACCCTCACCTCCTCCAGGAAGCCTCCCTGACTTACCCCTCCTCCTTTGTGCCTTCTAGCTTCTCATCAGTGTAGTCATTCCTGACCTACAGTGGCCCTCAGCAGTTGCCAAGATTTGTCCCCAAAGCTCAGGGCTGGTGGTCAGGTGGGTTAGGGATGAGTTGTTAAGGGTTGGGAGAATACATCTCCTAATGCAATGAGGAACAGATCCAGCTGGGTTGGAGGGAAGGGAGGAGGGCCTGCGCCCCCTCAGCCCCCTTCACTCCCCACCTCTGCACCCCTGCCTAGCTTCTTAACCAGGAAGTTGAGCTACCTTCACTAAAGAAGAGTGGAGACAGGAGACCCGGCCCTTCTCTCTGGGACAGGACTCTCCTGGTGGGGCTCCTCAGAGGTGAGATCCTGCCTCTGGGCCCCTGGGAGACCCTGGACCTTAAAGTTATTGTGCCCACACATTCTGGATGGGGCCTGCGAGGATGGTCAGGGTCATAGTGCCACCTGCTGGGGCTCCCAGGAACAGCAGCTGGAGAGACGCTGACGTGTGTGTGTGTGTGTGTGTGTGTGTGTGTGTGTGTGTGTCTCGGTTGTGGTGGTGGCGGGGCAATTAATAACACCTCACCACAGATCTTAAAATTCGCCTGATATTGAACCCTTACCCCCTTTCCAAGGAAGCAGCCAAAAGAGTGCGGAGGAAGTGATATTGGAATTCAACTGGGGCTCCCAGGGAAATCCAGGGCTGCAGGGACATAATTGCATTCCTTGGAACTGCTGTTTTTTGAACTTCATTCATGAAGCCTGGTTTCTAGGGATGCTTTCTCTTTTCATGGACCCAGAAGGAAAGTGGAGATGGTTCTTCATGCTTCTATGTGAAATGGGGTTTCAAGGGCAAAAAACAAGTAAGCACTTTGAATATCTTTGTGTTTTTTTACACTGATAAGAGGAAGAAAAGTATGTCACATTGTAAATGTCGATGATTAGAAACAGTCCAAGGTGATCATTGTAATGTCAATTTCTGAAGCAGTTGGGAGAAATAAGTAGGATAATGAAATGAATCAGCACAGTGCCTCTCACTTGCTAAATATGCCGCATGTTGGGAAATTCATTGATAAAATGAAACCCACTGTGGAGAAAGTGACTGGCCTTCCTGGCAAGCCAGGCTGGAGGTGAGCAGGGTTGGCCAGGGTCATGGGGTGATGTCTTGGTTGGAAGCCACCAGGTGACCTGTGTCCTGTTGACACACAAGTATGCTGCTTAGTAACTCCCTGGAATTATTTTTAAAAAGCTAGATGTGTGAATAAAGAATTTGGGGGATTACAATTTTGGTTTGTAAATGAACCCTTTGCTTTAGGAAGAACTCAGCATAGGACCCTTGCAAGTATTTCTTTTTCTTTTTTTCTTTTTTTTGAGACAGAGTCTCGCTCTGTCGCCCAGGCTGTAGTGCAGTGGCGTGATCTCGGCTCACTGCAACCTCCACCTCCCAGGTTCAAGCAATTCTCCTGCCTCAGCCTCCCAAGTAGCTAGGACTACAGGCACTCGCCACCATGCTAGGCTAATTTTTGTATTTTTAGTAGAGATGGGGTTTCACCATGTTGGCCAGGCTGGTCTTGATCTCTTGACCTCGTGATCTGCCCGCCGCGGCCCCCCAAAGTGCTGGGATTACAGGCGTGAGCCACCGTGCCTGGCTGAACCTTGCAAGTATTTCACATGATATTTGTTTTGCCCCCTTCATCCCTTTACTTATGTAACCAAACTCCACCTGCAGTGACAAGGCTGGCCTGATAACCTACTCATGGAGCCAAATGCAGATGCTTCTTAGGCAGAATTTGGAGTATAAATGGGAGAATATTTGGGGGACTGGAGGGTGGGACTGATGTTGGGGAATCAGCAAGCACCAGGCCACCATCTTGCTGTATGACATTTGTTTCCCCATCGAATCCTCACTAGAACCCCATGCAAGAGCTGCCGCTGCCACCCTCGTTTTACAAATAAGGGACTTGTGGCCCAGGGAGGCTGTGTGACCTGTCCGAGGTCATAGTCCTAATAAACGCTAGAGGTGGGATGTGAACCCAGAGAGTCTGGGGTGACTCCAAAGGACTGAGGCTGGGAACACAGGAAGGTGGTGATGCCCCTGCTGGGAATGTGCCTGGGGGAAGGTTTGGAGGGATGGCTCATGGTCAGTGGGATTTAGTTTCCCACTCACCAGGCAGAGGACTGACCTGGTATATGCCTTCAGGGCTGATATGCACAATTGTGCATGTTGTGCACTGCAAAAGGTTACACCACATATGAGGACACTGTGCACATCACGGCCATATTTGCAGTGATTGTTTTCTGACAGTTGGGAAAAAAGTGCCTGGAGGAGGAGGGACCTCTTTCTAAATCACTCAGAGGGGCTTCATGGGTGGGTGGCGTTTTCCACGTGTACATCACCGTCTTTCTCCACCCAAGGGAGTGAGCAGGTACTGGGACAACTTTAGGCCATTGCTCCAACCCCTGTGTTGAGGGGGTGGAGGAACCTTTTGCATTTTCTGCCCCCTCTTCACTTCTCCCAGAAGTCATGGGAGGGGCAACAGACAGCAAAAGCCTTCTCTGTGTCACTGGCCCTACTGTTTTCTCTCTGAGACATCTGGCTGAAAATTCAGGCTCTTGCCATCCCTGTGGAAACAGGATCACATAATTGGTGGTAAGGTGGGGAGGGAAGGAAGGAGAAGTGAGGAACAGCCGAGTGGGTCAGTGGATCAGAAGAGATAGAACGGGGCCTGCCTTAAAAAAAAAAAAAAAAATCACAGGCCAGGTGTGGTGGCTTATGCTTGTAATCCCAACTTTTTGGAAGGCCAAGGCAGGAGGATCACCTGAACCCAGGAGTTCAAGACCAGCCTGGGCAACATACTGAGACCCCATTTCTACAAAAAATGAAAAAATTAGCTGGGCATGGTGGTATTCGCCCATAATCCTAGCTTCTCAGGAGGCTAAGGCAGGAGGATCGCTTGAGCCTGGGAGGTCAAGGCTGCAGTGAGCCATGATGGCGCCACTGCACTCCAGCCTGGGCGACAGAGCGAGACCCTGTCTCAAAATAAATTAATTAATTTTAAAAATTAAAAATAAAATTTAAAAAGTACATATACACACACATCCACGTATATGTAAAATGTCATAGATAATTTGGGTTGTTTTAATAAGCATATATCAGCCTTCAAGCAGATGCAGTCCATAAAAATCCGGGTTTACAAAAACAGATAATTTGGCATAGAGGCCTGTGCACAGAGAGGGGATTACTCACCATATAAAATGGTTTCCAGGGGCTTGTTTTCTTTTCTAAAGAATTTTGTTTTGTTTTCTGAGACGGAGTCGCACTCTGTCGCCCAGGCTGGAGTGAAGTGGAGTGATCTTGGCTCACTGCAACCTCTTCCTCCCGGGTTCAAGCCATTCTCCTGCCTCAGCCTCCTGAATAGCTGGGATTACAGGCGCCCGCCACCATGCCCAGCTAATTTTTGTATTTTTAGTAGAGACAGACTTTCACCATGTTGGCCAAGCTGGTCTCGAACTCCTGACCTCAGGAGTTCCGCCCGCCTCGGCCTCCCAAAGTACTGGGATTACAGGCGTGAGCCACCGCACCTGGCCTCTAAAGAATTTTAAGTGAATTTCCAAGAGTTTCAAAGATGATTGTTATGTTTATGGAATGCTTATTCTATTAGCTCTGAACTCATGCTAATATGTTTGTGGCCATGCGACCCAGCATACACTCTGTCCTTGTGGCCACTGCCAATGGGACCAGCTGTGGGTACCTGACCCTTGGCACTCTTAGCCCCTGGCGGGTCCAGGCAGCACTGGCGTGGTGTCCACTTTTTTCTCAGACACTTGCATCAGGTTGTATGGTAGCTGCCACTGGGCCCCAAAGCTGTATGGCTGTGGCACAACGCAGGCGTCAAGGCAGCCATGACTGCCATGCACAGGCTGTAAATTCTTTATATATATATATATGTTTTTTTATTATACTTTAAGTTCTAGGGTACATGTGCACAATGTGCAGGTTTGTTACATAGGTATACATGTGCCATGTTGATGTGCTGCACCTATCAACTCATCATTTACACTAGGCATTTCTCCCAATGCTCTCCCTCCCCCAGTCCCCCCCGCCAAGAGGCCCCAGTGTGTGATGTTCCCTGCCCTGTGTCCATGTGTTCTGATTGTTCAGTTCCCACCTATGAGAACATGCAGTGTTTGGTTTTCTATCCTTGTGATAGTTTGCTGAGAATGATGGTTTCCAGCTTCATCCGTGTCCCTGCAAAGGACATGAACTCATCCTTTTTCATGGCTGCATAGTAGTCCATGGTGTATATGTGCCACATTTTCTCTTTTCTTTCTTTCTTTCTTTCTTTCTTTCTTTCTTTCTTTCTTTCTTTCTTTCTTTCTTTCTCTTCTTTCTTTCTTTTTTCTTTCTTCTTTCTTTCTTTCTTTCTTTCTTTTCTTTCTTTCTTTCTCTCTCTCTCTTTCCTTTCTTTCCTTCCTTCATTCCTTCTTTCTTTCTTTCTTTTTGAGATGGAGTCTCACTCTGTCTCTCAGGCTGGAGTGCAGTGGTGTGATCTCGGCTCACTGCAAGCTCCGCCTCCTGGATTCATGCCATTCTCCTGCCTTAGCCTCCCGAGTAGCTGGTACTACAGGTGCCCGACACCACGCCCGGCTAATTTTTTATATTTTTAGTAGAGACGGGGTTTCACCGTGTTAGCCAGGATGGTCTCGATCTCCTGACCTCATGATCCACCCGCCTCGGCCTCCCAAAGTGCTGGGATTACAGGCGCGAGCCACGGTGCCCAGCCCATTTTCTTAATCCAGTCTATCATTGATGGACATCTGGGTTGGTTCCAAGTCTTTGCTATTGTGAATAGCACCACAATAAACATATGTGTGCATGTGTCTTTATAGTAGCATGATTTATAATCCTTTGTGTACATACCCAGTAATGGGATCCCTGGGTCAAATGATATTGCTAGTTCTAGATCCTTGAGGAATTGCCATACTGTCTAATTGAACTAATTTACACTCCCACCAACAGTGTAAAAGTGTTCCTGTTTCTCCACATCCTTTCCTGCATCTGTTGTTTCCTGACTTTTTAATGGTCGCCATTCTAACTGGCGTGAGATGGTATCTCATTGTGGTTTTGATTTGCATTTCTCTGATGACCAGTGATGATGAGCATTTTTTCATGTGTCTGTTGGCTGCATAAATGTCTTCTTTTGAGAAGTGTCTGTTCATATCCTTTGCCCATTTTTTGATGGGGTTGTTTTTTCTTGTAAATTTGTTTAAGTTCTTTGTAGATTCTGGATATTAGCCCTTTGCAGGCTGTAAATTCTAAGCAGCAGGAAGTAGGTGTGAGTAGAAGTGGAGGCAGAAAGCAGCCGGTTCTGTTTCCAACTGCATTCTCCTTTCCTGTGCCCCTGTGTCATCACCATGGAACGCCTTTCCCGATGCTACTTCCAACAGGAGGCAGAGGGTGGGAGAATTCAGGTTGGAAGGCTTATCCCTAGGAAAGAGGGTGCCGACAGACAAGGCTCCTTGGAAGCCTGACAAATCAAATTTACCATTTATTGAGCACCTACTATGTGACAGGAACATGACACGCATGATTTCATTTAATCTTCACAACCAGCCCAAAGAGCAGCTTTCTCCCTATTTACAGTCGGAGAAACGGAGGCTCTGAGAGATTGTAAGGGACTTGCCCACGGTCACCCAGCTAGGAAGGAAAGCCAGAAGGCCAGCCTAGGTATCCTGGCGGTCCTGGATCAGAGACACTGCTGTGAGGCTTCCCGGTGGGAAGAAGGAAAGTCATGCATCGATATTCATCACCGAGTGAGAGTGAGAGTTCAGCCCTGTCCCAGGCACCTCTGGGCGGGAGGGTGGAGAATCCGAAAGAAAGAGGCCCGTCCCTGGTCCTCAAGGTCGTGCCAACAGGCCAACTAAGCCATGTCCCAAATTGAGAGCGGGTTAAGGTGGGGGCGTGGGGACGCCCTGACGCAACAGGGCTTCGGAGAAGGGAGCGCTGGGGGCTGCAATGCCAGAGGATTCCTTGAGGAGAAGGGGCTGGTGGGGCGGGTAGGGGCTGGCCGGGAGCAGGACCGGGAGGAACTGGACCCTCTGGACTGGGGAGTGCGGGGTAGATGAAGGCAGAGGAGATGGAGGTTCTGCAGTGTGAGGCAGGCGGACAGGGAAGCCTGCATCCAGCTGAGAGACCTTGAGCAACCACGTCCTCCTCTGAGCTCCGCGTTTGCCGTGTGCAAAGTGAAGGGGTAGGCCGACCCCGCAGGGCCCTTCTTGCGCTCCTCTGCGGTGTGTGGGGGGGTCTCTGGTCCGCGAGAGGACAGTCCCTGCCGCGCCGAGCGTCCTCCAGCGTCCGCGGCCGCCGCGAGCAGCGCTGACCGGCAGGGGGCGCTCCTGCAGAAGGCTGGCCGCGGTGGCGCCCTCGGCGGGGCCTGGGCTGGCCTGGGGACCCGGGAGGCCTCCCCCTCCATCCCTCCAGGTCCTCTCCCACCACTTGCCTTCTCACACCGCCCCTTCCCACTCTATGCTCTGGGATTAAAGGCTTGGGAAGTTGCTGGTATTTAGGTCCTTGGGCAGGCCACTTCGCCTCTCTGTGCCTCAGTTTCTTCAGGCGCAAACTGGGTTGTGTGAGGAAGAGATGAGTTATTGGTCAGGAGAGCCTTCCAGCCACAGGTGAGGTAGATATGCCGCTGCTGCACACCCCAATATCATTCCTAGGGCAGGGGCTGCTGCTCTACAACCTCAGGGTTACAGTTAGCTTTAAATCTTTATTTATTTGGTTGTTTTTTCAGACAGGGTCTCCCTCTGTCGCCCAGGCTGGAGTGCAGTGGCGCGATCACGGCTCACTGCAGCCTCAAACTCCTGGGTTCAAACCATCCTCCTGCCTCAGCCTCCCGAGTAGCTCGAACCACAGGTGCATACCACCATGCCCAGCTATTAATTTTTTTTGTAGAGATGGGATCTTGCTTTGGTGCCCAGAGCTGGTCTCGAACTCCTGGGCTCAAGTGATCCTCCCATCTCAGTCTCCCAAAGTGCTGGGATTACAGGCATGAGCCACCGTACCCTGCTTTAAACTTTTATTCAAAGTCCTTTTGTGCAAAGATAGAAATAATTCCTGGATCCTACAGAGTGCCTGGCATGATGAGTGATGCTCAAAACGTAGCTGTGGAATGATTAGTTTTTTGAAACCATCCAGACAGAAGCTATGAGAAAATCAGACAGTGCACCTCTTCTGAATCACACTGGAAGATGTCCACATTCATCTTCACATTTCTCACCACTGTTCTGTGAGGAAGGTGGACAGGGAGTGTTGTATCCATTTTATGGATGAAGAAACCGAGGTCGCAGAGGAAGCCAGAGACAAGATTTTAAGTTAGGACCCAGGGTTCTCTCCATGCAACCTCAGGTAAATTATCCTGTTGTTGCTAGTGACTCCTATTGGAGACATGTGGTATTGCAACCAGGCCACATTAGACACTGAAGGCACCTCATGAGGAAGAAGGTGGGCACATCCTGGGTGCCAAGCCCAGAGAGGGAGAAACTAGGGTAGATATTAATATCGGAGCTGGGGGAATGAAAATGATATTTCAGAATCAACAACAGATTGGAAAGGCTTAACTAGTTTAAAACACATTCCCTATTCTTAAGTCCCCAACACTTTTTCAACCTCCTCTCACTCCAAAGTAGAACTTAATGTAGCAAAGGTATGCTTTGTAGGGTGAACCCTTATAATTATAATGACAACCAGTGGGAAAACTTGGTTTCCTTTCAAACGTTTGTGTGACTAATTAGGAGGGACTATTCCATTCGTTAAAGTGAAGAAAGAAGGACTGAAAAAAAAAATCACTCTGCAAAATCCAGCTCAAACATTGCTGCATCTCAGTTGCCATTGTCTTAGCTACCTCTTCCCTGGAACAATGAATTGATTGTCTTCTTTCCTGGGTTCCTGCCTCATTTGGTACTTTCTTCTCTTTACTGCTGCACAGTCGTTAAATATGTGTCTTTGGTGCCAGCTCCCTGGGTTCTAATCCCGGTTCTAAGCTTACTAGCTGGCCAGTTACTTGACTTCTCTGTGCCCATTTCCTCATTTGTAAAATGCTGTGAGCATTAAATGGGTTAACAGTTTTATAGGACTTAGAACAATACCTGGTGTAATGTAAGTGCTCAATAACTAGTTTACACTTATATAGATATGTCAGAATGCTCTCTGTATTTATTTATGTGTCTTTCCCAACAAACTGTGTGCTCCTCAAGGACAAGAACTGACTTCATCATCTCCTATTCCAGGGTTTAGCACCAGATGCTTATTCAAAGTATGTTAAACTGAATATTATGTATTCATACTTTATTATTATTTTTTCTAAGACAAGGTTCTTGCTCTGTTGCAGTTCTTGCTCTGGAGTGCAGTGGTGGCATCATGGCTCATTGCAGTTGCAACTTCCCATGCTCAAGAAATCCTCCCATCTCAGCCTCCAGGGTAGCTGGGACTACAGGCATGTGCCACAATGCCTGGCTAATTTTTTTTTTCTTTTTTGTATTAGCAGGGTCTCACTGTGTTGCTGAGGCTGGTCTTGAACTCCTGGCCTCAAGCAATCCTCCTGCCTCAGTCTCCCAGAATGCTAGGATTATAGGCATGAGCCACTGTATCCAGCCTATACTTTATATAAAGTAGAAAATATGCAGTGAGGTGGAGTTAGCCACCTTTTTTTTTTTTTTTTTTTTGATAAGTTAAGCCTCAGCTTACTGCTTCCCAGAGATAAACCAAGGTTCGAGTCTCTCCTTTGTTTAAAGAAAAACATCTGGCTGGGCCACTGCAGTCCTACCATGAGTTCAGGAAAACGTGCTATGGTCCAACTGTCTACCAGTCAGGACACAGTTAATGAGCACTTCCTGTAAACTTATTTGTACCTGCAGTTCTGATAATATGACCTGGAGGAAATGGTGTGGTGGTGGCCGATTTCTAAAACTAACTGCAAAGGATTGCATTCCTCTAGGCACCTATGAACTTCAAGATGGGACCCCTTTCCTCTCGTCCTTCTTTTTAGAGAGTTTAGAGAGCAAGAACTTACTCAGATGAAAACAAACTAAAAGATGTTGAGAATGCCTCTGTGCAGACCCAAATCTATAGGATGTTATTTATAGTAAATTATGGCATATTTTTAAACTTCTAGTCCCTAAGAAAGTTGTTTTCTTGCCTCCCTCCTTCCCTTCCTTCCTTCCTTCCTTCCTCTTTCTTCTTTCTTTCTTTTTTATTTTTTGGAGATGGAGTTTTGCTCTTGTTGCCCCAGGGCTGGAGTGCAATGGTGGGATCTCTGCTCACTGCAACCTCCGCCTCCCAGCTGCAAGCAACTCTCCTGCCTCAGCCTTCTAAGTAGCTGGGACTACCGGCATGCACCACCACACCTGGCTAATTTTTTGTATTTTTAGTAGAGATGGGGTTTCACCATGTTGACCAGTCTGGTCTGGAACTCCTGACCTCAGGTGATCCACTCGCCTCGGCCTCCCAAAGTGCTTGGATTACAGGCGTAAGCCACAGTGCCTGGTCTCCTTCCTCCTTCTTTTGAGCAGTATCCATAGCTATGTCCTGTGTGGAATGCCTTTCTGTTGTAAAACACCCCAACGTAGAGTCTTTCACTAGTGCTTTGCCCATAGGGGACTTCACGGTGGTTGAAGACAGAATGCCCTGCTGCTCCGTGCCACCTGCCCAGCCATCTCCTAGTCTCTAGGTCAGCTCACTGTATTCTATGCTCCTGGAAGTGGTAACCAGGGCTGGGGTGGGGGTTATATTCACGGTGAGCCCAGTGCCCAAACAGAGCTTGGACATATATGTCACCTGACATACATGAGTCGACTTACAGGGACAATGGAGTGAGTTATCTGAATTTTTTTTTTTTTTTTTTTTTTGAGACAGAGTCTTGCTCTGTCACCCTGGCCAGAGTGCAGTGGCACAATCTCGGCTCACTGCAACCTCTGCCTCCTGGGTTCAAACGATTTTCCTGCCTTGGCCTCCCGAGTAGCTGGGGACTACAGGTGCCCGCCACCACACCTGGCTAACTTTTGTATTTTTAGTAGAGATGGGTTTCACCATCTTGGCCAGGCTGCTCTCAAACTCCTGACCTTGTGATCCAACCACCTCGGCCTCCCAAAGTGCAGGGATTACACGTGTGAGCCACTGTGCTGGCTTTTTTTTTTTTTTTTTTTTTTTGAGATCAAATCTCGTTCTGTCCTCCAGGCTAGAGTGCAGTGGTGTGGTCTCCTTTCACTGCAAACTCCGCCTCCTGAGTTCAAGCGATTCTCCTGCTTCAGCCATCTGAGTAGCTGGGATTACAGGCACCTGCCACCAGGCCCAGCTAATTTTTGTATTTTCAGCAGAGATGGGGTTTTGCCATGTTGGCCAGGGTGGTCTTGAACTCCTGATCTCAGGTGCTCCACCCACTTCAGCCTCCCAAAGTTCTGGGATTATAGGTGTGAACCACCGTGCCCGGCCATGTTATCTGAAATTGAGAGTTCTCCTCCAGGTCACTACTTACTTACCTATAACTACTAGACAGAACTGGACTGCTCAAAGCACTCCTGCTAGTTTCAACCGTTTCAGTACAGATGGCTCATCCTGTCTCTCATGAACATTATAAAATCAGAGGCAGGGTTTGTAGCCATCAATAAGTCAGGTCTGACCTTCCACAGTCCAATGTTTATTCATTCAGTTATTCATTCATTAATTCAGTTATTTAACAATGTTTTTACTGTGGGCTGAAACTCAGTACCACTATGGGAGGAAGTGTGGGATAGAAAAGAAACAGGGGACAGGGTCTCAGATCTTGAGGTGTCTGCAGTCTACACATAGCAGGGATGCCTAATCTCCCAAACTCAAGGACAGTGTATATCAACATAGGCACTGGCACAAAGTACAGTTGTGCCAATAAAGGTTGTAGAACCAATGTGGTGAGTGAGCAGAGGCAGGAATTGTCAGTCAAGGTGGGGTTCCAGCTGCCCTTGGCCACAGAAGCATGGCTGGGTGGGGGGCCACCAAAGGGCTGCTTCTCTGCATTCAGCCTGCCTTGGCTGAACTCAAAGATGCTGCTGGATAAAGGGCTGGAGAATGGCCTTGAATAGGCAAGGGGCAAGAGAAGGTGGGTCCCACACCGTCCTCACAACACAATTCAAAGAGTTCTGTGAGGAAGAAGAGGGAGGGAGGGAGGAACAGAAGTGAGAAGGCCTCGAACTGGAAGTGCCATGGGGAGTGGTGAGCTCTGCCAGCTCTGGAGTGAGCTTCCCAAGATAGGACAGGGGCCCTTCCCGCAGAAGGACAGATGAGTGAAGGTCACAGAGGACTCCAGTCCAGAAATACTGCCCTGCCCCTCCCAAATACCTTTCCTGCAAATGCTTAAAGTTCCACCATTGGAGATGTATTGTTATGTATTTTTCTCCTCCCCACTTTCAGTAATTTTTTTCATTATAAATGTCAAACATTCTTGTCATAGAAAACTAGGAAAATGCAAGGAAGATAAAAACATTTCTTACCCCACACTCCCAACCTCCAAGGCAGCCCCTATTAACATTTTGGTGTCCTTCTCTGCCCCCTTTTTTGTCATTTTCAGGCATGGCTGTGAGTTCCCTGGAGGGGATTCTGAAGCCCACTTTCCCCACTTAGCTTCAGTCCTATTTCAGTCTGGTGTTCCAGAAAAATCAAGTCTTCCATCCCCGAGAGCCAGTGAGTTCTATGACCTTGAGGAAGTCATTCATCTTTCTGGACTTTAGTGCCCTCATCTGTATAATGGGGACAATCATGGCCCACATGCTACCTCACAGTGCTCCAGAGTCAATGCTAGTGCAATGTTGCAAGGGCATTGCCAATACAGTTCAAGTATGTGGGGCTAGGACTGATGGGAGTGGTCAGGACTCAGCCAGTCATCATAAGGCTATGACAAGAAGGCCAGGTCACCTGGAGGATGGGGAAGGACAGGGAGAGGGACAGGTGAGCCCACACCCACACCAGTCCTGTCCAGGCTCCCCAGGACCAGCCCTCCTGGGCAGCTGTGTGTCAGGTCAGCATGGGCACCTTCCCTCGGAGCTGCTGGGGCATCATCTGTTCCACTTCCTGTTGGGTCCAGAGTTCATTTCCAGTGCAGTTTGAGGGAGATTAGAGGAGAGAGCCAGCCTGGGAAGCCGCATTTCCACTTGGGAGGCACAGGAGATATGGAGCCAACCAAAGGCGGATGGTTCCTGAGGGTTTGTTTCAGGCAGGGTGGGCTGGCCTGGGGGCAGGTGCCGGGAAGAGGAAGGAGAGGTCTGCAGACATCCTGGAGCTAGATTTGATGTGGCCATAGCAAAGCTTTCAGCCTCATCATGTTTGTGATTTCCAAAGTGTGTGTGTGTGTGTGTGTGTGTGTGTGTGTGCACGTGCATGTGTGCACAAGAGGAGGAGAGGGCTCCAGCCCTGAGCGCTGGCTGCCTTGGGCTGGTTAATGGAGACAGGTAGCTGCATGTGGATATCCAAGAATGCTTCTCTTGCATACCTGTGTGAACGTGTGGACCCAGGACCAGCTGTGGGGCTGCCCAGGAATGTAGACACCCATGGGGGAACAGTGGGGGTCTGTGTGTCACCAAATGCCTGGACTTGGGCTGTAGTGTGTGTGCCCCATGGAGCCCGTGTCCGAGCCCAGGAAGGAGTGCTTCCGTCACCACACATGTGTTTGTATGATACTTTACATGTTTACTGCCATAAAAAGGCCACAAACCAGGGTTATAAGCTGAAAACAACACTTGTTTCCTGAGTACCTACTATGTGCTGGGACCTGTGCCAGACTCTGGAGACACAGAGAGAAGTGAAACTCAGGCCAGCCCTTCAGGAGCCCACAGGGCAGAGGGAAGGTGGCAGAGCAACAAATCATTTATGGCACAGGCTGTAGGTCCCAAGGGCTGCTCTTCATGTCCTTCCTCAGGGATCCTATAATATCACAATTGCAGGGATGATCTGTTTTCACTGCCGTCTCCCCCTCCAGGCTATAAGCCCCTTGGGGATGGACACTTAGGAGGTACACGATGCTCTGTAAGGATGTATAATGCAAAGGTGTCTGTGAGTCAGGCTGTGCCTGGGCAGTTCTGAGCCAGCCATGGCCAATCATGAGCCATAGCCAGTACTGACAGTACCGCTGGGCTAGGGCTGGGCTCAATTCCTGCCTCCACTACAGCTGGCCCACCTACACCTGCTACGTCAGCTCTCCCAGCCTCTGTTTTTTCATCTGTGCAATGGAGTTATGATTGTCCCAGCCTCCCAGAGGGCTTGAGGCTTTAGTGAGATTGTGAGCCAGGCCCGGCACATGTGTGCACGTGCACACACACACACACACAGAGCTTGGTACACAGGAGCTGCTGTGGAATTATTATTATTAGCAAGAAGGAGCTATTATCTGGGCAGTTCTATGCAGCCTTATTGGCCAAAAAGACAGAAGCAGAACTCTGAAGCCTCCATGGGCAAGCTGGAAGGCACCCCAGCAGACAGAAACCTGGTACAGTTCTAACATCAGGAGGAGGGAACCCAAGGGTGGGGCCACGCCATTGGCTGGCAAGGATTCAAGAGCATCCATCTAAATATTTTCCTCGTGTTTCTCACTCTCCAGCCACTGATGTCTCCATCGAGTCTTGGGTGCTTCTTCCAGTCTTTGATTCATAGGCTTACCCATCAGACATCAACATGTAACTTTCATGAAATTTTGAAAAGGTGTCACTTTGGGAGAATGTGCCCTGCCTTCTCCATGCACAAGCATGCTTATGTGTGCTTAGGGGCATGAGAACAGGAGGAGCAGCTGGGCAGCCTGAGCTGAACCCACTCCATCCTCACCTGCCTAGGGGGTGTGGCTGGGGCCTGGTGGGGTCTGTCTGCCACCCCAGTCCATGGCTCTTCCTTCTCTCTGACTCACACTGGTCCAGCTCAGGCCCCTCATCCTCTAGCTTCTGTGATCGTGGTTCAAAATCTTACCAGTGATATGCTGGAGCTGGGTCCAGCTGGCCTGCAGGGCTAGCTGTGCACATCTCTTCCTAACTCCAGTGATCAGAAACGATGCCACATTGGTGGCATGAAGTCAGCCATGATGGGAATATTTAAGGCACAGAGATCAACAGATGATACAAATCAGACCACCATCAACCCTCCTTGAGAACCAGTTGTAAACACCATCACACCCCAGTCCTGCCTGCAGGTATAACGATCACTGATATTAGGTGCCGGCACCTGCTAGGCATTTAATATCTTTTTTTTTTTGTTTTGAGATGGAGTCCCATTCTATTGCCCAGGCCAGAGTGCAATGGCGTGATTTCGGCTCACTGCAACCTCCACCTCCCAGGTTCAAGCGATTCTCTTGTCTCAGCCTCCTGAGTAGCTGGGATTACAGGCATGCACTGCCACACCCGGCTAATGTCTTTGTATTTTTAGGAGAGACAGGGTTTTGCCATGTTGGCCAGGCTGGTCTCGAATTCCTGACCTCAGGTGATCCTCTCACCTCGGCCTCCCAAAGTGCTGGGATTACAGGCATGAGCCAACGTGCCTGGCCAGCATTTAACATCTTACCTGCACAAAAATCCTGTTAGATATTTCTCATCATCCATATTTCATATGGGGCTCATAACTTACATGATTTGACTCCAGGTCTCTGCACATTACATTGGGCCATGTGGCCTCAATAAGTAGAACCATGGGATTTGATAGGGCTGGCAGAGCTGTTAGGAATCATCAGATCATGTAATCACTGCGCTCATTTGACAGAGAAACTGAGCTCAAAGAGGCTCAAAGAGGTGGGGGCTTCCTCTGTTAATGCCACCTAACACGGTAGCCACCATCTTCCCAACACCTCCCTCAACACCTCTCTCAGCCCCCTACCATGCTGGTGTCCACTGAAAAGCCAAGGTCGCAGTCACTTGATGTTCCCTATGCATGGCTGATTTTTTGGAAACTTTACATGCAGATCTTGACATTCATTGCAAGTTATATTTTGTTTTGCTTGATTTGACCCCGTGTTCGAGACTCTCAAAAACATTTTAAATCTCACTTGGGTCATTGGTTGTATGTCTCCTTTCTAGACAGGTACCACGCGCCGCTTTGATCTCTGCACCTTCGCAGCAGAAATTGGGGTTAAACTTTAAAAAATAATAAGCAAAACAGAACTTTGGGGCCCAACACTTGAAGTTCCCACCCTATCTACCAGAGATTCTGGCATCTACACACCTTGGAAAGTGGGTCCCTCCTCCCGCAGGGCTCTGTCTGCCCCACTGTCCACTTTGGATTTCTGCGCTGGGGAACATCAGCAGCATTTTGTCAAAAGCCCACGGAGGCCCACGCTGCGCGCCTCGCCGGTAACAGTCACTCTCCCGTTTAAAAACAGAGCGCCCTTTCCTCTCTCCCCTCTGCCCAAGACTCTTTGCCTGGCAACAGGGTCCCCTGAGCCATTGGACATGCATTTCCCCCGCTTCCAGAGAGCGGTTCTGCACCAGGACCCGGCCCTGCCCTGAGTCTGCGGGCTGCGGCGAAGAGACCGCACTTGCCCGGCAGGAGGGCGGACAATGACCCGGGTTTTCCACCGACTCCAGATGCGTCCCTCCTCCTACCCCTCCACCTTCTCTACCTCGGAGAAGCCATTGCGCTTGCCTCCGCCCCATCCCGGAGAGGCAGAATCTCCTCCGTCCCCGCCTCGTACCCTCCTCCCCGCCTCTCCAGGCCCGGGGGGCTTCACGTTCAGCCACCGCGACCCCGGGCGGGCGCGGCGCCAGGTGAGCGCTCACCTGGGGCCGGAGGGCGGGGCAATGGGGGAGGGGCGGGGGCGGTCCAGGGGCGGCTGCCCCACCCGCGACGGGGCGGGGCGAGGGCGGTGGGGCCAATGGGGCGGGGGGCTCGCCGCCCGGGGCTGGGGAGCCTCCCAATCTCCTCCTTTCCCAGCGCCGCCTGCCCCGCCCCACCCGGGTTTAAAGTCCCGCGGGCGGGTGGTGGCGGAGCTGCGAGCTTGAGCGGCGCGAGGAGATGCTAGAGGGCGCAGCGCCGCCAGCACCATGCGCCCCCCGCCCGCGCTGGCCCTGGCCGGGCTCTGCCTGCTGGCGCTGCCCGCCGCCGCCGCCTCCTACTTCGGGTCAGTGCCCGCCGCGCCCCCCGCCCGCTCCCCGGCCTGCCTGTCTCTCCCTCCTGCGCTACAGCTGGGCCAATTTTTCCCTCCCGCTGTCCTTGGCCCCGCCGAGGTCTCGAACTCAGACCCTAGCCCGGCGCGACCCAACCCACTTCGCAGTCGGAGTTCGCGCCCTGAGTTCGGTCTCCAGCTTCCCCGGCTCCGAATCCATCGCCCTGTTCAGTGTCCGAGTCTCTGGTCGCCCCCCAGCCGCCGCTCTCCTCATCCCGCCGGGTCTCGGACTCTGCGCACGCCTCGGACCCTGGCCCCGTCCGCCCCGGCCCCGCCCGTTCAGGCGTCAGTCCCGCTCTCTGATGCCCTCTCGGGATCCTCACGCCGGTGCCCTGTCTGCCGCCATCCTGGCCTCCGGCGAGCCGTCCTTGCCTCGGACTCCTTCCCCACCCTCCGCCTTCGCCCTGCGGAGCGGAGACCGAGAGGGCTGGGTGGATGGGTGGGACGGGCTGTTCCCGGTCTCGGGGCAGAGGATCGTGCGCGTCCAGGGAGAATGGGGGAAACCTCGGACGGTGAGAGCGCCAGCTGGAGACGCAGGAAGGAACCGTGCGCTGGGGAAATGCGACCACATCTCAGACCTGGCATGGGGTGATTTCTCAGGAGAACACTGGAAAGAGTGAGAGGGCCCAGTGTGTGTGTGTGTGTGTGTGTGTGTGTGTGTGTGTGTGTGTGTGTGTGTGTGTACATGGTTGGAAAAGGAGGATCACAGTGGGGGGTGACACCTGGGGGACAGTGGGGTAGGTGACACTGGGGAGAGAGCCGGACAGGAACTATGTGGGGAATGTTTGGAGCAAAAGTTATAGGGCAATTGTTTCCAGTCCCTTCTTCTCTGACCCTGAATTGCAGGGATTTGGTGAGGGATGGGGGCGGGTATCATGGGTAAGAAGGCACCTTCCCACCATCCACCCAAAGCCAACTCCAATATGTACAGCCTGTTACTTTAAGCCTTGCCTCCTTTTAAAATCTTCACCCCAAATCAATAGGAGGCTTACAGTCTGAGTATATACAGCAAAGGCAAGAAAACACCAAGCAAGTGACCTGCTAGAGGCTGCTTTGAAGAAGTAGCCAGGGAGAGGTATGTAAAGGTCTGAGAAGTTCTGCACAGGTTGGAGTAAGGGCTGTGGGCTAATTTCCAGGTCATGACCCCTGGTGGAAACATGTCTGGGCTGTGGAGGAGGGTATCATCCCAGACCCTAGCTCTGGGCTTAGCTTGCTAATGATATGGGAAGACCACTCAGTCTCTGGGCCTCACTTTCTCCTTTTGTACAAAGAAGGGGTTGAACTTGATATGACTGATCCTTTTGCGATCCACCCCAACAGCAGTGCACAACTTGTTTGTTTCCGAAGATTTCAGGCTTGAAGGAATGGTTGTTCCCTCGGCAGGCAGGATGTCATCATCACTAGGGCACAGACTCTGGGGTCAGTCTTGCCACTTGCTAGGTGTGCTCTTGGCCAAGTCACTTAACTTAACCTCTCTGTCTCTCAGTCTCTCAATCTGTAAAATGAAGATTATACTGCCTATTTTATAAGAAGATTGAGCTAGTACATGTAAAGCACTTAGGACAGTGTCTAGCATGCAGTAAGTGCTCAACTAATGCTAGTGACTTTTTTTTTTTTTTTTTTTTTTTTTTAAGACGGAGTCTCCCTCTGTCACCCAGGCTGGAGTGCAGTGATGTGATCTTGGGTCACTGCAACCTCCATCTCATGGGTTCAAGCGATTCTCCTGCCTCAGCCTCCTGAATAGCTGGGACTATAGGCGCGTGCCACCATGCCCAGCTAATTTTTGTATTTTTAGTAGAGACAGTGTTTCACCATGTTGGCCAGGCTGGTCTCGAACTCCTGATCTCAATCTGCCCAACTCAGCCTCCCAAAGTGCTGGGATTACAGGCATGAGCCACCAGGCCTGGCTAGTTTTTTTCATTAAGGAAACCAGTTATAGAATCTTGATGTCCTGGCCCTAACAGTTTTCTGAGCTGGAATGGAAAGGGATGGGACAAATGGTACCTATATCCTCTTACACACTGGCTCATTTCCACGATTCATTTGTTTGCTTGGTTTTTATGGTTAGAGATGGGGCAAGAGTCAGGTGAGATGAGAGGAGAGGGGTTCCAGGAGGACCACCCTAGCTGCTGTATTGGAAGGGAAAGGTGTTCTCAGCAGTGCATGGGGTTAGAATTTTGAGGGAACTGAGCATGGAGCAGCCTTGAAAATGACATGTGAGATGGTCAAATAGGCCTGGGTTAGGGCTGAGAGGGATGAGTATCGGAGCCACCTCTTCCAGGTCAGGAGCCCAGCTGGAAAGAGCTGACAAAAGACACAAAAGCCACCACCACCCCAATCTGGGGAGCAGGACAGATGCTCAGAGAATCAGCTAAAACTGGGGCCTCATGATGTTAAGTGTTTGGTCTCAGGGAACAGACAGGATTCAGC
This sequence comes from Homo sapiens, assembly GCF_000001405.40. Taxonomy (NCBI): domain Eukaryota; kingdom Metazoa; phylum Chordata; class Mammalia; order Primates; family Hominidae; genus Homo; species Homo sapiens. Next base: position 1,373,606 of record NT_187663.1, read on the forward strand.
CTGAGCTCTCAGTTAAGAAACCCTCTGGTGACTCAGACCAGGTTTCCCAGCTTCCCATCTGCATTCGCTGTCTGGGAGGAATCTGGTATCAGTCATCTACACTGTAGTGGGAAAGTGAGGCAAAGCGCTTCTTCCTCCGCAGTCATTTGCATTTGATTATAACACAAAGTGCTTTGGCATCCTGATAAGAGAATATGCAAACATCAGGAGGGCAGGTGAGGCCGATCTTCTTGGGCTCTTTGAAATCATAGAATCGTAGACTTCAGAGTTGGAAGTGACCCCAGAAGGATCTCTGGTCCAAAACTCACTGCTTCAAGCAGGATGTATTATTATCCCAATTTTTCAGATGAGGCAACCCCCAAACCCCAAACCACAGTGAGCCAGCTGTTGGTTCTGCTGCTTTTGAGTGAGCCTAGAGCCTAATTCTGTTAATGGTGATAAAAAAAAACATAACTAGTATTGCAGTTTACAAATCTCTTTTTTCTTTTTTTGAGATGGAGTCTTGCTGTGTCACCCAGGCTGGGTGCAGTGTCATGATCTCGGCTCACTGCAACCGCCACCTCCTGGGCTCAAGCAATTTTCCTGCCTCAGCTTTCCGAGAGCTAGGATTACTGGTGCCCCCCATCACACCCCACTAATTTTTGTATTTTTAATAGAGATGGGGTTTCACCATGTTGGGCAGGCTGGTCTTGAACTCCTGACCTCAGGTGATCCACTTGCCTGGGCCTCCTAAAGTGCTGGGATTACAGGCATGAGCTACCATGCCCAGCCCATCACTTTCTCATACAGCCATCTCTCTCATCTGATCCTCAGAGCCATTTCTCCAGAGCCATGTAGGATGGGTGTAAATAGTTCCCACAAGGAATCTGAAGGTCAGAAAGGTTCAGTCAGTCACCCAGTGTTACACAGTGAATCGGTGGGGGAGGTTGAATAGAAACCCTGCTTCCAGTCTGGGCCCTTCAACCTACAGGAACAGCCTCCAGTGCTAAGACAGTATGATTCCCCCAGGGCAGCAGTGGCTGCAGAGAGGCCGAAGGGGGTGAGGGTGGAGGGAGCCTCCCTTCCCTGCTTAATTGACTCTTTTAGACTCTCTTGGCTGTAGTGAGATGGATAAGGCCGCACATTCTTTTCTGTCCTCAGTAGTGAGACGGGTTGCACTGACCCCTGCTAGACTGTCAGTTTGGCTCACAGAACAGCATGATGGCAGTGGGACAGGAGGCGGACCAGAGGTGAGGGTCCAAGCTAGTCCTGGCTCTGGGACACTCTCTGTGTTGTCCCTGATCAAGTCACTCATCTCCAAGGTCAGTAGCACCTGGAGGTGCTAAGGTTCCCTAATGCTAACAGGGCTGGTCCTGGCTCTGGAAGTCTAGGATTGCTGAAGAGTTTTTATTTTGGCTTTGAATGCCTAGGAATTCCACAAATGTTAACTTCTGTGATGTTGTATAAATGAAAATGCACTGCATTATGTGATGAGCTGGGCACAAGACAGGCCCAGTTACCCAATCCAGTCTATTTATTTATTTATTTAGAGACGGAGTCTCGCTCTGTCACCCAGGCTAGAGTGCAATGGTGTGATCTCGGCTCATTGCAACCTCCACCTCCCAAGTTCAACAGATTCTCCTGCCTCAGCTTCCCCAGTAGCTGAGATTGCAGGCATGTGCCACCATGCCTGGCTAATTTTTGTATTTTTAGTAGAGACCATGTTGATCAGGCTGGTCTGGAACTCCTGACCTCAAATGATCCACCCACCTCAGCCTCCCAAACTGCTGGGCTTATAGGTGTGTGCCACCATGCCCGGCCCCCAGTCCAGTCTGTAAGTTATCCGAGTGGCTTTGTAACTAGAAATAGTTTCTGTGGATGCAAGTTTTTAAATCATAATTAACTTTGGTGATGTTTCTTCAGTGTGTGACCTCTGCACTGGTTGAGTTTCTTTCCTCTCTAGGGATAGTACAGAGAAGTTTATGAAAGCCCAAGACAGTGAATCCCAGCTTTGCCTGTTGCTAACTGTGTGACTTTAGACAAATGTCTTAACCTTGCTGAGCTTTGGGTTATGAGAATACCTATCTGAGAGGTGAGGGTGAGGCTTAATTGAAACAATGAATGAAAGGGCTGGATAGGGTGTCTGGCACATATGTGCTAAGTGCTCAGTCCAGGCTCACTCTCAGTGGATGCTGGGGTTCTAAACATCATCCCAGGTGGTGGAAGTGTCATTACTATAATTCCATTGGAGAAACAAAACATAATCTTTATTTTCCCCCCAAATCGTTGTTATATACAATGAAATGCATGCTTTTTCTTTCTTTTTTTTTTTTTTGAGATGGAGTCTCACTATGTCGCCCAGGCTGGAATGCAGTGGTGCAATCTCGGCTCACTGCAGCCTCCGCCTCCCGGTTCAAGTGATTCTCCTGCCTCAGCCTCTCAAGTAGATGGGATGACAAGTGTGCGCCACCATGCCCAGCTAATTTTTGTATTTTTAGTGAAGACACGGTTTCACCATGTTGGCCAAGCAGGTCTCAAACTCCTGACCTCAGGTGATCCACCCACCTCAGCCTCCCAAAGTGCTAGAATTATGGGCGTGCACCACCACGGCCAGCCAATGCATGCATTTTAAATTGCACAGTTTGGGTTTTAACAAATTATACACCTGTGTAACACATTTGTGGTGACTCCAATGACTACATAGAACATTTCTACCATCCTAAAGGATCCTTTGTTCCTCTTTGCAATCAACCCTCTCCCACCAGCCCATGGCTACTCCACTTCTCCGCTTTCAGTCACTATGTGTTAGTTTTGCCTATTCTGGAAGTTTATATCATGAAATTGTGAGTATATAGCCTCTTTTGCTTGGATTATTTTGCTCAGCATAAAGCTTTTGAGATTCATCCATGTCGTTGAATATAGCAATAGCGAATTCCTTTTTATGGCTGAGTATTCCTTTGTATGGCTATACCACAAATTATTTATCCATTCCCCACTTGATAGACATTTGGGTTATTTTGGCTGGGCGTGGTGGCTCATGCCTGTAATCCCAGCACTTTGGGAGGCCGAGACGGGCAGATCACTTGAGGTCTGGAGTTCGAGACCAGCCTGGCCAACATGGTGAAAACCCATCTCTACTAAAATTACAAGAATCAGCTGGGTGTGATGGTGGTGGTGCATGCCTCTAATCCCAGCTACTCAGGAGGCTGAGGCAGGAGAATCACTTGAACCCAGGAGGCAGAGGTTGCAGTGAGCCAAGACTGTGCCACTGCTCTCCAGCCTGGGCAACAGAGCAAGACTCTGTCTCAAAAAAAAAAAAAAAAAAAAAAGATATTTGGGTTATTTGCAGTTTTGGACTATTCCAAATAAAGCTGGTATAAACATCCATGTACATCTCTTTTTGTGGGTGTATGTTTTCATTTCTCTTGGATAACTGTCTAGGAGTGGATTGTTGGATCAGATGGTTGATATATGCATAACTTATAGAATTGGCATTTTTCAGAGTGGTTTTACCATTTTACACAGTAATGTATGAGAGTTCCAGTTGCTCCATATTCTATGGTCAGCTATCATCAGTTTTAACTTGTGGCTATTTTCGTAAGTATGTAGTAGTATCTCATTGTGGTTTTAATTTGTATTTCCCCATTGATGAATGGTGTGTTGAACATTTTCCCATGTGTATATTGGTCATTTGAATATCATTTCATTGGGTTATTTGTCTTCTTATTGAATTGTAAGAGTTCTTTATGTATTTTGTTGTTGTTGTTGTTGCTGTTGTTTGAGATGGAGTCTCACTCTGTATCCCAGGCTGGAGTACAATGGCATGATCTTGGCTAACTGCAACCTCCACCTCCTGGATTCAAGCAATTCTTGTGGCTCAGCCTCCCAAGTAGCTGGGACTACAGGCATGCGCCACCATGCTCGGCTAATTTTTGTATTTGTAGTAGAGATAAGGTTTCATCATGTTGGCCTGGCTGGTCTTGAACTCCTGACCTCATGTGATCCACCCACCTCGGCCTCCCAAAGTGCTGGGATTACAGGCGTGAGCCACTTGGCCTAAGAGTTCTTTATATATTTTGGATACAAGTCTTTGTCACAAGTACTGGTAATATTTTATTCCTGCCCGTGACTTGCCGTTTCATTTTCTTATTGATGTCTTATGAAGAACAGATGTTTTTAATTTTGATGAAGTCCAGTGTATCAACCTTTTCTTGTATGGTTTGTGCTTTGTTGGTGTTCTACCCAAGAAATCTCTGCCTACCCAAAAGTTGCAAAGATTTCTTCCTACGTTTTCTCCTTTTTATTTTATTTTATTTTATTTTATTTTATTTTTTGGAGAAATGATATCTTTCGGTCCTCCAGGCTAGAGTTGCTTCTGCTGCTTTTGAGTAAGCCTGGAGCCTAATTCTGTTGGTGGTGATAAAAACATAATAACTAGTATTGCAGTTTACAAATCACTTTCTCATACAGCCCCTTCTCTCACCTGATCCTCAGGGCCATTCCTCCAGAACCATGTAGGATGGGTGTAAATAGTTCTCACAAGGAAACTAAATGTGTTACACAATCACAGCTCACTACAGCCTCGACCTTCTGGACTCAAGTGATCCTCCTGCCTTAGCCTCCTGAGTAGCTGGGGCCACAGGCATGCGCCATCACGCCCAGCTAATTTTTTATTTTTTTGTAGAGATGGGGTTTTGCTATGTTGCTCAGGCTGGTCTCAAACTCCTGGGCTCAAGCAATTCTCCTGCCTCGGCCTCTCAAACTGCTGGGATTATTGGCATGAGCCACAGCTAGAAACTTATAATTTTAGCTTTTTTTTTTTTTTTTTGACAGAATTTCACTCTTGTTACCCAGGCTGGAGTGCAGTGGCATGATCTCGGCTCACTGCAACCTCCACCTCCCGGGTTCAAGTGATTCTTCTGACTCAGCCTCCTGAGTAGCTGGAAGTACAGATGCCCGCCACTGTGCCTAGCTAATTTTGTATTTTTAGTGGAGATGGGGTTTCACCATGTTGGGCAGGCTGGTCTTGAACTCCTGACCTCAGGTGATCCACCTGCCTCGGCCTCCCAAAGTGCTGGCATTACAGGCGTGAGCCACCACACCCAGCCAATCTTAGCTTTTACCCTTAAGTCTATGGTTCATTTTGAGTTAACTAGTGTGTACAGCATGGAGTAAGGGGCAAGCTTATTATTTTGCATATGAATGTCCACGTGTTTCAGTGCCATTTGTTGAAATGATGATGTTTTCTCCACTGTCATCTTTGTTGCTCATCAATTGATTCAATATGTGTGGGCCTATTTCTGGACACTCTACTCTGTTTCATTTATCTATATGCCTATCCTTATGCCAATACTATACAGCCTTGATTACAGTAGCTTTAAAAAAAATTTTTCCCCAATAAGCCTTTTATATTCCTAGATTACTATAGCTTTATGTTAAGTCTTGAAACTAAGTACTATAAGTTCTCTAACTGTGCACTATTTTTTCGAAATTGCATGGGCTATTCAGGGTCATTGTATTTCGGCATAGATTTTAGTAGTATCTCGTCAATATCCACATGAAAGCCTCCTAGGATTTTGACTGGGATTGCATTGAATCTATACATCAGTTCATGGAAGATTGACGTTCTAACAATATTGAGTCTGCTGATTTGCACACAGGCCATATCTTTCTATTTAGAGCTTTTGTAATTTCTCTCAGCAGTGTTTTCTAGTTTTCAGTGTGCAGGCATTGAAAATTTAAAAAAAGAAATTCTTCCAATGTGCTCTATGTATTTAGATAGTATTGTTTTTATTTTTAATAAAAACACATTTTTAGAAATTGAATTGGGGCCTGAGAAAAACATAGTTGGAGGGAAGGAAAGGTAAAAGAAATTTTACTGCTTTGGGGGTGGTGGACTGAAAGCCAAACATCGCTGATAAGAATCACTGTGTTTTGGGAAGGAATTTAGGCCAGCTTGTCTCTGGCTGAGCTGTAACCCCTGAGGAGCTGGGCTCCAGAGTTGGGCTGAGAGTCATCCTAGCCTCTTCAGTGGATGATGGTGGACTTTCTGTGGCTGAGGACGGGAAGGAGGAGAGGAGGGAAGCGGGGCCGGCAGACTCCCGGGCTGGAATCTCCTAAGGAAGAGAGGTCCTGGTGCCTTTGGGATTATGTGCTCAGGTGGAAGTTGGGCTCAGGAGGAGGTGGGCCAGGTGCTGTGAGGGTGACTCCCATCCTGGCATCAGCATGAGCAGGATCGGACATGGCCCAAGGCCCTGTTATAGTGTAAGGGGCACTGGGCTTGGGGTCACACAGATCAGAGTTCAAATCTCCATCTACCACTTACTGACTGACCCAGGGCAAGTCAGATAACCATTCTGACCCCAGTTTTCTCATCTGTAAAATGGGATAATCTTGATCTCTTAGGCTTGTTGTAAGAGTTAAATGAATGTATATATAGGTATTCAAATGCTATCTCTATATAAGGATTCCAAGAAATCTAGTGATCTGCCTTACAGCGTCCCACGTTTAGAAGAGTCTTTGGTGGTGACATCTGTTCCTTCTTCTCTGTGCCTGTATCCCAGCCACTGTACAATTCAGAACAAACCCAGCCTTTTCTGTGCTCAGCACTTTATGTGCATTACTTCACCTCACATTGTGGCAACCCAGGAGGTAGGTGCTGATATAATTCTCATTTATTTTAAAATTTCACTTTTTTTTTATTTTTAGAGAGATAGGTTCCTGCTCTGTCACCCAGACTAGAGTGCAATGGCTTGATCATAGCTCATGGCAGCCTTGAACTCCTGACCTCAAGCAGTCCTCCTGCCTCTGCCTTCTGAGTAGCTGGGATTACAGGCCCAAGGCATCATACCTGGCCAGTTATCCTCATTTATAGGTGTGCGTGTTGGGGGGAAACTGTCAGAATCCAAGCCAACCTCTTCATCTCTGCCATATGTTGGCAGTGGAACCCCAACTGGAGGCCTGTCCCCTTAGGGCAGCTCTGTCCCTCTGAGCCCCGACCCTGTGGCCCAGGCCCTGCACTTGGTGCATGTCCTGGGCATCTGTTGTCCTGTGTGTCTCAAACTCTTGGCTCATTAGCTAATTTTTCAGGTGCTCAGGTCTTCAATTCACTTGTAGTTTCCTTTAGTAGAGACCTCGGGGCCCTGCTGTTGGCTGAGTCCCACAGTCTCTAGCAGTGCTCCCTGGTCTGCAGTGAATATCTTGGTGGGCAGCGTCCTCTCCCTTTCACTGGCCCTTCCTTTCCCCTGGAATCTCCCTCTGTGCCCTGTCCCATTCACTCCTTCATCTTCTGCCTCCATGGGCTCTCTGGGGCACATACTACCTCACCTAGGCCTGGCCAACTGGGAGCCATGGCCTGGCTTCTGTCAGGATAGGAACTGGACACAAAGCAGAGAGCAGAGACTTATCCCCATCGGACTCCAGAAATCAGCCACACCCACCACCTCATGGCATGCTGGTAGCAGCAGACATGAGCTGGGGGCATAGGGTGGCCTCTTCTACACCCAAGCCCCTCATTGGAGAGATGAAGGCTGAAGAGGAGGGTGAAGAGTCTTAGAGCCAGAAAGACCAACTACCAAGCTCTGGTCAGTCCTGGAAACTTCCAAGAGGCTGGTTTTAGGGCAAGACCAAAGGGTTTGTTTTTCCTGGTGTTACAATCCCTTTGAGGCCAGATGCTGTCAGAATTCAACATTTCTCTTTGAATTTTAGAAAAGTAGGCCGGGTGCAGTGGCTCATGCCTGTAATCCCAGCACTTTGGGAGGCTGAGGCAGGTGGATCACCTGAGGTCAGGAGTTTGAGAACAGCCTGGCCAACATGGTGAAACCCCATCTCTACTAAAAATACAAAAATAGCTGGGCGTGGTGACAGCCGCTTGTAATCCCAGCTACTTGGGAGGCTGAGGCAAGAGAATTGCTTGAACCTGGGAGGCGGAGTTTGCAGTGAGCCGAGATTGTGCCATTGCACTGAAGCCTGGGCAACAAGAGTGAAACTCCGTCTCAAAAAAAAAAAAAAAAGAAAAAGAAAAAGAAAAGGGAAAGAAAAGTAATATAGGAGGTAGGGGAGGCAGAACAAATAAACTTAAAAAATAAAAATTAAAAAATTAAAAGTACAGAAAGGTAACGTATCGTATATTCCATGGCTAACAGCACCTCTAGCAAGATCTGGGGCAGCACCTGTAATCAGACTCTATTAATTTTGCAGGTAGACATCTACAGGTTGGGATAAACAAAGCCCATAATATTCTCCCTGGTTTGGGTCAGGGCTTGCTACCGTATGAGTTCACCACAATTGTTAAAAAAACTTGTAGTTTTCTGAGTTTCCTGGAATTTGGAATTGTGGATAAGGGTTTGTGAATCTGTGGCAAATTCTGAGCCCAAGTCACTGCGAGAGGTTGTGCAAGCTGAGTTTTTTTTGTTTGTTTTGTTTTGTTTTTTTGAGACGGAGTCTTGCTCTGTCGCCCAGGCTGGAGTGCAGTGGCAGGATCTTAGCTCACTACAACCTCTGCCTCCCAGGTTCAAGGGATTCTCCTGCCTCAGCCTCCCGAGTAGCTAGGACAACAGGCGTCTACCACCACACCTGGCTAATTTTTTGTATCTTTAGTAGAGATGGGGTTTTACCATGTTGGCCAGGCTGGTCTCAAACTCCTGATCTCAAGTGATCCGCCCGCCTCGGCCTCCCAGAGTGCTGGGATTACAAGCGTGAGCCACTGTGTACCAGGCCTAAGCTGAGTTTTAAACAAAGACTCAGGCCAGTTGCTTGGCTGGTCCTCGCTGGGTGTCACCAGGCTACCCAAGCACAGATCTTCCCCAGGAACTGAGGTTCAGAGGGAACGGGCCTGGCTCTCAGACCCCAAGGTACAGGGCCCCACAGGGGCTGAGGACCATGGCGGGATGGCCCCGAGATCTGGCACTGGGGAGAGCATACGCCAGCAATCAGTCGTGGGCTAGGGAGGGCGTGGCACAGGCAGCCTCCTCCAGAGCCACGCCCTCCCAAAGCCCGCCCAGCCCCAGCTTGGGAAGGTTTGGCGGTGGGGCGTTAGGTGGTAGCCTCTGCAGCCAGAGAGCAAGACCACAGCGAAGCCAGCAGGGTGGGACTGCAGGGAGGCTGAGGGACAGCCCCGAACTGCACTCCTTGCGTGGGGTTAGACACCTAAGGGGCATAATATGCAGCCAGCAGGTGTCTGTAGAGCATCTGCTTGGGAGGAGCACGCATCTGGACTGGGAAAGAATGGATCTCAGGGTATGAAAAACCATGGCCTCTGCCAAGGAGCTTACAGGATACAGCTTTGAAGAGGAAGAAAGGAGTGTCTGCCATGCGGAACTGATGGTACTATATATACAAAAGTGGGAGAAGACAAAGAAAGAGGATGGTTAGAGGGGGATGGGGCTGGCAAGTAAGGAGGGCTTCCTGGAGGAGGCAAACAAACATCACAGCATACTAGAGCTGTCTGGGACCTCGGGGTGATCAAATGTTAAAAAAGGACATGGCTATAAAAGGTTCCAGGGTATCCATGAGGGCTTTTGGACTGGGAGAAGGTTACAGCATGGGGGTCGGACCGAGTTAGACATGGCAGAGGACAAGGGAGAGACTAGCCTGGCTGAGGGGAGGGTCCCCTTTCTCCAGCCCTGGCTGGCTCTGGATTTAGGACAGTCCTAGTGGTTCTATTCCCAAGGGAGCCGCTCACAACTACATCCATCCCAGGGGGTGTCCTGGACTACTCTGGGGGTGGATCCTTGATCAGGCAGGGAGGTTCCTGCTGTCCCTACAGCTGGGCGAAGGGTGTGGGCCATCCGTGGGGCCTGCAGGAGAACAAGTGGAATCTGCAGCATGGGACATCTCTGCCTAGAGCCTGTGCAAACAATGGCACTGTCCTCATCATTGAGGGGGTCACGCACAAGGCATTCCCCAGAGGCCTGGCCCTTCCAGGGCCCAAGCCCAGCCTGAGCCTGCCTGTGCGTGGGAAGAGGGTGATCGGAGCCCAGGGTGCATTCAAGAACCTGTCAAGGTAGTTAGTTGGTCAATGCGTCATGGTTAAATAACTTGGCTGCAGTCACCCAGCCAGAGTCACCCAGTACCCTGGTTGGGTAGGAACTTGCCACCAGGAGTGCGGTTTCAGCCATGATTTGCCTTTCCCTGAACTTCCCACCCACTGCCTCCACATCCCCACACCAAGCTCCCCCAACTCCTTCTCTTCACATACCAGGCCCTCTCCTTTGAACTTCCCTCTATCTAGCCAAGTATGTTCTCAAGCACTGGTATTGTATCAGACTCTCACACTTTAGTATGAAGAGGTAGGCCACTTCTGTAAGCCTGATTCCTGACTTTTTGCTGAAGAGACTGAGTTTCAGACCAGGGAAAGTAGCCTTTAAACAGAGGGTCTTTCTCTCCCTTCCTGAGGGTCCACCCTTGGGCCACCCAGGGGGTCAGAGGAGTCCTGACCAGGTTTCCTTCCCTCAAAACCTAGCTGTCTTGCATTTCCACCACCTTAGATGCTTGCTGTGGTGATGGCTGATTTGGCTTCCCTGATGTGCTGGGTCTGCAAGCAGAAACTGCCAGGCTTGGTGGAAGCAATCAAGAGACCTGGGCCACAGACCCAGCCCTGCTACCAAGCCAGTGGGTCGCCTTGGACGACCAATCTTGCATGAATTTGTGGCCACCGGAGACCTGCACACTTGGCATGCCCTTGCCCTCCTGCTTCCCCGCACAGCCTCCAGGACACCTTCCAGGAGCCAGCAGAGCAGAACTTCTGGGCCGGGTGACCTTAAAGGGTTTCTCCAGCTCTAACGTATAATGGTTTGAATGGTGTACATTTGGACTCAGCCTAGGAACTGGGGTAGATGTTTACAGTCACAGACTCATAGAGGTGATGGATCCTTCTTTGCAGGAATGACTTTGGGGACCCTCCGCAGCCACTGTGACACCTGATGCATACGTGCCAGGGACAAAGGCTTCCTCTCCTTGGCTTCAGCCCGAGCCTGAGTGGAGAGGGAGAGAGACAGGAGGAAGAAGAAAAAGCATTTCCTTCACAGATGTTGAACTAGCCACACTCTAAATGCCGGGGATTGTTGAGATGCAAAGCATGCTTGCTGTGCGAGCTGCTCACTACCCACTTAGCCCCTGAGCACGTCTCCCTGATGCCATCCCCTGCAGGCAGCCTGGTCTGCGGCTGTGAGACAGGAAGTGGGGCTGTGCTTGGAGAGACAAAGCCTACAGCTGGACCCGGCTCTTTCCTCTCTGAGTCAGGGATGGGTGGGGGACGAGGCTGTGGGGTGGGCTCCAGCGGGGAAGTGTGGCCAGATTCAGTCCTCAGGGTGGGTTCATGGGGATGGAGGGTGAGAGCTGGGTAGGGAAGGAAGGCTGGATCCAGGAGTAGGGGTTGGGGAGCCAGACAGGAGGAACGAGTGGTTTTGAGGTCTGTGGGTGGACTGGGCAAAAAGCTGATGCTTAGAAAAGTCCTTTTTGGTGTGTGTGACAGGGTCTCACTCTGTCACCCAGGCTGGAGTGCGGTGGCGTGATCATGGCCCACTGCAGCCTTGACCTCCTGGGCTCAAGCGATCCTCCTAGCCTGTAGCTGGAACCACAGGCACGTGCCACCATGCCCAGCTAATTTTTTAATTTTTAATTTTGTAGAGACAACGTCTCACTTACGTTGCCCAGGCTGGTTTTGAACTCCTAGGCTCAAGTGATTCACCTGCCTTGACTTCCCAAAGTGCTGGTACTACAGGTGCGCGCCACAATGCCTGACCAAAAAAATCCTTTATAGTTGTACTTTTGTTTATTGATACTCAGTTAATAGAGGTATAAATGAATGAGCGAGTAAGTGAAAAGAGGGGGTGGAGAGAGTTGGGCATAAAGGTAGGAAGGTTGGAAATAGTAGCTTCCGAATTTGCCTGGCTGCAGGACGTCATGGAGGAGGTGCAAGGTGGCATTGGGTGCTGTAGAAGAGAAAGGCACCTGGAAGGTAGAGGGGAGGGTGTGCTCACAGTAGGGGAAATCTGGGGCCTCCCAGTGTAACAGCAGGAGGGGAGAGAAGCCTGGAGTTGGTGTTGAGCAGCCACCCTCAAAAAAGGGCTGCCCAGAGCCATGGTGCCCTCTCTTACTGGGCCAGGCACTGCCCCTCACTGAACTCCCCGCTACTGGGAAGAGGTTGGGAGCGGAGAGCACAGGAGGGGCTAGGGGTGTGTGAGAGTGTGTGTGTGAGTGTGTATGTGCGTGAGAATGTGTGTATGTGTGAGAGTGTGCATGAGTGTATGTGCGAGTATAGGTGTGTATGAATGTGGATGTGTGTGTGAGGGAGTGTGAGTGTGTGTGTGTATTTGTGTGTGTAGGGGGATCAGTGAGGGCCAGGAGAGGTAGACTGAGACGTTTGAGATGAAAGCACAAAGGGCGCACTCACCATGCAAATGGCCTTGCAGCGGAAGCCTGTTATCAGGAGCATCTGATGGGGTTTTTCAGGGTGGAAGCCAGCACCCCGGGCAGCACAAGGCTTTCCCGGTTCCCAGGCAGCTGCCTGTAGTTGGCATGGCCCTGGCGTAATGCACTACTCCTGGACCCTCCAGCTAAGAGTCCAGACACACTGGCATTACCTGGTGCCCTAGAAACCACCTGCCTTGTCCTGTGCCACCCACCCACCACATCCTGGGGATAGCCTCTGCTGAAAGCATCAGACCCTCTCAAGCAGAAACTAGGATGGGAGTAGGTGGAAGAACAGGGCTTGGGGTCCTCTTAGGTGATGAGAAAAGCTCTCCACCAACCTGGTCTTCCCCAAACAGCCTGGAGTGCTCCCTGAGAGCTTCCTCTTGCCTCCTCCTCACCCCCAGGCCTCCTACAGGCAGGATGGGACTGGTCAAGATCAAGTTCTCACCTGCATGGTACCAGGAGTTCTGATCTGGGTCCCTAAGCAGCTACTGGTGTTTCCTCAAGGAGGCAGGCCAGTGCAAAGCTTTCTCTTCCTTCCCCTTCTTGGGGCCTTGAGAGAGTCTGGAGGACTCCTGAGTCCAACCAACTTCCTTCCAGACTGTGAGCTTCTTGAGGGCAGGACCGTGTCCCAGCACAGTACCTGGCACATGGTAGATGCTCACTAATGACAAATACTTATCTGGAGCTTACTGTGTGCTCACTGCTCTCAGAGCATAGAGAGGTAAAGCACCTTGCCTAAGGTAGCACAACTAGGAAGAGGTGGAGGTGGGATTTGAACCCAGGCAGTCTGGCTCCAGCCATCCCCTCTCATGAGTTAAGGTGTATTTGTTTGATGGAATGAGCTCAGTTGGTGAGGGGACAACCCTGAGGTCACCTCGGAGTGAGTCAGACCTAGGACCAGACTACCTAGGCCAGAACAGCCTTGGGGCATGAGATCCTTGGGCCCCACTCTCCAGGCAGGGGGTGGGTGATTACTGAAGGGTGAGGTCCCTGGGGTCCTGCTGACGGTGGACAGAGCAGTCTCCTGGGAGGCTTTTGCCAAAACCTGGGAGAGCCATCTTCTGCTTCCTTCAAGGTCACCCCAGCGGGGCAGCTTTAGCCACAATTGTGGGTGGGGTGTGTGTTGGAGAGTGTGAAAGGAGGTGGGGAAGGAGGTTCCAGGAGGATCAGAAGAGATCTGAGGGTGAGAGTGTGTGAGATGAAGCCCTGAGGGGCACCCTTGACTTCTCCCACTCTAGAGAAAGACAGGCTGGTCTGTCAAGTGGTTGGGGGTGTCCTGGGGTCCAAGCCAGAGGTCATCGCATGTGTGGAGGTGGGGGCTCTGGTTTTATGATGAACCTGACCACCAAGGACCATGGGGTGAAGGTGCAGAGAACAGAAGGGCACAGACTGGGGGCAGCAAGGGGAGGAGGCGGCCGCTGTTCACCTGGGGTCATTGCTTTCTTAATGGGAAAAGAGAGGCTGGAAGTTAGCCTGGGGAGCCTGAGACAGACAGGAATAGTGGAGGTAGCTGGGCCAAAGCAGGTGCAGCCTGATAGAGTGGTGGCCCCAGGAGGCTCAGGAGCACCTGAGTCAGGCAGTAGCCCCCAGCCCAGAAGAGCAATTAGCAAGTTGGCAAACAACCCTTCCTCTGCCCTTTAGTTCAGAACCCTGGTTACTTGTTTAACTGATCTGATAGCATCTCATTGGCCATAAGGCAGCATCTTCATTAAGACCCCCATATTTGGCTGGGCGTGGTGGCTCATGCCTGTAATCCCAGCACTTTGGGAGGCCAAGGTGGGCGGATCACATGAGGTCAGGAGTTCAAGACCAGCCTAGCCAACATGGCGAAACCCCATCTCTACTAAAAATACACAAAAAAAATAGCTGGGCGTGGTGGCACGTGCCCATAATCCCAGCTACTCGGGAGGCTGAGGTAGGAGAATTGCTTGAACCCGGGAGGCAGAGGTTGCAGTGAGCCGAAATCTCAGCACTGCACTCCAGCCTGGGTGATGGAGTGAGACTCGATTAAAAAACAAAACAAAACAAAACAAAACAAAAACACCAAAATAAACACATTTTTCTGGGTTCATAAGACTAAGGAAGCCCACTTGAATTTCTCCAGTTGTCCATCTTACCCCCTTGGCACTCAGCTAACTGTGGGTAATTGAGATTTCACAGAGGGACCCAGTGAGTGGTGTCTGCAGGGCTGGGATGCCAAACAGTATGACTTCTTCCAGGGGATGACGTTGTTCCTGCTGACCTCTGAGCAGGCTGAAGCCTGCCACACCCAGAATTATTCTGGGGTCTAGGAAGATACCTTCCCAGCAGAAGCCATGGGCTGAGCATGTGTCGGATAATTCACTGTTGAGGAAAATAGATGGTCATTTTCTAAATATGATGTCATGGTACTATTTCTTCAAAGGAAATACGATCCCAAACTGCAACACAGAAAATAAACAGAGGGAAACTGGGTCTTTGAGGCCTCCCAGGCTGTCTTCATGGGCCCTGTGGGGTTCCCGAGGCAGTGCCAGGGAGCCTTCTTTGAGAGCAGCCCTGGGCAGACCAGGGCCCGGTGTGGCCTGAGGCCTCTGTGCGGTTGGCTACCTTTCCTGGTCATTAATCGCTACTAAGTGTCATTACCACTAATAAAATTAACCGACTTGATACTGGACTCTCTGAGCCATCAATCTCAGGGTCCATTAGATGAAATTTAAAAAACAGATGCCTCTGGGGTGGGGCCTGAGGATTTGCATTCCACAGAGCTCCAAGGCAACACTGGCCATGCAGAGCTGGGCACCGTTTGAGACCCATTGCTCCCTCCAGGGTCTCTTCCCCTGGGCATCGCGGACATTGTGGTTGGAGTGGAGCCGTTCTGGGCACTGCAGAGTGCTGGGCAGCGTCCCTGGTCTCCACCCACTCCATGCCAGAAGCACCAAAAACGAAAACAAAAATGAACAAACCAACAAAAACCAGATGCCTGTTGAATGAGTGGAGGGGTTTGCTGGGTCTGGCTCCCAAGTGCAGCCTAGGGAATTCTGGCACTCTTCACATGTCAGAGGTCATAATCAAGGATGATGCATTTAGTTAGACAAACCAACTTTGAGCCTTCGCTCCACACTACATGGGAGTCCCAGACAAGAACACAGCTTGGGCAGGGTGCAGTGGCTCACGTCTGTAATTCCAGCACTCTGGGAGGCTGAGGCGGGCAGGTCACTTGAAGTCAGGAGTTCGAAACCAGCCTGGCTAACATGGTGAAACCCCGTCTCTACTAAAAATATGAAAATTAGCCAGGGATGGTGGCGCACACCTGTAGTCCCAGCTACTCGGGAGGCTGAGGCAGGAGAATTGCTTGAACCCGGGAAGTGGAGGTTACAGTGAGCTGAGATCACACCACTGCACTCTAGCCTGGACCACATAGCAAGACTGTCTCAAAAAAAAAAATGTTATATATCATGTCATATCATATGACATATACTGTAGCTATAATGATATAATAATCATAGCTATTATTCTTAAAATGGCATTTGAGGCAGGTCTTGAAGGATATGCAGCTTCATTGGCCAAAATTTCCATCACTCCCTGCTTGCTCTCCCCTCTGTCAATCAGTTGCTATCAGGGAGGTCCAGTTTCTGAAACACAGGAATTGTGTGAGCAGAAGTCGCCACTCACACCAGCCCTCGGTGTGAGAAGGAGGACATTTGAGGGCAAGGTAGCTGCAGCCCCCAAGCTGCCCTCCACACTGGAAGCCAGTCAAGGCGTGGCCTCCTCAGCTGGAGTTGACATCCAGTTCTTCTCTGGACCTGCCAAGGGTCAAACTCTGAGGATTTCCTGCCAGGCTGCAGGGAGGGGTTTGGGTGTAGACCTGGTGGACTGGAAAATTACCCATTTGCCCCCAGATTAATGATTAACGGGTCCCTGCCCTCACCCTGTCTGGGAGAGGAGCCCAGGGCCAGGCTAGGCCAACGGGAGCCCGATAGCATCTGTCTCTGCTCGGAGGTTTCGGAGATATGCTCCATGATGGGTTGACTGCACCTGATGGGTGTGGAATCTACAGGTGATTTCTGAGGGCACCTGGGGCCTGGCCAGGCCGCATACCCTCTGGTGAGGCTTCCAACTTCTGGGGCATACAGAGAGGGCATGGCCTCCAGCCAGATGTCCTGGCTAAGGCAGGTGACTCCAAAGAGGAGAGCTGTGCCCTTGGCTCAGAGGAACATGGGCTTCTCTGACCACTCCTGGCTTGACCACAGGACTTACCTTGGCCAGTGGCACATGAGCAACAGTGGCAAGTGCCACATCCAAGCAGGAGCTCTAAGAGACATTGCCTGCTTCCACCTTTGCTTTTTTTTTTTTTTTTTTTTTTTTGAGATAGGGTCTTGCTCTGTTTCCCAGGCTGGAGTGCAGTGATGCGATCTCAGCTCACTGCAGCCTCCACCTCCCGAGCTCAAGCTATCCTTCCACCTCAGCCTCCCAAGTAGCTGGGACTACAGGTGTGTGCCACCATGCCCACATAATTTTTCTATTTTTAGTAGAGACAGGGTTTTGCTGTCACACAGGCTGCTCTCAAACTCCTGGACTCAAGCGATCCACCTGCTCAGCCTCCCAAAGTGTGGAATTACAGGTGTGAGCCACTGTGCCCAGCCCACCTTTGATCTTTTACCCTGGCTATGAGGCCAGGATATCCCAGAACAGGGTTACTTCTCTTGGGCTGGGTCCTGGAATGATGTATATTCCACCCACACTGGGGGCACCAGGATATAGGACAGCAAACATTTTGAACCAGCAGAGCCATCTCACAGAGAGCTTCTGGGAAGAGGGAAGACGAACTCTAATTCCAATTCCCACCCTGCTGCTGATCTGTTGTATGACCAGTCCAGTCACTGCCCCCTCGTAAATCCTTTGTTTCCTCATCTGGACAAAGGGGAGACTCTGCTTAGCTGGAGAGTAAAGCATCTTGCAAAATGAGGGAAGTTTGGGAAGCTCCAGCTAGCAGGAAGGTAGGCCTGCTTGTCCCAGGCACTGTGGTTAGTCCATTTCATATAATCCTCCCACCAACCCTAGGAGGTAGAGAAGATCACTCTGCCCAGTTTCCAGAAGGGAAAAAACCAAGGTGTCAAGATTGCATAGCTAGAACATCAGCCTTAGAATTTGGTAGCTTGGCTCCAGAATCGATGAACTTTCAATCTAGGAGAACAAGAAGTCTGGGATTGATGGCCTGATGGGAATTCAGCTCCTTCACCTTCATCTAACCATCCATCAGTCCTTCCTTCCTTCCCTTCTCTTTCCTTCCATCCCCTTCTCTCCCCAGGCATCTGTTTGTACCAGGCACCAGGTGGTCAGATGGTTGAAGGTCTATCTGGGAATTATGGAAACATGTTAGATTGGTACAGGATTACTTGGGCAGCAGCATAATGTAAGGGAGAGAGGGATGTCAGGGGACCTTGGCTGGGTGTCCGCTCAATGTCCACATCCCCTCTGCCTGCCCCCTCTCAGGAATGTGGCTCTCTTGGCCAGGCAGCCACCAATACTCTGTGCATTATTTCCCAAACTTCCCGGATCACAAAAGCTGCCTAGGGACTGTGGTAAATGTACAGATTCCCAGGCCCAATTCCAAACCAATAGACCCAGAATTGCCCAGCATGGATCCTGGGAAAGCGTATTTTTAATAAGCACCCCAGATGATTTTTCTAACTGGGCCAATAGGGAAATAGGAAAATAGGGTGGATAAGAAGAGCAGAGACCGGAATCTGGAAAACAGGTTTAAGGTCCTGCAGCAACCTTTGTTACATGAACCTTGGTTTCCTAATCTGTAAAATGGGGACGGGACCTCCAGCGGGTCAGCCTGCTGCCCAGAAGGGCAGTAAATGAAGCCCCTGAGGAGGCCCCTTCCCTTCATTTGCCCCTCACCACCATCCCCAAGGCTCACCTGTCTCCCTCCTCTCGCTCTCTCTAGCCTGACCGGGCGGGAAGTCCTGACGCCCTTCCCAGGATTGGGCACTGCGGCAGCCCCGGCACAGGGCGGGGCCCACCTGAAGCAGTGTGACCTGCTGAAGCTGTCCCGGCGGCAGAAGCAGCTCTGCCGGAGGGAGCCCGGCCTGGCTGAGACCCTGAGGGATGCTGCGCACCTCGGCCTGCTTGAGTGCCAGTTTCAGTTCCGGCATGAGCGCTGGAACTGTAGCCTGGAGGGCAGGATGGGCCTGCTCAAGAGAGGTGGGGAGGAGGGCTAGGGGACGGGGAGGGCTGGGGGAAGAAGCCTTCAGGGAGGAGGAGGCTGGGAGAGGCTGCCCTTTCCTTTTTCCTGGCTCCCGTGCCCAGGCCACACTGCCCTTCCTGCCCTAGCACGGTCCCAAATGAGAAGAGTCACAAGAGTTAATGAGGGGCAGTTGAAGGCCAGCTGTGGCCCAGCCTCAGGTTTGGGGGAGCAGAGGAGCAAGGAAGATCCAAGAGAGGAGGAGACACAAGCCTATTCCTGGAGGAGCTCACAGATAAGATGGGGTCCCCCAGTTGTCTCCCTCTGCCTCTTCACACACACACACACACACACACACACACACACACACACACACACACGAAACAAGGCACATGAAGACGTGAGGATGGGCGGCAGCTGATTCCAGGCCCGATGACACGAGCCAGGCGATGCATTTGTTCACTCCTTTATCTGTCCCTTTGTTTGTCACATCCATCGATCCATCAGTCCCTCCTTCCCTTCCACTCCCATTCTACCTCCCTCCCCACTCCACCCACCCACTAAGCATCCATGGAGGCCCATAGTGAGCCAGGCACTGTGCCAGATCCTGGAGGTTCAGAGCTGAACCAGACCCAGCTACCCTCGGGAAGCATGCAGTCTGGAAGGGAGAACACAGGTCACCATGTGACTCCCTTGCCAAGGGGAAAGGGCTTTTGACAGGGAAGGATGAGGGAATGTGGCTTGAGGACACAGCTCCGGGTGGGTCTCCCTGTCAATTGCCCCTTAAACTCTGACTCAAGTTGCCATTTAAATGGAACTTCTAGCCTGGGCGCAGTGGCTTGTGCCTCTAATCCTAGCACTTTGGGAGGCCGAAGCGGGTGGATCACTTTAGGTCAGGAGTTCAAGACCAGTCTGGCCAATATGATGAAACCCCGTCTCTACTAAAAATACAAAAATTTAAACACTGCAGTTGGCCGGTTGCCATGGCTCACACCTGTAATCCCAGCACTTTGAGAGGCCGAGGTCAGGAGTTTGTAACCAGCGTGGTCAAAATGGTGAAACCCCATCTCTACTAAAAATACAAAAATTAGCTGGCATGGTGGCAGGAGCCTGTAATCCCAGCTACTTGGGAGGCTGAGGCAGGAGAATTGCTTGAACCCGGGAGGTGGAGGTTGCAGTGAGCCAAGATTGTGTCACTGCACTCCAGCCTGGGAGACAGAATGAGACTCTGTCTCAAAAAAAAAAAAAAAAAAATGCAGTGATGCTGTACAGGGCAGCCAGGCCCCTCCTAGGCCAGCTGCTCTCCACGGTCTGCAGCCAAGCTAATGGCCTCTCTCTGTGTCTCTCTCGGGACATCACCAGCACCCAGATGCACTGGAGGGCAGGCAGGAAGTAGTGAGCTGGTGGGAGGCCAGGTTTGGGCCACACCCAGCAGAGAGGAGTGTCGGTGGTTCTGGAGTGGGTGGGATGGTCAGTCTGAGGCAAGTCAGCCAGGAGACTCAAGGTCACTGTATCATTGGGTCTATTCCACAGTGGGTAGCAGAGAATGACATTTGAGAACCATCATGTGTCATAGGAAGCCCATGGGGCTTATCTCAGGGGCCTCAGAAATGGGCCCATCCAAATGGTCATACACCGACCTGGAGTCAAAATGGCAGGTTTAGCCCCAACTGTGCCTACGCCAGGTGTCTGAGTAGCTTCTCTTTGCATCTCAGTGTTCTTCTCTGAGAGGTGAAGGCCGTAGCCCCTGGCCTGCTGCCCTCTGGGAATCTGGGAACATACTCCATAGTGAATTTGTAAATTCCATTTATTTATTTATTTATAAATTAAAAAAATTTTTTTGAGACAAGGTCTCCCTCTGTCACCCAGGCTGGAGTGCAATGGCGCAATCTCAGCTCACTGCAACCTCCACCTTCCGGGTTCAAGTGATTCTCCTGCCTCAGCCTCCTGAGTAGCTGGGAATATTGGCATGTACCACCATGCCCGGCTAATTTTTGTATTTTTAGTAGAGACGGGGTTTCACCATATTGGCCAGACTGGTCTTGAACTCCTGACCTCAAATGATCCGCCCGCCTTGGCCTCCTAAAGTGCTGGGATTAGGGGCACGAGCCACTGTGCCCAGCCTGGAAGTTCCATTTAAATGGCAACTTGCAGTCAGAATTTAAGGGGCAGTTGACAGGGAGACCCACCCGGAGCTGTGTCCTCAAGCCACATTCTCTTGTCCTGCCCATCACAGCGCTGCCACCACCGCCTCTGGCCCTCAGAGGGCGGCAGGCAACCTCTAAGCTTCCTCCTTTCCTCTCTTCCCCCTTTCCTCCCTCCCTATGCCCCTGGGTGCCCGATCCAGGCTTCAAAGAGACAGCTTTCCTGTACGCGGTGTCCTCTGCCGCCCTCACCCACACCCTGGCCCGGGCCTGCAGCGCTGGGCGCATGGAGCGCTGCACCTGTGATGACTCTCCGGGGCTGGAGAGCCGGCAGGCCTGGCAGTGGGGCGTGTGCGGTGACAACCTCAAGTACAGCACCAAGTTTCTGAGCAACTTCCTGGGGTCCAAGAGAGGAAACAAGGACCTGCGGGCACGGGCAGACGCCCACAATACCCACGTGGGCATCAAGGTGAGCATGTCCCTGGCTGCCCGCAGTGCCTTCCCACCAGGGTACACAGCTGGGGAGCATGGCTTGAAGGAGGCCAGCACCCCACTCCCCAAAATACATGAAGAGCCGTGAACTTCATAAAGGCAGGATGAACTTCACGTCTTCAACCAGCATTCCCTTGGCATCTACTCTGGGCTGTGACTGGGTGCCAGGAACACAGCGGAAGCATGGAAGGGTCATGAGTGTCATTGGTGGAAGCAGTGGTCACCAGTGGGAGCCAGGCTTAGGACTAGGTCTGGTGAAGCAGGGACATGTTTGGAGAGGGGTCTCCATTCCAAGGACCAGGCCTTCCTGGAGGTCCTGGAAGCCCAACATTGTTTGAAAACCTCCATCTAGAGCAACTGCCCACTTCTCCATTTTATGGGTGGGAAGATGGAAGTGGCCCAGAGAAGGGAAGGGGCTGAGGTTACACAGTAGTGGGAGGTCTGGAGGGTGAAAAGTATCTTGGTCTATTGAGGGGAGGAGGCTGGGAGACACCAGTGCTCTAGCTGTTTATGAGATTAAGTTCTGAGTTGTCATCACTGAGTTGTGAACCGGGGCTGCTGTGTTCAATCATTGAGTTGGTGTGAACCGGGGCTGCTGTGTTCAGTCACTGAGTTGGTGTGAACCGGGGCTGCTGTGTTCAGTCACTCAGTTGGTGTGAACTGGGACTGCTGTGTTCAGTCGCGTAAGTTGTCTATTCCACAAGAACTCCAGGCCAAGGGGAGGAGCTGGGGCTGAGACCCTGGGTCTCTTTCCCATTCTCCTGCCTCTGCCCTGCTGGGGTTGGTGCTCTGGGGGCAGGCTCTGGCTGCTGGGCCCAGGCCTCTGACCACGCCTCTGTTCTGCCTCCCCCACAGGCTGTGAAGAGTGGCCTCAGGACCACGTGTAAGTGCCATGGCGTATCAGGCTCCTGTGCCGTGCGCACCTGCTGGAAGCAGCTCTCCCCGTTCCGTGAGACGGGCCAGGTGCTGAAACTGCGCTATGACTCGGCTGTCAAGGTGTCCAGTGCCACCAATGAGGCCTTGGGCCGCCTAGAGCTGTGGGCCCCTGCCAGGCAGGGCAGCCTCACCAAAGGCCTGGCCCCAAGGTCTGGGGACCTGGTGTACATGGAGGACTCACCCAGCTTCTGCCGGCCCAGCAAGTACTCACCTGGCACAGCAGGTAGGGTGTGCTCCCGGGAGGCCAGCTGCAGCAGCCTGTGCTGCGGGCGGGGCTATGACACCCAGAGCCGCCTGGTGGCCTTCTCCTGCCACTGCCAGGTGCAGTGGTGCTGCTACGTGGAGTGCCAGCAATGTGTGCAGGAGGAGCTTGTGTACACCTGCAAGCACTAGGCCTACTGCCCAGCAAGCCAGTCTGGCACTGCCAGGACCTCCTGTGGCACCCTTCAAGCTGCCCAGCCGGCCCTCTGGGCAGACTGTCATCACATGCATGCATAAACCGGCATGTGTGCCAATGCACACGAGTGTGCCACTCACCACCATTCCTTGGCCAGCCTTTTGCCTCCCTCGATACTCAACAAAGAGAAGCAAAGCCTCCTCCCTTAACCCAAGCATCCCCAACCTTGTTGAGGACTTGGAGAGGAGGGCAGAGTGAGAAAGACATGGAGGGAAATAAGGGAGACCAAGAGCACAGCAGGACTGAAATTTTGGACGGGAGAGAGGGGCTATTCCATCTTGCTTCCTGGGATGAATGGCTTGGAGCCAGCATGTTCTTGGGAGGTGAACTGCTGGGCTAGGAATGCCAAGGCAGGCAGTGCCAGCTGGAAGTGAAGGCGGGAGCCTGGCTGAGATGGGTCAATCGGGTCCTGTGGCCCTGCTCAGGTGCAGTGGGCTCCAGGTGTCACACACCTCCACCACTCCCCTGGTTTTGCTGTGCCAGAGATGGGGAGAAAGCACAGGTGGTAGAAGCCATCCGTTCAGAGAAAGGAGAGCTTTCTGTGCTTGAGTGGACCCGAGTGAGATCTGTGCCCTGGAGCCCTGTGTCCTTGATTTGGCTTTTCAAATATGCCTCCGCTGAGGCCTCATTCTTGTCTCGAGAGCTGGGTTATGCACACTCACCCAGCCGTGCTCAAAACTACCACCAGTGCAGGTAAGACAGGTGGGAGAACTAGCCACCAAGGCGGGACTCAGTGCACCTGAGGTTGAACAGGGAGACAACGGCCCCTCCCTGTGTTCCCTGCTGGCCAAAGGAATCTTCACTCCCAGCGCAGAGGAGGAGGGCAACAGCTTCCTGGTGCCTGGCAGTGACGTGGCGAGCTCAGTTTCTCAGCTGGCTCTTGAGTGAGCTTTGGTGACTTCCTGTGGCTGGGGCCTGCCTGGTCTGTGACACCCCCATACCAGCTGAGTTCACAATACTGAAGAACAGCTGGCTCACGAGCTATGACTTGAAGTTACATTTCTATTCTTGTGGCTGCTCATCTAGTTAAGGCTTTTGCCCTGGCTGGGGTTATAGGTGCTTGAGTCCTTGCTAAGCCTGGCTCCTGGGTAGCCTCCTTCAGTTCCTAATGGCCTCTCACTTGGCCCTCACTTTGGCTCTTACTTGAGGAGGAGACGTGACTTTGATAATTTCCTCAGATCCTGTGGACATTTTCAGCAGCACCTGCCAAGGCCCTCTGTGAAAGGAGGAGAGACTGGTACCTCCACACAGGCACACATGGATGCACAGCCCCTGGACCAGGCTGGGGGTTCCTGTTGCACATGCCTCTCTTGTTCAGGATGAAGACCTTGCAGGGGTCCCCTTGCTGGAGGCATTGTACTTCCCCAGAGTGGGGCCCGATGCCACCCAGGAGGAAGTGACTTCTTTCGGGAAGCCCTTGGCCACTTTGCTGGCCCTGCCACGCCCATCTGTCAGCTTCCTTTCTCCCTAAACCTAGAGTTGCTGACCCTTCACCAACACAGGAAATTTCAGAATCAGCTGAATGCTCAGAAACCTCGCCTGTGCCAGCTCCAGGACAAAGGCCCGCTGACTGTGCCCTGGCCAACTCCCTGAGACCTCCAAGGGCGAGGAGGAGCTGCCCAGTCTCCAGTGGATCAGGGCAGTCTGCTGGATGCTGGAAGGATTTTTGACTGCAGAGGCCCGGCTGAGAAGCCAAACTGACCTGAGCCCCTCTCGTTAAAATGACATTGCTGACCCAAGCACCTGGCCCACACCTTGGCAGCAGGAGAAAAATGGGGAGAGGGCTGGTTTTCTCCTTTCTTCCACTTCCCCACAGCATGGAGATTTTCTCTGCCTTCCCAATCCATCTTGCTCCTCCGAGACCCCAACTCTGCCTCCACCCAGGCTCAGTGCTGGGCGTAAGGCAGCAGGGACCTCACTGGCAGAGCAGGGGGCCTGGGAGCAACGTGGAGGCCAGAGCACCCTGATCCACCAACATGCCACCTGCATTCTGACTTCATGGCTGGCAGTGCCAGGGTCGTGGGAGGGCAAAGGGCAGGCTCTAAGGCATCTAGGCAGTGGCTGGCTGCTAACATGGACACCCCAAGTCAATGGCACAGTGCAGGTTCTGAGGGCTCCTTGGCTTGTGGGGTCTTCTCTGTCTGTCTCTCTCCCTCTCTTCTTCCTTGCTCTCATCCCTTTCTTTTCCAGTTACCCCTGAAGACCCACCTCGGCCCTCTTGGGGCCCCTGGGGACTAGAGTGACCACTGACCCCTCATTCTACAGCTTTAAGGGAAATGCTCACAGGGTATTTTTGTCTACCTCAAATATATAGTTTTTAGAGCAAAGGAGAATAATTTATATAGCTAAGATATATGAGAAAGTATTTATATTATTTATATAGTTGCTATATTTCACAGACAGCACAGGTGGGGTTTGTGTATTTTCCCGGAAACCCTCTGTCTGGGGAGATACAGCCTGACCTGACCGGGTCCCCCACTGAGCAGGAGGCCGGGTCGCTGGGAAGGAGGACAAACCTGTATTCCATGACTGGGTCTGTCTCGGAGCTGGTAAGCACATGTCCGCTCTGTGATGAGCCCTGGTGGGCTCCATCCAGACCCTCCTTGTGATGTTTTTGTAGATTTTCTGCCCTTCTGGGTCCAGGCCCCCTTCTTCTGCTCTGGCAAAAGTGTCTTACTCATAATGATAATGACAACGAGAATTCCCACACCTGGCATTTGTAAAGCACTTTGCTATTTAGAAACAAAAACTTTTACCCCTTTCATCTCACTTGATTTCTCCGTTATCTCTGTGAGGTAGGTGGGGCCACATTACTGTGGCCATTTTATAGATGAGGTCCAGAGATGGAGAGCTGTGCTCAAAGTCACACCTAAGAGACTTGTTCAATGAATATTTACTGAACATCTCCATAGACCAGGCACTACGGGCTGACCTGCTCTGAGCCCAGGAGCCCCAAAGCCTGGATACCACTGTGAGCCCAAGAACTCAGGGAAGCAGTTCCTTCCCAGGCTGTGATCCCAGCCTTTTGGATCTGGATGGCATGTTGGCACTTCCCCCAAGTGGAGTCCCATGTCTCAGGGGCTTTGGCTGCCTGAGAAGGCTGGAGAGACCAGGAACCCATGGAGGCCACTCCAAGGGGTCCTTCTGCCCACACTGCCCAAGAAGCTTGGGCTACACCACTGGGCCCCTCCCAACCTACAGATGAATTTTGATTGCTCTCATTTGTGTTTTGCTTGTAAAAATGAATTGTTTTCCACTGGATTTCTGGCTGCTTTTGCAAAAGTCAGCTGCGCTGGCAGACTGGGCCTGCATGTCCTCCTGCAGGCAGCTAGAGTGAGGGAGTCTAATGGACAGGATGCCCCAAGTGCCCCCGTTGCTCATGGATGCCCCTGCCTGCCTCTCATGAGCACATAGTCCTGTCCCCTGGTCTAGATAAGCCCAGCTTTCCTGGTACCCTTCATCACCTGGCAGACAGACAGCCCCATGCCAACCCTGGACATTACTTGCTTTTGAACCTTTCCTTTCTCAACAACCATGAACTTCAAATGCTTTCTGTCTCAGGACACTTTAGAATAACAATGGAAGCCATCACTTATTGAGCACCCCTTATGTCCATTTATTCAACCAATGATTATTTAGGGATCTCTTATTGAGCACCAGGCAGCATCCTGGGTGCTTGGTGCAGCAAGGAACAGGACCAAGTCTCTGCCTCATGGGGCTGACATCCTAGTGGGTGAGAAAGACAATAAACCAATAAATGACATGCCAGTTATTTGCATTTACTTTGTCTCAATTTATTGCAATAACTTTGCACATTGGACATGGTCCCCGTAATGGATAAGGAAATGGAGGTTGTGAGATGAGAAGCCTCCTCATTGCAACTGGCAGGCAGTGGGGCCAGGATTGGAACACAGATCTCCTGGCCTCCAAAGTATGGGATTTTTTTCCTCTGTACACTGGTATAGGTCGGGCAGGGATGGATCGCCCCATTTTATTGATTCTGGGTAAACTAAGGCCTAGAGGAAGGAAATAATCCATCCTGGATTACACACCAATTCAGACAGGCCAGAGCCTGCATCCTTCCTGGAGTTGATAAGCATTTCTGGAGCCCTCATGCTATGGCAAGCAGCATGGCTCAGGGTGGGGCGGGATGAAGCCAACCAGGGGCCTTCAGGGACCTACAGTCTAATAGGAGAAATGAGAAGCACAGCCATGCAGTGGTTTGGGTCATTTACACACGAATCCTGTGTCCCTTTTCTGGCCACAGTTCCTTCCCAACATGCTTTGGGAGGCCTCGCCCACCAGGATCCTCCTGGGGGTCTGATGGGAGAGGAGGCCTCTTTCTGAGCCAAGCACAGCAGAGAGTGCCTGTCTCCTGGCTCAGGCCTGCCCTGCCCCAGTTCTTCAGCCCTGCTGGGGTCCACATTGCCTTAACTGGGCTCCCCAGGGCGGGAGGCAGAGGTGGGCCCACAGTCCAGCCCTGCAGGGGCCTACATTTCCACCAGCATCCCCGTCCTAACATGCTCCTTCTACCCAGTGTTCCTGGGCCTGGAGACCAGCTGGCTCTGAGTAATGACAGACACGTCCACATGCAGCAGCAGGCTCCAGTTTATCAAGGGATTTCTCATCTATTTTCTCTCTTGAACCTCACAAGGTGGACACCCTTCTTCTTTTTTTACAGATAGGGGAATTGAGACACAAAATGGTTAAGTGACTTACCAAAGGCTATATCGCTAGCAAGCGGATCCAGGCCTTTTGCCTCCAAACCCCATATTCTCTCTACCATACACCATCCTCACCTCCTCCTGCCCTCATCTGAGCCTTACTTTGTTCCTGCTCATAATCTAGTTCCCAAACAGGCCCGCAGACCCCTCCACCTCCAGCTGCTCAATGCCACCATCTTCCAGGAGGACCGGGGCTTGTTGAGACAGTCACTAGGTGGGTACCCTACCCGCAATATCCCTCCTCCTTTAAAAACAGCCACATGTGCTTTCTGTCTTTGCATTTGCAATATCTATCTTGTTGAATCACTTGTGAGACCTTTGCAGACACCAAGACACTTACATACTTTATCATGTATCTCCTAAGGACAAGAACATTCTCCAACAGAACCACAAGGCCATCACCACATCTAAGAGATGTAACATTGACAAAAATTATCTACTACATAGTCCATATTCAGACTTCCCCAATTGTCCCTCAAAATGTCCTTTATAACATTATTTTCTGGCCAGGCACAGGTTCACACCCATAATCCCAGCGATTGGAGAGGCCGAGGCAGGAAGATCGCTTGAGCCCAGGAGTTCGAGGATATAGTGAGCTGTGATTGCACCACTGCCTTCCAGCCTGAGCGACAGAGTGAGACCCTGTCTCTAAAAAATTAAAATTAAAAAATTTTTAAAACATGTTTTCCTGGCCCAGGATCCACTCAAGAATTAGGCATTGCACGTTGTTTTCATGTCTCTCCAGCTCCCTGTAATCTAGAACAGTCCCCCTCTTTCTTTGCTTTCATAACAGTGATAGTTTGAAGAGTCCAGGCTGCATGTCTCGTGGAATACCTCTCAACTGAGATTTGCCTGATCGTTTCCTTGTACTTGGATTCAGGTTAAACATTTTGGCAATAAGCTGCTTGGGTGATGTGTATCCTATTCTGTGCATGCTGTAAGGAGCCACAGGATGTTTTGCTCTTGTTGCCCAGGCTGGAGTGCAGTGGTGCGATCTCGGCTCACAGCAACCTCCACCTCCTAGGTTCAAGCGATTCTCCTGCCTCAGCCTCTAGAGTAGCTGGGATTACAGGCTCACCCATGATGGGGATGGGGACATTCTGGAGGGAGAGGCACTGGCGGGAAGCATCCTATGCCTGCCCCCACCCTTCCCATTTCTTTCCGATTCTTGACTTCGCTCCATCTCTCACCTGGAGTTCCTTCTTGCAACCGATCATGCAGCAAACACGGATTGGTGGCCTATGGTGCACGAGGCACGTGACAGGGTCCTAGATGCCATGGTAATGAGACTAGGTCCAGCCTTCAGGGAGGTCCCAGACAAGGGGAGAGACAAGCAAAGAGATGGCTGGCATGCACGGTGTCCAGCACTCCAATAGGTGGCTCTGTGCAGGCTCCACCCCACACAGGCATTCCTGTGCAGGCCATTTCCTCATACTCCCCTCTGGGCAACCCCAGGGGTCCATACAACCATGATCCCCATTTTTTTTTTTGAGACAGAGTCTCCCTCTGTCTCCCAGGCTGGAGTGCAGTGGCATGATCTCTGCTCACTGCAAGCTCCGCCTCCCAGGTTCATGCCATTCTCCTGCCTCAGCCTCCCGAGTAGCTGGGACTCCAGGTGCCCGCCACCACGCCCGGCTAATTTTGTTTTTGTATTTTTAGTAGAGACGGGGTTTCACCACGTTAGCCAGGATGGTCTTGATCTCCTGACCTCGTGATCCGCCCACCTCAGCCTCCCAAAGTGCTGGGATTACAGGCGTGAGCTACTGCGCCCGGCCTTTTTTTTTTTTTCCTTTGTGAGATGGAGTCTCGCTTTTGTCACCCAGGCTGGAGTGCAATGGCGCAATCTTGGCTCACTACAACCTCCGCCTCCCGGGTTCAAGTGAGTCTCCTGCCTCAGCCTATAGAGTAGCTGGGATTACAGGCGCCTACCCCACGCCCGGCCTTATTTTTGTATTTTTAGTAGAGACGGGGTTTCACCATGTTGGCCAGGCTGGTCTTGAACTCCTGACCTCAGGTGATCCACCCATCTTGGCCTTCCAAAGTGCTGGGATTACAGGCGTGAGCCACTGTGCCTGGCCTATGATCCCCATTTTATAGATGAGGAAACTAAAGCTCAGAGAGGTTCCCTTGCTACACAATAAGTAGCAGGGCTGGAAATGAAACAGCTTCTTCACTGCCTCTTCCCGGGGAGTGCTGGGCACGGCCTGGGGACAGAGAGACGGGGTATGAGGGAGTTGCAAGGATTCAGGGCGACTGGTGGCATCTTCCAGTCCTGCCACTTGGTCCTCCTTGTCTTCTCCTCTCTCTCTTTCTCCCCACCCTGCATACCGCAAAGAGGAGGTTAATGCCTCTCACGCGTCTTATCCCCCCACTCCCATCCCTCCTCAAGTCCCCAGGGGCTGTGGGGCCCATATTCCTCCCTGGCTCTCTTGGGCCCATTAGTGTGTTTACGCTGGAGCCGTCTCAGGGGAGCTGAGCCCCTACCCCTGCCCCACCGTCCTCCCGCCATGGAGAGTGGGCAGTGGAGTGGTGGAGGCCGGGCAGAGGCACGGGAGAACCTGACCCAGCGTCCGAATTCCTGCCCCCACGTCTCAACAAGTCCAGGGTGGCCAGAAGCCTGGAGAGCAACGGTAGCCCCCCGGGACCCCCACCTCTTCCCACACAGCCCCACCAGAGCCTGACAGGCTCTAATCTCAGCTGTCTTCATGCAGCCAGCCCTCCGAGCCCGGGGTCACCTGACGCTGACACATTTTAATTCAGAAGCTGATTTCTGCTTGTTGGCAACATGTCATTTCTGAAATTGCTTTCTCTGCCCAGAGGCGGGAGATGTCAGAGCTGCGCAGGTGTTGCAGTGGTGCCGCCCCCGCCCCACACCCAGCCCCCTCTCCAAGTTCAGGAAGGATTAAGGGGCGTGAGGGGGCACACAGGAGATCCTCAAGCTCTGCTTCTCATGTTTCCCCAAGTGCTGGGGGCCAGGGATGGGGGACTCCTGGAATGGCCTCTGCTTTCCTTTCCAGCCTGATGACAGAGGCCCAGGGTTTGGTAAATGAAGTTGCTGCTCTGCCAGTGCTGACAACAGCCACAGTAGTTGTTTTGCGCAGGCTTCATACAGGTACCAAGTGCTCTGCAGAGTGCCTCTCGTGTGCATTGTTGTATTTGAATCTTATGACAACGCTCCAAGTTGGTGTCATCCCTCCTTTGCAGCTGAGAAAACCGGGGCTCAGAGGGGTTAGACCACTTGCCTGAGGTCACACAGCAAGTATGAGGCGGGGCCAGCTTTCAGACCCAGTGAAGGCGACAGCTGGACTGGGATTGGGAGGTCTGGGAAGGGAGAGGCCGTGGAGCTGGGGAGGACTATGGCCTGGCTTCTCCTATATTTGCTTCCTGACTTGGTTCAAATATCTCCAGTGAAATTTGTGAACTCCCCCAACTTCCCCACTCCTGCAACCCATCAAATAGTTATTTGCTCCCTCTTTTATATTTCCTTAGCTTTTTTTTTTAGACGAAGTCTTGTTCTTGTTGCGCAGGTTGGAGTGCAGTGGCAAGATCTCAGCTCATCACAACCTCCACCTCCCGGATTCAAGCGATTCTCCCGTCTCAGCTGCCTGAGTAACTGGGATTACAGGCATGCACCACCACGCCTGACTAATTTTGTATTTTTGGCTAATTTTGTATTTTTAGTAGAGATGAGGTTTCTCCATGTTGGTCAGGCTGGTCTCGAACTCCCGACCTCAGGTGATCCACCCGCCTCGGCCTCCCAAAGTGCTGGGATTACCGGTGTGAGCCACTGCGCCTGGCCAGCATTTTTTTTTTTGAGACAGAGTCTCGCTCTGTCACCCAGGCTGGAGTGCACTGGCATGATCTCTGCTCACTGCAACCTCCACCTCCCAGGTTCAAGTGACTCTCTTGGCTCAGCCTCCCAAGTAGCTGGGACTACAGGCGTGCACCACCACGCTCAGCTAATTTTTGTATTTTCAGTAGAGATGGACTTTTATCATGTTGGCCAGGCTGGTCTCGAACTCCTGGTCTCAAGTGATCTGCCAGCCTCAGTCTCCCAGGGTGCTGGGATTACAGGTATGAGCCACTGTGCCCGGCCGCCTTAGCATTTTGTGTATGTTTTGAGTGACAGCCATCTGTCAATATTGGCATCTTTTGTTTTATTGGATGAATGAATGAACAAATGAATTTATAAATCTTGTTCTCCATACTGTTTACCCATCCTCATTTCCCTCACTTGGCAGTGTCTTGCCATAGCAGGCTTCCTGGTGTAGCTGGCACCACATCCCTCCCTGACACACGGCCTCCTTATTGCCCCTGCTACTTGCCTTTTTCTCTCCTCCCTTTCCTTCCCTTCATTCCCCCTGGCTTCCCCTTCCCAACTCTCAGAATCCCTGGCTGCCTCAACCACAAGAACAAAGCTGTGCAGAAGCCTGAACCTGGAGCTTCTGCAAGATGAGGTGGGGAATGAGCTAACCCAGCTGGAAAGCAGCCTGCTGATCCCTGGGAGAGACGGCGCTTGGGCCAACCCACCCTCCCCAAGGTGGTCCCCTGCCTCAGCTCCACCCGCTTCCCCAGATGAACTTCTTTCTCTCCCTCCAGCGCTTCAGAGGATGCACAGCTGTGTGTACTTGACCCTGAGCCTGGGCTAGTGCTGGGGACATAGCCAGTCTGGCTGATACCCATATCAGTACAGAAAGCTGTCCTCACCCACTTCATGCACTAGTTGCATTGGTATGAAGCATTAGCTTTATAACTATCCCATTTACTGCAGGCATAAACCTATATCAATTGGTGGGGATGGAGGTTAAATGAGAGAAGACATCAAAGATGCATAGAACTATTGGGCCCCTTTCAATTAATAAATAAAATTTGTAGGAGGCCATTAGTTTGTACTGTGCTCCTGTAATGGACCCAACAGACCAAACAAATATGGAGTCACTCATGCTAAATGCAATTAACTTGGGAGTATACTCCTAAGTTGCAAAAAGTGGTAACAAATAGCTGAGTTTTGGGGCAGTTACAGCAGCTGAGCATCTGTCAATGTAGGTGGCCAGGTGATTCAATTAAGGATGCTGTAACCAATTAAGCTGTATCTACACCTCACTTCTGTTTTCTATCTACAAATACTGCGTGATCATGTTGCTGGTTGGAGTTCTTTGAATAAGCTGTGGTTCGGAGGGATGCCCAATTCTAGAATCATGAATAAAAGCCTATTAAGATCTTTAAACAAAATTTATTGTCATTTTGTCTTTTGACATTTTACAGATGGGCAAAGTGAGGCCAGGTGAGCAACAGCATCTGTTTTTTTTGTTTGTTTGTTTGTTTTTTGAGACTGAGTCTCACTCTGTCACCCAGGCTGGAGTGCAGTGGTGCGATATCAGCTCACTGCAAACTCCACCTCCTAGGTTCAAGCAATTCTCCTGCCTCAGCCTCCCGAGTAGCTGGGATTACAGGCGTGCACCACTATACCTGGCTAATTTTTGTGTTTTTAGTAGAGACGGGGTTTCACCATGTTGCCCAAGCTGGTCTCGAACTCCTGGGCTCAAGCAATCCACCTGCCTTGGCCTCCCAAAGTGCTGGGATTACAGGCATGAGCCACTGTGCCCGGCCAGCAAGAACATCCTTAACACAAAGTTGGAGTCATGGTAAAATGAGGTCAGGATTGGGCAGGCACTAACAGGACTTTGGAAGTATAGCATTGCTCTATCTCCTGATAATTAATGAGGGATACTGTTTATGTTCCCATTTAAAAATTAAGCCTAAAAAATTGAAATTGGGATCCATTTCACAGAGGATGGTCAAATGTCCAAGAAGAAGGGACAGGTGGTCATTAAAATTCAGATAAACAGAGTTCCCAGTGAGCACTGTCTTGGGAGTAGAACTAAGCAAGCAAAGTCACCTTTCTTCTCTGAGCCTCATTCATTAAAAAAAAAAAATCTCTATATAGATATCTTTCTATAGCAATCTCTCAGAGAGGGCCAGGCGTGGTGGCTCAAGCCTGTAATCCCAGCATTTTGGAAGGCTGAGGTGGGTGGATCATCTGAGGTCAGGAGTTTGAGACCAGCTTGGCCAACATGGTGAAACCCCATCTCTACTAAATACAAGAAATTAGCCGGGCATGGTGGCATATGCCTGTAACACCAGACACTTGGGAGGCTGAGGCAGGAGAATCGCTTGAACCCAGGAGGTGAAGGTTTCAGTGAGCCAAGATCACTCCACTGCACTCCAGCCTGGGCGACATAGCGAGACTCCCTGTCCAAAAGAAAGAAAGAAAGAAAGAAAGAAATCTCTGAGAGAGATAGATAACACATGTAGCACTCCTACTATGTGCCAAACACTGTGCTGGGCCCCAGGGATGAAGCAATTAGTGAGACAGGCGGAGTCCCTGCTCTTAAAACACAGAAGACAGATAAACAAGTCATCACTATTCAATGTGATGAAACTGACAACCCTACTCACCCTGGGCAGCCAAACTCAGTGGCTGGGAGCTAGAGATAGGGAGAGCAGGGAGACTTTTTACTCCATTTCTTGTTGCTTTTGAATTCTGAACCATGTGAATGTATTCCTGATCCAAAATAAATAAAAATAAAATGTGATGAGTTTTCACAAGCGGGAGTGTGCTTATGGGAACATCAGCAGGGAGAAGGGATACCGACCTGGCCTAGAGGATGTCAGAGAAAGCTTCCCAGAGAAGTGAGAGCCCAGCTACAGCCTGAAGCTTAGGGAGGTGTGGGTCAGGTGGGGAGTTGGAGGGAGAGGGATGCAGGTGTCAATGGAAGTTTATGGTGCTGGGTGATAAACACCAACGTTGCAGGGTCACTGGGAGGATTAAAAGTGTCCCCAGAAAGTGCCTGGCACACAGGATGTGCTTACTGTATGGTAGCTATTATTATTCCTCAATTATGGTTGCTGTCATTGGCAGAGGCTAGGGAGAGGGGACCCTAAGGCTGCCACTGACTCTACTGATATATTCCTGGGCCTCTGAAAGGCCTTGGTGACAGGAACTCATAACACTGCTGCGGCATTTTACAGTTTACACTAATCCAATCCTGGGTACAGGAGGGCAGAAAGAAGTTTGAAGCTCAGGGTGGCCCACTAAGGGGGGTTCTTGGCTCTTCTAGAATCAGCTGTCTGTCAAGCACAGGACCAAAACAACCCCACACTGTCTGGTTGCTCATCTTATGTCACAGACCAAGAAATTTCCCCATGCTAGGAAGGGACAGAACTCTCTCCCTGCCCCAGACCCAAGGCAGCAGCATACCGTTCATAGCAGTGAAAACCAGTGTTTCTGAGCACCACCAATGCACCTGGTGCTGTGCAAAATGCTTCACTTGGATTTGATTAAATCCTTGACCTCACAACCACCCTACCAGGAGCAAGCTACTGTAATCACTACCCCCATTTTACAGATGAAGAAACTGAGGCATGCAAAGGTTAAGTAACCTGCATGAGTTCACATTGTCAAGCTTTGACTCCAGGTGCCTCTTAGCCCCTTACTGACCCTAAAGCAGAGCTCTCATGTCTAAAATTTCCTCTGCTTGCCTGCTCAGCTCTTCCCTGCAGCAGGAAGAGAACCATTTCTTCTGACTCTGCAGAGCCTACTAAGTGCAACTCAACCTTTATTCGTATCCTAGACTTAGAACCCATGGAGGCATGAATAAGATTTTGAAAATCTGATTTCCAGGGGGGCCAGATGGTCAGGAGTTGACTATATCTAGATGCAGGATGGGGAGGCAATGAACCACTCACTCAGAGATGTCCCCTTCAGAATCAGGACCTCTGGGTATGACTGCCTTAGCCAGGCAGGAAGTGCCTCCCTGGGCGTGGCGGGGGTGGCTCAGCATGTCTGACCCCCAGAGAGCTGTGGGGCCAGCTAGCCACAGGGAAGCAGAGCTGGAGACCAAGTCCCCTCTGTCCTTTCTTGGAAGGACATGGAAGTCACGTCTTAACCCATAGCTTCATCATGGCCTTAGTGGAGACCAGCCAACTGTCAGGGGTCATGGCCATCAGCCCCCAGTTGGCTAAATGGACCTCTGAGTCCTAAAAGGCTAATTAAGACCTCTGACTTCTGTGTTCTTGGTCCCCTGTCATCCATACCTGTGCTGTGATTATTAGAGCATGCCTTTTCTTCCCTCCCAACCCTGGATGGAGGGGGTCCACATAGCCCTCCCTCACCCTCCTTGCCACAGACACCAAGCCCTTGTTTATTCTGAAAGTGTCAGTTGCATTTCATGAACTCCTAAGCGGGACCTTGGACTTCTGACTCCTAGAAAACAGAAGGCAGCTTCTACTAGCAACCAGACCCCAGCTTTGCACTCAGGGCTGACATTCTTTATCGATGGACCTCTCTGTGACTTTATTTCTACATCATCTGTAAAATGAGGATCGAGATACTAACACACCTACATCGCAAGGATCATGTTCGTTAAAACAAATGCTTAGAATAATGCCTGGCATATTGTCAGCTCTAAACAAGCATTCTCTGCAATTACTATTATTACCGCAAGTATCATCCTGAGCAGCCCCTCCCATGCCACCATTTCAGCCCGGCCTGCATCTCCACCCCTGAGGCCCTGCCTCATTCTTGGGTCTGCTCTATGTCTTTTGTCCCTCATCCCTCCTCCTCCTCGCTCCTCTTCCCTCCCTGTCAGTCCCCCGCTGCTCCTGCAGTCTTGTGCCGACTAATCATGCTGCTGTCAGTTCAGATTAGAGCCCATTACGTTCCTTCATCTCAGCTTAAAATTTTTGTGGTTTCCCAACTCTGCCTAAAGTGCTCCACGAGGGACAAGGGCCATCCAGCTGGAGGGTGCTTCAGGAGGAAGAATTCGGGTCTGTGAGTCCCCTGGTGGGCTTTCCTCCTTCCTGCCAATTCGATAAGAGGCTGGATGGTGGGGAGTGGGCAAAGGAGAGCAGTCCCTCCTGGACTGCCATCAGGAGCTCAGGCCCCGAGACCAGGGAGCGGGAGGTCTTGGCATCCCAGGACCCTCGAGGTAGACTCATACTGGTGTCGTGTGACAGCACTGCTCTGGGACCACATTTGGTCACTCCATTTGAGAATTCCCAGGGCTGTGAAATTTTGCAACTGAGAGACTCCTGGCAAAACCACTGTGCTCAGCCCCTGAACCGGGGTCTATCTCCTTCAGCCACAGGCATGGCCTGTCTTTGTGATGGCGTTGTCCATAGTAACCCTTGGACCTTGTCACAAGCCTGCCTTCCAACAGCCCAAGCTCCAAGGATCTCACCAGCCATGGGGTCCCTCAGGAGCCCTGGGCAAAGCTCTCAGGAAGAGACAAAAGCAGAAGCAAGAGGCACGGGCGGGGGTTGGATGCAAGGAAGGAAGGAAGCCAAGAACCACCCGTTTTAATGCTCTTGTTCAGTGGGCCTGGTATTGAGCCAGGACTTTGCCCGCCTCATCCTATTTAATTTCCATTAACAGCCCCTGAGGTAGGTGCACCTATCACCACTTGACAGTTGAGGAAACTGAGGCACAGCGAAATGAAAAGCCCTTGCCTGAGGCTGGAAAGGGGAAGAGCAGGATTTTGAATTTACGTTGCAAAGCACCTGATGGGGAGAGACAGGAGGGCGACCCCTGGCAGCCTCAGGGCTGTCTGGCTAGTCTCAGCCTCTAGAAAAGTTGGGTCCAGACCCTGAAATTCTGTGTCTGGGTCTTCCTTGTCCTGTGACTTGGGTATTACGTGTTAATAATCATATTTAACCTTTGTGTAGCGCATTCCTGTTTACAAAGTGTCTTCCGTGGCCTTTCTTTTTGAGCCTCGCCATAGCCCACAGGGCAGGCAGGGGTGCCTTATCATCCCTCTTTTGCAGATAAGGAAACTGAGGCTCAGAGAGATGAAGCCTCTTGCCAAGGTCACAGATGGAAGATGACCCAACCAGAACCCAAAGCAAGGTCGCCAGGGCCCAGCTGTGCAGTGAGGACACCACACTCTGACCTCTTTGATGGATGGTCTGCATTCACCCCACCATCTGCAACGTCCTCAGTTGGGCCAAGATCTGAGAGGCTTCCAAGGGGTACGCAGCCAGGGGCTCTCATCTGGGCCCCTCAAACCTTCTCCCTCCCAAAGCTATCAGTTCAGTTGGGAGGATGTCAGTTTGTCTGTACGGAACACCAGGGAGAAAATTATCACCGCCATGAAATGCTTCCCGTTCCACATGACCTGACAGCCTTCCAGCCAGAAATGTCCTTGCATGTGGCCCAGTCTCATCCTCTCACTAGGCCTGGTCCTTCTTTATCCCCTGACCAGAGGACTCCCCTCTGCAGGGGCTTCAGGAACCCCAGAGCTTTCTTGGCTCCAAACTAAATGGTCTCTGTTTCTAGTGAAGGTTAATGGCAGTCCTTAG
Source organism: Homo sapiens (assembly GCF_000001405.40). Taxonomy (NCBI): domain Eukaryota; kingdom Metazoa; phylum Chordata; class Mammalia; order Primates; family Hominidae; genus Homo; species Homo sapiens. Next base: position 1,411,283 of record NT_187663.1, read on the forward strand.
AGTTTCCAAGTTCCTCCTTTTACTCTTTTTTTCTTTTCTTTTCTTTTCTTTTCTTTTTTTTTTTTTTTTTTTGAGATGGAGTCTTGCCCTGTCACCCAGCCTGGAGTGCAGTGGTGTGATCTCAGCTCAGTGCAACCTCCACCTCATGGGTTCAAGTGATTCTCCTGCCTCAGCTCTGGAGTAGCTGGGATTACAGGTGTCCACCACCATGTCCAGCTAATTTTTGTATTTTTAGTAGAGATGGGGTTTCACCACGTTGGCCAGACTGGTCTCGAACTCCTGATCTCAAGTGATCCACTTGCCTCGGCCTCCCAAAGTGCTGGGATTACAGGTGTGAGCCACTGCACAGGCCTCCTCCCTTTATGCTTGGTGGCTGGAAATGTCACACCCCTGCCTAAAAACCCCAGGTAAGTCCCTCAGCTCTTCCCCACCATCCAGCTTACCTTCCCAGACCCATACCTCCAATGCCCCTCAAGGTACACCACAGCCCCATCCCCTGAGCCAAATCACCTGTCTCTGAATGCTGACCACGTGTTCCCAGCTCTGTGCCTTTGTATGTGCCAGTCCTACTGACAATGACTTTCCTGCCTTTGTCCATCCAACTCACTCCTGCTCAGCCTTAAAGACTCAGCCGTAGAAAGCACTTCCTCTTCTGAGCTTCCACCATCGGACTGATTTTCCCTTTATGCCTGCACTAGCATTGTAGGTGTCTGTCCATCTGTCCATCTCTCTCCCCACACTGGACTGTGAGCTTCTATGAGCAAGAACTGGCTCTCAAGCCACCTCGATTCCTGAAAAAATTCTTCCCCTTCTTTCTTTCCTCCCTCCTCTCCTCTCTCCTTCAATAAATATTTAAACAGTCCTGTGATGTGCCAGGCCAGGTACTGGGGGCTCAAGGATGGACAAAAAAAGGCATGGTCCTAGTTTTCATGGTTGTTCAATCTAGTGGCTGATGTAGATCATCAAATATACATAAAATTAATCAAAAGATTCATCACCACTGTGTAAGTGTCTGTTGAAGAACTGCAGAGTGCTGGCTTATGCAGTCCAGGACTACCTGACCTTTCTTTTTCTTTTCTTTTTTTTTTTGAGATGGAGTCTTGCTCTGTTGCCCAGGCTGGAGTGCATGGTGCGATCTTGGCACACTGCAACCTCTGCCTCCTGGTTCAAGAATTCTTATGGCTCAGCCTCCTGGGTAGCCGGGATTACAGAAGCATACCACCATGCCTGGCTAATTTTTGTATTGTTAGTAGAGTTGGGTTTTCACCATGTTGGCGGGACTGGTCTCAAACTTCTGACATCAAGTGATCCACCTGCCTCGGCCTCCCAAAGTGCTAGGATTACAGGCATGAGCCACCGCGCTTGGCTACCTGAACTTTCTTAAGAAGTACCTGGTGCTGAGGAGTAGGTTCCTGTATTCAAATATTTCATAGCAATCCAGCAACATGTTGGCTGCCTTCTTGGACAGTGGCCACTGTAGTTTCAGCTTGGGGTCCTTTATGGACTTCTGATCCTTTTTATCTATCTTTGCTCAAACTCATTTATCCTCATGTGGCCAGTGTAGTTACAGCTTGGGGTCCTTTATGGACCTCAGACCCTTTTTATCTGTCTTTGCCCAGACTCTTTCATTCTCCCCACCAGGCATTTATGGGTCTCTCCTAGGGTAGTCTAGCCCATATCATCTTGGGTGGAGGGTGTCTGCCTGTGGGACAGTGTATATGAGCAGAGTAGGGGAGGGCAGGACCCCCTTGACTTGGGTAGCTACATGTCACCTGTAGAATCTCCTCACTATGGGGAGATGTAAGAACAGCCATTGAGTTCCAAGCTGAGGTTGGAATCCTGAAAAAAACAAACTGGAAGGCTCTGGCTTCTAGAGGAGTCTAGAAAGATTGCTGTAACTGTCGGCAAAAGAAAGAAGCAAAGAGCCCAATTCATTCTCCTGAGCTAGGGCAGAGCCTGGAAAAAGCCAAGGTGGCCAGGGGCTGAGGGTCCCTGGTGGGGCCAGAGCATGGATGTCATGCTTCAAGTGGGCGTGGAGGTGCCTTGGTGGACATTTTCATCAAGACACAAACAGTGATGCTGAGCACGGCAGGGTTAGCACAGCTGGCTCACCCATGGCTTGGTTTGTAACTCCAGACCAGGATACTCATCCTTTATTTACAGCCAGTGAATTCGCCCCCAAGATTTGGAGAATGCTTACTGTGACCACTTAGGTGCCGCCCTGATTGCAGCCAACAAACACCTGTGAAACACCTCGAACATACAAAACACTGTTGGGTTGCGATGGTATAACAAATTCACCCTGGCTTTGTTCTGAGCTAGTCGCCCTGTTCCTTTAATGTCAATACCTTAGGTACAAAGTGCTGAAGATGCAGCCACGTCCTCAATGGACTCGCAACCTCATGGGACTAACTTCACAGCGGGCAATGTGATTGACTGAGTCCCTTTCCTTCTCTGGGCCTTGGGCTCTTGCTCTGTAATAACAAGGGGGGTCAGCCTACCCGACCTTGGGTTTTGCCAGGCCTCATAAGATTCCAATGTAGGTTTACACAGAAGGTCACTGGCTGATGTGCAGGGGTCATTAAGTCCCCCTAAGACAGGTGCCAGGAAACCTACCAATTGGATAATTAGGCTTGCCCCGACCCTACAGCCCTTGAGGGAGCAGACCTGGACTTCAGCTGCCCTCCCCATGGGGCGGAAGTGCCGGCACTGCGGGGGTCCCCTGGTGGAATGTGGCTGTGGTGGGTGCTGGGACAGAGGGCTTGGCTGACAGATCTAAGGCTGCCGCCTGCCACCAGGTCTCCGTGGGGCCGCCAGCCGGCCCCCCTCCTGTGGAATGACGAGCTCACTCCCCCCACCTGGCGTTTAATCTTTAATGCAGTCCCAGCTGCCCTCGGGCAGGACCCATCAACCCACCCGCTCTGATAAAAGCGATAATTAGCTCTTTTTCAACTTTTCACTTCTCCCCCCTCCACTCTGATGTGTGAGCATTGGGAGGATTCCAGCTAATGGGCCTGCCCACAGCCAATTCCCGGGCCATGCAAGCCGGAATGCACGGGGTCATTAGCGGGGCCTCCCGGGCAGGGGCCTGTGCTCGGGACGGGACGTGCTCGCCTGTCCGCTCTGGGGCATCCCAGCCACTGGAGAGCCGGCCGGATCTCGGCAGAGCAGACCTGCCCAGACAGGCTGGATCCCACCTTCCTTGGTGGTGGCCCCTGCCTGCACCACAGCAGAGACCACAGGAAGGTGGCCTTAGGCCCTCCCAGCGCCCGGCTGAGAGGACACGGGGCCATCAGTCCCCAGGCATCGCCCTGCTCCCAGGGCAGACAGCCCAGCCTGGGTTCAGCCACCGGTCAGTGCGGAGGCTGCTAGCTGGGATCCCCCACCCTAGCCCCACAAGTGACTTATAATAACTAACTTGTACATGGAGCCTTATGAAGTGCTTCCAGTTCTGAGGTAGCCGCAGCCCAAGGCTTAACCATGCAGGCTCAGGAGCTGGGCTGTACGAGTCAAATCCTAACTTCCCCATTTGTGTTATGAGGACGGAACCTCTCTGTGCCACAGCTCTCACCCGTGAGGTGGGGTCAGTGGCCGTGGTGCCTACCATGGAGGCTGATGTGAAGATTGAGATGATGCAGTGAAGTGCTTGACATGGTGCCTGGCCTGTCTGAGCATTCTGTCCCCGCCATTGTCACTATTTGGTTCTCTCAATAGGCCTCTAGATAATTGCTGTTACCCTGCCATGCAGAGGTTCAGAAAGGTTGTGCCTGGGAATTTCCCAAGTTTTATTTTCTTAATGATAATTGATTTAACCAGTCCTCACAGCAACGTTGCATGGCAGGTCCTGTTACTCCCATTTTGCAGAGAAGCAGCTTCCCCACGGCTCTGTGCTGGTACATGGTGGGTGCAGAAATATTTTCTGCTACTCCAAGAATCTTGCCTTGTTTGGAACCATCTGCTGCTGGGCAAGCCCCTGGTCCTACTGCAGGTGTCTGAGGATCCAGGAGACAAGTGGGAGCAGGGCCTGATCTGAGCTTGAGGGGTGGGAGCCTGGTGCTGGGCAGGGTCTTGAAGGGGAAGCTGGTGGGGGCAGAGGGGGTTCCATCTGGGGATTAAGAAAGACCAAGGCCAGGCTGGGCGCAGTGGCTCATGCCTGTAATCCCAGCACTTTGGGAGGCCAAGGCGGGCAGATCATGAGGTCAGGAGATCGAGACCATCCTGGCTAACATGGTGAAACCCCGTCTCTACTAAAAAAACCAAAAAGAAAAAACAAAAAAAATTAGCTGGGCCTGGTGGCAGATGCCTGTAATCCCAGCTACTCGGGAGGCTGAGGCAGCAGAATCACTTGAACCCGGGAGACGGAGGTTGCGGTGAACCAAGATCACACCATTGCACTGCAGCCTGGGCAACAGAGTGAGACTCTCTCTCAAAAAAAGAAAAAGAAAGAAAGAAAGAAAGAGAGAAAGAGAGAGAGAGAAAGAAAGAAAGAAAAAGAAAGAAAGAGAGAGAGAGAAGAAAGAAAGAAAGAGAAAGAAAGAAAGAAAGAAAGAAAGAAAGAAAGAAAGAAAGAAAGAAAGAAAGAAAGAAAAAGAAAGAAAGAAAGAAAGAAAGACAGACCAAGGCCAGGTACTGTGTCAGCTCATGCCTGTAATCCCAGAACTTTGGGAGGCTGAGACAGGATGATTGCTTGAGCCCAGGAGTTTGAGATCAGCCTAGGTGACAGAGTGAGACCCTGTTTCAAACAAACACATTAAAAAAAGACCAAGGTTAGCGCACAGGTCATGAACTGGTCAAGCTCCATCATGGTCACTCTCAAGGCAAAGCGACAGCTTGGCCCTGCCTATTTCCCTCCATCTGCAGACTATGTGCTGCTTTCTATGATGTCCGTCCCACCACAAGGCAGTCCTTGCCACTCACTGTCCCCTATTCCTCCTGGATTCCAGCGCCCAAGCAGGAGGGGAGTGTGTGGGGAGAAAGTCACACAGCATGGGCCTGGGACCCTGAGGGCATCTAGGGCTGGACACCCCCCACCAGAGTCCAGGCCAAAAGAAGTCCCCAAATCAACACTATTGGGTCTTACTAGGGCTTTCCAGCTTCAAGTCAAATGCTACAGACTGTGACTCTCCCACGTTCCTGAGGGGACTACAGAAGACCCACAAGCTAATGGGTGTGCCCCTGGAGGAGGTCGCTAGATAAACAGAAAGAGAGGAACTTCAGAAGAGAAAGAATCTGCTGCGACCGCTCGAGTACCAAGAACGCTTGAGCAGCAGCTCAGCAGCACCAGGCAGACTCTGGCTTGGCTCCTCTTCCTTTGTTTCTGACCAGCTGCGGCCAATGCCTACAGGCTTGAGACCTAGTTCCAGAAGGCGGCCAGCACCTGGAACTGTGGAGCCTCCATCAGTAATGCCCAGGATCACCAGCACCCAGATTTCCCAGGGCTACCAAAGTCTAGGGCCACTGTCTCCAATAGTCATTAGCAGGACCACTGATGCCTAGAATCCGAGGCTACCATTAGCCAAGGTCACCTTCCCCTGGGGTTGTTGACATCTGGAACCACTTGGACCACAGGACATAGGACCTAGAACCCTGGAGGAGTCCACCCAGAGCTGCCATAAACTAGAACTCTAGGTTACCATGAGCCAGTATTGGGGGCCATAGAGTCACTGATGTGGAGTCCATCCTTGGACTCACACTGGATTGAGAAGCTTCCTGGGGTGATGGTGCTTGGTGAATGGCTTTTCTTGTGCAGGCTCTGGGTGTACCTTTTTTTATTTTATTTTTTGTTTTTTATTTTTTATTTTTGTAGAGATGGGGTCTCACCGTCATGTTGCCTAGGCTGGTCTCGAATTCCAGGGCTCAAGCAATCCTCCTACCCCAGCTTCCCCAAGTGCTGGGATTGCAGGTGTGAGCCACCACGCTGGCTACCTTTCTTTATTGACTCTGCTCCATAGCAAAATATCATGGAGACTCCTGAACCCCTTGCTTCTCTCCTACCTGGGTCCTGGGTTCTGGCTGTGAACTTTCCAAAGAGGAAACAAGAGGTGTCATGTGGGTGGGTCCTGCACACCCAGGACCCAGGTGAGGACTGCTCAAGGAGGGAGGGGGTACATGGCCTCTAATGTGGTCTCCTCTTTTTCCAGAAAATACACTGGGAAGTAGGCCAAAGGGTGTCCTGGAGGAGGTTGTATGAATGTTCCGGAGACAGAGCAGAGCATTACTGGGGATGGATCACGGGGCCTGGCCCATCCTAATTGCATCCCCTCCATCCCATTCACCCAAAGGCCAACCTTTCTCCACATTTTTCAGCGTTAGGCACTACCGTGACCTTGCTGAGATACCCCAAGGAAAATGTGGGAAAGAACTTTTCTCTTTCCACCTCCCACCCTCCCCCAGCCAACAAATAGATGGCCTCAGAGCCTCAAAAACATGCACAGAAAAAGTTCCAAACTGTTAACAACTGAAATCTTAGCAGTATCAACAAATAAATGTTGTACATGTAAAATAATTCCCATGGGATGCCTTGGCCTGCTACCCCAAGGGTTTCCATTGCCAAGTTCAAGGTTGTCCCAGGAAGAGGGCTGCTCAGCTGTTCTCTGCCCACCCTGGCCATGGCCTCTTCTTATGAGACCTGGCCTCATCTCTGGACTGACACTGTATGTGAGGAGGGCACAAGTAAGACCTGGAGAAGGAAACTCAACTTGGGAATGGAGGAGCATTAGAGACTAGGGCCAGGAGGAAAGATAGGAAGCAGAGGATGAGGAACGACACCTGAACAGAAAATGGTGATTCTTGCCTTGGGAATCCTCGAGTTTCCAGTGGAATCCTTGCCTAATGTAGCCAGATTCAACAGAGAGTCAGACAATTGCATATTTCAACAGTAATAATAACCAGTCATAATAACAGCACCTAGCCTCCCTCATACATTGAAACATTCGTCCATTGCTGGTAGGAATGTAAATTGGTGTAACTTCTCTGGAAAACGGTCTGGCAGTTCCTCAAAATGTTAAACATAGCGTTACCATATGACCCAGCAATTGCATTCCTAGGTATTTACCCAAGGGAATTCAAACAAATGTCCATGCAAGGACTTCCATGTGAATGTTCATAGCAGCATTATTCATAATAAGGAAAAGGTGGAAACAACCCAAATGTCCATCCACTGGTGAATGGATAAACAAATTGTGGTATATCCATACAATGGAATATTATTTGACCATAAAAAGGAATGAAGTACTGACACACGGCTGGGTGCAGTGGCTCACACTCATAATCGCAGCACTATGGGAGGCTGAGGCTGGCGGATCACTTGAGCTTAGGAGTTGGAGACCAGCCTGGCCAGTGTGGCGAAAACCCTGCCTCTACTAAAAATACAAAATAATAATAATAATAATAGCCAGGTATGGTGTCATGTGCCTGTGGTCCCAGATACTTAGGAGGCTGAGGTGGGAGGATGGCTTGAGCCCAGCGGGGCAGAGGTTGCAGTGAGCCAATATGATGCCACTGCACTCCAGCCGGGGTGACAGAGCGAGACCCTGTCTCAAAACAAACAAACAAACAAACCAACAAACAAAAACAAAGTACTGACATTGACACACAGACAACGTAAATGAGCCTCGAGAACATAATGCTAAGTGAAAGAAGCCAGACACAAAACACTACATATTGTATGATTCCATTTATATGAAATGTCCAGAATAGAAAAATCCATAGACACAGAAAACAGATTAGTGGTTGCCTAGGACTAAGGGGAGGAGGGAATGGGAGTGATTGCTAGTAGGTATGGGTTTTGGGAGGAGGTAATGAAAAATGCTCTGGAATTACTGGTGATGGTTGCACAACTCTGTGAATATACACTGAGTATATACAACCCACTGAATTGTATATTTTAATAGGGTGAACTTTATGTGAATTGTATCCCCATAGAACTGTTATTTAGAATATGCTAGGAGATTGTGTTAAGCAGGTTGATTGCTGTTGTATTTCATTCTTACAGTGACCCCACCTGGAATTAAGGAGATATATAGTGGGGGTAGTTAAGGGCACAGACTCTTCAGTCAAACTATAGGGGTACAACCTCAGCTCATTCCCCTCTAGTTCAGGGACCTTGGACAAGTCACTCAACCCCCGTGAGTCTCAGAGTCCTCATCTGTAGAATGGGCACAAGGATCTGTATCTTATCCACACAGCACAGTGCCTGGGGTACAGGGAGTGCACAGGCATCGGTACTGTTAGATGTAGTAGGAATTCAACAGGAGTACAATTTCACCACCTCCTCCCATCCTTTTCTATATATATACATATACATATATATATATATATATATATATATATATATATACACACACACACACACACATATATATATATATACACACATATATATATGTATATATATATTTTTTTGAGATGGAATCTCGCTCTGTTGCCCAGGCTGGAGTGGAGTCGCATGATCTTGGCTCACTGCAGCCTCTGCCTCCCGGGTTCAAGAGATTCTCCTGTCTCAGCCTCCCTAGTAGCTGGGACTAGAGGTGTGTGTCACCACACCCAGCTAATTTTGTATTTTTAGTAGAGATGAGGTTTCACCATGTTGGCCAGGCTGGTTTCCAACTCTTGACCTCAGGTGATGCACCCGCCTTGGCCTCCCAAAGTGCTGGGATTGCAGGCGTAAGCCACGGTGCCTGGCCCTTTCTATTTCTTGAGCCCCCTGGAAGTACAATCACCCTTAAAGGATGAGGATGGTGAAGAGTTTGGAGAAGGAGCAGCATTTAGGAAAGAGTGTATACCCGCTTCTCGCATTCAACTCACTGCACTGTGTTCAGCAGTACAGTACAAGGTAGGGTGGGGAGACTATAATACTAGCTAATCTTTATTAGGCACTTTGGCAGCAGTTGTATGTGTTTTTTTTCTTTCCATGTCATCCCAGAAAGGTGGTTTGGCCTGGAGATACCATTAACTTATTCATTACTGAACACCATCTACAAGCCAAGCTCTGTGCTCTGGGCCATAAAACAAAGTGGGGATCAAGACAGCCAGGATCTGGTGCTCAGAGGCTTACATTCTAGTGGGGAGGGGAGGTGGATAAGAAATAAATAAACGAAAAGCAATGTCTTTCCCAATCAGCTGTAATGCAATGGAAATTAATCAGATAAAGGGGGAAGGACTGCCCTACATAGGCATTAAAAGAAGATTTATCTGAAAAACTGGTTTCTGAGCTAAGATAGGAGGAAGATGTTTGAGGTAGAGGGAACTGAAGTGAAAATAAGCCCAGCACATTTATTTATTTATTTATTTTTATTTTATTATTATTATTTTTTTAGATGGAGTCTCACTCTGTCGCCCAGGCTGAAGTGCAGTGGTGCGATCTCAGCTCACTGCAACCTCTGCCTCCTGGGTTCAAGTGATTCTCCTGTCTCAGCCTCCCAAGTAGCTGGGATTACAGACTTGCACCATCATGCCCGGCTAATTTTTCTATTTTTAATAGAGACGGTGTTTCACCATGTTGGCCAGGCCGGTCTTTAACTCCCGACCTCAGGTGATCCGCCTGCCTCAGCCTCCCAAAGTGCTGGGATTACGGCATGAGCCACCACGCCCAGCCCAGCACGTTTAAAGAACAGCAAGAGAGCCAATGCAGCTGGAGCTGGGGCAGCCAGGGAGAGTGACACAAGCTAAGACACATGAGGGAGCCAGGGCCCTGTTACATAGAGCAAGCAGGTCTGCGTGAGGGACTTGATTTTTGTATTCAGTGTAGTAGGTGGCATAGGAAAGTTCTCCAGCCTTCTAATGGGAAAGAAGCTGAAGAGAACATCAGAATCCCAAGCAATAGGTCTAGTCTGATATCTCTTCATGCTTAAGGCAATTGAGTCACCTGCAACAAATCCTTTGGTTTCCCCCACAATGTCAGCTGCCTTGTACTGTCTCTGGGCTAAATGGAGCAAGAATTTTTTTTTTTTTTTTTTTTTGAGACAGAGTCTCACTCTGTCACCCAGGCTGGAGCGCAATGGCGCAATCTCGGCTCACTGCAACCTCCATCTCCCAGGTTTCAGTGATTCTCCCTGCCTCAGCCTACCGAGTAGTTGGGATTACAGGCGCCCGCCACTGTGCCCAGCTAATTTTTGTATTTTTAGTAGAGACAGGGTTTTGCCATGTTGGCCAGGCTGGTCTTAAACTCCTGACCTCAGGTGATCCACCCACCTTGGCCTCCCAAAGTGCTGGGATTACAGGTATGAGCCACGGCACTGGGCCGCAAGATCTTTACCACTGGGATTCCTTCTGGTGCCTGGTGTTGACCCAATGAGGTGAGCAGCCTCCTTCCTCCTCCCTAGATGCTGCCCTCCTGAAGCATCTTCCTTCTGGGAAGTCCGGGTGGTGCACATGAGTTTAGGTGTTATTTTTCCCGTGCTTTAGATCAAGCCCAGTCTTCAGCTGTAAATTGATTGTGAAGAAATGGAGGCTCATAGATCCCTACTTGTGCTAACCTTGTCAGAAATAGATGAGGAATGTCTGTGATGCGGAGGGTGCAATGTGCTGAAACTTACTTTCCCCATAAGATGAGATATTCAGAGTAATTCATTTGAAATCTCGATAAGGGAACAGTGCGTGTGTGTGTGTGTGTGTGTGTGTGTGTAAGATAGAGACAGAGAGAGAGACAAAATGCTATGGCAGGAAGTTTTCACTCGGCCAAGTTTTAACAACAAACAAGGAGCAGTTTGTGGCCAAGCAGTCAGTCCAGGGGGAAAAACAAACAGGCAGAGTGGGGGCTTGGGTGGGGGTTGCTGAGAAAGCCAGGAATGAGTTTATCATGCTGCTTCTGGGGTGAGGAAGAAACACAAAACATTTAGATCTTTCACCTGGTTGCCCACAGATACCGTGAGTAGCCAACCCTGTGGTCAGTTTCCCCTTCTTCCTGATAGAGAGAGCCCTGGTTTTGATCAGATACCCGTTCTCCCCTGGGGAAGGGATCGCCATCTTCAGCTAAGGGATAAATCATGACTCACCTAAGCCAGGTGTGGTTATTCCTTTTTCCTTTTCAGAGACTAATTTGCACATAGATGCAGTGCTAGCCAATGACAGTTGAAGGGAAGTTCTGCCTGGGACTGCAGAAAGGTCTCCTTTCTCGAAAAAGGATTCAAGAAGGGGCCAGGTGTGGTGGCTCATGCCTGTAACCCCAGCACTTTGGGAGGCCAAGGCAGGCGGATCACTTGAGGCCAGGAGTTCAAGACCAGACTGGCCACCATGGTGAAACCCCATCTCTACTAAAAATACAAAATTATCCAGGTATGGTGGTGCATGCCTGTAATCCCAGCTACTTGGGAGGCTAAGGCAGGGGAATCGCTTGAACCCGGGAGGTGGAGGTTGCAGTGAGCCAAGATTGCACTATTGCACTCCAGCGTGGGCAACAAGAGTGTGACTCTGTCTCAAAAAAAAAAAAAATGCAAGAAGAAACTGTTCCTCTTATACTTCAGTTATTACAGGAATTGTCTGCAGTCCCCAGATGTGTGGTAGCCCCTTGGCACCATGAGCTGAACTGGCAGGCACTTGGAGGGAGGGTCAAGCAGAAAAACAGAAAAAATCTGAATTTTCAATGATGCCTTTGGGCCCCTGAATTGACCAATCCAGAGGTTCCCTACCTCTGGCCTTCTTATGTGAAATAAATTTTCCTTCTTATTTCAGGTAGGGCTTCCAGGTACTTGTATCCTGATTGATGCTGTCACTCTCACTGGAAAACAATTGGAAGGTAAGAACCATGGCTTCCACCTCTCTGGATTCCAGTACCCTACACCAAATCTGGCTTATTATAGGTGCTCAACAGGTGGGCGGATGTATGGGTGGGTGGCTTAATGGATGTATGGGTGGCTTGGGGAGTAGATGGATGGATGAATGGGTGGGTGAGTGGATGGATGGGTGGGGT